>NC_000005.10:76359807-77609807 GCF_000001405.40 Homo sapiens
TCGGCTTATCGGCTGAAGACTGACACTGCCCGATCGCCTCGGAAGCCCCGTAGACCATCACGGACGCCGAGCTTCAGGTAAGTCTCACAGTGGAAGGTAAGCCCGTCCCCTTCTTAATCAATATGGAGGCTACCCACTCCACATTACCTTCTTTTCAAGGGCCTGTTTCCCTTGCCTCCATAACTGTTGTGGGTATTGACGGCCAGGCTTCTAAACCTCTTAAAACTCCCCAACTCTGGTGCCAACTTAGAAAATACTCTTTTAAGCACTCCTTTTTAGTTATCCCCACCTGCCCAGTTCCCTTATTAGGCTGAGACACTTTAACTAAATTATCTGCTTCCCTGACTATTCCTGGACTACAGCTATATCTCATTGCCGCCCTTCTTCCCAATCCAAAGCCTCCTTTGCGTCCTCCTCTTGTATCCCCCCACCTTAACCCACAAGTATAAGATACCTCTACTCCCTCCTTGGCAACCGATCATGCACCCCTTACCATCTCATTAAAACCTAATCACCCTTACCCCACTCAACACCGATATCCCATCCCGCAGCACGCTTTAAAAAGATTAAAGACTGTTATCACTCGCCTGCTACAGCATGGCCTTTTAAAGCCTATAAACTCTCCTTACAATTCCCCCATTTTACCTGTCCTAAAACCAGACAAGCCTTACAAGTTAGTTCAGGATCTGCGCCTTATCAACCAAATTGTTTTGCCTATCCACCCCGTGGTGCCAAACCCATATACTCTCCTATCCTCAATACCTGCCTCTACAACCCATTATTCTGTTCTGGATCTCAAACATGCTTTCTTTACTATTCCTTTGCACCCTTAATCCCAGCCTCTCTTCGCTTTCACTTGGACTGACCCTGACACCCATCAAGCTCAGCAAATTACCTAGGCTGTACTGCCGCAAAGCTTCACAGACAGCCCCCATTACTTCAATCAAGCCCAAATTTCTTCCTCATCTGTTACCTATCTCGGCATAATTCTCATAAAAACACACGTGCTCTCTCTGCCAATCGTGTCCCACTGATCTCTCAAACCCCAGCACCTTCTACAAAACAACTCCTTTCCTTCCTAGGCATGGTTAGTGTGGTCAGAATTCTTACACAAGAGCCAGGACCACACCCTGTAGCCTTTCTGTCCAAACAACTTGACCTTACTGTTTTAGCCTAGCCCTCATGTCTGCGTGTAGCGGCTGCCACTGCATTAATACTTTCAGAGGCCCTCAAAATCACAATCTATGCTCAACTCACTCTCTACAGTTCTCATAACTTCCAAAATCTATTTTCTTCCTCATACCTGACGCATATACTTTCTGCTCCCCGGCTCCTTCAGCTGTACTCACAATTACCATTGTTCCTGGCCCGGACTTCAATCTGGCCTCCCACATTATTCCTGATACCACACCTGACCCCCATGACTGTATCTCTCTGATCCACCTGATATTCACCCCATTTCCCCATATTTCCTTCTTTCCTGTTCCTCACCCTGATCACGCTTGATTTATTGATGGTCCACCAGGCCTAATCGCCACACACCAGCAAAGGCAGGTTATACTATAGTACAAGCCACTAGCCCGCCTCTTAGAACCTCTCATTTCCTTTCCATCGTGGAAATCTATCCTCAAGGAAATAACTTCTCAGTGTTCCATCTGCTATTCTACTACTCCTCAGGGATTATTCAGGTCCCCTCCCTTCCCTACCCATCAAGCTCGAGGATTTGCCCCATCCAGGACTGGCAAATTAGCTTTACTCAACATGCCCTGAGTCAGATAACTAAAATACCTCTTAGTCTAGGTAGATACTTTCACTGGATAGGTAGAGGCCTTTCCTACAGGGTCTGAGAAGGCCACCACAGTCATTTCTTCTGTTCTGTCGGACATAATTCCTCAGTTTAGCCTTCCCACCTCAATACAGTCTGAAAACAGATGAGCCTTTATTAGTCAAATCAGCTAAGCAGTTTTTCAGGCTCTTAGTATTCAGTGAAACCTTTATATCCCTTACGGTCCTCCATCTTCAAGAAAAGTAGAATGGACTAAAGGTCTTTTAAAAACACACCTCACCAAGCTCAGCCACCAAAAAGGACCGGACAATACTGTTACCACTTTCCCTTCTCAGAATTCAGGCCTGTCCTCGGAATGCTACAGGGTACAGCCCATTTGAGCTCCTGTGTAGACGCTCGTTTTTATTAGGCCCCAGTCTCATTCCAGACACCAGACCAACTTAGACTGTGCCCCCGAAAACTTGTCATCCCTACTATCTTCTGTCTAGTCATACTCCTATTCACCGTTCTCAACTACTCATACATGCCCTGCTCTTGTTTACACTGCCGGTTTACACTGTTTTTCCAAGCCATCACAGCTGATATCTCCTGGTGCTATCCCCAAACTGCCACTCTTAACTCTTGAAGTAAATAAATAATCTTTGCTGGCAGGACTATGCTGAATCTCCTTAGGCACTCTCTAATCAGATATCCTGAGTCGTCCCAATTCTTAGACCTTTTATACCTGTTTTTCTCCTTCTGTTATTCCATTTAGTTTCTCAATTCATCCAAAACCATATCCAGGCCATCACCAATCATTCTATATGACAAATGTTTCTTCTAACATCCCCACAAAATCACCCCTTACCATAAGACCTCCCTTCAGCTTAATCTCTCCCACTCTAGGTTCCCACACTGCCCCTAACCCCGCTTGAAGCAGCCCTGAGAAACATCGCCCATTCTCTCTCCATATCACCCCCCAAAAATTTTCGCCACCCCAACACTTCAACACTATTTTGTTTTATTTTTCTTATTAATATAAGAAGGCAGGAATGTCAGGCCTCTGAGCCCAAGCCAAGCCATCACGTCCCCTGTGACTTGCACGTATACGCCCAGATGGCCTGAAGTAACTGAAGAATCACAAAAGAAGTGAATATGCCCTGTCCCGCCTTAACTGATGACATTCCACCACAAAAGTGTAAATGGCCGGTCCTTGCCTTACGTGATGACATTACCTTGTGAAAGTCCTTTTCCTGGCTCATCCTGGCTCAAAAAACACCCCCACTGAGCACCTTGCGACCCCCACTCCTGCCTGCCAGAGAACAAACCCCCTTTGACTATAATTTTCCTTTACCTGCCCAAATCCTATAAAACGGCCCCACCCTTATCTCCCTTCGCTGACTCTTTTTGGACTCAGCCCGCCTGCACCCAGGTGAAATAAACAGCCATGTTGCTCACACAAAGCCTGTTTGGTGGTCTCTTCACACGGACGCTCATGAAACCCATCTCTACTAAAAATACAAAAAATTAGTGGGGCGTGGTGGCGCTCGCCTGTAATCCCAGCTACTCAGGAGGCTGAGGCAGGAGAATTGCTTGAACCCGGGAGGTGGCGGTTGCAGTGAGCCAAGATAGTGCCACTGCACTCCAGCCTGGGCAACAGAGTAAGACTCCGTCTCAAGGAGAAAAACAAACAACTCTTGAGCAATGAGAGTTGATGCTCTTCTGGGTTGGTGAATACATTGAGGTGCTAGGAGGGTGGTGTGTCTGGAGAGGGCTTTCCCTGATCCCCATACCTCGCCCTATGCATCTCTTCCATTTGACTTCCTGAGTTGCAGCCTTTATAACAAACTGATCAACATAAATAAGGTATCCCTGAGTTCTGTGAGCCATTATTTCAAATTATCGAATCGGGTGGGGGGTGGCGGGGGGCGGTTACAGTAGCTCTTGATTTGTAGCAAGGACAGCCAGAAGTGCCGGAACCTGAGACTTGTAACTGATGTGAAGTGGGAGGAGCCTTGTGGGACTGAGTCCTTAACCTGTGGTGTCTATGCTAGTAATAGCTTTGGGCAGCAAGAAATAAAAATAAAATCCTAAACTGCCCAACGGACTAAACAGACCCTCTCTTGGTTAAAGAGACCCCATAGTAACCTTGAAAATTGAGTTCTGTGTCATGGTGGGATAGGAGGTTGGACACACCTTATTATGCCCTCTCCCTAGCTAAGCATGATAAGGCTTTCTTTCCTAAGGGCTTAACAGAAACCAGCCCTTTCAAAAGGCTCTCGTATCAACCAACCATGTGAGGCTGCCCCCCCATGATAAGAGGCCACTGACCACGGAGCGGTTCTGGCCAGTCTACAAAGAATGTGCAGTAGGGGTTTCTGTGCTCTCTGCTTCATCTTTTGGGGTCAGAGGGCTGAAAACTCTACCCTCAGATCATGCTATCACCACCGTTTTTGTACACGGGACACACGAAGGGGCATGAAGCTCATGTTTCTCCTTTCATAAATATTCACAACTCCTGCTACAGCTTATTGAATATGCATATTCGGCCAGCCCGCTCGGTATAAATTCATGTGCCCTTTGCCACTCCCTTGACGCATCTGTTTCTGGCTTCTGGCCAGCACCTACACTTCCCAGCCTGTCACTCTGCAGGCTGCAACGCTTTATGAGAAAGAAAACTCTCCTTTCCACATGTATAGGCCTTGTCATTCTCAGTTGACAGTAGTTATTGTCAGAATTGAATTGAATTTTAGGATATTCATTTAATGTTCACAGAGAATTGGTGGTTGGTCTTGGAAAACACCCCAGACTAACTCAATGTTCTTTCCATTACACTGCCTTCACAGCTGAATAAAAAGCCAAGAAACTTATAGTGTCACTAGAAACCACGGACAACTGCAAATCAATAAAAATTGATTTCAAAAGAATCAAGCTGCCAGGTTGGTGTGCCTCTAATTTCAGCACTTTGGGAAGTTGAGGCAGGAGGATTGTTGGAGCCCAGGAGTTCAACACCAGCCTGGGCAACATAGTGAGACCTCATCTCTATTAAAAAAGAAAAAAAAGTAATAATTGAAAATAAAAGAATCAAACTGTTGTTTATTTTTTTTTGAGACAGGGTCTTGCTCTGTCATCCAGGCTGGAGTGCAGTGGTGTGATCTCGGCTCACTGCAACCTCTGCCTCCCAGGTTCAAGCGATTCTTGTGCCTCAGCCTCCTGAGTAGCTGGGACTACAGGCACCCGCCGCCATGCCTGGCTAATTTTTGTATTTTTAGTACAGACGGGGTTTCGCCATGTTGGCCAGGCTGGTTTTGAACTCCTGACCTCAGGTGATTCACCCCCCTGGGCCTCCCAAAGTGCTGGGATTATAGGCGTGAGCCACCACGCCTGGCCAAGAATCAAGCCTTTTTAGGTCATCTCTGTACACCCATCAAGTACTCAGAGATACCCAATCAATGCTTGACCTAGTGAATGGGCAAATAAAATGAATGAATCCATTTTCAAATTATAGTTTAATCTGGGGAAAAGTAAGATTCATTTAAAAGCCCCTTTTCACTAACAACTTAAGGTGTAATTTTATTTCTGACCAATTGTCTTATTTTTAATGGAATCAAATCTATCATATAAAATACATAGCTCTAGCTTACCCCCAAGGTTGATGTACAGCAAATTCAGTAATTTTCTTAACCTAATGTGATCATTTGGTTTAAAAACACTGAAGGCTCCTTTAAATATCCAGAGTTCAAGTTTCAAGTCATCAAAACTCATGATTTGTCCTGATTCCAAGATAAAAGAAACAGGTGACCTGAGCTGCTGGTGCTAGGAACCACTGCTGCAGAGAAGGCAAAGTTTCTTCTGTCTGACCATCGACAGCAGCCAGTCAGACCTGAGCCCCTACTCTGTTCTGAAAATCCATTCCTCTCTGTCTCCTGCTAAGCATTGCTTCTCTTTGGGAAATTATTCTCCACTCTGACCAATGGCAATGTTATGCCCTAGAGTAATAAATGAGAGTCACTTGACCTTTTTGGGAAAGTCATTATCATTATTATAGTTTAATTTTAAAAAGCATTTCCTCCTGAATATTTATATCATCCAACCCCTGAGGACACTAACTGCCATTGCTAGTGGCCCCTGTATCTGTTTTCTTCTTTTTTAGTAATAGACTTCCTATTTCTAGCCACATAGCCACAGACAGAAGTAGCCATGTGCCTAAGTTCTAGCAAAGGGGATGTAAATAGAAGTGTCATGTATAACTTCCAGAAAGGTCAGGCTGCCTGGAATGTGGACATGATAGCTGAATATCAAACAATCATTTTAGTCAATGAGGCTGAAAGCCACTTTTGGTTAGTTGGCAGTAATTGTGTTTGATTAAAAATTTTTGCATAAAACAAGTTTTCACTATTCCCACTGAGACACTCTCACGTCTGCACCCTGGATGGGTATGTGAAAATAATGTTCCTCTTTCTTTTTGCTCATATAAATAAATGCTTTTTAAAATTTCTTACAGCAATTTTATTTTCTGTGTCCCTACAGAAAACCTCATTCACCTCTGGATCCAGTTCCATAAAGTGGTGTTTGGGACCTATAGCCTTCCTCATTGCCGAGAGGGGGAAATCAGTGTCATGGCTGTCTGGAAATGTGGCCTTGATGTTTTGAATGAATAATGGCTCTAATAACATTCAGTACCAGGTGGAGGGAGAAAGGATATTAGTATCCCTCCCTCCCTCCCTCCCCCTTCCTTCCTTCCTTCCTTCCTTGCTTCCCTCTTTCCCTCCCTTCCTCTCTTTCTTTTATTTTCTTTTCTCTTTTCTTTTCTTTCTTAAGACAGGGTCTTACTCTGTTACCCAGGCTGGAGAACAGTGGTGCAATCATAGCTCACTGTAACCTCAAACCCCTGAGCTCAAGCGATCCTCCTGCCTCAGCGTCCTGAGTAGCTAGAACTACAGGCATGCACCACCACGCCCAGCTAGTAGTAATTTTAATATGTGACTAAAATATACATTTTTCATTCCCTTTAAAACAAAAGCCACCACCCTACTAAAATGATTTTTGAAGCTGGACAATGGTAGAGGGTTTTGTTTGTATGTTGGTTTTTTGATTTTTGTTTTAACATGCTCTAGGGGTGATGGAGAACCACTGTTTCTATATCTTGAGCTTTAAATTCCCACATCCACTTCATCTCTTGTGCTTACTGTGAACATATTAACCACACCCAGATCTAATCCAGGGATTTTCATTTGCTAATTCCAAGAGGGAAGGGTAGACCATGGTTAGACGCATCCAGTCACCACTAGGTAATGTTCACAGCACATTCTGAAGAGTTAACTAAAATACATCACTTTTCATTTTAAAGTGAATGGTTTTGAGGTATATTTCAACCCTATTTCTGGGTTACCCAACCGGTCACCACTAGGTAATGTTCACACCACATTCTACAGAGTTAACTAAAATACATTGCTTTTCATTTTAAAGTGAATGGTTTTGAGGTAAATTTCAACCGTATTTCTGAATTACCCATTTCAATTATATTTATGAATTATTAAAGCTAATAGAACTTCATAATATAACAAATGTAGATAATTAAAACATGTTTATACAAAAACAAAATATGTTAGCAGACTTCCAGTTTCTTTGTGAGGCTACTGAATCTAAATGAAAATGTCTTCTTTCTTACTTGATTGTTCATAATTGCCTTCTGTAAGAGTTAGGATACAAAGTTCCTAAAACAAAGCAATTTGTCAAGCAATTCTGCAGTTTTCAGTGAAGATGTAAATAAGGTAGAACCCCTTGAGAGCAGTGTGTGTGCGTGTGTGTGTGTGTGTGTGTGTATTTTTGTAGAGATGGGGTCTTGTTATGTTGCCCAGGCTAGTCTCAAACTCCTGGCTTTAAGTGATCCTCCTGCCTTGACCCAAAGTGCTGGGATTACAGGCTTTAGCCACCACACCTGGCCCATAAATATATATTTAAATGAACGAAGGAGGCAACACAATGTAGCAAAAATAATCTGGAAGATGGGAGAAAGACCTGGGTTTGGGTCTTGATTCTGTCTTCTACTGGCTGTCAAATGAGGTCAATTGCATCTCTTAGGATAGTTATAAGGACAATTGATATCTTGCCTGCGCATAGTGGGTACTCAGCAAGATTAATTTCCTTTCTCCCTCCACTTGGTACTGAATGTTATCAGAGGGTACAGAGCCATTATTCATGAAAACATCAAGGCCCCATCTCCAGATGGCCCTAACACTGACTTGCCCCGGTCAGCAATGAAGAACGCTGATAGGACCCAAACACCACTTTATGAAGCATGATCCAGAGGTGAATGAGGATTTCCGTAGGGACATGTGTGGAAATAGGAAGATAAGACCCTCAACCCCACAGCCAGGTCTTAGGGGAATCCAGGGACAGCCAGGTCTCATGGCAATGGAACTGTGCTTTAGGGACCTGAAGACCTTCAGTCACAGGTTTTGGGGATTTCCTACTTAAGGGTTTCACCATTACATTGTCTTGGTGACTCAGCCTCTGTTTCTCCTGTTACTGCTGCTGTTGACTAACTGGCTTTGATGCTTTGTATTCAAATGCTCCAAGAGAGACATTCTTAATTGGTTTGTAGTCTAAGCTGCCTCTGTTTCACAAAGCTTTTGTAGCAAGCTGTTTTCGCAAGTCACTGACCAGCCTACAGATTGGCTTTTTCTGGGTCAGGTGTCTTCTCTGTACCAATGAGCTTAGCCAGTGTGACAGTCTGCATGGCCAACTTTTCTCTGGATGCACCATGAACATGGAAGACATTCAGACCACGGTAGGTGGTTTGTCTATCTGTTTCTAAACTGGTAAAAACATTTGTCATGTAGAGTTGGAGGAGAGAAGGTCATTTGTCTATCAAATGCCAAATTTTGGAGGATGTGAAGAGCAAAGACTCTTCTATTTCCCCTCAAATTGTATTTGATGTCTCTCACTGATTCCACCTCACTCTCTACAGTTCAGCCATTCAGGACTTCTATTTTGTTTTCTTTTTTTTTTTTTTTTTTTTTTTTTTTTTGAGACAGAGTCTTGCTCCATTCCCAGGCTGGAGTGCAGTGGCGTGATCTCGGCTCACTGCAACCTCCACCTCCCAGGTTCAAGCGATTCTCCTGCCTCAGCCTCCTGAGTGACTGTGATTACAGGCATCCACCACCACACCTGGCTAATTTTTGCATTTTTAGTAGAGACGGGGTTTCACCATGTTGGTCAGGATGGTCTCGAACTCCTGACCTTGTGATCCGCCCACCTCAGCCTCCCAAAGTGTTGGGATTATAGGCATGAGCCACCACGCCCAGCCAGGACTTCTATTTTCTTCAAACATCTCTCTTGCTCTTGCTCTCTCTATTTCTCTTTTAGACCCACAGACCTGTGGTGTTTTCTGTCTGGAATACCCCCTCTACATCCTCTAGGCCTAGCTGAAATGTCTGCTCCTCAAGGAAGTTTTCTCAGACTCCCACACTGCATCCAGCTTCCTCTGTTATAAGCCCCTTGCTATTACACCTTGTACTTCCTCTTTCAAAATATTCCTCCTGTTTATAATTGTTTGTTTAATATCCGTCTTTCCTGTTGACTGAGGCTCAATAAAAGCAGGAATTTCTCTCTTGTCATTGCTGTTTCCTCAATATCTGGTCTAGCTCCTGACACTTAATGAAACTTAATAAACATTTATGGAATGAGTGAGCTTTTGTTATCATGCTATCTGGGCATAATATTTTTTATTTGAGAAGAATGAATGACCCCCAACAATCTCAATGTTGGGCAGAACCAAAGTAAGATGTTTTGGAATTGCACTAGTGGTAGGAAAAACAAAATGTTTTCCTCTGCTGTCACGCCACACAACAATAAACACAGAAAACTTCTGTGATGAAATGTGGGGGAGTGGCTGGGCGCGGTGTCTCATGCCTGTAATCCCAGCACTCTGGGAGGCTTAGGTGGGTGGATCACCTGAGGTCAGGAATTCAAGACCAGCCTGGCCATGGTGAAACCCCGTCTCTACTAAAAATACAAAAAATTAGCCAGGCATGGTGGTGCGCACCTATAATCCCAGCTACTCAGGAGGCTGAGGCAGGAGAATCGCTTGAACCCGAGAGGCGGAGGTTGCAGTGAGCCAAGATCGCACCATTGCACTCCAGCCTGGGCAACAAGAGCGAAACTCTATCTCAAAAAAAAAAAAAAAAAAAAGAAAGAAAGAAAGAAAGAAATGCGGGGGATTCTCCCCACCACAAGCAAGCAATCGATACCGCAGCAGACACCAGCTGGGTGCCCTCCAATTCAATTCTGACACTGTCTACCTGGAGATAGCATCAGATCCCACAGACCAAGGGCTCAGTGCCAAAAATTCAACTCCCTCTTCAGACACAAGTGACAAGTCCAGGCATCCAGAACCTCTGACTGACCAGCTTCAAGTTGGGATTCCAACAAACCAGTCTTTGGATGCGATTTATTTGCTAGAGTAGCTCACAGAACTCAAGGAAACAATTACTTATATTTACTAGATTATTCCTAAGGATATTTTAATAGATACAAATAAACAACTAGATGAAGAGAAACATAGGGTAAGGTCTGAGTGCAGGCACTTCTGTCCTCATGGTATTGGGATGGGCCACTCTCCTGGCCCTTGCATGAGTTCTTCTTAACCGTTCACCCTCCCGGAAACCTCCACATGTTTGGCTACCCAGAAGGTTTTTGTTTTGTTTTGTTTTGTTTTGCTTTGTTTTGTTTTGTTCTGAGACGGAGTTTCGCTCTTATTTCCCAGGCTAAAGTGCAATAGCACGATCTCGGCTCACTGCAACCTCCGCCTCCCAAGTTCAAGCAATTCCTCCTGCCTCAGCCTCCTGACTAGCTGGGATTATAGGCACTTGCCAACATGCCCAGCTAATTTTGTATTTTTAGTAGAGACAGGGTTTTTCCATGTTGGTCAGGCTGGTCTCGAACTCCCAGCCTCAGGTGATCCTCCCACCTCAGCCTCCCAAAGTGCTGGGATTAAAGGAGTGAGCCACTACACTTGGCCTTTTTTTTTTTTCTTTTTTCTTTTGAGACAGTCTGGCTCTGTCACCCAGGCTGGAGTGCAGTGGCATGATCTTGGCCCTCTGCAACCTGCGCCTCCTGGGTTCAAGAGATTCTCGTGCCTCAGCCTCCCAAGTAGCTGGGATTACAGGTGTATGCTACCATACCTGGCTAACTTTTGTATTTTTATTAGAGAAGAGGTTTCACCATGTTGGCCAGGCTGGTCTCAAACTCCTGACCTCAGGTGATCTGCCCTCCTTGGCCTCCCAAAGTGCTAGGATTACAGATGTGAGCCACTATGCCCAGCCTTATCCAGAAGTTCTTGAACCCTGTCTTCTGGGCCAAGTTCTTGAACCCTGTCTTCTGGGCCATTTATGGAGACTTCATTGGATAGGCATGATTGAAGTATGGATAACCTGGTTCAAATGTGATTGGACAAAAAGGGTATGATCTGGTCGGGCGCAGTGGCTCACGCCTGTAATCCCAGCACTTTGAGAGGCCGAGGCTGGCAGATCATGAGGTCAAGAGATTGAGACCATCCTGGCCAACATGGTGAAACCCCGTCTGTACTAAAAATACAAAAATTAGCTGTGTGTGGTGGTGCACACCTGTAGTCCCAGCTACTTGGGAGGCTGAGGCAGAAGAATCGCTTGAACCCAGGAGGCGGAGGTTACAGTGAGCTGAGATCATGCCACTGCACTCAACCTGGTGGCAGAGTGAAACTCCGTCTCAAAAAAAAAAAAAAAGGTATGATCTAAACCCAGCAAGTCCTGTTCTGTCTGTTCAGATTCTTCCTGGCCTCTCTGTACAGCATTTCTACCTCTAGGGTACGGGGCAGGACCCTCTCTGGAATAAGGGTCTCATGACCCACAATCAGATTAGGGTCCTGCCATGGGGAGGTCAAAGGAAGGCAGGGAAAGACCAGAGAGAGAGATATTCTTTTTACTGTAATAAGGGCTGTGGGAGTTATGAGCCAGGAACTGTGTATGAAAACCAATATGTGTGGCAGGGTGTGGTGACTGACACCTGTCATCCCAGCACATTGGGAGGCCAACACAGGAGGATTACTTGAGCCCAGGAGTTTGAGACCAGCCTGAACAACATAGTGAGACCCCATCTGTAAAATAATAAAAATAAAAAAATTAGTTGGGCATGGTGACATGCGCCTGTGGTCCCAGCTACTTGAGAGGTTAAGGTGGGAGGATAGCTTGAGCCCAAGAGGCTGAGAATGCAGTGAGCCCTGATTTGTGCCACTGCCCTCCAGCCTGGACAATAGAGCAAGACTCTATTTCAAAAAACAAAATGAAACAAACAAATGAAGAAAAAATATACATTTATAAATATAAAATATAAAAAAAAAACGTACATATAATAGCACAACTAGCATATTGAAAAATTGTATCTGGACAGGTGGGAAGCTTTCCAAGTATGTTCTTGGGAAATGACTCAGGACAGTAAATGACTGGCAGGCAGGTAGGAAGGGGGCCAGGCCCTGTGGTAGACCAAGTAACAAACAGGTCCCAGAGCAGGGAGGACAGGGGCAATGTTCCTCTCTCTGCACACACTCCACCTTCTGACTCCCCCACCTCACCCCAGCAGCCTCAAAGGAGCCTCTCCAGGGCCACGCTGGAATGGCAAACATGGGATTTTTTTTGCTGACTTGGCTTAGCAACAAGGCCTCACTCTGACCTTTTCTCTGCACAGCATTAAAGAGAAAGGGTACGTTGAAAGTGGGATTGCATAGATTTCCCATGACCACTGCCACGCTTTGAAGGGAAACTGCTCAGCTGAGCACTGCTTCCTGGAATGAGCAAGGCCATCTGCCCTAGCCTGACCTGATAACTTCCACCCCTGTGCAGGTGCCTTCCCCACGGGAGGTGAGGGCCAGCACAGCCCAGTCCCTGGGAGCCCCTGCCAGGCAAGGGCCACGCTGGTCCTCGGGCTCATGCTGTCAGGGACTTTGTTGAAGGGGCCAGAGGCCCCTCAGTCTATCTTGGTTAATGGCAAGCTGCTTTTAGGATATGCAGAGAAGTAAGAGCGAGCAAACCAGCCACCAGGCCGGGCTTTGTTGACATGCAGGACATCGTTTGAGATGTAAGAGCAGCTCTAGTAGCCCTGCAGCAGCCCTTGCATCTCAACCGGTTTCTGAGTCATTCTCTGGGATTATCAGGCTGGAGTTCTCTGTCATTAGGATGACTCATCATTTTTCTATCTCTGCTTCCATTGCTTCTGTCCCTGCTGACTAAAGTCTCTGCTATCCGCCTCTGTGCCGCAGCTTCTGTGGCTTTTTCTCTGTGGCCCCTTTCTTCAATCCCATCCTACTCATGGTCTTCCCTCTCAAGGTCTCACAAACTCCCTACCAGTAGGGTTTATGGGTTCCACCTGTCACCATGACAGAGCTCTCACGCCAGACACCCTCACAGGACATGGGCCAACCAGTGGGAAGCTGCCTTGGAGTAAGGGCGCTAATTCCTGGCTTAATCAATTAATTTACCTGAAGCCACACATGCAGAGTCACATGATATAAACCATTCATTCATCTGACAAATAGGGCACCTCACGTATGTCACACTCTGTCCTGGCGTGGAGAATACAATGGTGAAATAGAAACAACACAAGTCTTTGCCTCACATTCTCCTGGGGGCTGGGATGGCTGACAAGAAATAAAATCGGCCAGGTGCAGTGGCTCATGCCTGTAATCCCAGCACTTCAGGAGGCCGAGGCAGACGGATCACCTGAGGTCAGGAGTTCAAGACCAGCCTGGCCAACACGGCAAAACCCCATCTCTACTAAAAATACAAAAGTTAGCCAGATGTGGTGGTGAGTGCCCATAATCTTAGCTACTCCAGAGGCCGAGGCAGGAGAATTGCTTGGACTCAGGAGGCAGAGGTTGCAGTGAGCCGAGATTGGCCACTGCACTCCAGCCTGGGTGACAGAGTGAGACTCTGTCTCAAAAAAAAAAAGAAAAAAGAAAAGAAAAGAAAGAAAAAAATGAAGAGTAAAACATAGGCTCAATGTTGATTCATGTGATGGAGAAAAAGCCAGGTAGAGGTATAGACAGTGCCGGGAGCAGGGCCTTGTATGTCGATTTTCAACCACAGGTTGGTTGAGAGAGTGACATTGAGGTCATAAAGGACAGAAAGGAGGTGGAGAGGCCAAGAAGAGACCCCTTATAGGGCTGTGTGCGTGGTAGACATGATGAGGCTTCTGGAACTCTTAGTGCTGGTGTGGTCAGCTCTGAGGATCATGGGGAAACCCTACTGTCTAGGACCTCACAGATGAGAGAAGAAGCTTATGTCCGAATGCACACAGTTCAGTGTATAACACTTGACTGAGTCAGAGAGCCACAGGAGCCACGAGGCATTTAAGGAGGGAAACAGAGTATAGGCCCCATGCTCTGTCCACACCTGTCCCTGCCATCCCAAAGTCCTACCATGGGAGCAGGGAGGCTCCCATTAGGAATTATCAGATTCAGTGGAAATCAACCTCACTTTTCTTTTTTTGAGACAGGGTCTCATTCTGTCACCCAGGCTGGAGTACAATGGCTCACTGCAGCCTCAACCTCCTGGATTCAAGTAATCTTCTCACCCTCTCAGCCTCCCAAGTAGCTGGGACTACAGGTGTGCACCACCATGCCCAGCTAATTTTTTGTATTTTTTGTAGAGATGAGATTTCTCTATGTTACCCAGGCTGGTCTTGAACTCCTGAGCTCAAGCAATTCTCCCGCCTCAGCTTCCCAAAGTGCTGGGATTACAGGCATGAGCTACTGTGCCAAGCTTGGGACTCAACCTTTAAGGCTCATCAGAGTCACTGAGAGAACTTATGAAACACAGTGCAAAACCCATCCCCAGCAATTCCAGTTTTTACACTTTCCCAGGTCATGCAGATGCTGTTGTTCCAGGTACCACACTTTGATAACCACTGCTATGATTTACATCATGCCCTGCCAGCCCTTCCAACTTTGCCCTTGTTCCTCCCTCTGTATAAAATCGTCTACTTCTGGCTATGGGCTGTGGCTCATGCTTCTAAGCCCAGCACTTTGGAATGCTGATGTGCAAGGATCAGTTAAGCCCAAGAGATTGAGACCAGTCTAGGCAACAGTGAGACCTCATCTCTAATAAAAATCAAAAAATTAGCCAGACATGATGGTGCACACCTGTGGTCCCAGCTGCTGAGGAGGCTGAGGTGGGAGGATCACACCACTGCACTCCAGCCTGTGCAACAGAGCAAGACCCTGTCTCAAAAAAAAAAAAAAAAAAAAAAAAAATGGCCTACTTTCTCTTCCTTCTATTTTTCCTCCAAGACCCAACTCAGGAGTCCATTTCCTTCAGGAAAAATTCCTTGACTTTCCCAGGCAAAATCCTTCATGCCCTCATCTTGTCTGAGGTCCCAGCTACTCAGAGGCTGAGAGAGGAGGATTGCTTGAGCCCAGGAGATCAAGGCTCCCTTTATATTTTCATCCCATCTCATGACTGTACTCACATCTACTGCCTTTCTGGATTGTAAGCATTTGAGGGCAATTTCTCCAGTTCCTAGTATCTGGTATGCATTCAAGAAAACTTTCTGAAATCCCCATATGTTTTCTCCTGATGTTTGTGAAAGGAAGGCCCCACTTCCAGCGTGTTTCTTCTTGGGCTTCCCTCATCATCTCAACCCCCCAACTCACCCTGAGCTCTCTGGCTCCCCTAAACTTCCTGGTCCCAGCAGGTCCAGGCCCACTGTTGTACCACATCTGGCCATTCAGCAAAGTTGAAATTCTTTCTCTGACAAAGCAATGTGCAGTTTGAAGGTTTTACTTTGTTTTGTTTTTTAGAGACAGGGTCTCACTCTGTCACCCAGGCTGGGGTGCAGTGGCACAATTATAGCTCACTGCAGCCTTGACCTCCTGGGCTCAAGCAATCCTCCTCTCTCAGCCTCTGAGTAGCTGGGACCACAGGTGCATGCCACCACAGCTGGTTAATTTTTAAATTTTTTGTAGAGACAGGGGTCTCACTATGTTGCCTCGGCTGGTCTTGCACTCCTGGCCTCAAGCAGTCCTCCCACCTCCGCCTCCCAAAGCACCAGGATTACAGGTGTGAGCTACAGCGTCCCACCCAGTTTGAAGTCTTAAGAGAGATGTTTTACCAAGAGACTCCAATAAGCAAAATCAAGCACCAAAAAGGTGAAACATGCATAGCTCTACAGGAAGGTCAGAGAGAGAGAGAGACCCAGTGTTTTAATTCTGCCTCCACCAGTAGCTGAGTGGCCTTCAGCAAGTCACTGGCCCCTTCAGGTGTTCAAGGAACTGGACTCAAAGATTTCTAAGATACCTTCCAGCTCTCAAATTTCACAATTACCGAATCTGAATTTATCTAAATACTAAGCAAAAATACCCAAACTTCTAGCATGACAGTCCCAAGTCTCGTGGGAAATTTGCTCTTCTTCCAAGCTGTTTGCTGGGTTTTTCTCTGCATATGAAGTCATAGGCAGCTTCCTAAAGATTCCAGGTGAGTCTTATCAAAGAACCTGCAAATGAATACTACAGACTTATTGTAGCCTAGAGAAAGGTGCATAGACAATATCTGAATCTTAGCATTGCCACTATGTGACTTGCAGCAAATTATTTAACTTCTCTGGGCCTCAGTTTTCTTGTCTTTAAAGTGGAAGCAAAAACAGAATCTACCTTAAAGGATTCCTATGAGGTGTAAGAAAAAATAATTCACAGCAACAGAGGCTAGCACAGCACTGGTGTTCAGCAAGCATGAGTCAGCTCTTGGGGGCTCCCTCTGCACACTTTCAGTCCACCTCTGCTGCCAGCCTGGCCCCTTAATGAGGAAAACATTTTGTATTCTGAAACTCAAATCCTTCTGATGAGCTTCTGGTCACTCCTCATGGTCTTGCTGGGTCATTCATTCATTCAACTTATAGTTACTAAGGTTTTATCGAATGCCAGATACAGTGAAAAGAATACATACAGATAATTAAGACAAACTTTAAACAGTCCCCATCCTCAAGGAGCTAGAGCTTTGCTTTAGTAAAATTAGACAAGTCATTCATTTCTGGGTGTCACGGAATGGAGTGGCCAATGGCCTGCAGAGCAACATGCCCAAGTTTTATTGTGACTACTGCAATACATACCTCACCCATGACTCTCCTCCTGTGAGAAAGACACACTGCAGTGGTAGGAAACACAAAGAGAATGTGAAAGACTACTATCAGAAATGGATGAAAGAGCAGGCTCAGAGCCTGATTGACAAAACAACGGCTGCATTTCAACAAGGAAAGATACCTCCTGCTCCATTCTCTGCTCCTCCTCCTGTAGGAGCAATGATACCACCTCCCCCTAGTCTTCCAGGTCCTCCTCACCCTGGTATGATGCCAGCACCCCATATGAGGGGTCCTGCCATGATGCCAATGATGGGCCCTCCTCCTCCTGGGATGATGCCAGGGGGACCTGCTCCTGGAATGAGGCCGCTTATGGGAGGCCACAGGCCAATGATGCCTGGGTCCCCAGTGATAAGACCTCCTGCCTGTCCCATGATGGTGCCCACTCGGCCCAGAAAGACTTGACCAGACAGATAAGGATAAAGGAGAGGGCTCATTATGTCGGTTTTATATTACCTGTTCTGCTTCACCAGGAGATCATGCTGCTGTGATGCTGGGTTTTCTAAACAGCATAAGGAAGTCTTGCTCCCCTCTCCTATCAAAGAGAATAGTTTTGGAGGGGAGAAGTGGGACAAAAAAGATGCAGTTTTCATTTGTATTGGGAAATGTGAAAATAAAATTGTCAACTCTTTTAGTTAAAAGTGTATTCCCTTTTTCCTCCCCTCTGTATTCTCTGTATATTATAAAAGAAATGAAACATTCCAGTTCTGTTTCTCTAGCTCATTATCTCTTCAGTATGTCCTCTGTGTGAGATTCTTTTTCCTTAGCTATATGGTAAATCTCTTTGGGCATCCTCCCTTTATTAGTAAAGTCATCTTGTGCAGGACTAAATCTAGCACTTGTAGAGCTTTTGTTGGTTAAAATAATAAACAGCTCGGTTAATTAAAAAAAATTAGACAAGTCAACAACTATAATATGGTGAGATAGGCCGGGCGCGGTGGCTTACGCCTGTAATCCCAGCACTTTGGGAGGCCGAGGAGGGTGGATCACGAGGTCAGGAGATCGAGACCATCCTGGCTAACATGGCGAAACCCCATCTCTACTAAAAATACAAAAAAATTAGCCAGGTGTAGTGGCAGGCACCTGTAGTCCCAGCTACTCGGGAGGCTGAGGCAGGAGAATGGCGTGAACCCGGGAGGCGGAGCTTGCAGTGAACCGAGATTGCGCCACTGCACTCCAGCCTGGGCAACAGAGCCAGACTCCGTCTCAAAAAAAAAAAAAAAAAAAAAAAAAAATATATATATATATATATATATATATATAGTGAGATAAATGCTACTAGGGGAAGCACTGGGTCTACATGTATAGGATAGGTTGAAAGAGATGTCCTAGGCCAGGTGGCATCCAAATCGATGGCAGAAGGGTAAGAAGGACTGGCTCAGCTGCGTGGTGGCAGGGAAGAGGGTTCCTGGGGGGAGGGGGAAATGAGGCTGGAGAGGTGAGCAGAATTATGTCGCTAAAAGCTTTTGGGAGCAAGGCAGAGGCACTGCAGGGTGTGAAGCAGGAGAGTGGCAGAGGTGGCTTTGTCTTTGTGAAGTTGTCTCTGGGTGCTGTGCAGAGAACCCATGAATGGGAGGTAGGGGAGGCTGGCAAACCTGCAAGAGGAGAGAGTGGTCCAGACAGCACTGGGCTGACCCCGGATAGAAGGATGGTGGCTGAAGGTGGAGACAGTTGAGAAAAGGGGAGAGGTGTTTATAGGGTAACATCTACAAGACTAGAGATGAATCAGATGAGAAAGTGTTGGGAGGAAGGAATCGAGAATGATGCCTACATTTCCGGCTCAGGCATCCCAATGGATGGTGATGTCATTAACTGAGATTTGGAGTCAGGGAACAGATGAAATTAGTTTGAGGAGATATAGGGTATATGAGGTTGAGGGGAAGGGCTGTTAAAAAGTAGGAGAACTGTTCATCGATTGCTAGGAAAGAACCAGTCAAGGGAGATGATGAGGACAGAGAAAAAGGGGCCCAGGAATCTGTGATGTGAAGGCTCTGCCAAAGATCAGCCGGGCACGGTGGCTCAGGCCTGTAATCCCAGCACTTTGGGAGGCCGAGGCAGGCAGATCATGTCAGGAGTTTGAGACCAGCCTAGCCAACATGGTGAAACCCCATCTCTACTAAAAATACAAAAATTAGCCGGGCATGGTGGCGGATGCCCGTAATCCCAGCTACTCGGGAGGCTGAGGCAGGAGAAACCGGAAGGCAGAAGTTGCAGTGAGCTGAGATTGCTCCACTGCACTCCAGCCTGGGTGACAGAGCGAGACTCTGTCTCAAAAAAACAAAACAAAACAAACAAACAACAACAACAACAAAAAAAAAACAGAGGGCATGTGGCTGGAGCACGGTGGAAGGATGAGCTCTAGACAGGAGGGAGGCCCCTCCTCAGCTCTTGGGATGGAAGGAGGGAGGCAGCCCCAGGTGTGCAAGCACCGTGGGTCTTTCTTGCTCTCAACCCTGGGAGTCCTGCCTTTCCCAGCATCTTCTCATCACCGACCCATTCTGTTTGTCTGAACATCCCTCAGCCAGTTGGTGAATTTTCTTTCGTTTAGTGGGACCCGCAGTACTCACTGGCCACCTTGAACAAATAGTTGGCTGTGGACAAGCAACTGTGTTTCAAGTTCCTCATCTGTAAAATGGAGACAGAAAAACTCAGTTTCTCGTGAGGGTAAGATGAAATTATGTATGGACGTGCTTAGAATAGTGCCAAGCATGTAGGAAACTCTTTGAAGTGTTAGCTAGTATTCTCACTGGACTCGGGATGTATGAGGACAGACGCTGTGTTTACCTGGAGTGCTCTGGGCCATCCTCTTAGTCAGAAGCAAGCTTCCTGTTTCCTCCCCTTTCAAAGCCACAGAGCTCCTTTTTTTAGCTGTCTATTAAATTCCTATTTCCAATTTACTCCTCATTTTAAAATCAAAGATAATAAATAACCTGTGTGATCTCACGCAGGAATTCCCCAAGCTGCCTAGGACTTTAAAAAAAAAAAAAAAAAAACAACAACAACAACAAAAAATAAAATCCTGGCCCCACCAATAACCAGAATCACTGGGATTTGGGACCATAGAATCTGTATTTCTAATGCTGGTCTGATGAACGGGGCTCAGAATTTGTAGTAATGAAATTAGACTTTAGAAATGGCTCTACATTTAACAGGCAATTTTGGGCACTTCTCTGAGCTTTTATTTATCCTTCTATAAAATAAGGAGAGTAAAATCTGTTCATGGAGTTATTATAAAGATCTGATAAGATATCACAGGGCAAAGCCCTCTGCCAGTCGTCCAATGCTATACATGGTTCCAAGATATTTTTTATGGGGCTCTGAACTGGGATCTGCTAGCCCAGGTTTTATTTGATCACTGAGTCCTCAGATGGTTTTCTAGAATTTCCCACCATAACAGTTATACATCACCAAGAAGAATCTCATAACATATATAATTTTATTACATGTCATTCCCATAAAAGGAAGTGGGATGTATCTTAGTGAAATCCATATGCTCACCACCCCTTTTGTCAGAGTAATGTTTGTTTTTAATCTGCCTTCAACTGACCTTTGCTATGTTTCAAAGGAAAATCCTCTCAATCTCGTATCTGCAGAACTTGAGTCCTGCCCATTGAGGATTTTATCAACTGGGATTTTTTCACCCCTGACCTCAGCCACTCACACTGAGGCATCCTCATAAAGCAGCCCCCTCCCACCCCAGGAGCCCGCCCGGCCTCCTCCTGGGGGTGGTCTTCATGAAGAGGAGAGGGAAGGCTGCTTCTCCATGCCCCTTCAGGATGCTTGCATTTCAAGCCAGGAGCACAGCGCCTGCCTCGGCTTTCACACACTCTACCTGGCTGTGGCTCTGGGAGTCAGAGGGAAATTTATAGTCAAGGAAAATGGAGCTCTTGTGTGTTTCACAGTTCACCTAAGATCACCCCAAAAGGAGGTGTCGGGGGCAGCTCAAGCTCAGTCTCCTCACTCAGGAATCCATGGGCTTTCCCCTGTATAACATACCCCATTGGTGGCCTCTTTTAACTTGAATCTTGTCATTTACAGACATGTTCTTATTTTGCTGTTGAATCTCTTTCCCCCTATAATGCTGGGTTTGAAGAACTAAAGCCTGTGGTTCCTTACAGATAAGCAAGACTCCATCTGTCCACAGTGAACTCTAATCTCTTTGGGTGTCTCTATGTCTCCCTCACACGTATTTATCTCATTTTTGCTCCCTGAAGCCTCTCTCAAACATCATGAGATGATCAATTACTATTTAAATCAATTCGACTTTTAGGTTCCTTCACTGCAGGCATGCAGCTCTCTCTTTGTTTGTTTATTTTTGGGTTTGAAAGGACAGTGCCAGTCTTAGCTCTAAGGCTCTCCCTCAGCAGAAGGTCAAACATTTCTATCTTGAACCTGTGTCATTTGCTCCAGGCCAGCTGTCCTCTCACACACTGCCCAGTAATTGGGCCCAGACCCACAGAGGTGTGGGCAGCAGAAGACAGAGGAAATCCCAAGGCTGGGCTTCCTTATTGAATATTTAGACTTTAAGTTTAATAACTTTTCAAGTATTTATTTGAGAAGAGCCTGTTTTCAGACTCCAGGCAGCCACTGTAAGCCTGGATCCTTGGCTAGCTATGAAATCCAAAGGGTCAGTCTGGGTGCAGTGGCTCATGCCTGTAATCCCAGCACTTTGGGAGGCCTAGGCAGGTGGATCACCTGAGGTCAGGAGTTCTAAACCAGCCTGGCCAACATGGTGAAATCTCGTCTCTACTAAAAATACAAAAAATTAGCCGGGCGTGGTGGTGCATGCCTGTAATCCCAGCTATTTGGGAGGCTGAGGCAAGAGAATTGCTTGAAACTGGGAGGCGGAGGTTGCAGTGAGCTGAGATGGCGCCATTGCACTCCAGTCTGGGCAACAAGAGTGAAACTTTGTCTCAAAAAAAAAGAAAGAAAGAAACCCAAAGGGTCTGATCACTCAATCCGCTAGCAAGTGGGGCAGCCAGATAATGTCAATCCTACCTAAACCCTCCAGTGGCTTCCCATCTCTTTATTTATTTATTTCTAGACGAAGTCTCACTCTGTCACCCAGGCTGGAGTGCAGTGGCGCAATTTCAGCTCACTGCAACCTCCTGCTTCCCAGTTCAAGCAATTCTCCTGCCTCAGCCTCCCAAGTAGCAGAGGTTACAACCACCCACCATCACACCTGGCCAGTTTTTGTATTTTTAGTAGAGATGGGGTTTCACCATGTTGGCCAGGCTAGTCTTTAACTCCTGACCTCAGGTGATCCACCGCCTCGGCCTCCCAAAGTGCTGGGATTACAGGCATGAGACACCACACCAGGCCTTCCTGTCTCTTTAGAAGGAAACCCAGAGTCCTGCACATGCTGCTCCTGCCTCCAGCTTCAGTCTGCCCCAGCCCTTCCATACTCCAGCTTTTGTGGTTTTCTGTGGCACTAGCCTGGGATACCTTCCCTACTCAGCTTTTTTTGTTCCAGGTCTCACAACAATGCCTCACATAGTCAGAAGTTGTCTCTACCACCTGGTCTAAAGCAGCCCAGAACATGGTGCCTGAGATCAGGCCATACATCTGTCTTTGTCTCTTTGTCCCCCTTGTGTCTCTCCAGGGCCCCACCAGGAGCCACTGCTCAGGTCCTCCGACTCTGCTTCACCTCACCCCACCACTCAGCTGATGACCCCCAAAGTCATCACATACCAAACTTTCTCCCACTTCTTTCTTTCCCCTGCTTCCTTTGTCCTCAATAAAAAAAAAATAATAATAATCTCCTGTGCCCCCTTCCTCCAGGATGCAGTTTAGGGGTAAGAGCTGAGACTAGAGCTAGAAATACATTTAGCACGCCAGGCGCAGTGGTTCACGCCTGTAATCCTGGCACTTTGAAAGGCCAAGGCAGGCGAATCACCTGAGCTCAGGGGTTTGAGACCAGCCTGGCCAACATGGTGAAACCCTGTCTCTACTAAAAGTACACAAAAAGTTAGCCAGGCATGGTGGCACCCTCCTGTAGTCCCAGCTACTCCAGAGGCTGAGGCAGGAGAATCACTTGAACCTGGGAAGTGGAGGTTACAGTGAGCCAGGATCGTGCCACTGCACTCCAGCCTGGGGAACACAGAGAGACTCCATCTCAAAAAAAAAAAAAGAAAAGAAAAGAAAAAAGAAAGGATTACATTCAGGAAACCCTAAGTCAGCTGTGGGCCAAGCACTGGCCAGGTGCTGGTTTATGCCAGGCTTTGAATTCCAGCTTTTTGACTGTAAACCCTGGGCAACTGTCTAATCTCTTGGAGCCTCAGGCTTCTCATCTTTGAAACGGGGCTAATCAAGTCTCCTGTGCTGGTTAATTTTATGCGTCAATTTGGTTGGGCCACAGCACCCAGATATTTGGTCAAATATTATTCTGAATGTTTCTGTGAGGATGTTTTTAGATGAGATTAACATTTAAATTGGTGAACTTCAAGTGAAGAAGATTGTTGTCCATAATATGGACAGGCTTCATACAATCATTTGAAGGCTTAAATAGAACAAAAGACTGTTCTCTCCACTTACCCCAGCAAGAAGGCATTCTGCCAGTAGATGGGCCTTCGGACTGGATACCAGCGTCAGTTCTTCCCTGGGTCTCTAGCCTGCTGTCCTACTCCACAGATTTTGAACTTGCCAGGCTCCACACATGAGCCAATTCCTTAAAATAAATCTCTCTCTCTCTTTCTCTCTCTCCATAGACACACACACACACACACACACATGCACACACACGCATCCTCTATTAGTTTTGTTTCTCTGGAGAACCCAAAATGACTATACCTACCTTACAGTGATAAGAGTTGTTATTACTAATAACTGCTGCTATTTCTTGAGTGCTTACAATGTTAAGCTTGCTAAGGGTTTACCACATGTTATTTCATTTAATCCTTACCACACCCTTATGAACTGGGTATTATTATTGTCGGCTGTGTACAGTGAGGAAATAGATGCTTTGAGAGATTTAAATCACTCACAGCTAGCAAAGGGTGGAACCAAGATTTGAATTTTAACCACCATCCTCACTGCCTCAACTGAGTGTCTAACTAACAGTGTTCCTCTTACCCAATAAATGTTCTATTCCACTCTCTCACTAAAGTAATGTAAGCATATGCATTCCTTTTATTCATGTATTTAATTTTTAAATGTATACATATATGTTTGAACATATATGATTATATGTAGTATATTTTATATGTGCATGCATATATATATATATAAAATCATCTGACTTATGTGGTTCAGGAGCTGTCAGGAGACAGGGACAGAAGGTTCTGACTGCATTCCTCAGACCACCCCAGATTGGTTTTCCTGGGGGCTGAGTGTCTGCCTACCCAGCAGAGCCCCCTCAGCTTCCTGCCTCCATCTGCAATGCCGGAGGGCAGCCCTGCCACTCAGGCCAGGGAGCTCCCTGGAAGTCATCCCCTCTTGGTCCCCTCCAGTGAGCCATTTCATCTTGTGTTGTTGCAGAATTTCTAGGTGCTCTGACTTTGTCAGGGAGCAAACTGGCTTGATGGTAGAGTTTGTGGAGGAGGAGTTGTGTACATGACATTTGACCTGGACTTTGTAGAGGTACCATTTTGAGCCTGTTCATTTAAATCTCTTTTTACTGATAAGCTCATACACAAAAACAAGACGCTGGAGTGGCCGGCTTCCAGCATAGCAGAAGGTGGGGAGAAATGCAGTTTGCAAGGTACCGTGGCTTGTCACGCTGCTGCCAAGGAAATGCTGCTCAAATTCACCACCAGGTTTAACCCTGCCTGCTCCAATGTAGTGGTGTGGTCAGGAAGCACTTGGCCTGTTCTGGAGAGGGAAGAACCCTCAGTAAGAGGCCCCTAAGTGCCTCAGTAGTGGCTCTCCTTCCCCCCCCCACCACCCCCCCAGCTTTTCATTAGTGTTTTCCTAGAAAATTTCTTTTACCAGTGAACAAAATTTTTTTTTAAGTTGGAGAGAGAAGGACCAAATAAAATTTTTTTAAATTAAAAAGCCTCTTAGGGCAGGTAAATGTGCACTTTTCTTTTATGCCAATTAGAATAAGTCGAATTAGAAAGCAGTTTCCACTTATTATGCCCCTCTTAGCACTTTGCTAAAAGCTTTGCCTACATTATCTCCTTTGATGTTCCCACAACCCTGTCAAGTGGGTATTACTTGACGATGATGGCACAATGGCTCAAAGGGTGCAGGAGCCTGCCCAGGGTCACATAGCTGTAAGTAGCAAAGTTGCTACTCCAGACTTCCCCTGGCAGAGAAGCATCTCCTAGAATGATGTCTTGGTGAAGGGCACGGGAAGCTTTTGACTTTCATAATCATTGGTTCTGCTGGGAAGTGTGCCTAGAAGGAATGCCTAAAAATGATGGAATCTACCTGCTTTCTTTACCAGAATTCATTCATTCACTCACTCATTCAACAATTGTAAATTGAGTGCTTCTGCTATGTGTCAGGCCTGTTCTAGATGCTGGAAATATGATATAGTCCTGTCTGTCTGGCCAGACACTGGGTTGCCATTATGCAGAGGTAAAACATTTTAAACATCAAATTCAGCAAAACCTTCCCTGATGGATCTAACTCTTTGTTGTAAAAACTCACAGCACTGCTTTTTGCCAAGAAATGTCCTTACTCCTATAACTTTCTGACCTTGTTTGGCAGAGATTTGTACTGTTATGAATCCTTTCCAAAACCCATGCCTTCTTAAACCAGTTAGGCTATGAACTCCTTTAGAGCCGAGGTTGTACACATATCAGTCACCCAACAAATACACTTTGACTTCATGAAAATAATTTTTGATACTGAATAATTTCCCTGTAGAATCAAATTGTTTACATTTGGCCAGGCACAGTGGCTCGCACCTGTAATCCTAGCACTTTGGAAGGCCGAGGCGGGTGGATCGCTTGACCTCTGGAGTTCTAGACCAGCCTGGGAAACCCAGTCTCTGCAAGAAATACAAAAATTAGCCTAGTGTGGTGGCTCATGTCTGTAATCCCAGCAACTTAAGGGGCTGAGGCGGGAGGATCACTTGAGCCCAGGAGGTGGAGGTTGCAGGTTGCAGTGAGCTGAGATTGCAACACTGCACTCCAGCCTGGGTTACAGAGTGACACCCTGTCTCAAAAAAAAAAAAAAAAAAATTTACACTTAAGCAAGTCAACCATTTGATTTTAAGCATTAAATGTATGATCTTAATTTTCCTATCATCTTTTACCCCAGGATCTAAATCTGGACTGTGAGTCCATGTGTGTAGACGGTGATAATATTTGGTGTGACTTGAAATTCAGCTCCTTGAGTCTCAGATTCCTGCAAACTGAGGGAAATAAGAAATGTTTGCCAATAACACACAAGCTTTATGGACTTTTTTTTCCAAATTCTGTTCTCTCTCTCTCTTTTCCCTCTCTTGCAGTCTCTCAGATCATAGTCAGATTTTTCTAAATTCAGACAGTATCTTCTGGGCTGTGAAGAAAAACTAGGAGACTCTGAGGAAGGTTGCTGACCTCTGCCTATCATTCCTTAAGGTTCTCAGGGTTCTTGTTTAAACACAAGTCTTGTTAAGCACTTTCTAAAACCAGACAGCTCTATAAGTTTGGAGAGAGAGAAAAGGAAAAGCTAGGAACAAAATCATCTGTCAGGCTGATGATCACAGTGCAGAATGAATATAGGGCCAGTTATGGGGAAGGGGAATGGCACAGGCAGAATTATAAGTAAACAGGTTTTCTCCCTTTCTGGGCTGCAGGATCTCATGCCAACGTCCTGGCCTTGGCTGCCCTCCAGTCTTGTTTGACCTTGGAGCTGTACCTGCAAGGCGAGGGAGGAGCCACATCTTTCCCTAAGCAATGCCTGGCACTTTGCCGGAAGGCCTGGCGCCCCATTGGCATCAGGTGGCTGTGATGCACTTCTTCGTGTGCTCCAGCCCCAGTCATGGCTGGGCTGGCCCCAGAAAGAGGCCTGTGGAAGCTCCAGGCCCTGAG
Organism: Homo sapiens; assembly: GCF_000001405.40. Taxonomy (NCBI): domain Eukaryota; kingdom Metazoa; phylum Chordata; class Mammalia; order Primates; family Hominidae; genus Homo; species Homo sapiens. Next base: position 76,386,700 of record NC_000005.10, read on the forward strand.
GGAATTTCCTTGAGGGAAACCACTGGAGGTGGATATGGGGGTGGGAGAGCTTTCTCTTTTTCTGGAATAGCTCTGGTGAGGGGTGTAACTGCTCCACCACCCTACCACCTAACTACAGGCTCAAATATCTGGCTCACCCCACTCTCAAAAAGGCTAGCACATCTCCCAGGCTGACACAATAGGCAGATTCACCTGTACCAAAATCTCTCTCCACCAGGCCTGTCTTCCGGTCTAAAATTTGCACTACCATACGCTTTCCAGTAGGTCCAAAAAACCCCTGTGAAAATGAACAAGTGCCAACTGAGGGTATAAGATTCCAGCTCTGGCTTAACAGACCTATAAGACTGTCCAGTTTGCTGGATGCCACCTAGAAGAAATCAGGGCTTCGAGAGATAGAGCCAGACTCTGCAGAGCTAAGTCTAATAGCAGAGGTGAGTTAGGAAACCCCAAAGCACTAGTGCTCCATAGGCTTTGGGTGGGAAAAGCAAGGCAGAGACAGGCAGGGCACACAACCCTAGGCAGCAGGTCCTGGGGCTTTGACTGAACTGGGGTTTGTGTCCCATTTAAGGAGGCAGTCACTGACCACTCTCAGCCCATTCCTGTTGCATGGAATTGTGGGCCCCACTTGCCAGATTTTTGTTTTGTTTTGTTTTGTTTTTTAAGAGAAGGTGGAAACCAATTTCTTTCTTTTTTTTTTTTTTTTAGATGTTGGCAACTAATTTATTTTGAAACACTGTAGGCCTGAACAGTACAAGCTAAATGAAGTACCTGTGGGCCCCATTTGGCTTCTAGGGAATAGTAAAGGAGGATTCTGCCCAAGGCCATATCTGCTTTCAGGAGCAGCTGAACTACCACTCTTTCCAGCTCTAATGCATAACAAAACTATTTAACCAGCATGAGGCTCTTCTTCTTCTTTTTTTTTTTTTTTTTTTGAGATGGTATCTCACTCTGTTGCCCGGGCTGGAGTGCAGTAGCGTGATCTTGGCTCACTGCAACCTCCACTTCCCAGGGTTGAAGCAATTCTCCCTGTCTCAGCCTCCTGAGTAGCTGGGATTACAGGCACCTGCCACCATGCCTGGCTAATTTTTGTATTTTTAGTAGAGATGGGGTTTCACCATGTTGGCCAGGCTGGTCTCGAACTCCTGACCTCAGGTGATCCTCCTGCCTCAGCCTCCCAAAGTGCTGGGATAACAGGCGTGAGTCACTGCACCACCCGGCAGCCATCATCTTTGCATCTTATGCCTTAGTTTCTTCCCCATAAAATTAGCAGGATAGACCTAAGCCTCTGGGCTGAGGATCTCTAACAGCTTTCTACTTAGAGCACTGCCCTTGGCAGAACTCAGGAATGCCCTCTGGCAAAAGTGTGAACTGGGTGATATTAAAATTCTTTGATCTCCATTCCACGTCTGGTGACCTGATGCCCTCCAGGTGAACTGTAGATGCCCCCAAGACACTTAATTGAGTAAAAAGTTTGGTGATTTTACTAAGCGACAGCAAGGTATGTGTATAATATACATGAAAAGGTGCAGAATATTATATACAAATGAATGTCATTTGTACAAAAAACTACATAATGAATTCATACACTTTTTTTTCCCTCACCTTAAAGGTTCAGGATGTACTAGCCCACTGATTAGAGGGATCACATCCAGGACTCTCATACTGAATGCCAGTAAGTGTTTAGTGTTTGGAGCTATCTGCTCATCCTGACTTGGAAGCAAGTTTATTTATTCAGCATAAAAGGAAGTATTTGAACTCACTCACAGAGTGATTCTCTACAATATTTAAAAGCAGCAAGACTGGACAGACAACTTTTAGAACAAGACATATTTCTCTGTTGTGAATACCACCTTGATATCTTAACTAGAGAATTATAGCTATACCGGAGCTCAACAGTAAAAAGAACATAAATTTTTTTTGTTAAGATAGGTAATATTTTATATTATAAAAATGAGCCTTTTTTCTTCTCAAATTCCCTTCTATTACCTTCTTCATTCAGCTATTTCATTTTGAATCACTTTTTTTTGTGAAACTAAACATGTAAACAGTGTTTTTATGAATATTCACCACAATATTGCCTAGGTGAATAGAATAACTTTCTCCATCCCACTCCTATTATTTTGCCTAGGTTATGTAGACCCAGCTGGCCTTTTGGATTCACAGATTTGCATATAAATTAGAGCAAGAGTAAAATAGAACCATAAGCTGCTATAGGGCACATCCCGTGGTTAATCTTTCTCTCTAATCCTACTCAACACTTAGCATATTATCCCACACAAAGGAGATATCCAATAAATTGTTCAATATGTAGAAAAACTGAACAACAGAAAAAGTCCAGCGACTGCTTAAATACAGGACGCATGAGAATTAGAGTCAAACAGTAGGAAGGCTAAAAGGCTGCCTGCACAGTGAACCCCCAGCCACTCCAGAATTGGCTCTGGGCAGAGGGTACAGCAAGTCCTTCCATGCTTCACTCAAGTTTCATTTGTTGTATTGGAGCTGCTTTTCGCACATGCTCATTTCAAACCACAATTTCACCATTGTTGCCAACTCGTCTCTTCTCCATAAGTAAGCATTTAGCTCTCCCGCTTCCATGCGAAAAAGCTGAATGATCCTCTCCAACCCCCTCGTGGCTGCTTCTCTTCTCTCAACAGGTTATCATTTTGACCACTCCCCTCTCAGAGCTTTGCATTAATAATTCAGAAACTGGCTGGGCGCCGTGGTTCATGCCTATGATCCCAGCACTTTGGGAGGCCAAGGCAGGCATATCACCTGAGGTCAGGAATTCAAGACCAGCCTGGTCAACGTGGTGAAACCCTGTCTCTACTAAAAATACAAAAATCAGCTGGGTGTGGTGGTGCACGCCTGTAGTCCCAGCTACTCCAGAGGTTGAGGTAGGACAATCGTTTGAACCTGGGAGGCGGCGGTTGCAGTGAGCCAAGATCGCACCACTGCACTCTAGTCTCGGTGACAGAGAGAGATTCCATCTCAAAAAAAAAAAAAAAAAAAAATTCAGAAACTGCTAAATAGTGAAATGACATGGCACAGTGAATTCTGTCAAAGCTCGCTTCTTCTCAGCGAGTGAGTAGAAGCCAGCATTCAGCTGTGCCCCGCGATGATGTTTTGTTGACCATAGACTCAGCTCAACTACACTATGACCCTTGAGATATTTCTTTTTCTATTCTTAGGCATAACCTGTCATTCTTCTCCCTTTATTTATGCAGCTTGTGTTTTTCCTAACCACTCTCTTTCTCCCGGGTCCCTAGACAGTGGAGCTACCAGAACATGTTGACATAACTTTTGCCCCCTGTCAGAGTTCCTGGCGCTGGAGCCACTGCGGTATGACCTGCTGTTGCCACAGGGTTTTTCTCTAGCTGGAATCATTCTCACCATGGGAGCCTGTCCACAATGGGTGGCACCTAGGAAAGTTAAATTCATGTTGCATTTTGTTTCATGAGACTCTTTCTTGAAGTTGAACTTTCTGGCTCTCTGGAATGAACATGCTTGCACTGAAAGCCTGTGAGAGACTTTCCAAGAGGTTACACAGTGTTTTTCCTTCTCAGAGACATCAGAGTTGATTCTCTTTCCAGATTCCATGCTAATATTTTATATCATTCTGCTATGCTGCTGCTCTGTTATTTTCTGGGTGGAGATACTGCAATGTAGGTGATCATTAATACATATATAGGTCAGGTACCAAGAATTAGCTCTCTGTTACAACCAGATGCTGTTTGGTCATTAGCCAAATATGGGAAATTATTGAACTTCTCCTTTCCAACAGGCCTTGCTGGTATCAAAGAGCCTGAGAGAGGCAAGAAATAAATTTCAGTTTGAGGCAAGTGATAGAAGACAAACCAATAAGTTAATTTTGGAGAGAACTGAGATTAGAGTTAACTATTCATTGATTTGAAAAATATTCACTGGGTGCCTACTATATGCAAGGCACTGGGTATAGAGCCATGAATAAAACTGAAGAGCTGTAAAATCAGAACAACAGATGACTTATGAAGCATTCCAAGTCATGGAGACCTGAGAACTCTTTGGGGAAGAAATGAAAATTACCTGGAAGTAGTCATTTTATATACCAGCTCAAGCTTGCGTCTTTCCTTTTCCTCTTTCTTTCTTACTTTCAAAAAATGTTCCTAAAATAGGACTCTTTCATCTGAGGTATCAATGAAGCCTGTTAGAGGCATCACAGGAGAAGAATCAGTTCCTCCCAGTATGAGATTATAGGGAGGAAGAAAGGAGGAATGTGACCTCTTCCCTTTGTGGTCCTTGGCCACTAGATCCTAGGGATTTTTAAAGGGACTAAGCAACTAAAGCAAGAGAAGTAAACACAAGTGGAATTCCAAAATCTAATTACAAAAATATATACAAAACAAAACCTTTAATTGCTTTGTCTCAAGATCTGTAACAAGGAATAAGAAGACAGCAAAAACAAAGAAAACCGTTGTTCCTATTGTGGGTTATTTTGCTCAAGGGAGGAAGTGGGTTTCAAGGTACCATGCATTGGCTGCGCGCGGTGGCTCACGCCTGTAACCCTAGAATTTTGGGAGGCCGAGGTAGGTGGATAACCTGAGGTCACGTTATCCCCATCTCTGCCGAAAATACAAAAAATTAGCCAGGCATGGTGGTGTGCACCTGTAGTCTCAGCTACTTGGGAGCCGAGATCATGCCTTTGCACCCCAGCCTGGGCCACAGAGCAAGACTCAGTCTCAAAAAAAAAAAAAGGCCGGGCTTGGTGGCTCACGCCTGTAATCCCAGCACTTTGGGAGGCCAAGGTAGGCAGATCACCTGAGGTCAGGAGTTCGAGACCAGCCTGGCCAATATGGTGAAACCCTGTCTCCACTAAAAGTACAAAATTTAGCTGGGCATGGTGGCACGTGGCCATAGGGATTTTGCTATGTTGGCCAGGCTGGTCTCGCTTTAACCTGGGAGGCAGAGGTTGCAGTGAGCCAAGATCGGGCCACTGCTCTCCAGCCTGGGTGACAGAGCGAGACTCTGTCTCCAAAAATAAAGAAAGAAAGAAATAGAAAAATAAATAAATGGAGCATGCATTGAAAAGGGTTATGCAATCACTGAACCATTTTGGAAGAGTTCTTGAAAAATCATACACATTATCTCTCACTCCACCACCACTACCCTATATGCAATTTTTTGGTAGCATAAAACACTTTTGTTCCTCAGAAATCTTCTAGATTTCATAACACTAACTTTGTAGCGTTAATGCCAGGCTGTCACTATACATAGCTGAATTCAATTGTAAACTTGTATTTATTTAGGGAATAAATCACTGTACATAGCCAAGCATGCCAGTATATCTCATTTAAAAATCCAAAACCTGGCTGGGTGTGATGGCTCACGCCTATAATCCCACCACTTTGGGAGGCCAAGGCAGGTGGATCACGAGGTCAGGAGTTCAAGATCAGCCTGGTCAAGATGGTGAAACCCCGTCTCTACTAAAAAAAAAAAAAATTACCCAGGGATGGTGGCACACACCTGTAATCCCAGCTACTCGGGAGGCTAAGGCAGGAGAATCGCTTGAACCCAGGAGGCAGAGGTTGCAGTGAGCCAAGATCATGCCACTGCACTCTAGCCTGGATGACAGAGCGAGACTCCGTCTCAAAAAAAAAAAAAAAATCCAAAACCTAATTTTTGAGGCTAATTACTCTAAAACTGACCAAGACCTTGAAACAGAGTGGATAGTCAGTGTTAGTTGAATTCTATTGAAAATTATATTACCACAGAGAAGCACTAACTTAAGCAGCAGAATAAGAAAAATTTCTAATAATGCTGAAAACAGAATAAAGAATATAAAAGCCATGTTAACATTTAAAAGCATTATTTGTAATTTGTTTACAAATAAGTTAGTGTAAAAATTAGAAAGAAAATCAAAGGGAGCGTGGGTTTTCTGGGCCCATGGGAATGCTAAATGCCAGCTAAATCTTTGGTGATCCTGAAAAGGAATTGCATATGAATTGGGACCAGATTTTCAAAATATCGATCAAAGATTTTATTGCTTATTGAAAGGGAACTGTCACCTGGCATATGAATCCTTTCTACAGCATTTCCAGCATAATGCTTTTTTTGTCTGTTTTTAAAGCACACCTCATAGTTTCAATGAAGCATTGTTCTAGGCCTCAAGTTTATACTAATTAACTGGTTTCCTGAGAAGATATAAACTCCAGACATTCAGAAGAGCTTAATATACCACATTTTAAAGGACACTTCAAGTTAGCATTACAGTTTGCAAAAGATAAATGACTAAATCTGTTCTATTTTGTTTAATTTTACCTCCCAGAATGTCTTCAGTTCTTTCAAGAAATTGTAGAATTCACTCTCAAAGTGAAAACAGTTTAAATTTGTTTTAAGATAACTTAAAGCAACACTGCTACACAACATGTAGAACTTTGAGTGAGAAGAAGGGCTGAGGCTTATGTGAAATCTAACAATAAACATGAAGAGTTTAAAATGACAGAACATGAAGCAGGGTTTCTCTGGTGACTGTGGTGCCTCCCCTCCCCTAAAGGGCCTTGTGGCTGATCAGCGGGAGGTTCCTGTCTTACATCTCAACACCACCACCCTTGTGCTGTGTATGTGGTCTTTGTTCGTATTAAATTCTCACAAAAATATCTAACATGTGACCTGATAAAATAAAAACTCCAACACTCCAACATGCTTCGAATACAGACATCTTAGGAAAATGAAAAGCTTTCTCAAACCAATTGTTTTTACTGAACCTGGCTTAGAAACTACACAGATCAAATGATAATCTCTGTATGCAGTAGGCAGATACTTTTTGTTGATGTCGCCACTTGTCAAGACCCAAACAGATCTATTTAGTGTCAAATCTTTGTCGAGCACCTACTGAATGCTGGATAAAGTTCAAATTCCAACTCCCTGAAACCTCTCAATTTTTAGACTCTCAAAGTCTCTAGGAAGAAAATACTAGTTTAGAATTCTACTCATGGAAGTGAGAAAGAAAACTTTTTAATCTGAGGGAGGTGAGCCCCTTTAAATTATCAGGCCCAGAGAGGCATTTAAAATATAACAGGGCTGGCTCGGTGGCTCACGCCTGTAATCCCAGCACTTTGGGAGGCCAAGGCAGGCAGATCACTTGAGGCCAGGAGCTCGAGACCAGCCTGGCCAACATAGAGAAATCCCATCTCTACTAATCATACAAAAATTAGCCGGGTGTGGTGGTGAGCGCCTATAATCCCAGCTACCTGGGAGACTGAGACAGGAGAATCGCTTGAACCAGGGAGGCGGAGGGTGTAGTGAGCCAAGCTGGCACCACTGTACTCCAGCCTGGGCAACAGAGTGAAACTGTCAAAAAAAAAAAAAAAAAAAGTAACAGCATTCATGTCTCTCTCTTCCTTGAGCTACATAATTATCTCTTGAACCAAATATGCTTTGTGGGCTCCAGACTGATACGAAGTAGCCATAAAAAATGCCACACATTGTATAGTTCTACAATGTATTGCCCATCACTAACCAATGTTAGTTCCGTAAACCACGAGAATTCTGAAAGAACAACTTTTATAATCACTCCCTTTCCTGATTCATCTTTTTCTTTAAAAACTTGAGCTTCTTGGCCGGGTGCGGTGGCTCACGCCTGTAATCCCAGCACTTTGGGAGGCCAAGGCGGGCAGATCACAAGGTCAGTAGATTGAAACCATCCTGGCTAACACGGTGAAACCCTGTCTCTACTAAAAATACAAAAAATTAGCTGGGCATGGTGGCAGGCATCTGTAGTCCCAGCTACTAGAGAGGTTGAGGCAGGAGAATGGTGTGAATCCAGAAGGCGCAGCTTGCAGTGAGCCGAGATCGCACTACTGCGCTCCAGTCTGGGGGACAGAGCAAGACTCCATCTCAAAAACAAAACAAAAAAAACCTTGAGCTTCTCTTTTGTTTTTTGGAGCACTCCCCAAGGCAACTCGGAAGCGTGTCCCAAGCTGCAGTCCTCGAATAAATTTACTGGCCCAAATAAACTATCTATATTAATCTTTGCCTCTGCTTCTTTCTTTTAGGCCAACAGAAAATCAGCAGGCTTTCAACAGCTATAACTTCCTGCACTGCTGTTTTGGACCCTTTGAGGTTACTTGTTTTGTCTACTATTGTGGGAAATAAAAGCAAAATCTGGGAACCCCAGATGCTGACTTTTTTTTTTTAATCAAGGAAACAATAGAAACATAAATAGCAACTAAGGTAGTATTTGCTAAAGACTCAAAGTCTTATAGTAGGTAGTTAGTCAGACATGAGCAGGCAGGAGAGGGCCCCCCAACCCACACCAAGAATGTCAGGTGATCATCAGGTGATGCTCAGGCAGTTGTTACACTGTCTCTCTAAAATAATAATCGGTTGCAGCCAAGGGAGTCTCCCAAGAGATAGAAAAACCCTGAAGCTGGTGATCAGCAGCATCCCAATAAGATCTCAGGAGTTGGGTGAGTGGGCTCAAGCATGTGCACTCTGAGGCAAAATGGCAGTTAATTGGTATACGACCTTCTTTTAGGAACACTCAATTGGTAAGGGAAAAACGCCTCAAGTGAGCCTGTGCACAATTGCAGTAAACACACCGTGCCTGCAGCCCCTCCCAAATGTTGACAGGCCACTGTGCATGTGGACAGCCAACCCCAAGGGAAGAATCATGGGAGAAGGGATGCGACCCCCTGAAAGCATGTCAATGTATAAAATCCCAAGTCAAAGGTCAAATCATGCACTTGAATCTCTCAAGTTGTCTGCTTGCCCTTCTTCCAAGTGTACTTTACATATTTCCTTTCCTACTCTAAAACTTTTTAATAAACTTTCACTCCTGCTCTAAAACTTGCCTCGATCTCTCCCTCTGCCTTATGCCCCTCAGTCGAATTCTTTCCTCTGAGGAGGCAAGAATTGAGGTTGCTGCAATCCCATTCAAATTTGCCACTGCTAACAAAAGGAGAGTACTAATTGCTGACCTAAAAGGAAGAAGCTGACCAGGCACCGTGGCTCATGCCTGTAATTCCAGCACTTTGGGAGGTTGAGGCAGGAGGATCACTTGAGCCCAGGAGTTTGAGACCAGCCTGGGCAACATGGTGAAACCCCATCTCCATAAAAAACTACAAAAAAAAAAAAAAGAAAAAAGAAAAATTAGCCATGTGTGATGGCACACACCTGTAGTTCCAGTTATGCAGGAGGCTGAGGCAGGAGAATCACCTGAGCCTGGAAGTCAAGCCTTCAGTGAGTCGTGATCATGCCAGGGCAACGGAGTGAGACCCTATCTCAAAAAAGAAAAAGGAAAAAGCTGAGGCAGAATTAATATAAGCAGAGAGTTTATTTGGACTAAGCTTGAGGATTTCAACCCAGAAGCATAGACTCAAGTTGCCCTGAATATACACCCCAATTAGCAGCAGTTATAAGTAGGCTTTTAAAGGAAGAGGCAGTTAGTTCATAAGTTGTTTACTAAGAATTACATTAAAATAACATAAGCTATTGATTGGCTATACGTTGCTCTTTGTATCACAAATTTCAGGAACGTGAAGATAATGGGTGAAGCAGCTGTCAGGAATAAAATGACTATTTATTTATTTATTTATTTAGAGACGGAGTTTTACTCTTCTTGCCCAGGCTGGAGTGCAATGGCGCGATCTCGGCTCACCACAACCTCCAGCTCCCTGGTTCAAGCGATTCTCCTGCCTCAGCCTCCTGAGTAGCTGGGATTACAGGCACCCGCCACCACACCCAGCTAATTTTTGTATTTTTAATAGAGACAGGGTTTTGCCATGTTGGCCAGGCTGATCTTGAACTCCTGACCTCAGGCAATCCACCGGCCTTGGCCACCCAAAGTGCTGGGATTACAGGCGTGAGCCACCACGCCCAGCCTTTAAAATGACTTTAAACAATTGCCCCCAGGCATGGAAGGGGGCATGAAGTCCCATACTCATGTCTCTCTGGGCTTGCATACCTCACAGAATTCAGCCTGCTATGAGCTACTTTTTTTTTCTCACAATAACACTGTATGGTATTTGATAGAGGAATTCAGAGGAGGAAGCAAGCAAACTAAATTGCAAGAAGGAAAGAAACAGCACAGAAATCACCCTTGCAGCAGTCCAGGTGTAAGATGGTGTGAGAGCTTGAATCAGAGTAGTGGTGGGTGATGATGGGCGCCAAGAAGAAAGAAGAGACATCAGCAAAGGAGAGTGATAGGAACAAAAAAATCACCAAGGCTGAGGGACTGACTGGATGCTAAGGAATGATTCCAAAGGAATGCAAAATGATTGAGGTTTTGAAACTAAGTGACTGAAAATGTGTATATTAACAGGGTATGGAAATCAGAGGAAAGACGTGTTTTAGTAGATGAAGAGCAAGATGGAATTGAACAATTCTGGTTTCGTCTGTGGAGTTTGGGGTGGCAGTTTTATTTATGGTCTGACAAAATGCAGTCTTTGGTGATGTCTGCCTCCCTTGCCGTGATATTGTTTGGTTCACTATTGGCTTTTGCACTTGGCCAGGGGCTGACCAGATCCAGATGTGAAGTTAACTCTTAACAAACAGTAACTGAGCATTAGGAGCTGGGTAGCAAAACAAAACAAAACAAACAGAAAAACTTGATTCTATTTTTATATTTTTTTTCCTTTTTTCCTTTACAGAATGGGGTCTTGCTATGTTGTCCAGGCTGGTCCCAAATTCCAGGCCTCAAGTGATCTTCCACCTTGGCCTCCCAAAGTCTGGGATTACAGGTGTGAGCCACCATGCCTGGCCCAGACTTTATAATGAAGGAGGATCCACCAAAATGCATAAGTAGTACTTTATGATAGCGTGGCAATTTCTGCTTCAACAATAGGCCAGACATACGGTCAACTCTTCATTCATTCATCCATGAAGAGCTATTCCTTGGTAAGTGTGAACAGGAGGATTAGGAGTCCCTAACCAATCCCAAAATCGAGATCCTGGTCATCAGCAGGTGGTTCTTAGCAGCCCCCTAGGAAGCAGCTGAGTTTTAGGGTAGAAGCTACAACTCTTTCAATAAATCATGAGCACCTTCCTAGAAAGACATACATGTTTGCATATTCATATTGCCACCACCAACATCTCACTGTGGCCTTGTTTTGAAATAATAGATTTCAAAATCTATAGATTTGCCTCTATCGAGAAAACTTAACAAATCTGAACTTTAAAAAGTGGTAAACCAACAAACTAAGACATTACTTTTATTTTGAATATATTAACAGAATACTTGTTCCTTAAAAAAAAAAAGTTTTGAGAAGCATCACAAACAAAAGAAAGACATAGAGGATAAAACATCAAATACTTATGTACATACTCCCTGAATATAACAAATGTCATATTTCCTCAGGCTTTTAAAAAGGAAATTAAATGTTAGATATATTTGATGTTCCTTGTCTACATCTTTGGCTTCCATTTTCTTCCCTAATTTCTCAGAGATTATTTCTATTCTGAAATTGGTATGTTCTTCCTGTACATGTTTTTTATACTTTTACTATATGCACCTAACCCAACATATATTATGTGCTATTATTTCATGTGTTTATAATTGTACATATATGGTATAACATTGTATTTATCATTCTCTATCTTTATTTTATTTAATTTTTTTGAGATGGAGTCTCACTCTGTCACTGAGGCTGGAGTGCAGTGGTGTGACCTCGGCTCACTGCAACCTCCACTTCCCAGGTTCAAGTGATCCTCCTGCCTCAGCCTCCCAAGTAGCTGGAATTACAGGTGCCTGCCACTATGCTCGGCTAAGTTTTATATTTTTAGTAGAGATGGGGTTTCACCATATTAGTCAGGGAGGATCTTGAACTCCTGACCTCAAGTGATCCACCCGCCTCAGCCTCCCAAAGTGCTGGGATTGCAGGCATGAGCCACCATGCCTGACCTTCTCTTATTTTTCTATACCACGACATCTGCCCATCCATCCTGCCACAACAGGCCATTTAAGTTGTTTCGTTTTTCTCTGGAGTGAACATCCTTGTACATGTCCTCCTGTATGTGGGGGCTTCACTAGAGCACCTTAATAGATGTGAAGTTGCCAGGTTTCATGAAATGTACATCTTTACTTTAACTAGAGTTGACCAACTTATTCCTCGAAATGGTTGCTCAAAGTTACGTCCCCCTTAACACTGCATGAGAGTTCCCGATTCCCCACACTTGTTAAACATTTTTGGCACCTAACGGGTGCTTTCATTTTCATTCCCTGATAAATCGTGAAGCTTTATTCAAAATATCCAAGCTCTTGTAGGTCACTTAGAAGTTTGTCATCAATCAATTAATACAGAATCTTCTAGAAGGGAATGAGTCAGGCAGGGAAGATTAAAGCTAGGACAATAAGCTACTGCCAAAGATAGATCAATCCAAGATTAAAATAAAGTATACTTGGAGTATGGTCAATGGGAAAGCATAAATGATTTTAAAACATTGATTCAGAACAACTTTACAGGTATATGGCAGAGAGCCCTTTAGTAAGCACCATTCAGATTTTGTCTCATTCATGCATAAAGATCAATAAAGAACTACAAGGGATTAGCAATAAAACTATAATCAGAACTATTGCCTGGATACAAAATGGACCCCAGGGTCTATTTTGGCAAATAGATGATGGTAACTTGGGGTCATTTGTAGTACGTCCTTTAGTGTTCACCTAGGAAAAGACAACATGTATTTGGTAAAAGGCAAAAATGTTGAAAACTGTAGTTCAATTTATCAGTTTCTGTTGGGGAAACTGTGTGGACTCAGATAAACCCAGCTCTGCCATATACTACCAGTCTCTATGAGTCTGTTGCTTTACCGTTAAATAAGGATATCTCTATCTTCTTCCCAGAGTTGTTACCAGAATGAAAGTAACAACTATTTCTAGTATAGTGACTGGTGCATATAATTTATCATAGTAAATTCATGATTGCAACAAAATAATTGAGCAGCTACTACATGCCAGGCATTGCTACACATCCTGGACACATAGCAATGATGAATTAGACCAAGTTCCAGTTGTCAAGAAGCTCAAATTCTGCCTGGCATGGTGGCTCATGCCTGTAATCCCAGTACTTTGGGAGACAGACACAGGTGGATTACTTGAGGTCAGGAGTTCGAGACCAGCCTGGCCAACATGGTGAAACCCCATCCCTACTAAAAATGCAAACACTGATTGTTTCATTCATTTCTGATTCTTTTTAATTTTTTTGTAAATTTGAAGTTGAACTGTAACAGTTTTCTTTTTAGACATAGGAATCTCCTTTGCAGTAAAGCGTACTTTCTATTTCTTTTCAGTATCTCTCTTTTTCTGGAAATGGGAGCAAGTTAGAAAATTTTAATAGCCCAAGTGCTCCCAGTACTTTGAAAAAGGCTTGAATAATTTCTTTCCTATGATTTCCTCATTCCTCATTTCTGGCGACAGTCACTATTTTGGGTATGCATGTAAAATTGATCAATAATGTGATATTATTGGAAAATAACCAAGTCATCTCAAAGGCAAATATAATATTAAAGTGTGCTAAGATTTTTCCTGAGACATACTTTTTTTCCCTTTCGATGCTCTTGATATAATCTGTTATTTTAAAAATTGCATTTTCCCAAACACCTTTATTTCAACTTGTCAAAAGAAAACAGATGGGCCTTAAAAACAAAATTTTTTAAAATAATATTGCTTAAAAATTGTTTCAGCATGTCTAGTAGTTTATTAGTGTTGTTTTTTGTTTTACATTAAACAAAAAACCTTGCTTTCTTGAAAACTTTTTTTCACTAGATGGCCTTCATTTTTGTTTCTAATATTATTGCAAGCACAATCAGATGGCAAAGTAAGCTGACGCATTGCCTTGTACCTATTTGAATATTCTCCAGTATCAAATCCTAAGAGAAAATAGTCCAGCATTCTGCAGACAAATTTCTTTTCTGAGATGCTGAGGTGAAGTGGCCTGTGAGACAGTATTGTTATTACCCAATGAGTGCAGACCAAAATGCCCATGATTAATGCTAGCACTTGCAAAATAACAAGAGCATTTGCCTTTCCAATTTCGTCTTAGTGTTTTAAGTTCTTCATAAAAACATGACCCACGACAGGGCCTTGAAGCCACCTCAGATTCTTCAAAGAGCTGACCAGCTAGAACATGAACTTAGAACTACTGCCCTCCCAATCACCTATTTACGCTTTAACCTTCACTTTCTACGATTAACAGATATTTACTTTACTTAATCTACTTGTTAGTGTGTATAATATCTATACATGTTGATGGCACCAACTTGAGTATATTAAAACACCCCCTTCATCTCCCTTACTGATATCAGCCTCATTGAGGCTCTTCTTACCTCTCTCTTCAATCTCTGTCCAAACACCTTCCACGGGGCGTCAACATCTCCAAGTTGTCCCATCCCAACCTATCCTATGACCTGCTCCAATATTCTCCTTCCCTAAACTCCCTTGCATTCTGCAGCTTCCATACTCAAAACCTTTAAGATCTCTTGAATGTTTCTACGATAATCTCCGGTCCTCTTAGCCAGACACTCAGGGCCCTCCACAACCTGATGACAACTTCATAGCTCCAATCCAGTCCAACCAATCCAGCTCCAACCCAACCTTGTGCTCCACCTCATTGTTTCTTTCCCTTGGATGCTCTCCATCCAGCTTTTACCACACTTCCACTTCAAGCCACACTTTCAAACCCTGTCACCTTCCTGGACCATTTTAGTTCAGAGTGATTTTTTCACCCACCTCTAAATATATAGACTACTCATTTATTTGGGCTCTAAGTCATACACTCATACGAAAATTGTTATGTGTAAATACTTAATTGTTAACACTTGACAAATGCAACAACAGAAATGGAATGAACTTTAGACATCATTTAATTCAGCATCTCCTGACATGCACGAAAATCCCCTTCCACATTTCTCCTTTGGGTGAATATCAATTGACAGGGTGCCGAGCCTCAAATGTGGCCATTTCGCCTCTGAATTGTTCTTAGACTGAGAGGCATCTGCTTTTTAAGAAAGGAAAACTCCATTCATCCCATTCCAAACAGGTGAGAATCTAATGCCATCAGGGAAAAAAAAAAAATATTTTGCTATCCCGTCTGAATTGAGAGTTCCCTGTGTACAGTTTACGTCCCTGTGAGCATCTACCACTCACAGAGCCACCCTAAGCACGCTCTGCAGTGTCAGCATCACCTGGCAGTATGCTAGAAATTAGAAATGCAAATTCATGAGCACCAGCCCAGACCCATTGAGTCGGAAATTCTGAGGGTGGGGCCCAAGAATGTGAGTTTCAACAAGTTTGAGAAGGACTGCGTCTCCTATATGAAATGGAAAACAGCTGCTCATCCTCTGTATCCTTGCATAATAAAAAATGATTAGTGTCACTATGCCACCATTTCCTCAGCGAAATAATTTCCATCCCCCCACCGCCTCCGAGGGTCTTGCACTCTCACCCAGGCTGGAGTGCACTGGTGCAATCACAACCCACAGCAGCCTTGTCCTCTCGGGCTCAAGCAATCCTCCCACCTCAGCTTCCTGAGTAGCTTGGGACTGCAGGCGCAACCACCACGCCCGGCTAATACGGCTAATATTATTTTTTCATTTTTTGGAGAGACGGGGTCTCGCTATGTTGCCCAGGCTGGTCTGGAACTCTTGGGCTCAAGGGATCCTTGTGCCTCGGCTTCACAAAGTGCTGGGATTACAGGCGTGAGCCGCCGCGCCCGGCTCTAAATAATTTCTTATCGCCCTCCCTCAGTTTGTTTTTCCTGTTATCGGGTCACCCACACATTCCACAATTGTCAAATAGGTGAGGGCACAGGTACGGAAGCGTCCCGCATTCCCTCCAGATTTTATCACGCTGAGACACAAAGAGAAAAATAGCTCCTGGCGACCGCATGAAAACCCCGATTTCAAAACAGCCACATGCAGTTTAATTTCCTTAAAAGCTTAGCCGGAAAAGGTTTCTGTGGCTTGCGACCCCAGCTGGGCTTGAGAGAAGGCTCTGCACACTGGGGCGGGGGCGGGCACAAGGTGATCGGAGGGAGGGGGATGACTCGCAGTTGTGTTTTGAGTGGTTGCCTTGGGTTATCTTGTTCCTCCAGCACACACACACTCAGTTTCTTGTCATAAGGGGAACCCTGTTATTTTGTAGACAAAAAGTGACAGAAGCAACTTTCGAAGCAAAAAAAAAAAAAAAACAAAAAAAAACAAAACCAAAAAGACGAAGAAGAAGAACAAAAGTCAACGTGAAATCTCCCCAGAGGAAAAGGAACCGCGCTGTTTGTCCCTCAGTAACTGAGCAACACCCCGGACACGAAGGGCTCCCTGTGACTTCTGCGGTTTTTCTTGCACTTCTCCGCGTTGGTTCACTTCCACCCTCGAAACTCTCCAGAAGCGAGAAATAAGGCGGGGTGGCCGCCACCCCCAGGCCACCAGCTGTGCGGGGGCCCCAGCTGCAGGGGGTCCCGGCCCAGCGTCCCTCTCGGCCCCTTCCCTCTCCCCCGGGGGAGAAGGGGCGGGTCCACGCGGCCTGGGCGCTGCGCCCGACACGCGGTAGGGGTCGCTGCGTCTCGGCGCGCGCTCCCACCGCGGTGAATAACGGGGCCTGGCTGGAGGAGAAAGGAAACCTGCTGCGGGAGGCGGCGGCGACCGGCCAGGGAGCGAGGGAGGAGAGTTCACTTTTACTTCAGTGTCAGCGCGCGGCGGCCGTGGCTGGCTCTGGCGAGAGAGCACCGAGGGAGTGGGTCGCAGATCTTCGGGCGGCTAGGGGAAATCGGCGAGAGGCGGGATCCGAGCGCGCCGGCGGGGCGCAGAGCCCGCGAGCCTGGCCAGCGAGGGTAGCCGCGGGGGGCGCGCCCCGGGCGGGCCCCCGGAGACGCGCAGGATGCCACACGAAGAGCTGCCGTCGCTGCAGAGACCCCGCTATGGCTGTAAGTGCGCCGGGCGCGCGGGGTTCCTGCTGGCCTTGGGGAGCTCCCTCCCCGAGGACGGCGTTGGAGAAGCCGAGGGAGCCGGTTGCGCGGCGCAGAGGAAATTGGAAGGCAGCAACTGCGCGGCTGGCAAAGTTGGGAGCTGGAGTTGCAAAGGGCAGTGAATCGCGTCCCCCCGCTCCTCCCGCCCCCCAATTCCTAATATCCAGCTGGCAACCCAGACCCTCCACTCCGCATACCCAAACGGGGTGCGCGGGCAGTGCGGGGATTGCGCTCTGGGACAGACCAGGTTGGGATTTTAGGGGTATCAGGTGAGGAGTCCGCGGAGCTCCGGGTCGCCGCCGGCTTGGGCCAGGGGGTGGCGTAAGGCACCGGATTCTTCCAACCCAGAAGGGGAGGAAAGTTTGTTTGCTGTGGCTACAGGTGGGCACCGCAAGTAGGGCGCCGGCGCACTCTGCTAGTGCAAAGCCGGCTTGACTGGAAGGGCGGGAGTCTCCTCCTGTCCCGCGCCCTCGAACTTCACCTGACCCGCTAGAGCCATTGGCCTCACAGGTGTAAGTCCCTCCCCTCTGAAACCCCCCAACCCCTTTCCCCCCCGCTCCCCTCGCGCGGGAGGATTGCTGTGTGGAGAGGACGCGGCACTAGGCTCCGGGGAATCCGGCGGGAGCCCGCGTGACTTGAACGAGATGGTGTCGATTACCCAGCCAGGGGCTGCCCTCGGAAATAGGTTGCTTTGGCCGATCGTGAGTGGATGGAGCCAGATTAACACCAACCACGTGGCTTCATGTGCAGAGTTCAGAGTCCTAAACATGTGCCAGGAAGCATTTCCTTTAAAACAAACAGAAAGTTGGCCTGCTGTCTCTCCAAGGTGGCCCTGTCAGTGAACCCAAGGCCGAAGACCACAGGTTAATCTTTGCCCAGGCTGGCCTTGGTGGCAGAGGTACCAGGTTTGGGTTAAGGTGGTGATACCTTCAGCAGGGTGTTTTGTTTGTGTGTGTGTGTGGTTTTGGATGGTGCGTAAGGCCACTGACTTGCTTAACTGAAAAAGGGCTCCTCAACTTGTGTAGGTTCTTTCCCCTCCTCCCCGCTGGCGTGTCAAAGATGGGAGGTTATCTTTCCTGTGTTACCCTTGCAGTGAGGGGGAGGCCTGAGGACTACAGCCTCTGTACTCTAATGCATTCAGCAGTTGACTGAGACCCAGCTTTTTGCCTTTTGGTAAACCACACAGACAGCAGAGCCTCTTGGGTTCAAGAGGGAACGCTGTGCTCATTCAGTGTTTGCAGTGCCAACCTCAGGTGGGACCCAGCTTTTTGCCTTTTGGTAAACCACAGATACAGCAGAGCCCGTTGGGTTCAAGGAGGAATGCTGTGCTCATTCAGTGTTTGCAGTGCCAACCTCAGGTTGGTGGAAGTACTTTAATGTGACCAGCTCTCAGAATATATGGTGGCTTCACTGTGTCAAATGATAAGATAACCACAAACTTCTGCAAACTAGGTGAATCTACATGAACAAATGATTTCTTGCTATCACATGATTGATGTCGGCCCTCATGAGCAATAAATAGTGCAAAATTTCCGTGAATGTGGTACATGAATGCAGCATTTCTGTCAGTCCCTGCATGTGCATCTGTGATGCTGCTTGATTTTCACGGAATAAATCTGTGTTTTAAGTGCACTCCAGAAGAAGCTATCAAGGGAGTCCAGATCTGGCAAGCCTGAAGCCCACTCCACAGGGCCGCTTTCTTTGGAAATCTTCATCCAGCTTTCTTCACCAATGTGGTGTAAGGGGGTGGTGTGCCATCTTGTTGGAATCACTCCCGGTTACTTTCCCTCCACTCATCAAGTGCTGGCATTCAAGTTGGTCACTTAACACTGTCAAAATGGAAAATATTTGCCTATGTTTCCAGACTTTCTTGTCACCCTGAAATATTAAGGCTTTAATATGACAGTTATCTCATTAAAATGAACACTTTTATAATTTTGGTTTATGAATGGTGTATTTTCAGTGTATTCAGAACATGATATCTAGCAGAATAGATTTTGGCGTTAATAGGCATTACCTAACATTACCTATTCATGCAGAAGAGGGCTATTTGGTGTGTTAGTGTAATTTCTGGTTGTTGTTGGCTTTCTGAGCCTCCTATCAACATGAGACTGAAAATCGTGCTGTGAGCTCTTCATGGGAAGGCTAGGGAAGGATAACACAGGATTGTCCTTGCTCTGTTGTGTTCTAGGGCTGTGCTTTTTCTTGTTTATTGGTTTGGTAAATACAGTTTCAGTAAAACCTCAAATTATAAGAAACAGGTGTTACCCCTAGCATTTAAAAATAAAGTAGCAATACATTGTAATTTCAGTTCTAGTGCTGAACGTTCTGAGTATAAGATGTTTGAGACTGGGCTTTAAACACAACTTTTTGGTAGTTTGAATTAAGTTGTCTATTGCTTATTTTGGGTCTGAGCTTCTGTTCTGCTCTCTCTCCTACCCACTTGACTCCTCATTTAATTCAGTAGTTCTTACACAAAGTAACTAACTCAGCTCAGGGCTGCTATGGTCTTTCTCCTCTGTACCAGACTGAATGTCTGTAAAAGGCCACATAATAAATTGTACTTGAGGGATTTCTCAATGAGTTCTCCATGAGGCCTCTGACTCTTCTCAGGTTTCTGACAGATGCAAGATTGCTGAAGTCGCCCTGATTTGCACACAGGAGCACTGGATTGAAATTAAATAGACTATTTTCTATTTAATTTCCACTGTTATTGGCCACATCTTCCTGCAATCTGTGAAGCTATTTTTGTATAATGTTAATACTACAAACAAAGCTGAAACAATTCAGTAACACAATTCTGAAGGGAAGAGGTGGAAGAAGGAAGTGATAGTAGGTAGCTGTTTAAACTAATGCAGACATAGACATAGTATGTACTATATATTGTATGTATAGTATTTTTCTATACTCAACCAAATTAAGATGACACTTACGCTTAGGTGTGATTTGCGAATAACTTGTGTTGTTGTAATGGATTATGATGTATCTGCCAAATTAATTCTGAAAACACATTGCTGCCATGATCTGTCGTAAGTTTTGTTCCAGTTACTTGAGAGTTAAAAACACCAGCAAGAGCAAAAGAGGGGTTTGTGACTAGGCAGATGACTTCACTTACCACTGATAACCCAATCAACACTTAAGTGACTACAGTGGGTCTCCAATGATTGCATAGGCAAGAACTGTGGTTTTCTACACTACAAGATTCAGAGCCTTCCTTTCATGAGATACATTGTACAAAAATTGGGGATCAATGTTTCACTGTTTGCTTCTTTTAAAAAGTGCAACCTAAGTCCAGCATGTTGTGGGGGCGGGGAAGGGGAAGTTGAGAAAGATTCTGGTTGAGCATTATTATTATTTTTTTTTTAGGCAGTATCTTGCTCTCTCACCCAGGCTGGAGTGCAGTGGTGCAATCATGGCTCACTGCAGCCTCAAACCTCCCAGCCTCAAGCTGTCCTCCCACCTCACCCTCCTGAGTAGCTGGTACTACAGGCACACATCACCACACCTAGCTAATTTTTGTATTTTTTTGTAGAGATGGGTTTTCACCATGTTGCCCAGGCTGAGCTCAAGCAGTCCTCCCTCCTCAGCTTCCCAAAGTGCTGGGATTACAGGTGTGAGTCACCACACCTGGCCTGATACTGTGAGCTTTTGGGTACTACTCTCTGCTCTTATCTGAATAGTGAAGTTACTAAGTTAGTTACCTGGAAACTGGAGTTTTGGGGTGGTCAGTGCAACTAAACTCTTATCCATCTACGATGACCAATCTGAGATGAAATTTAAGTTCTGAAGTAGTTAAACGCAGTTGTGTAAAAGGTGATTGAATAAGTCGGTATTTAGCATAGCTCAGCTGTAACATCCTATCAGTGCTTTCGTTTGAACCATAGAAAGGTATACGCAGCCTTATCTTGAGATACTGTCTTCAGTAGACAAAAAGTCAAGCTGCTCCCTCATATGCTGGTGTTTTGGTTGAGCTTTTCAAAAGGATCTTTAAGGTCAACAGCTAAAGTGTTATTTTAGTATGGTTTTAACTTTAATTACACATGCTGTTAGCCAGAATGACTTGTTTGGGAGAGTTTAAGCTTGTAATACCGAGTTTGTTTTAGAATTTAGTGTTATTTGGGGTGTTAACTCCTTTTTCTCTAGGGAACCAATGACTTACTATTGCCATCTACCCTCTTACTACACAAGCTTTTTAACAGCCCCTTCTATTTAAAAGGCTGGGCATGGTGGCTCACACCTGTAATCCCAGGACTTTGGGAAGCCAAGGCGGGTGGATCACATGAGGTCACGAGTTTGAGACTAGCCTAGCCAGCATAGTGAAACCTTGTCTCTACTAAAAATACAAAAATTAGCCTGGTGTGGTAGTGCATGCCTGTAATCCCAGCTACTTGGGAGGCTGAGGCAGGAGAATCCCAAATAGGGGAATCCCAAGCAGGGGAATCGCTTGAACCCGGGAGGCAGAGGTTGCAATAAGCCGAGATCACGCCACTGCGTTCCAGCCTGGGCGAAAGAGCGAGACTCTGTCTCAAAAAAAACAAAACCTAGTATACAAACAGATCTAATGCTTACCATGTCTTCATGGTAACCAAAAGAGAAACAAAGGCTACTCAACGTCTGATTTGATAGGGTCAGGTAAGTCCTACAGGGCAGGCAGTTTAATATGGGATATGGAACAAAGGTTTGTGAACATACCAAGGGCTAGGTGCTTTTCATGTGTTACTGTTATCATCGGCTCATTATGGCCTTTGAGAGGGCCAGTGGTTTTCCATTTCACAAAGAAGCTGAAACCCCTAGTACTATGTCAAGGCCACCCTGCTAGCTGGTGGCAGAGGAACTTGAAAGCAGCACTGTCAGATCCTGGAGCCTTTCCTCATTGACTGTTGCAACTTTGCTGCCCCTGAATCATAAATGTTCACCCCTTCTGTGTCTTTAAGTAGTTTGTCATGATTCTCTCAAGATGTAGAAACCTCTAGCTATTTATGCTGGATGTGGTGGTATACACCTGTAGTTACAGCTACTTGGGAGGCTGAGGCAGGAGGATCAAGATTTCCAGGCTGTAGTGTGCAATGATTACAACTATGAATAGCCACAGCTCTCCAGCCTGGGCAACATAGTAAGATCTGCCTGCCCCCCACCCAACCCAATCTCTCTTATTTATTTATTTATTTATTTATTTTGAGATGGAGTTCCACTATGTCACCCAGGCTGAAGTACAGTGGTGAGATCTGGGCTCACTGCAACCTCCACCTCCTGGGTTAAAGTGATTCTCCCATCTCAGCCTCCCAAGTAGCTGGGACTACAGGAATGCACCACCACACCCAGCTAATTTTTGTATGTTTTAGTAGAGGTGGGGTTTCCCCGTGTGGTCAGGCTGGTCTCGAACTTCCTACCTCAAGTGATCCGCCCGGCTCAGCCTCCCAAAGTGCTAGGATTACAGGTGTGAGCCACCACGCCCAGTGAGACCCCATCTCTAAAACAAACAAACAAAAAACAACAACACAAAAAAACCTGTGGCCATTGGATAGTGTGCTCATTTATAAATAGATGCATAAAGTTGATTTTGCTGCTGAATTTTTTCCTCCCAAGAAACAGCATAGAATACATGGGCTTTTTTTTTTTTTTTTTTTTTTTGAGACAGAGTCTTGCTCTGTCACCCAGGCTAGAGTGCAGTGACATGATCTCAGCTCACTGCAACCTCTGCTTCCCGGGTTCAAGCAATTCTCATGCCTCACCCTCCTGAGTAGCTGGGATTATAGTCATGTACCACCATGCCTGGCTAATTTTTGTATTTTTGGTAGAGATGGGGTTTCATCATGTCGGCCAGGCTGGTCTCGAACTCCTGAGCTCAAATGATCTGCCTTCCTCAGCCTCCCAAATTGCTGGTATTACAGGCATGAGCCACCATGCCCAGCCTTACATGGGCTTTTCATAGAATACATCCAAGCTTCATCAAAAGATTTTGTGTATACTTAGAAACATCCCATCTCTTACTGTGAGGTGCTGAAGTGAAAGGCTTTTCCATAATAATATAGTGATGTGCCCCAGTGATTGCTAATAGGATAATTTGTAAAACATGCTTTATTACATACACTGCCCATACCTTAAAGTCTGGGATTGTTGAGAAATGAAATAGAAACTTTAGTAGTGAAGCCGACCTGTGAGCTGATACTTTGTCACCTTACTGCTCTATTTTATTTTTCTCTCTTGAGATGCAGTGTGGTGCTGATAAAATGGCAGAAGCTTTGGAGTTGAATAGATGTGGGTTTGAATTCTGACTTCCATTGCCTGCCTCAGTAGCCTTGGGGTTTTCTCCTGTACCTTGAGAGGTGTGTGGAAATGATATATCTATAGAGGTGGCTGATGTGGTTCCTGGCACATAGTGCTAAACAAGTTGTAATGGTTTCAATTAATTGAGCACCTAATACTAGCAAAGTATCGTGATGAATGAAACACCGCTTAGCTGCTGACAGCTTACCAGAGAATCTGGGTGACAAGTAAAAATGCTTATACTTTTAGTGCCCTTCCAAGTTCTGTGGAAGAGAAGATATGAGAAGGATGGATTTGGATGGCGGCAATGGGAGGGCTTCATGAAAGTTGTGAATTTGAAATGACCTTGAGGAAGGTCAGAGGAAAACCTGAAAGGCGTGCTAGTATATTTGTACTGTGGAATCTTCTATTTATATAGGCAATAAAGGACAATTGGAGCTGTCCTGAGGAGAGTCACCTGATGCAACCCCTTACTGATGTACCTTCTTGTTCTTTGAGATGGTTTAAAAAAAGAAACACCCCAAACTTTTCATTAGAGACATGGGTGAGTGGCCCAGTGAAGTGAGTGACAGGGGAGGCAGGTGTGGCAAGACAGCGATGTGAGCATTTGGTGCCCTGTCTGCTGGCTGCTTAGCGGCCTCTTCACTGTGCTTCTGGGTTTGGCTGTCTTTTGGATGAACAGCTTTGCCAGAGGGTTTTGCCGAGGATAGGTGAATTCAATGAGAACAGGTAAGAAAATGAGTTGTACTTAGAGCAGGACAAGGATATTGACAACTGAATTCTCTAGGGGGTAGGGTTTCTCTCACCTCATTTTTCTTCATTCTCTCCATTAATTGTGGCAATGTTTACCTTTCAGATTTCACTGATTTACGGTCCTGCAATGTCCAGCATCCCAGTTTTATTGAAGAATGACTTAGACTGTGTTTCCAATTCATTGGCAATTGCCTGAGGAACTTTCATTTAGACTTTTTGTGGGATTTTACTAAGCTCTAATTGGACCTTCCTTTAATTTTATAATCGTGTATTGTGTATGACTTCTTCTTGCCAAGGTGCCTAAGAGGAGCTGACAGCTGTTTATTTAGTATATGCAGTGGTTTTCAAAGAGCAGTCTCTGGAGCAGCAGCAGCAGTAACAGCAGCGGAGCATCTCCTGAGAGCTTGTTGGAAAGGCAGATGCCCAGGCCCCACTCAGACCTGCCAAATCAGAAAGCCTGTGACGGGGTCTGCAGTCTGAGTTTTAATAGGCCCTCCAGGTGATTCTGATGCGCTAGAGCATCAGAAAGGTAAAGAGGCATTTCTGATATATAGTTACTCTTCACAGTGCTTGCAGGTTTTTGTCAAGTAAGTGAAAACACATGGGTATGTTATGGAACGCTTTATTTACAGTATCTCTTGGATGTTTGATTTGTAAACCACATGCTAACCAGGCCTTGATTACTTTACAGGTTCATGTTTATTTTATAGAATTAATTCTGCTATGACTTTAAGTTTGCTTTTCTTTCTTCTGGGAAACAAATGTGATTTGGAAGGTGCTGTAGTTTGAATGTATTCCCCAAAGTTCGTGTGTTGGAACGTAGTCCCCCATGCAGTAGTGTTGGGAGGTGGAGCCTAATGAGTGGTGATTAGGCCACCAGAGTTCTGCCCTCCTGAATGGGTTAATGTTATTGTGAGAGTGAGTTTGGTAAAAGGATGAGTTCAGCCTCCTTTTCTCTCTCTTTCACCCATGCGATGCCTTTTGCCATGTTACGGTGCAGTAAGAAGGCCCTCACCAGTTGCAGGCCCCTCAACCTTGGACATCCTAGCCTCCAGAACTGTGCGGAAACAAATTTCTGTTCATCATAAATGACCCAGTCTCAGGTATTCTGTTATAGCAGCACAAAACAGACTAAAACAAATGGAAAAGTTTAAAATCTCCACTGACTAGAGATAAAGCAAGGTTAGCTTCCCAGGGATTTCAGCTGGAAGTGAGGCTTATAGGAGCCATTGGGAAGGCTGAGTGAACGGGGAACCTTTTTGTGTAAGAAAGGGAACTCTAAGCCTGGAAATTCTGAGCTTCTAATCCCTGGGGGTGGCACATGGGGGGCTGGACAGTAAGAATTGATAGATGTCCTCCTTCTCCATTTTTTTTCTCTCCAGGACACCTTACAGTGTTATTCATTTATTCGTTTATTCATTCACAATTTTTAGAACTGTTGAATATGTTAGCAGAGATATTATTTGATAGACATAAGTGCACCCAGGTCATTCCCAAATTGCAGGGAAACTACCAATCTGTTTAATTTACTTTTGATAAAAGATAGGAGGACATTTTTATTGTTTATTGCTTGGGATCTCCCAAAAAGAAGATTTCTAATTGGTTGTTCTTTCTCTATTACTACTAAATCTCTGAAGGAAGACATTTTAATTTTTTTAAAAATTAGGGTGGTTTATTTCTTGATAATTTTTATTAAGAGATAGGATCTCACTATGTTGCTCAAGCTGGACTTGAACTCTTGGGCCCAAGAGATCCTCCCGCCTTAGCCTCCTGTGTAGCTGGGACTACAGGTGTGTACCACCATGCCTGACATAGTTCCTGATAATTTTGTCTCAGTTCTCATATTTTACTGGCAATATGAATTCAATCTTAAGTAATGTTAATGCATATCCTATAGTTGTCTCCAAATAAGTAGACTTGATTTGCATATAATTGAAGCAACATATATTTCACATACTTATGCCTAGATTCAGTATCTAGCCAGCAGCTTGGTATCCTGGCACTTAGAAGATACTCAGTAAATATTTGCTGTTATGACAGGTTTGCATAACATGTCTATACTGTATTGTTTGTCTAAATGAGGAATTTATTGTCTGTCTAATTAAAGATCATCTTGGCAGCTTTCAGATGCCATGCAAACATTAAATGTTGAGTTTAGATTTGCTTCCATCCCCTGTGGAACCTGGCAAGTTGTTTTAATTTCTCTGTGCCTCAGTTTCCTCATCTGTAAAATGTAAGTGGAAAATGCATCATCAAAGGATTAAATGATTTAATAGATGGAAACGTACATGCTCAAAGTGTGCTCCCATGGAGTCAACACCTAAAGGGCAGGGATGGTGATGGCAGAACCCCCCTCATTACTGCTGCCCCTTGGTCTGTATCCTTCTTTACCTGTATCCTTCTTTACCTGTATCCTTGTCTACCTCCTTGCCTGTTCTTTTTCACTTTAACAGAATGTGGATTTAAAATCCTAGCCCTATTTTCTTTTTTCTTTTCTTTTCTCTTTTTTTTTTTTTTTTTTTTTTTTTTTTTTGCGATGGAGTCTCACTGTGTCGCCTAGGCTGGAGTGCAGTGGCGCGATCTTGGCTCACTGCAACCTCCACCTCCCAGGTTCAAGCAATTCTCCTGTCTCAGCCTCCCGAGTAGCTGAGACTACAAGCACATGCCACCACACCAGGCTATTTTTTGTATTTTTAGTAGAGATGGGGTTTCACCGTATTAGTCAGGCTGCTCTTGAACTCCTGACCTCAGGTGATCCATCCGTCTCGGCCTCTGAAAGTGCTGGGATAACAGGCGTGGGCCACCACGCCCAACTCTAGCCCTATTTTCTCTTCAGAATGGGAAAATTCTTAAGTTATCTATATGGAAATACTTCAGTCTATCAATTTGGGTGGGGACCAAATTAATCCTTGTGTCTGTATACTTAAAAAACTAGTATGTTCTATTGTTTCCAGATATAGCCGAGGTGGGGAGAACATTTGGACTTCTGTGTTGTATATTTTGCCATCTTGCAGGGGATCTTGGAAGTGTCATTCTGAAGTTACCAAGCATTCTCTTATTTCATTTAGGCTTCCAAGTTGAAGTTGGTCGTTGCTGCTGCTGTTGCTTGTCTAAAAGCCTGAGGGTTTATAATGCTATCTAGATGGGAAGGAGCTACTTGAAATGTGTTTGAATCTTTATGCTTGCTTCAGAATGTAGAGTTTGACTTAGCTACCAGGGTCAGCCAACCTTGTGGTCAACCCAGTCCTGTGGGAGTTTAGAAGGGAGGTGAGGAAGAGGAAGTACACTTGGTACACTGGGTTCACCTAACGTCCCTCAGGCCTCACCGCCTCTACAAAGTTAATGAAATTTTGTGTTCATAAGCTCAGTGAAGCTCAGCTGAGAGGACTAACTGGAATGTTGAAGCCATTAGGAATCGAAAACCTGGGCCGCAACTCACGTGCCCACTTTTTAAAAAAATTCTAGTACTTTTCATAGAAGATGTTTGCTAGTAACCCCTCTATTATTCCTCACCTCCCCAAAAGGGGACCATTGTAATCAGCCAGTCTTGGTCCTTGAGATTGTCACTTTTCTGTTTTTTGCCCCAGTCCTACACGAAGCAGGCTTCTCAGGGTGGGATGAGGAGCCTGGTAAGATAGTCACATAGTCAGCCTCATGAAATATGACTCCCCATTCACCTGCCCCCTAAACTGTGCTTCCTCAGGTAAGATCTAGTAAGGCAGCCCACCAGAGCCTCGCTGCATGTTGAACTCTTAGGAAGTTTGTCCAAGAAATGGTAGTTATAGAGCTAATACAAACATGCTTTTGCTCTCATTCTGTTCTCTACTAATGAGTTTTATTTTCCAAAAAGAAACAAAGATACATTTATTTGTAAAGAATATATAAGGCCGGATATGGTGGCTCAAGCCTGTAATCCCAGCACTTTGGGAGGCTAAGGCAGGAGGATTGCTTAAGGCCAGGAGTTCAAGACCATCTGGGCAACGTAGCAAGACCTTGTTTCTACAAAAACAAAATAAAAAATGAATATATAAAGATAATTTTTTCCTCCATGAGAACCAGGGTCACGTGAGGCCCTTCCCTGCTTTGGCACTGATTCTGGTGATAGTCTCAAAAGCTTCCTTCCTCAGTTCTCCAGTCTAATCTTTGCTATTAGTTTGAATTGGTTAACAGGTTGGAGGATTGTGCTTGCTTATTCCTCTTCACTGGACTCTGCCTGTAACTTTTCACATTAGATTAGGGGAACTCTGAGAAAGAAGTGGAGCTTATAATGTGCTTCTGTATTGTAGCTTTGATATCTCTGAAAACGTGTACCTTTCTCTGCTAAGCAGGACAAATAAGACAAACCAAACAGGGAGGGACATCCTCATCCTGTGGACATGTGAATATTTCTAGAAGGTTATGCAAATAATCTAGAAGGTTATAATATCTTTTTAGAAGTTGCCTTTGGGAAGAGGGACTGGGGGCAGGAGTGGGAATGCGATTTGAAATAGTTTTCACCATATGCCGTATTACCCTTTGAAAAAATAAAGCAAATGTGTGTTTTGGAAAAATATGTTTTGAGAATAATGTGGACAAAATAGAACAGCAGTAAAATCCATGAGGAATCAGGACTGTATCTTTTGGTCAATGCTGTATCCCCACTGTCTGGTACATAGGTCAACATGGCAGCAGTGATTCTGTGTAGGTAATGAGATATTTTGTGATTAATATTTTTTCTTCCTCAAATTTTCAGCTATACATGTTTTTATAGTTAGACTGTAACAGTTGAGTTGGAAAAATTGTAAGTTACCCTTTGCTGCTCAAGATACAAAGTTCTCTTTGGCTACAAACTTTGCCTTATGAAAATTAGTCTGAAAGATAGATCAGTTATTATTGGAAGGATTCAGTGGCTATCTAATTTTCCAAGTGTGTATGTGTGTACATGCATAGAGAATGAGGGACAGAAATGTTAAGAGGCCCAGGACTCTATAGCTGTTAAACTGTTGTAGTTAATAATTTGTGAAAGGGGCCAGGCACAGTGGTTCCCACCTGTAATCCCACCACTTTGGGAGGCTGAGGCAGGCAGATCACTGGAGGCCAGGAGTTCAAGACCAACCTGGCCAATGTAGTGAAACCCTGTCTCTATTAAAAATACAAAAAATATTAGCTGGGTATGGTGGCATGTGCCTGTAATCCCAGCTACTCCGGAGGCTTAGGCAAGAGAATCCCTTGAACCCAGGAGGTGGAGGTTGCAGTGAGCCGAGATCATGCCACTGCACTCCAGCCTGGGCAACAGAGGGTAACTGTCTCAAAAAAAAAAAAAAAATGTGAAAAGAAAGTGTGTAGGAAGCAGATCTGTAAAAGGTAGTAATGAATCAACTAGTGTCCATGGGGGAAATAAAGGTTGTGACACGAAAGTGGAGTGTTCTCTTGACTCACAAAGTGAACTCTGAAGAGCCTGTGAAGAGGTGAACTACTCATGACCATTCCTTCATTCAACAGGAGGTGCTAGATGCCATGTATAAGGTGGAATTTACATAGGGTTTATGACCAAATGCCTTCAGGGGTCAAATGTGATCACAGCCTGTATAAAATAATAGGAAGCTTTGGAGTGTCTCTCAGCTGGAGAATGCATTTGCTGCTTTCGTCACTCAAATTGGAAGGGAAACATTTGTGAGCAGTGTACAGGCAAAACAAGATAGATTAGTCTTGTTTAGCATCTTGGAAGCTGCCACTGGCCCCAGCATTATGCTGTAAAATGGAGGTAGCCATGGAAGTACCGTGACCTTAGACCAATGAGAGACGAGAAGCACTGTGATAGCAAGACCTGCATCTAGCATCTGAGGACTTAGACTGAGGTGCCACTTACTGTGTGATATTGGGTATAAGTTCTTTGAGCTTTTTTTTTTTTGAGACGGAGTCTCACTCTGTCACCCAGGCTGGAGTGTGCAGTGGCGCGATCTTGGCTCACTGCAGTCTCCGCCTCCCGTGTTCAAGCGATTCTTCTGCCTCAGCCTCCCAAGTAGCTGGGACTACAGGCGCATGCCACCACGCGTGGCTAATTTTTGTATTACTAGTAGGGACAGGGTTTCATCATATTGGCCAGGCTGGTCTCAAACTCCTGACCTCGTGATCCGCCCACCTCGGCTTCCCAAAGTCCTGGGATTACAGGTGTGAGCCAACACACCCGGCCTGAGCTCTTCTTTATTTTTGGAGACAGGGATCTTACTCTATCACCCAGGCTGGAGTGCAGTGACATCATCACAGCTCACTGCAGCCTCCAGCTCCTGGGCTCAAGTGATCCTCCTACCTCAGCCTTCTGAGTAGATGGGACCATAGGCATGCACCGCTATGCCCAGCTAATTAAAAAAAATTTTTTTTTGTAGAAACAGTCTTGCCATGTTGCCCAGGCTGGTCTGAGCTTCTTTCTACATTTGAAA
Organism: Homo sapiens; assembly: GCF_000001405.40. Taxonomy (NCBI): domain Eukaryota; kingdom Metazoa; phylum Chordata; class Mammalia; order Primates; family Hominidae; genus Homo; species Homo sapiens. Next base: position 76,417,073 of record NC_000005.10, read on the forward strand.
AGTGGGTTTATGTTTACCCTGTCTCAAAAGAGGGTGAGGTATGGGAGATTGCTCTGAAAATTGTTCAAGTGTGTGTGTGTGTCTACAGTGGGGAGGGATTTACCACTTATTTGAATAATTCTTTGGTGAAGTCTTATTAGTGTTGAAACGGGTTTATCATTTAATCATTACCTCAAAGGCAATGCTACCTTAGCTTTGTGACATATGTTTTAAAATAAATAAATTAATTATTTTTGAGATGAAGTCTTGCTCTGTCACCCAGGCTGGAGTACAGTGGCGGGATCTCTGCTTACTGCAATCTCCGCCTCCCGGGTTCAAGTGATTCTCCTGCCTCAGCCTCCTGAGTAGCCGAGGTTACAGGCGTCTGCTACCATGCTGAGTTTTATATTTTTAGTGGAGACAAGGTTTCACCATGTTGGCCAGGCAGGTCTCGAACTCCTTACCTCAAGTGATCCACCCACCTTGGCCTCCCAAAGTGCTGGGATTACAGGTGTAAGCCACCGCGCCTGGCCTATTTATTTATTTTTTGAGACAGGGTCTGGCTGTGTCACAGGCTGGAGTTCAGTGGTGCGATCTTGGCTCACTGCAACCTCCGCCTCCTGGGCTTGGGCCATTCTCCCACTTTAGTCTTCCAAATAGCTGGGATTACAGGTGTATGCCACTATGCCCAGCTAATTTTTGTATTTTTAGTAGGAGATGGGGTTTCGCCATGTTGCCCAGGCTGGTCTTGAACTCCTGAGCTCAAGTGATCCGCCTCCCTCAGCCTCCTAAAGTGCTGGGATTACAGGCATGAACCATTGTGCCTGGCTGATATGTGCTTTTTTTTGAAACGGTGTTTGAAATGAGATTTTCCTGGCTGGGCGCGGTGGCTCACACCTGTAATCCCAGCACTTTGGGAGGCCGAGGCAGGCAGATCATGAGGTCAGGAGTTCAAGACCAGCCTGACCAACATGGTGAACCCCTGTCTCTACTAAAAATAAAAAAATTAGCTGGGCATGGTGGCGGGCACCTGTAATCCCAGCTACTCAGGAGGCTGAGGCAGGAGAATCACTTGAACGTGGGAGGCGGAGGTTGCAGTGAGCTGAGATTGCGCCATTGCATCCCAGCCTGGGTGACAGAGAGAGACTCCGTCTCAAAAAAAAAAAAAAAAAAAAGATTTTCCTTTCTCCTTCAACTTGAAAGGCAACATTTTGCATTTTGGTAGCACTATCTTTGAGACGTAACTTTTTTGAATCCTAATATATGATTTTTAGCCAGATTCTTCCTTGTCCATCTTAGCATTTCTTTTACTACGAAGTGTGAATTTTGAAAACAGAAGTTAATAGTAAGAATCTCTGAATTGAGGCTGGACCCGGTGGCTCACGCTTATAATCCCAGTACTTTGGGAGGCAGAGACGGGAGGATTGCTTGAGCCATGGAGTTTGAGGCCAGCCTGGGCAATGTCAGGAGACTCTGTTTCTACAAAAAATCTTTAAAAATTAGCTGTACTCTAGCCTGGGTCACAGAGTGAGACTCCATCTCGAAAAAAAAAAAAAAAATCTCTAAATTGAAAAGACTTTAAGAGTAGTTTCTTTGAGACCCATGCTGTAGGAAAATATTTCATCAAGGGAAACTACTCTGCGAGGGAGGGGACATCTGTATTTTTAACACTGGAGGATAAAGCTTGGGAAGGCAATTCTGTCTCCTAATCTGATGACAGAGATCCTCTCTTTATAAAGCTTATGGCTTATTCTCAGGAAAAGTAGGGGGGTGAGTGTGGAAGATAGTGTGGCTGGGGTCACTTAATGCTTGAAAAGGTTTCCTAGGGCTGCTGGGTGTCAACAGCGGGCCAGCCTCCTAGGTTGATTACACGTCCTTGACTATTATCCACGCCCTTGACTATTATCCACACCAGCATAATATCCCATCTTGGATTAGAGATCATCTAATTCATAGTTGTCAACCTGGCTACCCACTGAAAACTCCAGGAAAGCTTTACCAAGAAAATGTGTGTTCCCTGGATATTGTCACTATCCTCTGTTTATTTGGGGATAGAATATTCTGGCATAGGTGTTTTTATTTTAAACTTTATTTATTTATTTATTTGACGGGGTCTGGCTCTGTTTTCTAGGCTGGAGTACATTGGCATGATATTGGCTCACTTCAGCCTCAAACTCCTGGGCTCAAGCTATGCTCCCAAGTAGCTAGGACTACAGGCATGCACACCACACCTGGCTAATTAAAAAAATATTTTTTGGTTGAGACAGGGTCTCACTAGGGTTTTTTGTTTTGTTTTGTTTTGTTTTATGTAGTCTCACTCTGTTGCCCAGGCTGGAGTACAGTGGCATGGTCTCAGCTCACTGCAACCTCCGCCTCCCAAGTTCAAGCAATTCTCCTGCCTCAGCCTCCCAAGTAGCTGGAATTGCAGACACATGCCACCACACCTGGCTAATTTTTTGTATTTTTAGTAGATACAGGGTTTCACCACGTTGGCCAGGCTGGTCTCGAACTCCTGATCTCAAGTGATCCCCCCACCTCGGCCTCCTAAAGTGCTGAGATTACAGGTGTGAGCTACCATGCCTGTCCTCACTAGGGTATTCTTTTTCTTTTTCTTTTCTTTTCTTTTTTTTTTTTTGTGTTTTAAACACTTTCAAGCTCTCAAAACCTCAAAGAAGGATACAATGAACATCTATTCCCTTCACTTAGCTTTACCACCTGTTGACATCTTGCCACACCATTCCATCTACAGACATTGGGATGGCTCACCCCTAAATCCTTCAGCACACATCTCACATACTGAGAAAGACATTCTTCTCTCCAGCTTCATCCTCAGTGTTACCATTACTGTGTGTTCAGTTCCATTGTTCAATATAAATTCCACACTATGATTTCCCCTGCTATGCTTTATAGCCATGTTTTAGGACCCAGGTAAGTTTCTCGCATTGCCTTTGGCTGTTATTCCTCAAGGCCTTCCCCAGCCTGGAAGAGTGGTCTCACCTCCCTCTCAATGCAATGACCCTGAATCCTCTGAGGAGTCCAGGCCTGTTTCCTCCAGGTGCATCACATCAGGGGCTACAGTGTCCACCCTCCCACTACTGGTGATGAATAGATATTTTTAAAAACCTCCCTAGGAGATTCCAATGTGCAGCCAAGGTTTGAATTCATTGAATTAATTAAATCCACCCTACTTTATTTGTATGTGTTTTTTTTTGTGCTAAAATACACATAAAATTATCATTCTTACCATTTTTCAGTGGACAGTTTTGTGGTATTAAGTACATTCACATTGTTGTATAACCATCATCACGATCTATCTTTGGAACTTTTTTTTTTTTTTTTTTTGAGACAGAGTCTCACACTGTCACCCAGGCTGGAGTGCACTGGCATGATCTCGGCTCACTGCAATCTCCGCCTCCCGGGTTCAAGTGATTCTCCTGCCTCAGCCTCCCAAGTAGCTGGGATTACAGGTGCCTGCCACCACGCCCGGCTAATTTTTTGGATTTTTAGTATAGATGGGGTTTCACTATGTTGGCCAGGCTGGTCTCGAACTCTTGACCTTGTGATCCGCCCACCTTGGCCTCCCAAAGGGCTGGGATTACAGGCGTGAGCCACCGTGCCCAGCCTCTGGAACTTTTTTATCTTCCCAAACTGAAACTCCATACACATTAAATAATAACTCCCATTCTCTCTCCTCCCAGCACTGGATAACCACCATTCTACTTTCCATTTCTATGAATTTGACTGCTCCAAGTACCTCATGTAAGGGGAATTATACAGTATTTGGTCTTTTATGTCTGGCTTGTTTCACTTAGCATGTCTTCAGGGTTCAACCATGTCATAGCATGTATCCGTACTTCCTTTTTAAGGCTGAATAATATCCCATTGTAGGTACAGGCCACATTTTATTTATCCATTCATTCATTGATTGATACTTGGGTTATTTCCACCTTTTGGCTATTGTGAGTGCTGCTACAGCGAGCATGGGTGTACAAATATCTGTTTGAGCCTTTGCTTTAGTTTTGGGTATATACCCAGAAGTGGGATTGCCAGATCATATGGTAATTCTGTTTAATTTTTTGAGGAATTGTATACCTATCACTTTTTAATGGAGTGAATTGAAGAACACTTCAAAGAATGAAGTATCCATGACTTGAAGGAAGAAGCCAATTAGAATGCCAGCCTTTAGGCTCCTGTTTGGATTACCTCCTGGGAGGTCATGTGTAAATTCATCTTTTCTTCACACGAGATAAAGAGCAATGGGTATAAAGTCTAGCTGTGGCAGCTGGGTGCAGTGGCTCATGCCTGTAATCCCCGCACTTTGGGAAGCTGAGGCAGGAGGATCGCTTGAGGCCAGGAGTTGGAGATCAGCCTGGGCAACATGGCAAAACCCTATCCTCTGCAAAAAAAATACAAAAATTAGCTGGTCGTGGTGGTGTGTGTCTGTAGTCCCAGCTACTTGGGAAGCTGAGATGGGAGGATCACTTGAGCCCCGGAAGTTAAGGCTGCAGTGAGCCATGATAGTGTCACTGCACTCCAGCCTGGGTGACAGAGTGAGACCCTGTCTCATAAAAAAAATAGGTGTGGCAAAATTTACTTCTTTGTGACTTCAGGTGTGACCTCAGATATGCAGGACAAGGGTCACAGTTTTTCATTTACATTAATCATGACTTTTTAGAATTTTTAAAGTTTTTGATTGGTGACTTAAATAGTGCATAGACAACAAGTTGCCTTTGACCTCTATAAATAGTGTAAAACAAAGTAACAGGCTGCCTCTTGGGGCATATGGGATTTTCAAAATAGAATATTGTTTTGTTAACCTGGCTCATCCAAATACTGTGCGATCTTGAACAAGGTCTTAACTTCCCTAGCTCATGTTGTTTAGCTATAAAATGGGGATAATAATGGTAATCAGAATGAAATAAGCTAATCTATGTGCTTGGTGCCTGACACATAGAAAGCATTCATTCAGTGCAAGCTATTAATATAATATTTCCCATTGATTTTAAAGGTGTTTAGACAATTCCAATACACCAGAAACTGATATTTTTAAATGAGTTATTACTCTTTTACAGGAGGTGGCATCTATTTGACTGTCTTGAGATGAGACTGGCCTGGGGGCTCTAGAATGGTGGTGCTTAACTGGAGCAAAAGGTGGCAGGAGCATGTGAGAGCTCTAGCATAACTGTGGCCTTAAAGTAAGCAGACGCTATGTATTTCCTAAGGGTGAGTGTTGATAATTTTTATAGATTGCTGAGGCCACAGGGTCCAGATTAAGCAAGTGTGTTCCGAGGAGTCTGACTTCACTGTGCTTTGACTGAGGTAGATCCAGGACTCAGTTGGCGGCTGTTTTTGAAGGCTGATCATTCTTCCACTCCTTCATTGGAAATTAGCCAAGAATTATAAAAACAACAGTTTAACTCCATGCAACCAAGTGGTTGTCTCATAATGATTAGTTTGGAGCTTGTGCTAAGTACTCTGTGTGGAGTTCCCAGGATTATTTAACAAGAGAAAATGTTGGCTCTGCAGGAGAGCCTAGTAAATTTTGAAACGCAGACAATCCTACTTCAGTGGAAAAATCCTGATCTTAACCCCGAGTCTCTGGTCTGTCTCTGGCTCCCTTGTGCAATCTGGGGGGATTGTGCTTCATGTCTGGTAGAAGAGGACAGGTCTATGAGAAGGAGGCATGTACACACAGCTCTAAGAAGTGGGGACCGGCTTCTACACTTTCTGCCAGGTTAATCTCAAATGGTGCAGATAATAACAAACACATATGATGCTTCTATATGCCAGGTGCTGTTTTAAGCACTTTGTAGGAATCGCCCAATTTAATCCTTGTAACTAAACTCTGAGGTTGGTAATGTTATCCCCATTTTATAGGTGGGAAAACTGAGGTGCAGAAACATTAAGTAACTTGCCCAAGGTACAGCTAGTAAGTGGCAGAATGAACCAGGCAATGCTACGCCAGGCTTTGTGCCTGTCATGCCTGTTGAATACAAGCTAGAAAGACAGCTTTTGGGTACTTGGTACTCTGTCTTCTGAGTAAAGGATTTATCCATTTTATTAGTTTCCTGTTTGTTCCTGCTATAAAAAATTACCACTAATCAACTCAGTATAGCCATTAAATTTGGGAAAAAGAAGAATTTTAGACATTCTAAATTTTTTGGCACAGTGACTGTCTAATCATGAACAGCGATGTGCATTGCCAGGGAAGAAGCTGTGAGTTACTGGGGTTGGCTGGTACCTGCTATTAAAATGGTGCTGGTACCCGCTATTAAAATGGTGCTTGGTCGACCGGGCTTGGTGGCTCATGCCTGTAATCCCAGCACTTTGGCAGGCCTAGGCGGGTGGATCACGAGATCAGGAGTTCAAGACCAGCCTGGCCAAGGTGGTGAAACCCCGTTTCTACTAAAAATACAAAAATTAGTCAGGCACAGTGGCGGGAGCCTGTAATCCCAGCTACTTGGGAGGCTGAGGCAGGAGAATCGCTTGAACCTAGGAGGCGGAGTTTGCAGTGAGCTGAGATCGTGCCACTGCACTCTAGCCTGGGCGATAGAGCAAGACTTCATCTCAAAAAAGGAGAAATAGTGCTTGGTCATCATCAAAGCTGAGAAGTCATCACAAAAACAGATGAAAGAAGAAAGAGTGGGAAGAGTGCAGAAGTAGCAGATATGCAAGAAAGGATTTAGAAGCATCAAAAGGCACATGAAGCCATGGTGGGCACTGAGCTAGTGAGAGAGGGCACAGTAAGAGTATCACTGTTTAGAAGAAAGTAACTCATGATGATAATTTACACTGTCTCTCAGTGACTTAAAGTGTATTCAGCACATTCTGAATAGGGAAACTGGGAAGCGTGGAATCCTTTATAGAGCAGTTTTCTACCACGTTTACATTGTAGCACCTGTAGGTTTAGCGAACAGTTAAATGGAAAATAGGCTCATTTAGAAGCTCTTTAATCAGGCAGGATGGCAGGGATATATATTGTTCTTAAAATAATTTCTATAGCAACAGGACTTTCTGAAATATATCCATAACTCAGTTAGGAATATCCACTTTCTATTTTTTGCCTTGGGTAATCAAAAACAGAGACCCAAATTTGGGACTGAACTGTAGAATTCGTGAGGGGCTTCAATATTGTTTTCAGTGTGTTTATTCCCCCCTGCTTTCATTGTCCTTGTCTACTTTTATTTTCCCTTTACCCAATTTTAAGATTTCTTTTATTTATAAACCTTTTTTTCCCTAACAGATCTTTTTTATTTTTATTTTATTTTATTTTTTGAGACGAAGTTTTGCTCATTGCCCAGGCTGGAGTGCAATGGCACGATCTTGGCTCACTACAACCTCCGCCTCCCTGGTTCAAGTGATTCTCCTGCCTCAGCCTCCTAAGTAGCTGGGATTACAGGCATGTGCCACCATGCCCGGCTCATTTTGTATTTTTAGTAGAGGTGGGGTTTCACCATGTTGGTCAGGCTGGTCTCGAACTCCTAATCCACCTGCCTAGTCCTCCCAAAGTGCTGGTATTACAGGCATGAGCCACCACGCCCGGCCCTAACAGATCTATTTTTGTAAACCTCCTCAAATATTTTTAGGAAAAACATGAGATATAATTAAAGTGTTCATTGGACAAGTGAGTGGTTGGACTCCTCTCTGCCCTCAGGGAGCTGATTTTCTGGGAGGCGACATGGCCCACTGGCCCAGAGCTGGGCTCTGGCTCTGTCATTTGCTAATGCTTAGCTCTGGTTTCCTCTCCTGTGACCTGAAGTAATGAAATTGTAGTACCTGCCTGATGGCATTATTAGGACAAAATGGAACAACAAATATAAAGCACTCTCACAGAGAGAGTGCCCAGTGAGAGAAGGAGGAAGCATTCTGTGAAGAGGAGACAGGCTGTGCCCAGGCCTGGCCTTAATGCATGCATGCACGCAGGATTGATTAGGGAAAGGAGAGCACGGTGCATGGAGGGTCTGGACTGCCATGGGAGGCAAGTATTCTGGAGACACTGAGGAGGCATTCACAGTCAGACCTTTCCTGCTTCTGCCTCCTCAGCTTTCTTTATCTTCCTGCAGGACTCTAAGCCTCTGCCTTTCTTGCTTTCTTTCCCTGCATTCGCTTAATCCATCTGGAGACTATGCTAGCTCAGTTAAGTTGGGGGGCTGCCCTCTCTAGTGGTTCCAGCAGGACTGAGGATCGGTTCAACACTCATAACACTGGTGACCACTATTCTGGGAGACAGATTCTTCATTAAAATTTTATTGCTTGGTTTCCTTTTTTCTTCTCCATCCTCTTTATTTACTACCCTCTGTTATACATAAACTTTTGAAGTCTGAATAGCAAACAGCTGTTAATGTTGCCATTGCAGAACCACGGACACAACTTAAAATAAACTGATTGGTTTATAATGACATGGAGAAATGCTTATTCAGGAAGCAAAAAGGCAAGATACACTGTAGGGAAGTTAGAACCTAAATAGTACGGGGAAAGGACTGAAAGGAAATGTGTCAAATTGTTAACAGTTGTTTTAGATAGAATGATGTTTCCTGTTCTGTAGTCTTCATTTTTCCCAGAGAGACTTGTAAGTATTATAAGCAAAAGAAAAAAAAACCCACATTAGTTCTCATATTATTCCTTCTGATTATGAGAGATGAAGTTCTCATCTGCTCGGATTTGACTAGTGTGGGCTAATAGGTCCCAGGTAGACATTGTTGATGGGATGAATTGCCAATAATCATTTTGCTGGCCTTGCTTTTCGGTTACCTTTTACCTGAGCCTCTGAGCTCCATAACACCACTGTGCCTCATGGGTCAGTGCGTGCATACCACACAGAAATGTGAGTTGTTCATGCATGCTGGGGTTAGAAACTGGAGGATAGACTCAGTCTGAAGTGGAAATTCTTGGGTACTAACTTCATGGATCAGTTTCAGAGCAGGTTTTCCCATGGTCTGTGCCAGTATCCTCAGTCTTGATGCTCTCAAGTCAACGGGATTAGAATGTGTTTGCGCAGTTCTGGGTTTCCCTTCATCGGCATCCAGTCATTTTCAGTGAGCAGAATTGCGGTCAGCTGGCACATCACCAGCAAGGGCCAAATTAGACATAATTGCACATCAGTTTCACGTTAAGGTCTGTGGCTTAATGTGCTCTGCAAAAGCATGCCAGGCCTGGAGCTTTGTTCTCCCTGGGAACAGCGTGCCCCAGAAGAAAGGTTACAGTATAAATCATCATCCAAACCTAGACACCTAGGAAAGGGGGATTCTGTTAGTTTTTCCAAGGCAACCATATAAATTGTGCCAGCCCTGGGCAAGCCAGGACTTATGGTCACCCTGCCCATAAGGATGGGTCTGTGCAATGACATTCACTTTCCTAGACAGCCTTTACAGCAACCTTTGGAGCAGAAGGGAAACCAAACAGTTGGAGAGGATGCCACAGCATTCCAGAAAAGGGGAAGCCGGGTTCCTTTTCAGGAAAGTTGAGCTAAAAATAGAACATCACCATTCAACAGTTGCTCGAGCTCTTCAAACACTGGGGCTTGTGCCATTGTTCCTTTTCTTTGCATTTCTTATGAGTCCTGGCTCCTTTTGCTTTGTGTTGTAAAGGAACTGGTCTATGTGCCGAGTCTGCTGGGAAGCAGCCCCTTTAATACACGAAGGGCGCTGGACGAGAGGATCACTAAGGCCCCTTCCAGCTCTCACAGCCCATGATTTTATAATAGGTAACCTAAGGCCTGTGCTGCATGGGTAATGAGGAAGGACAAGTAGGGGCCCTTCTTGATGAAAGGACAGGGCCCCTGCCCCTCCATCCTTGGCTGTCACACACTCAATGGCAGGCTCTTCTCTGAGCCAAGCGGGGAAAAACCATGGAGGGTGTGTGTGTGTGTGTGTGTGTGTGTGTGTGAGTGTGTGCAGGACTTTACTGAAAAATGAGTTGCATAGTGGAGTGATCAGTACATAATGGGTGGTGGGCACTGAGAGAGAAGAGAAAATAACATTAGAGTTAATCCTGTAGGTCAGGGTTTCTCAGCCTCAGCACTGCTGATGTTTAGGACTGGACAATTCTTGGTTGTGGGGTGCTGACTTGTGCATTGTAGGATGTTTAGTATCATCCCTGACACACTCAATTCCAGTTGCAGTCCCCTTCACCTGTGACAACACAAAATGTTTCCAGACATTGCCACATGTCCCCGGTTAAGAATCACTGTTATAAATAAAGAAACAAAATTGTTTTCTGGACATTTCTTTTTGTGAAGCTGTGTGTTGCCTGGCCAAGCTCCCACCTTAAGCTTTTATAATACCATTTACTGGACCAATTAGTGTTGTGACGGTGGGTGGTGATTTAAAATGAAATACCCTCACTTTCATGCTCTTGGATTTGGCTTTGAAATAAAGTGAGCTGAGCTCTCCCCCCTCCCCTTTCAAGAGTGCATGAATAATGAGGTCTTTCTGCCGGGAATAGGATTATGCTTGTTCCCACAACTTAAAACTATTTTTTCAAAATTTCTACTGTGACTAGCATCCTAGGTTTTATCCTGACAGAAACGTTCCATTTTAAATGAGGGTTCCCTAGAACAGTGCTTCCCACACTTGAATGCGCGTGTGTCATGTGAGGATTTGGTGAAATTGCAGATTCTGTTCCCGCAGGTCTGGGCTGGGCCCCGAGACTGCATGTGTAACAAGCTCCCAGGTGATGCCGGCACTGCAGGTCTCCAGGCCACATTTAGTAGTGAGGCTCTGCTACGGACCAGTTCTTGACATAAAAGAAAAGTTGGCACATATGTCCAGGAGGATGATGAAAGGCTCTGAGCGGGGGCAGCATAAGCTTTCAGCAATCTGTTGTGTGCGGGGCTGCTCGCAGACCCTTCTCTGTGCTGGAGGTGAGTCCCTGAGCCCGTCTGCAGCCTTGCAGGCTGTCAAGCAGTGGGAGGACCAATGCCTGCAGTTCCTTACCTGGCACTGAGGGGAGCATTTTAACAGGACAGCCTGAGACAGATGGCTGCACCCTCTGAATGGGCACTGAAGGGGCAAACTGGCCCCAGAGAGGCAGCAGCTTGGACTGTTAGACTCTGAGCTATTTGGTGGCTCCCTGGGTGTGGTTTGAGCAGAGACTCACAGAGGAGCGCCAGCCCCTCAGAAGGGCTTTGGCCTGCCTTTCTGCTTGCCCAGCTCTGCGGGGTGATGGGCAGCCAGACACCTTCTTTCCTAGCTCAGTGCTGCCCTTGTTACCCTGAAGCCTTTGTTGCTATGGGTCTGCTGGGTACCTGGGAAGGGAGAAGGAGTAGGGTATGGTATTGGGCACCACGTGAAGTGAGTAAAATGTTTAAATCTGGTAATGCAAAGGAAGATGGGGAGCCCAGGAACCCACTGTTCTGCGCCAGGAGTTTGCTTTGAATCCTTTTTTCTTTTTTTTTTTTTTTTTGAGATGGAGTTCTGCTCTTGTTGCCCAGGCTGGAGTGCAATGGCGCAATCTCTGCAACCTCCACCTCACGAATTCAAGTGATTCTGCTACCTCAGCTTCCCAAGTAGCTGGGATTACAGGTGTGCGCCACCACACCCAGCTAATTTTGCATTTTTTTTAGTAGAGACGGGGTTTCACCATGTTGGTCAGGTTGGTCTCAAACTCCTGACCTCAAGTGATCCACCCGTCTCAGCCTCCCAAAGTGCTGGGATTACAGGACTGAGTCACCGTGACTACCCTGAATCTTAATCTGTAAGTGGGCAGCGTCTTTCCATTGCTTACTAAACCAACTTACTTAAAAAAAAAAAAGGTTTCTCAGCCAGGTGTGGTGGCTCATGTCTGTAATCCCAGCACTGTGGGAGACCAAGGCAGGCAGATCACCTGAGGTCAGGAGTTCGAGACCAGGCTGGCCAACATGGTGAAACCCCACCTCTGCTAAAAATACATAAATTAGCCAGGCGTGATGACACAGCTACTCGGGAGGCTGAGGCAGGAGAATTGCTTGAACCTGGGAGACAGAGGTTTCAGTGAGCCAAGATTGTGCCATTGTACTAGAGCCCGAGTGACAGCGAGACTCTGTCTCAAAAAAAAAAAAAAATTCTAGAAGTACATTGCTTTCCTAGAAAAACATCTGAAATGAAAAGTGATTCCTTCCATTGAGAAGTAGGTCATGTATGTTTTCTCTTATAGATACTTTTTGACCTTATTACCCAAATATAATCATTTTGTATACTTAAGGCATTTTTCTTTTTAGTTTTTATTCCTGTTTTTCTCTTTTTAAAAATATATCCATGTTAGGCTGGGCGTGGTGGCTCACACCTGTAATCCCAGCACTTTGGGAGGCTGAGGTGGGCAGATCACGAGGTCCGGAGATCGAGACTATCCTGGCTAACACGGTGAAACCCCATCTCTACTAAAAATACAAAAAATTAGCCAGGCGTGGTGGTGGGTGCCTGTAGTCCCAGCTACTTGGGGGGCTGAGGCAGGAGAATGGTGTGAACCCGGGAGGCGGAGCTTGCAGTGAGCCAAGATCGCACCATTGCACTCCAGCCTGGGCGACAGAGCGAGACTCTGTCTCAAAAAAAAATTTATATATATATATATGTATATTTATATATATACATATATAAATTTATATATATACATATATGTATATATATATGTTAAAATTAGTTAACATTCCCATCACCTTGATGAAGGGTGTTAAAGTAAACTTGTGCTATTCATAATTCTTTGAAATTAGAAGAACATCAATCTATGAAAGTCTTTGTGGGAGAACTGAAGTCCAGAGATCCTGCCCAAACCTTCAATCCCAAGTTCACTAAGGATTTGCATTTGTATTCCAGCTGAATGAAAAGGAGACACAGACACACACACACACACACACACACACACACACACGACTATTTCATTTGTATAGGATTTAGGACATTTTTTAGTTTTCTCACAGCATCCATCTAGGTAGAGAGAGTAGATATCTGTAGCCTGTGGGTGGGGACAGGAGTTCCAGTGATTTAAAGACTGATTTGAGGTCCTAGTGCAGCCCTCAGATTCCTTGGACTTGTCTTTATAGCTGGAAGTAATAGGATTTGAGGTGTGAAAAATGTTACCTGCCTGAATTAGCCAGGCAGACCTATATATGTGGTTCAGTTACATAGCGCTCTGTGACAAATCACCTCAAAACTTAGTGGAATAAAACCACCACCATCTTATTTGCACAGATTCTTTGGGTCAGGAATCCAGACAGGGCACAGTGGGAATGGCTGTCTCTGCTCCATTTACTGGACCAATTAACGAGCTCCAGCTGGGAAGACTGAAACTGCTGGGGGCTGGAATCATCTGGAAGCTTCTCCACCTATATGCCTGGTACCTGGGGTGGGATGACTCGAAGGCTGGACTCAGCTGGGGCTGTTTACCAGAGCATCTGCGAGTTGACCCTTCATGGAGCTCAGGCTTCTTGCAGCATGGCAGCTGGCTTCCCAAGTGGGAGGGTTCCAAGAGTGAGCATCTCCACAGAACAAATGTTCCAAGAGACCACGTGGAAGCTGCATGGATTTTTATAACTTAGCTTTGGAAGTCAGATAACAGCATTTCTGCCACTCTTTCTTGGTAGAAGCTATTGCACGTCTCCCCAGATTCAAGGAGAAGGGACCCACCTCTCACTGGAAGGACTAAAAAAATTCACAGCCACGTAAACAGAAAAAGCACATAAGCCATTTCATGCTACACCATGGTGCTAATTCAATGAAAGATTAGCTTGAGTAGAAGTCAGGAAAGCTATATCAAGAATGAGTTAATTGTAAATGGGGGAAAAAGCATGAACAGTGTATATTGTGAAGAATTAATGAAAATAATTGCGTTCAGTAGCAAAATTCAAGTTAACCTAAATGCCTAGCAATTGGGGAGTAGTTCAAATAAATTATAAATAAAATATTTATATTAGGAATATGATGCAGACTTTAAAAAGAATGAGGTAGCTCTATATGTAATTATATAAGAATATGTCCAAGATCTGTTAAGTGAAAAGATTGTTTACAGAAAAACATGTATGCAATGATTCATGAGTATTTTATCTTAACGTGTACATATATATGTAAAAATTCAGGAAATAGTCTTAAAAATTGCATTAAATTGTTAGTGGATTTCTACTGTAGATGAGAGTAGGACTTGGGTGGGTAATAGGAAGGAGAACCCACTTCTCACTCTATAGTTCTATGCTGTTTAAATTTTTAGATGTATTACGTTTTCCTATATTGCTCTTATGATATGAATTGCTATGTGAGATTTTAACTTTTAAAATACATTAAATTTAATTTATAAATATAAAAATATAAAATGTTTCATATTTTTATAAAATGTAAAGTTTAATTTAGTTAATTTGGTAAACATTTTTCTTCCTGGGACTGTTACTGAACTTTACTTTCCTAGTATTTTATTATATGAATTGGTACAGTAGGTGTGGCATGGGCACAGATGGGCACTAGTCTGTTTGGCATGCTTTGTTTGGCATGCTTTGTAGTTGCGAGAGAAATTTAAGAATGCCAGTCTTGGCCGGGCACGGTGGCTCATGCCTGTAATCCCAACATTTTGGGAGGCCAAGCCGGGCGGATCATGAGGTCAAGAGATTGAGACCATCCTGGCCAACATGGTGAAACCCCAGCTCTACTAAAAATATAAAAATTAGCCAAGCGTGGTAGCGCTTGCCTGTAGTCCCAGCTACTCAGGAAGCTGAAGCAGAAAAATTGCTTGAACCTGGGAGGCGGAGATTGCAGTGAGCCGAGATCGCACCACTGCACTCCAGCCTGGCGACAGAGACTCTGTATCAAAAAAAAAAAAAAAAAAGGAATGCCAGTCTTACTGTTTTTTGTTCCTCTTACTGCTCAGGCAGTCTCCTCAGTGGCAGCAGTTCCTGGAATGTGTGGTGATTCCAAATGATCTTTTTATAATGGTTTTAATAGAAATTAAGGGTAGACATACTCATGTTGGGTTGAGCCACTTATGCTTGTATTATCTCCCAAATGGAATTAACTATATTCATAATATAGTTAATTATAGATAATAATCAAATTAAGGAAATTTGGTGTCATTAGAAAAGATTTATGACTTTAATGGAATTGACTGATCTTTCTTTCTTCTTTTTTTTTTTTTTTGAGATGGAGTCTTGCTCTGTCACCCAGGCTGGAGTTCAGTGGCTGGATCTCAGCTCACTGCATCCTCTCCCTCCAGGATTAAAAAATTTTTGTGCCTCAGCCTCCCAAATAGCTGGGATTACAGGCATGCACCACCACGCCAGGCTAATTTTTGTGCTTTGAATAGAGATGGGGTTTTACCCTGTTGGCCAGGCTGGTCTCGAACTCCTGACCTCAGGTGATCCACCCACCTCAGCTTCGCAAAGTTCTGGGATTATAGGCATGAGCCACCATGCTCAGCCCAGGCTGGTCTATTTCTGAGCTAATCTTCTGGGGTGGGTTTTTTGGAGCATCACATACCCCTCAAGCTAATAGAACAGGATAGAAGCCAAGATGGAGATCTAGAGCTACATTTTAAAGGTGCCAGTCCTCTACTTACTTCCTGTGTTGTATGGTAACCTGATCATGCCTCATTTTTCAAACAATTATGTTATTTAAATTAGTGTCAGACAAGAAGTAGTAAGAATAACTTAAACGGTGCCAGGGACTGAGCTGTGCTCTGGCTGGGCAATGAGTTAGCTGATACTTCCTACCTGTATAACATTTATGGTTTAGTAGGATAGACAGAAACATAAAATAAGTGATTATGAGAAGATCGGCTCATCACAACTTTGAGAGATACACCTGGCTGCATACTCTCTGTTTGCCCTTTCTGATCCACCATGCTCTGTGCCCTGGGAGGCAGACCATTATGGATCACATATGGGGCCCCTTGCCCTGTGGCTTTTAGGTATTTATTTCCCCTGCTCCCTCCTTCCCTCAGCTTCCTCACATTTGTAAAATGGGATATTATTTAAGTAGTCAGGGTCCAGGCAGGAAAGAAATGGTACTCAAAACAGTCTAATTGCAAAGAGTTTAATGACAGAAATTTCACAAAGATGTGAACAAGGTAAGGGAAACTAGCAAGAATTGTGGGGTACCTGGGAGGTACCCCAAATACTTGCAGATACTTTTCTCTCACGTTTACTCTGATGGTTATTTCTTTTGCTGTGCAGATGCTTTTTAGTTTAGTTGGGTTCCATTTATTTGTTTTTGGCACATTTGCTTTTAGGGTCTTAGTCATAAATTCTTTGCCTAGGCCAATGTCCAGAAGAGTTTTTCCTGGGTTTTATTCTAGAACTTTTATGGTTTTAGGTCTTAGATTTAAGTCTTTGATCCAAGGCTTAAGGCTCTGGGTCATTGGTGGTGCTATGTTCCTCTGCTGAAAGCCACAGCTCCCATAGGGTGGCCCTCTCTTACAGCTGTTGTTGCAGCTAAATTCTTGCTGAATTCTGGCAACTAATCCTCCTCCTCAAAAACACTTAAACAAACAAACAAAAATGCATATAAACTCTCCCACCCCTTCAGACGTAGGGGAGGTGATAGCTTTGCTGTTGCTAGCCTCCTAAGTACCCAACAATTCTTGCTAGTTTCCCTTACCTTATTCATGTCTTTGTAAAATTTCTGTCATTAAACTCTTTGTAATTAGACTTTTTATAATTAGACTTTGTTTTGAGTACAATTTTTTTCCTGCCTGAACCCTGACTACTTAGATAATATCCCATTTTACAAATGTCAGGAAGTTGAGGCGTAGAGATCGGTGAATATCAGAACTAGGATTCAAATTCAGATTATTTTATGTCACGGCTGATTCTTAACTTCAGTGTTTTCCTATTTGTCACATCCAAGGAATTCTCATAGTCATCTTTACATTGAGAAGAAACCCTAGGGAAAAGTTTCTTACCTGTCAGATACAGCTATGAAGTTATGAGGCTATAAAACAAACTAGCTCTTAAATATTTCAATAAATAACATCCTTCCAATCAACTCCTGTGGTTCAGAGTTTTTCGTTACTTTCTTTTAGAATTGCCATCAGATTCATATTATAAGCCAGGAAGGAAAAAATAATCTAAAAGTAATCAAACCTTCAATTTGCCACCGTATTCTCTAGGCTTGGTTCAGGTTGACTACTGGTTGTTTGCAAACACCTGATCCACTTTTGAGGACCAAGTTTAAGGATATATTTAAAATTTTTAAAGAAATTTCAATAGCTTTGGGGGTACAAGGGTTTTTGGTATGTGGATGAATTGTATAGTGGTGAATTCTGAGATTTTTAGTGTGCTTGTCACCTGAGTAGTGTACATTGTGCCCGATACATAGTTTTATATCCCTATTTCCCCTCCCACCCTCCTCTTTCTGAGTCTCCAAAGTCCATTATGCCACTCTGTATGCCTTTGCATACCCATAGCTTAGCTCCCAGTTATAAGTGAGAATGTAACGGTGTTTGATTTTCCATTCCTGAGTTACTTCACTTAGAACAATGACCTCCAGCTCCATCCAAGTTGCTGCAAAAGACATTATTTCATTCTTTTTTTATGATTGACTAGTATTCCATAGTATATATAGTCCATATTTTCTTTATCCACTTATTGGTCAATGGGCACTTAGATTGGTCCCATATCTTTGCAATTGTGAATTGTGAAAAAGACACCTGCATTAAACATACACATGCAGGTGTCTTTTTTATATAATGACTTCTTTTCCTTTGGGTAGATACCCAGTAGTGGGATTACTGGATTGAATGGTAGATCTACTTTTAGTTCTTTAAGAAATCTTCATAGTGTTTTTCATAGAGGTTGTACTAATTTACATTCTCACCAGCAGCGTATAAGCATTCCCTTTTCACCACATCCGTAACAACATCTATTGTTTTTTGATTTTTATTAGTAGCCATTTTGGCTGGAGTAAGGTGGTATCTCATTGTGGTTTTAATTTGCAGTTCCCTGATTAGTGATGTTGAGCATTTTTTCATGTGTTTGTTGGCCATTTTTATATTTTCTTTTGAGAAATGTCTACGCATGTCATTTGCTCATTTTTTGATGGGATTCTTTTTTTTTTCTTTTTTTTTGCTGATTTGAGTTCCTTGTAGATTCTGGTTATTAGACCTTTGTTGTATGCATAGTTTGCAAATATTTTCTCCCATTCTGTGGGTTATCTGTTTACTCTGCTGGTTATTTCTTTTGCTGTGCAGAAGCTTTTTAGTTTAGTTAGGTCCCATTTATTTGTTTTTGTCACATTTGCTTTTAGGGTATTAGTCATAAATTCTTTGCCTAGGCCAATGTTCAAAAGAGTTTTTCCTGGGTTTTCTCCTATAATTTTTATGGTTTCAGGTCTTAGATTTAAGTCTTTGAGCCATCTTGAGTTAATTTTTGTATACAATGAGAGGGATCCAGTTTCATTCTTCTACATGTGGCTATCCAGTTTCCCCAGTTCCGATTATTAAATAGGGTATCCTTTTCCAGTTTATGTTTTTGTATGTTTTGTCAAAGATCACTTGGTTGAATTTGGCTTTGAGTTCTTTACTTATGTTCCATTGGTCTGTGTATCTACTTTTATACCAGTACCATGCTATTTTGGTAACTATAGCCTTGCAGTATAATTTGAAGTCAGTTAATGTGATACCTCCAGATTTGTTCTTTTTGCTTAGGATTGCTTTGACTATTCAGGCTGTTTTTTGGTTCCATATGAACTTTAGGATTTTTTTTTCTAGTCATGTGAAAATGATGTTGGTATTTTGAAAAGAATTGCATTGAATTTGTAGATTGCTTTAGGCAGTATGGTCATTTTCACAATGTTGATTCTTCCAATGCATAAGCACAGGATATGTTTACGTTTGCTTGTATCATCTGTGATTTCTTTCAGCAGTGTTTTGTAGTTTTCCTTGTAGTGATCTTTCACCTCCTTAGTTAACTATATTCTTGGGTTTGGGTTTTTGTTTGTTTGTTTGTTTGTTTTTTGTTTTGGTTTTTTTGGCAGCTATTGTAAAAGGGATTGAGCTCTTGATTTGATTCTTAGCTTGGTCATTGTTGGTGTATAGCAGTGCTATTGATTTGTGTACATTGATTTTATAACCTGAGACTTTACTGAACGCATTTTTCAAATCTAGAAGTCTTTTGGAGGAGTCTTAAGTTTTCTAGATAAATGATCATATCATCAGCAAACAATGATAATTTGACTTTATCTTTTCCAATTTGGATGCCCTTTATTTCTTTCTCTTGCCTTATTGCTATGTCTAGAACTTCCAATAGTATGTTGAATAGAAGTGGTGAAAGTGGGCATCCCTGTCTTGTTCCAGTACTCAGGGGGAATGCTTTCAACTTTTCCCCATTCAATATAATGTTGGCTTGTGGGTTTGTCATATATGACTTTTATTATTTTGAGATATATCCCTTCTATGCCTGATTTGTTGAGGGTTTTTATCATAAAAGAATGCTAGGTTTTATCAGATGCTTTTTCTGCATCTATTGAGATGATCATATATATATATATATATATATATATATATATATATATATATTTTTTTTTTTTTTTTTTTTTTTTTTTTTTTTGAGACAGAGTCTTGTTCTGTTGCCAGGCTGGAGTGCAGTGGCGCAATCTCGGCTCACTGCAACCTCTGCCTCCCAGGTTCAAGTGATTCTTCTGCCTCAGCCTCCTGAGTAGCTAGGACTACAGGTGTGTGCCACCATGCCCAGCTAATTTGGTATTTTTAGTAGAGATGGGGTTTCACCATGTTGGCCAGGATGGTCTCGATCTTTTGGCCTCGTGATCCACCTGCCTCGGCCTCCCAAAGTGTTGGGATTACAGGCATGAGCCACCGTGCCTGGCCAATCGTATGGTTTTGTATTTAATTCTGTTTATGTGATGTATTGACTTATGTATGTTAAACATACATTTATATGTTTATGTTATACATACATACATACAAATGTATACATACATTTATATGTATATGTTAAACATACATTATATGTTATGCATACATTTATTGGCTTATGTATGTTAAACCATCCCTGCATTCCTGGGTTGAAGCCCCTTGATTATGGTGGTGTATTATCTTTTTTTTTTCTTAAGACAGAGCCTTGTTCTGCCACCCAGGCTGGAGTGCAATGGCGCAATCTCGACTCACTGCAACCTCTGCCTTTTGGGTTCAAGTGATTCCCATGTCTCAGCCTCCTGAGTAGCTGAGATTACAGGCACCCACCACCATGCCCAGCTAATTTTTTATATTTTTAGTAGAGATGGGGTTTTGCCACATTGCCTAGGTTGGTCTCAAACTCCTGAGCTCAGGCAATCTGCCCACCTCAGCCTCCCAAAGTGCTAGGATTATAGGCGTGAGCCACCATGCCCAGCCTATCTTTTTAAAAAATTTTTATTTTATTTTATTTTAAGTTCTGGGATATATGTGTGGGATGTGCAGGTTTATTACATAGGTAAAAGTGTGCCATGGTGGTTTGCTACACCTATCAACCCATCACCTAGGTATTAAGCCCCAAAGGCATTAGCTATTTATCCTGATAAATAGCTCCCCCGCTCCCCTCCCACAGGCCCCACCGTGTGTTGTTCCCCTTCCTGTGTCCATGTGGTTTCATTGTTCAGCTCCCACTTACAAGTGAGAACGTGTGGTGTTTGGTTTTTTGTTCCTGTGTTAGTTTGCTGAGGATAATGGCTTCCAGCTCCATCCATGTCCCTGCAAAGGACATAGTCTCATTCCTTTTTATGGCTGCATAGTATTCCATGGTGTATATTTACCACATTTTCTTTATCCAGTCTATCATGGGTGGGCATTTGGGTTGATTCCATGTCTTTGCTATTGTAAATAGTGCTGTAATGAACATACACATGCATACATCTTTATAACAGAATGATTTATATTCTTTTGGATATATACCCAGTAATGGGATTGCTGGGTCAAATGGTATTATCTTTTTGATGTGCCGTTGGATTTGGTTTGCTAGTATTTTGTTGAAGATTTTTGCATCTATATTCATCAGGTATATTGGTCTGTAGTTTTTTTTTTTTTTTTTTTTTTGTTTGTTTTTTTTTTTGTTTTTTTATTATGTCCTTTTCTGGCTTTGGTATCAGGGTGATACTAGCTTTCATAGAATGAGTTAGGGAGGATTCCTCTTTCTAAATCTTTAGAAATAGTTTCAGTAGGATTGGAATCAATTCTTCTTTGAATGTCTGGTCGAGTTCAGCTGTAATCCATCTGGCCCTGGGCTCTTTTTTCTTTGGCAGGTTTAAAATTATTGATTCAATCTCAGTTCTTGTTATTGGTCTTTTCAGGATTTCTGTCTCTTCCTGATTCAAGCTAGGAAGGTTGTATGTTTCCAGGAATTCATCCATTTCCTCTAGATTTTTTAGTTTGTGTGCACAGAGGAGTTCATAGTATTCTCAAGTGATCCTTTGTATTTCTGTGGTGTTGGTTGTTATGGGCTTCATTTTCATTTTTTTCTTTTTTTGAGATGGAGTGTCGCTGTGTTGTCCAGGCTGGAGTGCCATGTCATGATCTTGGCTCACTGCAACCTCCACCTCCCAGGTTCAAGCAATTCTCCTGCTTCAGCCTCCCGAGCAGCTGGGATTATAGGCGTGCACCACCATACCCGGCTAATTTTTGTATTTTTAGCAGAGATGGACTTTCACCATGTTGGCCAGGATGGTCTCAAACTCCTGACTTCAGGTGATCTACCCACCTTGGCCTCCCAAAGTGCTGTGATTGCAGGCAAGAGCCACCGTGCCTGGCCTTCATTTTCATTTCTAATTGAGTTTGTTTGAATCTTCTCTCTCATTTTCTTGGTTAGTTTAGCAAATGATTTATCAATTTTGCTTATCTTTTCAATGAAATAACTTTTTGTTTCACTGACGTTTTGTATTTTTTGTTTAAATTTCATTTAGTTCTGCTCTAATCTTTTATTTATTTATTATTTTCTAGTTTTAGCTTTGTGTTTGTTCGTGTTTCTGTAGTTCCTTGAGGTGTTATGTTGTCAATTTGTGATCTTTCCGATTTTATCTTAGCACTGCTTTTGCTGTATCCCAGAGGCTTTGATAACTTGTGTCATTATTATCATTCATTTCAAAGAATTTTTAAGTTTCCATCTTGATTTCATTGTTAACCTAAAAATCATTCTGGAGCAGATTAATTTCCATGTATTTGTATAGTTTTGAAGGTTACTTTTGGAGTTGATTTCTAGTTGTATTCCACTGTGGTCTGAGAAGATACTTAATACAATTGTTTCTTTAATTTTACTGAGACTTGTGGACTATCATATGGTCTATCTTGGAGAATGTTTCATGTGTTGAGAAGAATGTATATTCTGCAGTTCTTGGGTAGAATGTTTTGTAAATATCTGTTAGGTTCATTTGTTCTAGAGTGTGGTTTAAGTCCAGTGTTCCTTTGTTGACTTTCTGCTTTGATGATCTGTCTAGTGCTATCAGTGGAGTACTGAAGTCCCGTACTATTATTGTGTTGCTGTCTATCTATTTCTTAGGTCCAGTAATAATAGTTTTATGAAGCTGGGAGCTCCAGAGTTAGGTGCACATATGTTTAGGTGGTAATATCTTCTTGTTGGATTGATCCTTTTGTTATTATATAGTGACCTTCTTTGTCTTTTTTTTTCTTTTTTACTGTTGTTGTTTTAAAGTATGTTTTTTCTGATATAAGAATAGCTACTCTTGCTCTCTTTTGGTTTCCATTTGCGTGGAATACCTTTTTCACTCCTTTACATTGAGTTTATTTGAGTCCCTGTATGTTAGATAAGTCTTTTGAAGAAAGCAGATATTTGGCTTGCCTTGTTTTAATCCATTTTGCCAATCTATATCTTTTAAGTGGAGCATTTAGGCTATTTATGTTCAATGTTAATATTGAAATGTGAGGTACTGTTCCAATCATTGTGCTGATTGTTACCTAGATACTTGGTTTTCTTTGTTATATTAGTGTTTTATAGGCCATGTGAGTTTTATGCTTTCAAGAGTTTTTATTCTGCTGCATATTGAATTTTTGTTTCAAGATTTATAACTCCTTTTAGCATTTCTTGTGGGGTTGGTCTGGTTGTGACAAACTCACTCAGCATTTGCTTGTCTGGAAAAGACTTTATTTCTCCTTCATTTATGAAGCTTAGTTTAGCTGGATACCAAATTCTTGGCTGACAGTTATTCTGCTTGAGGCTAAAGATAGGACCCCAGTCCCTTCTAGCTTGTAAGATTTCTGCTGAAGTTAAGGGGACATTTAAAAGAAATACATTTTCTGCTGGGTGTGTTGGTTCATGCCTGTAATCCTAGCACTTTGGGAGGCTGAGGTGAGAGGATTGCTTGAGGCCAAGAGTTCAAGACTTAGCTGGCCAACATAGTGAGATCCTTTCTCTTTTTAAAAGCATTTTCATTTTTTATAATTATATATTTTTAAAAGTAAAATTTTAAAAATACATTAATTGAGTTGAAGGACATTCCAAAAGAGGCACCTAAAGATGTGCTCAGTGATGGCTGCCAAGTTGAAATGAGCATAGAGCTTCTAGGGACTATTTTGAAAGATAGGATATTTATTTCTGTGTGTGATCTCTTGACTTACAAATACCAGAACTTACTCATGTTACCTGTGTCTCACCTCAGTGCATCCTGGGTGTGTATTAATTTCTTTGACCTGCAGAAGAACTCTAGGCTGGCCAAGTTGACAGTGATTGAGAGCATACAGCCCATTATTGCCATCTAACCAGAGATGGCTTGAGACAGCATAGCCTAGTAAGTAGTTAAGAGTAGGGCCCTGGCCGGGTGCAGTGACTCAGTAATCCCAGCACTATGGGAGGCTGAGGCGGACGGATCATGAAGTCAGGAGTTTGAGACCAGCCTGACCAACATGGCGAAACCTGTCCCTACTAAAAATACAAAAATTAGCCAGGCGTGGTGGCGGATGCCTGTGATCCCTGCTACTCGGGAGGTTGAGGCAGGAGAATTGCTTGAACCCAGGAGGTGAAGGTTGCAGTGAGCCGAGTTCGTACCATTGCACTTCAGCCTGGGCAACATGAGCAAGACTCAGTCTCAAAAAAAAAAAAAAAGGAGTAGGGCCCTGAAGCCAGACTGCATTGATGACAATCTAGGCCCTACAAATTACTGCTCAGTGTCCTTGTGCTCTGTGTCTTGGTTTCCTCATTTCGTGAGCGGAAATAATAGTACTTTATTCACACAGGTTTTGTGAGGAGTTAATTAGTTAATTTGTGTAAAGGGTTTAAGAGAATGTCTAGCACAACTGTAAGTGTTCAGCAGTGGTTAGCATGCTTTTTATTGCTGTCATTATCTTGACAGTCTGAGATGCCCGTTTATTCTTCCTGCCACTGTGTAATCACATTCATCTATAAGTCTTGTCTGTCACATTTTAGTAAACTCTTTTTTACTTCCCGGAAGGAATCAGGAATTAACTACCTAAAGTACCTACTTTTGAAGAGGTTGTGTCTAAGTCACGGGATATGAGAAAAAGAACCAAAAGAAAAAGAAGGAATTACGAGCCTGGAAGAAAGCGAGCATGTTGGTAAGAGAAGGTACAACTGTAATAATGCTACTTCTTATAAAGCCAGTGGCAGGGTTCGTGAATCTCAGCGGTATGTTTGGGCTGATTTTCACTTCTGGTTCTGTTCCCATTCGAGCACTACCTTTGATCTCCTATGCTGTTAATACCTGTTACTTTTCTACCTTTTGGTTAACTTTGTAGACTGAACTGTTGCAGATGAAGAATCACTCTTGCATCAGGCATGTAAAAGATATCAAAACTAAAGAAATTTTGCCTTCCTTAAGAAAGCAAGAATGAGAAATCCCCCTGTGCCATCCATAAAGAGGGCATTCAAAGCCTGAGTGTTGAGTAGGAGTTACAGCAGAATGGCACATGTGGAATGAAGTTCAGGCCTTTGAGGACTAGGAAAATGGTACTCAGCTTTTCTCGTATTAATGCCTGGAAGCAGGAAGAGCTGTTCTACCTATAAAATGGGGGTTGGAGGGATCCTACCCATTAGCGAGGGAATAGCCATGGGAGGAAAGAAAGGAACTGGCAAGAAAACAGGGACCCAAAGCCTGAATCACTCATAGATGAAGTAGCTGATTTCTTATCTATGTGATCTTATCCCCCCATCAGATGAGACATTAACACAGAGTTGTCTGAGGCAGGTGGAGAAGGTTAAGGGAGCTATAAAAGGGTATCGGGCTACAGTGCTTTCATAGAGAATATATATGCATTCTGTTTCTCCATTTTTCTTTGGAGGATTTAATTCTTTTCTTCCTATCTTTCCAATTAAAATGAAAACCTATGGTATGATTTATTACAAGAAGCTTTACTTAACTTCTAATAGTCTGATCTCATTTCCTTGAATAAAAATGACATCACAGTAAAACTAGATTATAACATTTTTAGGCTTTGACATAATACAGACCTATGAATTGACTTAACCCACTGAATAGTTATAGAAGTGAATAACTAAGCTGTCTGTGTAATGGGGAGGGAAAGGAATGTGAATCCTTTATCACACGAAGTAAACCAACAACATAGTACAGTTTTAGAGCCACAAGGCAGATATGAGGACGCACCTGGTCACTCGTGCTACCTTGCCCAGGGATAAAGGATTTTCACCTAGAGTGCATGTAAACATCTCTACTTGCTTACCTGAGTGCCTATTCAGCTGTAACCCCAGTTCTTTCTTATTTCTCCTACATTTAAAATCACTTAACAGGCTGGGCACAGTGGTTCACACCTGTAATCCCAGCACTTTGGGAGGCTGAGGTGGACATATCACTTGAGATCAGGAATTTGAGACCAGCTGGCCAACATGGTGAAACCCCGTCTCTACTAAAAAATACAAAAATTAGCCAGGCATGGTGGTGGGTGCCTGTAATCCCAGCTACTTGGGATGCTGAGGCACAAGAATCACTTGAACCTGGGAGGCAGAGGTTGCAATAAGGCAAGATCGTGCCACTGCACTCCAGCCTGGGTGACAGAGTGAAACTCTGTCTCAAAAGATAAGAATAAATAAAATAAAATCAGTTAATAATATGATACCGGAATAAAGACCACACGTAATCTGCTCAAATCTAAAGGGACATGCAATGGAAGCTTAAATACACCATGTTGTAGTTGAAAATTGTTTTAGGAAGGGGCTGGACAGTGAGAACGCTTATTGCCCTACAGAGAGTGACATGTCAGGATTTATAGTCGGAAAATATATACAAATAGTCTCCAGAGTTTTAAATCATCTGCTCATTACAGAACCTCATTTCAACATAACAGTTCTCTGGTGTATGAAATGGATGGAAGCAAAAGTTATGGTAGATTTACAAACCAAAATTCAACTATGTCTCATTTTATGTATGTGAGAGGATGGCATGCATCCATAGTCCCAGCTACTTGGGAGGATGAGACGGGAAGATCATTTGAACTTAGGAATTCCAGTTCAGCCTGGCCAACATAGTGAGACCTCATCTCTGAAAACACCAAAAGTTTTTTTTTTTTTTTAATTAAAAAAAAATGTGAGAGGACAGAATGGTATATTAAGAGAGTATGAGTTTCAGAATCTGACCCCTGATTCTGGCCTGCTTGGCACCCAATCCTTGGGCAGGTTTCCAGCTCTCTGAGCTGTTTTCTTCCTCTGAAAATAAAGCCGTCTCTCTAGCCAGGGTTGTTAGAAAGATCAGTACTTACATGTCAGGCCACTAGCACACAGCCTAGTAAATTAACAATGGCAGCTGCTATGGGACATGACATTTCATGTCTGAAACATATCCAGGGTTTTGTCAAAGAGCAAGTGTTCAGCTATAGTCTTTATTGGTGAAGTTTTAGCACATTTATTGGGCAAACTCTAGTTTCATGAGATACTTATATAAAGTTTTAGTTATTGACACTTTTTTCTATTTCATAGCCACATTGGTATATTTTTTGCTTATAATTTGGCTACAGGAGGGGATTGAATATAGAATTCACAAGTCTAAACTTGTGTGTAAAGTTGGCTCAGTTTCGTCTACCAAATTAGAGTGATCCTGCCCTCCAAGTGTATTGTAAAGTGTAATAGAAATAAATGGGAGAGAAGGCTCTTCCTCACAATAGTAGAAAGAATTATGGAGTTAGAAAATCAATAGGCTGGGTGCGATGGCTTATACCTGTAATCCCATCACATTGGGAGGCCAAGGCAGAAAGATCACTTGAGCTCAGGAGTTCAGGACCAGCCTGGGCAACATAGTGAGACCCTGTCTCTATTTAAAATAAAGGAAATTAAAATAATAGAAAGAGAAAATAGATGCTTACATCAGTAAATACAAGTGTTTTTTTGTTTGTTTTGTTTTGTTTTTTGAGATGGAGTTTCACTCTCGTCACCCAGGCTGGAGTGCAATGGCACAATCTCAGCTCACCGCAACCTCTGCCTCCTGGATTCAAGTGAATCTCCTGCCTCAGCCTCCCAAGTAGCTGGGATTACAGGTGCCCACTACCACACCTGGCTAATTTTTGTATTTTTAGTAGAGACGGGGTTTCACCACGTTGGCCAGGCTGGTCTCGAACTCCCAACCTTAGGTGATCCGCCCACCTTGGCCTCCCAAATTGCTGGGATTACAGGCGTGAGCCACTGTGCCTGGCCAAAATTGTTATTTTTTAACAACTTTCTGAGTGCTTGGAATTATGAAGGCAGCATTTGAAATTTTTGAAAGTATTTCCCTACACTTTAACCTAATCTTAAGCCACTAATACTGTTTAAGATTTAAAATTATCTTGGCAGTCGAAGAAGTAAAATCCAGAAAAGATAAATGACTTGCTCAAGATGGTTCCTGCCAAATCTAGAACCTTCATCCCATGGCCTCCTGGGATTGGGTTTTTTCATAGACTATCGGCTTAAGTGCTTTTTGGAAATAAAAGAAAATGTAAATATATAAAAGATAAGAAAGCAAAATTGTATCTTCTCTGGGGTAGTTTAGCAGTAGTTCTGTCTTAAAGAGAATTAGACCAGAGAGATACCATTTCTAATTTGAAACTCTTTGGTTCTGTGAAATTGGTTAAAGAGGCTAAATTTGATACAAGATCTGTCTCTATGTGATGAGCCCTTTGAATATTACTCAGTACATCACGGTGAGGGGTGGGTGGCCTCGTGTCTTTAGGACTCTTCCAGTGGCATGTGAGCAATAGCATCTGTTACCATTTCTACATGAAATGATTGGCCAATCCCACAGGTTGGGCTGTCTCACTCACTGAGAAGCAGCAGGGCAGAGTGGTTAGGGAAAGGTGATGGAGTTGGATACCAGCATTTGTGTGTCTGCTCTGGCCACTTGCCAGCTGAGTGACTCTGGACCAGGATAATAGTGAAGATGACAACAATAATAAAACCTGCCTCATAGGGCTGTTGTGAAGATTAAATGAGTTAATATTTGCAAAGAATTGAGAATAGCACCTGGCATATAGAACATGCTATACAAACATTTTTAAACTGTGGCAAAAATCGGCCGTTTTAACCTTTTTTTTTTTTTTTTGAGATGGAGTTTCGCTCTTGTTGCCCAGGCTGGAGTGCAATGGTGTGGTCTCGGCTCCCTGCAAACTTCGCCTCCTGGGTTCAACTGATTCTTCTGCCTCAGCCTGCCGAATAGCTGGGATTACAGGTGCCAGCCACCATGCCTGGCTACTTTTTGTACTTTTAGTAGAGATGGGGTTTCACCATGTTGGCCAGGCTGGTCTCGAACTCCTGACTTCAGGTGATCTGCTGCCTCAGCCTCTCAAAGTGCTGGGATTACAGATGTGAGCCGCCATGCCTGGCCCATTTCAACCATTTTTAAGTGTACGTCTCTGTGGCATTAAGTACCTTCACATTGTCGTGCAGCCAACATGAACGCCCCGTTCTCTCCTCCCCAACAACCCCCAGCAACCTCTATTCTACTTTCTGTCTCTATGAATTTGACTACTCTTGGTACCTCATATAGGTGGACTCATACAGTGTTTCTTTTTGCGACTGGCTAATTTCACTTAGAATAATGTCCTCAAGGTTTATCCACACTGTAGCATGTGTCAGTATTTCCTTCCTTTTTAAGAATGAATAATATTGCCTTGTATGTATATACCACATTTTGCTTATCTGCTTGTCTGTTCGTGGACTCTTGAGTTGCTTCTTCCTTTTGGCTATTGTGAATAGTGCTGCTATGAACTTAGGTACAAATATCTGCTGGAGTCCCAGCTTTCGCTTATTTTGGGTGTATACCCAGAAGTGGGATTGTTGGATCATATGGTAATATTATGTCTAAGTTTTTGCAGAATTGCTGTACTGCTTTCCACAGGAGTGGCACCAGTTTATATCCCTACCAGCAATACACGCAGGTTTCATTTTTTTCCACACCTGCACCACCACTCGTTGTTTTTTTAATGCATTTTTTAATATGTAAAATTATTGGAGGAATTTATTAACCAGCAGTCATATATCCAGTGTTGTTAAGTTGTTGCCTTAGTCTTTTTAAAGAGGAATGAGTAAAATATTTTGACGAAGGAAGATTTGGGAAATCTTCTGGTTAATCAGATGCTGGTTAATCAATGTTTACCAGCAAAGCCCTCCTTCTGTGTTTCTAGAACCCTCCTTCTGTGTTTCATCTAACCTCTCCTTGATCTAATACTCCCACCCCCATCCTTTGCACTCTACTTTTAAGGAGAAAGGCAAGTCATAGGTAGTAAGTTTATAACAAGAATTCGTTTAGAACCAAATGGCTTTTTGGTTTATGTACTGCAGTGTGTAAAAAATGGGTTGGCTCAGTTTCATCTACCAAATTAGAATGATCCTACCCTCCAAGTGTATTGTAAAACTTTTATGAACAGACTTAGCATATCCAGCATAAAAGTAGCCCATCCGTGAAAAAAGATGTGGGGAAAAAACAGATGGAATGAGAAAGTTCTGGTTCCTCTCTGGCCTGTGTTTTCCCTCTGGCCTGTGTTTTCCCTCTTGACGTGCTTCCTTACTTTGTGAGCACAAGTTTCAGTGGGTGCCAGGGGCACCAGTGCATTAAGAAGGTCATGCCTATTTTGCGACCAGTTTCCAGAAGGCTCTGCGGATCACAGAGATTGGTAGTAACATGGGGCATAGCCCAATTCAGCAGGAAACAGTTAAGAGCCGTTGTCGGCCAACCTCCCCAACAGCACTTGGGTTTTCCTGTTGAGAGCAGGGACTGAGAGACAGGACTAGCTGGATTTCCTAGGCCAACTAAGAATCCCTAGGCCTAGCTGGGAAGGTGACCACATCCACCTTTAAACACGAGGCTTGCAACTTAGCTCACACTCGACCAGTCAGGTAGTAAAGAGAGCTCACTAAAATTCCAATTAGGCAAAAACAGGAGGTAAAGAAATAGCCAATCATCTATCGCCTGAGAGCACAGGGAGAGGGACAGTGATCGGGATATAAACCTGGGCATTCAAGCCGGCAATGGCAACCCCCTTTGGGTCCCCTCCCATTTTATGGGAGCTCTGTTTTCATTCTATTAAATCTTGTAACTGCAAAAACAAACAAACAAACAAAAAACATGGGGCATAGCCACGTCCGTCGAGAGCTGCCAGAATCGGTGGGTCTAGGGTCTTGAATAAGATGCTTCTTCCCAGGAATGATGCCTCCCAGCTGGGTTCCCTAAGCTGCCTGCACATGTTTGACCAAGTGTGAGCTAAGCTGGGGTGGGTGCTTGGTTGGTTAAACATGAAGTTGCTTATGTGGCCTGAGACCTCTGGGCTGTTAAACCAGGAGCTGCTGGTATGCAGACCTATGCAGCCCGTGGGGTACACATAGCACATCTTCTCAAAAATGCCAATTTTACTAAGTTTGGGGGTGGGAACCCCTTCTATTTTAAATACTGAAACACAGATAAATTGTGGATTAAAATGAAAAATGGATGATTTTTTTAAAAGGGTGAGACAGACATGATACTTTATGCTAATTGGACTTTGAGCTGTGCCCCCAAATATTCCTTTTCACCCCTTGTTCATTCCATGTGTTTCCTCTCTTCTGCATGTAGGGTTTTCTATGAAAAAGCTTATTGCTGCACAATTTGGGAAGCCTGGGGATGTGTGGAGGTCCAGAGAGACTCAGAAAGGCTGGTTTGCATCTCCTAAGGGTAGCGTGGCTGGTAAGAGTCAGACTGCTGCATGGCTGTGCTCGCCATGTGTCATCTGTGATCTTGGACAAATGGTTGGGCTGTCTCAAGCCTCTGTTTCCACTCTGTAAAGTGGGAATAATACCAGTGTCATAGGATTGTTGTGGGTTAAATGCTGTGCAATGAAGAGGAGCTGGTGCTGGCTTTGTCTGTGTCTGTGGAAGGGTGGATAAGGAGATGAAGCCTCACCTGCTGCTTCTATTAGTGCCTCTCCTAGCCCTCTATCCTTACTTATTCATGTAGCAAGGTCTCTACATGCTGGAATTCACAGCCTTCTTTTATTGCTGGATCTCTTCTCTCTGCCCTTTGTCTCCCCTTAGATAACTCTAACTCCTCCAGACCTGATATCAAGATGAAAGGAAGGCTGGCTTGGGATCTGGAGTAGCTGAAGATCTGGAGTACCTGAAGACTACTCCAGAGGACTTTACCTCCAAGGGCAAGAAACCCATCTGGTGTGCTGCTCAAGGCTCTCCATAAGTGGAAGCATCAGGATAGTAGTGGGTGGAGCACTAGGAGAGGAAATGGGGAAGCAAGGATTTTGAAGGGCAGATGAGAGCCATTATCTTTAATCTCCATCCCCATTCCCATGGGTGCAGCTCTAAACATGTTGCAAGAAAAAGCAGATCCACATGGACTATGAATACTGGTCAACTGGCAAAATGAGCTTGGTTTGAGTATTAAATTAATAGTAATTATTATAATATCATCAGTGACTTAACAATTGATGCCCAGTGAACTGTACATGATTCTCTTGCAGGTATGTGTATTATTAGGTGTTCCAAGTCAGCCACCTTGAAAGAACTTTTATCAATAGAATGAACATCTGCCCAGCTTCTTGATTTTGAGCTGTCACCTGATCTTCTCACTTTCATCTCACAACCGTACTCCTCTCATCTACCCAGCTTAGAAACAGCTGTAAAATGACCTGGGGGTCTCCCTTCACCTATTCTGGAGAAGCTCAAAGACTTGGAAGGGTGGAGGGGAATGGCCCTCTTAGCTGTGTCCATAAAACAGAGACTTTGAAGGCTGAGGATTGGGACAGAAATGTGCCTTGATGTGTGTGTACGATTTCTCTATTCTTGTCTTCACTTCTCCAGATGTGTTTTGCACCTAACTTCCTTTCTCTCCCGTCCTTCAAACCTGACTTCAAACTCTCTTCATCTAGAAAACTGGCTCTGATTAATCCCATTATTGAACAACCTCTTTTCCCTCCCTCGGCTTTTCTATTCTTTCTACTTTAATGAGTTGGTACTTTTTCCAAAGGAGCTTTATAACTTTTCTCCAGCTGTTAAATGGGTCTTCTCCTGTTAGATTGTAAACTGAGGTACAAAGTCCTTCTTCCACCTTATCCCTTTTCTCTACCCATGAAGTGCCCTGCAACTATTTAAACATTAGTTAGAGACTTTGCCATGTATCAGAAGAAACACATTCTGTTGTTGTATTTATTGGTTTTAATTATAAAGCAGTTGGAATGCATTTTAGGATTCTGAATCTCCATAATTCTCTGCCAGCACTTTGCACCTAGTGGACCATTAGTAGGAATAATTTTCCATCCCTGCCTAGCTTCATAATTGTAGACACTTCTGCTGCACAAATGCTGGCAGGGCTCTCATGACTTAATTCTGAAATTGTATTTAGTGGCTAATACACAGAGAAGATTTGGCTATCTCCTCTGGTCTGCAGCTGACATGTGGCATGAGGGAATTTACATACAGTACCACGATCCAGTTCCCAGCCAAGAATTAAACGCCTGGAGGAGATCAGTTATTTAAATCTGAAGCAGTACAGCATGAATTATATTTAAGGTAGTTGCTGTTCTGGCTCTTGTATAAAGTTCTTTCAGCTCTGGGCTAAAGAATCATAATACCTGAAAACCTTCATGTCTGTTGTATGTTTATAAGAACATCCTTTTCTAAACTTGGGACCATTTACTTTCTGAGAGCAGTGGTACTGCATGTTAGAACAAAAAGCACACAACAAGCCAAAACCAAAATGTTTGCAGCTTTGTTGCCCTAGTGGGGTAAATTCTTTCCCATGAGAGAGCTGTTCTCTGTGTATTTTATACACTTTCCAAGTAGTTTACACAATCACGGGTTGTATACATTATCTTCAGCCTGCAAACTCGATGTGAACCTCACCCACTCTTGCCAACCCAACTCCCTTCCCACATCAGCCATTCCGTTTCCTCCTACTGCTTCCTGTGCTGTTGACCTAAAAGAATAAAAATGTTTGCACTAATATAATAGGGTACCTCCAAAACATAAAGGTCAGTGAAGACTAAACAAAAACCAAGAATAGTTTTAAATACACACCAACTCTATAGAGCAATCTATTAGCTCTAGGACCTTGAGTAAAGCACTTAACCCATTTGAATCTTAGTTAAGTGGAGGTAATAATAGGAGGTAATAATATTTGTCCCATCTATCTGATGAGAGCTGTTTTAGTCATATGAGAGAATTTATGTGGTAGCACTTTATAAATATGTACTACTTCTATGAAACTGAAGAGCTCAGCATGTTTGGTTCAAGTCTTGCTGCTTGCTGTTGGCACCATATGCAGTGTTTTATGACTTCTCATGAGTCTGGTCTCCTTACAAACCCTAAATGTGTGGACCTGAGCTGATTTTCATATCCTACTTAAACCAGAGAAACTTCTTGCTAATGAGAACTAGCCTAGGTGGCTTTAGTCCTGAATCTAATCACATTGAAATATATTCTTGATCCATGACTGTATTGTCAACATATCCCCATTTGCATAGTATGATCCACTTGAGAGCTGAGTTTTTGGCAATCTTTTTTAAATTGCCCTGAATCATGTGTTAATTCACACTCACTAACAGCATATGCTTGCATTAATAGCACCCATCTGTTCAACATCATAGTCTTCTAATTGTGTCTGTTATATTAAACTTCTCTTCCAAATATAAGTTTTGACTTAAAGTCAGCTCCTTAGTATATCCCTGGAACAGTGAAATGCCTTTATGTTTTGTCCCCTTAATTGAACAAGCTTGTCTTTATGTAAATTGGCATATTGGGGTGACTTTCTGGTGCCAAGCCATGGCTTGTTTCCACCTCCACCATCTGAAGTCACGAAGTGTGCTGGCTGTTACTTGTTGACTTCCTTTTTCTTCCCCCATACCGTGCTCCTCTTCCTCTTGTTCCTTCTATTGCCAGTCCTGCCTATGAAAAGCATCACCATGTTTTTCTTTCTTCTTCTAATTTGGATTTCATGTCACACAGGCTTGCTGCAGCCTTCTCGTCACTGTCCAGGTTAGGTTCCCTTCCATTCATTCTCTTTCACTCACCTCTTACCCTACCTGTTTTCTCCCATTAGCCTGTCACACCCACGCTATCTCTTTAGGCCGTTGGGCCTTCTAATAAGATATCATGGCATTAGTCATCTTCTGATCACTTCCTCTCTGCTGCCTTTGAACTTCTGTGATTTTTAAAAATACGGTAAAACTGACTAAATATTCATTGTACATTTTGAATGACCATGATCCTTTTCTAGAAGTTCAGATAGATCAGTTAGATGCATGAAAGTCATCCTTTGCAGTGGACCTGGTATTAATGCTTATTCCTCATTATTATTATTTTTTTTTCTGCAACTGAACATTAAAACAAATTTAGGCTGGACACAGTGGCTCACGCCTGTAATCTGAGCACTTTGGGAGGCCAAGGCAGGCAGATCACTTGCGGCCAGGAGTTCAAAACCAGCCTGGCCAACACAACGAAACCCCGTCTCTACTAAAAATACAAAATAATTAAATGAACGTGGTGATGTGTGCCTGTAATCCCAGCTACTTGGGAGGCTGAGGCATGAGAATGGCTTGAACTCAGGAGGTGGAGGTTGCAGTGAGCTGAGATCACACCACTGCATTCCAGCCTGGGCAACAGAATGAGACTGTCTTAAAAAAAGAAAAAAATTTAATCTCTTGTTATTTCTGATATAGATATAGTAAAGTAATACAGGTAAATGGTATAGAATATTTGGAAAATGTATAAGAATTAAAAAAAAAAAAAGAACAAATCTGACCTCAGGTGATCTACCCGAGTGCTGGGATTATAGGCGTGAGCCACCACGCCCAGCCCTTGTTTTTTTCTTTTCTTTTTTTTTTTTTGTTTGTTTTTATTATACTTTAAGTTCTAGGGTACATGTGCACAACGTGCAGGTTTGTTACATATGTATACATGTGCCATGTTGGTGTGCTGCACCATTAACTCATCATTTACATTAGGTATATCCCCTAATGCTATCCCTCTACCCTCCCCCCAGGAAGGGGGACAGCCCTTGTTTTTTCTTTTGATCTTATTACAACCCTGGCATTCCTCATGTGATCTAATTTGTCAATATTGAATATTAATTTTTTTCTGTTGCTGGACTATATTTGAGATTTTTGGATCTCTGAGAAAAAAGCCTATAATTTTACTTTTTATACTTTCAAGATAGTAACATTAATTTTATGTGGTTTTCAGGGAAAAACAAATTCACACAAATCTATCTGCTGATTAACAAGATATCTATAATAATAGCGACACTCTCAGAAAAGCAACACCCTCAGAAAAGCCTAATGGCTGCTGATGTCATCAAGCATTTACATGCAGGGAGATAGTGGCACTTCAGTTTAGTAGAAAGATCATGAACTTTGGAACCAGTTGTTTTGAATCCCAATTCTGCCATTTACCTGTTTTTATGATCTTAGAATTACCAAAGACTAAATTAGCTAACCTCTCTGAGTTTGTTTCCTATTCGAAAAATGTATTTTCCAATCAATTCCTATCTTTTTTTTTTTTTTTTTTTTTTTGAGATGGAGTCTCGCTCTGTAGCCCAGGCTGGAGTGCAGTGGCGCAATCTTGGCTCACTGCAACCTCCGCCTCCCAGGTCCCAGTTAAGCAATTCTCCTGCCTCAGCCTCCTGAGTAGCTGGGATTACAGGCTTGCGCCACCATGCCTAGCTAGTTTTTATATTTTTAGTAGAAACGGTGTTTCACCATGTTGGTCAGGCTGGTCTTGAACTCCTGACCTCATGATCCACCCGCCTCGGCCTTCCAAAGTGCTGGGATTAAAGGTATGAGCCACCGCACCCAGCCTTCAATTCCTATCTTAAAGAGGAATGCAGGGACTAAGAAGTAATATATGCAAAATATGTGATGTAGTAAGTGCATGTTAAGTATTAATCCTTTCTGTCTGTGTTTTTTTATTAACACATCATAAAGAGCTTACATTGATTAGAGGAATAAGTTATGTGCTGTATAATATACAGAAAAAAAACCCACTTGTAACCAAGAGATTGTTTTATTTTCTTGCATGTACCATTGAATCATGTGTGATCTATTTTTTCATTTTTCCTAATAGTCAAGGGAAAATTAAGCCAAGGCTCACTGTTCCCTTGTCTTCTAAAGCCTCCAACTTTGTAGGAATATCCTCTGCTATTTTACTATTTGGGGTGGTTTTTGTGAGGATAGGGACAGGGTGTTAGCAGTGACTTGCTACTCCTTGGGAACAGCCCAGAGGACTGTTGTTATAAGACCTGCTAATTCTGCTTAACAGTTGTAAAATATTATTATTTCTATGGGGCATTAAAGTTTATGTAAATATCTGGGTCTTTAAACTATTCATTATCTATAGAGAATAGGGAGAATTACTTTAGGATTGGTTCTAAATAACTTGAGACATTTTGCCCTGACCAACAGTTAAAGCATAAAAGGTTCATACCGAGTCATAGGGAGTTGAGTTTCTTTCCCTTCTTCTAAATATAGTAGAAGCTTATCCAAACTAAAGATTTTTAAATTACCTTCTGTTGTTGGAGTTAAATTTTTTAAATTGGCCTTGGAAACTTGACACTTCATTCTTTCTTACTGAGATCTGTATGGGGATGGGAGGACAGAGTGTATAGGAGCAGGCAGTGGGCAAATGGAATTTTCTCTGTGCCTACTTGGTAATAAGTAAGAGGTTTGGTTTCCAAACTGTGTCTTGAAATTGTAATTGTCCAAGAAATCCCAAATCTAGGAATCATTGCCTATAATTCTTCCAAATTAAGCAGGGTTCTAGATACACCCCACCCACAAACCCAGTCTGCAGGCCAGCCCTCTGTATATGGGCCTTAATGTCTCCATGGGCTGCTTTGGGTTTCTAGATAATGAAAAAAGAAATTAGATATATATATATTTTTTAATTATTATTATACTTTAAGTTTTAGGGTACATGTGCACAATGTGCAGGTTTGTTACATATGTATACATGTGCCACGTTGGTGTGCTGCACCCATTAACTCGTCCTTTAGCATTAGGTATATCTCCTAATGCTATCCCTCTCCCCTCCCCCCACCCCACAACAGTCCCCAAAGTGTGATGTTCCACTTCCTGTGTCCATGTGTTCTCATTGTTCATTTCCCACCTATGAGTGAGAACATGCGGTGTTTGGTTTTTTTGTCCTTGCAATAGTTTGCTGAGAATGATGGTTTCCAGTTTCATCCATGTCCCTACAAAGGACATGAACTCATCATTTTTTATGGCTGCATAGTATTCCATGGTGTATATGTGCCACATTTTCTTAATCCAGTCTATCATTGTTGGACATTTGGGTTGGTTCCAAGTCTTTGCTATTGTGAATAGTGCCGCAATAAACATACGTGTGCATGTGTCTTTATAGCAGCATGATTTATAATCCTTTGGGTATATACCCAGTAATGGGATGGCTGGGTCAAATAGTATTTCTAGTTCTAGATCCCTGAGGAATCACCACACTAACTTCCACAATGGTTGAACTAGTTTACAGTCCCACCAACAGTGTAAAAGTGTTCCTATTTCTCCACATCCTCTTCAGCACCTGTTGTTTCCTGACTTTTTAATGATTGCCATTCTAACTGGTGTGAGATGGTATCTCATTTTGGTTTTGATTTGCAAGAAATTAGATATTCTTATTCAGATTTACACAGCGGACCAAATGAATTTTTCTCTTGTGTGAAATTTATAAATAATTCTTCTATTCTGGAAAGACATCCTGGGTTTGGAGACCCAGGCTTGGTTTAAAAACAAATGAACAGTCTGATGCAGTGGCTCACACCTGTAATCCCAGCACTTTGGGAGGCTGAGGTGGGCATCCCTCAGGAGGTCAGGAGTTTGAGACCTGCCTGGCCAACTTGGTGAAACCCTGTCTCTACTAAAAATACAAAAAAAATTTAGCCTGGCATGGTGGCGCATGCCTGTAGTCCCAGCTACTTGAGAGGCTGAGTCATGAGAATCGCTTGAACCCAGGAGGCAGAGGTTGCAGTGAGCCAAGATCGTACTACTGCACTCCAGCCTGGGCAACAAGAGCGAGACTCTGTCTCAAAAAAAAAAAAAAAAAAAAAAGAGAACAAACAAAACCAACAAGTGTTAAGTAGATGTTTGTAAGTATGAAAATAGTGTGGGGACTTTTGTATGAAAGTGGGATTAAGGAACCCTCTTTCATGTGTAGATCCTGATGCCATGTACATTGAAAGCATATTTGCAGAAAAGGATAAATTATTTTCGTAAAGCCTAAACTATCTCTCCATTTTCCTGCATAATTATGACAAGCTTCTTAACTATTCCAGGCCCTAGTGACCTCACTGCAACAAAGAGGGTATTGGCAGCCAATCAGGAACTCTAACTCTTGTTGGTAAACTTGTCTTGTCACTGTTAGTTACCCTCACTTCTCCACCTGGGAAATTCTTCTAATGCCAAACTTGAAGATTTGGGGCTTTGTGTTATTATGGTAGGTGGCCATAGTCGCTTACAGCCTTGTCTAACCCGAATATCCTCTGAAGTTGTGTGTTGATTTATAACTTTGGAAGGTTCTTAGAAATGTGTCATGGGGGAACAGTTCCAGGAATGATGTGGAAGGCAGGCTTTCCATAAAGTTCCCCTGCCCTTAGTATCTTGTGTGACTATTATGAGAGCAGCAAACTTCGTAGGACTAAACTTGGAAGGACACAGCATCTCTGCCTTGAAGCACAAAGTTGAGCACACCATTCAGCAGCCTTTACTAAGCACCTATTATTTCTTTTGCCCTTGGTAGGGATATAGAAATGGATGAGACTCGAGGGCCTGTGCTCAGTGTCTCATAATTTTAGTGTCTTGATGAAGCCATGTTTTTAACATGGGGGTGGCAGTCTCTTTCATCGTTTCAGATTCTTTAGAGTGCCTGTGAATACGTATTGGTTTACTAACAACTTCGGCCTAGGGTTTGCCTATTTTTCAAAAGAAAATTCAGTTTAAGGAAGTTTGATTATGTAGTCCTTTAAAGCTTAAGATTAAGCAGTTGTGAAATACTTTTGGAAGCTGGTATGAAGCAGGAATGTACCACGGGTCAAATTTACAGAGGGTATCAGCTTACCTGAAATCTTGGACTTTAGGTTCTCTCATCTTTATATTCCATTCTCCCATTCCCACCCCAGTTTTAGTGTCTTGGAATCAGTTCTCTTCCTTCTAGTGTGTTCTTTGATGTATAAATGCCATCTCTGATAACTATTCTTTAAGTTGTGAGAGGGGGCAGATATCCTTTTAGGTATTTTCTTCCAGATAAAAGCAGTTCCCAACTCTTAGAAGATGGTTCAATGAACAATTGAAATGAATTATCTATTCAAGTATACTTAGGATTCCTTGTAGAAATTTTGAAACACATAGAATAACAATGTGTATTTATAATGCTAAGGCTGGGCACCATGGCTCACTCCTGTAATCCCAGCACTTTGGGAGGCGTAAACTGGAGGACTGTTTGAGCTCAGGGGTAAGTTCAAGGCCAGCGTGGGTAACATAGTGAGACCTTTTCTCTACTGAAAATAAATAAAGGTTAAATTTTTAAAAATACAAAATAAATGCTAAATTGTGGACATATTTTTTTCTTTCTTTCTTTCTTTTTTGAGACAGGGTCTTGCTTTGTCACCCAGGCTGGAATACAGTGGCGCGATCATAGTTTGCTGCAGCCTCCACTTCATGGGCTCAAGTAATCCTGCCTCAGCCTTCCGAGTAGCTGAGACTATAGGCTTGCACCACCACACTCAGCCAATTTTTTGTATTTTTTTGTAGAGATGGGGCTTCACCATGTTGCCCATGCTAGTCTCAAACTCCTGAACTCAAGGGATTCATTCACCTTGGCCTCCCAAAGTGGTGGGAGCTACCCCAGCCGGACATATTTCTATGAATTGGTAATTCCTGGTTTTCTGCTTTTCCTTGAAGAGAAACACCCTAAATAATACCCTATTACAGAACAGATTCCAAGCCCTGGTTTTGGGGCCTCTTGCCAACCCTCCCTTCAATATATCCCTCAAATCTAAGCATTTCGTAATTATGCCAAACTTTCAATTGTTTAATAAAAACTTTGAGAGACCTTTTGAGTCATATTCATCACTTTGTGTTCCATCTCCATAATAAACTGGCACCAAGCAGCCACTCAAATGTTTGTTGAACAAATGAGTGAATTTTAATACAAAGTGTATGGTGGCCTTGGTGTCTCTGTGTGAAGGTAGCAGGTAGAGAATAGGGGAAATTAAACAGCGACCATGTCAACTCCTTATTGAATTAGGTAGATTTTGGGCTATTTTTACATTGGATTTTGTACGTGTTCTTTGGGAAATGGACTCCTAAAGGACCCTTTCATTTCTAATTTATACTTCTATTTCAAAATACTCTCTAACAACTTGCTTTCATTCTGCTCCTTGAATCTGTGAATAAGCCTTATTGTGTAATTTTCATAGAATGCAATTGCTTTGAACTGTCATCTGATGCTGCAAGTGGTATTTTGTGAGTTGCTAATACATCAGAAAGCTGTGTTCTTCACAATGTCCTCATGTTTTTTGTGGTTCACGGCAGCAAGTAAAGATGAACTGTGGAGGTTGCAGTTAATCAAGTTACTTTAAAATGAAAAGAATTTTGAAGCCACTTAAATGACCTGCTTCTTGGGCTTGGCAGTGACAAGTCCCTTCCTGGGCCCACTTAGATTTAACAGCAGGAGGTACTGGGCAAAGAATAAGGGCTGCAATGTTGACAGACCTTAGTTCCGGCCCTGGCTTTACCATTGACCCAGCAAATAGCTGTGGGCAGTCCCTTTCCCTTGCTTGACTTTGGTTTCCTCATTTATAGGAAAGAGATAATGCCTATCTCTGAGGGTGATCATGAGAACCACAGAACCACACAGTAACATATGGAAACGTCCTTTATAGGCAGTAAAGCCACATCTTAAGTGAATTATTTTATTAGCTCCATGATGGATCTTTAAATGACAGTGTTATTATCCATGCCAGTGGTTCTTATCAAAAGCCACTACTTAGTAAATATTGAGTAATGCAGAAATATTTGCAGGCAGTCTCTGTGGCCCAGAAGGACTTGCTTTTGCTGTTAAGATTTTCTCAAATTCCCTAACCTTCCTAGACTTACAATTTGACAGTAGATTATGAAAGGTGTTCTCTCCCATTCAAGGAAGGTGAGGCCAAAGTGTGTGTAGTTAGAAAGTCAGTGGGCCAGGCAGAAGGTCAGAAGGCAAGGAATGGGTATGTACAAGGAAGTCCCATGAGGGTACACATTTTTTATACTTATTACCCTGTGTCTGGTGCTTTGACTCACATGTGGCACATAGAACCTACGAATTGAACATTAGTTGAGTAAAGTCCACAGAATGGTGCTATCTTTGCTCCATTAATGATCATACTCTTATTGAGTGTAAATAAATAAAATTACCTCACAGAGATATTTTGGAGCCCTTTGGGAGCCTTTCCCGATAAGATATTTTATTTTTTCATCATATATTTTTACAGAGCATGCAGCCTGTGCAGGGAGGTGTGCTGGGCACCATGAGGACACAAATACGTCTTCTAGGAGTTTACTGTTAACCAAAGCAGGATAGGAGGGCATTTTGAGCTGAGACAATCAGGAAGACTTTGGGAAGAAAAGTGCCCACTGGGTCAAGCCTGGAAGATAGGTAGGATCCCACTAGATGGGGTCAATATGTTGCAATTGCAATTTAAAGCTTTGTGGGTGTGTATTTTAATTCACACATTAAGTAAAATCTCTTATTTGGACAGGATGATAACAGAGTTTGGGAGCCCCTCAGCAGCTGTCCTGGGCTGGTACAATATTGCATGGTTTGTGGAGGCAGTTGTGGGCAGAGGCCGAGGGACGGGGTTCTGCTGGGGCTTCTGTCTTCTGCTGGGGGGTTAGTTGAGGCCGGAAGGGTGCAGCAGCATAGGAAAGATGGGGAGAGCACCGCCTTTTTAATGTGACTCCAGTGCCCACTCTTCCAAGTTGGGGATGGTGTGACAAGCACATGGGCTCCCACTAGGAGTTTTATTTTGGATCCAAACCTTACTGTTTCTGAAGTACTTACTATAAAATGAAAATATCCTGTCAGAAATGGGAAAGTCTTTAAGCTGAAATTAAAAAGAGAAACTGGAAATCATGAGGTATCTTGGGGATTAACTGTTCAGAACAGTAGAGATGGAGGATTAGGTGATGGTATGTGAGTGTGGCAGGTATCATTTAAGAAAACACAGGGAAAGAAATATAACTTTTTTTTTGAGACAGAGTCTCATACTGTCACCTAGGCTGGAGTGCAGTGGTGCCATCTCAGCTCACTGCAACCTCCGCCTCCTGGGTTGAAGCGATTCTCCTGCCTGAGCCTCCTGAGTAGCTGGGATTACAGCTGGGATTACCACCGCGCCTGGCTAATTTTTGTATTTTTAGTAGAGATGGGATTTCACCATGTTGCCCAGGCTAGTCTGGAACTCCTGACTCAGTAATCTGCCTGCCTCGACCTCCCAAAGTGCTGGGATTACAGGCGTGAGCCACCGTGCCTGGCCTAAAAATTATAATTTTTAAAGTCTATTCATTATGGAGTAATGATGAGCTCACTTAGTGAGGATTCACTGGAAGGTAGTTTTTCTGTACGCGCAGAGTGCTATCTATGTGCAAGGAGCCCTGACAAATTGGCAGGAGACATGAAGA
This sequence comes from Homo sapiens, assembly GCF_000001405.40. Classification (NCBI taxonomy): domain Eukaryota; kingdom Metazoa; phylum Chordata; class Mammalia; order Primates; family Hominidae; genus Homo; species Homo sapiens. The sequence continues at coordinate 76,460,084 of NC_000005.10, forward strand.
TGATCAAAAGCTTCCTCTAAGGATCCCCTAGTTTGGAGAGACAGACAGACTGATTTACAGTGGGGGGCTTTTCTGATGAGTGATGTAATAAAAATGTGAACTAAAGTGCCAAGGAGAGCCAATGGATTTAGATTCAGAGATCCATGGAATTTTGCCTGAGATGATGTGAAAGGCACCACCTGCAGAAGGTGGGAGAATGGCTTTCCAGGCAGAGAGAAGGGTGGAGCAGAAGCACTCAGCGTTGGAGGGAGTGGTGTGGTCCTGGAACACGGTGCTGCCTGGGAGCTCTGGCTAAAGTGTGGGCTTCCTGGATGTGGGGAGATGCAAAGTGCTCTAGAACTTGTTCTGTAGGAAATAGGGGAGCCATCAAAAGTTTTGAGAGGGGAAGTAATAAGGAAGACGCTTCTGTTGGCCATGGGGAGAATGAGTGGAAAAGGGGTAGTGGCTGAGTGACTAGACCTGTTCTGAGAGTTTTATGGGAGAGACATTAAGACCTGGACTCTCGCAATGGAGGTGCAGAGGAAGATTGAGAGCTTCTGTACTTTTCTGAAATGTGAGAGCTCAGTTTTAAAGTTTAGATTGGACTGAGTTTATTAAAGAAAAAGAAAATGTTTTTGACACATGTCAATCTTTGTTGACACCCGTTGGTATCAATGCTGTGGGGTGAGGTCTCCATGTTCAAGGAATGGAGCCACAATGGAAAATTGGGAGTGGTAGGAAGGGGGATGGGACAAGGATGAGGACATCCATGGAAGCTCCTGCCCGTTTGCACACTGCTTTTTTTTTTTTTTTTTTTTTTTCCCTGAGACTGAGTCTAACTCTATCGCCCAGGGTGGAGTACAGTGGCACAATCTTGGCTCACTGCAACCTCCACCTCCCAGGTTCAAGTGATTCTCCTGATTCTCTTGCCTCAGCCTCCCAAGTAGCTGGGACTACAGGTGCCCCCCACCACACCTGGCTAATTTTTTGTATTTTTAGTAGAGATGGGGTTTCACCGTGTTAGCCAGGATGGTCTGGATCTCCTGACCTTGTGATCCGCCCACCTCAGCCTTCCAAAGTGCTGGGATTACAGGCGTGAGCCGCCGCACCTGGCCTTGATTCACTTGTTAGAAATAATACTGTAAAAATAAAAAAACTAGCCAAGTGTGGTGGCGTGTGCCTGTAGTCCCAGCTACTTGGGAGGCTGAGGTGAGAAGATTGCTTGAGCCCAGGAGGCTGAGGTTGCAGTAAGTCATGATGGCACCACTGCACTCCAGCCTGGGTGACAGTGCCAGTTCCTGTCTCAAAAAAAAAAAAAATAAAAATAAAGGAAAAGAAATGATATTGTAAAATCCAAAGGCAAATTTCTCTCTCTGCCTGGTGTTTCAATACTCCTGTCTCTGAATGTTAAATGTTCAGCTGCATATGATTTTTTTCTGATTGATTGTCTCAGGTGTTTAATGAAGACTGCCTTTGTAAATCACATGTTGTTATCCTCTATTTCTAGCTATTGTGGACGATGAAAGGCTCTCTGCAGAGGAGATGGATGAGAGGAGGCGGCAGAACATTGCTTATGAATATCTGTGCCACTTAGAGGAAGCCAAAAGGTAAGATCCAGACTTAGTCTATTTGTGCACCATCTCTTGGAGATAAGCTTTGTGATAAGGGCGTGGGATTTGATGACCAGAGGGTTCTGAAATGGGCCAGCAATTCTAAAGAGTTGTCGTAGTTGGAGATGGCCAGGGAGAGATTCTTGCCTGCACTCAGTGATTTAGATTTGGCCAAACCTCCCATGCCAGGAGGCCAGTGGGCTAGGGGATGACCCCTCCACACTCTGCTCCACTCCTGAGTCACAGCTGGGTGCACATCACACTCCTGTGCATATGCTACATAGTTCTAATAACTCATTTGCAGTCTTGTTGGCAGCAGGATAATGGGAGAAGAAGCATCTATTTCTTGCAAATGGTTGGGCAGAGTTGAGAAAAAGTTGATGCCACAGCCAAAGTTGAGGCACTAGGAGGAAGGCAACTATTCATTTCCCTGCCTCGGAGCCTCCCAGGAAATCACGGGGCCAACTGCAGATTGTTTCAAATTCTTCATCTCACTGGCTTGGATGTAGAGGAGCAACAATGACTTAAATCAACTTCCTTTTTCCGCAGAGCTTCCTTGGGTCTTTTCCCCACTCGCAGCCCAATGATGATAAATGCCCAGCAGGACAGTGGCATATCAGACTGAAGTCCATCAGTCCCTAAGTAGGTTTATGACAGCAATCTCCTCTTTAAACCGTGGGTGTGTGGCCACTTAGGGTATATTGTCTCTAAAATCACATTGACTCTTTTAGGCTTTTTAGATTAAATAAATGTTGCGTTCTCCAAGGAGAAAGTGAAGATAAAGAGTCCTAAGTGCAAATACTTTCCTCATGAGAGGAATTGAGAGAACTTTATCCTTTGTGGGGTGAATACTACAGAGTTCATATACCATGAGTTAGAGTTTGATTGAATGCTTTATGCCAGGGTGGAGCGACAGTATTGTTCCCTGGACAAAGATATGTTCCAGCCCTCTTAGCTATATAGAAATAAATACTTGGTTAAATGGTCACTGGTGTTAATTATCTCTGATCACTGATGAATGGCTATCTACAGAACTAGAATGATGAGGTTTTTAATCAGTATTTTGGTGACACATGCCCTAATTTGACATCAAAATTGCTTTCAAGGGGTTTCTCAGAGTTGTTTAATATTTTAGTAGTGTCACGTAACTTTCTTTAGGCTCTAAAAACCAAGTTTTAAAGATTGTTTAACATGTCTGTGAAGTCTACAGTTAGGTTGCAGGATGCTAGCGATTCACTATCAGTCTAAGATCATTAAAAACATGCTTTTAGTCAAGTTGTCGCAAAAAAGTTAGATAAGGAGATTGATTCATAGGCATTAGAAAGAAGTGGTCCCAACCACTCCTGAGGCTAAGGTGGGAGGATCACTTGAGCCTGGGAGGTGGAGGCTGCAGTGAGCTGAGATCGGGCTGCTGCACTCCAGCCTGGGTGGCAGAGTGAGACGCTGTCTTTAAAAAAAAAAAAAAAAAAAAGGAAAAGAAAGAAAGAAAAAGAAAAGAAAAAATATACTTTCAGTGAATAAGTTCAAGGAGATAGTAGAAAAACTTACTTTTCTATTGATACTCACTTTACATTTTGTTTTTGCCTCCTGTTTTTAACAAGTGGGAAGGGGTGTCATGTAGAGGAAAATGATATGTGATTGGGAGTTGGTTTGCCTAACTTCCTGGTCCCAGCTCCACCACTTACACAAGCAGCTTGACCTTCCACAGACCATTTTACCTGTGGGAAGTTCAATTTGTCCCCTCTGTAAATGAGACAATCAAGATGATGTTACTTATTGCCCTACTTATTCATGGATTCAAGGATTTTTAAAAAATCATTTAAAGAAGGTGAAAGTATTCTGTAAGCTATAGTGCCAGTCAGGTTTATGGTGATAACATAAGCAAAGTTTTCTCCTCAGTATATTGAAATGGTATAAATGTAGCTTGAAAGCTTGTCATCTTCTCTAGTATTTTTGAAATTCTGTAGTTGAATTTTGTTTCAGAAAGTCAGCATAATGATTATTTCAGATTCTTTGAGGAAAACTTTCCTTGGAATAGTTTCATGAAAATAATTATCAAAATGTACAATTTTTCCTCTAAGATGGCTTTTCATAAATTTATTTGATGAGTATATTAGATGTAGTATATATTTATGAATCTTTTATTAAGACACAAATACTTTTTTTCTTTTTTCTTTTTCTTTTTTTTTTTCTGAGATGGAGTCTCACTCTGTCGCCCAGGCTAGACTGCAGTGGCGGGATCTCAGCTCACTGCAACCTCTGCCTCCTGGGTTCAAGTGATTCTCCTGCCTCAGCCTCCCAAGCAGCTGAGATTACAGGCGCTCACCACTACACCTGGCTAATTTTTGTATTTTTAGTAGAGATGGAGTTTCACCATGTTAGCCAGGCTGGTCTCGAACTCCTGACCTCAAGTGATCCGCCCACCTCGGCTCCCAAAGTGCTGGGATGACAGGCGTGAGCCACTCACTGTACTCGGCCAAGACACAAATACTTTGAAAGAAGCTGATTTTTGGTCATGGATTATATAAAAATTTGTGGCTACTACTAGACATATAGTTGTGCTGATTTAAGAAAGCATAGTGCACAGAAAACTCATGGTCTTGAATGCAAGAAATACAGGAAAGGGTGAATTTGTCTTTCTTGAAAAGATGAGAGGATTTATTGCATGATTCTTTTAAAGTATTAGTACCTTTGGAATTTGTGATATTGGGTTTATTATAATGCACATATGTGTGTTCACATGAATGGAGTTGACTTAGAATATTGAGTTTCTACTAAATTGTATGCTTGTACTGTATATATTCATCTAGGAAGTGTTTCTTGTTTCTGATTTCAGTTGAAATGACTTTATTGCATTTTAATTAAAAATGTATTGGTTCTGTCTTTGCACCTGTTTTTCTTTCTGGAGGTGAGAATTGGAAGGTATCTAGTTTGTATATCCTGTAACTTAAGATTTTTACAAATTGAGAATTATAATATTCCAGTATATCTTTTATTTTGGTTTTATTAATTTCAAAATTCTATAATAAATCAGGCCATTGAAAAGTTCTTTATTCAGAGGGGACATCACTACCAACATTACAGAAATACAAAGGATTATAAAGGAATACTATGAACAATTACATGCCAATGAAAACTTAGAGGAAATTGACAAATTCCTAGAATGACAAGCTACTAAAACTGACTCAATAAGAGACTTAAACATCTGAAAAAAACTAATATAAACAGAATGAGACTTATAATAAGTGAAGAGCCTGACTTAGAAATCAGAAAACTTCCCACAAACCCAGATAACTTCACAGTAGAATTCTGCCAAATGTTTAAAGAAGAATTAAGAGCAGTCCTTGCAAACTCTTCCAAAAAATACGAAAAGAGAAAACATTTTCCAATTCATTCTTCTGAGGCCTACATTACCCTAATACCAAAACCAGATAGCCATCTCAAGAAAACTAAAGACCAATATCTCTTATGAATACAAATGCAAAAATCCTTAGCAAAATACTAGCAAATCAAATCCAGCAACATATAAAATATATTTAATACCATCAAGTGAGATTTATCCTAGGAAGCAAGCTTGGTTTAAGACCTGAAAGTCAATATCATAGACCATATTAATGGAAGAAAGGACAGAAGCCATATGATCATCTCAATATATGCAGGAGAAGCATTTGGTAAAATCCAGCCCCCTTTCTTGACTTAAAACGTTCAACAAACTAGGAATAGAAGAGAATTTCAACCTGATAAAGGACATCTATGAAAAACCTACAAGTAACACCATACTCAGTGGTGAAATACAGGAATAAGGATGTTTTTTCTTACCACTTCTGTTTAACATTGTACTGGAGATTTTAGCCAGGCAGTTAGGCAAGAAAAATAAGCAAAAGGCATCCAGGTTAGAAAGGAAGACGTGAAACTATTTCTAAGGGATGTTTTCTGGTTTATAGAAAATCCATAGGAATCTACTAAAAAACAGAACAGAAGAAAACACTAAGAAAACCCCACCACAATGAGTCCATCATGGTTGTAGGATACTAGGGGAGTGTGTAAAAATGGCATTTCTTGACACGAGCAATAAGCAATCTGAAAATGAAATTAAGAAAGCAATTCACTATATGATAGCATTAAAAACAATAAAATTCTTAGGAATAAAATTAACAAAAGAAGTACAAGAATTGAACACTGAAAACTACAACACATTGAAAATTTTAAAACTCTTAAATAGACAGAAAGACATCTCATGTTCATGGATTGGAAAATAGCATTAAGAAAACAATGGTCCCAAATTGATTTATAGATTCAATACAGTTTCTAGAAATATTCCCAGCTGCCTTCTTTTTTTTTAAATGGAGAAATTAGAAAGCTGATTCTAAAATTTATATGGTGGCCAGGTCTGGTGGCTTGTGCTTATCTTCCAGCACTTTGGGAGGCTGAGATGGGAGTATTGCTTGAGGCCAGGAGTTTGAGACCAGCCTAGGTAATGTAGCGAAACCCTGTCTCTGCAAAAAAAAAAAATTTTGAATTAGCTAGATGTGGTGGCATGCACCAGTAGACCTAGCTACTCTGGAGGCTGAGGCGTGAAGATCACTCAGGAGGCTGAGGATGCAGTGAGTTACGATCACACCACTGCACTCCAGGCTGGATGACAGAGCAAGACCTTGTCTCAAAAACAAGAACAAAAATAAAGTTTATATGGAGATGCAAGGAATGCAGAATAGTCAAAAGTGTCTTGAAAAAGAAACGCAAAGTTGGAGGACTCATTTTTCAATTTCAAAACGTACTTACAAAGCCCACAGTAATTGAGACAGTATGGTACTGGCATAAGGATATGCATATAGATCAATAGAGTAGATTTGAGAGTCTAGAAATAAACCCTAACACTTCTGGTAAACTGATTTTCATCAGCAGAATAAAGTCAATTCACTGGGAGTGAGAGAAGATGCCCTTTTCAACAGAGGATGCTGACTACTCAGTGTCTACATACATAAAAATGAATTTGGACCTCTGCCTCACACCGTATACAAACATTTTCTTAAAATGGATTATTAACCTAAATGTGAGAGCCACAACTGTAAATCTCTCCAGAAGAAAACAGGAGTAAATCTTTGTAGCCTTGGGTGTTAGGCATTGGTTTCTGAGCTATGACACCAAAGCACAACCAATAAAAGAAAAACAGATAAATTAGACATTATAAAAACTGAAACCTTTTCTGATTCAAGAGATACCATCAAGAAAGTGAAAAGACAAATCATGTGTCTGATAAAGGTTACATGTATTCAGAATATACAAAGGGTTCTTAAGTCGGGTGAGGTGGCTCACACCTGTAATCCCAGCACTTTGGGAGGCTAAGGCCAGCAGATCGCTTGAGCCCAGGAGATCGAGACCAGCCTGGGCAACATGGTGAAACCCCATCGCTACAAAAAAATAGAAAAATTAGCTGGATGTGGTGGCACATGCCTGTAGTCCCAGCTACTCTGGAGGCTAAAGTGGGAGAATTGCTTGAGCCTGGGAGGTGGAGGTTGCAGTGAGCTGAGATCACACTGCACTCTACTCTAACCTGGGTGACAGAGCAAGACTCTGTCTCAAAAAAATAAAAATAAAAGTAAAGCACTTTTAAATTCTACATAAAGAGTTAATAGCCTAATTTTAAAATGGGCAAAAGTTCTGAATAGACATGTCTCCAAAGAAGATACACAAGTGATCAATAAGCATATGACAAGGTAGTCAACATCATTAGTCATCAGGGAAATACAAATCAAAACCACAATGAGATGTTACTTCATACCCACCAGCGTAGCTATAATCAAAGATGGACAATAACAAATGTTAGTGAGGATGTAGAGAAATCAAAACTCATACATTGCTGAACAGATTGTAAAATGGTGCAGCTACTTTAGAAAATAGTCTGGCAGCTCTTTAAAAAATTAAACAGAGTTACCATATGACCCAGCAATTATCCTCCCAGGTATATACGAATGAAAATTGAAAATCTATGCCCATACAAAAACTTGTACTCGAATGTTCACAGAATCATTATTCATAATGACAAAAAGCAGAAACAATCCAAATGTCTACCCACTGATAAACGGTGATGTATCCATACAATGAAATATTTCTCAGCTATAAAAAAGAATGAAGTACTGATACATACTACAACATGGATGAACCTTAAAAACATGTTGAGTGAAAGAAGCTAGACACAAAAGGCCACATATTATATGAAATGTCCAGAATAGACAAATCCACAGAGACAAAGTAGATTAGTGATTGCCAGGGCCTAGGGGAAGAAGAGAAATGCTGGGTAACTGCTACTGGGTATGGGATTTCTTTTTGGGCTGATAAAAATATTCTAAAATTGATTGTGGTGATGGTTGCACAACTTTGAGTATACTAAGAACCACTGAGTTGTTTACTTTAAAAGGGAGAATTGTATGGTATATAAGTTGTATCTCAATAAAGCTATTTATTAAAGATAATTTCCTTACACTGGCTTGGAGAGGTCCTTAGGAAGCTGTTAAATAAGATCAATTGGTATTAGCAGATACATTGCATATAGAAGGTACCCCTAAGATACACGAGATATCTAAATACTGTGTTTGTTTTACAGATATTTATTGAGCATCCTTTATGTGTAAACAAGCCTAGGAGGGTTGTTTTGGGAGATGGAGTTCAGGCAACAAATAATGCTGTGCTCAGAAAAACTCGCCATTTGGTTGAACTTTTTACTCAAGAGTTTAAAGTTATTTTCCTTCATTTATGTTTGCTCTGTTAATCTCTCTGTATATGTGTATCATCTCCATATCCAGCCATCATCCTCCTAAACAGCTCTCATATGTTCACCTCTCTATCCCACCACTGCTAGCCCGCCAAAGGATTCCAGCATCTCTTGTGAGACTACTGTAGTGGTCCTTAACTGGTTTCTTCATGAGTCTCTAGCCTCCTTCAATCCTTTATCTGTCTTATAGTCAGATAAATCTTTTCAAAACTCTGAGCAAACTCCTTTACTTGGCCTCATAGGCTCTGCATAGTCCAGTTCAACCTCTTTAGTTTTACATTGTGCCGCACTGCTCTGTGCTTCAACCACATTGATCTGTTTTATTCCCTGTTCCCTCCTGCACAGGACCTTGCCATGTGCTATTCGCTTTTCATATTCCTCTTTATCTAGTCAGACTTACTTCCTCTTCAGATTGCAGCTCACTTTTTCAGGGTATCCTTCTCTGGCTTCCACATCCAGGTCAAACTCACCGATTAGAAGGCCTTTTGACATCACATCTATTGCATGTTTGAATGAATAACGTAATGCCCAGTGTTGGATCAGTATCATTCGCTACTAAGGAGGTTTGATTATGCTCTGTTTTCTGTACATTTTGGATGTTGGAGGTAACAAGGAGGATATGAATCAGACTCACGGTAGACAGCTAGACTGCCAGCCTAGCGGTAATCTTTGTTTCACTGGAAAATTCTATATTGCAGTTAGATGATGCAAGTCCTTCCCGACAGGTTTGTGACCCAGTAAGTTATGAAGCTGGGAATTCCAGACAACTTAATAAGCCGTGATACCACAGTGAACTAGAAAATATCCAGAAAGGCGTATAGAGTATTGCTCAATGAATGAATGAAGAGAGAAAGAGGAAGCCTGTGTATTAGGAGGACTTAAGGCTGAAATTATTGCTCAAACTTTATAAAATTATGAAGTCTTTACGTATAGATGTTAAGACTCAAAAAATGAATTTTTTTTTTTTTTGAGACGTAGTGTCACTCTGTTGCCCAAGCTGGAATGCAGTGCAGTGGTGCGATCTCGGCTCACCGTAACCTCCACCTCCTGGGTTCAAACGATTATTTCTCCTGCCTCAGCCTCCCAAGTAGCTAGGATTACAGAAGTATGCCACCATGTCTGGCTAATTTTTATATTGTTGTAGAGACAGGATCTCACCATGTTGGCCAGGCTGGTCTCAAACTCTTGGCCTCAAGTGATCCGCCTGCATTGGCCTCCAAAAGTGCTGGGATTACAGGCATGAGCCACCGCTCCTGGCCTCAAAAAACTAATATTGATGGCAATGAACAAAATATTAAACAGGCTTTTTTTTTTAGGGCCAAAAAGAAGTAATTTGGCTCTTCACCCAAATTACTTCACCCTACAGGCTGAAGGATTCAGATGAAGTGGAGAGTGAATCACTTCTGTTAAGAGGCAAAGGATGTCTTGTATATGTATTAGTTGCCTATGACTATATAACAAGTTATTCTAAAACTTAGTAGCTTAAAACAATAAACATTTATCTCGGAATTTTTGAGGGTCAGAAATCTGTCATTGCTTAACTGGGTCCTCTGGTTTTGGGTCTCTCACAAAGCTGCAGTCATCTCACAGTTCACGTGGGGCACACCCACTTCCAAGCCACCCAGTGACACTGGCAGGATTCAGTTTCTGACAGGTTTTTGGACTGGAGATCTCAGTTCCTTGCTGCTGTTGGCCAGAGTCTTCCCTCAGTTGCTCACCACTTGGGCCTCTTACACATGGAAACTTACACATGGCAACTGGTTTCCATCAGAGTAGGCAACTGAGAGAAGAAGATGGAAGCTAGTCTTTTTGTAACCTATTCTTAGCAATGACACCCATCATTTATGCTGTATCCTATTCATTAGAATCGAGTTACTAAGTCAAGGCCATGCTCAAGGGGAGGAGTTTTCCACAAGGGGTTGAATTCAGAGGGATGGGGATGACTGGGGCACCACCTTAGAAGCTGCCTTTCACAGGGTGTCTTCATAGGCTTTTGAAATGGACCCCAGAAAGGGAATTTGAGGATAAAATTATTTTTGTTACTATTAGAAACTCAATCAGAAATTGAATCCTTCCTGATCTGAATGCTTACGGTTCTAAGCTTACTGCTGCCTTGATTGTTTTTTGTTGGTTTGTGTTTTTGTTTTTAATTTTAAGGGTCTTGCTGTGTTGCCCAGGCTGGATTCAAACTCCTGGGCTCAAACAATCCTCCAGCTTCAGCCTCCCAAGTAGCTGAGGCTACAGTTGCTTGCTACCATGCCTGGCAACTCCCTTGATTTTTTTTAATTGGGAGCTGTTTTAAACTAAGCCTTTTCATTTCTTTGTCATTTAAAATAATACTAAATGGACTTTTTAGGTTTCCTTTTCAAGTAGGCCCTCAAAGCTAACTTTATAGCTTCTTTGCTGTGGGGCTTTTGCTGAAATGAAACTGTACAGACAAGTCTACTACTAATATGGGCTTTGAAATGTCCTCTCTGATGCCAGAAATCCTACTATTTAAATTAAAGGAGTAACTTTTCCAAAAGAATTAGTACTGCTGAGTAGATTTTATATTAATCTGCCTAAAATTTATTCAAATAATGAAAATGAATCTGTTTTAAGAAATTCAGTCTTTTAGTTTTTAGGACAACTATGCAAAAATGTACGATGGAGAATTCTTTTTGGATAAACTCTAGGTTGAGGAACTTAATCCAACCGGAGCTATTGTGAAGGTCAGAAAACAGGAGAGGGAATCTTGGCAAGGAATGGAGACGGAGTTTGCAAATTGCAGCTTGAGTAAATAGTTATGAATGGGACTGCTATTGTGTCTCCCAAGGAAAGTTCCTGTGATATTATATTCCTTTTTTAAGGAAAGAGAAAATGCACAGAAAACTTTTGCTGTGCTTCCTTTTTCTGTCCTACCTCTGAAAATAAACTAAGCAAAAAAAAAAAAAAAAAAAAAACACCCTTCCCTTGGTGATAGGCTTGTTTAGAAATATTATCTTCAAAGGTCTCTTTAGGTAAGCCAAGCCATTGGCTATATTGGTGAGTCTGGGACAGTTATATATGTGCCCTGGAAAGAAAACAAAACACGGGTGTGATTCCTTTTGTGTCAGTGTTTACAACTCAGATACCAAAAGAACACCTTGTTGATTAAATCAAGTCTCAAGCTCTGGCCTTATCTAGTGGTGAGTTAGAGAATCAGATTTGAAAGGAGAAGTGCTTCAAATGTTTAAGCAAGTGAAAGCCATGAGTTGCTTAACAGTCAATATTCATGATTAGTTTAAAAAAAAAAAGAGAATCTTCTGACTGGGGAATACTTTAGAGAATCCAGTGGATTTCCTCTGCATGCTTGGACCTCACTATCCTTATTCCTAGGACATACCCATGGATAAGCAATGCTAATAAGAACTTGGAATTTCCAGGGAAATATTTTTCTTTGTTGCTCTACACACAAAATAGTAATGAAATTTTTAAGAATTCCTAATTGCATTTTCAAAACATAAATAGTTTTCATGTTTCCACTGTAACTCTCCATTTCTCCCTTCCCTCCCTTGTTCTCTCCCTGGCTCTGACCTCACCTCTGCTTTCCACGGGGAGCAAGATGAACTGCTTGGTTGTTCCATGCGGCAGCTGGTGGGGCAGAGGGTGCAGTGAGCTGAGAGCAGGGACCCCCTCGCAAGTCTGGCACCTGGTTGAGGGGAAGGCCTGCTTGGGGCTGCTTTCCAACCAGCTTGCCTCAGGAGCCCTGTGCCAGCGAGGCTGAGATCAGGGCCTGGCACATCCCAATGGCAGGGAGAGAGTAACTTGTGAGGAGCCCAGACTTGTCCAGGGTAGCTTGGCAGAGTTGGAGAGGTGGTCTTAACAGGGTGATCTCCGTGGCACAGGAATAGACGTGATCCCAGCCAGCCCTACCTGCCAACAAGTAGTGCTTGTAGTTGGGGCCTCAGAGAGGTGTTGGTGCTGAGGGCCAGCTGGCGGTGACCAGGGATTATGCTGTGGAGCTAGAATGGAAGGAACACTTATTAAGGATATAAAGGAAAAAGCTACAGGACTTGGCGGGGGTCTGGATTTGGGCAGCAGAGGAGGACACTGGGAGGTCAGATGCCCTGGGGCAGATCAAAGCATTGCTTATCTGACTCAGCAGGACACATTTCGTGTTCTCTGTCTGCCAAGCCTAGGCTTGGGCATATAGTAGGTGGAAAAAGTTCTTTGTTTTTAGTTTCACATATTGTACTAGCTTTGGATGTATGTTGGACAGGTGCCAATCGGGTATGTTCTGACAGATGAAAGTATAACTTTTCAGAGTGCTGGTATTTTAAAATACAAATAATCGGTATTAATCATCTCCAGCCAAAGACAAGTTGAGCAACTGATATTTGATCCCAAAGTTTATATTTGTTTCTCAGGATCTTCAAAGTTGGAAACCTGGGAGAGGTTTGGAATTTTCCATGGTTGCAAATGTACTTTACTCACAAGGATTATCACACAAGTGTCTACTCACCAGGCACGGTGCTTTAAGCATTCAACCCACATGGTCTCGATTCTCACAACCACTCTGTGGGAAGGAGCATTATCCCCATTTGATAGATGGAAAAACCAAGTCTTGGAAAAACTTAAGTAATTTATTCAGTGTCGCAGCCAACAGGCGACAGCAACAGTATTACAACCTAGGTCTTTCTGACTTCAAAGACTGTGCTTAAAAACTATAACATACTGTCCCATTTCTTTATTTCTTAATGTGTTTTGATCATGTCTTCCTTGTAAGTCCAAAACATGGTCTTGGTTTTTAGGTTCTATATGGGCTAGTTCTAGTTCTAGCTCTTGATCAATAAATTCTCACTTAAGCTTTGGTGGAATTAGCACAATATAGCTATCCATTGGCTATATATGGCTATATATTGTTTTATTTTCCTTTCTCTTTTTTTTTCCTGTGAACTGTTTCTATTTTGTTTTAACTGGTACTATTATAAGTAGTTTGTTCTGGGAATAATTTATCTTGTATTTACTTTGTGTTCTTCCTCCCTCTTTCTCCTTCTCTCTTTTGCTCATTTTAGGCTAGCTCTTTCTTGCTCTCTCTTTTTTCAATTAAAATAAAATAGAGATGAGATCTCACTATGTTGCTTAGGCTGGTCTTGAACTCCTGGCCTCAGGCAGTCCTCCCACCTTGGCCTCCCAAAGTGCTGGAATTACAGGCATCAGCTACTGTGCCTTAAAGTATTATTAAGAATTTGTACTTCTCTATGATGTAGACTTTATTCTGTTCTCTTCACCCAAGAAAATTTTGGTGCATCTTTATTCTTGGTTAGGCCTCCATACCACCTTCAATTCATCAATTATCTTTTTGGTTTTGCCACTATTATGACTGGTTTCAAAGAATGCTTGGCTTTTTGTTGAAACATCAAAAGGTATGAGTAGCAAACAGCACTGAGATCTCTTCCTTCCTGTGTGAACCTCCCCACCGGAAGCTGCCTCATGCTGTGATGCTTAAAAGTCATAAAACGGTATCATTATTCAAGGCATAGAGTGACTTTAGGGAAGCTGGTGGGGGAGAACATTTGTACAAGGTTGTCACAGAATGATTTCTTTGTGTCTTCCATTTTTAGGGTGATATAGAATGTAGAGCGATCTTCCATTGCCTTCTCAGTCTGAACACCTTTGTTTTTCTTTAACAGAGTCAAATCCCCATTTCATATATGGGGATACTGAGGCTCAGAAATTTATCTCACTTATCCATGGTGGAGTTAGTGGTAGATTTGGGATTAGGATAAAGGTCTTCTGACTGTTTGACAGTGCTCTTTAGTTCCATGAGTCTCTATACACCATGTTGAGTAGTAAAAGTAGAAAGCTCAAATGAGTCTCTATAAATCATGTTGAGTAGTAAAAGTAGAAAGCTCAATAAAGAAAAAATATAAACATGAATATTAAACTTATTTGGTAGATTCAGTTCAAGTTTGCTTTTGGTTAAATGCTGCAAATGGTTTGGGGGAATTAGCCATTCATATGTTCTTGTCCTTGATCTTTCATTTTTGCTGAGAAACTTGAACCCATTTTGGTGCAAGAACAGGAATTCAGGAATTAACATTTCTAGTCATTTCTGCACTCTGTACTCCGTCCTACTTGGCTTAATGTCCCTGGGTTGCTTTTTTGTTTGTTTGTTTTTTCCCATCGTGTGATTTGTAATACACAGCTTTTCCTGCCCCTGGTATTTCTCAAGGCAAGAGTTGAGGCAGCTATGTCATCTGGGAGAGTGACTTAGGGCAGTGATCCCCAAATTCATTTACACCTGCATCAAGGTCACTTGGATGCTTGTGTGAGTGCAGGCTTCTGAGGATCACTCCTGACCCTATAAGGCCATCTCTAAGGACAACCTCCGCCTCCCAGGTTCAAGCGATTCTCCTGCCTCAGCCTCCCAAGTAGCTGGAATCACAGGCATGCATCACCACACCTGGCTGATTTTGTATTTTTAGTAGAGACGGGGTTTCACCATATTGGTCAGGCTGGTCTTGAACTCCCGACCTCATGTGATCCACCCACCTCAGCCTCCCAAAGTGCTGGGATTACAGGCATAAGCCACCGCGTCCGGCTGAGGTCTGCCTTTTAACAGAGCACTGGAGTACACTATTATGCACACTGACATTTGAGATAGCATCTATGGCTGAGGCTGTCTCAGCTCTCAGCCTTCCCACCCCAGCTTAGAAAAAAGGAACAGAGGATACCCCTTCCTCTGGGATGAGAGGGGAGAGAGGAAGGATACTAAGAGTCACCATCTGCTGAGGTGAGGAGGGTGGAGGCATGAAAAAGCAGTAGTGCATCAGCCAGGGTTGGATAGAAAGCCTGAGTAGTTTTGAAGATCCAATTAGTGTTATAAATGTTCTTTGCAGAGCCAATAAGCATTTTCATGTGAATTTCTCCAACAAGATAAAAGAATGGGGTAACTATGCCTAGGGATTGACCTGCTGGCTCTGACCAAGTCATAGGTGTTGGGGCTCAGACACTGATGCCCCAAAATACAGCATTTTGACATTCCAAACTGAAGAAGCTTCAAGGTGTCTCTGACATTCCTGCATCCCACATTCTCTTTCAAAGGCTTTATCTACCAAAGATCGAGACCCACCAGGGGAAAGAATTGTTTTTCCTTCCCCTCCCTGTAAGACCGGGAATGTGGCCACACCTGAACAGAACCTTTCACAGGATGACATACAGGTTAATCTCTGTTCCCCATCCCTTTTCCTTGGTAATCTCAACCAAATTCCTTTTCTGCCCCCCTCCCATAACCTGTTTTGCTGGGATGGTAGTTAAGCTTCTGAGTCACTTGAGGGGTGGGTAAACATGTGAGTCTACTTGCGTACATGTTAATAAAACTTATATGCCTTTTCTCCAATTGATCGGCCTTTTGTGAGTTGATTTTTTCAGAGAACCTTCAGATGGCAAAGGGGAGGATTTCCTTTGGCCTCTGCATGGGAAACAGGGACTCCAGGGTGTTCATGAGAGTATTGCTGAAATTGGGTTCTTGAGGTCCCATCTGGCCGAGGAGCCTATGAAGCCAGGATGGGAAAGATGGAGTGGGGTGAAATCAAGGAACCACCTACAATGAGAATAAAGGGCAGGATCTATAAGAATAAGGAAGTGGAGAAGTGAGTAAATAGAAAGGCTATAGTCCAAGATTTGGAAGCCTTGATCTTACAGGTGGAGTATTTCCAGGTAGTGATAACGTGCAAGGTGTGGTGCCTGTGTGTGGTTGGAGTGTAGTGGAGGAGTGTTACCAAGGTCATCCACCTTCTTGAAGCCACCCAGCAGAGGCAGGCCTGGGAGGAAGGCAGCAATTGTGGCAAGAAAGGAAAAGTCCTGGAGGTCAAGAAATGAGTGGCAAGGTTAGGGGTGAGAGGGAAGAGTGAAGCCCTGAGAAGTGAGGTGATGGACAGGATGTGGCCTGGGAGAAACGTTTATTTGGGAAAGTGATGACTATCCTCTCTTTGTCCTGGGAGTCAAGGAAATTTGGCAAACAACCACCCCTGGAGTGGGTTTATGAGGGGTGGGATTTTGAAGCAAAAGCCAGCTTTTCATTAGACAAGTAGGTAGAGAAAGTGTAAACAAAAAGTGATAATATAGGAGAATTACAACGGGTCAGGAGTTCAGAGGCTCATTGGAAGGAGTGAGTAGGCTTGGGGTATGTTTAAGGAGGGCTGGTTAGCAGGATGGAGACAGATGACTTTATATGAGTTCTGGGGGGGTCAGGACTTTTACTAGAGTTTACTAGGAAACCAAATCCACTGCAGAAACAGGCATAGATTTATGTAACTGTGGTAGGGGCCCATTAGAGATCTTGTGTTACTGATTTACTAATTGTGCTACTGATTTATTACTAATTCATTAGCTGTGACATACACTTTCAGCAAGTGACTAAAACCTTATGACCCAGAGTAAAATAATTTTATATCATGACCCAGGTAGCTGTGTGATATGTGTAATAAGTGGGCGTGTGTGTCTAACTAAAGATTCACCGAGCAACACTTAACTTCTACTATATGCAACAGCCTCTTATGTTTACTATTCTGTTCTGTTCTAATTCATTTTCTAAGAAAATGCTGGTCATGAACCACTGTGTTGATTTTATGATCCGTTAAAACATTACAGGTCAGGCATGGTGGCTATAATCCCAGGACTTTGGGAGGCCAAGATGGGTAGATTGCCTCAGCCCAGGAGTTTGAGACCAGCCTGGGCAACATGGTGAAACCCTGTCTCTGCACAAAATACAAAAAAAAAAATTAACCAGGCATGGTGGTGCACGCCTGTAGTTTCAGCTACTTGGGAGGCTGAGGTAGGAGGATCACCTGAGCCTGGGAGGTAGAGGCTGCAGTGCACAGTGATCACACCACTGCACTCCATCCTGTGTGAAAGAGTGATACCCTGTCTCAAATCAAAACAAAATAAAACATTACAGCCGCATTTGAATAAAGTGCTTTACACTATCTTGAGCATGTTTTGGTAATAGTTATGTTCTGCATAACAATATCCCATAAGATTATAATGGGGCTGAAAAATTCCCAATCAAAGCATTACTCACGTGTTTGTGGTGATGCTGGTATAAACCTACTGTGCTGCCAGTCATATGAAAGTATAGCGCATACAAATGTGTACAGTACATAATACTTCATAATGGTAATACTTATGTTACTGCTTTATGTATTTACTATGTTTTTATGTTATTTTTAGAGTGAACTTTCTCTACTTAAAATAAAAAGCAAATTGTAAAATGGCCCCAGGCAGGCCCTTTTGGAGGCACTGGAGGAGAAGGCATTGTTATCATAGGAGATAACAGCTCCATGCAGACCTTTCAGTGGGACAAGATGTGGAGGTGGAAGACAGTGATATTGATGATCCTGACTCATGTGGGATCTTGCTAATATGTGTGTTTGTGTCTTAGTTTATAGCAAAAAAGTTTAAAAAGTAAAAAAAAAAATTAAAAAGTTAAAAATAGAAAAAAGCTTATAGAATAAGGACATAAAGGGAAAAATATTTTTGTACAGCAGTAAAATGTATTTGTGTTAAGCTAATGAGTCAAAAAGTTAAAATTCAAAAGTTTATAAAGTAAAAAAGTTACAGTAAGCTAGGGTTAATTTATTATTGAAGAAAGAACCTTTCTTTTTCTTTTTTTGAGATGGAGTTTCGCTCTTGTCACCCAGGCTGGAGTGCAATGGTGTGGTGGCTCACGCCTGTAATCCCAGCACTTTGGGAGGCCAAGGCGGGTGGATCACCTGAGGCCAAGAGTTTGAGACCAGCCTGGCCAACATGGCAAAACCCCTATCTCTACTAAAAATACAAAAATTAGCCAGGCGTGGTGGTGCATACCTATAATCCCAGCTACTTGGGAGGCTGAGGAAGGAGAATCACTTGAACCCAGGAGGTGGAGGTTGCAGTGAGCCGAGATCGTGCCACTGCACTTCAGCCTAGGAGACAGTGAGACTCCGCCTCAAGAAAAAAAATAATTTAGCATACCCTAAGTGTACGATGTTTATAAAGTCTACAGTAGTGTACGGTAATGTCCTAGGGCTTCACATTCACTATCCTAAAGGACAGTGACACAAGTCCTGTCCTCAAGTGATCCGCCCACCTTGGCCTCCCAAAGTGTTGGGATTACAGGCGTGAGCCAGGCGTGGTTGTGCGCACATGTAATCCCAGCTACAGGCCGGGCCCCCTTTTTATGTTTAGATACACAAATACCACCATGCTACAACTGCCTACAGTACTGAGTATAGTCACATGCTGTATGGGTGTGTAGCCCAGGAGCAATAGGCCATATATCCTAGGTGTGTAGAAGGCTGTACCATCTAGGTTTGTTTAAGTGCACTCTGTGATGTTTGCGCAATGACGGAATCACCTAATGACATACTTCTCAGAACACATTTCCCTCATTAAGTGATACATGACCGCACTAGGTGCTGCTTCCTAGGCATCTCTGGGAGGAAGAACATTAATTTTAATTTTCTGTACCTAGTTCATACTTGGGGTTTATTGTACCATCTGGGAGAAACCAGGAGGTGTTTAGTTAGGCCTTTCCCTGCTCACAACTTTCATAGGCTCCGTTTTCCCTGCAGGATCATGGAAGGGCACCTCCTGAGCCTGGCCCAGGAGCCCATACTCACCCCTTTTACACCGCCTCCGCCTTCCCGCCATGGTTGATCGTTCTCTCCTCAGTTATGCCTCAGGTCCCTGTCCTGCTTCCACTGTGCATAGTATGCTTTATGGTAGCTTTCTCCATGTGTTGTCCTCTCTTAGCAGTCAGGGAGCTCCCTGAGGAAGACATTCTCACTCGCTGTACCCCACTGCCTTGCACGGGGCCTGTGCAGAATGGGTGCTAGGTTGCTTTGCCTGAGTGAGTGTTGTGATCTCAGAAGTTCTGGCTTAGGCTTCTTGTCCCTGTGCTTTTGTCTAGAGAGGCTTTGTGAGGGACGCTGATTCTGTTGGATAGCCTTTGAATGATTTTCATTCTCAATTGCATGGATCGCTTTGGGGAACACAGACCAGCTGGCTGTGCTTGGCAGCAAGGTGTTGTGTGGTGGAAATGGCTGAATTCCACATATCCTCTGTTACTCACAGACATTTAGGGGAGCACGTGCCATCCCTCTCACAATTTTGAATACATAGGACCGGGTGCTCCTCACCCTTCCATTTCAGTGGGATAGTTTGTCTAGCAGCTGCTCTGTGCTGATGACATTATGAAATAGGGATTTTAAAGGACCTCTGTGCAAATGGAGCCCCTCAACCCCTGACGATGTGTTCTGCACAAATAGATTTAAGTAGGCTTTTTATGCATCAGAACTGCCTGCAATCTGAAACACACCAACAAGACAGGTTCAAGGATGAATTAACAAAGGTTCAGCAGACTTAAATGATATTCAGAAGTCTTGTGGCTAAGTCAAATTATAAATAAACTCATGTGTGTGGTGTAGAACTGTGTGTGTGTGTTGGTTTTGAGAGACTGATAGAAGGAAGAAGTAGATGGAGTATTATTTTCTTACTCCTGATGTGTCTCCCAGGCTGGATGATGACAAAGAACAAAGGAGAAGTTGTCAGGCTCAGTCAAGGAGAAGGGAGGAGCGATATGGTTTAAGTGTGGGAGGAAGAGAATTGAAGGGACATTTGTGCCACTTTACGCACCCACAGAGCTGTTTGTGTAGGTGGGGGCTGGGCAGGGAGTGTCACCAGAGACTTTGACTTCTCTGCCTCAGAACTTCACTCAGTGGGGTGTCTGTGTGCCTCAGATTAATGTCAGCCTGCTCAGGGAGAAGCAAATATGTGTCCTCTGAGGGATAAGGCACATATTTCACATACCCTCTGTTCTGGATGGAGCTGAGCTCAAGGGACTGGGTGGAGAGGAGGTCCTCTTCTCTCAAACATGGCCCTTCTTTCTCGCAGCCATACTTTTGCTAATCCCCTCTCTCTGGAATAGTTTTCTTATTCCTTTCTCCCTCAATTATCATTTTACTCCTTTTAAAGTCTACCTGGTCTTCATAGATGAACCCAGAGCTTATCTTTTCTCTGCAGATTTCTTGGTCACCCAAATAGTGGTAATTTTTCTTCTGAACGCCCCTAGCACTTACTGTCCATATCACTTCTGTGTCATGTATAACAGAATAGCAGATGGAGGAAGCTCAGTGTTTTTGTGTCTCATATACATAGGCAACTTCCATATTATTGTTCTGTATGTTATCTTGTCTCCCCAAATACAGCCCCAATGTGTCAATTCTTACCATGTCTGCTACAGTTCCTAGGGGATTTTGCAGGGGGAAAGAAGTGAGTTGTCATGTAAATGAAATAATGGTGTACCTTGACTGAGGATGTGAGAGAATTTTTTGTGCATCCCTGGGCACACAGCTGTCTTAGTCTCTTGTGCCCCTATAACAGAGTACCTGAGACTGAGTAACTTATAAAGAACAGAAATTTGTTTCTCGCAGTTCTGGAGACTGAATGTCCAAGATCAAAGTACTGGTGGGTTTGGTGTCCCATACCAGCTGGTTATCTGTTTCCAAGATGGCATCTTGTAGCTGCATCCTCCGTTGGTGGAAGTGATGGAAGGAAGGTCAATAAGGCCCTACCTAGTTCCCTCCAGCCCTTTTATAAGGTCACTAATCCCATTCATGAGAGCTCTGCCCTCATGACTTAATCATCTCCTAAAGGATCCACCTCTTAATGCTATCACAATGGTGATGAAGTTTCAACATATGAATTTGGGGGCACACATTCAGGCCATAGCAGCAGCCTTATATGGGAACTGACAATATTGTCTCTACCGGGGCTGTCCTCTATATAGAAATATAACAGGAGCCACATGTATAATTTTACCTTTTCTACTAGCCACAGTAAAAAAGTAGAAAAACAGGTGAAATAATTTTAATGTATTTTATTTAACCTAGTATATCCCAAACGTCATTTTAATACATAATCAATGTACAAAAAAAGTTTTTTTTTTTTTCGAGATGGAGTCTCGCTCTGTTGCTCAGGCTGGAGTGCAGTGGCACAATCTTGGCTCTCTGAAACCTCTGCCTCCTGGGTTCAAGCAATTCTCCGGCTTTAGTCTCCTGAGTAGCTGGGATTACAGGAGTGTGCCACCACACCCAGCTAATTTTTTGTATTTTTAGTAGAGACAGGGTTTCACCATTTTGGCCAGGCTTGTCTTGAACTCCTGACCTCAGATGATCTGCCTGCCTCAGCCTCCCAAAGTGCAGGGATTACAGGCATGAGCCACCACACCCGATCCAATGTACAAAAATATTAATGAGATATGCTACTGTCCTTTATTTTATACTAAGTCTTTACTAACTGATGTGTATTTTACGCTTACAGGACACTGCAGCTCAGACTAGCTGCACTTCAAGTGTTTAATACTTACATGGGGCTAGAAGCTGCCATGTTGGAGAGAATAGGCCCTGCATTCTTGATCCTTAGTCTAACAGGAGCCTCTTAGGGATCTTCTGATTATTCCAGGAAGAAGCAAGAAAGGTTACAGGGTTGTGTTTCATGTATTAGGAGGCAAATTAAAGCTTTAAGAGAATAGAAACAGAGAATTTACCAATGAGGTGCACTTAACTTTTTTCTCCCTTAGTTTTCTTCCCATATTCACATTTACCACAGAAAGGAGAAACAGGAAAAATTTACAACAGAAAGGAGAAACTCACCAAGTACTTACGCAAATACAAGTAGCGCATGGGATGCATTCTTTTTCTTCTGTCCTGTGCACCTGCCTTACCTTTTCCCAGGGTGAGTGGATGATAGCGTGGCATCTTTGCAGGAAGAGCTTGTAGAGAAGAAATGGTGATTCCAGCCACCTCAGCCTCTGCTTCTGATAGCCTCTTGCTTTGTTCCTGAAGTTAAATAACCAAAATATATGCTTATAAAGTGGTGATGAAAAATTACTTCTTGGTCAGTAGGTGTCTCTGATGGCAGCAAATCCATGTTGCATTTGTCTTTTTCTCTTAATAAAGGACTTGATGGACTGTGACAAGATTGGCCACCTATTTTAGAGTCATTGGAATTAAATTAAGACATGCCCACACTACCTAATTTCATAAGGGTGGTGCTGGAGGGAGAAGAGGATAGTACATACAGAAGGAAGAGGGTGGCCCAATATCGACATGTTAATACCCAGGACTAAAAACAAAGTCTCTACTGTTATAAAGGCCAGGAAGGATGTTCTCTTTCTACCCAGGCAAACACTGTCCAAATTTTATCCACAGGAAAATCAAGGCTCAGTTATTCATTGTGTACAGCTGCAGAAACAATAGAAAATATAGCCCCTTGGTTATCAGAGCAGCATTATCCAAATAAAATTATCAGGCTCAATGTAGCCTTGACTGAAATGTGTGGAGGTAACATGCTGCTTTTGTTCTTCTCAAACAATGTATGAACCATAGTCGATTTATTTTTCCTAGTCCTGGTTCTGTTAGTGCCTGAGTGGCCTTGAGCAAAGCACTGTCTCTGTGGCTCAACTTCTGAATTTATGAAATGGGTCCAGGAACACCTTTCACACCTATATCCCAGCATTATGATGTGAAAAGCAGCCTAAAAATTAAGCGCTACATTGCTATGAATTGTAAAGTGTGGAAACATGGAATAAAATACCTCTTAAGCTCCATTGTTTATTATGAAAAACATTTTCAGTAGTAGGAACAGCTGTGAATCAGGCAGCCCAACTTAATTAGAGTCAAAGAATGTGCGCCTTCAGCTGCTTTTTATTGATAGTGTTTGCACGTTTACTTCCTGAATAGCATAAATAGAGGTGGAGTAGGTTTATGCAGGGAAGAATAAGTACATTGGAACAACCTAGAAGTGGAATCTTCCTTCTGTAAACAATATTCTCAATACCAGATACAGGCCCCTCTGTTGTAGCACCGGGAGAGTAGGAGACCTCTTTTTAAACCTAGAAGTATATGCATGTGGTTAATTATACATTTACAAGGTAAAGAAAGCATCCATCAAGGAAATACTTGGAGCAATATTGGCCCAGCAAATTCAGCTTTTAAATATAATTCGTATTGGAACAACTGGCATCTCCTTCAGAAAGAAAAATAAGGTGGTCAAAATGTTGATTCTCTAACCTACCATCTTGGATAGGGCTGGATGTTAAGTCACTGGCTCTTACAGGTGATGTGGGCAGCACGTAGACTGGGTGTTTTCGAGTCAAGCACATAAAAGGCTGCAGGTTTTCTCCTGGCCACCCGGAGCACTGCAGTAGGACGGCACCTCTCCTGAAATAAAGCTAATTTAGGCTCACCTCAGCTCCCCCATGGGTTGGGATATGTGTGTGTCTGCTCTTGCTAAGTGCCAGATTTATAATTTTGTTCTCTTATGCTAGTCCTGCAGCCTCTTCTTTCCATCCCCACCCCATGCCAGCCAAGCAGAATTGGGGGGATGGGGAGAGGACTCTAAACAGACAGCTCCTTAGCCTCTCAGAGGCCCCTGGGAAGAGCCACAGGATAGGCAAGGGTCAAGGGAATAATAGCTTTTCCTTCTTCCTGAGAAGCCTTCTAGAATTCCCCTAAAGAACTAGGGGACGCAATGTGAATCAAATAGAGAAGCCTTCCTGACTTCAGGATGTTAGGGATACACATTTTTTGAGGGCGGAGACTCTCATTGTTCATTTTTTTTTTTCCTGTCCAGCAGGTTCTCGGTGTGGTGGTTAAAATGACTTCCAGCTTGGGCCCCAGACATTTCTTTGGAAGAATCTTGCTTTAAAACCTAAATTTAAGCTAAGCCCCATAGAAAGAGCAAACGAAACTTCAAAGAACTCAAAATAGAGCATGTAATTTCATGTGTTGTGAAGGCTTATGAGGAAAGTGGCTTTAGTCAGGTGTCAACACCTTCTCAGGGTTACAAGGAATAACCTAGTCCAGCTGCCATTGCAGATGTGGGGGCGCAGGTTGTGACAGGTGGCCCCTCAGGTGGGGAGGGCTGTCTTAGTGCTAGCTGGTCTCCACTTGTCTGTTCTGCTTCCCACTTGAGAGTACTGTGTTCATTCCTCCTTTATGGGGTGTTCCCCCATCATGTTTTTAAGTGTCAGAATGTTGGGCAGAGGGTTCTTTTCTGCATCATCCTATAAAGCAATCACTAAATATATCGGGCTATGAAGCACTTTTCCTTTAAAAAAAATTTTTTTTTCTTTAGAAACGGGGTCTTTATGTAACAAACCTGCACGTTGTGCACATGTACCCTAGAACTGAAAGTATAATAAAAAAATTAAAAAAAGAAACGGGGTTTTGCTCTGTCACCAAGGCTGGAGTGCAGTGGCTCAATCATTAATCACTGCAGCTTTGACCTCCTGGACTCAAGCAGTCCTCCCACTTCAGCCTCCAAAAGCACTGGGATTACAGGTGGCCTCATTTCTCTCTCTCTCTCTCTTTTTGTTATTGTTGTTATTGTTGTTGTTGAGACGGGGTCTCACTCTGTCACCCAGGCTGGAGTGCAGTGGCATGATCACGACTCATTGCAGACCTGACCTGGGCTGAAGGGATCCTCCGGCCTCAGCCTTGTGAGTAGCTGGGACTACAGGTGTATGCCACCATGCCTGGCTATGCTTTTAATTTTTTGAAGCAACAGAGTCTTCCTGTGTTGCCCAGTCTGGTCTCCAGCTCCTAAGCAATCCTCTGACTTGGCCTCCCAAAGTGCTGGGAGGTGTGAGCTATGGTGTCCAGCCTTCTTTTTTCAAAATCATTTTCATACCTGCTTTCCCTATAACACCTCGAGGTAGGGTGCGAATGGGCACAGAGGGAAGAGAGCTGAGCCTATATCCAGAGCCCAGGCCAGAACCCAATTCTCTGGATGACCATGCTTCTTCGGTAAGTATATTTTTGTGGAATATTTGGAGCTCTTTTGACACATAAAGATTTACTAAACAACATATTCACATATGGCAAAATATTATCTATAAATAGCTTCAAAATGTCTTTGCTTTAGTTTTAGGTTCTGATTTGCTG
Source organism: Homo sapiens (assembly GCF_000001405.40). Classification (NCBI taxonomy): domain Eukaryota; kingdom Metazoa; phylum Chordata; class Mammalia; order Primates; family Hominidae; genus Homo; species Homo sapiens. The sequence goes on from NC_000005.10 coordinate 76,485,397, forward strand.
TGGTGTAGTGAGGACAGAATTTTTCTTTTGCTGTATTTTAATTGCAATAGCGAGTAAACAAACCTTTTTTCCCCCCTTGGTTATACTTTTCTTTGGTTTCCTTGGAGTTTTCCTTGGTTACATTGAAAACCACCCAGTATTTGCATTTGCATGGGTTAGTTCTTAAAGTCCTAAGTGGGTCCTAGTGTTTGGAGGTTTTGTAGAAATCATATCTTTGTGTAGTACAGGCCACACATGGGGAGTTGAATGTCCATGTAGTCATTGGAGAAGTGGCCAGAGTTGGGTGTCAGAGCTGCTGTTTGGACTTGGACAGATCCTGAGTGTGTCATCCTTGGCCAGGCACTCATTCTGTACAGCCCCCCAGGTGTGGCTCTAGGGAGAGAGCAGGTATGCACTGCTGGGTCTGTCCTGTTCTCTGTAGCTTCTGGATGGGAGGAAGGGTGACCTTTTCCAATTGTATTTTATATATTTGACATATTTCAAGTACATTTTAACTTTGAGTCTTAATTTTATTTTTTTCCACAGCTTTAGTAGGAAGATTTTCAATGACTTCCTCAGCACATACAATTTTTCTGGTTTTAATTTTTGTAAAAACTTGATCCTTGATGTTTAGATTCACCTTTTTCTCCCCTTAAAAATCCAGCCAAGGGCCAATTAATGATAGTTGCTATGGTAACTTTGGTGAAATTCAGAATGTTCCTAATGCAAAGAGCAATATGCTTGAACAGTAGATTTCATTTAAAATGTAGAAGAAGAATTTGCTTTGGTATAAAGGTGTTCAGCTGAACCTTCATGAAGAAAGTTGCCAAGGACTGAAAGTGCAAAAGGTTATAGTTTGAAAAGCTTATCATGGGAATTTTTAGCCATCTTTTAAATAAATAAATCTCATTTGGTTGCAGCATGTTTGCCCTGTACATAAATAAAGCTTAGATTTTGTTTGGGTCTCCAAAACATGGATTTAAAATTCTGCCCAGTTTTATGTCCCCTCATCAAATGATTTTACCATGTATTAGATTATAATGTTAGTGATGTTTCTGGCTTATATTAATATACTGCTTTATGTTGAAATAAACTCATTTTCATCCTCAACACATAAATTTCATCAATTTCAGACCTTAAGCACGGTTATCAACCTGTTAGATGCTTCTATTTGACTTTGCTTAAATAGCGCTGAAGGCCTGTCAGATGACTAGGGGGAAGTTTTTCCTAAACAAATTCAAGTTATTTTGCCAATTCAGTGATTTTTTTTTTAAAAAAGGATTTCTTTAATAAAATGAATGTTATCACACCCTTAAAAGTGACAACACCCATGTAAAAGAAGCTGATTGTATATCTAAATATCATAAAAAAGATCATTGAATTTAAACTTCTTCAGAGTTTTGTTTTGTTTTGTTTTGTTTGACACTGTAGCCACCATTACAAGCTCAGTTATAAGTAATAAGTGAACTGTTTCTCATTTATTTTCCTTTTTATATCTGTCCTAGGCACATTTTCTTACCTAGGAGTTTACTAATCATTTAACCTGAGGACTATCTAGAATATATGATGTTTAATATTTTAGTCACCTGCATTTATCATAACTGAGCATTTGATCCATGCCAAACACTGTTTTAAGCACAATAGTGTTTTTTTAATGTAATATATAATAGTGACATTTTTACACACTTTGATTGCTGTGTAAATGTTTATTGGTATTTCTTTCTTTCTTTTTTTTTTTTTTGAGATGGAGGCTTGCTCTGTCACCCAGGCTGGAGTGCAGTGGCACAATCTCAGCTCGCTGCAACCTCCGCCTCCCAGGTTCAAGCAGTTTTCCTGCCTCAACCTCCTGAGTAGCTGGGATTACAGGTGCCCACCACCACGCCCAGCTAATTTTTGGATTTTTAGTCGAGACAGGGTTTCACCATGTTGGCCAGGCTGGTCTCAAACTCCTGACCTTGTGATCTGCCCACCTTGGCTTCCCAAAGTGCTGGGATTACAGGCGTGAGCCACCGCGTCTATTGGTACTCCATATTGTCAGTTTGAATGGGGGGATGTGGATGCGGATCTTACACTTAGGATCACTGTAAGAAAAAAGTTTATCTTTATAGTATTATTTATTAATTGAAGTTGGCTTTTATTTGTACATTGGTATGCAAATTCAAGTTTGTAGATGTTGCAAAGTGGATATTGGAGTCTAGCCATTCTAACACTTCATCATAAGGCAGCTTCCCTCCTCCACTTCACCACCCCTCCAGGCAGATCTGCATGCAGTGGTGCTCAGGCACATGTATGTGCTTTTTTTTATGCAGCGAGGTTAGAGAATGGGGGGCAGGGTCTTTTCCTACATGGGGTAGGGGTGCATTGGCCAGACACTGCATCTGTCTGTTCTCCACTCTGTCCTGGCACAGCTCACCTCCAGAACACAGAGCCCAAAGCTGTCCTGAAGCAGTGGGTCAGAAAACATGTTTGAATACTCAGACACATGGAATATGTCCAGTCCTTTTCAAAATTCAAAATGGTAGAACCATATTGGGAAGCCATGACTGGGGACAAGGAATAAGCTTTATCAGGCCCTAGTCAGAAAGGAGTTTAGGGCTGACTGGAGTTGTAGGACATGGGAGCCTATCCTCACATCTGGGGATCACCCCTTGCCGTTCATGTGACCTTGAATGATCACTGAGCCTCTCATCTGTGGTTTTCTTGGGGAATGATACCAAGTCATAGGACTGCTGTGAGCACTGGATGTAATAATGGATACAAAAACTGTTTTAGCAGTGAGCACAGTTTCCTTGGGACTTGGTAACTGATAGCTGTCAATTCCTAATCCTCATTTAAATTATTATAAATGTGAGGTGAAGGGAAGGAGAAATTCTTGTTAGTGAGAAATTAGCTTACTCTTTGGCATCAAAGTGTGACATTTGTCTGTGGTATCTGTTAATCAAGTTCTATTGATCAAGCTAAGGTCAGATCCTTCTCTTATAGATTAAATATTCTTTTTTTAAAAAAATTATTGGTTGTTTTTTTCTTGGTTTTCAGTTTATAATGAATGCCTATCTTTTAAGATTGACCTAGGGGAGCAGTGTAGGATAAAATATCAAGTTCCCTGCGAAAGATTCTGTGCTTCTGAATAACAATAAACTACAAGGTCAACTTTCTAGAATAAAATTCTTCTGATCTAAAAACATATCCATTTGGGGAAAGGTCAGAGAAACTGAGATTCAATAATTCATCTTTTGAGGGTTCATCTTGTTTATGCGAGTCATTTCTTTGAACAGTTTGATCAGGTTTTGCTTCAGTAAGGGAGGTACGAAGATACAAGGTACGTGTTGCCTCAAGGAGAGAGGTTGTAGGTTTGCCCTTTCCCTGTAATGGCCGGACTAATCCACCAGCTTATATTAGGAAGATTAGCCATCTGTTAGCTTCTAAAACAGAGGCAAAAGTTTCTGCTTTCAGATTCTCTTGGTGTGCGGGCTTGGGAAGGACAGATGGGAGCTAATAAATATCATACCTTGAAAGGCCAAGCACCCGGCTGAGTTGTCCTATCCACTGTTAAGTCCAGCCCCCACAGCAGTCCTGTGATGTAGGTGTTGTTCCTCCCTTCAGGTAGGAGGTTCAGTAATCATTCAGGGTCACACGACTGGAAAAGGCTGACCCCAGATGTAAAGCCAGGCTCCCAGCTCCTTGTTCTTCCACTGTGTTCTAAACTCCTTCCCAGCTTGCGCTTGACACAGCCTTGTCTTCTCTCCCTCCGTGCCTCGCAGTGGTAGGGTTCCATGGAACACGCAGGTGAACAGTTTGACCTATGGATGAGCCGATCTGGAGAGCCTGCCTGGTGGGAGCAGGTTGGTCCCTGCAGTCCAGAGTCTGCACACAGTCCTTCCAGTGAGTGTCTCTGGAGGCTGTATCTCCTGATTACAACTCTATAGTTTTGTCTACTAGAGCTGACACCTTTGTTTTCTGTCACTTCTCAGGCCAAGAAGTAACTTTTTTTAGGAAAATATCTTTTTCCAGTAAAGATGTCCTTTCATCTCGCCACCCCACCCCCATCCCTGACCTCTTCTACATGCAGTCTTTTTTGTTTTTGTTGTTTGTTTGTTTGTTTTTTAGATGGAGTCTCGCTCTGTCCCCCAGGCTGGAGTGCAGTGGCACAATCTCGGCTCATTGCAACCTCCGCCTCCCAGGTTCAAGCAATTCTTGTGCCTCGGCCTCCCAAGTAGCTGGGGCTACAGGTGCACACCTCCATGCCAGGCTAACTCTTTTGGATTTTTTTAGTAGAGATGGGGTTTCACCATTGTTGGCCAGGCTGGTCTACAACACCTGACCTCACGTGATCCATCCGCCTTGGCCTCCCAAAGTGCTGGGATTACAGGCGTGAGTCACCATGTCCAGCCCACATACACTTTTAAAAATAATAGTTTATCTTGATAAAATCTGAATTAAGCTGTTGTTTTTATGAGGATTGTTTCTGACTCCTGTTTCTCATTTCCCTTTTCACCTCCCCTGTCAGACACATACACTCCACGTCCACACCACACATATGCACACTGCGGACTTCACCACTCACATTCACTTTACTTTGTTAATCTGGCTGCAAGGAAATTTCTTAGCCCTTGACACAGTATGTGAAGAGAGTTCTGTTGGCAGCTCACCATGGTATTTCAAATGTGTGCCTCAAATTGAGAGTGCCGGTTGGAAATAACAATTCACTCTAAGCAGTGCTTTTCATTGAAATGTAAATTGCCTTATACCCGTTTTCATTCTTGCGGACTTCTCAGGAGGAAGACAGGTTTTATGTTACAAGCATTGAAGAGAAAATCTTTCTCCTGGTATCTCTTTTTTTAGTATGCAACAAGATTGAGGATGATTCATTTAGGCAACTCTGGTCTACTCTAGGAGCTTGCATATCTAACAATATGCAGTATTCTCAGGAATTTTACCAGTGTGGGATTGCTGGTACTTTGAGGGGAGAAGGATAACTTCATATCTGGATTTAATTTCTGAGTTAATAAACCGCCATCACCCTGGAATGCCCATTTTTATTTGTTTCCTTATCCATTTATGAACTACCTTAAGGCATTTATCAAATAGTGACTTAAATCTAAAAATAAAATTAATGTCCTTTGTTTGGAATGCTTTTAGAGACCATTAGGACTTAGGAGCAGTGCAGTGGATGTGGAGAGAATGAAAGATTCAACAATAACTATATAAAACCCTAAGGTCCCACTCAAGTGGGGCGGCCTGGCCAAAATGTAGCTCAAAACATAATAGTGGCTATGAGAAAAAAGCTATTTTGTTGTCATTGTTATAACACCCAGCAAGGAACTGTATAGGTTATAGGGCCTTTTAAAATTTTTCAGCTGGATACCACTTTATTTTTATTGTGACTTTCAAACACGAAAATACCATTATGTTAAAAAAAAATACTATGGAATCTGTGTGGCAGAATGTATTTAAGCTGAACAGATTAAGGCTGTAGGACCAAAGGGCTGAACAACCTTGAGCATTTTTCTTTAAATATTCAAGTTTAAAAGCATATTCCTTGGCACCCCTAAAAGGAAAGCCCAGTAAAATGAATATGACATTTAGAATATGTAGCATTGGAGATTTTCATCTTTTTTTTTTTTTTTTTTTTGAGTCCTTGGGTTTATCAGCTGGAAACTTTCATGGCATTATTGCATCTTTACATAGTAATAAATGTGTCATAATTGACATGTGCTTTAAAATGCTCTCACTTCCTCTACTTCCTGGAAGATTGTTTCTGTCTTGCATGTTGTCCTTGCTGTGTTTTATGATGTGTTTGTATAAACATGATGAAACTATTCATGTTCTTGTTGATGCTTCTCTGAATGGTTAGCACTGGCTCTCTGGGTGTGTTTTGTTTGCTAAACCTTGAAAAAGTCTTAGTAGATGGAATACAGTGGAAAGATTAGGAAGATGCCTTTTTCCCTCATACTTCCTTTAATTAAATAATGTGAAAATATACTGATTTAATAGATGTTTCTGTGAGTTGTGCTAAATAGAATTGGTAACAGTGTTACAGTTTTATAGGGCTTTTTATCTGTTTGAGAGGTATGCAGGATTTCTTTTTTATTATTATTTTTTATTTTTTGTAGAGATAAGATTTCACTATATTTTCCAGGCTGGTCTCAAACTCTTGGGCTCAAGTGATCCTCCCACCTCGGCCTCCCAAAGTGCTGGGATTACAGGCGTGAGCCACCGCACCTGGCCGATATGCAGGATTTCTTGATGTTTCTCATCTTCCCATAACTTTTCTCTTTTCCTGACATGTGCTTTTAGCCTCTGATAGCCGTCAGCAAATACCTGGCTCCTGTTGGTTGTTCAGTCCTCTTTTTCTCTTCTCTCACATACCTACCACCCTCCAGGCAAAGCAAGTACCCTGTGGTTCTCTGCCTAATTTATATGTCTCGGAACATGCTGCTCCCCTCACCTTAAATGCCCTGCATAACTCACAAGACTCTTAGGACCTTTGAGTTGTACCTTCATCTCCAGAAGTTCTCCCTGGCATTTGTTCTGCACCTCCCATGGCTCCACATGCCCAGAGTTACTGATTTGTCTCCTCTCGATTCTCCTGGAACACCCAGTCCACCTTTTTTTTTGGTTTGCTCACCTGCCATCTCCCATGTCATAGAAAGGCTGCAGTGAGACACAGCCCTGTTCATGACCTTAGTAATAACATCATAAGCAGGTTATCAGTAAATGTTGATCAACTGTATGAATCTGCTGAGGTTGTGAAAAGGGATTCGGAGAAGTTTGAGATGCATTTGGCCCCAGTAGTTCTTACCTAGGGTGGGGAAATCAGGCATGTACCTGAGGAAGGTTGCTGTGCTGCTAGGCAGAGGAGTTGTGAAGTGAAACAGAGCACAGCATGCACCTGTGGACTGCTTTCAGGCCATGTTCTCTGGAGTGTGAGGTGCCGGACGGCTCAGGCCTCCTGTCCCTGGAAGGCAGAGTGGGAGCAAGCATCTTGCTGGTAGCGGTCAGAGGCTAAAGGGAAAGGTAGCACTGGGATATTGCCTTAAGATGAATAGGATTTCCATAAGCTGGGGTGAAGGAACGAGGAGGAGCACAAGGAAAAGATTAGCATTGAGAAGGAGCAAGGTATTTGGGCAAAAGGTTGGAGCAGAGATTTCCTGTTCTGGAATTAGCAGTGGGAGGGAAGGAAGAAAGGAATCCCAGAAGCCAGTTACGGAGAGCCTTGATTGCTAGGCTAAAGATATTTGGGTGTTATCCTGACGTACAGAAGAGTGTGTGAAGGTTTTGTAACTTTGAAGAAATGGGAGCAAACAGTCTAGTGATGAAAGCAGAGGAATACTGGGCAGAGAAGGAGACTTTTGCAGTAGTCTAGGCAGGGAGCATCCTGACCCAAGACACAGTCCGCTCTTCACTCATCCTACAAAGTGAGTCCCATGTGCCAGGCCATGGAGAGTCTGTGATGAGTAGTGTCCCTTGAGGAGAAAGGGGCATGAAAACAAAATCACCTTAGTTGTCACGTTTCTAGTGAGAAGATTCCAACCTGAAGGAAAATCCATAGGAGGTGATAAGGATGCTGGTTGACTGATATGCGTACCAGCATAGTCACAGGATGTGCAGATCGTGGATTGCAGATCTGGGCTTTGTTCACAGTGAAACAAACAATGCTGCCTGTGCTGCTCTAGTCACTTAACCGGACATCTCCCTGATGCTGTCAACTTCAGTCCCTTTTAACTGGTCTCCTGCTGCTTCCCTTGTCCCCACTTGCTCTGTTCTCAACATGGCAGCCAGGGTGATCCATTTAAATCTTAAGTCAGATCGCGTCACTTCTCTTCCCCACACTCACGGTGGCTCTCGTCGCACCCAGAGTAAAAGCCAAAGTCCTCATGAAGATCCACAGGGCCCCGCCCGCCCCTCACCACCCCTCTGGCCTCATCTCCTGCTCAGCCCAGCCACTCTGAGCACACTGGCCTCCTTGCTGTTCCTCTCACCCCTATAAAGCTCCCCAAGGCCCCTCCTTCCCTGTGTGTCTCCATGTCTGATTTCTCACCTCTTTGAAGTCTGCTGAAGTGTCACTGACCACCCTATTTACAATTGTAACCTGTCCCCCAGCCCTAACCCTGGCCCTTCTGACCCCTCTGACCCTGTCCTACCTTTTGTTGTCATGACTGATTACCTTCTGCCATGATGTGTCATTTGCTGTTGTTTCTTGTCAGATCCTCCACACTGCTCCCCCCACCCCATAGGTGGCTCTTTTTTTGGAATTAATTAATTTAGTGATTTTTTTTCTTTTTATTTGGTAGGCTCTTTAAGGCAGGAATCAGCTTCTGTTTTGTTTAACGATGTGTCTCAAATGTCTAGAACAGTGCCTGGTACAAAGAAGAAGCTCAGTCAATATTTGTCGAATGATTTGTAATTTATTTGCTCTTACTAGTACGGCCTAGTTAACTTTTCCCCACTACCAAGTGGATTTTGTTTATGAGAAAGAAAGGTTGATCCTGTCACAGCCTAAATTCCAAATATAGTTGCCCCTTGGTATCCTCGGGGAATTGGCTCCAGGAGCCCCCACAGATGCTCCAGTCCATGCTATAATGTGATGTAGTATTTGCATATAACCTATGCACATCTTCCCATATATGCTAGATCATCTCTAGATTATTTATAATACCTAATGTAATGTAAATGTTATGTAAATAGTTGTTCTACTGTGTTGTTCTTTAAATTTGTATTTTTTTTATTGTTGTCTTGTTAGTTTTGATCTGCAGTTGGTTGAATCCACAGATGCAGAACCCACAGATACGAAGGGCCAGGTGTATATTTTACCTGTTATTTGTTTTCTTCAAATGACGTATTTTCTCTTTGAAATTCTTAGAGCAGAGTTCTATAAAATGGGCACAATAATTAGAAAAGAAAATTTGAAAGCGACTTTTCAAATAAAAGAAATGTGGCAAAAGGGTTCAGTCACATATTAGAAACGATTTGTAATCTGCAAGGCTAAAGTGGAGGATAAAAATGTTGTAACCAGAGGATAAGGTCCACTGGTTCTCTGGCTTGCATGGTCTGGGTGCATTCCACTTATTCCTAACAACAGTGACAAGTTCTCCATCATTATTATCTTGGGGGAATTTCAGATACCCCCACAATTGTACATGCCCTCAGCATTCTGTTGCCTCTTAATTCGAGAACTAAACACACACAGCACAAAATGCTAAATAAAAGCACATGATAGAATACAAGATGGAAAAGAATAATTCCTAAAAGGACCACACCGCAGAAGGTTTTTAGTTTTTTGTTGTTGTTGTTTTTTGTTTTGTTTTGTTTTGTTTTGTTTTGGTCTTGTCACCTAGCCTGTTTTTTTCCTGTGCACACATGCATCATTGACATACACATATACACTCAACCCTCCTTGTCCCTACCTCCTCCCCATTAAAGAAAGCTGTTGAAGAAGATTCAGGAAATCAGAACAGAGAACGTCGACATGTGCAAACCTTTGGATAACTTTTAATTAGCTAGCCTGCCATCTTATAAGTAACTTTCAAAAGTGAATTGGGACCTTTTTAAATTCCCAGCTGGAAAGTTTCCATTTAGACTGTGAGGGTGTTTTCTTTTCATTACATAACCCATTTGTCAGTGGAGGCAGTATCTCCCTGCAGGAGGTAAACATTGGTTCTTAGAAGGCAAAAATAAATAAATAAATACATAAATACATAAATTTTAAAAACCCTATTTAAATGTATAAAGCACAGATATACATACCTATATATAAAAGATATACAATAAATAGATATACAATATATCTATGTTATAAAAATATCCTCAGGGTGAGTACAGTAATGAAAATGGTTGAGAAGCACTGGTTGAACCCACACTCAGAGGCACCAGCCTAGAGCACAAACGGTCTGCTCTGCATGTTCATGCTTTTACGTGGTGTTTGATAGTTTAACAGTGAGCTGTGTCCAAGGGCATGAGCCTGTTAGGTAGGACATGGACTTATCATGATCAATTTGGTCTATTAGGCACTTTTTGGTTAGAGGGACAGAATTGCTCAGGTGACTCAGTTCCTGGAGGGCAGAGGGAAGGCCTTGCTGGGCTGCCAGGGACCAGCTGGCAGGAGTAGAGTCTGGGAAGGAGAAGGGTGTTTGAAATGAGTATAACCATCATCCCTCTCCTCACAGGACCATTGTGGGGTAGTGTGTTAATTCATTCTTGAGTCACTATAAAGAAATACCTGAGGCTGAGTAATGTATAAAGAAAAGAGGTCTAATGGCCTCATGGTTCTGCAGGCAATGCAGGAAGCACGGTGCTTGCATCTGCTTCTGGAGAGGGCCTCAGGGAACTTACAATCATGGCGGAAGGTGAAGAGGTAGCCTGTGTACCACATGGCAGGAGAGGGAGAGAGAAGGGGGAGGTCCCAGCTCAAACAACCAGATCTTGCATGAACTACCTGGGTGAGAACTCACTTATCACCAAGGGGATGGCACAAAGCCATTCTTGAGGGATCTGCCTCCATCATCCAATCACCTCCCACCAGGCCCCACCTCCAACACCGGGAATCACATTTCAACATGAGATTTGGAGAGGACAGACATCCAAACCGTATCAGGTAGTGTTGAGGTTGTTGAGGTAAGTGTATACAAAGCTCTTAGCACAGAGTGAAGCTCAGTGAACAAATGGCTCTTCTTATGAAGAGCAGCCCTCAGCGGAGGCATGGCACTTCCTTCAAGAGAACCAAACTTGGAAACCTTGAATTAGGAAGTGATTACTCACTTTACAGGGAATGACTACGGTAATGATATATTTGCTTTCTGTTACCTAAACTTAGCAGCTTACATATTTATCATCTAATGGTTTCTTTAGCTCAGAAATGTGGGCATAGCTTTATGGGTCCTCTACTTAGGGTCTCTCAAGGCTGCCTTAAAGTGTTGACTGGGACTGGGTTCTCATCTGTAGGCTCAGCTAGAAAGGCATCTGGTTCCTTGCTCATGTGGCGGTCAGCAACACTGTATTTCCTGGGGTTGAAGGATTCATAGGAGCTTGCACTTGAAAGCCAGCAAGAAAGGAGAGTGAGAAAGACAAAGCACAAGTCTGCCAGTAAGACAGAGTCTCATATGATGCAAGGTAATCACAAGAGTACAGTCTGTCCCCCTTGCCATCTACTGTTGGGTAGAGGCAAATCACAGGTTCTGTCTGTACTCAGGGAGAGGGGCCTACACGAAGGTGTGAACATTGTTGGGGGATCATGCGGAGGGAGTCTGTTTGCTACAAATGGTATTCATATTCACATGTGTTTCAAACAGTAGAGGAAAACGTACCAAATATTTTTCTTTCTTTCTGTCTCTTTCTTTCTTTCTTTCTTTCTTTTCTTTCTTTCTTTCTTTCTTTCTTTCTTTCTTTCTTTCTTTCTTTCTTTCTTTCTTTCTTTCTTTCTCTTTCTTTCTTTCTCTTTCTTTCTTTCTTTTTCTTTTCTTTCATTTATTTTTTGAGATAGAGTCTTGCTCTGTTGCCCAGGCTGCAGTGCAGTGGCACGATCTCAGCTCACTGCAACCTCTGCCTCCTGTGTTCAAGCGATTCTCCTGTCTCTGCCTCCTGAGTAGCTGGGATTACAGGCACATGCCACCACACCCAGCTAATTTTTGTATTTTTAGTAGAGACAGGGTTTTACCGTGTTGGTCAGGCTGGTCTTGAACTCCTGACCTCATGATCCACCCACCTCAGCCTCTCAAAGTGCTGGGATTACAGGCATGAGCCACTGCGCCCGGCCCAAATCTTTCTATTAGCAAAACATTTGGTTGATAAAAATATTGGCTTATATTTTAATAATACTGATTGGAAAGCAAGATAAAGGCACTTTGTGCTGCCTGATATTAACTGTTAACAGCCACTAATGCTGCCTTCTGCGGTTTGGAGTTTATTGAGGACACAGCCCTCTTCTTTGAAAACGTGGCTGTCTGATATCTTCCAACCAAGGGAGCTTTTCAGGACCTCAAAACTTCTTGCTTTGTAAGGAATAATTGAAATATCCCTGCAAAGGTGATTTTAAAAAAATCTTTTCTAAAATGTAAAACTTTCTTTTATTATTTGTGCAATGTTTATAATAAGTACTCATTTCAGTGAAGATAACCATTGCTTTGTTTCACTCAGATTCATTGTCAAGCTTTAAACTTTCATTTGTTTTCTAAATTGAAAAAAGCCATTTTTGGATTGTTCTTACACTGGCATTCTTAAATGAGAAGTTTGGCACTTCGTATTCTCTACTGGGCTCCCCCTCCTTACACTAGCTTGGAGTTATGCTCAGTCAGCTCTCCTCTGTATGGGAGAATGTTGAGGAACAATGCTGAGAATTATATGGGTATTGCAAACGACAAAGTGAGAGTGCTGTTGGAGATTACGATACCACAATGCAAAACAATTTAATGGTTTGGAGGTACATTTGTAAGATGACAAGGAAGGATGATTGACCACACCCTTAACCAAGGGTTAAGAGGCCCTGAAGAATATTTGGAACCTTTTTTTCTGCTGTACACAGGTGTACTGGCCACCACCTATGGCCCTTGAAGTGGGGAGAGGTTGGTGTTTTGGTGATTAGACTTTGAAATATTTTATGATTCCATGTACTCAGCATATCCTAAGTTTCTGGCTCACTGAAAAAACTTAGCAAGGCATTGTTAAGTTATGGGCTTCTTACAGTTTGGAACTCCCGGATAAGGAAAAAACAAACATTCTAACTGTCTCACAATAGTAAGAGCAAAAAGCCTGTGCAGTCCCCACCATGGACATTGTGATTGTGCATGACATACATATTCAAATTTAGAACGGAGAGATGCTTCAGCATTCTCTTGGACCAATTGTTTTTCAGAATGCAGGGTTGAATAAACAAGTATCTACATATTTCCACTCTTCTGAATGCCACATATTTGCATAATGCTGGACTTTTCAATGTTTTTGTAGTTCTTCTTCATTGAATGCATCCAAATTGTGGGAATGTGGCAGATGGTGTTATATCCATTTGACAGATGAGGAAACTGAGGCTCAATAACTTGACTTGCCTGAGGTCATGTCACACTTCTGTAGCAGAGACAGAAACAGAGCCAAGCCCTCCTCATTCCAAACCTCAGGCAGGAGCTGTGGTGAAAAGCAGGGAGTCGGTTTGCATCTTGGCTCTTTCATATGCCAGCATTGTGACCTTGGGCTGTTACTGAACTTCAAAGCCTCAGTTTTCTCCTTTGTGAAATAGGGAGACTCCCTTCTCTTAGGGTTTTTAGGGTTAAATGAAAATTTACAACCGTCCCTAAACCTTGCAAGCACTCAGTAAATGGCAGCTACTGATGTGGTTTATGTTGGTTTTGGCATACTGCTATTTGCACAACTGGGTGTTAGTTGAGCTTACCTGGTGTATCTCCTTAAGGCCCATTGGATCTGAGTATCTGGCATTCTAGGCCCATAATTCAGAATCAGTGGAAGAGACAATGTTGATACATCTCTGAGGCTTGGTTACCTGGGAGCTGGCTTGATGTCTGGGGTTCTAGATAGTGCCCCCAACAGGAGAGTTGTTACGGGGTGGGATGAGGGGCTTTGCCCGCAAGAGGATGAAAAGAAAATAGTAGAAACAGGAGAGTGGCTTTTGGGCAAACTCTTGGATTTGCTGTTCAGACATATTAGCAATTCGTTTAGTGAAGAACAGAGCAGGGATGTGTGATGGGCTTCCATTACTGTGACATCAAGGATTTGAATTCTGACCACCTGGCAGGGAATTTGGGTTCTAATTTGCCACCAGTGGAGATAGCACAATTATGATTGTCTTAACACAAGAAGCCGTCTCCCCTAACCTACTCTCAAAATCTATCTCAGGTACTAACGCTGACACAGATCTGCTGCCATAAACTTGGTTGTCTTTTTTGTGCTGGAGAGGGTTTCTTCTGAAATGTAAGCACCTGGGCTCACTCTTTCTGCCCCTCTGTCTTTGAATCAGACAGCAGCTTTACCTCTTGGCCTCTTAGCAGATTTATTCTTAAGCAATATTAAAAGTATTGTTGCTTCTTGTCCAAATCTCCTTTCCCCATTCAGAAATAAAACAACTCCCTTAAAGGGGAGAGATACCATCACCTCCCTACTTGGGGCCTGAGAGGTGTTGCAGAAAATAAAATTCTCTGAGCTCTTTGGGCCAATTGTTCCTTAGATTTTAATACCTTAGCATGTTGTCTGTGCAGTTTTTTAAAGCATGGCATCACACACATACCCAGCAGCATTTGATGAAAGGCTCCAGTTTCAAGGTAAGATAGTAGTGTCAAGCTGTGCAAAATGGTTAGTCGGCCTACTAACTCAACTCTGGAGCAAGCTGCTTAACCTTTTTAAGCTACCTGTAAAATGAGAATAAGAAGAGCTGCCTCACAGAATTGTTACCAAGAGAATAGGCTCACAGTAAGAACTCAATTGTTAATTTCCTTAAAAAAAAATCCTGCTGGGGCCTGGTGGCTCATGCCTGTGATCCCAACACTTTGGGAGGCCAAGGCAAGAGGATTGCTTGAGCCCAGGAGTTCAAGACCAGCCTGGGAAGCATAGTGAAACCTCATCCCTAAAAAAAAAAGACAAAAATTAACTGGGTGTGGTGGCATGCACTTGTAGTCCCAGCTACCTGGGAGGCTGAGTCAGGAAGATTGCTTGAGCGTGGGAGGTTGAGGTTGCAGGGAGCTGTGATTACACCATTGTACTCCAACCTAGGTGACAGAGAGAGACCCTGTCTCAACAAAATGAATGAATGAATAAATAAATAAAATCTATTGAAAGGGGGAAAAAAAGCCTCGAAGAACTTTATTTACTTTCTTCTGTTGCATGCTACCACTTCCTGAAAGAATAGACATTTCCCAATCTCCCAAGTAATTAAAAATGAATGCAGATACTGATTTAGAGTGGCTGCATTTGTTCATTGGTAGAGGTAGGGACCTAAGAAACGGAGATGTTCTTCCCATAGCTAGACTGTGTGGCTAAGCATAGCATTGCTATAACTTAAAATTTTTTTCTTATCCATTGTAAAAAGCTTATAAAATATAGAAATGCATAAAAAATAAATTCCATTTACAGCCTTACTCTATAGAAGTAGTAAGACATTTTGGTGTCTTTGCTCTTTCTTTTTAACTTAGATTTGTGTGTGAAATAGATCATGTCTACGAAAGTGCATGGAACATATATGTATGAATTAAGGAATACTAAATATACGGGTACCACTTTCCAATTTAAGAGCTAGCACATTGCTAGTCTCTATGAGCCCCTTTTGTGCCTGGCTCTTCCATTTATTATTATTTTTTTCTAGAATCAAGTTAGTTCTGTTTATGTAGTTTTATATTGTGTTTTTGTTCCTACTGTATCATAAGTATTTTTCAATAATGTCATCATTTTAGGTTGCTTTCTTATCTTTAGAGCTCAAGGTAATTACAGATCATAGAATAGCCTTTCCGGTACCGTGCCTTATATACTCATTTAATTTTACAACATGCTGTGAGCTGCAGCAGCTCCCCATTTTACAGATGTGAAACCTACATTTCAGAATGTTTAGGTAAATTGCCTTGATGACAGAGTATGCCAAAGGACTGAGATTAGAGTCCAAGTCTGTGTTTCCAAAACCCTTGCCATTTCTACCATGGACAGGCTGACTTTATGGGGCTGTATGTTGGAGGCACCGTGTACATTTAAGGAATTGACCATTAAATGTGATGATGACGTTATGGGAACTTGCTTAATGATAAAGTAGGAACAAAAACACAGTCCGAAACTACATAAACAGAAATATAGTATTTCTGCCTAATTCTAAACAAGAATAACACATGACTAAGTTCTAGTTTTTAAGTGGTACTGGTGCCAGAAAATTCCAGATGAAGGCAAGCTTCCACAAGGAATGTGGAAAAACAAAAATAATTTCTTGACCAGGTTCAGTGACTCATGCTTGTAATCCTAGCCCTTTGGGAAGCTGAGGTGGGGGGGCATCACTTGAGCTCAGAAGTTCAAGAACAGCCTGGGCAACATAGTAAGAACCCCCGGCTCTATTTTTAATTTTAAAAGAATATTAAAAATAATAAACTATAAAGGAAAATAACTTTTTGAGAATCGGAACAGTATTGCATGCTCTGCTTTTATTTGAAGAGTCTATAGTGTTGGGTTGTCTGGTGTTCCCCCTTATCCTCCCTTAATTCCCCCACCTTCCTCCCACCCCATACCACTATGAAGTGAAGTCTGAGCTTTTATGTTCTAAGCAGCCCTCCTGCTGCATTTTCTTTTTCCTTTTCTTTTTTTTTTTTTTCCTTGAGACAGTTTCACTCTTGTCACCCAGGCTGGAGTGTAATGGCACGATCTCGGCTCACTGCAACCTCCGCCTCCTGGGTTCAAGTGATTCTCCTGCCTCAGCCTCCCAAGTAGCTGGGATTACAGGCATGCACCACCACACCTGGCTAATTTTGTGTTTTTCGTAGAGGCGGGGGTTTCACCATGTTGGTCCGGGTGGTCTCGAACTCCTGACCTCAGGTGATCCACCCACCTCGGCCTCCCAAAGTGCTGGTATTACAGGTGTGAGCCACCGCTCCTGGCCCCTGCTGCATTTTCTACAGTTGTACAGTTGTGCATCTGTGATTGATTGTGCTACAACCTGGGAGGAAGCCACTCTCCTCCTTTGCTTTGCCCATGAAGACGTGGCCCTGTAAAGTCTAGAAGAATAAAATGGTTGCTATGGTTGCTGTGGCAGCTACAATGCCAAGCTGAAAAGCTGACTAGAAAGTCGCCTGCTTATCTTTGGAAAGAGAGGGGACTCCATTTGGCACAGATACAGTTGCTCATTATATTCTGCAGGTATAGTCACTGTGGCATCCTTGGGCACATTCTGCGAACTCAAAGATGTGTAGAGATTTGGAAGATGAATAAAAGGCTGTGTTTGTTTAGGTGGAAGTATGGCTGTTATTAAGTTTAGTGAGATGGTAGTGGTTAACCTCACCAAAGTATTCATTAATATAAGCATCACCTTCAGCTTTGCCACAGTGTTTTTTGGGGATAGGAAAATTCCCTGCCTGTGACCAGTGAATAGTAAAACACTACTGGGATTTTTTCAAATGGCCATTAAATGCCAACAGCCACCACCACTTGCTGAGGGACAATAAAAGGAGTGGAGGAAGGCAGTCAGTCACTTTGTGTATGTTTGAATTCTTACACTGTAGGTGTCCAACCTAAATAGTGCTGTCATTGGTTTTAGTTCAGTTAATCATGCCTGAATTAAAATAGATTTTTTTAAAACTGTGATTGTGGGAATAGTGCAACATAAAATAGTTTTATGAGGCCCTACTTCATGTCTAAAGTGTAAAACAATTTGTTTCAAAAGAAGAGAATTTAAAAACATTTTCTTTATTTTTAATACAGGGTCTTACTCTGTTGCCCAAGCTGGAGTCCAGTGGTGCAGTCATAGCTTGCTGCAGCCTGGAATTCCTGGGCTCAAGTGATCCTCCCACCTCAGCCTCCCAAGTAGCTGGGACTATAGGCATGCACCACCACAGCTGGCTATTTTTTTTTTTTTAATTCTTGGTAGAGAGAGAGGGTTCTCTTTATGTTGCCCAGGCTAGTCTTGAACTGCCAGGCTCAAGTGATCCTCCTTGCTTCAGCCTCCCAAAGTGCTGTGATTACAGGCATGAGACACCATGCCCGACCTCCAAATATTTTCTTATGATAGGTTACTCCTGGAAGCAATAAATATGATGTAAAGCTCAGATTGACTTTTTAATTATCTTTATTTTTAAATTTTGCTTTTAAATTTCCTTTTCTTTTTCTTTTCTTTTCTTTTTTTTTTTTTTTTTGAGACGGAGTTTGGTCTTGTTGCCCAGGCTGGAGTGCAATGGTGCGATCTCAGCTAACTGCAACCTCCCCCTCCCGGGTTCAAGCAATTCTCCTGCCTCAGCCTCCTGAGTAGCTGGGATTACAGGTGCCTGCCATCACACCTGGCTAATTTTTCATATTTTTAGTAGAGATGGGGTTTCACCATGTTGGCCAGGCTGGTCACAAACTCCTGACTTCAGGCGATCCACCTGCCTCAGTGTCCTAAAGTGCTGGGATTACAGGCATCAGCCACCGCTCCTGGCTGCTTTTTAATTTTCTAATTCATTTATTTTTATTGTGGTATAGATTGAGTTTTGTTGTCATACCTTCCTGTGTTTGTGGAGTCTTAGAAAAGAACTCTCAGGTTACTTTTTTTTTAAAAATTTTATTTATTTTTTGATACAGAGTTTCACTCTTCTCACCCAGGCTGGAGTGTAGTGGCATGATCTCGGCTCACTGCAATCTCCGCCTCTTGGGTTCAGGTGATTCTCCTGCCTCAGCCTCCCGAGTTAGCTGGGATCACAGGCATGCACTACCATGCCCAGCTAATTTTTGTATTTTTAGTAGAGACAGGGTTTCACCATGTTGGCCAGGCTAGTCTTGAACTCCTGACCTCAGGTGATCCACCCACCTCAGCCTCCCAAAGTGCTGGGATTACAGGTGTGAGCCACCGCACCTGACCTCAGCTTACTTTTCTTTTAGGCCAGACAGATATTCATTTGTGGAGTACAGATATTCTTCTGTTGGTTGGTGCTGTTTAGCAGTATCTACCTAGAATCTTGTGTCTCACAAGACTTGACCAGATTGATAGGCACTTTTCAAATGCCCTGCTAAAGCTGCTGAATCCCTGAATGATCAAAGCTGGCACTGACTTTGGCAGCGGCCTTGACTTTTAGAGCATAGCGTGCTAACAAAGAGGAGCTTGCTTCCTCCAAACAGTAATAGGGTAATGTCCAGGGATCAGTGAGCGTGTTCCTTTCACCCAGTACTCTGCACCTTGCATCTCTTCAGCCTCCTGCCACCTTCTACTGTTCGACACCTCTTGTCCTGGTGGTGAGGGAGCAGGCAGAGTCTTTGGATACAGCTCAGCTAAGTGGCTTCAAAGTCAGGCAGGGGAACTGGTAGCTGAGCCTCCATTGCCTGGGGTTATCTACTTGTAAGGTTTTTCTGCCTTCCTAATTCTTATTACTACTATTTTACTGCCACTCTCCCTCCATTTGTGTTACTCTGTATAACCAACACCTAAGTGCGAAAGTCCTGGGCTTCAGTCTGTACCTTCTCTATATGGTATAGATGGATGCAGGTGAGATTTCCTGCCAACTCCCAAATGTGTAGCTCCAGCCCAGGCCACTTCCGTGAGCCCCAGATCTGTGTGTGTGATTGCAAACTCAACATTCTCCGCCACTGTGTACTATTTCAAACTTTAAATGTTTAAATCCAAACTCATTATTTTGTAACCCTCCCTCCTACCTATAAGCCTTCCCCCGACAACAAAATAACATATTTGGTCTCTTTCACGTCCTTATCATGTGAAGGACGCTCTCATCCACTTAACTTTGCAAGCTGGGAGTTAATACCGTAATCTCTTGCTTTCCCTCTGTATTCAGTACATTTTATCAGTTTAGATTCTTAAATCTCTGTCCTTAGGCCCAGCATGATCTAGCCCTGGCCTCACTCACTAGCCTGATTTCCAGCTGTCCCTCTCTGCCCTGCTTAGGTGGACCCTCCTCCCCTTAGAGGCCTTACACCAGCCCCCACTTGCTGAAATCCACCCCACCTCCCCACTGCCCACCATCCTCCTGATTTCATGTTCAAAGGTCATGTCCTCTGGGGAGGCTTCCCTTGATGCTCAAATGAGGTCAGTGTCTAGGGGGGTAAGCTCTTGTGGCCTGTATGGCACCCTCACTAGAGTCTTAAGTCCCACAGCAATAAGGGCTTTGTCTTTGCTTACAGTATATGCTCAGTGCCTAGGGCAGACCCCTCACCAGGTGAGCATTTGACAGATATTTGTCTAGTGAAGGAATGAGCGGATGAATGAATGAGTGAATGAATGTCAGGCACTGTGCCAAGCAATTTGTACACATCTCATTTAATCCAGGAAACCGTCGAAACTGCAAATCTCAACTGGGGAGTCAACCCAGAGCTGAGCCAACACCCAAGCCCAGGCTCTTTCTGCTGCTACCACTGGCTTCCTTGAGGGAGAGACAGTTGCTGCTATTTGATTTTACTGATAAAAATCTGTGATGCTACAGGGAGAATGGAGCAGGACTTCTTCTAGTAGAGAAATTAGGGAGACATTGAGGAGACTTGCATTTTACCGATGCTAATTTCCTTAGGGTCATTTCTTTAAGAAAAAAAAAATCCTCTTAAGTAACAAGCTTGGGGAGCTGTAGAGCTAGATCAGAGATTTTGCTGCCAACCTCTAAGTAACATTCCAAGTCCACTTTCCACTGCTTCCTGAGGAGGCCTGTCAGAGTTTTGCAGGTGTATTCCTGATCTCCTGGCTTGGAGCTCTTATTCAGTCTGCTTCAGCTCTTCCTCTCTACTCTTTTGGTTCTTGTCTCTTTAGACCATATTTATTCATTCAAGAAACTTTTACTTAGCACCCATTATGTTCTAGGCACTACGCTGGTTGCCCACCTTTATTCCTGTTCCTGGTAAGCATCTCCTTACCATTGCCCCTCTGCTCAGCAACCCCCACACTTTTACAGGAACTATCATTCATTACGTAATGAGGTCTTGAACTTATGATTTAAGTTCAACATTAATTAGACACTTTCTGTGTAGCAGATACTGTGCTAGGTTTGGAGGTTTAAGAAGAGACACACCCTGTGCCTTGAAATCTGTTTACACTACCATCAACCACACAAGAATGGGCAGATGAACTAGTGTGAAGTCAGGAAGTATCCATAGTTTTCTGTGATCCACAAAAGCACTACAGATTTTCAAACCCCTGGACAGCTCTGAGGACTTGATCCATTCGTAGGTCAAACATTGTACAGAAAGTAACCCGAGAGAGCTACTTGAGGGCAGGACGAAGGACTGGGCTATTTCCCCTCTCTCTATCACCTTCCTCACCCTCATTCTCATACCCTATCTAAGTACTAGTTCTTGCCAGTAAGCTTCTTGCTTCCAATGTGTGAAAATGTAAGCACTTAATGGGCAATTCCTAAGTACTACTATCTTTTTCCCTGAAAGCAGTGGCATGAACTTATCTCAAAGTTTGGAAGTTAATGGGAAAAATATTGACCAATAGGCACAAATCTATGCATCTTATTTGGATTTGACATAACAGTTAAGACAACTGGACTCCAAAATAGACAGTAACAGTGATCTCCAGAATCAAAAGTGAAAAGGAAATATTAGAGCATCTACTTTTCTAACTTATTGTCTCAAGAATTTCTTTTTTGCTTTATACAAAAATGTACATAATATTCTGGAACTAACAAGTGATTATAGCAAGATTGCAATGTAAAGATGAATACATAAGTAAATCACATTCCTATATATTAGCAATGAACAAGTAGAATTTGAAATGAAAACACAACACACTTACATCAACACCCCCAAAAATGAAATACTCAGGTATAAGTCTAACAAAACATGTACAAGATCTATGTGAGGAAAACTGCAAAACTCTGAAAGAAATAAAAGAGGAACTATAAATGCATGAAGAGATATTTCATGTTCACAGATAGGAACCCTCCATGTTGTCAAGATACCAGTTCTTCCCAACTTGATCTATAGGTCCAAAGCAGTGCCAATCAAAATCCCAGCAAATAACTCTGGATATTGACAAACTGACTCTAAAGTTTATAGATAGAGGCAAAGACCCCGAATAGCCAATACAATATTGAAGGAGAAGAACAAAGTTGGAGAACTGTTGCTATCTAACTTTAAGACTTATTATAAATCTACAGCAATCAAGACAGTGTGGTATTGGTGAAAGAACAGACAAATAGATCAATGGAACAGAATAGGGATCTCAGAAATAGACCTACTTAAATATAGTCAACTGATCTTTGACAAAGGAGCAAAGGTGTGATACAAGGCAGAAAAGATAATTTTTTTCAACGAATGGTGCTGAAACAACTGGAATCCACATGCACAAAAATGAACCCAGACACAGACCTTACAACCTTCACAAAAATTAACATAAAATGAACAAGACCTGAATGTAAAACACAAAACTCTAAAACTCCTAGATATTTATTGTACATGTTTTGTTAGATTTATAATAGAAAATCTATTATACATGACTGTAGGTTTGGCATTGACGTTATGTACAATACCAAAGACATGATCTGTGAAAGAAAGAATCGATAAACTGGACTTAAATTAAAATTAAAAATTTCCGTTCTGTGAAAGGCCATGTCAAGAGAATGAAAAGACAGGCCACAGACTGAGAGAAAATATTTGCAAAAAAGATATATCTGATAAAAGACTGTTTTTCAAAATATACAAATAATTCTTAAAACTAAACAATAAGAAAACAATCTGATTAAAAATTGGGCCAATGGGCCAGGCACGGTGGCTCACGCCTGTAATTCCAGCACTTTGGGAGGCTGAGGCAGGCGGATCATAAGGTCAGGAGTTCAAGATCAACCTGACCAACATGGTGAAACCCATCTCTACTAAAGATACAAAAATTAGCTGGGCGTGGTGACACGCGCCTGTAGTCCTAGCTACTCAGGAAGCTGAAGCAGAAGAATTGCTCGAACCTGGGAGGTTGCAGTGAGCCAAGATCGCGCCACTGCACCCCAGCCTGGGTGATAGAGCGTGAGACTCCTTCTCAAAAAAAAAAAAAAAAAAAAAAATGGGCCAAAGATATGAACAGGGGCTGGGTGCAGTGGCTCACACCTGTAATCCCAGCACTTTGGGAGGCTGAGGCAGGTGGATCACTTGAGGTCAGGAGTTCAAGAGCAGCCTGGGCAACATGGCAAAACCCCATCTCAACTAAAAAAAATACAAAAATTAGCTGGGCATGGTGGCACATGACTATAATCCCAGCTACTCGGGAGGCTGAGGCATGAGAATTGCTGGAACCCAGGAGAGCCGAGATCTCGCCACTGCACTCCAGCCTGGGTGACAGAGCCAGACTCCCATCTAAAAAAATAAAAAAGATATGAATGGATACCTCACCAAAGAAGATATACAGATATACAGATGGCAAATAAGTATATGAAAAGATGCTCAATATCATATGCCATTAGGGAATTACAAATTAAAACAGCAATGAGATATCACTATATACGTCTTAGAATGGCCTTTATGATGGGCTGGTACAGAGGGTGGCTTCCAGAACCCCTCTGAAAACCAAAGATCAAGTATTAGAATTTAATAAAGATCAGACCCGGTTTGGTGGCTCACCCCCATAATCCCAGCACTTTGGGAGGCGGAGGCAAGAGAATTGCTTGAGCCCAGGTGTTTGAAACCAGCCTGGGCAACATAGTGAGACCCTGTCTCTGGTTTTTTTTTTGTTTTGTTTTGTTTTTTTTTTTTTAAAGATCACGTGAGAGGCATACAAATTCATAGGAAAAAATACGAAATGGACAAAGAACAGGAGTAGCCAATTCACAAAAAAGTAAAACTAAAAGCTTCCAGCATGCTCAGTTCCACAAAATGACAAAACCATGCGGTCCCTTTTTTCTACCTGTTAATTTAGTAAAAGCACAAATGCAAGCATGCATACAGCCCCTACATGTACCCTCTGTTTTAAGTATCCTGATCCTCTCGGGGAAATAGGTGTACCATGTACCATGCTGATGACAGTGTGCTCTGGGGGAGCCTTTTTGGTAAACAGTTTGGCTGTATATATATGTGTGTGTGTGTGTGTGTGTGTGTGTGTATGTATGTATGTGTGTGCATGCTTGCGTGTGTGTGTATATATATATTTCATACTTTAATGTCTGTCTTTAAACTCTGCTTAAGAAAACCATCTCAAGTGCAGTAAATGCCACATGTTTATCATGACACCACTTAGTATAGTGAAGAATGGGAAATCTTAATCTAGCCAGCCAATGGGAGTGTTAGGCAGACTTCACAAATGATGTGTAGAAAGACTGAATAGTAACACTGAACAATGTTTATGATCGTATTGTTGAGTGAGAAAAGCAAGACTCAATTGTACCTTATAAACTCTCTCTTTTATAGTACTTGCCAATTTGTTTTTTGTTTGCAATTCCTTGTCCTTTTTTTTTTTTTGAGACAGAGTCTCACTCTGTTGCCCAGGCTGGAGTGTAGTGGTGCAGTCTCGGCTCACTGCAAGCTCCGCCTCCCGGTTTCACGCCATTCTTCTGCCTCAGCCTCCCGAGTAGACTACAGGTGCCTGCCACCATGCCCGGCTAATTTTTTTTTGTATTTTTAGTAGAGATGGGGTTTCACCATGTTAGCCAGGATGGCCTCAATCTCTTGACCTCGTGATCCTCCTGCCTTGGCCTCCCAAAGTGCTGGGATTACAGGTGTGAGCCACTGTGCCCAGATTCCTTGTCCTTTTTAAACTGTCTTTATGTCTAGACTTGGGAGTATCCTGAGGGCAGAGATGGGTCATAGGACAGAACATGAGAAAAGTATCCGTAGTACTTTTACCCTTAGTAGATAGTCACCCTCCTGGACCTAAGGGTGTACCTGTGGGCAGAATGAATAATAAAACTTTCTTCCCACCCAACATTTCCTAAGAGCTGCTAATAGTTTTCCATATCTTAAAATTATGGGAAACAATATTTAGAGAGCTCCTTTTCACACTGAATAGATTTAAATGATTAATTTTCTTTCTTTTTTTTTTTTTTTTGTTTGTTTTTTAGTTTTTTGAGATAGTCTCACTCTGTCACCCAGGCTGGAGTACAGCAGCTCAATCTCAGCTCACTGTGAACTCCGCCTCCTGGATTCAAGTTATTCTCCTGCCTCGGCCTCCTGAGTAGCTGGGATTACAGGCACCCGCCACCATGCCCGGCTAATTTTTGTATTTTTGGTAGAGATGGAGTTTTGCCATGTTGGCCAGGCTGGTCTCGAACTCCTGACCTCAGATGATCCACCCGCCTCAGCCTCCCAAAATGCTGGAATTATAGGCATGAGCTACTGTGCCTGGTCTTAATTTTTATTTTTAACCTTGTTGAATGTTATTGGATCATTAAGAAGGTTTTCCAATATAGTATTAGCAACTGCAATAAAGATGTGTCTTTCTTGGGGGATGCAGTGATGACGGTGCAGGGCCCATACAGGCAGGGGTGGCGCCTGAGGGTCCCGGGCCAGGCAGCAGCACACAGGTGGCAGGATCCACTCAGGCTGCATCTCCCGTGGTGCTCATCTGGCTGCTGCCATCTGTGCTGGACCCCGCCAAGGTATAGAGTCTCATGGACACGATCTGGAAGGACCCAGACAGTGTGCCATCGATGTCCTCTAGATCAGAGGGGCCCAGGGAGGTGACTACTTCTACTCCTTTGGGGACTGCCACCGCTAAACAGCCTAGCAGCAGCTGCAGCCAGACTGCCAAGCTTGTCCATTTCACCCTCTCGGACCTAAGGGTGTACCTGGGGGCACCCACACCAGACTTGCAGTAACCACCTCCTTGGCACCTGCCCCCACCTCCAAGAGCCCAGAAGACACACCTGGCCTCCAGCAGGCTGGGCCTTCCAGAAGGGATAGCAGGGATGCATTCTCTTTGCACCTGTGGGGAGGGTCTCACTCTGGGCACCCCTCTCACCAGCTGCAAGGCCTTGGACTCATGCTGAACAGTGTGGGAGCCTCAGTTCCAACATCTATGACAGTTGGATCATGGCCTTACCCATGAAGCATTATTGAGAGAATGAAAGGAGAACAGAGATGGGCTTGCAGAGCCACATGCTGCTGGCTCCACATTCCCAGGAACAAGGATCCTACTGCATTTTTGTCTTTATATAACCCTATTATATGGACTACATTCTGCCATAAGGAAAGGAAAACCTTGGTTGCGATGGTTTAAACAAACAAGTTTGTTTTTCCACATAGCATGAATTCCAGAGATGGGTGGCTAATGGTATTGGTTCAACAGCTGTGTGATGGTAGGGGTCACATCTCCGAGATCCTTTTGCCTTGCCCTCATTTGCTTGTTACTTCATGGTCACAAGATGGCTGCCATGTCTCCAAGAATCATGTCTGTGATCAAGGACAAAAGGAGTGGGGGAAGAAGAAGGGCCAAGCTCGCTGGACCTGTCAACTTCTATCAAAAAGTAAAACTTCTGTCAGAAACCTGTTTCCTGCTCTCTCCTCCTGCAGATTTTCACTTAGGTGCCCTTGGCCTGAGCTAGCTACCACTGCACCTGTAGCTGTGAAGAAAGTTAAGACAGTAGGGAACAGAGTTGTATTGGTTGAGTAGACCAGTCATGTTCCATCTACTGAGACTGGCACACTGCCTCCTGAAATAAAACTGGAATCCCATTTAAACAAAAAAAGGAAGTGTCTTTCTTAAATGAGTTTTTTTTTGTTTTGTTTTGTTTTGTTTTTTTTTTTTGAGACGGAGTCTCGCTCTGTCGCCCAGGCTGGAGTGCAGTGGCGCGATCTCGGCTCACTGCAAGCTCTGCCTCCCGGGTTCACACCATTCTCCTGCCTCAGCCTCCCGAGTAGCTGGGACTACAGGCGCCCGCCACTACGCCCGGCTAATTTTTTGTATTTTTAGTAGAGACGGGGTTTCACCGTTTTAGCCAGGATGGTCTCGATCTCCTGACCTCGTGATCCGCCCGCCTCGGCCTCCCAAAGTGCTGGGATTACAGGCGTGAGCCACCGCGCCAGGCCTTAAATGAGTTTTATACAGACAATTGGCATATAGTCCTTTCATCAGTATCCTTAGGTCAAGATTATATTACATTGCAGATTGTCTCCAGGGTACTTTGGAGATGGATTCTAATTCTTATTCTCATATTGCAGTAACAGGGAAACTGAGAGATAGGGGTGTGTCAGAGTTTGAAAGACAAACTATTTGAAGACAGAAACTCTAGTGGAGCTTGATTATTAGCCAAAATACAGAATTTACTATTAAAGAAGAGGGTCCAGAATCCTATCCCAAGAAGTTACTTGGGCATCCAAAAACAGATCGTAAGACACATTGAAAGTGTGGAACTCAGACTTTGTATAAGGCTTTTGTATCTTGAGAAGGAAAATTTAAAACCTTAGGAGGATTGGGAGCTTCACGAGTTCATGATCCTTCTCTGCACCAAGTTTACACGTGCTAACCTTTCTGCTTTAGTAGCTAAACTTTTGATTCCATGAAATCAAAACCTTTTAATTGCTTTCTCTATTGGTGATCTTTAAGAGATAACTTGGGCTTATTGGTGTCAGTCTGTAAAGAAACCAAACTCTGAAGTGTGATACTATCTATTGAATTAGACAGGGGAAAAGCTAATTAGTACTATAGTGAGACTGGAGTGCTTCTCAGATGTTACCTAGTGGCAACTGAGGATGTGGAAGTTTACAGATTTTTAGACAGTCTATCAAATTACAATTTTCAGAAAAAAGTATTTCCAATGACTGCAATGTTTTGCCTCTATCAACTATATACTATGTATGAGTTTTTAGAAATGTTACTTTTGGGGCTGGGCGCGGTGGCTCACGCCTGTAATCCCAGCACTTTGGGAGGCCGAGGCAGGCAGATCACGAGGTCAGTAGTTCGAGACCAGCCTGGCCAACATGGCAAAACCCCATCTCTACCAAAAATACAAAAATTTGCTGGGCATGATGGCGCACGCCTGTAATCCCAGCTACTCAGGAGGCTGAGGCAGGAGAATCGCTTGAACCTAGTAGGTGGAGGTTGCAGTGAGCTGAGATTGTGCCACTGCACTCCAGCCTGGGTGACAGAGTCAGAGTCTGTCTCAAAAAGAAAAAAAAAAAGAAAAAAGAAAAGAAATGTTACTTTTGCACTTTCGTGGCCTTGGCTAGTTTTAAATGCTTTTTCATTGGTAGAAGGCTTACAGAGATCATGAAACATTAATAGTTACCATTTATTGTGTACTCTTTCTGTGCCAAGTACTGTGCTAAATATTTTAGGCATATTATCACAGTCAGTCCTTACAGCACTCCTTTGAGGAACATGGCATTTTCCCCAAAATACATTTTTAAGAACCCTTGAGATTTCAAAGATCAAGACCAGAGCAGGAAGGGAAAGCTCTGGGTCTGAACCAGGTCTGTCTGCCACCAAAACACCACTCTTGATAGGGATGATGATCTTGAACAGTGGTAAAATCTGGCATAATTCAAACACTTAAACTAGTTTGCGTATATGTATAAAATTCCTAGAATTCCTTATAAAACACACTTATGACATTGAAGTTCAGTAACTTCCCATGTTCCATATAAGCCACAGAAATATTGATTTGCCACAGTGAAAGAGTTAGTGGAAGCTATTGGGCCATCCAAAAGAAGCTAAGGCTGAAAAGGCTACATATGGTATGATTCCAAGTACATGACACCGTGGAAAAGGCAAAACTACAGAGAGTAAAAGGATCAGTGGTTGCCAAGGGCTAAGGGGAGGGAGGGATGAATAGGTGGAGCATGGAGGATTTTTAGGAATGTGAAACTATTCTGGATGATACTGTCATAGTGGATTATACATTCATCAAAATACAGAATGTGCAACACCAACAGTGAGCCATCACATGAACTATGGATTATAGTTATTAATAACATATGGATATTGGCTCATCCATTGTAACAAATGCTCCACACTAATGTAAGACATTAATGGGCATAGGTGAGGGGCTATACGGAAATCCTGTACTTTTCTTTTAATTTTCCTGTAAACCTAAAACTGCTCAAAAGTCTATTTGTTGCCTTTTTTTTTTTTTTTTTTTTTTTTTTTGAGACGGAGTCTTGCTCTGTCACCCAGGGTGGAGTGCAGTGGCATGATGATCTCAGCTTACTGCAACCTCTGCTTCCTGGGTTCAAGTGATTCTCCTGCCTCAGCTTCCCGAGTAGATGGGATTACAGGCACCCATCAACACAACCGGCTAATTTTTGTATTTTTAATACAGACGGGGTTTCACCATGTTGGCCTGGCTGGTCTTGAACTCCTGACCTCAAGTGATCTACTCACCTTGGCCTTCCAGAGTGCTAGGATTACAGGCAGGATTCCCTTCATTTTTAAAATTACTGACCCCAGGCCACAAGACATCAATCATGGTAAAAATTCCACTGTCCTTGATGGCACACTTGATATTTTGCTAGCTCTGTGGATGAGCTTTTCCTTATCTGTTTTCTCTCTCCCATTCCAGCTGCCAGCATGCTAGCTGCTTACGTTTGGTCTACCCACTCCCAGCCTGTCCTACCTCCTGCCATCAGATTAATCTTCCTGAAATGGAGTCCTGAGTCTATCATTCCCCTGGGGAAAAACCTTTGTTCATGCTACTCTCCCTCCTCGGTTTCTCCATCACCTGCATCACGTGGTCTGTCCTCTCTGAAATCTCGTTAGAAGCAGTCATTGAAATCAGAAGTGACCTCTATCATAGTATGTTGTTTGTAGCTTGTTGACATTTGTTCAGACACTCTTGCATTAAACATCACGTTGTACTTGCCTCCCCCTCCCCCTCAGTTGGACTGTAGGTTACCTGATGGTTAAGACTAAGACTGTTTTCCCTCCACCTTGGTTTTTGAATCACCTGGAGTGCTTTTAATACAGTGGGTCCTTGAAAAATGCATTCAGCTGAATTCAGTGTGTCTGTGTTCTCAGTCTATCCAGAGCTCTGCTATTAGGTGAAATGGAAGAGAAACTCATTGCCTATATGACTGTTATTGTGACGTACAGTGCAATAGCTGATATGTTTCTGACATTAGAATGCTCTCATTTATTGGTATTTGATCACTGGCATATTATATTTGGGATTTGTAGCCCTACTTTGACTGCTCTACTATGTATTGAATGAAGAGTTTAGATTGGTATTAATATGTTTTAACCAGTACATTTTAAACCAGTCAAACATCTAACCACATGCAAAAGAAGGGCACGTACTTATCATGCTTCTTCACATGCTTACCATGCTTGTTACATGACAAAGGGTTGCCTTTACCTATTTTTCCTTTTAGAAGATTGAAAATATTTAAATGATGCTGTTGTTTTGATCACTGTTTTACATTCTTTGAAGATTGAGGAATCTGGTGACTATTTTATCAAGCGATTTTTCTCCTGGAGTTTTCTTTTTTAACCTTTTGTGGCTTAATTCCAGTAAAAGATTTTCAAGTAAGTGAAAATGAGTTGCATATATCCATTAAGTCTTTTTCTTTATCTTAAGTAAAAGGGGAGATGAAGTAGAAATATTTAGCAACTCAGTTATTGCCTCTAGCATTTAAGAGTTCAGCTTGAAGAAAAGTAGTTGACTTGAAAGAATATGACTTAAGGACAGAGGTGAGAAGGAGATAAAGAAGTGCATCTATAGGAACAAATTTGTTTCTTATTTGCTTTAAAAATTGTTTAAGTAAAGCACATTTCACCAAGTTGAATTTCAGCTTGAGAGATGTCCAGATGTGAAACGGCAAAACTCCAAATACTGCATATACTGTGCTTTTAGAAAAATAAAGTAGTTTTTTTGTTTTGTTTTCTTTTTATTCTTTAAAAATGAAGGTCAAGAAAAATATCAGCAGGAAAGTCAGAAGTGGATTTAGATATATAAATGTCCTCATTGAGGAACAAGGGGGTGATCTTTTTTTTTTTTTTTTTTTTTTTGAGATAGAGTCTTACTCTGTTACCCAGGCTGGAGTGCAATGGCGAGATCATGGCTCACTGCAGCCTTGACCTCCCAGGCTCAAGCAATTGTTCCACTTCAGCCTCTTGAGTAGCTGGGACTATGCGTGTGCCACCATGCCTGGATAATGTTTGTGTTTTTTACAGAGACGGGGTTTTGCCATGTTGTCCAGGCTGTCTAGAACTCCAGGGCTTAAGCAATCCTCCCGCCTCAGCCTCCCAGAGTTCTGAGATTACAGGCATGAGCTACTACACCCAGCCAGGGATGATCTTTTTAAAAGGAAGTATAGTTTAATAATAATATGCAGAAAATAGGCTTAAGATTTTAGTTGACTATAAACTTAATATAAATCTATAATGTAATGTGGTTGCCCGAACCATTCTTAAAATATTAGGTTGTTTCAGTATGTTTTACTGTTTTGAGGAAAGATAAGCATCCTATTAAGATTTCAGGTGGACATACTTTTTAAGCTTTTGTATTTGTTTCACTTATAAAAATCATCAAGCTATAACAAAACTTAAGTCAACTTGTGATGTTTGCCTTCCAACAGTAGCTGATGGCATATTTTTTTCAAGTTCATACTGGATTATAGTTGAATTAAAAGTTATTTCTTAATTCTCCAGGATAATAGAAACATTAATTGTTCAGAGAAACTCCAAATATAAGGAACTTTAGAGAAAAGATGTGTTTGAGTATGTGCGTGTGTTGGGGGAGGGGGTTGCCGGAATACATGATGGAAACTTGTCTAAAGAATTCTAGTGCTTTAACTAGAGCAGAAAATAGAGCAGAAAATAGCCACAGATGTTAACTGACGGTTGAACATGTGTGAATTGGATCTTTGAAAATTTACACATGGATTTTCTTTGCAAGTTATGTGCTTCACAGAGAAGAAAGGTATATGTTCCCTTTTGCATGTCTGCTTGCTTTCCAAAGACTAGCTGCTATCTTAACTTAAAAAATTTTATTTTTCATGCCAGAAAACATTGTATTTTAAAAATTGATAAAGACACTCCATTTGTAAGTACTTGTTTTAAAGTAATATATCTAGAAGGCAAGATAGTGGCCCCCTTTCCTGTCAATGTGGAGTTCCAAAGCAGCTGAAGGTAGAAATTAACAGTCGGTAAGAGAGCTATCAAAAGAAAACCAGGAGCCAGAGACCAACTACTGGTAGTCAGTAGTAATTCTGATTGTCTACTCAATCTGCCAAGGAAAACTAAATACATTTTTTCCCCTGAGTCAGGTTAACACTTAAAGTATAAAAGGAAGTACATTCAGGATCTCATATGCCATAGTTCAAAATATTTTTTTACTTTATATATCATCAGATACATACGTGCACACACATGTAAATATGCATCATCCATGGGATGTGATCTCAGGGAGATAAGTACCAACTCATATATTCCTTTTAAACCCACTCACCATTGCCCCAATTTTTGTTCCTTCTAACTGCATTCAACTCTTCAATTCATAATCATACAGATTCATGCAAATAACAGTAACGTGTTTACCTGGTTTTACATTCTAATGTTCTATTTCTAGAACTGCTTAAAATGTTAAGTAGCACGCATTCCTGTAGTCTTAGTTACTCATGAGTCTGAGTTGGGAGGATCGCTTGAGGTTGAGGCTGCAGTGAGCTGTGAATGTGCCACTGCACACTAGCCTGGGTGACAAAGTGAGACCCTGTTTCAAAAAAAAAAAAAAAAAAAGTAAGTATATAAGAAAGACACTGTAAAGCAGAAGTTTTTCATTTCTTGTAAGTTCACCAGAGGAGTTGGGAATTGGGAAGAGAGTTGGGTAGCAACAACTAGAAGTTAGATCCATCGCATACGAGTATGCGATTGTTGAATTACATCCTTACCTGGAAAATGAGCTGTTGTAAGGGTTAAATGAAAACCTATCTAAAGCACCTATTTTAGAGTAGGAACTCACTAAGATGGTAGGGCTGCTGCTTTTATAAGGGGACTGTATTAGTCCATTTTCACGCTGCCGATAAAGACATACCTGAGACTGGGCAATTTACGAAATAAAGACGTTTATTTTATTTTATTTATTTTTTGAGACAAGAGTCTTGCTCTATCACCCAGGCTGGAGTGCAGTGGCATGATCTCAGCTCACTGCAACCTCCGCCTCCTGGGTTCAAGAGATTCTTCTGTCTCAGCCTCCCAAGTAGTTGGGACCACCAGGCACGCACCACCATGCCCAGGTAATTTTTCTGTATTTTTTTAGTAGAGACGGGGTTTCACCATGTTGGCCGGGCTGGTCTCAAACTCCTGACCTTAGGTGATCTGCTCACCTCGGCCTCCCAAAGTGCTGGAATTACAGGTGTGAGCCACCACACCCGGCCCAAGAAAGATATTTAATTGGACTTACAGTTCCATGTGGCTGGGGAAGCCTCAAGATCATTGCAGACGGCAAGGAGGAGCAAGTCACATTTTACATGGATGGCAGCAGGCAAAAATAGAGAGCTTGTGCAGGAGAACTCCTCTTTTTAAAACCATCAGATCTCGTGAGACTTATTCATTATCATGAGAACAGCACAGGAAAGACTTGCCCCCATGATTCAATTACCTCCAACCAGCCCCTCCCACAACACGTGGGAATTCAAGATAAGATTTGGGTGGGGACACAGCCAAACCATATCAGGGACATAAGTGGAAGAAGGGATATAAATAGAGTTTAGGATTTCAACTTTGATGTATGTAAGTAATGGCGGTTCTTCTGGGTGCTGCTTGGCAGTAATTGAACGGAGGTTATTTGCCCAAAGTTTCTTTGAATTTATCAGCTATTTACCAAACACTATTGATGGAGTTGACAGGACCACAAAAAAGACTCACAGCATTTTCATCTGATTCCTAGTTTTCAGGAGAAAAATTAAAGTTCTTTGGGAGAACTTTAAAATGTTACATTTAAATATAGTTAATAAAAAATGGCTTTTGGGTCCAGTGTTAACGTTAGTAAATTAATGTGATTGAGTTTCAAGTTTTTGGCTTGTGCATGCTTAAAACTTTGTGAGTCAAGAAATTCCTATTATAAATTTATTATCTTAAAAATAAGATCTGCTCCCATACCAGAGAAGATGAGACAATGAGTCTACCATCCTAACAAACCCAACACAGATATGTTTCAAATCTTTTTCCATCTCTTTTTATTATTTTTTTAAGTTTACATACATGAATTCATTTTTTGGTGTAAAATTGCACAAGTTTTAACTTATATATTCCTGTAATCACCACCACCACACTAAGGATACTAAACTGCTACATTATTCCTAAAAGTAGCCCTTGTGCTACTTCTCAGTAATTAAGCACAACCTTCCTCTACTCCAAACCCTTGGCAACTACTGATCTATGGTTTTACTTTTTCCAGAATATCACATGAATGGATTCATAAAGCATGTAATCTTTTAAGACTGGCAGCCTTTATTCAACGTAGTGCATTTGAGATTTATCCATGTTGTGTGTAATGATATGTTCCTTTTTATTGCTGGATAGTATTGCCTTGGAGAGAGATACCACAGTTTGTTTGGAGGACATGTGGGATGTTTTCAGTTATTGCTGATTATGAATAGAGCTGTCATAGACATTCGTATACAGAGTTTTGTGTGAATATAGTTTTTTATTTCTATGGGATAAGTATCTAGCAGTACTGGGTCATATGGAAGATGTATGGTTAACTTTATAATAAATGAACAAACCATTTTCCAGGATGGCCGTGCCATTTTGCATTCGTGCCAGCAATATATGTGAGTTCTATTTTTTTCTGCAACTTCCTCACACTTGATATTAAGCTTTTTGTTTTAGCCATTCTAACAGATATGTGGTAGTATCTCAGTGTAGTTTATTGTTTTGCATTTTTCTAATGGCTGATTATTTTAGCTATTTAAACTCCTTTGACATTTCATATAGAAGTTTTATTTGCTCATTTGGTAAACTATCTGCTCAACTCTTTTGCCCATTCTTTAAAATTCGGCTTTCTTATTGTTGAGTTCTGTGAGTTCTTCGTATATTTGGATTCAAGTTCTTTGTTGGATATATAAAAAGCAAGTATTTTCTTTTAGTGTGTAGCTTGTCTTTTTACTCTTATCAGAATCTTTCAAAGAGCAAAAGTCTTTAATTTCAATAAAGTCCAATTTATCTTTTTTTTTTTCATTAATGGTTTGTGCTTTTGGTGTCATATCTAAAAACTCTTTGCCTAATCCAAAGCCACAGAGATTCCCTGGGTGTTTTTTTTTCCCAAGAGTTTTATGTTTTACATGTAGGTCTGTAACAATTTCGGGTTAATTTTTATATAAGATGTAAGGTATAAGTTAAGGGGGGTTTTTTGCCTGTGGATTTTTAATTATCTCAGCACCACTTGTTGAAAAGACTACTCCTTCTCCATTGAATTGCCTTTATACCTTTGTCAAAAACCAGTTGACCATATTTAGTAGAGACGGGGTTTCTCCATGTTGGTCAGGCTGGTCTCGAACTCCCGACCTCAGGAGATCTGCCCGCCTCAGCCTTCCAAAGTGCTGGGATTACAAGCGTGAGCCACCGCGCCCGGCGCATTATAGTAAGTCTTAAAACTGGGTAGTATGAGTACTCTAACTTTTGTTTTTTCAAAATTATTTTAGCTATTTAAATTCCTTTGCCATTTTCATGTATAAAGTTTATTATTGGCTTGTCTATCCCTTGAAAAAATTCTGCTAGGATTTTGATTGGAATTGCATTAAATCTATAGATCACTTTGAGAAGTGACAACTGTGTTAGATCTTCAAGTCCATGAACATCATAGGTCTCTCCTCTTTTTTTTTTTTTTTTTTTTTGAAACGGAGTCTCACTCTGTCACGCAGGCTGGAGTGCAGTGAGTGGCACGATCTCGGCTCACTGCCGACTCCGCCTCCCAGGTTCAAGCGATTTTCCTTCGTCAGCCTCCCGAGTGGATGGGATTACAGGCACACGCCACCATGCCCGGCTAATTTTTTGTATTTTTAGTAGAGGCGAGGTTTCACCATGCTGGCCAGGCTGGTCTCAAATTCCTTACCTCATGTTCCACCCGCCTCAGCCTCCCAAAGTACTGGGATTACAGGCATGTGCCACCACGCCCGGCCTAGGTCTCTCCTTTTATCTAGATTGTCTCTGACTTCTTTCATCAGTGTTTTATAGTTTTTATCTCTCTTTAAAGTTGAAGAATCCATTGATTCTGATGTTTGGGGGTTTTTTGTTTGTTTTTTTACCTTTCTTCCTAACAGAAATGTTTTCAGAATCTGATTTAAGTTTCTTTTACTGCAGTAGGTACACTAGAAAACATAATTATTTGTCCAGATCTCCATCTTATTTAGTGTTGGACCCAGGCCCTCAATGACAGAAGGTCCCCTTTAATAGGGCAGTGACTATGTGTACCAATTCCACGGGTCTAGCCAGCTTTTCATAAGTGACAACAGACCAGAGAGCATACTTACGTCACTATTTCCTATTTCTCTCATCTTTATTTTCAGTTACAGTTTCTGTCTTTGGGGAAAAGCAGGCAAAATCTAATTTGTAATGGATAGAACTAGCTGTCCACTTAAACAATAGAAAACTGAGTCATAAATTCTGTCTTTATAAAACTCCTCCATACTTTTGGAAAATGACTCACTTTTAGGCAGCGTCTGCCATAGATATTTGCCAGAAAGTGATCTAACTTGGATAAGCTTGATGCTTTGTACAAGTTTCAGAGCCCCTGTAGAGAAAGCTCTTAGGAACCAGAGACCATCGTGTGCCTGTCTGTGTCCCGTGACTTTCAGTCCATCAACACACGTCACTGTAGCATTTTGGAATGTTCTGGTTCAGTTGCTCTCAGATGTTAGCTACTTCAGAACCACCTGGAGGGCTTGTTAGAACACAGATGATTGTGTACCACTCCCAGAATTTCTGGTTCTATAGATCTGGGATAGGTCTGAGAATTTACATTTTGAATAAGTTCCAGGCATTACTGAGGCTGCTAGTTTGGGGCCTGCTTGGAGATCAATTCCTCTAATTTCTGTGTTTGTGTCATTCAAAAGAATTGATAATTAAAAAAAAAAATGCAACCAACAGAATCTCTATAAAATCATATATGTTTACAATTAAATCATTCTTACAAGTAATGAGATGGTATGGATTTGTTCTCAAGTTATTGGATGGAAACAGAAACTTCTCCACTAAGGAGCCCTGTCCATAGCTGATGTGAGAGAGAAAACAAAGCTGGGCCACATTGCTTTCTGCCTTCTTCTTTTATGTAACCAGGAGGGAGCATATCCCTAGAATTTTTTTTTTTTTTTCTAAAGGCGGAGTGTTTCTCTGTCGCCCAGTCTGGAGTACAGTGGCGCAATCTCGGCTCACTGCAACCTCTGCCTCCCAAGTTCAACCAATTCTCCTACCTCAGCCTCCTGAGTAGCTGGGATTATAGGTGCCTGCCATCATGCCCTGCTAATTTTTGTATTTTTAGTAGAGATGGAGTTTCGCCATGTTGGCCAGGCTGGTCTTGAACTCCAGACCTCAAGTGATCCACCCACCTCGGCCTCCCAAAGTGCTGGGATTATGGGCATGAGCCACCGCGCCTGGCCATTTAACAGCTTAAGGTTGGGTCTCAAGTCCTATTTCTTACCTCAAGGAAATGTACGATGTTTATATTTATTTCTTTCATTTAGGCATGCTAAATTCTGTATATTGACAGCAGACTTAACTTGAATGCAGAAAGGAGAATTCAGCAGCACTCAAAATGAATTTACAACGTGACAGTGTATGATTCATTCTAAAATGCTTACCATTGACTAAAAGCTTTACTCCTATGTACCTTGATAGAGCAGAGATAGTATGGTAGAGTAGAAAGATCAATCATTAACCAAGGAAATCTGTTCTGTGTGCCTTGGACACTCAATACAAGGGCCTTGGAAGCCACTTACTTTGAATATCACTTTAGTCAGGAAATTGAGGAGTTTTTGGAATCGATCTTTTTAAGTTTCTTTTTGGCCTTGAGATTTTATGTTTTTATGTTTCTATTTATTTCTGCCTAAGTAAATGACCCCGTTTTCTTTCTTACCACCATCCATCCCCATTACAAATTACATGCCTTTTTGTAAAAGATCTTAACCTCAGAAGGAGAGGAAATGCAATCAGCAAACTCACAAATTTTCTTTCAGTCTTAATTTTCTTTTGCCTTTTTTTTTTTTTTTTTTTTTTCTGTGAGGCAAGGTCTCACTCTGCTGCCCAGGCTGGAATGCAGTGGTGTGATCATGGCTTACTGCAGCCTCAACCTCCCATGCTCAAGTGATTCTCCCAGTTCAGCCTCCCAAGTAACTGGGACCAAAGGCAGGCACCACCACACTCTGCTAATTTAAAAAAAAAAAATTTTGTAAGGGGGAGAGTCTCTCTATGCTGCTGGGGCTGTTCTTGAACTCCTAGGCTCAAGCGATCCTCCCTCTTGGCTTCCTAAATTGCTGGGATTACAGCCATTGAACCACCACGACCAGCCTTAATTTTCACTGGGAAAGATTATTGAACTGTATGCTGTGTTCATTAGCAATCTCGCCATATCAAATTTTTGCTACCTGGGTTGAAACAGGGAATTTGCATGTCTTTCTAAAATGCATGCGTTTTTGTCTGCAGATGTCAAATAGGCAAGGCACAGCTGAATAAGACATGGAAATGTAGCTTGTTACAAGTATAGTGTGTGGAGGAATTTCTAATCTCTTTCTGTCCAATCAGCTATGCAGTAAGAGCTCAGTTTTCATCCTCTAGCCCTGAATAGAATGGGGGCATCATCAGCAATCTATTCTGGAGCATACATTTTTAAAGTGCTTTGAAGAGAAAAATTTTCATCTACTAAGTAGTGAAGAACTCCTGATTAATAATCGCATTTCTTTTAATTTGTTTAAATTGAGATGATTAGGAGAAAACAAAGATGGGGGAAAGATTCAGGATTTTAGAGAGTTATTACATCCTGATTCGGGTGATTATCCGTACTCTCCACCTCGGACACACTGTGAGCTTTATTTACGTACATTTTGAGGCAGACAAGATTAGCTAGATCCCAGGTGTCCATTACCCTGTGACCTTTTACCAATACAGGTAAGAAATCTTAAACTCAAGCAGAAACCTGTACACAGCTGATCTCTTTAGGAGTCTATAAATCTGGGGCATGTGCTGTGAGATGTGTGCAAGCCTTGTTGGGTCACTCTCTGTTAGGAGAAGGCCCCCCAGTTAAGGCAAAGGACAACCCAACCTATTCCCAAATTGACCTGTGTAGCAGAATCAGCTTTGGTCTTAATAATGCAAGGAATCAAAGAGCCTTTGGTGTTGAATGAAGTATGCTATACCTTAGCCAGAAGCCTCACTTCTGACCTGTGCTTGATATCCTGTGTATTGTGACTTGATTATCCATACATTTGACTTTTCAAGACTCCCTGAGGCTGGGATAATTAGAATAGCCTGGTAAAGCCATTTAAGAGTTTTTTAAATAACAATTTAGGGACTGTAGTAGGGTTCCTGTTGCCACTGTTCTCCAACAGCACCCAGCATTTGAGAATCAGTTAGTACCGATCCGATCCAGTGATATATAAGCAAAAATTCTGATTGTGGGAAAACAGAAGAGAAGGCAGTGTTGGCTGTTCAAGCCACATGTCTAGGCATAAATGGGGAGGCCATGATTTCTCACTGCTTTTGACATGAAACCACAAAGAATGTCTTTGTTAAGAATCAAAAAACATAAGAGTTGAACAAGCCAAAGGAAGAAATGATATCATGGCCTAGTTGAATCAACTAAGAAATATTTTTATGTTAAAGAAATTCTTTAACCTTATAACTAGGGCATTCACATTCTTGAGTATATTGAGTGGAAGATTCCTCTGAAAAGAAAGTTCACATCAATAGCCTTTGAAAGATTTAGGGAATATTTTGCAGTGTAAGATTCGTTATTTAAAATCTGAAATATATTTTTCCTTCCTACGACTCTTCTATGTGTTTATAGTAACATCAAGACAATGACATCCTGCAATTGCACTAGAATGTATTACAAATGCATGCCTTGTGCCAATGTATTCAACAAGGAAGCTATCTTTTTCCTCTGTCTTATTTTCATTGAGGAAACCCATGCCTATGCATTATGCATGCGAGTCTGGTGTGGTGTTTAAGTAACCTCCCATGGGACTGCCGTGAGACTGCTGTGAGTCTGGATTTGGGGGAGAGCTGTGTCTTGGCATTTTCAAATATAAGAGAAGGATGTTACCTGATACTCAGAGAATCTTGGCTGAAGCTTGGCATCCCTCTCTGGATTAGCTTAGTGTTGTTTCATGATACTATTTTTTGTTTTAACCAGTTGTGCCATTGTTTGCTGATGGAAATTGTTACATGCCAGCCGGCAATGCTAGGGTTTCAGATAAATAGAATATCAGCATCATTCTTCATATCAGCAAAATGATAAGTTGTGGTTTTGCCCATCATACTTAAAGCTAATTTAGGACTTAAAATCTGGAGCCATGCAAATTTATAAGAACTGCTTAATAGGAGACAGTGCATTAGTTGATTTAGTGGTTGAATTTCCAGTGAATTTTTTTTTTTTAATTCTGTGTAGGGACCCATTTTAAGATAATCTGGAAAAGAAGAGAACCAGGGAGGAAAATACAGTGTGAGGCAGGCTGGGTGGCAAAATGGAAAGAGAGGTAGGCTTTGGGATTAAATAAAGCCAGTAGTTCTCATATTTTCTGTATGGCAAGAGCTCCTTTAGCAGGCTGAAAGTTCTGTGGAACCCCTCTCAGAATATTTTTAAATGCATAAAATAAGCTGGACTACAAAGAAAGCCAGTTGTATTGAAAAGTTACCAAAATATTTAAGAAAACACTTATGGCACAGTAGTATGTGCTTTTTTACTAACACACAAAATAACAAGTTCTAGTTGTGGGACCTAATGACTTCTATAGTTTTGAAATGGTGATGGGCATAAATGATATTTCACAATTGGCAACAACTGTGAAGTGATATAAAAATACAGGTATTTCTGTTGGAGACAAGGTCATAGATACTGCCAATATCTGGTGGGTGGTCCATACATTCATAATTGAAGGAAAATGCTAAATTGTAGAGGCTAATGCAAAGTAAAATGTAATTATTTTCCTGTCCCAGTCCCCAAAACAAGAGCTTGTGGATCTCAGATTAAGATCCCCTGGGTTAGAAGAACTTGGCTAGAATATTAACATAGCCTTTTACTGGCTGTACCACCTTAGGCAAGTTAACCTCAAAAAGTCTATTTCCTCATTTATAAAAGCGTTGATGAGACCTACTTTGTACAGTTGTGGAAAGGCATAGGAAGATCATGCCTAGCCTCACTCTTTGTGTACAAATGATGACTTGAAGCACGTTAGGTCTTCTGGCCAGATTTCTTTTGGCAGTGATAGAATAAAATGACACTTGCTACACTTGCTGAGAGGTAGGGGCAGACTTTATGCTAGGCAGGGAACTCAAAGATTACACTGAAAGCAGAAAACTCCTTTACCTTTAGATTTTCTTAAGAGTTGTCGACCCTTAAGGAGTGTCAGAAGTGGGATATAATATGGAGAAAAGAGAAAGCATTATAAAATATGTGGAAAGGAGTCTATTAGGAAATTTCCTCCTGGCCTTGTTGATCCAAAGCCTTTAGTTGCAAAGAAACAGCTTTTTGTTCATTATAAATGTTTTAACAATAACTAGAACTGGTGTTGCCATCCACCCCATTTGGGCATGAGCTTTTTTCTTCCACCGGAGACGTAGGTCCCCAGATGATTGATTGGCTGCAAAGTATGGACATGTCTTGATTGTTTCTAGAAGGGGCGGGACCACTGCCTTCTTGGATTGTAACTACTACACCTGCAGAGCCCCAAAAGGTCTGGCTACTCTATTAGATTAAGGTTTAACATGTGATAATAGTCTAGTTTTATTACTTAAGGGGAAACTCAAAAGTGTGGATACCTTGATTTTGTCTGGATATTTTATTAAGCACATGTACCTATAGGCCATAAGGATGTGTTCTTTTTCTGGCTGGCCACTGAGTGTGTCTGTGCATGATGCTGGGCAGCTCTTCCTTTCTCCCTGACAGCTTTTAAAGGCAGGATACTGAGTGTTTGATCCATCATCTCAGTGAGGGTGTGAAATCAGTGAGGCAATGGAGCTTCAGGGTTTCCTTGTCCCTTGGGTCATGGCTAACACCCCATTTAATGTCTCCTTTTCATCAAAACCAGATTTGTCGTCTCACTTATTTCCCAGTGTCTGGCCAAGATAGTGATCTTTATGAAAACAAACTGGAAGTAATGCAAGCCAGAAAAGATGGGAGAGCTTCGCCTCTGCAGAAGGAAGCTGTTAAGGGGAACAGATGGAGACAGGGTCTAAACAGCTTCAAGAAAGTGTGCACTTGCTAGTCTCAGAGGTGCTCCCTGTCCCCCAAGAGCTGTTTGAATCAGGAGCTGCTTAAGGACCTGAATGACTTCTCCAACTCTGCCAGGGATCCTTCATTAGCCCTGCACTTCTGAGATCACTCAGTGCCCCCCATAGACCTCTCCTGCTCTTCTGAATGCAGAAGCAGGAGTGGGATATAAAGTGAAAATATAGTAAATTCTAACCTAGTGTGGCTTGAAAAAGAAGTTGCAATTTATAGAGAATTGCCAAATATACTGTGATGGATCACTAATTTTCAACATATAATAATTTATTAAAACACTAAGGATGACGTCTATAATTGTCGTATTAATCTCTGAAGGTATCAGGACTTTACAAGGTTCCTGTGCCTTGGCCATCATTGTGATCATTTATAGTGACTAATCAATTTGACAACTATGTGGCATATGAATGGTAAGCATTCTTGGCAAGCAAAGGGAAGAAATGTCTTATCTGCATTTACCAGATCTCATGTCTTGGCTGTTTGCAGTTATTTACCCCTTTCTTCCATTAATCTAAACTTCCAAGACCCTAAGCTCACATTGTATCCTGTATTAACTTGCTAACTAACCTCCTGTTTTTGTGGTTTTCTTTCTCTGATCTAATCAGTCCAATCAGAAGAAAGATTACACTTACAGATGCACATGCTGATGTCATGACATCATCCTCTTATTTAAGGATCTCCCTTTGCTTCCCTATCAAGTCTCAACTTCTCTGGCCATCTAGACCTCAGGTGAGGTCCTTTTATCTTAGCGACCTTGTTCTTTGATTCACTGACATGGATCTTGGGCGCCATTAAGATGGTTTATTTGTTGTCAGACACCCTTTGTTCTTTTCTGTCCTTTCACTGTGGAATTTTTCTCTTGGCCAAATTCTATCCATTCTTGGCCCACACTGCCTTCCTAGCATTCTTGTATCCCTCTCTCACTGTCTCGCCTGCACAATTTGGTATATTTGGTTTACTATTGGTCTTCTGTTATTTCACATATTACTTGTTTTTCCAGCAAGTCAGAGTTCCTTAATAGAAAGTATTCTGCTCTATTTTATATATTATAATTCTTAGCAAAGCACCAGCACACAGTAAGTGTTCAATAAATATTTAGAGGAAGCAGGTAAAAGGTGTCATGAGTTAGATATTTCAAATAGGAGGAGATGGACCCTTGATGGGGTCAACCAGCATCAAGTGTGCCTCTTTTACAAAACCAGGAACCCAATCTTCTCCTTTTTTCAAAGTTGATCCAGGCTTATGGAATTCAGTTCATAAAAACCAAGCTCAAGGGAGTGAATGCCAATTCAATAACAATGAAAAGTCTAACCTCTAGGTAACAGAAATATCTGTGTCAGCCATTCATTGCATCCTTTTTCTTGTAGCAAGGCTTCCAGCAGGCGACTCTAGGGTCATTCGTGGCCAATATGATTCATTTGCACCAGCTCTGAAGCCTAGTGCATGCCATTTAGACTCTAGGGACACCTTGCAAAGTTCTTGCTTTTTACTTTCACCCCTTCCTCATAGATGACTCTTTGCTTTTTAAAGGAATTGAAGGGCTATTCTATAGACAGGAGTAAAGCCTGTTCAGAGATGTTCTAAACACCAGATTTTGTTTGCTTGAGAAGCAAAGAGAAGATAATTTAGACAAGGGCAAAAGCACCATGAGAAGACTTTGAAACAGTTTTACCCAAGTTGTAACTGGAGAAGAAGACTTGATGAGTCTTGTGAATTAGGCAGATAGCATTCATGAGCTGGAGAGAATGGGAAATGCAGAGTGCAAGGGAGATTAGTTTTGAGGGAGCAGGTGGCAGTGTTGAGTGATGCTGAGGGGAGATCAGAATGTTGAAAGAGAAGTATGACTGATATCTGGTTAGTTTCTTTGTTTTGTCTTTCTTG
Source organism: Homo sapiens (assembly GCF_000001405.40). Taxonomy (NCBI): domain Eukaryota; kingdom Metazoa; phylum Chordata; class Mammalia; order Primates; family Hominidae; genus Homo; species Homo sapiens. The sequence continues at coordinate 76,529,205 of NC_000005.10, forward strand.
AGCTGCTTTCACCAATGATGTACATATGAAAAAGGGATGTTATGAATAAGTTACCTTCAAACTAAATTAACTGAGTGGTTTTTACATGGAGCTTCAGGATATCCAGAAGCATATGTCTAGGAATAAAAATGGTTATTTTTGAGGGCTGGGCGCAGTGGCTCATGCCTGTAATCCCAGCACTTTGGGAGGCAAAGGTGGGCAGATCATGAGGTCAGGAGTTCGAGATCAGCCTGGCCAACATGGTGAAACCCCATCTCTACTAAAAATACAAAAATTAGCCTGGTGTAGTGGCGCACGCCTGTAATCCCAGCTAGTCAAGAGGCTGAGGCGGGAGAATTGCTTGAACCCGGGAGGCGAAGGCTGCAGTGAGCCGAGATCGCGCCACTGCACTTCAGCCTGGGTGACAGACCAAGACTCCCTCTCGGAATAATAATAATAATAATAATAATAATAATAATAATAATAATAATAATGGTTATTTTTAAAGTAATATTTAATGTGAAATTCATAAGACTTGAAATTGGGGGAAATTGGAAGAGATTAATTCCTGTCCTTTGACTCATTGTCCTTTAACACAGATTAGTATTTTTGCAATCTTAGAATTATGTATTTATCAGGGGCTTCTTTTTCCTGTGGACAGTGTCAAGGGGTGTTTTGAAGTGACTTGAGCCCAGGAAGTCTGTTTGGATAAACACTGATGGACTGATGTAGAACAGTTTATCATCTCTGAGCAACTGGTAATCACTCAAACACATGTAAGAAGCTCAGTGGTTGCTTTTTGCAACTATCAATCATGATGGTTGTGTAATGCAAATAGGAGTAAAGAAGGTTTGATTAGTCTGTAACAGCAGCTGGCACATTTTTTTTGTAAGGGGCTGGATGGTTTTGTGGGCTGTGTGGACTCTGTCCTTATAGTTTGAAAGCAGCCATAGGCCATAAACAAATGTGTGCAGCAGAGTTTGAATAAAACTTTATAGAAAATGAAGTTTGATTTTCATGTAAACTAATGTGTTATGCTATTCTTTTTTAAAAACTTTCCAGCCATTAAAAAATCTAAAAAATATCCTTGACCCACAGGCTGTATGTGCCAATCCCTGGTACATAACATAGAATAGGATGAGTTTCGGGAAGAAACAGTACAAAATACAGGCTGCTATATGTTTGCAATAGTGTGAAAAGAAAGTTTACCCAGCGTTTTCTTGGCAACTGAGACTTCTTGTACCATTCATTTTCAAAAGTCATTTCAAAACCAGGAATTTTTTCCTAATTTCTCCAAACTGATTATATCAGCTTTCTAAAATATTTGGTGTGTAATCAAAGTACAGTTTTGTTGCTGGATTTCAAAGGCTGCAGTTTAGTACTAGGTTTCTCCTGTTTCAAAAGAAATTGTGTTATGTACATAAATATGTACGTGCACATGCACACACAGGAGGGCTCTTTAACAATTTGAAGTTCTTCTAATTTCCTTTTTGTTCACTACTAAGTGATTCTTTATTCTCCATGTGTCAGTTTATTTCCAGATGTACATCTTAGTTTTCTTCTGGTAAAGTCCTGTTTCTTCCTGTCCTTGCTGATAGAGGAAACCACATAAAGCATTTCTTAAAATTAAGAAAACAATGTCACTTCAGCTGTGAATCCTGTAAACTTTAAGAATCCATTCAGAATGCACTTGAATGGGAACATTTTGTAAAGAAAGCTGAAAAATGGCAGTCAGATTTTTACAGAACAGCCCAAAGGGGTGTTTTGTGTGCTAATGATTAGAACTTTTGCAGATTCTTGCTTAGTAATTAGGACTGACAGATGGGCTCTGTATTAGTCCATTTTGTGCTGCTATAACAAAACACCCAAGACTAGGTAATTTGTAAGGAACAGAAATTTATTTCTTTCAGTTCTGGAGGCTGGGAGTTTCAAATCAAAGTACCAGGAGGTTAGGGCCCAGTCTCTCTGCTTCCAAGATGGTGCCTTAAATGCTGCATCCTCTGGAGGAGAACACCATGTCCTCGGGTGGCAGAGGGGCAGAAGAGAGAGAACCTACTCCTGCAAGCTTGCCTTTTTAATTTTTTAATTTTAATGTTTTTAGAGACAGGGTCTCTGCTCTGTTGCCCATGTTGGAGTGCAATGACATGATCATAGCTCACTGTAACTTCAAACCCCTAGGCTCAAGCAATCCACGTGAGTAGCTAGGACTACAAGTGTGTGCCACCATGCCCAGATAATTTTTATTTATTTATTTATTTATTTTGAGGGACAGGGTTTTGCTATGTTGTCCAGGCTAGCTCAAGCTCTTTTGATAGCAGCATTAATCTACTCATGAGGGTTGTACCGTTATGACGTCAATACCTCCCATTAGGCTGCACCTCCCAACACTGCTGCATTGGGGATTAAGTTTCCAACATGCAAATTTGGAGGACATATTCAGACTATAGAAGGCTCTGTTCCTCGGAACACTGTCTTTTTAAAAAGAAGTGCATTTAATTATTCAAAGAATACATGATTATATTTTTGTCTTTTAAAATAATATGGATAAATTGAATTTCTCATTTGACCCTGTCTCCTCCACTCAATACTTCTTCCCTTCCCAGAGATAATGTCTTAGTCTATCCAGGCTGCTATAACAAAATGTCATAAACTGGGTGGCTTAGAAACCACAGAAATTTATTTCTCACAATTCAGGAGACTGGGAAGTCCAAGATCAAGACATTGGTAGATTCGGTATCTGGTGAGGGTCTACTTCCTCATAGATGGCTGTCTGCTCACGTAATCTCACCTGGTGGACAGAGCCAGGGATCTCTCTAGTGCCATTCATGAGGGCTCCACCCTCATGGCCTAATGGCCTCCCACAGGCCATATCTCCTAATACTGTCATATTCTGGGTTAAGATTTTAGCATAGGAGTTTGAGGGGGACATAAGCATTCAGTTCATTGCGGGCAACCATTGCTATCAATGTTTTGTAATCATTTTCTGTGTGTTTATGTAAATAAATGTTCATGAAGTATGTTTCCTAATAGAAACCATATGAGACCAGGCATGCTGGCGCATGTCTATAGTCCCAGATACTCAAGAGGCTGAATTGCGAGCATTGCTTGAGGCTAGGAGTTTGAGTCCAGTCTGGGTAACATAACAAGACCTTATCATTATAAGATGAAAAAGAAAAAAAACCCATATGGATGTTATATCCTACAGATTATAATGAAAATTGCTTTTTTTTCCTACTTGATCCATGTTGGAGAACACAGGTCAGCATTTTTCTTTTGCCATGCTTTCCTGAGGATTGGGTGGGTGGGGGGGTAGAAGGTGATAGAAAACCCTTTGCATATGATATGGTGGTAAGACAGCCTCCTATCCTGTAGGCGTGGTCAAGGTTTAAAGCTGACTATCTCATGGGGTGCTCATGAGGGTTCTTCAAAGACTCTGTCATCTGTGTCAGTTTCTGGGAGTCTAGGGGTCCACCACCAGTCCTGCCACTGTGATCATGTTGCCCTTTCAGACAGCCCTAGAGGACTGGACCTGAAACAAGCCCTGGACTGGCTCGTTCTTGTCGGAGGACCACTCCGTGCCCTTGGAAACATCAGGCACTCTTTGCCCCAACACCCACAGCCTCTGAGAGGATGGCCCAGACCCACTGCAGCAGCAATTTCCCTTCACTCCCATGCCACCAGGGCAGCTAGCCACACTGCCTCTCATGTTCCAGGTCCCCAGAGAAGGGGTGCCAGCACCTCTCTGTGTCTCTTTAATGGTGGAGCACTCAAATCAAGCCCCCAACTGGCCTCACTGAAATCCGGCTTGTGAAGTAAGAAGCTGATATTCCTACTCTTTCCCCAATGGGAAGAGGGTGCTGAATGGGGATCTCAGTGCAGCTCTTTCCAAAGAAATCCTCCCTCACATCTTGCTCTTGACCCTCCCTGTGGGAGAGGAGCTTAAGCCTAGTTCTTAGTTATCTCCTTTTTGAAGGGCAGATGGGTGTTTTTTTTTTAACTCACTTTGGTATCTGATATTGCTAGCATCTTGTGTTAGAGCCAAAACTTGCAGTGTAGCATCCTCATCATGTGTATACTAGAAACTTACTTGTGGAATTGTTGGATGATAGAGGGATGGTGCAGTAGAATGTTAAATTACTCACCGACGGGGTCTCAGGTACATGCCACACGCTTGCCAACACTTTACAAAATTGATCTTTAAATGTTTTTACCAGGCTTTTGAAGGAAAAAGACACATATATCTCACCATTTTACTTTTCTTTACTAGGCAGTTCTTTATATATTTATTGAGCATTTTAATTTTTCTTTCCATGAATTTCCTGTTAAAGTCCTTTGCCCTATTATTTATATATATATATTTTTTTATTTTTTTCTTGAGATGGAGTCTCGCTCTGTCGCCCAGGCTTGAGTGCAGTGGCACGATCTTGGCTCACTGCAAGCTCTGCCCCCTGGGTTCATGCCATTCTCCTGCCTCAGCCTCCCGAGTAGCTGGGACTACAGGCACCCACCACACCTGGCTAATTTTTTGTATTTTTTAGTAGAGACGGGGTTTCACCGTGTTAGCCAGGATGGTCTCAATCTCCTGACCTCATGATCCGCCTGCTTCGGCCTCCCAAAGTGCTGGGATTATAGGCGTGAGCCACCGCGCCTGGCTTGCCCTATTATTTTAAAAATTGTCTCTATTTATTGATTTGTAATTCTTTATATATTCTGAATACGAACCCTTTGTTACATAGCAAATATTTTCTCCCAGCTTGGCCTTGTCTTTTAACTTTGGGAAATTGGACTACATCAAAGGCACGATGAATAATGACTTTGTGTTGTGTCTGGCTTAAAAAGGCCATCCTTCTCCAGGGTTATAAACACCTTCTCCTATATATTCTTCTCATGCTGTAATAGTTGACATTTTACAGTGTTTTGAGGGTTAATCCATCAGGGATATTTTCATGAATAGTAGAACTCTAACTTAATTTTTTCCCACATGGAGAGCTAGTTATTTCAACACTGTTTGTGGAAAGCCAGTAGCATGGTGTGTGGCCACTAGAATAAGGGTAGTCAAAGGGCTAAAGTGGCTGGAGTGGGGAGAATGACAGATAATTGCTAAACATCCTACTGATCAAGGTTAGATGACTTCTCAGTCTAGAAGATACATACCCTTCTGAGAAAGCCCCCTGTAGGAGTGAACACCCAACATCCTTTGACCGGTTTTACTATCAGAACATTTACATACAGGCAGAACTAAAATCTGTGATTATCTGGATGAGAAAACAGTTGTAGGCAACTTACTCATTTTTCTGAACAAGAAAAGGTTCTACATAATTACGTTCTCTATGAATCTTTTATCAGATTTAATAGTTAAGTCTCTTCAAAGAACATGAGATATTCTTTTTTTAAAGTGAGCCTATGATTTATTTATCCTCATTAATACTTGTTTTCCCCAACCCTTCCAAGCTGTTTGGGAATGTTGTGTGTCAGGGATCAGTGAAGGTCATGAAGATGCCTTTAAGGCCTGATTAACCTGATTTGAAAAACTTTAAAACTGACCTTCTCTACATCTCCCCATTATTGTCCTACGTTTCACAGTCAGATCAAGGCTTATTATCCTTTCCACTGGGGAAGTAGCCCAAATCATAGTGTGAGTGAAAAACATTTACTAAGAAGTGTGAGTCTTTTAAACCCTCTTGTGTTTCTTTTAAGAAATTAAAACCAATAATGACTATCAGTTGAATTTGGTTGTTCCACCTTTATTTTATCAAAATCCTTGGACATACATTAAAGTATTTGTCCCTTGGGCAGGTGCCAAGGCTATGAAGTTGGAGCGTGGCATGTTCTAGAAGCAGAAAGAAGGCTGGTGAGGTAGGGACACAGCAGGTAGGGAGTAGAGTGAGGCCAAGCCCCAGGTCAGGGCTGGACCTCAGGGCCTAGGTCCAGGTGAAAGCACTGGGCATGATGCTGAGGGCAGTAGATGCTGTGGGAGGATTTTAAGCAGGGTGACAAGATCAGGCTTGTACTAGATGAGAACGTTGGCTGTGTAAAGATAGATTGACAGTAAGCAAGAGTGAATCCAGAAAAAAATAATCTAGAAACCTGTTGCAGTGATACAGGTGAGGGATACTTTGCCTTTATTGGATTTGAAAGTATAAAAAAAAAATGAACATCTGTTGTTTAGAGTAAAAGCCCTGTAAGGTATGGTATAAAATGAAACATTTTCAAAAATGCCCATGTCACAAAAAAATTTTTTTTAAATCAGCTCTGTGCAGGACCAGCTACCTAATTTGCAGGGCCCTCACTGCCAAATGAAACCGTGGGACCTCTTGTGCAAAAATAAAATAATTTCAAGATGGCAACAGCAGAGCATTCAACGAACATGGGACCCTGTGTGATTGCTATGCGGCACGCCCTGGGTCTGTGTGACAAAATGGCTTGAGTCAGTCCCTGAGAAGCTTCTCCTTGCCTGTTCCATAAAAAGGCTGATGATGACTCCTGTGGTCTAGGCAGAGAGGTAAAGATAAGCTAAGCTTGTGTAGCTACTACTGTTATTTTGTTTGTTTGTTTGTTTAGACTGCTTCTTGCAGAGCAGGGCTACCCTACCGGCAGTGCGCCCAGAGTAACCTGTTCTTTAACTCAAAGGCTTTGTTAACCTTAATACAATGTAAATTACAGAGAATGTCGGAAACAAAACTGGCAGCAGGTATTTATGACTAGAGGAGGTGAGTAGGGATGGTGATGGGAATTAAGAGAATTGTTTTTTGTTCTTATTGGCTGTGGTTGATGAAAACATAAACTAGGAGAAGGAAATAACATTAACATTAAATTTGTTCCTTAGAACTATTTATTTCTCCTAGCACGTACCCATTTACCTGGCTTTCCAGGAGCATATTCTTTTTTTTTTTTTTTTTGAGATGGCAGAGTTTTGCTCATGTCACCTAGGCTGGAGTGAAGTGGCACAATCTCGGCTCACTGCAACCTCCACCTCCTGGGTTCAAGCGATTGTCCTGCCTCAGCCTCCCAAGTAGCTGGGATTACAGGTGCCAGCCACCACGTCTGGCTAATTTTTTTGTATTTTTAGTAGAGACAGGGTTTCATCATGTTGGCCAGGCTGATCTCAAACTACAGACCTCAGGTGATCCACCCACCTCAGCCTCCCAAAGTGCGGGGATCACAGGCGTGAGCTACCACGCCTGGCTTCCAGGAGCATATTCTTAAACAGTTTGGAGGGAAAATGGTTTGGGCAAAAGACTTCCTGTTAAATTGTGTGCTGCTTTCTTTTTCTTTTTTAAAGAACTGGTAATACAGCCGGGCACGGTGGCTCACGCCTGTAATCCCAGCACTTTGGGAGGCCAAGGTGGGTGGATCACCTGAGGTCAGGAGTTCAAGACCAGCCTGACCAACATGGCAAAACCCCATCTCTACTAAAAATACAAAATTAGCCAGGTGTGGTGGTGCACGCCTGTAATCCCAGCTACTCTGGAGGCTGAGGCAGGGAGAATCACCTGAACCCAGAAGGTGAAGGTTGTAGTGAGCCAAGATTGTGCCATTGCACTCCAGCTTGGGCAACAAGAGTGAAACTCCGTCTCCAAAAAAAAAAAAAAAAATTTGGTAAGACATGGCTTTTGGCTTTTTATCTCCTTCTCCACTTATTTTTTACCTGTGGAAAATGATTCAGAAACCGGACAGAGCTTTGCATAAGAGGTGTAAATTGTGAAGTTCCTTAACTCTGAAAATTGAAGACATAAATATATAGAATTTTCCCTTCTAGTATCACTGAGGGAAGAATAGTGGCTGTGGGAATTTGGTAGTTTGGGATATTCTGAAATTGTTTGCTGTCATTTTCATTTGTAATAAGTTTACTTGGCAAGTTCTGTACCAAAGCTATCTTGAGGGCAAAGTTTGTGAACACCTTTTAAAACACAGTTTACGTTTCTAGAAAAAAGATCTTATGCTTACTAAACAAAATTCCTTTCAGCAGTTTTCAATGACTCAGAGCCCTGATATTTGCATAGTGATTCGGCCAATGGAAGTTGACTTTGAGATAATTTTGGTTAAGATAAGTCTCCTGGTTTATGCTTTTAAAAGGTTAGGTTAATAAAGGCCTGTCCGGAATAGTATAATGTGCAGTGGTTTCCAGCCACTTTTGATTATCTCAAATGCCACCTATAGAGCTGGGTAGTAATAGTGATATTAAGGTATTATTTCAGAGGGACCCACAAGGCCAACTTTGGACTCTTGACATTAAACACTGCAAAATTCCAAAGTGCAGACAGCTTGGCAAGTTTGAGTTCTGGTGCATTCTGTTCACAACTATTTTTTTTTTTTTTTCAATAGTGCTTTTGTCTTTCTGCTAAAGGTCAGACTGTAGTTGTCGAGTACTGGTATTGTTCCTGAATTATTCGGGAAGAGGGTGGAAATATTGACTTAGTTTTTCTATTATAATATCCTATCACAATGCTGGATTTTAATGATTTAAAAATGTAAATAAAAGTATTTGCATTTTTAGACTACTTGTGAGCAGCTGCCAATTCTAAAATCACTATGGGTGTTTGCAGCTCTTTTCTGGGCTCATTTTACCCATCTTTGATCTTCTATCAACATGCAGGTCTGTGTGATGGGCTAGAACCAGCATGTATTTTGTTTAGAGTCAGACTTTGTTGGAATCCTGGTGTCACAATTTGGACCCTCGGGGCAGCACCCAGATTAAGTAACCTCTGTAATATGGGGGTGCCACCACTGCTTTGCAGAGCTGTTAGATAAAGTAATGCATATTGCCTGCTACAAAGTAGATGTTGTATTTGAGTGTAGAGGAGGGGTGTATTTGCCCATTCTCATGATGCTAATAAAGATATACCTGAGACTGGGTAATTTATAAAGCAAGAGGTTTAACAGACTCACAGTTCCACATGCGGCTAGGAAGGCCTCACAATCACGGCAGAGGATGAAGGAAGAGCAAAAGTATTTCTTACATGGCAGCGGGCAAGAGAGAACTTGTTCAGGGGAACTCCTCTTTATCAATCCATCAGATCTCGTGAGACTTATTTGCTGTCACGAGAACAGCACAAGAAAGACCCGCCTCCATGATCCAATTACCTTCCACTGGGTCGCTCCCACGACATGTGGGAATTGTGGAAGTGACAATTCAAGATGAGATTTGGGTGGGGACACAGCCAATCCATATCAAGGGGGGGTAAGGTTTAAGTGCAGAGCCATTGAGTCCAGGCTGCTGCCACGTACTCTTCCAGGGCAATGGAGGTAGTCTGAGTCTGCTCCATGGAGAGTGGCCATGAGGGACCCAGAGCTGACCTCTGCCTGCCTCAAGCCGGATTACAATTCTGTTGGGACTGTTTTTCAACTGCACCCAGCTGATCTAGAGAGAGTTTATAATTGATGTGTGTTTAGCTCTGTGTCAGCATCACTGGTTTCTTAAGGAGTCTCACTCAATTCATTGGGGCTAAAAACATGAAATGGGTTTAACTTTCTCTAGGCACTGCTTACCACTGTGCCCTGTTAAATCCCCCCTTCCAGTCTCTGAATGGTGGATTGGGCATCTTCTATCATTCTTTCATCTTTCCAAATCTCCTAATGTTACATCCAGTTCATCTTCTGTGCCTCTCCTACTCTCTCTTCTGAGCTCTAGGCCCTCTGGGATGCTGGGGTGGAGAGGAGAGGATGGAAATGGGGAGCAAGGGACTAGTAATTATTTAACTCGCCAAGCGGAGTTGGTGGTGAGAAAGTGCCTCTCGTAGCCTGCTGCTTTTGTGTGGTTTGTTCTGATGGTGGGGTGTCTGCTCAGGTGATGTGTGACTCTCTTGGGGCTGTGTTTGGCTTTACCTCAGCCTCGTTTGTGAGCAGCCTGTGCAAAGGACAGCAGTGTCCCCCTTTGGTATTGCTGGGTGTTCATGCCCCATCAGGCTTCAACTCCTCCTTCTAGTGAGTGTCCTGGTGCTTGGCCCATCAGCTGCCTGGCAGCCCAAGGGCTCCTGCCCCTCTGACCTCAACACTCCTTCAAAAGGAACTGTGTGAGTTACTGCAGTCCTGTCTCTCTGTCCAGGGGTTGTAGGGAACTGAACTGGAGCGGGAATATTCCAGTCTTCTTTCCTGGAACATTCCCTTGAGGCTCTGCTTGCATGTGGCTCCCTCAGTGGGCCTGCCACTCCCGAATCTCTGACTCAAAAATGGGTACCAGTCTCATGCTCATGGGTGTGCCCCCACTCCAGGGACTGGATGCCAAGTTCCCCCTACTCCCTGACATGCTCCGTTCTGCTGCAGTGCCAGCCTGGAAGGGAGCGGGAAACTGTGAAGTCTTCAGCTCAGCCAGCAGTCAGACTAGGAGCAAGATGCTCATCTCTCCTTCTTGCAGGTATCCTAGTCTCTCCTAGTGATTCTCTTGGAAGTCCCCCAACCCCTACCTGGTTGGGGAAGCAGACAGTAACCTGCACTAGAACCTTGCCCTCCCCATAAAGCCAACATCAACCTTTCTCCTTGTCCTTGCATGGGAAGAGGGGCTGTGGTCAGGTAGTAAGACTGGTCCTCTGACCTCCTGGGGAAGCCATAGGGGGCAGTGTCTGACCCTACTTGTTTATGGCTTTCTGAGTAGGGTACTTAGCCCTGTTGTGCTCAGCTTTGGCCTTGGCTGTATTCTAAAAATAAGGGAAACAGCCCATTTAACAATATCCTTTTTAAGGATATTAGTAATATTCTCTTTCTGTAGTGCCCAGGATGTTCTTCCTGTGCATCCTTTCCTGCAGTAGCAGAGTGAGGGCAGGACCACACTAATACTTACTGGCATTTGTGTCGGATTTGATCAGTAGGCTTAAAATGTATTTCACCTTGGAAAGGTATGGTAGGGGTCTCCATGGACATCATTTTAATTAGCTGCAGGAATTGGAGGTTCAAAGCGCCCCAAGTTTTCTTCAGTTTCCCCCTCCTGACTCTATGCCAGTGACTTAGAAATATAAAGGTGTGTTCTCTTGGATGGATTGTTTGACTTGCTGCTTCCTCTTCATATTCACCTAAGAAATGGACGGTCAAAATAAATGGAAAGTCTTACTTTAAATAGCAGAGTTGATGATTAGGTTCAGGTAATCTATTTCATTGTTCATTTATTAAGTAGATACAAGAAAGAAAAAGGAAACCACTGGGAGGGTATGAGTGAAATGGCTAGCTCTTTTTGGGAAAAGTTAATCTGGTGGCAGAGTATGGAAACTAGATCATCCAGGGGAAGAGGAGTTGGAGGTATGGAGCACTAGATTATAGGTCAGTGTTCAGACCAGAGGTCAAAGGGCCTGACCACAGTAAGTGGCAGTGGTAGTGGGAAGGAGGGGATGAAATGAGAGAGAGGCACAGAGTTGCTGGAAGCCAACAACGGACTGGAATGAGAACAGGGAATGACTTTGCAGCATTAATCTGGGATCCATGAAAGGAGAGGGTACCATGAACAGAAGTAAGGGAGTTAGAAGAAAAGACCAATTTGAGGGTGCGGAACATCAGGGCTACCCTTGGCCTATAGTGCCTTTTCAAGAAGGAAAAGATGTTCCCTCCTCCAGGCACAGGACCTGGCCTGTAGCACACAGGCTGGTCTGGGCTAGGTTCTGGTGCACAGTGTGCCACCTACACAACCATACATGATGGCCCCGGGGAAGATTCCTTTAGAGCAGCAAGGTTCCCATGGAGTAAGAAGGCCTCAACACTTCATCAAGGGCATAGCCAGACTCTAATGTCGAATGAGTGATAGTGCTTATTCCTGTATTGATTGCAGAAAAAGCCATCATGTAAGAAAAGCACTCCTTTTGACAGACACCTACCTAATCTACACATATCACAGCTTTTCTTTTTTTTATCGTGATGAAATATATATAATGTAAAATTTACCATTCTAACCATTTTTAAATGGACAATCTAGTGGCATTAAGTACATTTACAACATTGTGCAACATCATCATTCTCCATTTCCAGAAATTTTTATCTTGCAAAGCTGAAACTCTGTTCCCATTAAAAATAATTCCCTATTCCCCCTCCTCCTAGCCCCCTGGTAACCTCTATTCTACTTTCTGCCTCTGTGATCTGCCTACTTTAGATACCTCATATAAGTGGAATCATAGAATATGTGTCCTTTGGTGCCCATCTGACTTTTTAACTTAGTGTCATGTCTTCAAGTTTCATCGTGTGGCATTTATCAGAATTTTATTCCTTTTCGTGGCCAAATAACTTTGTATTGTATGGATATATACCACATTTTGTTTATCTATTCATCTGTTGCTGGGCACGTGAGTTGTTTCCATGTTTTGGTGATCATGACTGATGCTGCAGTTAACATGGGGTGCAGGTATATATTTGAGTCTTTGCTTCTAATTCTTTGGGGATATTATAATACCTATACTGGATCACAAAGTAATTCTACGTTTCACTTTTTGAGGAGCCACCAAACTGTTTTCCACAGTGGCTGCCCCATCTTACATTCCCACTAACAGTTCATAAGTGTTTCAACTTCTCATCATCCTCACCATCATTTGTTATTTTCTGTTTCTTTAAAACCAGTAGCCATCTTAATAAAGTAATATTGCATTACAGTTTTGATGTGCATTTCCCTGGTGTCCCAGTTCTACTTTTATATACCTGCTTGTCATTAAGAAAGCTCTACTTTTCAAGAATGCTGGAAAGAGCAGCTTTCCCCCGCTATAAACTCATAGCCAACCTTCACTTATATGAGAACATGCAGAGCATAGTTTCATCTCCTTTGAAATACTGTAATAAGAGTTTTAGATGTATTTGATTCAACGTGCAGAATGTTTATTTTTTGTGTGCGTGTATGTGTGTATGTGTTTGAGACAGCGACTTGTTCTGTCACCCAGACTAGCATGAAGTGGTGCAATCACAGCTCACTGAAACCTCACCCTCTTGGGCTGCAGCAATGCTCCCACCTCAGCCCTCTGAGTAGGTGGGACTATGGGCATGCAACACCATGCCATACTAATTAAAAAAAAAAATTGATAGAGATGGTGTCACACTGCTGGGCACAAGCAGTCCTCCTGCCTTGGCCTCCCAAAGTGTTGGGATTACAGGCATGGGCCACTGTGCCCGGCCACTATTTTTCAGTTAGTTGTGAGCATTTAAAAAAACAGAAGAACTCATAAAAAATCTGAATCTTCCACTTTTCAAGAAATCCCAAAGGTCAGGCCCTTGTGGTCCACATTTCCACAAGTAGCTGTGAGCTAGAGCCAAGTTGCTTACAGCCCCCACCCAGCCAGCTTCGTTCCTTACCGGTACCGGCCTCACCCCTGCAGGTATCTGTTTCCAAGCCCGCCCTGTTAGAGTGGATTTTCTGAGGCTAAAGTTAGTTTGGATTTATTCCAACTTATATAAATAATCGAGGTGATTAGATATGACTAATACTTCTGTTCTACCTAGCTACTTAATACCTCCACTGACACTTTCTTTCCTGATAAAATCTGAAATCTCTTCATTTATCCTTGCATCCCTTGAGCCCCTTGAGGGACAGGTCTTATCAACAGATTGGTTTCTACTGGTTAAAAGTTGCATTAAATTTGTCTCCTCATACCTGGAACAATTGGATATCATGTTTTGCATCTGCCCATCAGGTAGATACACCCTTTTAGCTCTGCCACATTCTAACATAGAGTGGCTCTTCTGTCATTGCCACCTAATTGTAGGCCTCTGCTTGCTAGTTGTATCCACTGTTTACGTTATAGAGAAATCTTTTCACATATGTAAGGACTTTATATCTGTGTGTGTGCCCATTCATTTAATAGTCTTTGTATATGCTAGAATTAAGGCACAAGAAATACAAATGTTTCATGTCTGTGGTCAGGAAATACAGTTAGCAATGGCTGTAGCTGTTTAGATTGTGAAGATGATAATTGGCCGCTTCAGATCCTGTGTCTTACAGATAATCAGTACTGGAAGGTGTAGGGTGAAGCTGCGTCACAGCCATGAAATGGAGGCATTGTGAAACCCAAGCCGGCCCAGAACACCCTCGCAGCATGATTTGTTATTGCACAGAGCTGGCTGTACTGCTGCTCAAGCCATATTTCCTGAAACTCAAGAACGCCAGAGTGGAATAGAGTTCTCTTATAACCAGCTCCTGTTCCCTCAAACCTTCGCATGACACCCCTTGTGGTTTTCAGCCCGTCTCTCTGTGTGGTCGCTAATGACTTCATTAAAGGTGAAGCATTTCAGTGATCAAGAGCCAGTGCTTGATGATGGTTGGAGGGACGTAAATGTGCAAGCGGGCCTCAGAGCCTAGGTGGACCGGCCTCCTTGCCTTCACTCTCAGGCATCACGGCCCTCCAGCATGTTTCTCTGAGGAGCTGTTGATCATTTGCCCAGGAGATGGAGCTGGGAACCTCGTTGTCACCAAGTCAGTACCAATGATTTGTGCTTCCTGTCAGGGAAACCTGTGGTGCATGTGTTTGTCTTCTGCTTCTCAGCCAGTTTCTTTTTGCATCCATCAATCTCTTCTTATCTGTCTTCTTTTTCCTGACTGGGCATAGTAGTCAGTTGTGAGTTTGGACTTGTATTTTCTTATTTTGTAACAGTTTGTTTCCTGGCTTCATCTTGCCCCTCCCTCCTAAAAGCTCCACTTGTCTTTTATTTCTCAAGGTAGATGGGACGAGGTTTTTTGTTTTTTGTTTTTGTTTTTGTTTTGTCAGGTTGACTTACATTTCCCCCCATTAGGGTGTGCCGCAGAAAGAAGTTTTCTCTATTTCTGATGTCTATGTCAATACAGAACAATAATGAAATTGTTAGGCAGGTGAAATGGTACTTAACTATCTGTCTGGAAACTCCTAAGCGCCTGCAAGTCTTTCTGAGTGAGAATTTACTGTGGATAGCAGTTAAGATGCCCCATTCCTGAACATGCTGTAGGAATGGGTCCTGGTAGGCATCACTTTCTAGCCAGTCCAAAGCCACGCTTTCCTGGCAGCCTGTTCCTCTCATCATCTTCCTGTTCCCATGGCCATGGCACCCCAAATGTCTGCTGCTCTGACCAAAAAGCTGGCAGACAGTAAATAAACTGACTTCTAAGATAAGAACCTTCATTTGAAACAATTTTTAACATGCCTTCTTTGTCAAGGAGTAAAGACCCTGAATCCCCCAGGGGTTCCTACAGCCCACGATGGTTCACAAGAGAGTCTACAATCCTCAGAGCCAAGAAGCACTGAGACTCAAGGACAGGGCCACTTGACAGAGAGAGCAGTTCCCAGCCGACTTGGGGCCTAGGAGGATATTCTGGGTGGCAGGGCTCTAATTGATTATTAACCTACATATAAAATCAAGGACATATAGCCAAGCACAGCAGCAAATGCTGCCACCTTGTGAGCTGCCTGTGGTTGTGCTGGGTGGAGATGGATCTAGCTAAGGCACACCAGGATGCAGCTTAGAGAGAACTTGGTCAGATTTTTACTGCTTCTGGTATAATTGGAACACTTTACTTCTTAAGCCTACTGTGTAATGTTATGTGTACAGAGTGAGTGGTTGCTTAATTAAGTGCTTTAATTTTTTTTGGTCATATATACACGTGGTGCAAAATGTAAAAGGCCCAAAGGAGGGGACAGTGAAAATTATATCTTTCTCCCACCCAGTTCCCCTTCCCAAAGGTAAACATTATTGCCAGTTTCTTTTGTAGCCTAGTGGGAATAATTTCTGAATAGTTATCCATACTTTATAGGTAACTCTATAGCGATAGAACTATATGTAGTTCTATACAGTATGTATGTAGTTATATACAGTACATATATATGTCTACAGTATATATGTAGTTATATACAGTATATATGTATATATGTACTATATGTAAATATATACATATGTAGTTGTATACAGTACATATATACATATCTATAGTTTTCTTCTATATAGTTATCTCTACATATACATACATATATACACATAACTATGTATATAAAACTATACAATTGTTACACTGTTGTGTAACATGGATGTGTATACAATAGCGATATGATTAAATATTTCTTATTAATGATGATTTCCTGCAGCCTTTCAATCTTGTTAAACACAAGGAAAATTAGAAATGGACCGAACAGAAGTGGCATCATAAAAGGCAGCTACTGTTTGGGAGCAAGGGACATGCCGTGGAGAGGAAATGTGTGGTGGTCTGAAATTGCACCAGTTTCCACTACAATTTTAAAACCATGCCTAGCCTTGCCAAAGGACCTCGGGGGCAAAGGTTAAGCCGACACACCCTTTAGGTCATGGTACACAGTATCTCTGGGCACATGGTGGACTCTGGTTTGTGCTGGACCCCTAAAAGTTATTTCCTTTTATCCCTGGTTCCCTCCCTCCCATAGGCAACATTCTGATATGTATACAATGTATCATTTAGATTTGTGTGTATTCTTGCAATGGATCTTGTTTTGTGTGTAAGTATTTTTAATTTATGCAAATGGTATGGCTATCTCATTCTGTTCCTTAGTTTTTTTTACTAGGCTTTGAAAGTTCCATCCATTTTACTAGGTGTGAATCCACTTCATTGCTATCTGTCTTTGTAGGGCCAAACTGAGATTTGGAAAATACTTGAAGCAATCTTTGTGACTTTTTACCCAGGTTTTTTCACATGTTGACACACATGACAAAAAGTGCATGTACTTTTGTGTTACTGTTTTACTCACTTTACTATTTCAACTTTCCTCCATTTTGCTAATTTGTCATAAATATTAATGGCTGTATAGTATTCCATTTATATAATCAGTTATTACTTCACACTCTCTCCTGTCATCAGACATCTGAGTTTTTTATTTTTAATATCATTGTGGTTACATGCGTATCATTGGTCTTTGTTGATTTTCTTTTTCTTAAGCCAGAACAGATGCCCAATAGGGAATTATTGAGCCAGAGAAAAATTCTCCTATAGCATGTGATGGAAGTGGCCACATTTTACCTCTTGCTTTATTTCCAGAAATGAACACAGGTGTCTATATCCATTTAATACACCCCTTTTTGGCCGGGTGTGTTGGCTCACACCTGTAATCCCAGCACTTTGGGAGGCCGAGGTGGGCAGATCACTTGAGGTCGGGAGTTCAAAACCAGCCTAGCCAACGTGGTGAAACCCCATCTCTACTAAAAATACAAAAATTGGTCAGGTGTGGTGGCGTGTGCCTGTAATCTCAGCTATTCCGGAGGCTGAGGCAGGAGAATCCTCGAACCTGGGAGGCAGAGGTTGCAGTGAGCTGAGATCATGCCACAGCACTCCAGCCTGAGGGACAGAGTGGGACTCCATTTCAAAAAAACAAAACAATACACCACTTTTTATTTGTAGTGCACTATACTTAGAGCTGTTGCCATAGGAATTGATATACCAGGCGTCATGGTGGTCAGCAGACAAATAGGAAACTCCTGTTATGTCGTCAGAATGAGTTGCAGAGAGTACCATCTGCTACCTGTATTGTACATCTTTCTGTTCCTCTGTCACGCCTGGCACAAGAGCAGCATTGGTTTAATCATCAGCAGCCCTTCTGCTCTCTGTAGTCAGGATTGGCAGTAACTCATTGGTGGGCAACACTGCCTTGGTCTTGCCGCTTGCACTGTGAACTGTAACTACGGACACACATGTCAGGAAAGAATGGTGCTTGGGATGCTCCTCCTATCTGTGCCTCAAACGTTTTCACTCGAGGGATATTAAAAAGTGGCCTACTGCTTATAAAGACTGTGTGTCAGTGAAGAGGAAGAGGTGGGAGTGGAGAGTGGGAGGCATTTGCAAGAACATATGTTGGATTCTTTTTTTCTCTTCTTGGTGACAATGATTGACGGCATCTAGTGAGTCCCTGTTTGTCACTTCCTTGGTACAGCTGGTAGTGGAGGTGGGGGAAATCAATAAGGGCTGGACAAAGGACATAGCTAGAGGAAGAAAGCACTGCAAATATGGTATTAAGATGACATTCCTCACAGTTGAATTTTTCACTGTGCTATTACTTCACACTACCTGCTGCGAGCTATTCTCTTTTGATCCTTTAGGCTGTAGAGGAATCAGTCTGTGTAACTCTCCCTCATTCACCACCTCCAAGAAAGGGTTAACTTTGGACATAAGATAACTGTAGTTTAAGGGGAGGAAGAGAAGGAAGGAAATTCATACTGGATACAGCTTTTGCCAGTTTTGTTTCTTCTATGTTGAAATATGGGCTGGCTTTATGGCATTCTCTTGGTGTTCTGGAATGTCCATTATTTAACAATTCCATATTGAATACTTGCTTGGGGCTTAGAAGAGGGAAGTCAAGTGTAGGAAGGAGTTGTGGCAATTTAAGTAAGTTTACAATGATCTTATTAAGCTTGTTGCTTTCATTTTCCTGCCTACGTTGGGGCAAAGACGTGTTAAAAGTGCAAGAACAGTGATTATTTTGTGGTTAGAGCATGTGCACAGTGTAGACAAACCCAGGAAGGAGAATCTGCTTCATCAAGTCTTAAGTTGTTATTTAGACCAAAATGTATGCGTAAGCCTCAGATGACTGTTGATGTGCCAGGAAACTTCTGCTGAGTACTTTCGGTTCTTTCTTCTTTACTTTACCTCTGCACCCCAGCTCATGGTTATCTTGTAAAACTGAAGGTGCTTTGCACTGCAAACAGACATGACAGCTCAGTCTCCCCTGTAGCAAGTTCTAGGGAAGGCAGGTTGGCAGAGTCCCATTTTTGAGCTCAGTTCTCCAAGGCCCTTTGGTCAGCTTATTTTCCTGCAGGGTGTCACATCCCACAGTAGTCTCCACCTGGAAGACATTGGATCTCATATGTTCAGATCAGTGTAGCCACGCTGCTCTGTGGAGAACAGTGTGATAAATCCTTGGTAGCATTACGCTTTAAACTGGTGGCCACTTGCCTACCTCCTTTTAATTTCATTTTGTTAACAATTGTTTCTTGAGGACCTGTTGCATGCTGGGTGCTTTTTTCCTGGGTGATTTCACATTTAGCATCTGTTTTCATTCTCATGACTTCTCTGTGAGGTAGCAAGTATTGTACCCAGTTTTCTGATAGAGGAAATTGTGGCCCAGAGAGATTGTTGTACCCCAAAGTAATGAAGATGAATACAGTTGCAGAACCAAGTTAGAAGCCAGATTTTTGGAGATCCAAGGTCCAGTGAACACAGCTGTACCCCCACAGACACTTCCGAAAGTGACCACAGCCTCTTCAGCCAGTCCTGAAGAGTATGTTCACCTTCATCTGTCTTAAAGCACAGGCACACCTGGCTTTGGGAAAGCATAGTTTATCAAGATCTGAATTGGCTCATTTTAGTTTTAGAAAAGGTTTCACCTAAGGCTTCTGCTTAAGAAGAGAGCATTCCTAGGAAGTGAGCTTAAGCCCTGTTCACCCTATTAATCTTAAGTGATTTGTCAGAGCAGAGTGGCAGAGAGGTGTCCTGCAGAGGTGACAACCTGAATTTAAATCACAGCTCAGCCGCTTACTAGCTGTGTAATCTTGAGCAAATTACTTAACTCTCTGAGCCTCTTCTTCCTTCTCTATTAAAGGGGAGTGATATCAATCTCATCAGATTAGTGTGAGAATACATTCATATAAGTGCCAAGTACCTGCTAAGTGCTAGTCCATGTGCTAAGTAAATGTGAGCTGCAATTGTTTGCCATTGGCATTATCAGTAGAGTGGGAGTCTCATTATAGCAGAAACCTGGCTCTCCTGAACATATGTAAATATTTACATAGCCCCTACTAAATGCCATTTAAGAGTGTATCTAGTGTAAGGCAATAGGATGTGTTTAGCAGGAGGAGTGGATTTGTTCAGGGGGTGCAACAGACTGGGATGGGAGAAGAAGGCATGTTTGATAGTCAAAATGCTGGCATACTTCCTGCGCAAGGAAGTCTGTATGGCTAAACAGTGCTGAACTAAACAAATACTGCTGAAGGTCAGGTGTGAACAGTGAATCATATTGGCGGGGCATGGTCTGGGATATGGTGGTGAGCAGTAAAAACTACAATAGCTACCATGAAAGGTACCTACTATATGCCAGGCACTGTTCTAGTGCTTTTCTCCTATTAGCCCTTGGAAGCAGTTCTATTATTATCCCATTTTGTAGATTAGGAAACAGACTCAGATTAATTCAGTTACCCAAGGGGCACGTAACTGGTAAGTGGCAGAGCTTTGGTTCAGTCTCAGGCGTCGAGCTCTGGAGTGTGTGTGTGTGTGTGTGTGTGTGTGCTTTCAACCATTGTGTTAGATGCCTCTCAAGACAGATAAGGTCCTTGCTATTGTAGAATTCACAGTCTAACTGAGTGAGCCAGTCAAACTAATAAGTATTATATCTAGTCTGCCAGGTAGTAATAAATGCAGTGAAGAGAAAATTGGGTGAGGAATTTTAGAGGATGATGGGAGTTGATGTTTTAGCTAGTGTATTAGTTTGTTCAGGCTGCCATAAACAAAATACCACAGATTGGGAGGCTTAAACAACAGAAATTTACTTTCTCACAGTTTTGGAGGCTGGAAATCCAAGAGCAAGGTGTCAATGTGTTTGGTTTCTTCTGAGGCCTCTGTCCTCGGCTTTGCAGATGGCCCTTTCACTATGTCCTTCTGTCTTCCCTCTATGAGCGTTCAGCCCTGGGAGCTCTCTGTGCCCTGATCACCTTTTCTTATAAGGACAGTAGCCACACCTAATCACCTCATTTTAACTTAACCATCTCTTTAAAGGCCCTGTCTTCAAATACAGTCTCATTTTGAGGTATTAGGGGTTAGGACTTCAACATATAAATTTGGGGAGGGGAACACAGTTCTGACCATAACACTCTGCCCTCTGCACCCCCAAAATTCATGTCCTCCTCACAGCAAAATACATTCACCTGCATTCAACAACCTAAGCCTTAACCCATTCTAGCATCAATTCTAAGTCCCAAATCTCATCTAAATATCATCTACATCAAAGTGAGAGAGACTCAAGTATATGATTCATCTTGAGGCAAAAATTCTTCTCCAGCTGTGAACCCGTGAAACCAGACAAGTTATTTGCTTCCAAAATACAATGATGGGGACAGGCTTAGGATAGACATTTCCATTCCAAAAGGGAAAACTTGGAAGGAAGAAAAAAGGGTCATGGGTCCAAAGCAAGTCCAAAACCTAGCTGGGCAAATTATGTTCAATTTTAAGGCCTGAAAATAATTCTTTTTACATGATGATCTGTCCTCCAGGCCCATTGGGCTGGCAGAATTTTTTTTTTTTTTTTTTCAGTATTTATTGATCATTCTTGGGTGTTTCTCGGAGTGGGGGATTTGGCAGGGTCATAGGACAATAGTGGAGGGAAGGTCAGCAGATAAACATGTGAACAAGGGTCTCTGGTTTTCCTAGGCAGAGGACCCTGCTGCCTTCCGCAGTGTTTGTGTCCCTGGGTACTTGAGATTAGGGAGTGGTGATGACTCTTAAGGAGCATGCTGCCTTCAAGCATCTGTTTAACAAAGCACATCTTGCACCGCCCTTAATCCGTTTAACTCTGAGTGGACACAGCACATGTTTCAGAGAGCACGGGGTTGGGGGTAGGGTCACCGATCAACAGGATCACAAGGCAGAAGAATTTTTCTTAGTACAGAACAAAATGGAGTCTCCCATGTCTACTTCTTTCTACACAGACACAGTAACAATCTGATCTCTCTTTCTTTTCCCCACATTTCCCCCTTTTCTATTTGACAAAACCGCCATCGTCATCATGGCCCGTTCTCAATGAGCTGTTGGGTACACCTCCTAGACGGGGTGGCGGCCGGGCAGAGGGGCTCCTCACTTCCCACACGGGGCGGCCAGGCAGAGGCGCCCCTCACCTCCCTCCCGGATGGGGCGACTGGCCGGGCGGGGGCTGCCCCCCACCTCCCTCCCGGACGGGGGTGGCTGGCCGGGCAGAGAGGCTCCTCACTTCCCGGACGGGGTGGCTGCCGGGCGGAGGGGCTCCTCACTTCCCAGACGGGGCGGCTGCGGGGCGGAGGGGCTCCTCACTTCTCAGATGGGGCGGCCGGGCAGAGACGCTCCTCACCTCCCAGACGGGGTGGCGGTCGGGCAGAGACGCTCCTCACCTCCCAGACGGGGTCGGGGCCGGGCAGAGGCAATCCTCACATCCCTCACATCCCAGACGGGGCGGCGGGGCAGAGGCGCTCCCCACATCTCAGATGATGGGCGGCCGGGCAGAGATGCTCCTCACTTCCTAGATGGGATGGCAGCTGGGAAGAGGCACTCCTCACTTCCCAGACTGGGCGGCCGGGCAGAGGGGCTCCTCACATCCCAGATGATGGGCGGCCAGGCAGAGACACTCCTCACTTCCCAGACAGGGTGGCGGCCGGGCAGAGGCTGCAATCTCGGCACTTTGGGAGGCCAAGGCAGGCGGCTGGGAGGTGGAGGTTGTAGCGAGCCGAGATCACGTCACTGCACTCCAGCCTGGGCAACATTGAGCACTGAGTGAGCGAGACTCCGTCTGCAATCCCGGCACCTCGGGAGGCCGAGGCAGGCAGATCACTCGCGGTCCAGAGCTGGAGACCAGCCCAGCCAACACGGCGAAACCCCGTCTCCACCAAAAAATGCAAAAACCAGTCAGGCGTGGCTGCGCGTGCCTGCAATCCCAGGCACTCTGCAGGCTGAGGCAGGAGAATCAGGCAGGGAGGTTGCAGTGAGCCGAGATGGCGGCAGTACAGTCCAGCCTCCGCTGGGCATCAGAGGGAGACCTTGCAAAGAGGGAGACGGGAGAGGGAGACGGAGAGGGGGAGGGGGAGGGGAGGGGGAGGGGAGGGGGAGGGAGAGGACTGGCAGAATTTCTTCAAGGCCCCAGGTGGCAGCCTTGCTTTTGAGGCCTTGGACAATGACAGCCTCACCCTCTCACACTGAGACAGAGAGAGCCTCACCCTTTGAAATGGAAGAGAGCCTTCCTCGCCCCTGGGCCTGAACACTTTCGTTGTGGGGTGAGAGTAGTAGCTTTAGGGACCATTCTTCCTTTTTCTTGAAGGATAATACATGCTCACACCCAGAGCCAGATAGATCTATTGTCCCATCCTGTAGCATCTCAGAAGCCTGCTGCTGTTGTGTCCTGTCTCTGTCCCCTTTAGTCCAAGTCAGCAGTGTTTCTGCTACTGGTAGAACCCCGTCTCTATTCCTGGCTTCTGTTGAGATGGCCAATTAGATCTGTGAGTCCCACTGTCACTCTTTAGGGAGTGATTGTCCAGTCACACTGTTGGTGCCCTCTCCAGAACACATTCTCATTTTTTTGCAATATGGATAAGCTGAGAATTTTCCAGATCTTTAAGTTCTGGTTTGTTTAGCCTAACAATTTTTTCTTTAATTTCTCTCACTTCTCTTGCACTTTAATAGAAGCAGTAAGGAGAAAGGAAAGTGGCAAGGAAAGCACAACAGGCTTTCAACACTTGGCTTAGAAATCTCAGCAGAATATCCAAGGTTGTCACTTACAAGCTCTACCTTCCACAAAACACAAAAATGCAATTCAGCAATGTTCTTGGCCATTTTATAACAAGGATTGCCTTTTTTCAGTGTCTAATAACATGTTCCTCATTTCTGTCTAAAATCTCACTAGAATCACCTTTCATGTCCATATTTCTAGCAACAGTCTCTCTTAGCATCTGAGACAACGTTCTGTGGAACACAGTTTGGGGAAGCTTGCCAAACTCAACAGATTATACTATATCATCTCCCCCTGAAAGAGAAGAGTGAGACATAAGTCCTCTGCAGTCTGTTCCACTCCTACTAGATCTTGAAGTCATATGTTGATTCTTTTCATGGTATTGTGTGCCTGTGTTTTAAGGAAAATAATTAGCATTCTTAAAGCAAAGCAAAAATTTTACTAAAGAAAATAATTAGCCTTTCATGTCACTTTCTTAGAGTGAACCAAATAAGTTTTGTATGAGAGAAAGATAGGGGCCCGTAGATGCCCACTTTAGTTTTGCAGGGTGGGTTCCTACAGCCACGTTCCCCTGGGCTAATAAGGCTAATGGAATCATGGTGGCAGTTTTGCATTGGCCTCCAGCTAATGAAAAGTTTTGCCATGAGAACTTAACTTAGTCCTTCTGATGCTTTTACTGCCTGTTGACACAGAAGGTGGAAAATGACCAACTATGCTATACATAAAAACAAAGTCCAGATATTCTTATATTCTTTTAGAATATGTCTTATGTGCTGATTTTTAAAATATTAAGGGAAAAATTGACTTGTGATACTTGAAAGTTCATAGAACAGGGCACTGCATTAAAACAGGGCTTATGCAAATAAAACACATTTTTCTGTTCTTGGCCAGCAGTTCTACCGTCAGGATACTTATTCCATACAGCACTGTATGATACAGACCAAGATTTATAGTTGGTGATTTCCTGAGTAACAACTCAGATAGCAAATGCCTCCACAAAACAACTTTCGTATGTTCTGCAAGGCACAAAGTAGTACAATAGAAAGGATTGTTTGCTTCAGGATTTTTGTGGGGTGGTTTCTTTTTCTTTTTCTTTTTTCTCCCACAAGACAGAATTTTTCTTCTTGCCCTAAAATTTGAAAGATTTCTCCTTTCTCTCCCCTTCTGCCACAAGTAGTCCCACCCTAAAAAGGAAGATGAGGTTCTCTAGCAACCCATAAGATGCTCATAAGAAATAGCTTAAACTTTTGCTTTGAAACAAGACATTCACATATTGGGGTTGTGGGCCAATAAACTAGTCAATAGAAAGAATGGGGAAGAAGCAGTGAATGCAAGGACAGTGTTGGTGGGGAAGGGGGAATATTCTGGTTTTCGTTTCTGTGGATTTTTAGGCCAAATTTGAACACAGGCTCTTGATGACACATGAAGTATCTCTAACTTGATTTTATGTATGCACACTTTATGTACTATCTGTACATAAGTCATAGACATATAGATTGGACTAGAATTTAGAGTTCAGAAATGAACACTCACTTGTACAGTCAGTTAATTTTCAATAAAGGTGCCAAGACAGTTCAACAAAGGTAGTCTTTTCAACTGGTGGTGCTGGGACAACTGGGTAGCCACATGCAAAAGAATGAAGTTAGACTCTCACCTCACATCATATACAGAAAGTAGTTCAAAATGGATCAAAGACCTAAACTATGAGATAAAAGAGAAGAAAACATAGGTATAAATATATAACATATAAAATACCAAAAATATAAACAACAAAAGAAGAAATAGATAAATGAGACTTCATCAAGATAAAAACATTTTTGCTTCAGATAACACCATTAAGAAAGTGAAAAGACGGCTCACAGAATGGAGGAAACACTTTCAAATCATATACCAAATAAGAATCTTGTATACTGAATATGTAAGGAACTCTTATAACTCAAAAGTAAAAAGACAAATAATTCAACTAAAACATGAGCAATAGATTTGAAAGACATTTCTCCAAAAGTATATAAATGGGCTATATGCATATAAAAAGAAGCTGAATATCATTAGCCATCAGGGAAATGAAAATCAAAACCATAATGAGATGCCACTTTGCATCCACTAGGATGGCTGTAATCAAAAAGACAGAAGAATATTGGTAAGGATGTGAAGAAATTGAAATCCTCATACACTGCTGGTGAGAATGGGAAGTGGTACAGCTGTTTTGGAAAACAGTCTGGAAGTCCTAAAAAGATGAAACATAGAGTTACCATATGACCCAGCAATTCTACTCTTGGGTATATACCCAAGGGAAATGAGAACATACATCAGTGCAAAAACTAGTTCACAAGTGTTTACAGCAGTATCATTCACAATAGTCAAAAAGTTATGGGGGAAAATAACATGTCCAAAAACTGATGAATAAATAAATAAATGTGATATATCCATACAATGAAACATTATTCAAGAAAAAGATATGAAGTCCAGATACATCTTACAACATAGATGAACCTTGAAAACATGCTAAGTGAAAGGTCACAAAAGGCCACATATTGTATGAGTCTATTTATATTTACATGAAATGTTCAGAATAGGCAAATCTAAAGACAGTAGATTAGTGTGTTAGGGGCTTGGGGGTAAATGGAGAATGACTGTTTATGGATATAAGGTTTCTTTTTCGGTGTAAGGAAGATGTTCTAAAATTGATAATGATGATGGTCTTTCAACCCTGTGAATATACTACAAACCATTGCATTATACGTGTTAAGTGTTGAGTGTATGATGTGTGGATTATATCTCAATAAAGATGTTAAACCACACACAGTCATATTACATAATTACACAGTCATATTGAATTCCGTTATAATTTCAGATTTATGGACTAACACTGAATACTCAGAGTATTAAGCGACCTGTTCCAGTGCATATAGCTGGTGATCACAGAGCCAGACTTCCTGAACATCAGGCCAACTGTCTCTCCATTGTGATTGTTACAGGAAGTTTGACCCCAACATACCATACAAGTCACACTTAAAATTTGTATTGGTGTGGCCAGGTACCACTCACTTGTTCATGTAACAGATCAGCAAGCCCCTGAAACCGAGGCTGGCAATAGCAGTTTAATTCCTGCTCCTGTAAGGTTCAGTAGTGTAGGCTGGGGGTGAGGAGACACAACAGCTGCTGCTGCTTTTCTTTTTTTTAACCAACAAGAATGACCTTGAAAACATGGGGTTCTTTACCACACAATTATTCAGGGACCCTGTCTGATGGAAGTTCTTCTACCTTCTCCAGCCAGCAGATGGGGAGGAGAGAGAGGAGGTTTATCCATGGGAGGTTTTCCTGAGCCACACTTAGGGGTGGTGCACCTCTCACACTCATTTCCCCACACCTTCTGTGGTTACAACCCAGTCACTTGGCACCTTACAGATGCTGTGGGGCTACGAATGCAGACTCTGGTATTGAAGGAGCTACATTGTCTGGGGTATATACCCTGGGGTTTGTTGTCGCCTGCCAGGAAAATTTAGGACACATACACAAGGAGTTTAGGAGCAGAAGGTTAATAGGTAGAAGAGAAGAGAGAGAAACAGCTTCCTCTGTAAAGGAGGGGGTCTCCCAGCAGAAAGGACCTGCTGGTGGTGAATGCCTCGAGTGTTATAGTAGGGTTTCAAGAGGCAGTGTCTGATTTACCTAGAGCTCATAGATTGGTTCAATCAGGTATGACATTTACATAGTGCGGGGAAGGCTGGTTTCCCCACCCTAATCTTCTTATGCAAATGGGCTGTCCAGTTAGGGCCATCTTGTCTGCTCCTTTACAGTACAGGTGGCTGGCAGAGAAGGGAAGATGGAGCCGCCATCTTGAACATGTCTACTCCTTAGTTCCCGCTGGCATTCACCTGTGCAAGCTCCCAGCTTGCTGGCTGCTCTTTGATAGAAAATGATTTGGGGCTGCTTTTCATTAAAAAGAAGAACCTTACCAAGGACTCCCATACCCTTGCTATCTGCCTGCGTGATTTCTTCTTAACTCCTATATCCCTATCTGGGCTTGAAGTTTTCTCCTTATACTTAAAAAATCAATCCAAAGGCTAGTCAGCCCGCATGATGACTGGGCACAAGTTTAGAAGTTTCATATCATGGCTCCTGCTTCATTGTGAGGGATTTTAATACCTTTAGAGCAATGTTAAGTACCCAGTCTGACTGGTTATTCTGTCAGCAGAGTCTGTCACCTGTCCTAGAAGAATAGTCTTGTTTGTTGCTCCTAGACTGGCTGATGATTGATAGGAGTTTCCAAGTTGTATCTTATTGGAAGGACCTTTGAGAGCTCTAGGCCTGTGGGCCTTCCTGAGGAGGTGACTGCATTTGAATAGGCTCTAAGTTTCCTATATCTTGCCTCTGCCCTGCTACAGCACTACAAGGGGAAACCTGGACCATTTACCCTGCCTGTTGCAAGGTAGGTGACAAAGAGGAAGTTCTGAGAGAACAAATGAAGCCCCAGGAATCTACTCAACCCTGACAGTGAATATACTATCTTCTGACCTCATACTGAAACAGTGACAACATCTATGTCTCCAAGCCGTGGAACTCTACCGCTACTCTGGAAGCAGCCCTGCAGTGTTTTGTTATCACTTTTGTTTTACACTAGGCTAGAGGATTCAGTTTGGTGAGTTGTGAGAAATTAAAAGTTGGAATTAGAGGAGCAGAGGCTGGCCCCTGTCAGCTTATTGAGCTGGGTAGCCTTAGCCTTTTCTGAGCTTTGGAAAACCTCAGATATCATGTCAGAAAATCAACAGAATCTGAGAAAAACACCGGAAAATCATCAGCAAATGGTGATTCTGATAGCATCTCTTCCTTATGGGGTCATCATGAGAAGATTCCATGATAATCCCCATAAAGTATCAAGTCCAGATTTTGGCAAAAGATCATGCTCAATAAACACTAGTTGTCATTGATAATAATAGCATCATCTTTTGACTTTCAAGGCAGAGAAAAAGAGGTATCTCCATTGATGCCTAATGTTAAAAAAAGTAACATTTTGTAAATCTTTGGCAATATCTTAAAATATTTTATGATGTAACTGTGATGCTTGGAAAACTTTCTTTTTAGCAGTCAGAATCTTTCATAACCATATGTTAAGTACTTGCTTTGTGTAAACAGGTTGCCAGGCACAAAGGGATTATAAAGAGAAAGAAGAAATGGCCTTTGCCTTTGAGCAGTTCATAATGTCATAAGAATTAGCCATGGCTATATTTTAAATAGGTTGTAGCTAACCTAAGTTTTTGCTATCAGTGTTTTATTTATTTATTTATTTTTAATTTTTTTTGAGACAGAGTCTCACTCTGTCGCCCAGGCTGGAGTGGAGTGGTGCGATCTTGGCTCACTGCAACCTCCGCCTCTCAGATTCAAGCGATTCTCCTGCCTCAGCCTCCTGAGTAGCTGGGACTGCAGGTGCCCATTACGATGCCTGGCTAATTTTTGTCTTTAGTAGAGATGGGGTTTCACCATGTTGGCCAGGGTGGTCTTCAACTCCTGACCTCAAGTGATCCGCCTGCCTGCGCCTCCCAAAGCGTTGGGATTACAGGCATGAGCCACCATGCCCGGCCTGGTATCAGTGTTTTAAACCTACTGCACATATATCCTAATATAGACAAAAATGTGATTACCTCTTTTTAAAAACAAGCCCAACTCTAAAATATCATACTTCGGGGAGCTTTTATTTTTGCCTCCTGCCCCTTGCTCCCAATTGTCAACTTATCTCCCCCTACTCTTGCTACCAATTGTCAGTTTACCCCCAGCCCCTACCCCTCACACATATACCCCAATTTCCAGGTTGTTATAAAGCATTCATATATTTTTGTGTAAAAAATGATTTCTTGCATTTTTCCAAGATAATTATTTGAAAATGTAATTATTTGAAAACAGATTGTGTTTTAATGTGAAATCACCTAATACCCTAATTAGTTTATTTAGCTTAGAAACTTGGTCTAGAGCAGTGGCTCTTAACTTGGCCATATTTTTTTTAAGGCGGCATTACTATTGATTTCTTCTTTACAAAATTTAGCAAGTCCATGGTATTCTTACTTCAGTTTATTTGACACAAGGCCCACATGAGATGTGAATGATATGCATGATATGTGAAAAGGAAGTTCATCATCATCACATCTTACCTGTTCCTTGTTCTTCCAGTTTCACAGCCGTTAGAATGTTAGAGCTGGCAAGGACTTTATCACCAAATTCTTATCACCAACACCCCTCCTTTAGCAGAGGAGAGAAACTGAAGCTCAGAGAGGTGAGGGTACTTGCTTGCAGTCACACCACCACTATGTGGCTGACTCCTGGTGCAGAACCCTCCCTTCAACCCAGTGCCTCTCCCTGGCTGGTAATCTCTTGTCTGTTTTTCTTTTTTTTTTTCTTTTTGAGACGGAGTCTCGCTCTGTCGCCCAGGCTGGAGTGCAGTGGCGCGATCTCGGCTCACTGCAAGCTCCACCTCCTGGGTTCACACCATTCTCCTGCCTCAGCCTCCCGAGTAGCTGGGACTACAGGCGCCCGCCACCACGACCGGCTAATTTTTTTGTATTTTTATTAGAGACGGGGTTTCACCGTGTTAGCCAGGATGATCTCTATCTCCTGACCTCGTGATCCGCCCGCCTCAGCCTCCCAAAGTGATGGGATTACAGGCGTGAGCCACCGCACCTGGCCCTCTGTTTTTCAACTCCCTTTTCTGAGCTGTCACCAAGTCCTCTTACTGTTTCCTGGAACTGTCTTTCGGTTGTCTTCCTTCCCGTTTCTTCCTGGCTGATCCCGTCCCTCAACATCTCACAATGGGAAAGGCCTGACAGAGGAGTCGGTCTCTGAGGCGTCCATTATACCATATTAATTTTCTCTAATTACCACTGTCAGCACATTACTCCTCTTCGGTGAGGCTGCCAGGAGCTCCCTGCTTCTTGTGGCTACAAATGTCAACACCGTCCTCACATGCTAGACCTTCCAGAGCCTAGCTTCACGGGAAGGCCCAGCTTCATTGCTCTTTTCTCCCTGTGAGCCCCAGAGGCCCACTGTCTTCCCTGGGTTTTCTTCGTGAGTCAGCCATGTTTCTTTTATGCCTTTAGTTTCTGTTCTCCCCAGCTTCCGGTTCTCTCCCTGCCTTTCCAACTACAGCAGGTCCTCCAATAATGTCGTTTCATTCGATGTCATTTCCTCATAATGTTGATGAAGAAAAAGAAGGGGCCACTGTGGAGTTCGTGTGGTCTCCCCAGGTCTGCGTGGGTTTTCTCTGGGGACTCGTTTTCTTCCACGTCCCAAAGATGTGCATGTTAGGTTAACTGATGTGGCTACATAGTCCCCACTGAGTGTGGTGGGGGTTTGAGTGTATCCTCCAATGGGAACGCATCTTGTCCAGGGTTGGTGCCCACCCCCCTACCTCTGAGCTGCTGGGATAGGTTCCGGCCACCCAAGACCCTGACCTGGAATAAGAGGGTGAAGAATTTTCTTACTTTTTTTGTTTTTCCAGTCCCTTCATTATACTAAAAGTTTATGTTAATCTTTCTTAATTGTATGTATAGCTCACATTTATTTCAGTGTTTAACATAGAAGTGTTTTGGTCTTTATTTAGAAGTTTGTTGATGTTTTTGTGACCAGAAATATGCAATAGGAACTTAATTATTTTTTAGAGACAGAGTCTTGCACTGTTGCCCAGGCTGTAATGCTGTGGCCTGACTACAGCTTACTGCAGCCTCAAACTCCAGGGCTCAAGCAATCCCCCTACCTCAACCCCCTGAGTAACTGGGACCACAGGTGCAAACCACCATGCCTGGCTCTTTTTTTTTTTTTTTTTTTAAGAGAGCCAGGGCCTCACTGTGCTGCCCAGCCTGGTTCAAACTCCTGGTCTCAAGCAATCCTCCCACCTCACCCTCCCAAAGTGCTGGAATTACAGGCATGAGCCATAGCGCCCAGTGTAACTTGTTTATAGAAATTAGCCTATGGTAAAATTGATTTTGTTATACATTATTTTGCTTAAATTCATAGTTCCCAAGTAGGTGAGGACTTACTGTACTCCATTCTTCAAGGCCAAGTCCAGGTTCTACCACCTTTTTAATGTTTTCCTTGATTGCTGCAGTGATAACCCAATTATTCCCCTTTACTCCCAAACTTTTTCTGATTATATCCTACCATGTAGCATTGCACATCATAGCCTCTCATATGGTTCTCTGGCTTTTCCTTAGAATTGTGTTGCCTTCTTAATTATATTTAATGCTCTTTGAAGGCAAGGCTTATGTTTATATTTTTATCATATATACTATTCCCCTCCCATCCGTTGGAAATATGTTCAAAGACCCTCAGTCGATGCCTGAGACTGAAGATAGCACCAAACCTTGAATAGACTGTTTTTGCATATAGATACATACCTATGCTCAGGTTTAATTTATAAACTAGGAATAGAAAGAGATTAACAACAGTAACTAATAATAAAACAGAACAATTATAACAATATACTATGATAAAAGTTCTGTGAATGTGGACTCTGCCTCTGTCTCAAAATATCTTATTGTACTGCACTTACCCTTCTTGTGATGAGGAAGGGATGGGAGTGGGATAGCATGAGATTTCATCACACTACTCAGAACGATATGCAATTAAAAACTCATGAATTTTGTATTCCTGGAACTTTCCATTTAATATTTTCAGACTAGTTGACCTCAAGTAACTAAAACTGCAGAAAGTGAAACCTTGGATAAGGGGGGTCTACTGGATTCCAATTTTATAGTGCCTAATAAATGGTCAGTAATAACCACTTATTAGGGGCTTGTTGAACTTCTACAAGTTGTTGTTCAGAGCTACAAGCAGTTCAGACATATTACAGTGTTGGCAACTTGGGTTGGGATCAGTTGTTAATATTGGGGCACGGTGCTCTACTGTTTAAGTGTTGGCAGGATCAGTGGCTACTGTGTTAATGATCCTCTAGGGAGACTGTCTATATAGATATGGTGCTCACGCTAATAGTTGGATTTGTAGATCAGTAGCTGGGTGGCAGGGAGGCTGGGGGCTCCCTGCTGAGAACTGCACACCGGGTTCTTGAATCTTGCAGTAGGTAATAGTTACTTGAGAAAGGAGTATCCTCATGACTCTGGCAGATCCTCAGCACACCATTGTGACATGTGAACTGGCCTGTCTCCTCTCCCACTGTAAGTCCTTGAGCCAGTAATGACCTTGGTGTTCTCTTTTCTACAATACTGGCACAACATCTTAAGGTTTAATCTGATCTTTGTCTAAAATATTTTTTTCAGAACCCATTAAGTACGGTGTCTTCCCAAAAAAGATAAGTGTGTTGTCATAAGTTCCTGGTATTGGAAAAAGGAGTCTGTGTTATTTAAAGAAGCCTTGTCTGCTTCCTTAATTCCAATGCCCCTTTTCCATGCCTTCCTACCTTTCCTGGTAGTCATTCCTGGACTGAGGTAACTGCAGATTTTATAGTACTTGGGACTATGCACTCCCTAAGGCACAGACCGTATAAGAATTGCCTCTGCCAAGGGCTCCTAAACTTGGAATTATTTTTTCTTTAATGTCAGCAGGACTAATTCCACCTATACAAAATGGTTTGGCCTTTTCCTTCTTTGGCACAAAAGAGACTTGGCAGAGGCTCAGATAAAGGTGAAGTTGACGAGCTCTGGCATGGGAGTGAGCTCAGCGCTTCTGGGCTTTCATTCCCCCTGTTCGTCTCATGTTCAAAATCCCCATTCCACCCAGAAAGTCTTCCCTTCCCACCAGTGACACCGAAAGATGTTTCAGATCCTTCTTCCTTTGTCTCCAACACACACAGCGAAATGCTGCATGCCTTCATTTGCAGAAAGTTACCCAACTGGAATCACTTTAATATTTTTTTTTTAAT
Organism: Homo sapiens; assembly: GCF_000001405.40. Classification (NCBI taxonomy): domain Eukaryota; kingdom Metazoa; phylum Chordata; class Mammalia; order Primates; family Hominidae; genus Homo; species Homo sapiens. Next base: position 76,562,388 of record NC_000005.10, read on the forward strand.
CTCTTTAGGTGGATGGAAGTTTGCTTAGTTGAAGAATTGCCACCAACCACTGAATTGGAAGAAGGGCTCCGGAATGGAGTTTACCTTGCAAAGTTAGCCAAGTTCTTTGCCCCGAAAATGGTATCAGAGAAAAAGATCTATGATGTGGAACAAACACGTTATAAGGTAACCAAGATCTAATTGGTTTTGGCTTCCAGCTAAAAGTGAAAGTTTGGTATTTCATATCCTCTCCCTTCTTTTACTCTTAGTGTTTCTGTAAGGATTTGGGGGGCTGGGGGATGTCTTTGGAGCCTGTTAATAGCATTCCTGAGGCAGCAGCAGTTTTAAAAAGCAAAGTGTTTCTATTTCTGGTCTGACACTAAGAGACCTCTGACTTATGGGGCTTCCCAATGCCTCCCCCAATTATTCCTTCAGGGAAGTCACTCTTGACTTTATTAGTGCCAGTAAAGGTAAAAGTGGGGGCATGCTACCACTCCTTTTTTCACTTGAACTTGTGGCCCTAAAGAGTTAGGGCCAATGTGATAAAACAAGTAGGAAGGTCGAATGATCAGCCAAGAATTCTTTTCCATTTCATGTTTAAAGCAAGATACGACTAACCACTTTGTGTACAACTAGTTTTAAGAATTGTTTCAGGGCTAATTTGGGAAGCATTAGAAAATAAAAAGCTATTGTAGCCCTTTTAGAAACATCACAACAGCTGAGTGTGGTAGCTCTTGCCCATAATCCCAACACTTTTGGAGGCCAAGGTAGGAGGATTGCTTGAGCCCAGGAGTTCAAGGCTGCAGTGAGCTATGATCACACCACTGCCCTCCAGCCTGGGTGACAGAGTGAGACCCTGTCTCTAAGATAATAATAGCAAGAAGAAGAAAGATCAACAATAAAAACCGCACTGTTATTTAAATTTAGAAGGAGGAGGGAGAAGAAAACAAAATTAAAATAAACATCAATTTTATAGTAATAAAAATCCCGATTTTTTAGAGATACATATCAAAGTATTTACAGATGAAGTGATAGATCTAGGATTTGTTTCAAAATAATTGAGGGGAAGGTAGACAGATGATAAAAAGCTGGCCATGAGTTCATAACTGTTGAGTTGAATGATGGGTACATAGGAGTTCATTATACTATTCTGTCTACTTTTTTACATTTGAAATTATATATTCAGAAGGAAAAGGAAAAAGCAAACGCCAACCTAAAAGGCTCCTCCATTAGCAATGTATCTTCAAAACAGATTTTTTAAATGTCTGGTGTTCTATTCTGCAATATGTGACCTCTTGTCTGCTGCAGGTCAAGGTTTCTAAAGCTTCTTTGAAACTTGATCTTTATTTTTTTAATGCATTCAGTTCTTTATATCAATATTTTTTATCTGCAGATTTTCCAGTATTCTGAACAGTTATTTCTCTTACAGCTGTAGGGAATATGTTGCATATAGTTGGAAAAGGAATGATTTCCCATTTATTGCATGATTCATAGTACCCTTCACTTCTTTAGGCAAAATATATTCTTTAAATATGTATATTAAATACAGATAGAATGTTTGAATAATCTTCAAGGTTAACAGTAGACAAGATTACTTGTCAAATTTATTTTGAGTCTGTTTTTCTAGTCTGGTCAAAAAGGTCACTGAGCAAAAGTTTTTGCCTTGAATAATGTTATAAATAAAAATGTTTACATTTATTAAAGTAAATTTGTGTTCATGAAGTTTCACTCCAGAGTTCCAGCTCATTATAATCTTCCACAAGACTTTAATAAAACAATCATTTAGCCGGCTAAAATTGAAGTTTAGAAAAATTTTTTGAGAAATGTTTTTAGAAATTCAGAGAAGCCCAGAAAAAGACCATCTGTATCCTCTCTCCACAAAATAAATATTAGTCCACATTTTAGACTACAGCTTGTCTTTTTTTCATTGCTTTTATTTTGGTTATAATCAAGATCTAGGTCTGTCAGTACCAACACGTATGTAGATTTGATGATAGAGTTAAAGCGTAGTTGGGGTAGGCTCCAGCTCCACTGAAAGGGAATTACAGATTTTCTTTTGGCTTTCATGAACTGTGAGAATCAGGCTGGGAAGACGGGCCCTTCATGGAAGTGAGCCTCAGAGCAGTATGTGTGCTAGTTCTTTTCTCTTCCTGGAATGTTGTATACCTTGAATATAGGAGTGTCCTTCCTGACCAGCTCAGGGCCCTCATGGCAGTTGCCTCATGGCAACTTAAACAGGTACCTTCTCCTCCTGGCATCAGATATCCTATTATTTAAATGAATAGCAACTTCTCTTTAGGATGGGGACAGGGGAAATAATATTCGCAATTTCTGGTTATGGAATAAAATACTTGCGGGGCGTAGGCAGGTGATGACATACATCCCCAAGTGAAACATCACAAGAGGGAGGCCACCCCTGCCCCATCAGATCCCTGGAAGGCCGGGTGGCACAGAGGTGATGCTGGGAGAGGAGCAGGAAGGAGGGAGGTGCAGCAGGAGGGAGATCGTGGCCAGCTGTGGCGTGGGAGCCCATCCTTGCTGAGCTAAAAGAAAAAAACATAAGACAAATGGAAAGGACCCCTCTGTGGATTGACTACAGAAAAGAGGTTTGTTTTTTTCTTTATTAAATCCCTGAAAGTGCCTAGTGTTCTTGATGGAAACTTTGAGTGATTTGCCATGTAATCATAAAATCTTATTTTAGCGCCTTTTCATCTCTCATACGAAAATGAAAGGAGATAAATATTAGCAAATAGATAATGCAACTTCCTGATCTTGTGTTCTTCAGGACTGAAGCATGTCACATAGCCCTTTGCAAGGAGAGCTAAATCATGGGACTAAGGCAAAGATGTTGAAGCACGAGGGAACGCTCAATAACCCAGCCCCAGCCCCTCGTGCCATCTGGAAACCATGAATTCAGTGAACTCGGGCTCTCGCTGCAGGGTCTGCCTAGACTGCAGCCATAAAATATGTCAGCCTTGGCACTGGCAGCTTTGATGGCCATCAGTTAGGCAGACAGGAGCTTTTGTGCTACCCCCTTCTCTTTGTCAGCTTATGTACAACCCTAGTTCCTCATTAATTTAGGGTTGGAAAGATGTCCTGAGTATTAGAGTTCAACTTTCCAGTTATAAGTATTTTTTCCATGGCCACCTCCGCCCTCCACACCAGGTCTGAGTTACATGCCCACGCCATGTGCACTGCAGCTCCTGACACAGTCTCTCTTGCACATGCCATAGTGTATTGTAAAGTGGGCAGGCACCGTATGTGCCTCTATGCCCCATCCCCAGCAAATGGGGCAGGGTCTTATCCACAGTAGGAACTTGGGGAATAGCTGTTGGATGAAGGAATGAATGACAATAGTTTCACATAAGCCAAAGGATTCCATTCCTTTTCTTACCTTCTGTGCTTTATTTGGTACATACTCAGTATGCTGAGTGTGATACTCTTCCTCTAAGAACGGTGCTCAAGCCTCCTGCAGAACCACCTAATGGGTGTGTGTAAAAATTGGATTCCTGGGTCCCACCCCAGACTACTGAGTCAGGCAGCATCTCTTGACCCAGGAAGCGGTACTCTTAATAAATCACCTGCAGGTGATTCTTTTCTTCTGCACTTTGAGTTGAGAACCACTGCTCTAACAGGTGAATAAACATTAATATAACAAATTGCAATACAGTTGTAGGGAAGGAAGATAAAGGTATGCCACGATAGAAATACATATAGGGTAGAATTCATTCATCCATGCAACACTTATGAAGACCCATTGCATGTCAGGCACTATTCTAGGCACTAATGGCAGAATAGTGAGCCAAGCAGACAAGGGCCTGGTTTCATGGTGGCGGGGAGGCAGACTAAGTGAATTTATAGCTGTGAATTGTGATAAGTGTCTGAAGGAAGACACGAAAGCCAGTGTTATGGGTAGATAGCAACGGCCAGGAGATGGGCTTCTCAGAGGAGGAGTTTACTCTGAGGATGGAAGAGTGAGAAGAAAGTCACCTGTGTGCAGTCAAGGGTGGGCACTGGGAAGAACTGTCCAAAGAGAGGGAGCTCATTTGTGAGAGACTTGCCACAAGGAGGAAAAGAGCTTGTCCGTAGCAGAGTGGTTGAAAGGGACAGTGGTGGAAGATGAGGCCAGGAAGAGCAGAGATGAGATTGCACAGCCATGCAGGCCCCATGGAGCACCTGAGATTTCATGCTATGTTGAGGGGACAGCAATCAGAAGCCTTGTGATGCCATATGGTGCAGTTTGCGCTTCAGAAACATCAGTTGCTGCTATACAGAGAACAAACCAGAAGGAGGATAAGAGGGGAGACAGAGTCCAGTGAGGGGATAACTCAGTCCAGGTGGCAGTGACCTGCACAGACAAGAAGTGAACTGCTTCAAGAGGGAAAACCAAGGGTGGATCCTGAAAAGGAAATAGAAATGGATGGAGGGCCATGAGAAGACAGCTGGGTGGACAGTGGGAGATGACCAAGGAGGAGGGAGCAGTCCCGTCCATTCTAAATGGGGTGTTTGGTGGTGAAGGGCCAGGAAGGTTTCCATGGTGGGGACTTGAGAGATTAGAGAGTGGTCCCAAGCAGACTGGGGCAGGCAGGAGAAAGAGGAATGGACAGAAGGGCCTTCCTTGGAGAGGTTTCAGTCTGACAAGGTTCAAAGATGAATAGTACTCTGAACAGCACCTTGATAATTGTAGGTTTATAATAAATTCTTGTCAAATAGGTAGGTGTGCCTTAGATAGGGAAGGCATGCACACAGTGGTTAGCAGTGTGAACTGTAGAATCAAAATACTTCAGCGTCTAGCTTCGCCATTAACTTTGGCTCTCTGAGCCTCAGTTTCCTCACCTGTGAAGTGGGAATACAGATTGAATATCCCTAATCCAAAAATCCAAGGTGTTCCAAAATTCAAAACTTTTTGAAGACCGACATGACACTCAAAGGAAATGTTCCTTGGAGCATTTCGGATTTCGGATTTTGGGATTAGGGATGCTTAGTCAGTATGTCTGATGCAAATATTCCAGAATTTGTAAAAATCAGAAACTCGAAACGCTTCTAATGCCAAACATTTCAGATAACAGATCCTCAATGTAATAACAACAGTATCTGCCTTTGTGGAGATATTGTGAGGCACAAAATGATCCATGCAGGGCACTTGGCATGGTGCCTGACAGACATGAGCATCTAGTGAATATTGGAGGCAGTGCTTGTTCTAAGGTACTTGAGCAGTAAAATGAGTATAATATTTGGACTTGAAGTCCAAATATTATGGGATTCTGCAAGGGAGTCTTAACCTTGAGCCTAACAAGTTAGGTCAACTCAAGCATCTTACTTATTTGTGCCATCAGTTTCCTCATCTGTAAAATAAGCAAATTTGGATAATGTTATTTGTTTCTAAACTACCTCCTGGTTTTAAAATGCTCTAATTCCAATATGTAGAATGTTAGCATCCAATGATGACAATGTAATTCCTCATCTATGCAGTTTAAACTAGATGAACCATGTTTGCTGGTGTAATAGCTCAGCAGTGGAAAAACAGCATATACTTCCTGGTCTAATACCTGAAAGAAATTAGGTGTATGGATAACAGCAACCCTTGGCTAAATCTGACTGTAGACATGTCACCTCATCTAATAGTAATATACAGGACTGGAGCGGGAAGAAAAGACTTGTTAAAGATGATTATAGTGGACTGGGATTATTTCAAGCCTAATTAGAAGACCATTTTCATTCTAAGTGAAGCAAACTCAGTATGTTGACAATGTTATTGCTGCAATTCACTAACGAAAGTGTGCTAACATGAATCACAGGATTCTGAAGTCAGCATTCTCAGGTAGTTTAAAAGGATGAAGGATTTGAAATCTGTCATTTCATTTGTTGCAGAAATATGACCAAGATAACCACCCTTTTCTTCAGTGCCTCTTAACATGAAGCACTGAAATTTTTTCTGACCTTAAAGGTAAACGAAAGTTCCAAGCCTAATCTTGTATTGTAATAATTATAATAGCTAATATTTACTGCATTCTTAGGTGCACTTTGCAACTAAATACCTTCCATATATTCTCAGATTAATCTCTGCAACTCAAAGAAGCATTTTGTGGCTCAGGAACCAAGGTTCAGAGAGATTTCTATCTTTCCTGAGATTACTTTGCTAACAAGACCACTAAACACATGGGTGTCTTTGTTACATAATTTGGGATTGTTGGAGCCCACCAGTTTTGGACACCAGAAGCCCTCTGTGGTCAAACAAGATTAGGTTTATTTAACTTGTTGGGCAAGAAAAGTGCATACCCATATTGCCACAGTGAAGAGAAATGAGTAGATTTGGGCTTGTGCTGGGTGGTTCTAGTAGGGATTTAGGGAAGCAAGAACCCATTTTCTTTTGGGTGTCATCAGAAAGTGGGATCAATTTGGTGTCTTGGTAATTTTTATCTAAGAGGTGGGAAGATTGAATAGGGACTTAGATTGTCATCAGTAAAGAAAGCAGAGTACCTCATATTAGTTGGAAGAGGGGGACATTATTTATTTTGTGGCACAGAGGGTTCTCATACCTGTCTTGGTTCAGACTTGATTGTGGATTGTTTCTATCTTGTTCTTCCATGGTCACAGAGTGGCCTTGTCTGAAAATTATTTGCATAAGCAAATTTTTGCTGAGTTATAAACACTCAAACAGTATAGCCTGACCTGTCAACTCTCTGGGCTCTGTTTATTCCTTTTCCTTCTTCCCTTCCTTCAACTCTCCCTTCCTCTATCTAGTTCATTAGTAGTTAATTTTTGCCTTCCAAAGAATAATCAAACAATCTAGGTCCTTCATTCTTCTCTGATAGAGTGTTAGCATAGGGAAGGTTTTCAGATCCGGAGAGATGTAGTCTTGAATCCTAGGTCAGTCAGTTGACAACTACTTGACTTTAGGCAAATCACATCATCTTTTTGGTCTATCTTTCCATATCTTTAAAAAATAGAAATTTATTCCATTGTGTGAATGCACCAGAGTTTATTTAATCTTATTCACCCACTAAAGGACATTTCCATTATTCCCAGTTTGAGTCTATTAAAATAAAGCTGTTATGAACACTGCAAAAAAAAAAATAGGAATGATAATTACCTTTCAGGGTGTTTTGAAAATTAGGGTTAATTTACATGAAGTGATTGGAACACATGGTTCAATCACGAATAGTGGCCACCATTGAGAAGGCATAAACATTTGTCAAATGTTAATTTGCTTATACTTTATATTTCTAACAGCAATGAAAATACTTTTTATACAACAAATTATTAGATTGTAGAAGGTAACAGAAGGTGGGGAGAGCCAAACTTTCTGAATGTGATTATCTACTACTGAATGTTAGTTATATGGTAAAACTTGCTATAGTTATTGTTTTGTACATTTATTAAAAATTACAATAAATAGATAACATGGTGCTATGCATTTAATTAGTGAAAAGCACAAGATCATTTTAAAGTTCTTAATGGTTCATTCCTGATAAATTTTTATGAGATACAGGCAAGAATGCTATACTTACAGGCTGTGCAGAAGGAATGACTATCTGATGAGGGCTATAAAGAAGAAATGGAAGATACACAAAAGCTATTTTTATTGTAGGGGTAGAAAAAGATCTTGTTAAATATTTCTGCTGAAGGTTTGTTTCTTATATACAAGGCCAAGATCAGGGTTAAATTAGAAGAATCAATACTAAAGTTAGTTCTGAATTGTGGGATGGTTTTTGTTTTCATCTTTGTATTTTGCTATATTTTCCTATTTTCCAGGTTTTCTGCAGAAATATTCTATTCATGATTAGAACAAAAAAAAATGTAGTCTTCTAAAAATCCTGTCTTTTTCTGAAGTTGCTAGGCCTCTCAGCCATGGTTGCCAAAATCTGGACACCATGCATGTGTGTGTATGTGCGTACACACCCACGCCTGTGTACATGTGTCTCATAAAACATCCTTAAGCATGAGCTAGACATTAAACAGTCTTGGAGATTCTAGTTCAGAATTTACCTCAAACGTGTGAATTATGGAAATTCATGGTTCATCACAGATGGTTGGGATGTTGCCAAGATACATCCTTTAGCACGCCTCTGTTTGCTTTATGTGAACATTAATAACTCTGTTCCAGGAGAAATACAATTGAAAAGCATCCTGTACATGAAAAAAGTTATTGCAAATGACTCACTTTTTGTGTGGTTCCTTCTCTCCCTTTTTCCCTCCTATCGTCACTTTAGAAGTCTGGCCTTCATTTTCGACACACAGATAATACCGTCCAGTGGTTAAGAGCGATGGAGTCTATTGGTCTACCCAAGGTAAGCCTTCACGCACTGGAATCTGAACTAGAAAGGCAAAGGGGTAGTACACAAACATCTCTTTATGAGCAATGACTTTGGAGACTGGGTTATGTTAATGTAGAAATGAGAAATGTGAGGACTAAAAAACATGGAAAGACCTATCCAAAGTAACATATGGCAAGAACTCAGAATGAGGGATGTGCCCAGATTGAGAGCAGCCAGGTAAAATTGTGCACAAAATAAAGGCAGAACAAGCTATAGCTGGTAGATAGGTGAGCTATCTAAAATAGCCAACTCCCTTTCTTGTGTTGCTATTTGTACATAAAGATTCTAAGTCTCAGCCACTTTTGGTGGCTCATGCCTATAATCCCAGCACTTTGGGAGGCTAAGGTGAGAGAATCACTTGAGGCCAGGAGTTTGAGACCAGCCTGGGCAACATGGCAAGACCCTGTCTCTATTAAAAAAAAAAAAAAAAAGAAATCTCATTGTATTAGTATACACTTTATTACTGTAAATTATTATAAATTTATTTTTTGTAAATTATTGTTATTATTATTTCAAGACAGAGTCTGGCTCTGTCGCCCAGTCTGGAGTACAGTGGCTTAATCTACCACCTCCGCCTCCCATGTTCAAGTGATTCTCCTATCTCTGCCTCCCAAGTAGCTGGGAACACAGGCAAGTAGCTGCCCCATGCCCAGCTAATTTTTGTTTTTGTTTTTGTTTTTGTAGAGACAGGGTTTTGCCTCGTCGGCCAGGCTGGTCTCAGTCTCCTGAGCCCAAGCAATCTGTCCACCACGGCATCCCAAAAGTGCTGGGATTACAGGGATGAGCTACCATGCCCGGCGTATAAATTATCATTATAAATCATAATATCACTTGTAAAGGCTAGTGGGTTATAGCTCTTACTCCTAAAATAGATCTCCTAAATATAATTTAACTCAGCAAACATTCAGTGCTTGTTAAATTTGAAGAGCAGGCATCCTAAAGTCTGTGAGAGAATTAGGCAAGTGGAGGAAATGAGGAAATAATTACATTTGATAAAAATTGTAGAACTATTTTTTTAAACTTGTTATTTTGAAATAATTATAGAATCACAGGAAGTTGTAAAAATAGTACTTCTATGTTTATCCTTCATTCAGCTTTCCCCTAGTGGTGACATCTAACTGCAGTACATGTTAAATTGACATTGGTGTATTAGTGTAAACTAGACTACAGACCTTTTTCCATTTTCACCATTTCATATGCATTTATTTGTGTAAGTGGGCATGTGTGTGCATGTATGTGTGATTCTGTGCAGTTTTATCCCATGAATAGATCTGTGTAACCACCACCACAATCAAGACACAGACACACAGAAGAGTGGTCCTTCTGATTGCATCCCTCCCCCAGCCCTGTTCCCTGGCAACCACTAATATGTTCTCGATCTCTATAGTTTTGGCATTTTGAGCACAATATATAAGTGTAATCATATAGCGGGTATCCTTTGAGTCACATCGTTTCCACTCTGTATATGGTCCTTGAGACCCATCTGGGTCAATAGCTTGCTCCTATGTGTTGCTTAGTATGTACAGCTATTTTTTTTTTTTTTTTTTGAGACAGAGTCTTGCTCTGTCACCCAAGCTCGGGTGCATTGGCACAATCTCGGCTCACTGCAACCTCCGCCTCCCAGGTTCAAGTGATTCTCGGGGTTATCACTTACAGGCATGCACCACCACGCCTGGCTAATGTTGGCCAGGCTGGTTTTGAACTCCTGACCTCAGGTGATCTGCCCACCTCAGCCTCCCAAAGTTCTGGGATTACAGGCGTGAGCCACTGCACCTGGCCTGAAATCTGTTTCTTATCAGGCTGTTAGTTTCAAGTTTAAGAAAAAGAGTAAGAAATAGTATGTAGGATAACCCCCCGAGTTATCAAGTGTAACCTCCCGAGTAGCTGGGGTTACAGGTGGGCACCACCACACCTGGCTATTTTTTGTATTTTTAGTAGAGACAGGGTTTCCACATGTTGGCCAGGCTGGTCTCGAACTCCTGACTTCAGGAAATCTGCCCGTCTCAGCCTCCCAAAGTGCTGGGATTACAGGCATGAGCCACCATGCCTGGCCTGTACAGCTATTTTTAAAAAATTATTTAGGAGTGGTCTCGCTGGAGGTCAAGAGGATAAGCTACTGGCTTATGAAGACCTCTGTTGTGCCAGGTGTGCAGTGAAAAACACCCACTGCCACAGAAACAGAAGATTCTTTAAATGTAATTTATTAATGCCCATTTTTAATATAATTGTGCTCATATCTGTTTTAGGTCAGTCTCATTTTATCTTGAAATGATCAGTGTTTAAATTTTGTTCTGCCATTTTTAATCAAACTATTTTCTCTTCTCCTAAAATGCCCAGAACGTTAAATGCTGTTTCCTTCTAGGAACTGGCTGTAATACATAATTCATATTTCTGGATTGTGATTTAGCAACTACTAACTAGAGGCTGGATGATAAACCGATTAATAAAAAACGAATTTAAACAGAATTGTTTTGTATAAGGCAACATCAAATTCAGATAATTTCATTGGATTTGATAGATTTGATGTAAACCTTTTCAAATTGTATGTATTTAGGGCCAAACAAGTGGTGTTATAGAGCAGATTTTATTTTAACATTGGTTTTTATTATGAAGTCATTGATATATTGCATTGCAGGGGCAAGAGACTGTACTGAGTTGACTTTGATGTATCATATTTAACTTGTATTCCTTCATTTATCAATATTAAGTGCTTACTCTGTGCTCAGTATCATGCTAGGTGCCAGAAATACAATGCTGCATAAAACATTCTGGTGAATGATAAATTGATCTCATCTCCTTGCTGAAGGAAGTCATTTATAATGGCTTTCCAGGAGAAATATAAATATAAAAGATTCTTGTTTAAAGAAAAGGGAAGAGGCAATTGTAGTTATTCTCTGCTTACATAAAAAACTTTAAACCGGTAATACTCTTTTTTGTTGTTTTTTGAGACGGAGTCTCGCTCTGTCGCCCAGGCTGGACTGCAGTGGTGCCATCTCGGCTCACTGCAATCTTCGCCTCCTGGGTTCAAGTGATTCTCCTGCCTCAGCCACCCAAGTAGCTGGGACTATAGGTGTGCTCCACCATGCCCAGCTATTTTTTTTTTTTTTTTTTTAATTTTTAGTAGAGGCGAGGTTTCACCATGTTGGTCAGGCTGGTCTTGAACTCCTGACCTCACGTGATCTACCTGCCTCTGCCTTCCAAAGCACCACCATGCCCAGCTAATACTCTTCTGAATTTAGGGATCCTCTTCTCATTGATACTTTAGTAGCAAATGCATTAAAGGAAAGTTGGAAAGGCTTTTTAAATTTCTTAGGCTACTGCCATTTCTTTAAGTACTTAGTAATTATATATTTTGTAGCTCAAGAAACTTTGCTTCTTTCTTTTCTCAGCTTTTCTCAGTGACCAATAGGAAATTGCACTTGAGTATCACGTACTACCATATGATGCATTATTTTAGTTTTTGATGTCAGTTTTTATAAAATATTTACTTAAAGTAAATAATGTCTAAATGATTATCTTAATTTTAAAAGCCTCAAGCTTAATTATTTTTTGTGTGTGCTTAGGAACAGAGAAGTTTGGTGCCTCACTCTGAAATCTGTTTCTTTTGTTGATTTGTTTGTTCGTTTGTTTTGTTTTGAGATGAAGTTCTGTTCTTGTCACCCAGGCTGGAATGCAGTGGCACGTGCTTGGCTTACTGCAACCTCCACTTCCTGGGTTCAAGCAATTCTCCTGCCTCAGCCTCCCAAGTAGCTGGGATTACAGGCATGCACCACCACGCCTGGCTAATGTTGGCCAGGCTGGTTTTGAACTCCTGACCTCAGGTGATCGCCTGCCTCAGCCTCCCAAAGTGTTGGGATTATGGGCGTGAGCCACTGCACCTGGCCTGAAATCTGTTTCTTATCAGGCTATTAGTTTCAAGTTTAAGAAAAAGAGTAAGAAATAGTATGTAGGATAACCTCCCGTGACACACATTTACCTATGTAACAAACCTTCACATGTACCCCAAACCTAAAATAAAACATGTTAGAAAAAGGAAAAGAGTGTGAAGGTGTATTCAAAACTTTGATGTTCAGACCTTTCAGTCTAGTAATTTCATATTTAGATGATTATCCAAAATAATCAGATGCTCAGAAAATACAGAAATATTCATTGCAGTGGCTTATAATAGGGAAAAATTAGAAGCAAAACAAATGTTCAACCATGGATTAACTGGCTAAGCTAGGGTTCAAAAATATAAACGAATCATATACATCTATTAAAAATAATCTTATAGTATAATGAAGGGGATGGGAAATAATTGTGTTCTGTAAAGTGTTTTAAACAGGTTACACTAAGTACAATTTTGTTTTCACATGCACACATATATATAAACCTAAAAAAATCAGAGACATACAGAAAAAAAGACCAGAAGAAAAATAGGGACAAAATTGCTAATAGTGACAATCTGGGAGGTGGGGTCATAGATGTTTTTCCTTCATACCTTATATACTTTCCAGATTTTATTTGGTGAAAATGTCTTACTTTAAACAGATTTTTTAAATGTGTGTGTGTGTGTGTTGTATATGCATGTATACATGTGTACAGAGCACATATGCCAAGTTTTTAACAATGCAATAAAGTGGCTAATAACAAGGACACCCTTCTCAGGCCCATGGGACCTCTGGGAAGTCACAGGAGTGTGAAGGCTACAGGAGGCAGAGCCCACATGTGCTCATATGCCCTATGAAATGAAACACTGCCACTAGCACTGTGGACACAGCCTTCTTGGAGTAGCTGGCTGGGGACCCCACCATCCTCCTGTGGACCACTAAGAGGCATGCTGTCAGGCAGGGGTCCAGATATGGTGATTGGTCTATCTCTACAGCAAGATGAAGCAATGGCAGAGAGGTTCCTCTATATTTAAATAATTATAGGATAGCAAGGACAATCAAAATAGGGTCATTTTGGGAAGTTAAAATACTTGTGAGAAGCAAAACATATAATAAATATTGTTTCTTTTGTTTTCCAGATATTTTATCCAGAAACAACAGATGTCTATGATCGGAAAAACATACCAAGAATGATATATTGCATTCACGCACTGAGGTAGGGGGAAAATGCAGCTAAAAGGTGCTCTAAGAAGTAGATTTAAATAAAACTAAAATTTCAATTTTAAAAGAGGTTTTAAGTTACTTTAATAGTTTGAAGAACTTTTTATTAAATTCCATTGTTTTGGATTTGCTGGTACAAAATTAAAATAATGGTCACATATAAGCAATTCTTGAACTTGAAAAATGTTTTTCTGATTTTTAAATCTAACTCAAAATAGAAAACCAGAAAATGATTGAAAACCATTAAGTACAATAAAGAGAAAATTTAGGTTGAAACTTCTAGAAATCCAATTGTAATGTACTACTATATTCTTGAGTTATGACCTAGTTTACAAATATAATGCAGATATATCAAATGAGCAACTTTAATAGTCATAATTTTGGTTTAATGAGTTAAAATTATAATTTAGTTCAATTCTTACAAATTAAGAAAATAGAGGTAAGAATGGTTTCTTTTGATCTTCTGTTCAATAGAATTTGTACCCTAAGGATAAAGAAGAAACATAGTAGTTTGGTGTAAATTAGTCAAATCAAGACACATTCATTATTTTAAAGCAATTGTTCAATAACTTAATTTTTGAAAATGCTGAAATTCTGCTAGTTCACAGATTACATTTTATCTTATTGGCCTGGAAGAAATGTGATTTTTAGATGGTAACAAAGATTATTCTAAAAATCCAGTTTGTGGCTGTTGTCTTGAATGTACACAGGTAATGGTTTTGGAAGACTTCATGTCTGATTAAATTTTAAATTACTTTTAGAACATCTGCCTTGTGTTTTCATCACTAGAAGTCATTTTCCTGGCAGAGTACTCTGCCTAGAGGTTTATGTTGACTTCTTCCTGGCTCTTTTCCTCTCCAAAGGAAAATGCTTCTACAATAATTCATGGTGGTGTTGGCTTTCTAGAGAAGAAATTTGATTATGTCATATAATTTGACTTTTTCCCCCAGTCAGTACTTATGGGATTGCTTTGGAAGATGACAGTTGCTAGAAATATAGACCAAGTGTAGGTGCCTTTGCTATGATTTTTTTTTATTCTAGTAACTTAGAACAACTGGTTAAAAAAAGAAAAACAGCAACAGTAAAAACAAACCTACTTCATGCTGCCTTCTCAGATGTGGCGAGAGTATCATTATGCCACAGGTTTTCTAAAAGCTCCTTGTGCAAAAGTGCTTATGTTGAGGAATATTTTCAACTTGTGTTGCCTGATATTCTTTATTAAATATTTTTCTGATCTTAGAATGATAACACTATAGTTAGTACTGGGTCTATGAGCTGCTAAGCCAGCCACGACTAGTTAATGCCATTGCTACATGTGTGCATCACAGTGCTAATCTCTAGTTCTGTCGCATGCTCGTGGGCTGTCTCGTATAAGTTTCAATTGATTTTCTGAAATAGACAACTGGGACATTCATGTTAAGGAGCTTATAAACAAATGGTATGCTAAGTTCCTTTCTGGTGATATCATGGTTCTCCTAAAGGAGCTATCTAGAGCTGCACTTAGACTTACATGTGTATTTGCCATGGTTTTAACAATGGCTTGAATAGCTTGGTAAACAAAGAAAAAACAACTTTTTGTTTATTATTACCAATTGTATACAAATATTGATGTGATATTTTCCAGGACTGTGTTTTTCAGTTATTCATCATAGACATCTCCATTACTTTTACTCATCCTGGAGGGGATTCCTGTTGGGTCATGTCATTCACCAGATCTGATCTTAAGTAGGATATTTTATCTTCAAAAGCAATATTTATTTAGTAAATAGCATTCTCCTCGCTTTTCTTTGTTCTAAATTATTGTATAGCTGCCTCTCACTATGGAGCCGAGAAGTCCCAAGTGTATCTTGCAGCTTTTTCCACCAAAACTTGTTCCTGCTATGATTTAAAATGCAGTCAGTCACTCAAAGGAGGCTGATATTCTGCTTTGTTGTGCAAGACACATTTGAAAGCTGAGGAACAATCCTCTAATAAATACAGTGGGTTTGATAAATACTCTTGCTGCATAGTTAGAAATGATGATGGAAATGAACTAACATGTCTTCAGCTTTTATATCCTGGCTGCAAATACAGCACTGCTGCTGTATTTGAGAGTTGTTATTACCTGGTAGAGTAATTAGGCAGGTCAGAGATTCTGATTATAACTCAGAAGCCAGCAAGGAAGTTTCCCTAGGAAGTTAAGCTTGCCAGGCGCTGCCTTCTTCCTGCCCCAGCCTGTGGGCCTGACTTGATCTAAAAAGTTAGCTCTTAGCCCTGACCAAACTTGTCTCCTATTCCCTGTCATCTTGATTTGGGCTTAACAACCTAACTTCTGGGTGCTTATGCTTGCTTCCTGTTTGTATCTGTGTTCCCCTTTGCTGCCTGCCCCTCACCTTATCATTTTATTTCTGATCCCAGTCTCGTGTCCTACCACTCACCAATCCCTGTGTCAGTTTAGCTTGGTGTTCTCAAGCCAGACTCCATGAACATTACCACAGCAGCAAAGGGAGGAAATTCTCAAGCTTCACCTAATGTAGACAGACTCACCTTAGCGGTGGATGGCATCTTTTTTTTTTTTGAGATGGAGTCTCACTCTGTCACCAGGCTAGAGTGCAGTGGTGCAATCTCAGCTCACTGCAACCTCCACCTTCCGGGTTCAGGTGATTCTCCTGCCTCAGCCTCCTGAGTAGCTGGGACTACAGGCACGCACTACTATGCCCAGCTAATTTTTTGTATTTTTAGTAGAGACGGGGTTTCACCATGTTGGCCAGGATGGTCTTGATCTCTTGACCTCGTGATCTGCCTGCCTCAGCTTCCCAGTGTGCTGGGATTACAGGCATCAGCCACCACGCCCGGCCACATCATTCTTTTTCTAAAGAAATGTTTGTCTTTTTCTCATTTTTTCAAAAGTAATGTATGCTCATTGTGGAAAAAATTGGAAAATCCAGGAAGAATGTTAAAGAAAAAGCTAAAATACCCACTATCTCAACACCAAGTAAAAACCACTGTAACTATTTTGATATCTTTGAACTTAAAGTGTATACTGCGTATGGCATGTTTTACTTTTGTGGCTTCTTTTGGAATGTTATAAAGCCTCTGCCTTGAAAAGGAACCAGTTTAAGAGTGAGAGCCTTACTAACTAGTTACTATACTAATTTTTAAAAAATATCTGGAGGCCTTTTACGTAAGGGTAAGAACACTTTTTTGACATGTTGTTTAGTGCCCACCTTATTAAAGATGTATAATAAATGATATTAAACAACTGTTACTTGTTTAAACAGTCATAAAAGTGAGTTCCTTGAAAGAGTTGGAATAATTTAGTAGAAATGATGTTTTGAGTACTTCAGATACCTTAAAGAGCAGGTGAAATGCCCAGGTACGTTATTACAAACTTACTACACTGGAACCTATTCTGTAAGACCCATACTACAAGTTTCACTCATTTTGTTTATTATTTATAACTAGTTTTGAGTTGTCCTTGGCTATTATATTATTTTGATACCTACCCAGAATTGACATAATCTTCGTGGCACCAGAAACAAAAGAATACCCTTTCAAACCTGCCATGATTACAGATCTGGGTTTCGGATGGATCACTTGTGAGTCAGAACATGGCGCAACTTTGGGTTCTTCTCCCATGGCGAGTCAGACCCTGGCCACAGGCATCAGGCTAAACTTTCTTTGTTTAAAAAAAAAAAAAAAAAATCAGACCGCATTTAAGTACCCGGCTTTCAGGTAGGTCTTTATTTACAATCTGGTCCCCACCCCTGCCCCCCTTCCCCATTACCCTGAAATAATTTACTTTCTTAAGTCTCACTTGACCAGCATTGTATAATCCATTGTCCTGTCATAATGATGTATTGGCCTGATCCATTAACATTATTAAAAGCTTATGTATGCCTTTTAAATATTTTTTTTTTAATTAGTTGGGCTTTCTAGAGGTTTTCATCCCCTGGGAGACAAGGGATTGACTGTACCCAGTGATCCTTAGGCTTTTGGGCTGATTTATCATCTCAGATCATGTTTCTAGTCCTGCCTCCACTTAGTTAGTGGATGTGACCACCAGTGCTGGACCCTCTTTCTACCCGGTGTTTCTGTCACCACCTATGCTCCTTGGTTCTTCCTTATCTTGGGGCACTTCCTTTGTTTTCTGGGACTATTTAGTTTACTCAAAGTTCTTGGTCTTTATTCTTTCATGTAGTATAAATAGTATAAAAATATCTATATATAAACAAATATAGGCCAGGTGTTGTGGCTCATGCCTGTAATCCCAGCACTTTGGGAGGCTGAGGCAGGCAGATCATGTGAGGTCAGGAGTTTAAGATCAGCCTGGCCATGATGGTGAAACCTCATCTCTACCAAAAATACAAAAATTAGCCAGGTGTGGTGGCAGGTGCCTATAATCACAGCTACTCGGGAGGCTGAGGCAGGAGAATCGCTTGAACCTGGGAGGCGGAGGTTGCAGTGAGCTGAGACTGTGCCACTGCACTCTAGCCTGGGCAACAGAGGGAGACTCCATCTCAATTAAAAGAAAAAAAAAAAAGCATGGTGGCACACGCCTGTAGTCCCAGCTACTCGGGAGGCTGAGGCAGGAGAATAGACCCAGGAGGCGGAGATCACAATAAGCCAAGATCGCGCCACTGCACTCCAGCCTGGGCAACAGAGCGAGACTCCGTCTCAAAGAACAAAACAAAACAAAACAAAACAAACAAACAAAAAACAGATATAGAAGAAACAAAGTACTTGTGTTTTAATAATGCTCCCCAACTTGTTAAAGTCAATATAAATACACATTCGCTATTTATCTCTTTTTTTTATTACAACTTCCTTTTTGGACACTGTATATTATTCTCTTGATTATTGTTTTGAACCTGTGGCCTTTCTCAGACTTAACCAAGATTAATATCTCTTTCTTTTTGATGAACCAGATTGTTTCAGCTTGGTCAGTCTGAGCTCTTTCTGGCCCACTTCCTTGTCCTTCTAGCACCGTCCCTGACATTCTTTGAAATATCCTTGCTCGTGGTCACAACAGGATGTTCCAGTCCTATCCTGATTATTTCTGCTTTGAGATGTGGAACCACCACTCTCTAGGGATTCCTCTTAAAAGTCATGTGTTTATATTAATTTTTCAAGTTTAACCTTATTAGCTTACTGGATTCTGCTTTTCTTGCTGTCTAGTTCATTTGACCATTGAGATTCTTCTACATGGGCAGCCACAAACGGAAGCTATGTCTGCCTCTCCTCTGTGATAGGATTACTCTTCCCGCTGCTGATACTGTAGCTGTGTCGCAGCAGCCATGTTTTCAGGTGCAATGGTGATGCCATGGCTCTGGCAGACCCACTTCTGGTTCACCAGCCGTCCAGGTACTCTGGGAGCTTTGTGGAGTAGAGTTTGTCTAGCCAGCTCCCACACAGCCAGGTGGCTGTCTTGCTTACCAGGTGGCCTTTGAACCTGCTCCTCAGGCATTAATGCATAACTTTCCTTGTCTTAACACTCTGTTCCCTTAGAACCTTTTCCTTCCCTAAGAAACTGATTGAACCCTTATATCAGATTGATTATATCTCTAACAGTGAACATATTTGCATTTATAAATAAGATTTCCAAAGACAGTTTCTTAGCTCAAAGGACAGGCTCTAATCCTAGGTTCTCAGAAGGGATATCTGGAGATGGCAGTATTTGGAAGTAAGGTGAGGGAGGCAGTTGCACCTGCTTATTTCTTTCAAGTCCTTCCTTGCTCAGAATTCTCTCTGTGCTCTGAACCATTCCTTTCCCTTTCCTCCTCTTTCTGTCCTAAATTAGTATGGTGGTTATGCCTTTCTGTCTTCCTAAATTCTGAGCTCTTAAGAGACTATGAACCACATCTTGTTACTTCATACAGCTTACGTGCTATTGATTCCAAGTTAAAGTCTCTGGAGTTTGTATATTTAACTCTTCAGGAGGTTTAATTGAACTAATTTCTCTATGATAAGGCTACCTCAGGATTCCTTTGGTTTGGGGCTGAAAATTAGGTATAGAACCCTGGATTTTGATATGATATTGGCAGTGATATATGTGACTAAGATGGAAAAATTTGGTTCAGTAAATAAAACTATTTCAAACATGGAGTCTGTGGTGAAATAGAGATTCTTGGCATTGGAAAAAGTAAGAAAACCACTTTGATAGGTTATCAATAAGTGTTTGTATACAAAGGACACATTTATTTAACAAAGAATAGTAAGAACAAAGGTTAACACAAATGGAGCTTTTAACTATGTGCCTGGCACTGCACAAAATACTGTACTGGTATAATCTCATTTTATCTTCATAACATATCTGTGCAGTGGTCACTATTATTACTCCCATTTTATCACCAAGGCAGTTGAGGCACAGAGAGGCTGCCGAAGGTCACACAGTTAGTAAAAACCAGGATATGTGAGAACTGAACCTGTGCTATTATGAATTCAGCCAGCCAATGGCTTCAAAAGAAGTCAATTATTTCCCTACTTCTAAGAAAATTAAAAGAACACTGGTATCAGACTTGAACTTCAGCACAGGCCTCTCAGCTATTATATTTAACATGTTTTAAATGAAGAATCATGGAACTTGAGAAGGGGAAGGGCCTTGGGAAGTTATTGTAGTCTAAGTCATTCATTTCACAGATAAGGGAACTGAAAGCTTGGGTTACGTGACTTGCTCTTAGTCACACACTGAGGTTTTACCAGTTTTGGGACCAGGATTCAGCGCTTCTGGATTCTAGTCCTGTGGTCTTTCTGCTCTACCATGAGGCTTTGATATACAAACATTCATTCCACATGTTATAGTACAAAATGAGCTACACATAATGTGATCCAAGAAAGCTGAAATAAATTTAGCTCCTGCCTTTTAAGTTTGCATTTCATTACGATAGTACCTTTTAGTGTATATCCTGAAAGTATAGAAAAAACTAATACCACTAGTTTTATCTTGAAAGTGGTAGAAAAAACTAATGCCATGTGATATTGGCAGTAATGTATGTGACTAAGATGGAAAAATTTGGTTCAGTAGATAACAACTACTACTACTACTACTACTATATACTACTTTCATGATATACACTAAATGGTATTTTTTAAAACTTTCTTTATTGCTTCCTGGACTTTAAGTGATATTATTTGTACAAGTAGGAGCACATGGGTCAATGAGTCGGTAGCTACCTCTGGGCAACCCCTCCGTTGCTGGCCTCACTCAGCTGCACAGGTGTGCTGTAGCTTTTGGTGTGGTAGGAGGCTTGCTACCTCACAAAAAGTGCTCTCTTAGACATGAGAAGCAAAGGTGACATTAATTCCATGACTTCCTTTGGAATGCTCTCAGCCCTTTGACTTGGCTGTTAGGTACCAAACGGTGCTTAATAAATTAACTGTTGAAGAGCTACATGAGATTGGCACTTTTTCTATTCGATGGGCTTTTTTGTTTTTTAGATTAAGACTTGATTTCCTATATACTTCAGGTAATAAGCAGCCTCATTTGAATTTAAATGCTTGGGAAGGAAGTTTGCTATTGCTGTTTCTTTTCAGCATGGGAATACTGGGTAAACACAGTTTCCTGATAAACATTTGCCCGTTTGAGTAATCAGCTGGGAAGCACCTCCCACACAGAGATTAGGTGTAAAACGCCCATACCATGAAAAGTGATCTTTCCAAAGCTAACAGTTTAAACCTCAACATCAATGATTTAAAAAAAAAGAAAAAAAGTTGAAAATTGAGGCCAAACAGAAACTATACAATATTTTTTTTAATTTTTTAGTAAATGAGATTTTTTGATATATGCAAATGAGATCTTTACCTGATCAATATTAGCTTAAGAAAATATCAGACTTAAATTTAAAAGCAAAGATTCTTCCATGTTCAGAAAGCTAACTTCTCAGCACCACCTTGTGGTAACTTTTACTTAAGCCAGGATGTTTGTTTATTGTAAGATTTATATTAATATTACATTGTACAATGGAGAAATTAAAAATGTAATTGGAAATAGCTATCTAACTTCTTTATCATCAAAGGGGAAAATTAACAGTTTAGTATAAACATTTTACTTCATGTTATCATCAAACCTATATTTTGTGGTAGCCTAAGTACCTTAATTTAGGGATAGCATGGTAGAGAAAATTTTTTTTTTTTTTGAGACACAGAGTCTTGCTCTGTTGCCCAGGATGGAGTGCAGTGGCACAATCGTGGCTCACTGCAACGTCTGTCTCCCTGGTTCAAGCAATTCTCCTGCCTCAGCCTCCCTAGTAGCTGGGATTACAGGCGTGTGCCACCGTGCCCAGATAATTTTTGTATTTTTAGTAGAGATGGGGTTTCACCATGTTGACCAGGCTGGTCTCGAACTCCTGACCTCAAATGATCGCCTGCCTTGGCCTCCCAAAGTGCTGGGATTACAGACGTGAGCCACTGTGCCCAGCCGAGAAAAATATTTTTATATAGGAGCTGTTCCATAAATAGTAATTAAATGAATGAATGGATAAACAGAGCATAATGTGAAAACAGTTGCATCAAGATCATTGAGCACAGCTGTCTTATCCCCTTTCCAAAACTAACATGAAATTAACTACAGTAATAACTTTTAAAAAATACATTTGCGATAAAAATGCCATCTACTAACCAGAAATTTGAACAACCCCTAACATGAAGTAAACAGACAGAATTCGATTGACTGAGAAACAAACTGGGAGAAGATCACAGCCCACAAAACGCTGGGGGTTGCAGCAGAGGTAGGAGCTGTCGTGAGGTTTGCTCCAAGCAAAGGGGACAGCAAGGAAAAGAAGAGCCTCAAAGTGAGCAATCGTCAGCCTAGGACCAGCAGAACTATATGGCCCTTCCCTAAAGCAGCAAGTGTAGATGCTGATAGCGGGATAGCATGCCGGTACCCAAGACAGCTAATGACCTCAAGAAGGAACAGAGAGTCCCCAGTCTGAGAAGGAAAGACACTGGTTCCCTTCTGGCGTCCGTTCCATTGCTCTCTACAGCTTCTTAATGCTGGCTCCTGACATGCGGATCTGCAGTGAATGACCAACAAACAGCAAGTCTCAAACACTAAGATGAGTCCCAGATCAGAAGATGTCAGACATTTGAAGGAAACTGCCACTGAAGGAAGCATTAGATTCACCAAACAGAACCAAGACCCAAGGAACAAATGAAAATATTAAAATATGTGCAATTGATGATTCATTCAATTTATGTTCAACAAATATTTATTGAGCACTTACATTTATACACAGAAGAACCAAAGATAAAACTCTAAGAAGGAAAATTTGGTATAGATAAAATCAGAAAAACAGTTAATAAAATTTGTAGATATCTAAATTATTGGTGGATATAATTAAAAAAGCATGAATCTAAAATTCTAAATTATCTCAATATTCCACAGGTGGGAAAGTTAGAGGTGGAAGCATCTAAGGATAATAGATACCAATTAGTTTAGGCTTTGATAGAAAAATGTAAAAGTATATTAAAACTTCAGCAGGATATTAGTATAGGTAATATATATTAAAGATGCAGCACATTAAGTACTTGAAATAAGTATAAAATTTGTTGCTTGAAGACATTTTATGGATGTCTGCTTACATTTTACTGTATAACATTTTCTAAATTTCACTTTTTTTATAGTTTTCTTTGTAAATTAGGTATATTTTTGAATTTGTAAAAAGAGGAGGAAAGTGCAAATCAGGTAGTATGAAAGAAATTGAAGTGATACAATTATACATTTTTGATTATTTGTTCATCTATTCTCATTTCTTTTTTTCTTTTTTTCTTTTTTTTTTTGAGGTGGACTTTCACTCTTGCTGCCCAGGCTGGAATGCAATGGTGCAAATTCAGCTCACCACAAACCTCCACCTCCTGGGTTCAAGCGATTCTCCTGCCTCAGCCTCCCGAGTAGTTGGGGTTACAGGCATGTGCCACCATGCCCAGCTAATTTTGTATTTTTAGTAGAGACAGGGTTTCTCCATGTTGGTCAGGCTGGTCTTGAGCTCTCAACCTCAGGTGATTTGCCTGCCTCGGCCTCCCAAAGTGCTAGGATTACAGTCGTGAGCCACCGCCCCCAGCTATGTATTCTCATTTCTTAAATGATGGCTTGATCTCCATTCACCCCCCAAATTCTTTTGCAGTTTATCTTGCCTGTTAAATTCTGTTTAATTTTGTCGTTCCCATTACTAGAAAGGAGCAAGTGAAGAGGTTGACATTTCATTGTTCCAAGTAATATGAGCACCCTTTTAACTGGAATTTTTTCCCTATGTAATAATGAGTTGAGAATTGGTTCATAAAATATTATGGTTTTGAAAATGTCAGCATGGTATCTTAATGATCTAGCTTTAATTATAATGACTTGTTGGCATGAACCTTTGGTAGTAAAGTCTTCAGAGGCTGTGTAAAGTAAACAGTTTTATATCCATGATAATGTCTAAAGACCTAGAACTTTAACTAAGGAATGTATCCTCTCTTGCTAGTTTGGGATTATGAATACATAATGGCTATTTCACTTTGAAGAATGTTCAAAGTCTAATATAAAACTTTTTCCTCTGTGGATAAGATATAAATATCACATTGAAATTTAGTATTAAAACTAATGTTACACATATGGTAAAAAAAAAAAAAATGTTCTTTGTCCTTTGCTATGGTTTTAAAGGAAAAGCAGGAAAATAAGAGGCAAATTCTTCCCCTAAAAATTCTTTAAAATTCGAACATTCATTAATAGGCATTTCGTGGAAGACATATGAATGGCCAATGCATGTATGAAAAAATATTTACCCTCCCAACCACCATAAGGAAATACAAATTTAAATAACATCTTGTTGCTATCAGTTGCTAGTCCCTTGAAAGACTTTATTGATAATATCCTGTGGTGATAAGGGGACAAAGAAAATGGCATTCAGATGTATTCGTGGTCTAGTGGGCCATGCCCATCGGGGTTCTTAGGTTTAGCTAAATATTCAGATTGACCCACCTGTCATAAGCCACATCTGGCACCTGTTGCTCAGAAGAGAGGTAGCTGGGATAGCCAGCATGCTGGCAGGTGTTGCTCTTCAGTGGGAGCCTGCGTGACACTCCACTTAGTTGTCCATACAACCATCTGGAAGCCACCATTCTTGGTACCCCAAGATACAACTTTGCTGCTAAGAAGTGGGTTTGAGCCTTCCTGGCTTGTAAGCCTCGTGCCCCCAGGAGCCAATATCTATAGTAACAGCTGTACTGCATAGCTTCCCAGTTCTCTGCAAAGAACATACCAGTTATAAAAGTCATTGAACCCAGGAAGGCCCAAAGATATGGTACCTATTAGGTATTTATGGTTTTTTCTCTCAAGATACAATTTATCAATTGGGTTATTTTTTCCTAAGCAATGATGCTTATAACACTGTTGACAGTATAGGTTCCTAAGAGAACAGAGCTAGAAAGTTAACCAAAGGTCAAATTCTCATATAAAAGGAAAAAGGGTGTTTTTTAACCCTTTACTCATAAAGAATAAATGAGCATAATCTCTTTTTAAGATCACATTTGGACAGTAAACATTGAAAACTTTTATTGTGTGTGTACCCTTTCAAGCTGGCAATTTTGTTTTCATGGCTTTATTGTAACAAATACGAAATATGCACAAAGATGTGTCTGTGTCTATATGTAAGTAGGTTTATTAAGCATTATTTGCCATAGTTATTAATTAATAACAATCTAAATGCTCAGCACTTGCTTAAGAAAATTATAGTACATTCATATTCTAGAATAATATATACGTTTATAAAATAGGTATGTCCAGAAACAACTTTAAAAGAACATATATACCAAAATATTTAGTGTGTAACTGAGTGGTGATTTTCTGTGTAATTTTTTAAACCATAAGCCACTAATTTTTTACTTTGATCATGTATTACTTTTCTAAATAATTGCTCTTCATAAAAATTACCAGAAAATTGGCCAGACACGATGGCTCATGCCTATAATTCCAGCACTTTGGGTGGCAGAGGTGGGTGGTCAGGAGTTCGAGACCAGCCTAGCCAACATGGTGAAACCCCGTCTCTACTAAAAAAAAATACAAAAAGTAGACGGGCTCTGTGGCATGCACCTGTAATCCCAGCTAGTTGGGAAGCTGAGGCAGGAGAATCGCTTGAACCCAGAAGGTGGAGGTTGCAGTGGGTCGAGATCACGCCATTGCACTCCAGCCTGGGCGACAGAGCAAGACTCTGTCTCAACCAAAAAAAAAAAAAAAAAATCAGAAAATTATTGTCAGTTTTAATGCAAGCTACTTACATTAAATGACTAATCATACATTTTAAGAGTTTGTTTTAATACCATTAAAAAAGCTTGATCTTGAACTTTCTTAATGCATTTAATGAAATTCTATGTTCTATAAACTATGGAGCTTCATCTCACATCAACATCTGAAGTGATAATTTTGAAGTATTTCAAGCCATAAAAATCATTCAGTTCACTTTCTCATATATACTATTACTTGAAACTATGACTCAGTGATAAAAGTGGGGAAAGCACATATATTTTTTATAGAATTTAGATGCCAGCTCTCAAGTTCTTTTCTCAGGTTATGGGTAGGTTAATGGATGCCATCATTACTACCTTATGGATTTGTTTTTAAATACATCCAATTTATTCTCCATCTTCCACTTGGGTAATATACACACATCATAGTTTAACATTACCTCACCCACTGATAGTCTTGCCACTCTATTTATTGGTTTAGAAAATGTAAAACAAATATTTCCTCAAGGGGTATGTGGTACTTGGAGGAATATTAAAAAGCAAAATATAATTCATGCTGTACCTTCAATAAAATAAGAATTATGTGAGGAATATTCAAAGAAATGTTTATTGCATTTGTTACCTGCTGTTTTGTATTAGCTGTGTTTCTTGTTCTCCATACAAATGGATGATGCAGAGTTAGCTGGCTCTGTAGAAGTGCTGTAGAAGTGGATTACAGTAGAAGACCAGTCTTTGGGACACAGATTGGAATTCTGATCCTGGCCTCACCAAGTACTCTGTTACCCAGAGACTCAGTTTCCTCATTTACAAAATGAATAGACTAGATATCTCTTAGGTCTTTTCAACTGAAAAAACTATTAAGAATTATGTAATTTATAACATTAAGACTTATGATGATAAAATTTCTGATAATTTTGTGTTTTTTTCTTTCAGTTTGTATCTGTTCAAACTAGGAATAGCACCCCAGATCCAGGATTTGTTGGGCAAAGTAGACTTCACAGGTACTACTCTTTATCTTTGTAATTTTTTACAATCTAGTTATAAAAAGTACCAATACCTGGCCGGGCGTGGTGGCTCATGCCTGTAATCCCAGCACTTTGGGAGGCCGAGGCGGGCGGATCACAAGGTCAGGAGATCGAGACCATCCTGACTAACAGTGAAACCCCGTCTCTACTAAAAAATACAAAAAATTAGCCGGGCGTGGTGGGGGGCTCCTGTAGTCCCAGCTACTTGGGAGGCTGAGGCAGGAGAATGGCGTGAACCTGGGAGGCGGAGCTTGCAGTGAGCTGAGATTGTGCCACTGCACTCCAGCCTGGACGACAGAGCGAGACTCTGCCTCAAAAAAAAAAAAAAAAAAAAATTACCAATACCTTTTTTCCCCATTTTGATATTATTGATTTCCCTTATTCCTGTATATTGATGAGAAGAGAAAACAGACCTATCTTGTTTGTTCTTGACTGAGTTCTCCTTCTCCATGTTTGTGAAATGAGAAACTTGGGCTAGGTTCTTCCTAAGGCTCTTGTTTACAAACAACCCCACTTCCTGATGAAGACATTTCTTGATATGATTGTACTCATTCCTGCATCCATCTCTGTCTGTAGCTTTCTCTGATAATGATTATGATTATTTTGTTCTTTGTTAGAGGAGGAAATCAGTAATATGAGAAAAGAACTTGAGAAATATGGAATACAGATGCCATCTTTCAGCAAAATAGGTGGTATTCTGGCCAATGAACTGTCCGTGGATGAAGCTGCATGTAAGTCCATTCAAAATCCAAACTTGCCATGGATGTGAGACTTACCTGTACTTTACCTATTGATTTTGATTACTCGAAATAGAATATTTAGAAGATACTTTAAGCACCCTAAAAGTTTTTATTATTTGTTTTATAGATGATTAATTTGAGGATGTCAGAATATAACCAAGTAATTGATTTTGGTCTTTAGACTTCTACTTGTACAACATGAATTGAGGTTCTAGAAATACCTTCATTGTCCATAGTTCTCTACTTTCTGTGTCTGTAGATTTTAGTGGTAGAGTTCATTGTTACAGGTCTTTTAGTATTGCAAGCTAAATTGCAAGTATTTCTTGGAACCAACATGTTACTTTAAAATTACCCATGTCGCCCTGACCAGAGGGCAAGGATTGACTTACCTTCTAACTCCTGTGGTTGACATAGGGCTTGCTTCATTTTAGCCATTCAGTGATGTATAAATGAGTCAGAATTACTTAACAGATGCTGAGATCAGGACCAAAGACAGCCATGTGGAGAGGTTGTCAGGTGCTCCATAATATGTCTCAGTTCTCTTTTTGACATATTTACTGGAAGCCAAGAAAGAAAGTAAAACTGCTTGAGTTTACACAGGGTCAATGCAACTGTCCATGTTGTCTTTTGCTGATAAAAACCTTTTTCTCTCTCTCTCTTTACTTTTTAGTACATGCTGCAGTTATAGCCATTAATGAAGCAGTTGAAAAAGGAATAGCAGAGCAAACCGTTGTAACACTAAGAAACCCAAATGCGGTTTTAACTTTAGTGGATGACAACCTTGCACCAGAATATCAGAAAGAACTCTGGGATGCCAAAAAGAAAAAAGAGGAAAATGCAAGACTGAAGGTGCTTAGATTCTGAGTAATAAAAACAGTAATGAATGTGCTTATGAGTTACTAGTTTGAAAAGCCTTAATGTTGAAAGCAATACTTTTAAATCAATTGGCTATTTTCTCTATAGCCGTAGACAATTGATTTGAATGAAATGTAGCATACAAGAGGACCATACACTAGGTAAGGCAATTAGATTATATCCCTATATAAGGCATAAAAAGGAATTTTATAGTCCAGGCATGGTGGCTCATGCCTATAATCCCAGCACTTTGGGAGGCTGCAGCGGGAGGGTCCTTTGAGTCCAGGAGTTCAAAACGAGCCTGCGCGCTATAGTGAGACCCTGTCTCTAAGAAAATAAAAATAAAAATAAAAAATTAGCTGGGCTTGGTGGTGCAAGCCTGTAGTCCCAACTACTCGGGAGGCTGAGGTAGGAGAATCACTTGAGCCTGGGAGGTTGAGGCTGCAGTGAGCTGTGACCCTGCCACTGCACTCCAGCCTGGGCAACAGACTGAGACCCTCTCTCAATTTTTAGAAAGGGAATTTTGTGATGGATGTTATATATTGACAGAATTAAAAGTCATGTTGCAAACTTACTAATGTCCCCAGGAAGTGTAGAAGTAGCAACTCATGATCATCCCTTGTTAGACATCAACAGACCTTACATTAGCCAAGTTACTTTTACATTTGGTAGTAGAGGTTAATAATTCAGTGTGGTGAAGTTCAGAGAGGATGTTTTTGAATCTACAGTCTTCATATTTTCCCAATAGTCAATCCTTTATATTTGAGGATGTCCCTCCTGTACAAGACAGCCTGCTCCTAATCGTAACTCCATTTGTAACCACCTTTCTGTGTAGTCCATTATTGAAAAATTTGTCTACGCTGAGAGCTTCTACTTCCTCACCAGCTTGTCTCTCATTAAGCTCTTGCCATGTCAGTTTCAGCTCCATGACTGAAAGTAACCACTTTAGGTTTTGGCATTTTCTCAACTGGTGGCTTCCACCAGCATCTGGCAGGGTTGGCCTCCTACCTTGAGATTCTCTGCTTCACTAGCTTATGTGCGTCCTTGCTGCCACAGTTCTCCTCTGTGCCTCTTTCTCCTCTTCCTTCTCCCTCTCAGTATGGGGATTCTTCAAGGTCTGACATGGAATCCCTTCTCTGTTCTTCTTCCATTGAGCTCATCCACTTGTTGAAGAAATCAGCCATCAGCTTTATGCCAGCCCATCCCAAATTGGCCTCTCTCCTCCTTCTCCAGATAACTTTGTCTGTGTCCCTCTGGCTTTGTACCCCATTATATCAGAAGAGTTCCCCTTGCTGACTTCCCTGGTTCAGAATGATGGCCGGGTTTGTCTCAGAACTCTTTTTATGCCCCCTGTGTCCCATGCATTGCTAGATTCTGCTGCCTACTCTTGTTGGAGTTGAATCTGTCGCCAACCTTCTAGTCTCACCAGTCTTGCCTCAGTCCTGCCCCTTCTGACCTCATTGCATGACTCTTCTATCAAGCACCTTCCTTGTGGGTCTCTCTGCCTCCTGTTACTCTCTAAGCCAATCCCTCTTAAAGCTAGAGGTTACAAAACTGATCTTTAACTACAAATCTTGTGTTAACCCACCAGAGACATGCCCCGATTCTCTATTACCTACTGAATTAAATACCAAATCTTAGCTTAGCCTTCAGCTGACCCCCTCATCTTTTTGGCTCACCATGGACACACTCCAAGCTGTAGCCTAATGTGCTAAGCTTTCCATCTGTGTAACCAAATCCTGCTGTCTGTTTCCTATTCTTGACATTATTCTGTTGCTCGAAGCCCTCATTGATTATGATCTCTTTGCAAAATTTTCTTCCCAACTAAGTATGAATACTTTCTTAAAAAATGCTTATAGTACTTCTCTTATAGAACCTATTCTGTTCTTCTAGGTATATTTATTACTTGTGTTCTTGATTTTATTAGATCAAATCAAATGAAATTGGCACTATTCAACTGTTTTTGATCTAAAAAAAGGGCAATACCAAGTGGTCCAAACTAATGTTTTCCACATTTGAAAATTAGCCCTTTTCAAAGAGTCACCGGGTCTGTCATTCATCTTTGTAGTCTTTGCCAGCATTCTCCCCTAGTCCCCTGCACAGAGCAGGCACTCCACAAATGCTTGCAATGAATTTAAATAATTAGGGAATGGTTTTTGTCACTCTTCACATTTTTCCATTTGAATTTCGAGTTTTGGAAATATTTTATTTAACCTCAGAAATCAGTGAAGACTTTGTTTTGCAGAATAGCTGTATTTCAGAAGAAGAAAGAGATGCTTATGAAGAACTGCTGACACAAGCAGAAATCCAAGGCAATATTAATAAAGTCAACAGTAAGTAATGGATCGTATGAAGGAAATTGATATTTCCGTAAGATACAGACTTTCCTTGCCAGAATCCCAACACAACTCTCAATTTGTATACTTGGAAAACTGCCTTATACAATGAAAAATCTACTCAGTGTCAGTGTTGCTCTTAATTATGGTGCAGCATTTGGCAGTTTCCCACTGGGCTTTTTTTGGTGATCTCAGTCCACACAAAGTATCCTGAAGCTAGTTTGATTCTACCTTCCTGTTTCATTACATTCCACATTTTAATTCTGTCACTTTTGGGGCTAATACTGAAGGTCATTTAGTAAAAGATTATAATTTACAGATTGTAGTTGCTTGCCCATGATTATGCGATGATGTTCTATTGGAATTGTAAAAGGTACTATTGACACCACTGCTCTCTGTGACTTCCCAGCCATTAGTCTGTTGTTTGTAAGATTTTTCTTACACTTGTGTAACTTTGGTGCCAGTGAATGGGACTATGGACAGGCCAGATGAAATCTCATGATGGCAGCTTTGAGTCCCACACCCCTGAGCCTCTGTGGAGTCAAGCAGATGAGTTCCTCTTAGTACCTGGCTCAAGTGTCTGATTGTAAAGAACAGCAGACTCAGGTAATTAAAATAAGCGTATGCAGGTTGAGATACATCAATTTTTTTATTAGTCTTTTCTCCCCTCTGGCAAAACCTATTTTTACTTGAGCATCAGAAGAGTCAGTAAGAAATTTCATTTGATGTTTATTTTTCCCTGGTCAATCTAGATAATCCATATATACCCAAAAAACTAATACATGAAAGGCCATTTAGCCTGCTTAATAAAGCATGTGAACTCCCTGCGAAATTAAAATTTGGAGTATCCACTAATTACAACAGTCCTAAACCTTGCCTTCCTTTTAACATCCTCGTTGAGTTTTGAATATTCTTTTTTGCTTGTAACTCTTGCAAAGAAGTGTACACCCACGGTGTTACTAAGAAGTCTGCTCCTAAATTGCTGGAGAGAAATATCCTAAGGGGCTCAAACAGTAATTAAGGAAAGCCCCAGAGGGTTAATGTAAATGTCTAGGAGTTAACAACTGAATGTGTTTGAGAATATGCCTCACATACACATAACTGGGCTGAAAACTCTCAATTGCCTTTATTTTTTTAAGGTAACACCTTAACATTTTAGGGTGCATGTGCCTGTTGTTTTATTCTTGTGAAATCTTGAACATGTTACTGATGATACATGAAGTACAATTTAAAGTTTGTCTTTTTGCTCTATGCGAAAGCTGAGAACTTCGTGATGCTTGACAGAAATGAATTACAGGAGGAAATTAATGTTGCCAGTGAGACATCTGAGGTCCATAAGCCTAGAGAGGAAATGGCTCCATAGCCTTTAACCATCCTTTATTTTTGAAATATTTATAACCATGAAAACAGTTTTCTTTTTCATGTTAAATAAAATGCTTTATATAAATGTTTTAGTTCTTTACTCAGTGCCATAATTTCCTGACCGCAAATTTAATGCCAAATTGGCTATACTTTTTTTTTCCATTTTTAAGTAAAAGGCATTGGATGTTTTGCACTAATGGTAAAACCGGCTGAAAATATGAAAGCAAGGTTTGATGGCTTTAAATGTGTAGAACATGATTATTCTGAAGTCTTTTTATCTCTCCCCATCTTAAAATTTATAGTCCAGTAGAACTGAAAGTAACCTTAGGAAAAAAACCCTCATTTTGATGACATGACAATGAGACAATTGTACACTTTAAAATACGTAAGAATCAGCTGGGTGCAGTGGCTCACACCTGTAATCCCAGCACTTTGGGAGGCTGAAATGGGTGGATCACGAGGTCAAGCGTTCAAGACCACCCTAGCTAATATAGTGAAACCCTGTCTCTACTAAAAATACAAAAAGTCAGCCAGGCGTGGTGGCGGGCATCTGTAATCCCAGCTACTTGGGAGGCTGAGACAGGAGAATCACTTGAATGTGGGAGGTGGAGGATGCAGTGAGCTGAGATTGCGCCACTACACTCCAGCCTGGATGATAGTGTGAGACTCCATCTCAAAAAAAATTTAAAAAAAAAAAGTAAGAATCATTACTTTGACAAGATTTTCCTCAACCATGTAGGTTATTATATTAAAATGTTAAGGCATCCACATTCATAGCAACCATAGTAATAGCATCAGTGACAATGTTGGTGGTAATGTCAACAGATCTGTTGTTAGAGGCCTCAGCTTTGTTCACATTATAACCCTTTACCTTTCAGGTTCAGCAAATGCATTCCATTCATTGCATGATATTTTCTGTTAAGATCAGAGCTGGACATTTTGCATTTCTTTGCTTTTTTTTTTTTTTTTTTTTTTTTTTTTCCGGACAGGGTCTTATTCTATTGCCCAGTCTGGTGTTAAACTCTTGGGCTCAAGTGATCCTCCTTCCTCAGCCTCCCAAAATGCTAGGATTACAGACAAAAGCTACCACACCCTGCCTGGACATTTCGTTAAATGCAGAGTGTAAAAGAGTGGTTGATCTTACCTTATTTTTTTAGAAGAAATTGTTTATTTAATAGTGTTTTTCAGGCTAGGTGCAGTGACTCATGCCTGTAATCTAGCACTTTGGGAGGCTGAGGTGGGAGGATGACTTCAGGCCAGGAGTTCAAGACCAGCCTGGGCAACAAAGAGAGACTCAGTCTTTACAAAAAAAATTTAAAAATTAGCCGGGTGTGGTGGCACACAACTGTAGCCCCAGATACTGTAGAGACTGAGGTCGGAGGATCTCCAGAGCCCAGGAGGTCGAGACTGCAGTAAGCCAAGATTGCACCACTGCACTCCAGCCTTGGCAACAGAGCAAGACTGTCTCAAAAAAAGAAAGAGAGAGAGAGAGAGAGAGAGAGAGAGAGAAAACAGTGTTTTAAAGACATGATTTTCTGATGTTTGAAATATAGCTGTACAAACCCATATAATAAATTTATCAAAGGTAAAGCAAGATCCTACCTAGAGTAATCCGAGATACAGCTGAAAGGCCTTGGAGTAACTTTAGCAGAACAGCAAATACCACAAACAACCACTAGCCTTCCTTTCTGAAATTTTTTGGTTTGTCACATTAATTTTAAAGATAGAAATGCTAAGGTTCTCAGGGTCCTTTAGGTTAAGTGTGAGTTTTCTGGGGGATGACTTGAAGGATTCCATTAATCATAAGTATTTCCTGTTATTGAATTATATCTCTTAGTAAAAATATTGAGGGAAGATCCTCGTGAATGTATTTAGAGAAGATAAATTGTCATCTTGTCAAAAAGGGTTAGAAGAATCTTAGCTGCAATCTAGTCACGAATTAGGCAGACAGGCTAACCCTTGAAAGGCTCTAAAAATGTATGGGTATGTGTTACTTCTGCTACCCAGATGCCTTCTCTATAAGGCAAAACTCTGCAATCTCTGTCTGATTTGCTCTTTCCTGGTGGCAGAGTTCATCATTCATTCTCCCATTTACTCAGCAATTTCATTTTTGTTCTCTGAAAACTATGCTGAATCTACTGTTCCAAGCATCTCAGTTTGGTAACCAAAATTCATTTCTTTATAATCTGCACCTTACAACTGGTTGAGAGATCACAGAGTGTATTAGTCCATTCTCACACTGCTATAAAGAACTGCTTGAGACTGGGTAATTTATGAAGAAAAGAGGCTTAATTGACTCAGAGTTCTGCATGTCTGAAGGAGGCCTCAGGAAACTTACGATCATGGCAGAAGGTGATGGGGAAGCCAGGCACATCTTCACATGCCCAAAGCAGGAGGAATAGAGAGAAGGGGGAAGCGTTACACACTTAACCGTATCTCGTGAGAACTCACTATCATCCAGGGGGAAATCCGCCCCCATGTTACAATCATCTTCCACCAGATCCCTCCTCCAACATTGGGGATT
This sequence comes from Homo sapiens, assembly GCF_000001405.40. Lineage (NCBI taxonomy): Eukaryota > Metazoa > Chordata > Mammalia > Primates > Hominidae > Homo > Homo sapiens. Next base: position 76,596,815 of record NC_000005.10, read on the forward strand.
ATAATTCAACATAAGATTTGGGTGGGGACACAGAGCCAAACCATATCACAGAGTTTATGGTTGTCTCAGATGTTGCAGCAATATGTCCGAGTGCTTGCTGTAGGCTTACCGCAGTGCTTATGTGTTAGGAAGATATAACAGTAGGGCAAGGCTTGCTTCTGGTCTTCTTGTCACTTGAAGTCTCCTTGGGGAGACAGTACTAATGCACAAGGAGCACAGGGAACATGCCTGCTGGAACTACATGGCCCAGCTTTAAATAACTATGGTGTTCACATGATGAGAAATCCTTAAGGACTGGAGCAATCTGAAGGCTTCAGGGAAGAAATGAGACCAGAGCTGGTCCTATAAGGAAGGATTTTGGAAGGAAGTCATGCTACTCAGGAATGATCTCATACCCTAAGCTCCATCAATGCTAAGGTTCTTGTAGGCACTAATTCCAAAGATTGGATTAGTTTGAATTACTGAGATAACATTTTCAAAGCCTTACCTACCCTCTGCCTGCAGCTTTTCAGAGTTCATGAAAAGTAACTGCTTAGGTTCAAATCCTTGGGAAGAAGGGCTGGTTGGGTGAGACTGCAGTGGAAAGAGCAACCATTCTGACAAAACATGAACCCCCATCCTCAGGGCAGGCTGCAGTGGACCATATCAATGCTGTCATTCCGGAAGGTGACCCCGAGAATACGCTGCTTGCACTGAAGAAACCAGAGGCCCAGCTGCCTGCTGTTTATCCCTTTGCTGCTGCCATGTATCAGAACGAACTTTTCAACCTCCAGAAACAGAACACCATGGTAAGTCAGAGGAGACCCCAGCTGTGGGGACGGTAACCCTGCGTGCCATGGCGCACTAGGGAAGCCTAGTTAGGAAAGGGGAATAGGGATCGGGGATCTCTAATTTGTACCAGTCCTGGTCTCACTGGCCCACCTGTACCAATTCCAAGGCCTTCTTCCTTGTTAATTCTTGCTTTTAGTCTACATAAAGAATCTAAGAGCATAGTTAGGAAATTCCAGCAGTGGTCTATACATATACCTGTGAAAATAGGTTGTTCTTATTTTCTGTGTGATATTTGAAGACACCTTGGATAAATTTTAGCTATACCGATGTGGTATTTTTTTTACAATATATAATGTTTTTATGTAGAAAATAAGCTCAATCTGCAATTTTAGAAACTGCAAATAAGACCATTAGCACCATGGCTTTGATTTTTGTGAACTTGTGCACCTTAATATGACAACAGCATTCAACAATAATTTCATACAAGGTTACAGTAATTAAGAACATGTTTACTAACACTCTTGTAAGCCAAACAATGAAACAAAATGAAAACTACTGAAAGCAGAACCAAGAATTCAGCATATAACAAGGCTCGTATTTCAAGAAGGTGGGGAAACAACTATTTAATAAATGATATCCTTGCAAGTGTTTAAGCTTTGTTAAGAAAACATTAACTCACTACACATATATCAAAATAAATTTTCAACATAAAATGTTAAATATAAAAAATAATTTAACAAATTAAAGTTCTAAGGAAAAACACAGGACAGTCATTGGATCTTTAAAGTCACAATCAGCACTTATCCACACACAATAAAGAGAGGCCAAAAACATGAGCAGGCAATTCATAAAACAAGAACTATACAAATGACAAACAAAAAAAAAGTTTAAACTCAATCAGAAGTAAAAAATATATAAATTAAAACACAGTACACTTATGATTTAAAATTAGATTGGTAAAGATTAGAAAGATTTAACCCAGCGTAGGGATAGATATGGGGCCCAAACATCTCCTACACAGCTGCTGGGAGTATGAATTATACAGATTTTCTGCAGGGTGGTCTTAGTAATACAGATCAAAAGCCCATGATGCTGACAGTTACGTTCTAGAAAATAAGCCTGAAGGATATGAACCAAATAGCTTTGGCCACAGAGATGTTTCACAGCATTGTTTAGAATACTGAAAACCAGGAAACAAATGTTTAATTAATAACAGATTGCCTATAAATTAATAACATTTATGGTGCTTGTACATGTGAGAAATATGTGCAACCAGTAAAAATGATAATGTAAAGAATGACTGGAAAAGATATCCATACTAATATTAAGTGGGAAAAATAAGATTAAGATATATAGCATTATCTTGTTTTTTGCAAAAAGAAAGTGAAGTCAGTTATAAAGACAAAACCTCTGCAAATGTATATATGAATTTAAAATACATAAAAGGATATACACAAAAGAGCTTGAGTGGTAGCATTTGTTTTCTTATTCTTGCTTACTAAGACTTCTGTATTGGCTGAGTGTGGTAGTTCCTGTCTGTAATCTTAGCACTTTGGGAGGCTGAGACAGGAGGATCACTTGAGGCCAGGAGTTCAAGACCAACCTGGGCAACATAGGCCTCATCTTTACAAAAATAATAATAATAATTAAAAAGACTCCCTATGTTTCCTAAATAGAAATATAGTATTTGTAATAAAAGAAAAATAGCTTATTTTCTTAATTTCATTCAGGTTCTCTCATTAATATTTTCTTCCACTTCTCTGGCTCTGAAGCTCAAGGCTACTTATGCTTGAGGACACTCATTCATCCTCAACTGGCCATAGTTAACCTGTGGCTGTCCAACCTCATTTCTTCTTCCTCTCTCCTTATCCTTTTTGCTGTAAACCAATTTAGGTATCCACGGACAGGTCACTGAAAGAGATAGAGGAGGTGAATTATAAACGATTCCATTCTGCTCTTATAATTTGATACTTTGTATGTTAAACTTGTATTTAATGTAATATATTTAAATAAAATTTACTTACATGCTCTCGATGGTAACCCCTTCTTCCCATTTGCTTTGAAAGATTAAACTATCCCTTTTTATTCTGAAATCAGTTTGCTGCGAGACTTCTGTGGAGATCCAGAAAGATATAATAATGCATTTTAAGATGAACATTATGTTATATATTAAATACCTGTAATATCCTAAATGTAAAATATGTATCAGCTTTTCCTTAGTGGTTCTTTTTCATGCTCCTGCTCCTTATGTCCCTTCAATATGATGAAAAAAATATTCCTTTTGAAGTTGGGCCAAGATAATATAAAATGGTTAAATGGAAGAAGATATTAAAGGGGAAGGGTGTTCTGAAATCTAAGACGTATTTTTTTGGATAAGCTAAATCCAGATTTTAAATCATATAAACCTGGAGATCTGGCCAGGTGTGGTGATTCATGCCTGTAATCCCAGCACTTTGGGAGGCTGAGGCAGAAGAATCGCTTGAACCTGGGAGGCGGAGGCTGCAGTGAGCCTAGATCGTGCCATTGCACCCCAGCCTGGGCAACAAGAGCCAAACTCCATCTCAAAAAATAATAATAATAAAAATAAAGCAAACCAAACCAAACAAAAAAACCTGGAGAGCTTTACTTGCTTTACCAAAAGATCACCTCAGATTTCTTCAAATATCTTGACCTGGTAGTGTATTTTAAAATTTCTATTTTAAAATTTATGAAAATGTCACTTTAACTTTTTTTGAATTAAATCAGTAGTCTTGGTTTGAAGACCTTGCTTTGTGCTTCAGATTATAACTTTTCAGTGAAATTCTCCCAACCTTCCCTTAACCCTTAATTCAAACTGGAAATCGTTAGCTGTGCTAAAATGTTACCTGGCACTCTCAGTCAGTGACAATGTTATCTAGTCCTTGGCTTAATTATATGGCTGGACTGAGCCTTTAAGCAACCAGTATAGCTAGGAGTAGGGATCAGCAATGGGAATGCAGATATTTGTGGAATCGTAACTTTTCATTGTAATCAACCCAGTCCCAAAAAATGATCATCTAATGAAAGCCCAGGAGCCATATACCTGTTCTTAAAGCCAGTGGAAAGCAGGTGGCCACGACTCCTCTTTCTGCTGAGCTATCAAGTTCTTTGACTTTTTGTTGTTTGTTGAAATGTGCATTGTAAACCTCCATCATGCACATGAGGTGTGTTGTGTGGGGAGCTTATGTTGCCATATGTTTTCCAACAGAACTACTTGGCCCACGAGGAGCTTTTGATTGCTGTGGAAATGTTGTCTGCTGTTGCTTTACTAAACCAGGCCTTGGAAAGCAACGATCTTGTGTCTGTGCAGAATCAACTCAGAAGCCCCGCAATAGGCTTAAACAATCTGGACAAGGCATATGTGGAACGGTAAGGAACATTTTCCAAACCTTCTTTCAATGCAGAAATGCATGTTTGGCAGATCTTAAAAGTGAGGAATTTGCCTGTTGGTGGAGAAATCCATATACCATGCTCATGTTTCTTGAAAACTAGTCTGTTTTAAGAGTCCTTCTAATTAGTATCCTTGTTTACAGTATTCCTTCTGGGGAACAAGAAGAATCAGAAAGTGATCATCCTGTGGCAATTAATAAATGACTTTGTCGTTGGCAAAGATTATTTGATAGGCTGAAAATAAAGGAACTATTGGAAACATACCTTTCCTTGGGCGTCTTTTGGAAACCGCAGAATGTAGAAGAGTTGGAAGCAACTTTAATAATCATCCAGTCCAATTCTTTTATGTCACTGATGCAGAAACAGAATCCGGGTTATGGACCTAAAATTGGGCAGTTGGGCCCCAAACTCCACTCTTCTGATTATTAAGCCAAAGAAATCCTGAGACCACAGTGGGTCATGGCAGTGGGTAACAACATCCATTTATCTTTCATTTCATGTTTCTGAAGTGTGCTACCAGATAGTACAACTGATAGCATTGTTATAAAACACTATAGCGGATCTTGAGAGAAAATCAAATGGCCAGAATTGGGAGCCAGATGAGAGAGTCGCTGAGATAAAAGCCCCAGTTAAAATGAGTGAATCTTGGATTCTTGTAACCACCAGGGGGAGATGTCTGCACAGATCTTGACAAAAGCTCTTTTCAGCTACTGATTTTGGAACGGCTCTAATAGGCAGGTTGGCTAATTCTCTTGGGTCATGTACAGTTGCCAAGGAAAAACCAGAGATTTCTTAGGTTAAACAAATGGTATTTGACCACTTGTCTATGTAGTGAATGGCCAAAAGGTAATGGAAGGATGGTGGGTTTTCCTTGTTTTTAGTCTTTTTGGAGAAACTAATTCTCTTGTTCTACTTAAATTTGGCCATCTGGTTCATATGACTCCTTAGAGTGTGTTTCCAAGGTAATTTATATCTACCACCACTGTTTCTGTTACTTGTTAATGGCACCATTCTCTCCTGTAAGCTTAGAAACCTGAAGCCCAATTTGAGTTTCCCTCTGCCCTCAGCCGGGCACCCTCGTGCTCTAAAGAGCCTGCTGTCAGTAGCCAGTCTATGTGCCTTATACCTCTGCAAGATGTTTCCATTTCCCTGCAACCACCCTCACTTAGACTTCTCACTTTTGCTTCTGTAGTAACCCCTAAATTGGTCATCCTACTTCTTTTCTCTCCCCATTCATTAATCATTCCTACCTAACCAGGCTTTGCCATACTTTCTCAGTGCTAGAGTAGAAGACAGACCCGGTCAATCCCTTATGAAGCTTACAGGCTAATGGGGCATCTTGGTGAGATAACTGTCAAGACTATTCCACATATTTAGCATCCCTGGCAACTGTCCTCCACATGACATTAGCCCCTGACTCACCCATTCTGATTATCAAAAATGCCTGCTTCTTCATTTACAAATACCCTTAAAGAAGTGGTCCCATTCTATTTGAAAACCATATTCATACCTGTAGTTTCCAGCTGGGACCTACAGATGGAGCCTCACAGTTCGAGTGTTCTGTGTGAAGAACTTTTAAAATGTTTTGATTTTTTTTTTTTAATTTAAATACATTCTGGATCTGGAAGACCCAGTACTGACATGGGATTTAAGGGCCCACTTGGGTTCTTGTATTGACACTTGTATTGGCCCCAAATGATCTTCTACAGCCTTGGCATTTTACTTCCAAAGTCAGCATCTTAACTTGGGATCTTGGAATCCCAGTTTTGCAGATTATCAAGTTTGAGAAACACGGCTCTGTCCAGGGCCTCTCCCCATAGAGTGCAGGTTCTTCATAGCACAAGTGTGCTGTGCATGGCCACCTTGACAAATTCATGCAAAGTCTCTCCCTGTTCACCGTGGCTTCTACTCTTGGGGCTGTGTTTGCCCAGAGAGATTCTTTTGTCTAATTCTCACAAAAGTATTGTATGGGTTAACATTAGCCTTGGGCATACACTGTTCCCAGATTAACTGTTCTAAAATGTAACCCTATTCATAATTCTGTTTGATTGTTCCTTGTTCACATCCGAATTAAGAACAGACTTCTCATTCTAAGCATGTTGCTCTGACCTTACCTCCAGCTCCATCCCTACTCGTATTTTGTGCTTTAGCCAAGTCCAAGTGTACTTTCTGGTCTCTGTGTTCCTATGCGTGGTCCTCTCACCATCAGGAACTTGGTGCCTTTACCCAGCTCAGCTAAACACAGTATTGGAGCTTCTGAGCCCTGCCTACCATACATTATGTTCTGTGAGGTATATCCGTGCTTCTCCCCACCCTAGCATCTGATGTTATCTCTCCTGGGAGGTAGCATGATGTGGTTAAAGGAGCATATGCCTTGGAACCAAAAATATCTGAGATTGACCCTCCCTAACTAAGCCTTTTTCCTTCATCTATAAAGCACAAAAACAAAAGAAACAAAAGCCCCACTCTGCATTTGCAGAACTGTTTTGAGGATTTAGTGTTTGGTTCAGTGCCTGTCCCAGGGAGGGTGCTCCACCAATAAGGGTTTCCTTCCACTTCTTGCTTTGAACCCCATTATATCTACTCTTATGGACTCTTTAATGGTCCTTCCTGTGCTCTGCTTTTATACCTTTTTGGAATTTTTGTCGTCTTACCCACTGGTCTGAAAGCATAAAGGCTGCACCTTTTTCCTCCTAATATTCCTGTAGTGCCTGCCATGTTTTACATGTAGTAAGTGCTCACAAACATCTGCTGAACTAAATTGGATTACTGATCTTCTCAGAGCTTCCCAGGGCTCTTAGATTAGTAGACTCCTTACTAGTCTGTCCATAGATGAGGTGAAGAGAACTGAGAGGAGTGAGAGGAGAGGACATTGACCTGTTTGGGGAAACTACGGAATATTTCCCAAAGTTGGTAACTTCAGTACTGGAGAGAAATACTCAATTGGAAAAGCCTGTGGAGTTCTCTTGTGTTACTTTAAAAAAAATTTTTTTTTATTATTATACTTTAAGTTCTGGGATACATGTGCAGAACATGCAGGTTTGTTACATAGGTATACAAGTGCCATGGTGGTTTGCTGCACCCATCAACCCACCATCTAGATTAGGTATTTCTCCTAATGCTATTCCTCCCCTAGTTCCCCACCCCCTGACATGCCTCGGTGTATGTTGTTGTTCCCCTCCCTGTGACCACATGTTCTCATTGTTCAACTCCTACTTATGAGTGGGAACATGTGTTGTTTGGTTTCTGTTCCTGTTAGTTTGCTGAGAATGATGGTTTCCAGCTTCATCCATGTCCCTGCAAAGGACATGAACTCATCCTTTTTTTTTATGGCTGCATAGTATTCCATGGTGTATATGTGCCACATTTTCTTTATCCAGTCTATCATTGATGGACATTTGGGTTGGTTCCAAGTCTTTGCTATTGTGAACAGTGCCGCATAAACATACAGGTACATGTGCCTTTATAGTAGAATGATTTATAATCATATAATGGGATTACTGGGTCAAATGGTGTTACTTTTAAAATCTTTTCCTTTATAGCTTGTTTTTGTTCATTTCTAAAGAAATGATGGGTAGTTGTATTTCTTTCTGTGTTTATTTTTTACTTTCTCATTTCACTCCTGTTGGGTCAGCATTTAGACGTTAAGTGTATGGGATGCCCATAAGGACTTTGCGCTTTTGGAATGGTCTCCATCTGTGAGGGACACTAACCAGTGCAAGTTACCGATAATCCAAATCGTTATTGTGGTCAGTATTATTTATTATACATTACTAGTGTATTTCACATCTGCACTTGGCGAGGCCTCATTCAGCTACAGAAAATAAATTGTTACCACCATTTCCTATTTTTGAATGTTTTTCTCTCAAGCTACTCTCTATGGAAGACACCGCATGTCACCTTGAAGCATGCAGAATTTTGAAAAAGTTTGTCACAACCAAGAAAACAGTTTTAGACTTCATATAATGTTTCTTCTTTTAACCTCTGCCATTACTAGATCCCTAGAGACTATTCAGAATTCAAACTGCAGAGTGACTCATTATGTACACAGAAGATTGTTCTTCATTGCCCTGGTGCAAAGACATAAAAGCACACTAAACTATCTAGTTTTATTAATTTTCGCTGGAATAGTTCATGTTAGCCTATGGTTGTAACATTGGTTCTGTGAAAATTGGAAAGTGGGAAAATTGATAATTGAGAAGTAAAAGTTTCTTAATATATCAGTATGAGTAAGTTTTTCCCTGAAATTTCCCCAGGCAGAAAAAAAGTAATTGGAGTGGTTGACTAAACTGTATCTTCCAGAGGGCTATGCACAGTGAGAAGGGTCATTGGTCATAAACAATGGGTGAGAGGGCCATTTTTAATTTTAATTTTATTTTTTTATGGAGACAGAGTCTCCCTGTGTTGCCCAAGCTGGTCTTTAACTCCTGGGCTCAAACGATCCTCTCACTCAGCCTCCCAAATTGCTGGGATTACAGGTGTGAGCCACCACGCCAGGCCTAAGAGAGATTTTTGAGTATTGGCTAGGAGCCTTTGGAGAAATGGGCAGGTGAAAAGGAATTTCAGTATATCCTGGTTTAACTCATGTGCCACCTCTTCAGGACAACATACGGTAAAGATTGTGCTACTCAGCAAGGTTTCTGGAACTGCATTTGCATGTTATCTGATTCCTCAGTGTCATATTAGGCCTCAAAGTGGCTCTATATTAGGGTTGTAGTAGAAAAGGTCTTTTAAAACTTAGATTTTGGAAGGAACAAGAGAAATAATGAAAAGGACACTTGATGATAGAAAGATTGAGACCCATAGTAACTCTGAATTTTGCCCTGTAACAATCATCTGAAGACTGAGAAGAACCAAGACATACAAAGGGGAGGAAAATTAGTAACTAGGGAAAAGTAATTTCACAGACTTGAAAGTTTCCAGTTTTGCTTGAGTTAGGTATGAGTTTCGATTTTGAAGAGCTTTCATTAACAGAATTTGTTCATAAAAATACTTTAAGAAAACACCATTAGTACAAGTAAGCCTGGTATATGTTGACAGAGCTACACAAGACAATTTTATTTGCCTTTCTACTCTTTGTCTAACTTCATAACAACTATGTTTGACCATGTGTCATAGTTGAGAAACAACAGGAACGAAGAATGAATGTCTCTAATTAACATCAAGATTATTTTCTCTTCCACAGTTATGCAAACACACTACTCTCTGTTAAACTAGAAGTTTTATCCCAAGGGCAAGATAACTTAAGCTGGAATGAAATTCAGAATTGTATTGATATGGTTAATGCTCAAATTCAAGAAGAAAATGACCGTAAGTATAAGACACTTTCCTTCTCTAGCATAGTGGGAGAAGAAGGTATCTGGACAACTTAGTTTTCTAGATTAGGGCTTTAAGTTTTTGCTCAAGGAACTTTGTGAGAGCAAACTCCGCTAATATGCATACCTTTATTTATAGGTAGATTTTATGCCTATACCACTGTACCAATATGTTATAAACGTTACAAAGCCTACACAAGAATTCATAATATAATAAAATACACAAGTAAAAGGCCTGATTTTTCTGGTTATTTGTACTTCAGAGACAGCTAAATACAGAGACAGCTAAATAACTCATATTTTTAAGCACCCAATTTTATTTTGACCTTTTATTTGGGCATCTTTTTTTCTGAAATATGACACGATTTTTCTGCCCCACAAATGGAGGAATTGGAACACGATCTAACTGTTGCTTAATGATCACAAATCATGGTGATTTGCTGTGTTTCTAGAAATTATGAGCTGCCAGCATGAAAGCATACCAACCTCAGGAAGATATGCCCTGAAACATGCTTTCTTGAATGTCAGCTTGCTGCTTTATCATTTGCATCTTGCTTATGAAAATAGAGTGAAGAATGAGGAGCTATGTAGCTTCTGCAGTCCATACATTCACTGCTTTTCTGTAGTATGCATTACCAAATTCAAGCTTCGAGCTGTGTTTTCCACCATGAAAACAAAGCAACACCATCTTCTGTGGCTTATGAGCTTTTGACTTGTCAGCAACAGTGGGTGAGTGTTGCTAAAATCATTGATCTCTCCTCCACCTTCCAGCTTTGACTTTTCTAACTCATTTGCTCCAAGCTCGCGGATAGAGTGGGCAGATACTTCTCTCACAGTTTATTATGTTTTATTTTAGTGTGTTTGGGTAAGGTCTTAGGTCTGGTCTTCTAATGCTGTATTTAACTTAGGAATACTAAGATCACTCTTGAAATAAAACATATGACTTTGTTAATTAATTGCATTTGCAAAGTTTTCTTCTTTTTCTTTGCTGTTTCCTGTGAGTGCTGGGCCAAAAGTCAAGGCCAGTTTTGGTTCTTGTTTTTTAAACATATTCTCACTTTAAGCCCCTACTATAAAACAGGATCCAGGTGTGCTACCCTATATACGGTACCATGGATGTACCACTGTTACACTGATCCCTGGACACTTTCATTTTGTCCTTTTCAAGTTGTGCACAAATCTAAATTTCTTTCGAGACGGCACAGCTTCCCTGTTGCCTCTGCATTTCCTTTCAGTGAAGCATTTAAAGTCTCTGCGGTGAGACGGCTTGCTCACACCCCACTTAGCTCTTTTCTGATACTTGGCTTGGGAGTTTATGGTTCTTGCCAGACGTTAGTCAAGACGCAAGCTCTAATTTGAGCAGATGTTCAACATCATCAGGTGGGGGTTGGGGGACCACCACTGCTCCTAGTGTCCCGCTACAGAGCTCAGTCCCCCAGGCTTCTGCCCTTCTCCACAACCTCCGTCTTAATGCTCTGAATCTCCTTTAGCAGTGGTTTGGTTGCTACAGCAACTGCCACCCAAGAAGTAGGACTCCTTTCTTTTGGTAGGCAAAACAAAGACTCACGTCCCATCTTTGCTTTCTAACTTTTTCCCCAATTCTTGGCAATACCCATGCTTCAGTTCTGCTTTGGTTATTTCTGTATGTGCTGCTTACACAAATGAAGGTATGTTAGTTCTCAGTGCTGAAAGATTGTAGGGTTGACATTGATTAACAGGGGGAAAATGCCAGTTTTGTTCTTGGCTATCAAGTACAGCCTTTGCTTTAGTTGGTTACTGGGGGGAAAAAAAGCAAGTAACATTTGCATAACTTAGAAAATAGTCTTTTGTAAGTAGATATTATTTTTAAGCAAAAATCTCATTTGATTGCTGTGGCTTTTATCTATCAAGGTAACAGCACTACTAAGTTATTCTCCCTAGGACATTTCACACAGCCACTATAACACTTCTGTTAAGTATCTTGTCATAAAGGACATATACCATAACCAGAAAAGGTATTTCAGACACTAATATTTCCTTTCTGGAATTTGGGAACTTTAATACAGAGTATTTAATTTATCTGTGTCTTGGTTTTATTTTTTTCTTTTGTCAGAATGAGTTCCTGAAGTATTGAGTTTGATATCATGTTTAGGCAATTCTTCAAAATCTAAAATTTCTAAAATACACCATTGTAACCAGGCAGGAATTGCTCAGTATAGTAATTAAGTCATCTGAGGAGCTGAGAATTTTTCATGGACGTTTTGAAGGTGCATTACTCTTGCCTCCCCACCTTATTCTTGCCACATGCTCTGAGATCTAATTCCATATCTGAGTTGTGATGTGGGTGAGGTAAGCAGCTAATGGAAAATGAGAAATATAGAAGGTGAATTTAATGGAGAAGCTAGCTGCTGAATGCATTTCCTCAGGCTCTGTTGATTTCTTACTGAAAAGTTTACTTTTCCCAGTAGAACCATAAAGGAGCATTATTTTAACCTTATAGCCTACATCAGGAAGTTTTCTTCTTTGAGTTTTTGCTCTTTAAATTTGGTAGGTACAATTCTGTGTAGGTTACCTCATCTGCTGCCTCAAATACATGAACTCTAAAAGAACGCCCACTCTCTTGTGGACTAGAATGTTATAGTAACATGTGTTGATGTAAAGAAGTGGACCGTGGGCTGAGTGAAGCTCAGCAATCTTTCTTCAAATAGGATTTCCCTTTTATTTATAAACAGAGGAAGTGATGCATATGTTCCCAGAGGGCTTCTGGGTAATCTTTCAGCTCCTATGATGTCATTCACTATGACCTCAGCAGCTTGTATTCTTAGAAACGCAGCAGACAGCAACTTTAGCAGGTGATTTCAATCAAGTCAGCTGAAATGCACTCACTTCCAGGTGATCGGCCTTGGTTCTGTTAAGACCATTTTTGGATGGGGTGTTTTAAAGGTATTTAGAACAGCTTACCCAAGGGGGGTGACCAGAGAATGGCACTAAATATTCCATGCACTCCAGTTTATAAATCCTATAGGGTAAAACGACAGTACCTTGTATATAGATAATACTTAGACTTTCCAGAGTTCTGTCAATGTTTACAGATAATATAACCTGCACATTAGAGAAATACTTCTGCTTTTTCTTCAAACATATTTAAGTATTATAGTCTGGAATGATTTCTAGGAGTTTTAGATGGTTTCATTCTTCTTACAGGTAAATCTTTTCATTCTTAACGAAGTGGTGGTTATGGGCTCATCTATTCAAGAAATATTTAGCTAAATATTTTATCTTTACTTGAATGTCAAGCTGGAGATACTTTTTTTAAAAATGAGAAGTACTCATTCTATTTCATGGCATATCACAGTTGTGAAGTGACGGGTGATCATTTTAGATTAAATCTAATGGAAAAAATGAGAAATATGAAGTTTGACCTTAAAAATGCTTATATTCTAAGCTTATTGTTCATTAATATCTAGTTTCTTTAACAGTTCTTATCCATCAGTACTAACCTAGGAAGCAAAAGCTCCTTGGCAGTGTGTGTATATGTGTGTTTTATATATATATGTGTGTGTGTGTGTGTGTGTGTGTCTGTGTGTGCATGTCTATCTAAATGCATTTTTTTATGAATGGATGATAGTTTATTTTTTAATAATAAGGTATTGAGAAGTAACCTCCAGATAGATCCGTTTCATTAGAATTGTAAAAGCAGGTTTCATAGTTTGACTTCTGTGCTTTTCATTTGTGAACCCTATAGTCAGTCTTGTTCTCTCTTTCTCTCTCTCTCTCTCTCTCTCTCTCTATATATATATATATATATATATATATATATATATATATTTTTTTTTTTTTTTTTTTTTTTTTTTTTGGTGGGGGGAACAGAGTCTTACTCTGTCACCCAGGCTAGAGTGCAGTGGTGCAATCTTGGCTCACTGCAACCTCTGCCTCCTGGATTCAAGTGATTCTCCTACCTCAGCCTCCCAAGTAGCTGGGACTTGAATAGACACTTCATTTCTTTAAAGATGATGTACAAAGGGAAAATAAACACATGAAAAGATGCTCAAAATCATTAGTCACTAGAAAAATACAAATCCAAACCACAGTATGATACCACTTCACACCCACTAGGATGGCTGTAATGAAAAAGACAATAACAAGTGTTGGTCAGAATGTAGAGAGCTACTCAGGAGGCTGAGGCACAAGAATCACTTGAACACAGGAGGCGGAGGTGGCAGTGAGCCAAGATCATGCCACAGCACTCCAGCCTGGGGGACAGAGCAAGAATCTCTCAAAAAAAAAAAATAAAAATAAAAACCAGCAGCTGGGACCTTGATAGAAGTTGCATTGAATCTGTAGGTCAATTTAAGAAGTATTTCCATCTTAACAATACTAAATCTTCCAATTCATGAACATTGGCTCTTTTCATTTATTTGTCTTTAAGTTTTTTCCCATGGTGTTGTATAGTTTTCAGTGTACATGTCTTATGTTTCTTTCATTAAATTATGTCTAAATATTTATTTATAATTATAATGTATTTGTAGTTGCAGTCTTATGAATTGAATGTGTTCTTAATTTTATTTTCAGATTGCTTATTATGAGCGTATAGACACATAATTGGTTTTGTGCTTGCATCTTGCATCCTATAGCCTTGCTGTACTAGTTAATTAGCCTTTTGCAATCGGTGATACTAAAGAAGTTATAATGTACTGTGACTTAAAAGGAAAACTACTTCTTCATTTTCTAGGAGTTGTAGCTGTAGGGTACATCAATGAAGCTATTGATGAAGGGAATCCTTTGAGGACTTTAGAAACTTTGCTCCTACCTACTGCGAATATTAGTGATGTGGACCCAGCCCATGCCCAGCACTACCAGGATGTTTTATACCATGCTAAATCACAGAAACTCGGAGTAAGTTTTAGTATATCTGTTTCTTTTAAATTTTACAGGCTGGGTGGCAGAGGGAGAGAAGGAGGAGGATTTGACCCATTTACGTTAAATCTCATGAGCTTCTTGTCCCAACAATTACCCATGAATCAGAATGGAAATAATAGAGCTGTTATTTTCCTGGTAACAAACATTGGGGGGAAACCAGCTCCAGAGCTATTTATTGCTTTAATTCTTTGACTAAAAACTCAGTTGTAGGTGAGTTCTTGTTCAGAGTTCAATTCATTGACTATTTCCTTAGTAGATACTATGTGCACACTTCAGTCCATAGCTTCTGGTAGAGAAGATGGGGATACAGAGGGACACATAATACCATTTGAATGTTCTCTGACCTTATCTTCAAAATGCTTAGAAACTGATTGAGGCAGTGGACATTGTCACATGGAACAGTCAAGTAATAGTAAAGATAAGGGTGTGCAAAGTGTCAAAATGAGAGATACACAGATTGATTCACGGATGTTTGAGATTGTCGGGGACTAGAATCCTAAGAGAAGTTGGTGTGGAGGTAGAGCAGAAGCTGTCCTCTCGAAGACTAGTGGCTTTTTCTGAGTACAGAGCTTGTACCGCTATTATAAGGAGCCCCACAAAGACTGGCCTCTGTGATAAGGCCAATGGGCTGAGTGGTGAGGCTGATATGATCTGTCACCTAAGAGTGGGAGTGATGCCACCTGGGACCTAGCTACTTATGGCTGCCATGTCTTCAGGTGCAAACCCAACTGAAAGGGCGGTCATCTCCTCTGTCTAGGTCTTTAGAACCTAGGAACTGCCTCATTCGAAACAGGAAAAACATCCTTGGTTAATGCAAACATTTATTGAGAACCTACTATTTGTCAGGCATGATATTAGATACTCATGTGTATCATCTCATTTAATCATCACAACAATTCATAACAGCCTTCTGAACCATTTTGCCATCATTATTGCCATCTTACACATAATGAAACCAAGATTAAGTAACTTGTTGAAAGCTATCTAAAATGTGACCGGGCACAGTAGCTCACACCTGTAATCCCAGCATTTCGGGAGGCCAAGGCAGGTGGATCACTTGAGGCCAGGAGTTCGAGACCAGCCTGGCAAACATGGTGAAACCCCATCTCTGCTAAAAGATAAAAATAAAAAATAAAAAATTAGCCAGGTGTGGTGGCTCACACCTATAATCCCAGCTACTTGGGAGGTTGAGGGACAAGAATCTCTTGAACCGAGAGGTAGAGGTTGCAGCGAGCTGAGATCGCACCATTGCACCCCCACCTGGGTGACAGAGCAAGGCTCTGTCTCGAAAATAAATACATAAAATAAAATAAAACAAAATCAAGCTATCTAAAAGATAATTAGTCCTGAGACTACATGCAGCTCAGGTCTGTCTGATTCGGAAACATTATAATTATGTATTAAGGCAGATGGGAAAAGATGTTTATTGCAGCTTTGTTTGCAATCACAAAACATGAAAAACAACCTAAATGTTGTTAAGCAAAAAAAAAATCATGCTGTGATGTGCACATAGATGGAATATAGATAGGCTTGTGTATGTGTTGGGGGAGGGGCGCACACACTCTTACATGTGTCTAAAATATTTCTGGAGGGAGGATACCTTCTGGAAGGTGAACTAGAAGGCTAGTATGGATGGGAGATTTATTCTTCACTCCGTTTTTGTACTGCTTGGATTTTTAAATTTTTTAAGGAGTGTGTGTATTAAATAATTACTGTTTCTAAACTTTTAAAAACCAATGTAAATCCTATCCTCACTACTCCACTGCCTCATTGAAGGTGGAGAAATGTATCCCCCATGGTGGCGCCCTCTGCACTGCCAGCCTTCCAACAGGAACGGCAGTGGCATTGCCTGACCCTCCTCACTTTGCCAAGCGCCCCCACTCACATCAGTCTTTCTCATTTAAGCCTCATACCACCTGTGGAATGGGTGCTGTCTCATCTGATGTGAACGAGCCTGAGGCTCAGGGCGAATGCCTGGCCAAGGTACAGCCAGTGAGTGGGAGAGTGAGGGCTCATACACAAGCCTGGAGTCCATACATCCCAGGGGCAGGAGAGTGGGCCTTCACCTTGATGTTTCCACTGAGGTGGCTGTGGCCATGGCACATGGTAAACTTACAAGCATTGGAAGACAAAGTTATTTGCTTTGAAGATAGACATCATTCAAATCCTGGCTTTGCCACAAATTAGTTATGTGATCTTGGTCAAATCATCAAATCTCTATATGCTTATTTTTGCATGTATAAAATTGGAATAATAGTACCTGTCTTATAGGATTATGGTGAGGGTTCAATGAGAATATACAATATGTAAATATATATCAATATATAACTATAGGTACTATTAATGAAGAATATGTGCACGTGTTTGTGTAGCTATAGCATTTAGCATGGAGCCTGGCACCAAAAAAAGGGCTTAAATAATGTAGCTAGTATTATTGTGGGCACCTATGGTTGCCTCCCAAGTAAGGGGCGAGTGATGTCAGTATCTTAAGGTTCTTTTTTTTGTGAGGTGGAGTCTCGCTCAGTTACCCAGGCTGGAGTGCCGTGGCGCCATATCAGCTCACGGAAACCTCCACCTCCCAGGTTCAACCGATTCTCCTGCCTCAGCCTCCCGAGTAGCAGGGACTACAGGCACCTGCCATCAAGCCCGGCTAATTTTTGTATTTTGTAGAGACGAGGTTTCACCATGTTTTCCAGGCTGGTCTTGAACTCCTGACCTCAGGTTATCCACCTGCCTCGGCCTCCCAAAGTGCTGGGATTACAGGCATGAGCCACCGCACCCGGCTTCAAGGTTCTTACTAGACGTAGAGTCTGCTGAATTTACACACCAAAGTCAGGATCTTCTGAGGACAAATAGAGACAGACCTGGGTCCCTGTCTGCCCACAGCCACATGGGGGTTTGTCTTTGAGGTGAGCCTGACTCCACAAACCCAAGGCCTTTCATAGGCAGGCAGTATAGGTCCCTTCTAGACTGAGCATTCCAATCTAGATTGAGATGGAACTCCACAGGCGTCCTTTGAAAGAAGCCCCTGAGTGCCCACACCATGCCAGCTCTGTGTCAGGCATCCTTTCTAGGTGTGGAAACAGTAGCTTTCATGGTGTGATTAGAGCATTGATATGGAGCCTAGGGATCTGGGTTCTAGTTCAGGCGTTAAACCACTGTTAGACTATAGTTAGAGGTTTGAAATATACTGGCAATTACTAACAGATTTAAACAGATTTAAAATACTGCAGGTCCAAGCGATGAATCATATTTGGTTAAATTCCTGTTTTTAAGCAGTTTTCTTTCTCTGTTCATTGACTTTGAAACTTTCTTTTCTCAGCCTGTTCTTTTTTCTTGGAAAAATCCTAATTCTGTTGTTTGGCAATGTCTTTAATGTCTTTGTTTTTCCCCTCTGCTTTTTTTTTTTTTTTTTTTTTTTTTTTGGAGACAGGATCTTGCTGTGTTGCCCAGGCTGGTCTCAAACTCCTGGGCTCAAGTGATCCTCCCACCTCAGCCTCTCAAGTAGCTGGGATTGTAGGCACAAGCCACCACATTCAGCATCCTCTACTATTTTGATTCCTAGAAGTTTCCAGTTGTGTGTTTATGATGGTATTTCTGTGCCTTGTCTTCCCAAGGTCTGGCCTTGGAAAATAATATTAGAAAATTATATTGCTGGTATTATCAGTATAAAGTAAAACTGTGCCAAAGGCTACAGCCATTAAAGGTCACAATGGGTAACATCTTCATAGAATGGCTGCCCAGTTTTGTCAAAGGTGGAGGACAGTAATGGAAGTTGGTGAAGATTCTGGGTCCTCTTTAGCAGTATGTCAAGTATAACCTTGTGTAGCTACAAAATTCCTTTTGCCTCTTGGAAAGAGACTTGAGTAATGGTCATGTTGACTTTAACACTTTTTCTATGTCTGTTCACTGGGTGGTGTGTGCTATTTTACAATTGAAGGTTTTGCTTGTGAACATATGAGTTATACTCCACCAAAAAGTTCTGTTTTGCTCCTTGTATATACCATAAAAACTGTGTGCTTTTAACGAATATTGCTGTATTTTTTCCTTAGGTAAAACTGTGTTGTAATTGATGACTTAGTTTTCAGAAGTCAGCTCCTTCCATTTAAGTTTCTATCTTCTTGAAACTTACTTTAGGTTTGTTTTTCATTCTCACTTTAGTGTTTACCTGAGTTTTGCTCTTTGCATAACCACACACATATTATAAAGGGTCTTCATGTGGAAGCTTTTTACTTAAGTCTGATGAAATAGAAAACTGTGTACATTTAAAAATATGCATTTAAAATTGTTTTTTATTGTTTTGTTGGGCAGTATGAAATATACAGTCAAGGCAGATTCGTACAGACTTGTAAAGTCATCTCAGGAATCTTTTATGCTTAAAGTTTCCTCAGCCCCATTTATATTCACTACTATCATTCACTCTTTACCACTAATATCTTCCCTGCTGTCTAATCACTAATATCTTCCCTCCTGTCTAATCACTAATGTCTTCCTTCCTGTCTAATCACTGAGTTAAGGGAAAAATAGTCATTTACTTACAGGAATATAATGGGTATTAATAACAAAATTCCATTTCCCCATTAAAAGCTATGTCTAAGAAAAAAAATAGTGGAGGCATTATTTAAAACTTCTAAATGGCCTGGTGAGTATAGTCTTAGTTTAGCTTCCTTACTTTTTTGTATGCCCAACCTGAAATGATGTCATCCCGTATCATCACAGTATGTTGCTTTTTCAGTACGAAGTTAATGGGCTTTCCTGCTGTTTAACTGCTTTGAGATTTTAAAAATTCATTCAGCCACATAGTATTCAAAGCATGGAGCTGGGTGCCACAAAGACTTGGGCCTGGCATCACCCAGAAGCTCAAGGAAGGCAGAGGATGAGCACCTTCTCCATTATACTTGGTACTTGATTGTTCATGGAATTAAAATTTAAATATAAATGAACTATATATAAATGCCATAATAAAAATATACGAAAGTGCTTTGGAAGTACAGATAAGAAAAGTGACACTTCTAGCCTGAGAATCAGGGAAGAATGGTCCTTCAAGGACTTGAAAAAATGAACAGAATTAAGGCAAAGACGTTAGGACTAGCTTTTCAGTCTGAGGCAGAGTGGAGATATAGCAGAGCAAGAGGTTTGGTTGGTGCCTATATCATAAGCAAGGTTTAATGGGAAGTGTGATTAGCAAGTTAGCCTTGAATGCCAGGCTAAAGATTTATGATTTATTATAGAAACAGTGGAGTTAGTGGAAATGTTTTAGTGATGTATCCTAACTGATATCTAAGGAAGATTAATCTGGCAGGACTTGTGAAGTGGTGGAGGGTAGGCTGGCAGTGGAGAGAATGGTTAGAAGGTAGAGGTGGCCTGGACGTAGTGGCTCATGCCTGTAGTCCCAGCACTTTGGGAGGCTGAGATAGGAAGATCACTCGAGACCAGGAGTTCAAGACCAGCCTGGGCAACAGTGAGACTCCATCTCTGCAAAAAATAAAAAATAAAATTAGTTGGGTATGGTGGTGCATGCCTGTAGTCTTAGTTACTTGGGAGGCTGAGACAGCAGGATTGCTTGAGCCCAGGAGTTGGAGGCTGAAGTGAGCTATGATCAGGCTACTGCACTTCAGCCAGGTGACGAAGCGAGACACTGTCTCTATTAAAAAAAGGAAAAAAGAAGGCAAAGGTGAAACTAGATAAAAGACCCTGGTGAGGGACCCTACAAAGATAGAATCAGTTGATGAGGCAGCCACCAGCATGAGAGTCAAAAGAGACCAAAGAATAAAAAATGATGTCAAATGTCAAGGATGGCAATACCACTCACAGAAATAGGGAAGATGGTGATTTAAAGAGCTTGAAGTAGCAATAAGGCAAATGGAAATGTCATTTTCCATAGAGTTGTGATATCTTTTCTCCTGCATTAACATTTTTAAAATACTGATAAAGTGTTTTTAAAAATTACTAATGCTGGCTGGCTCAGTGGCTCACGCCTGTAATCCAGCACTTTGGGAGGCTGAGGCCGGAAGATCACTTGAGGTCAGGAGTTCAAGACCAGCCTGGTCAACATGGTGAAACCCCGTCTCTACTAAAAATACAAGTATTTTTAGTAGCTGGGCATGGTGGTGTAATCCCAGCTACTTGGGAGGCTGACCTGGGAGGCAGAGGTTGCAATGAGCCAAGATAGTGCCACTGCACGCCAGTCTGGGTGATAAAGTGAGACTCAGTCTCAAAAACAAACAAACAAACTACTAATGCTTTTGTAATGTTTGACCTTTGAAGCATATTTCTTAGGAGCTCGGAAATGGAGCTCCTTGCACTATGCTTATGTTGTTCTTGAAAACAGACGTTCTCTGTGATGGCTGTCCTTGTTCTCTAAGATCATTTCACTATTTTGTAAGGTAAGCAGTGGAGTGATTTCTGGTTTTTGACATGAGAAAATAAAGGAATGGATCTAAGCAACTATTAAGACTACCCAGGCACAAAGCTATGAGATATATAAAATATAAGCCATCAGTGTTGTTGTAGTAGTAGTTAGCATGGTGAATAATAAGAATAATATTGCTTGGAGCAAAGCAAATGGTAAAAATCACAAGGATGAGGAGACTCGCCTTAACATACCACAACCATCTATGATCGTATGCATTAAGTGTCCGGATGATGGCTGCATAGCAGTAGATGATAAGCACAAATGGAATTAAGAATCCAAAGAATGCCAAGGAGATGAAGTAATAGAGTTGGAAGGGAGATGAGGACTCGCAAGTGTTGTGAACATCATGGCAGGTGGTGATGTCTGGCTGAACAAGATAATATTCCTGCTTCAGTATGAAAAATGGCAGCATATATAAGAAAACTGTTGCCCACACCAGTCCACATGTTACCAAGGCATAGGTGTGCTTGGGCAGGCCCCGGTAGGTGAAAGGATGGACGATGGCCAGGTAGCGGTTGATGCTGATGCAGGCAAGGAGCAGAATGGAGCAGTACATGTTGCCATAGAAGATGACTGTGGTGGCCCGGCACAGGACCTCTCCAAATACCCAGTTGTTCCCATTGAGATGATAAGCTATCTTAAAGGGCAATGTAACACAAAAAAGAAAATCTGCAATGGCCAGGTTGGTGTAGAATACAGTGGTACAGATGGATCTGGTCCTGAAGAAAAGCATCCACAGGGTCACAGCATTGGCCGGGACACCAACTACAAACACCAGGAGGTAGATGGCAGGTATCAGTTTAGTACTTAAGGAGCTGGTCAGGTACCCCATGGTAGCATTTTTCACATGGAGATGTGAAGCACTTTCTTCAGGGCACTTAATTTTTACAGTAATCGTGGCTCCTGTCCAGCCTTCCAAGGCAGAAAAGGGGAACTCTTCAAAAGAATTTGGGGGAGCTCCACGAAAGGTCTTAATGGGTAAGGTTGGCTTTGCCAAGTTGTTTGTATCATTTTCCATGCCTGTAATTGAAAGAAAGTATTAACATAAATGTATAGTTCAAGAGAAAAGAAAGTGTGTTTAATTATTTGTAAATAATTTCTGTGATTGTAGAATTTAAGATCATTTTTATTTTAAAAAGTTATTGTAGATTAGGCAGTCAACAAGCATATATTTAATACATATCATATGCCCCAGAACAACACTATCTTGTGCGGAAACAAAAACTAAATGATCAGTCCTTGTATGTAAAGTGTTTATAATACTATTAGAAGAAACAAAAACAGCCCATCAGAACATTATAGGCATGTTGACTACAAACTATACAGGCATTCAGACAATACTTAATAGATTCAGATGTTTGAGCAAAATGTCAAGGAAAAGATGAACTTGAGCAAAGACTAGCAAGGTTCCTAAAAAGATGGAATTTAATGAGTAAGATTCTGCTGGTGATGAATGGACAGAAGCATAGTGTGGGCTATCATGGGATCTGGGAATGCCAGATAAGTTGATTTAGCAAATTTTTATTGTACATTGATGTGTCAGTGGTGTAAAGTTTTAAATAAAATCCATTTCTATCTGTAAGTAATGCTACTCGTGGAGAAGATGCATAAAAATGCATTGTCTTATGCGAATAAAGTGCAGCTGAGAAAGGAAATTGAAAGAGTGGGTGACAGCTAAATTCCTGAAGGGCCTCTAAACTGTCCTAAGAAATCATATGTCTATTCACAGATGATGGGATTGCACACACAATTTTGAACAGAGGAATGACCATTGTGTTAGGCAGAATAGTAGCCCCCCGCAAAGATTCTACCTGCTAATTCCTGGAACCTACAAGTATATTCCTTTACCTAGCAAAAGGGATTTTGCAGATCTAACTTAGTTAAGGATCTTCTTTTTTTTTTTTTTTTTTTTTTGAGACAGTCTCACTCTGTCGCCCAGGCTGGAGTGCAGTGGCACGATCTCAGCTCACTGCAACCTCCGCCTCCCGGGTTCACGCCATTCTCCTGCCTCAGCCTCCCCAGTAGCTGGGACTACAAGCGCCCGCCACCAGGCCTGGCTAATTTTTTGTATTTTTTTAGTAGAGACAGGGTTTCACCATGTTAGCCAGGATGGTCTCGATCTCCTGACCTCGTGATCTGCCCGCCTCGGCCACCCAAAGTGCTGGGATTACAGGCGTGAGCCACCGCGCCCGGCCAGTTAAGGATCTTAAAATGAGATTTTCCTGGATTGCCTGGGTGGGTCAAATATAATCATAACAGTCCATATAAGGGGAAGGTAAGAGGGTTGTCAAAGTCAGAGATTTGAAGATGCTATGCTGCTGGCTTTGAAGATGGAAGAAAGGGTCATAACCCAAGGAATGCAGGCAGATTCTAGAAGCTGAAAAAAGCAAGATAGCCGATTCTCTCCTAGAGCCTCGAGAATGAACACAACCCCACCAACAGCCTTGATTTTAAGACCTCTGATCTCCAGAAATATAATCTGTTATTTTAAGCCACTCAGTTTGTAATGATTTGATATAGCAGCAGTAGGAAACGAATATAGCCGTTATTTTGACTTGTTTTTAAGATGACTTAGGTAATAGTGTAGAGAACAGATTGGAAAGGTAAGAAATTACAGGCAAGGGGACCTGATTTGGAGGCTACTGTCATCATTCATAGCTCAGTGAGTTACTGAGCTAGAACAGTGGTTATGGAAAGGCAGAGGCGAACACGTGAGACTCTGATGGCGGCTTAAAGGGACTTGGTTCTGATTGGCTTTGGGGTGCAGTGAGGGAGAGGCAGGAAGCAATAATGACTCAGGTTTCTACTCTAGATGACTTGGAGGGAGAGGATGCCATTAACTGAGTTGGAGGGAGACAAGGAGACAGGATCGGGGAGAAGCTACAATCTGTTTTTAGTCTGACTGAGGATGAGTTGCTGGTGGAATATTAGTGTGTAAAATGTCCAGCAACTGGTTAGAAGACTGGATGTGGGTCCAAAATTCCAGGAGCCCAAATTAGAGGCATGATTTATTGTAGTCTGCATGGAGGCTCTCGTTTAATTTAATGGGAGTGGTTGAGATGGCCTAGGGGGAGTTATGAGAAGAAAGAATCCAAAGGTGGACTTTAGGGGTAATGACAGATTTTAAGGGAAGAGGAAACAAAGGAGGAAAAATCGGAAGATGAAATCGGTATGAGGACCTAAGAAGTTGGAAATGAATTCTTTAAAAGATAGAAACACATCAACTATATGCTATCAATATTTGGTGTTACTTGGCATGTTGATGTTAATAATCCTAATTCCTGCAATTTCAAAAACAAAATCTTAAAGCTCAAACCTGAACATTTATTATTATATAACTTTTTGTAACCCTTTCACATGTATAGAAAATAGATTCTCCCAGATTTCTAATGTTACCTTTAAGATAGACTTCTATGCCAAATATAAACCTCATTCTTATCGATTTAAAATGCCAGTACTGCGCCATTATGTCTTGTCCCATGGCCTCAAAATTCCTCCATATTGAATACTTGAAGTTAGTGTTTAGTAACCTATGTTTCATTCAGAGCCAGTTTCTCTTCCTGCTTTAATCTCTAGCAGTTAGCTCCCGGGTGAAATGGAAACCCTCCACGTAAACCTGAGATTGCACAAGCTGAATTCACGGTGTAAAATAGAGGAGGTGTGTCCTAGTAACTGAGGGGTATGGAGGTGATCAGGTATCATTTAAGAAAAGGTAGATTAAAGAAAAGGAAAGAAAAATTTGGGAGGCAGCATTCTTCTATGCCTGTATTTAGAGGTGATCTTAGAAGCTGTGTTGTGTGACACACAAACCCTTCTGCTCACTTTTGCATTTTGGAAAAGTTCTTGCATCTGACATCACCCAAAGAGAAGTGCCTTTAAAGATAGGCACAAAGTTAGAGAATGGTGCCTGAAGAGCATGCCGTACAAGTTATTAGCCTGATTTTAAAAAGCTGTTAAAACCAAGTGTTTGTCCGTTTTCAGAAAGTTTCTGGGATTTAGCAAGACATCATGCCTCCAGACATGCCAAACAGTGCCTGTGTTTTGTGGAAAAGTTGATTTGATTCCATTTTCCGTGAGAATGCCAGATCTGGGTCCACTTAAATAAGGCTTTTATTCCTCAGAGCCTGGTTTTCCTTATGAATTGTACTCATTGTTAAATTTTTTTATTGTATTTTAATTCTTTATAGAGGCTTCCATTGGGCATAATATTTCGGAAATGTTTTTCTATCCGGGAAAAGGCCTTGAAGAACTAATCCAAAGAGAATGAACTCCGGCCTCTCAGGGGTGTCCAAGGGAGAGAATACAGTCATGGATTCATAGTTTCTGTTTCTAGTTGAGCCAGTAAAGCCCCTTCCTCATCCCTCTTTTCCATTTACCTCTAGAGACAGAAACTAAAAACCATGGCTTCAGGCTGCTAAAAGCCTAAAACAAAACAAAACCACAACGAAATAAGGCAGGTTGGACAAGCTTGCTTCATTCTTCCTTCACATTTCTCCCCCACCCCATGGAAGAAAGCAAATTCACTGCCTCTTTGTTTCCTTCAGAGGCCCCCGTTTTCACCTCCATCAAACCCTATTAGCGTCTTGAAGGAACCACCCCCGAAAACCTTGCTTCTTTTGCAATTCTGCTTCTCAACATATTGGCCCATCTACTCCCAGAAAGAGCGTGCACTTATTATATTCATAAATCCCACATGTGCTTACTGCTAATCACCACAGATTCTCTTAGAGCTCTCTGCAACCGCTCAGGGATTCCAAATGTGAATTTAAGCAATGTTCCTTTAGAAAGCATTGATTTCTGTTTTTGTTTCCCTTGCTATGTCCAGTCTTTGCCTCTCCCACTCCTAACAATGTTGACTGGAGTGTGTGACCTAACAAAGAGTAACAGGTACAGACCTATCCCAAATTTGTTATTTTTGGAAAAAGCAGGAGGTTTCAGGCTAACATTGTGATGGGTAAAGTGGAAAGTACATTCAAAGTTGAATAATAGTATTTGGGAGACCTTATTTTTAAAATTAAAAAATCATATATGAGGGTAGGGAGAACTCCCCACTTAAAGTCAAAAAAGGTCATTCATTTCGGAAATACTGACTTATTAGCATTGCCAGCTATTGAAAGCAGATGACTTTCTCTTTCTGGCAGTATTCTTGTTTCTCCCATTTATGTCTCACCAAGAGGTTTAAACACAGGATATATATTTTAATCCCTAGAAAAAGTGCCATCTTTGCTTAACCAGAAGAGAAATTCTTACAAACACAAAAACGACTTTCAAAATTGCTCCCTGACTTAATCGTAGACATCTAAAATCTTGAATATGCCACACATTTTTAAACATCAGGAGGGAACACTTAGTCTATGACCAGGTTTGAATAGAGTGAATGAACTATAGATGTTCATTTCCATGATTCTACCTTTTAATAATAAAGATCAAACTGCCTTTGGGGTTTACAGTTTGTGTGAGATGCAAAGAAACCTAGGTTCAGTTGACTCTTAATTTGTAACAGAAACCCACATCCCCATCCTACCCCCTGAGAAAATTGCTTACCACTCTGACAAAAAGTGGGCAACAGAAGCAGGAGGCCAGCAGCTGCAAAGATGAGGGCTTTCATTTTGATGACCTGAGTCCCGTCTCTTAAACGTTATGAAATCTGTAAAATCATGGAGCACAATTTCACCTCAGTTCCATGTGTCAGCAGCAAATGGAAGCCTTGGTCTGTCTGTAGAAGTTTGCTCTCCTGTGCCGTGCAGGCAGGAAACTTGCCCTGGTCCTCCGCAGGGAAAGGATGTAATCCACTCGATGCTTCAGTAAGCATGACTCAGGCCAAGCCTCTGAACGTGTTACGTTATCCCTGGAGAAAGGCATTTAACTCTTACCCACCCCCAACAATCTATTCTGAATAGGTGCTGTAATTCTCCCCTAGTAGATTTGCTTTTAAAGAATGGCAGAAATTACACAGGCCTTTACAGAACTAAGCCAAAAACAGATGTTGAACAGCAGTAAGTTTTGAATCTGTCCCACATTTCATTTCTTATCCGTTTTAAAAATGCAGTTCCAGAGTGTAATTTCTACTTAATAAATTATCCTTTCCTTTATCTTCCCAGCTATTTCAAATCTTAATCCTTAAACACTTTACATAATTATAAATTAATCATGGAAAACAAACTTTTAAGAAATTCAAATTGAGCGGTGAATCACTTTGAAAATTTTCCATCAATGTAATATTGATTTCAGTTTGTCGTCAGTGCCTGGCCAGAACCTGGCTTTTGAGTGGTGGTGGTTTTTCTTCGCCGGGTGAGGATGGCGTTTGTTCAGGCTTTTTTTTTTTTTTTTGCCTTATCTTGATGTGTTTTGAGCCATTCAATAACCCTTAGGGTCAGATAACTGGAGGAACCTCCCAAACAACGCTGTTCAGTTAAACTAAAATCATAGCACATCATGAAAATGAGGACTCCCTTTATTCCATGAGTGTTGGTGAATAAGTCTACAATAAGATATTTTTAATAGTGGTAAAATATACGTAACATAAAATTTACTATCTTAACCAGTATTAAGTGTACAGTTCAGTAATGTTAAATACATTCACATTGTTGTACAACATATAAGCTTTTATGAATTGTTATATTCTGTAGAGTATGACTTAATATACAGTAAAAAAATGCATTATAACACATTTTTCTGTAGTTAATAAAACTTAAACTTGAAGCCTGACCATCCCACAGCCTGCTCTTTACAAAATGCAGCAAGAATCAGAAAATACAAATTTCACATGAGACTTAAAGGCTAGGGATATGCTAGGAAGAAATTGATCTGCGGAAACCTTTCACATCTTG
The DNA here is from genome assembly GCF_000001405.40 of Homo sapiens. Taxonomy (NCBI): domain Eukaryota; kingdom Metazoa; phylum Chordata; class Mammalia; order Primates; family Hominidae; genus Homo; species Homo sapiens. The sequence goes on from NC_000005.10 coordinate 76,624,453, forward strand.
ATTAAATTACATTAGACCAAGATTTTTACAAAGGTCAGTGTTTAATACTTCAACTACATAATATATGGTTATACAAACTGAGATAGAATGTTATTATATTGCAGAAATATAAAACCTAAAATATTGACAAAGGTTTTTTTTGTTTCATTAGAACTTTTCTGGGAGTTATCTAAATTCAGGAATTTATGACTTGATTTGCACATGGCCTAGTTTCTGGTCATTTAATTCATTTGTAACTCTTATGTTGAACCTGGCTGTTTAACTGAAGTGGAGGTGTGGCCGTCCCATAAATATACTATTATTTTCAGTCTTCTGGTGAACAACTGAAAAAGCAGACTTGGCTGGGCACAGTGGCTCATGCCTGTAATCCCAGCACTTTGTAAGGCTGAGGTGGGGGGATCACTTGAGGTCAGGAGTTTGAGACCAGCCTGACCAACATGGTGAAACCCCATCTCTACTAAAAATGCAAAAATTAGCTGAGCGTGGTGGCGGGCGCCTGTTATCCCAGCTACTTGGGAGGCTGAGGCAGGAGAATAGCTTGACCCTGAGAGGCGGAGGTTGCAGTGAGCAAGCCTGGGTGACAGAGCAACACTCCATCTCAAAAATAAAATAAATAAGAAAAAGCAGACTTTACATTGATAAGATTCAGCTTTTACTTTTGGTTTTACATTTAACTCTAGTAATCGTTAGTTCAATGTTTCATAATTTAAACCGTTGACTTAAATTCATCTGATTTGTAATTTCTCTCTTCAGTTTGGCCTATAAGACTAATACTTTAAGCTTTGAAGTAAGATTGTTACTGCCTTCTCATCTGGGTAGAAATCTGTGTGGTGTATCTTCTACAGTGATAAGTTATGAAGGAAGGCAAATACCCTTCAAAAGAACTGAGACACATAAATGAACTCATAGAGCTTAGTTTTTAGGTTATAGCTGGGGAGTGTTGGGTTCTCTTAGATCTTGTAAACAGAGAAAAATTAGCTCCTGCTTCCCTGTCTCTTTTTTTCCTCCTCTAGTCTTCCCCTTTCCACCCGGCTTCCTGTTTGAGCCTCCCCCATCCATTCTTGAAAGAAATGGAAAATCTTGCTGATGCTTCCCTTGTAGTCTGCCGCATAGCTAGAGGTGATTGTGGAAGCAGGCACCAACACTTCCCCAGAGGTCTCCTTTAGCCCAGATGTTGCACGATGAAATAACAGATAGTTTATCTCATTTTCAGAGCCCTTTCCACATGCATTATCTCACGTTAACCTCTGAGGAAAATAGTGTTAGAAGCCTGCCAGAGGAACCAGTGACTATTTCCTCTCCTTCCTGCCCCCATCCATCTTAAGTTTTAAATGACGGAGTCGGTGCCAGATCCATTACCTTTCATTCATCACAGTCTTGACTTAGGATTTAGAACACGACACTTATTCCTACACATAGGTAAAATGTTCCCATTTGTTAAATGTCACATGTTTCCTGAAAATATCTCTGCTGATAATTATTTACTTGCCATCTCAGAAAAGATTTTATAAAACACAATTGCTACCTGGAAGTTCCACTTAATATCTGTCAGGGCTGCTTTTGTAGCAGGACCATCAGAATCAACCCAAAGTTAAATAGGAATATTTACCTATAATAGGAATAATGCAATACATTTTCATTGCTGCTGTTGCTTCCTTTCTAAAGCTATCTTTAACTACTTAGTCTTTGCTCCCCCTGCAACTTGACACCTTTACCATAGGTTAACCCTTTCTCACCTATGTCTGGATCATGTGTCTGCAGTATATATTGCCCTGATCACATTGTATTATAATTCTTTTTCTTTTTTTTCTTCTTTTCTTTTTTTTTTTTTTTTTTTGTGAGACAGAGTCTCACTCTGTCCCAAGGCTGGAGTTCAGTGGCCTGACCTTGGCTTACTGCAACCTCCACCCACCAGGTTCAAGCAATCCTCCCGCCTTCCTCCCAAGTAGCTGGGACTACAGGCATGCACCACCACTCCTGGCTAATTTTTGTATTTTTAGTAGAGATGAGGTTTCACCATGTTGGCCAGGCTGGTCTCGAACTCCTGACCTCAAGTGGTCCACCACCCTCAGCCTCTCAAAGTGCTGGGATTACAGGTGTAAGCCACCATGCCCAGCTATATGTCTTGACACATCTGTCTCTTACACTACATTGTTAGGTCCTTGAGGACAATCACCATGTTGTTGTTTGTTTTTAATTTTTGTCTCTGTGTCTGATAAATATCGACGATCCCTGTGTTTCTCTCAAATTAAAAATATCCCATGGTACCCTGGGACACCTTGACACTTAGTTTGGGAACCACAATAATTGATTGAGGGAGAGAGTGTTTGACTAGGGTAGCCCGGGAAGACTTTTTGGAGTAGGTAGCATTTGAGTTGAGACCTGAATGGTAAGAAAAAGCCAACAGCCACACAGTGAGGGTAGAGTATTGTGGTCTGAAAGAGACTCGTGTGAAGGTCTAGAACAGGAAGGGGGAAGTAAACGGGTGTGAGGTGCAGCCAGAGAGGCAGTAGGCAGGGCCATGCCGTTGGAGCCCCGCCATCCCTGAGAAGGCACCCTGTGTTTCCTTCTAACTGCCGGGGGAAGCCTTTGGGGAAGCTTTAAGTAGAGGAGTGGTGCACTGAGCTATCTATTTTGAAGGGATCCTCTGGGCCCTCTGTAGAGGGCCACTGTGGTGAGGGCAAGCTTAGATGCAGCAGAAGCTGCTAGGGGGCTGATGCAGCTGTCCAGTTGGGAGATGATGGGGGGCTGGACTAAAGAGTGGTGGGGAAGAAGGAGGAAGTGGTCGGGTTTGGGGTCTGCTTCATTAGGAGTGTGTACAGTATATGGCAGAGCTGGATAGTTGCTGATTAAGAATTTGTGGGAATTATGATTAAATGGCTCCTCAAAAGCAGTTATTAATTCTGTTTCCTCATCATTCACTCTTCTTTCTTTTTATTCTGTGACATTGTCCCCAGGACTCTGAGAGTGTTTCCAAAGTGCTTTGGCTGGATGAGATACAGCAAGCCGTCGATGATGCCAACGTGGACAAGGACAGAGCAAAACAATGTAAGCCCTCACCTCCTTTGCTCTTGAAACTTGCCTTTTTGGATTTGGTTATGTGCCTGAAGTCATGTGATTTTTAATTTCTGAAAGATTTGGATTCTTACCAAGTTTTAGTTCTTGGACACATAATTATACCGAAATTAGTTGGTTGCCCTATTGTCAGTGATTTGACTCTATCTCCAACAAAATGTAACAATGTTGCTGAACAAAATCCAGAAGGTAAAAAATAGTTTTTAAGCTCTCAAATTGTATAATTGAATAAAATTCTTTTTTTCTCTTGATTTTTAGAGAACTAGACCATTTCTACTTAATAAATGCCTTTTTCTCCTTTCCATGGCCTTTATAGTTACCAGGGTTTTCCACAGAAACAGAACCAATAGGAGACCTATGGAGTTGGCTAGCTGATCATGGTGCAACTAGAAGTGAAATAGACTGGCAGTCTACTCAATTCTTACTTAATCTGTACAACTGGATGAGTTTTGGGTCAAGCAAACAGAAGTCTACCTTGAATCATAAAAATAGTCATGGACCCTCAATCAGTTCCCAGAATGGGGCCAGTTTACAAACCCAGAACCCCTCAAATGAAGGGAAGGCCAGGCCCCTTGAGGAAAAACTCAGCTACACTACCAAAAATTTATACTGTTAGTCTTTCTTCCACCCCTCCCCCAAAGGGACCTATGGCCTTTTACCAGGGTGACTGTACTTAGGAGAAAGTACATAATCAGACTTTTGGGAATTAGTGGACACTTGCTCTGAACTGACACTAATTCCAAGAGGCCCAAAACATAACTGTGGTCCACCAGTCAATGTAGGGGTTTGTGGAGGTCAGGTGATGAATAGAATATTAGCTCAGATCCATCTCACAGTGGGTCCCTAAACTCTTTCTGTGGTTACTTCCCCACTTCTGGAGTGCATAATCGGAATAGGCATAATCAGCAACTGGCAGAATCCCCACATTGGTTCAAATGATAAAATTGTTTAACCCTCTGTTTTTAAGGAAGAATAACATGAAAATTCACATGATAGTCTGAAATAGCTTCTAAATTGCTATACTAACATTCTCCATATATAAATTAAGATTCCTAAAAATATATTTCACTAACCTGCCAACTGATGGCATAATTAGAATCTATTCTGTTGTATCAGGTCAGAGAAGGTTCTTAAGATGACTTTGTCTTACTCCACAGATGGGCTTTTCAACCTCGGAAGCATCTGTGAGAAACATCTGGGCTTTATCTCCTTAGCTTAGAAAAATGTGTGTATTTCTCTAACCTGAACTTTTATTCCCTAAGGAACTTTGAAGTCTTTCCTTTCTAGCACGCCTTAAGAAAAAAATAATGAAGTGGAGGTGTGTATATAAGAAATTTCAACTTAAATATAAAACTGAAGGAAGCCATGGTCTGAAGAGACAGTTTTGAGAAAGTAGATTGTAATTTAGACATTCAAATAGCCTAAGATGGTTATGATTTGTCTCTTAGAAATCAAACCAATTTAGAAGGTTTTTAAAATGTTCTTATATTCATTGTTCTTACATTCGGCCTGCAAATGTCAAGTTGATTCTGTTTTTCACATTGAGACTCATGGTTCTATTGACTATAAAAGTAAGAGGATTTCTCAAATGTATAATTTTGTACTCTGTATTGCACATCTAAAATCCTATCTTTTCACTCTGTCCTGTCCCTTAAAGAGCCGATATACTTTCTTTTACTATATCTTAAACAGCAAAAAAGATTTTCCAAAGTTAATGCTACCTATGAGAATTTTCTGACTTTCAACAAGAATTTGATTAAAAACATTCTTCATTATTTGCATGAAGACTTGAAATAGATTCTGGTCACACACTATAAGCATCACACACACTCTCAGATAATATGATAAAAGAAAATGTGTTGGCCCAAATATGTTACCACCAGCAAAATTTAAAAGGGCAGAGTAACTCAAGTCCCTTTCATTTTGGCCTAGTGTTCACATTCACTGGAGTATCTTGCTTGCTTAAAGTAGATTTGCCTCTACTTTTGATTCCTTAGAGCAGTCTTTCTCTACCTTTTTCTCATTATGGCACCCTAAGGAATCTTTTTAGACAGTTTTTTCTCTAATCACTCCTTACCATGAAATTTTAATGCCACAGATATTTTGTATACCTGTTTATGTGCCATATGTAGACCTGTACTTTATACATAAAGAGATTTTTTTCACTCCCTCCCTGCAGGAACTAATTTTTGCCCCGTTAGGGGTTCTATCACCTCCACTGTGAATGTGTGCCTTAAGAGAGCCTGCTGGTATATGGCTTAAGATGTAAAGCAAACATTTTTTGGATCTCTTAGGAGATTTATGGAGGTTTCTTAATTTGTTCCTTGGCAGAAACATACCTGACTTTCTGGAGTGAAAGTCATCTATCTGATATCTTCAACTATCTGGAACTTAGCTACAACTCACAGATTAAGAAAAAAAGCAATCAAAATAGATATCTCAAAGCAAGCGCATTGAAGTTAATCTACTTTATTCACTGAGCACCCCTCAGATAGACACTTTGAGCCTGTTGATTCTTTTCTTAGGCAAAACTCTATTATCTTGGTAGTTTCTTTTCCTGGTTGGTTGTGACTTAGAGCACATCAGAAGCCACAAGTCACAAGGCAGTAAAGTGCTTAAGCTGCCATAGGCAGGCACACCAATGTCAGTAAAAAGTGACAGCTGACAGTGAAGGAAGAAGGAAAAACTAAGAAGCATAGGAGTTATTAAGGCTATTTCGTGCAGGAGCCAGTAAGCCCAAACACCTCCACAGTCCTTGAAAATAACACTCACCAGATTATAGCACAGCACAATTTTAATGACAAGGACTCTTCTGGCAGCTCTCAGCAGACATTAAGCACCTACTTTATACCATAGACTTTGGGTAAAATAAGGAGCAATAGCAGCTGTCCTGTTAGGATTTTCTCTAAGGCATGTTTTAGAGTTCCATCGAAAATGGTTCTATTAAGATGAGAGTTGATCCATAAAGGAATTAGCTTCAGTTATCTGGAAATTGACCTGTGAACCAGCTCATCGATACTCAATGATGATATATCCAAGAAATGTGTGCCTTTTGTAATATCTTTTAAGGAAAATTGCATTTTATTGGGTTAGATGACACTGTCACATGTAGTTCATGTGATAATTTTTGTCATTTTCTTGTTCCTATTACTTTTCTTGGACCACAAACTTCTCAATTGCCAGTACTCTTATTTTCTCTATCCTACAAAGCTTTCCTGGAGAAGAGGAAAGGGCTATGTCTACCCATGTTCTATTAACCTCTGTTAGCATAAGAACATGCTGCCATACCTTTTGTTCAACAACCACTGGAGTTTGCCTGAGAAGTTCTCCCCTTCATCTATATGTGCCCCTCCAGATTTGCATGACTTTGACTCCAGGTTGTTGAAAGTCAATCTCTGTTTTTCTTTCTCCTTTAACCCTCATAGTGCTATGCACATGTGAACATAATTTGATGACAACGAATTGTAATTTAATATTTGTAGAGTTTGATGTACGTGTAAGAAAAAAAGAGAAAGCATCCGTGTCTCCCTTCTCTTTTCCTCAAGATGTTTTTCATGTAGGAAGTATTTTAACTTGGCCTCTTTCATTTTTCTGGTTCTACTTTTCTAACTCAGTGCATTTACTGGTTGTGAAAACTCTAGTCCTATCGATTGGACATTCTTACCTGGAATTAAGGTGGGAAATAATTCACTAAGTTAACTTTCCTTAGGCAACCAAGAGTTTAATGTGTTTTGTTAATGAGGAGGGGTAGAAATTTGCAATGGGATAAAATGCTTGTTAGGTCTAAAATGGTTCCAGAATTAAGTTTTAGGACTCCGTTGCACATATCCACCAGCTCTGCCTTTCTAGAACACTTGTTTAGGTTGTTTTTGACAATCTTGCTAAATATATTAGCACTATACAAGAGAATACCAGGATTTCTGTAACTTAAAAAGGATTTTGCTTATCCTAAAGTAAACAAATGTCTTTGTAAAACTAGTTCTCAAATACATGCTAATGCCCTAGGTTACAGCTACATATCTATGTTCGTGTGTATTCACCCCATTTCATAGATTACTACAGCAAGCAAAACCTAGTGCCTTCATACCACATATGAGTAACCAGGAAAGACTATTGTTTTTAATAAACCATACTCCCATGGTATCTAATTCTTCTTATGGACTAAACTGGTCTGTGAATTTGTGATTGTCTTGGGCATATGTGGTAAATATTCTCAAAGGGTAAAAATGTTTGATACTAATGCATTCCTAAAACGTTGAATTATATATTTGCATGCCTTGAAGTAAGTGGAAGATAACCATTAACAAGAAACTTTTTTTTCAATTACCCAGGGGTTACTCTGGTGGTTGATGTTAATCAGTGTTTGGAAGGAAAAAAATCAAGTGATATTTTGTCTGTATTGAAGTCTTCCACTTCTAATGCAAATGACATAATCCCGGAGTGTGCTGACAAATACTATGATGCCCTTGTGAAGGCAAAAGAGCTCAAATCTGAAAGAGGTAAGTTGGTTTGTTACTTTAGCACAAACTAAGTATTTTAAATATCATTTCTGTGGTATTATATTTTCTTAATTTTAAGACAAGTAATGCTTTCAAATTAACATTTCTGTAATTTTTTGTCATCTATGGCTAAGGAAATTAGGAAAAGTTTTAGATGTTTCTTTTTAGTTTTAGAAAGCTATGATGAGCTCAGTGGCAATATATGGATGGCATTAAGAAAATGTCATATTTGAGGAGTCTGTGCCTTATACAGGTCATGCTTATTGATTCATTTATTCGTGTGAGTAGACCAGTGATATAAACAGATGTTTACACTAATATTTTCTCTCACCTAATCCTTTGTGATTGCACAGTATTAAGTAGGGGTAAAGAGTAATTCTGAATATATGAAATAAAGTACAATGAGCCAGCCTGCAAGGGATCAGTTGGCAAAGCTAGGCAACTAGTTATGCCTACTCAATCCAATGGCAGAGCCTACATTGTTAGCTCTGGAAAGAATCTTTGAGACTACACAGTTTGATACTCATTTTTCAGATTTGGAAGTTCACATTGGTAAGATTTCAGACAGAGGGAAAGAATGGTAGACCCAAGGACAATTAATTTTTATTCCAGAATTCCTTTAGTAGATTTTTATTAAGCACCTACTATTTCCTAGTGTCAAGGATCAAGGTGGCTGTCAACTTCTAGGCTAGTATTTATTTGTACCACATTGTAGGTCATCTACAGGATACTATTCATCTTTAAGAAACTAGTGTGACAGTGTGTGGCCTTAGAAGTAGAGCTTAAGGAAAAAAAAAAACTTTTTTAGTCCAACTTGATGTTTGTCTAGTAGTACTCTATGTACTTGTTTTCAAGTTTCATATATTTCCAACTTGGAGATTCCACCTTAAAATTCAGTTAATTTTCTGTTAATGAAATGACCACTCTCTTACTTGGCATCTGGTCACCCTTGAGTCCCTCTCTGTTCCATTCAGATCTCTTCATCAAGAATTACTGTAATGTCCCCTGTCTCATCCTTCATTGGGAAAGAATTGCATAATTGTATAAATGAGCTATCCTAATTTCAAATTCATCCTGGAAAAAACTTAGTTCATCTTCTGTCTCCTAAACTTGCTATGTCGTTTCCCACATGTCATATTTGGGTGACTATAGTCAAATCCCTGTGTATCCAATTCAGAAACCTAGGAAGTGCTTTAGATTCATTCTTCTGGGAAGAAAAAAATGGCAGCAAGACTTTTGTCAGCTGAGATCATATTGAATCTGTAGGTAAATTTGAGAAGTCTTGCCATCTTAACAATATTCTGATCCATGTACATGGGTATCTTTCCTTTTAATCAAGTTTAAAACTCTTTCAACAATTTTTTGTAGTTTTCTGCATATAAGGCTTGCATTTGTTTCATTAAATTTATTCCTAAGTATTTTATCATTTTTATTTTATTGTAAATATTGTTTTTTAATTATATTTTGGGATTGTTTATTGCTAGTTTATAGATATACGATTGACTTTTTATTGAGAAATAATTTATATGCCATAAAATTGTCCTTTTAAGGTATGTAATTAAGAGGTTTTTAGTATATTCACAAGGTTGTACATCCAACACCTCTAGTTAATTCCAGAACATTTTCATCACACCAAAACAAAACCCAATACTTATTAGCAGTAAATCCCCATCACCCACTCCCCAGCTCCAGGCAACTACTAATCTACTTTCTGTCTTTGGCCTATTTTGGACATTTCATGTAAACAGAATTATACAATACATAGCCTTTTGTGCCTGGCTTCTTTTACCTAGCATAATATTTTCAGAGTTCATTCATGTAGCATTAGTCAGTTCGTCCTTTTTTGTGGCTAATATTCCATTGTATGAATATGCCACATTTTGTTTACCCAGCCATCAACTGATGGAACCTGTATTCTGCGCCACCCCCTCCCCCCAACTTTTGGCTATTCTAAATGAGACTGCTATGAATATTCATGTCCAGGTTTTTTCATGGATATATCTTTTCGTACAACTGATTTTTGTATATTGATCTTGTATCCTACAACCTTGCTGAACTCATTCTAATCATTTTTAGTAAATTTCTTGTGCTGCCATCCGCCTTAATAAATAAAGTTTCACTGAAATCCAGCCACACATTAATTTATATATGGTCTATGGCTGCTTTCCTGCTGCAGTGGTAGTGCTGAGTGGTTGTTTCAGAGACCCATAGCCTGCAAAACTGAAAATATTTGCCTTTTTTTTTTTTCTTTTCGAGATGAAGTCTCACTCTGTCACCCAGGCTGGAGTGCAGCAGGGCAATCTTGGCTCACTGCAACCTCAGCCTCCTGGGTTCAAGCAATTCTGCCTCAGCCTCCCGAGTAGCTGGCATTACAGTTACCTGCCAACATGCCTGGCTCATTTTTGTATTTTTTAGTAGAGACGGGGTTTCACCATGTTGACCAGGTTGGTCTCGAACTCCTGACCTCAAGTGATTCACCTGCCTCGGCCTCCCAAAGTGCTGAGATTACAGGCATGAGCCACTGCACCCAGCCCCTACTCTCTGACTCTACGGAAAACGTTTGCCAACCCCTGTTCTAGAAAGAAGAGCATCCCAAGCAATTAAAGACTGATTCTCACCTCCAGATAGAGCTATGAGCATTGTTTTCAGGCACGCACAGGATGATTTATTCTTATCTCTTTCACCTCTGGTTCTAGGATGTCTTATCTTTTCCCAAACTGAAACATCTACCATTTGGTGGATGGATTACTCAGCCTTGTAACTCAGTTTAACGCTTCTATATGTTCGCGTATAATTTTGTCTGCAAGGCATCTAAAAAGTATGCCTCCTTGTGGAATGTTCATCACCTCTTAACTAACTGTAATCAGTCTTTTTTCTAAGTAACAAACCAACTGTATTTCTTAGGAAAACTATTTGGAGCCCATGCTGGAAAGTAGCTCTCCTCAGCCTCTGATCTAACTACATTCAAACTAGATGTGAAAAATGTAGGAATTCTACTTTCCTATTACCTACTGACATCCTAACCCAAGTAAAGCCTTCTAATGCCATTCAGATCTCTTCATCAGGAATTACTGTAATGTCCCCTGTCTCATCCTTCATTGGGAAAGAATTACATAATTGTATTAATGAGCTATCCTAATTTCATATTCATCCTGGAAAAAACTTAGTTTATCTTCTCTCTCCTAAACTTGCCTGCTTCTTTTCCCACGTGTCATATTTGGATGAGAGCTAAAAACAACAGAAAAATATAAGAAGTTCTAACTTAGACTAAGCTAAGTCAGCTGCTATCAAGTGAGCTTTAGACTCATTGCCTTTCCATGTAAATCAAAGTTCAAGTGAATTGACCATTGGTGATTGTCTTTTAACCAACTAACAAATTTTTTACTTCTCAGTTCAAGTGACGGGAGAAACATTTTCACCAGCTTTGCTTGCTTTCTTTCCTTCCCACTGAGACAGTTGCCTTAAGAAGGGTGATTATTCTTCTGAAAACATTTATGAATCTGACAACTATTGGTAATTGAAAATATCATAATTGGCTGGTTGTGGTGGTTCATGCCTATAATCCCAGCACTTTGGGCGGCTGAGGTGAGCGGATTGCTTGACCCCAGGAGTTTGAAAACAGCCTGGACAACATGGCAAAACCCATCTCTACAAAAAAATACAAAAAATTAGCCAGGTGTTGCATGATCCTGTGGTCCCAGCTACTCTGGAGGCTCATCTGAGCCTGGGGAGGTTGAGGCTGCAGTGAGCCTTGGTCACACCACTGTTCTCCAGCCTGGGTGACAGAGTGAGACCCTGTCTCAAAAGCAAGAAAGAAAGGAAGGAAGGGAGGGGAGAGGAGGGTAGGGGGAGGGAAAGGAAGGAAGAAAGAATAATAATTACTTGTAAACATCCTAACTTGACTGTACAATGTATTTTCTAGTAGACCAATGTTTCTAAACAGATGAACCAGCTGTCTGGCTGCCCATTGAAAAGAGATACATCTCTCTTCCTGGGCATTGACAAACAGAAAGAACAGGTGAGGGGCATTTAAAGCCAAATGAAGCATCAACACATATTAAAGAGCCTTAAAGTTACCCCTGCTTAGTTATTTACATGCATTTCAATATTCTGTGAAAAAATTCACTTGAACTCTGATTTACCTGGAAAGATAATGAGTCTAATGCTCACTTGATACAGTTGACTTAGCTTAGTCTAAGTTAGAACTTCTTATGTTTTTCTGTTGTTTTTAGCTCTCAGGTCTGGGGACCAGAATTGTAACCATTCAACAAAATAAACAGATTTCTAAATATGAAGTTTAGCCCATGGATTCATGAGGAGGAGAGATTCTTGACCAATCTAAGTCATGACTACCATAGGATTTTCTAACACCCCTTCCCCAAAATTAAGTTTCAAAAAAATTTTTTTCTCATTTCTTGTGGTTGCACAGCACAAAATGAGTCAGAGGAACCAGGAATTTTCTTTTTCCCCACTTTAGTTGACCTTTGTGTTGTGCATATGCCATTTTGTACTTTGAGTAACGTTGTCTCCAAAGGTTCTGCTTTGGTTTAATGCCGAACATTGGCCGTCCTTAAATAAGGGCCACAGTCCTTGTGGGTATCTCCTTATTGGAGAAATTGCAGGTAAACTTTGTAAGCAAAGAGGATCTTGCCGATTGGTCTCCTTTGTCTACATGTGTTGTTTGCATCTACCTGGGACTTATAATTATTGTTTGCTTTTCCTTCTCTTTGGCTGCTTTTGGCCAAACATGTTTTTATCATCCTCATGAAAGATTTAAGTTCCAGAGCTAGCCTTAGATATTTGTGTCTCTTCCTTTTCTTTGGGTTAGCAGGCATCTGCCATTAAATACATCGAATTCATTCCATGTTAGTGGGTCACTTCTGATGCCTTTGGCTGTCTGAAGGTTTGGTGAAAAACATATTCAATTATTTTACATATTAAAGAAACTACACTAATGTTTAAGGGTTCACTGTGTCTGTGTAGAATTTAACAAACTTTTTTCTTTAGTGTCTAGTGACGGTTCATGGCTCAAACTCAACCTGCACAAAAAATATGACTACTATTACAACACTGATTCAAAAGAGAGTTCCTGGGTCACACCTGAATCATGCTTGTATAAAGAATCATGGCTCACAGGAAAAGAAATCGAGGTAGGAGGTTGGTGTTTGATGGATAACTCTACTGTATAAAGTTAAATTTGACTGGTTTTCTATTTCTGAATCATGGAAGTGATGAGAGGAACTAACTGATTTATCTGAAGTCTGGATATGTAATAAAGTCTTCATGAACTGCAGTTGAATGTGGCTGCATTGTTACTAATGTACAGAATTTTTTCCATATTGGCTTAACAAAACCAAATAGAGCAGGGGGAAGAAATATTTCACTATTTATTTGGGATGGTAGATTATCCTAAGAAATCAATCTTAAGATTTTCCTTGACTTAATTAAGCTCAATTAATGATAATTCCTGGGTTGTCAATATTTAAAAGGTATTTCTTTCCCCCCATCTCAGCCTGCAACTTAACATTGTACCTTTCAAACCAAAATGTCATTTTTTTCTACAAAGTGCTGGAGAGGGCATCTCTGCCACACATGGCCCCAGCCATCTCCAGGACAGCTTCGGAAGCAAAGAACAGAGTTGGGCAAAGAGCAGGATGGGTAAACATTAAATGTTTGCTTCTTCCGAGATGGTCATCTTAGCATGTTTTCATTGCTTAACATTTCTAGAGATCTGGATGTACCCATGTCCAAATGTAAGTGCAAACATCACAATTGAGTGTATCTTATACTTTGCTTTCAATTAACTGACATAAAAATTAGCCATGTGTCCATGTATTGTACTAACCAAGAGTTAAACAAGATACATTGAACTGGAATTTCTATTTAACTACTAAAGGTCCCTTTTAACTAATCTGTGACCCATATTTGAAAGCTTTCTTCTACCAGATTTTACTTATTGAAAGCAATTTGTCCCTCCTCTCATCTCTTTTTAACCAAACTATATAAATAGTACCTGTTTGAGCTTCTTGTTAGGAGTAAAGAAATAGTGCATTAGTGAACATAGTGTCATTATTGACTATTAGGACATTTGTTAGTTTTTGTTTCTCTTTTTGGGGGAACATTTGTTATTTTAAATAAAAGAAGAAACTCATTTAGAAAAGTCTGCATTAGGTGAAACCCCATCTTTACTAAAAATACAAAAATTAGCTGGGCATGGTGGCGGGCACCTGTAATCCCAGCTACTTGGAAGGCTGCATCAGGAGAATTGCTTGAACCCAGGAAATGGAGGTTGCAGTGAGCCAAGATCGCACCATTGCACTCCAGCCTGGGCGACAAGAGCTACACTCTGTCCCGGGGAGGGAAAAAAGCCCAGAAAAGTCTGCGTTAGAATCTCAGGTTCAGATGCTTTTTCTCGTTATAAACAAGACTGGCTGGAGTCTCAGGGGTCCTCCTGATTCCCCCATGTGCCTTGTCCATTGTAGTCCTAATTCCCTCCCAAATATTCAGCAATTTTTATATATATAGGAGCCCAGGGCTGAAGTATTTACAAAAAAAGATAACAAGAGCAAAGCTAGGAGAAAAAGTACAGCCAAAAGAGCTATTTTCAGTTTCAGTTCTAGGTCACTGAATTTCATTCATTTTTTAGTTGCCCCTCCCTACATAGAGGAATGAGAGGAGCACTTTGACAATAGATTATTTGCATAATCATGGCTTTGTTAGATCTGAATGTTTTCTTGCAACATGGGAATAGGGAACTAAATGCTTGGTGAGGCTTTCCTGAAACAAAAGACTTAGCTATAAACAGGTAGTGAGGTAGATCTTGCCGAATGGCCTTGTTTGTGAGGTGGTTCTTTGCTTTGTCTGAAGTTGGTGGGCAGCCATGAAGAAACAGGAGGGGGTAAAGTCAGAGGAATGTGAAATTGGAATCAACCCTTGTAGCAAGATGTCTGAAACAAGTTATGGCCAAAAGTAACCTTTCCAACTGGTGTCTCTACAAATACCCAAAGAATGTGTAGAACTGCGAATGAGGTCTCCTGAAACCATAAACATAGCCAAGTACCCCTCATTTGTATGGAGTTTCACTTTCCAATGTACTTTCACATCACTTTGATCCCTAAATTATCCTCTAAGTAGAGATAGAGCAAATATTCTCATCTTCTATTTTTCTAAGTGAGGAAATTGGGGCACAGAGTAGGTGAAGCAGTTTGTACTAATTCTGCAATTTGTGTAGATTTTGTCAATAAACAGATTTATTTCCAGTGCTTCCAACTTCTAGTCTAGTATGTTTTCCACTTTTTGCATTGTTTTTGACACAGTCACCGGTATCTCTGAGTGGTTATATCATGTGCCCATTGCTCTGGAATTAATAACATAAGTTGGTGGCTTAAGAAATACATAGGTACTTTAAAAAGTGAGTAATGCTTCCTAGGAGGAATACTCTTGAAGGAATATTCACCAACATTGCTTTGGATTTAAAAACAAAAACAAAAGTTGGACCCAAAGGATGTGAAACCTGCTGATAATGGATCCACGCGTCATAATATGTTTAAAGAGGAAATACTGATGATAATTAAGTTCTATTTTGGGAAAAAACAAGAACACATATCTTATAGAATCGTTAAAAGTCAGCATCAAAGATATCGCAGTGTGGCAGTATTGCAGACAGAATCACCAATGCAGTATTTACTAAAACTTAGAGGAAAAAAACATGATCTGAGTCTGACCAATGCTACCAAAAATACTTAATGACAAGAAGATAGTGAAGAACACAGTTTATTGACTCATTTCAGTTGTTCAGAGGTCGTACAACTTTTAGGAAAACGACATTGTAGCAATGGATTATTAGTGCTAATTTTGAAGAAAAAAATGAAATTATAGACATACTAAAAATTTATATGCCATGGTTGAAAAGATGTATCAAACTATAAAGCAGCAGCATCGAAGATTTAAAATTTAGAATAAAAATTGATCATGTGGCATCCCAAGATATACCCCAGGTATAACTTTTTGTTATATCAAGCATCAGTCTGTTAAGATTATTAACCAGTGGAAGGTCTAACACTGTTATAAAAAATTGTATTTATTCTAAACAACTGGAATCCAGTTACCTGTTTTATTCAATGAATGCATACATATATGTCTTCTCTTAAAGATATGTATGCATCTTTGGTATGATTTCACTTTTAGCTCTTTAAGTTAACCAACCATTAATTCCAGTTGTACTAGATAAGAGTCATCAGCTGTAGAAGTGACAGTCCAGTCTTTCTTTGCATCTCTCATCGGGCATAAAAGTAAACCCTGTTCATACCCCACATGAAACTTTCTTATAACCCCCTTCTTCCTTTTTTCTCATTCTTCTAGATTTCTGCTCTCTATCCTTAATAGCACTTATCTTGCCTCTCCCACCCCTTTGTCTTTTGCCCCAGAGCATCATTCTGAGTTTGGCCACAGCTCGTTACAGGGGTCTGCCTACTCTGGCCTGGGGAAGAAATGGGAAAGAAGTCTGAGGACCTTATGGCCATTGCAGTCTTTTCCTTGGCAGTCCGAGGGAAGCGGGAGGTGATGCATGTTTTTACAGCAAGCATCCTTGTCCCTTTACATTCTGTGGAGCTCAGGCCTCATGCCTGGTCCTTGCCAGCATCATCCATACATCTCTGCCTCCAAATCCTGAGATCATTGAGCTGCATTCTCTTGCCACCTCAGCACCAAGCTCAGAGATTCCAAAATCATATTGCTAGAAAGAAGTTAAGCCAGTTTCATCCCTCAGCTCTGCTTAAATTTGTTTTTAAACCAAGCCAAAAGGAGACATCCATATTATTTTCTAAAAGATAAAATATCAGAAGCTATTCTATGTGTGCCTTTCAGCTGATGTGTGAAGTGTAACCATAAGAAATATCTCTTGCCAGGACATTATTGAGGAAGTCACAGTAGGTTACATTCGTGAGAATATATGGTCTGCTTCAGAAGAGTTGCTTCTTCGCTTTCAAGCCACAAGCTCAGGACCCATCCTTAGGGAAGAGTTTGAAGCTAGAAAATCATTTTTGCATGAACAAGAAGAGAATGTGGTCAAAATACAGGTATGTGGATCACCTGCCACTGTTTACACAAAACTGTCATATCACCTGAAAATGTTTTATTTGATAATAGAATAGTCAACTACCAGCATTCCTATAAACAAATCTGACTGCATATTTTTACATAATCAGTGCCCCTAGTCTACTTCACTAAGGCTTTAAAATAGGAAGCATTTTGATGATGAATGACTTAACCTATGGTCTTCTAGAGAGCATTTAGGAGCACCGCAGATTTGCACAGATCCACCTGCTGCCAACCTAGTTGGACCCAAAGGGATATACCTTGGATCAGAGTTGAAATCATACCTGACTTGGGGACTTTACAATTTGGCTTTTTTGTGGTTAGTAGATGTTGAGTGGCGTCTTAGTTTCTGTGCTGTTCTAGCCTGAAAGAACAGGAGAACTAATGAAATAAACAGATTTAGCCTCTCTAAGAATGTCTTCTACCTTCTGTAATCTGTCACTCTTCATTTAGGCCTTCAGGAGAAACCTTCATTCCCAATTTTTTTGCTATAAATTGTTCTTAAGTTTGCATGACTTGTCTAAACTTTCTGATTGGCAGGAGAATTTGCCAGGTTTAGATGTTTCTCTTCTGTATTCCTATAGCGCCCCCTACCAGTCACCACACTGGTTTGTGAAAGGCTGTGAGTTTGTTCTTTTTATTGTGAGTTCAAAGGGGTATTATTAACAACTGGTAAAGTCTGATGCTGATGGGTTTTTACTTTGAAGTTTCCTAAATTGAACATTTTTCTGTTGAAGACCTTCTTTTTTGTGTGGTCACTGGTGAACTCATCTGCTTTTCCCACCTAACTGTAATGTCCAAGGCAGAAAATGAATTTTACAAACATTTGTCTTCTTGTATCTTGCACATGATAGGTGCTTACATATTTAAATTTGCTTGGAGCTTAAGATATTATTAGCAAAGCAGAAATAATTAATTTTATAAAAGAAATTTCTACTATAAATCTGACACTCAAAGGATTTTTCTAGGTGGGCCAATGAGTTTACAATGTATTCCTTTAAACAAATAGTAGGCAAAACACACAGGAAGTGAACAAAAGCCTAAAAATAGTCATCTACACTGATGAGACTCTAATTTTGCACAAATTTCACGTGTCAGCCAATATAAAATTGGGACCCCACACTCTCCAGTCTCAGGTCACACAGCAGTGTTGCAGTTGGAAGATATACCACAGAGCCCACCAGTACAGAATCCCTCTATATTAGAAACCAGGGCTGAAGGATGAGAGAAATGGGGTAAGGACAGGAACGATCATTTGGAGCCTTTTTCCTCCACCTCAGCAGAGGCAAAAGAATTGACGAAGCAGCCATCAAACCATGAAGTCACCTCACCACGCCTTTTTTTCAGTCTTCTGACAATTTTCCAAAACAGAGGGCATGAGGCCTAAAGGTAAGCCTACTTTACAGATGTGGACCAGAAGTGAATAATACAGTTAATAGGAACCTGCTGACCCATAAAACCAAGAGACTGTGAACCAAAAGGTGTCATGCTAATCTCATTTCTCACCAAAGTGGCTGGTTCACCTTCAAGTAGGAAAATGTTCTGATATCTGAGAAGGTCCCCTACGTAAAACACTGTGAGCTTCCTAGCTGGCTGAACTGCCCCCCAGACACAGTAGTCTTAACACATTTGGAGAGAAATACAAAGGCAAAACTCCTAGGCCGAGGCCAGCTATACTCCGGCTACACCACCCTCCCTGCCATCAGTGGTCTGCCAAGGAAATGAGTAGTGGTACAGAGAATGTGCAGCATGATCAACATCCAGCATTCTGTCTCAAGTGCTTATGGAGTTAACTGGGAGGTGCCCAGGTCAATATAGAGGAAGTCAAGGAGAATCTACATAGCCATATTATTTTTGAGCAGTTAGAAGTCCCCGATAAAATTGCCTGAGTGAGCCAGAAAAAAAAATCTGTTCATAAACAAAAAAGATTTTATATCAGAAATAGAAAAAGGAATGTAACTTGTAAAATATAAGTGGAGTAGATATCTAGAGTTACTCTTCCAGAAGACAGGAGAAAATTTTATACTGAAGCTGCTTTATACTGTCAAGGAATTTGATAAGACATGGACTTAATGAAATAAGAAGACAATAGAATAATAAAATGAAAAGACAGCTGACAGCTAAGGAGAGGAAGAGAAATAATGATGTTATAGAATGTAAATGAATTTATAACTGCAGAATGCAAATTAGACACTGAACATAATTGGAGCAGACACAAAAAACTTCAGAAAAATCCACAAAAGATGAGAGAAAGAATAGATGACTAAAAACACACTTTCTCATCTGAAAAATATAATGCCCATTTTATTGCAGGGTGGTGAAGACTGACTGGAATAATTCACATAACAGATGTTTCCTAGTATTTGCTTCTCAAGTGCTTGATAAACTTTAGAAATGGTAAGATGATAGAGATAATGACTCAGAAGGCAGATAATGGGGATCCAATATTGATATTGTTGGTGTGGCACAGGAAAACATCAGAAAAAAATGAAATAGGATTAGAGTAGGTAACTACAGGAGGAAGTTTTTTTCATGAACTGAAGAAAGCTAGTATACTACTTTTTAGGAAAGGACATAATAGTGGCAAACACCAAAACTTAGCCCTGAGAATTAATGAATTATTGAACTTCAGCTCAGGGAGTGCCACAAGCATCCTGGTGAAGAAAAACAAGCTACTCTGAAGGAACTTCACTTCGCCAGGAGCAGTGGCAGAGTCTGTGGGCCAAGAGGAAGGGGATGGCCTGGGAGAGTCGGTCCTCAGTTGTTTTAATGTAACCGACTGCTCTTATAGATGGCTGGATTTTTTTTACCTTTGAGGAGAGGGAGAAGAGGTAAATGTTTAGGGCTTTCTTGGCTAACCGAGATCACACAAGTATTCTGTGCATCAGAAGTTGGCATTGGTAATTTGAATATCTCTATACTGAGTGTCCAGTTATCAAGCATAGCAGCCAGTGTATCAAGCCAGATTTCCCAGAGAGTAATAGTTAAAGTCTATAAAATAGAGCAATGACCTCTGAGGTCTAAGCGTTTTGACAGACTTCTTTTATACAGATACTCTGCACAGAAAATATATTTATGGTACTAGAAAACAAAACAAATAAGATGGCTATTATAAATTTTCCCACAAGTTCCCATACCAGGCAGGAGAATGAGACTGCCATTTTTGTAAATCCTTTTTTTTTTTTTTTTTTTTTTGAGACAGAGTCTTGCTCTGTCGCCCAGGCTGGAGTGCAGTGGCACCATCCCAGCTCACTGCAACCTCCACCTCCTGGGTTCAAGTGATTCTCATGCCTCAGCTTCCCAAGTAGCTGGGATTACTGGCATGCGCCACCACACCCAGCTCATTTTGGTATTTTTTATAGAGACAGAATTTCACCATGTTGGCCAGGCTGGTCTTGAACTCTTGGCCTCGAGTGATCTGCCTGCCTCGGCTTTCCAAAGTGCTGGGATTATAGGCATAAGCCACCACACCTGGCCTGTAAATCCCATCTGTCTGTAATTTTCAAAGTTTCTTTATATCAACTGTATACCCATATTTGCTTATAATAAACAGCCTCTAATTAGAGAAGAGATTACAATGTCATGGCTATGCACAAGAGTTCTGTTGTTAGGACATAATAGGAAAAGCTCATCTCAAAGGAACTAAAACTTACAGACTAAAAAAAGAAAAACAGAATTTTGGCAAATGAAAGATGAGGCATGTAGTATTCTGCTTCTATGGAACAAAAAAATTCTTTTATTATTATGCTTTAAGTTCGGGATACATGTGCAGAATGTGCAGGTTTGTTACATAGGTATACACGTGCCATGGTGGTTTGCTGCACCCATCAACCCACCATCTAGATTAGGTATTTCTCCTAATGCTATCCCTCCCCTAGTTCCCCACCCCCTGACAAGCCCCAGTGTGTGATGTTCCCCTCCCTGTGTCCATATGTTCTCATTGTTCAACTCCTACTTATGAGTGAGAACATGCGGTGTTTGGTTTTCTGTTCCTGTGTTAGTTTGCTGAGAATGATGGTTTCCAGCTTCATCCATGTCCCTGCAAAGGATGTGAACTCATCCTTTTTTATGGCTGCATAGTATTCCATGGTGTATGTGTGCCACATTTTCTTTATCCAGTCTGTCATTGATGGGCATTTGAGTTGGTTCCAATCCTTTGCTATTGTGAACAGCACTGCAGTAAACATACTTGTGCATGTGTCTTTATAGTAGAATGATTTATATCCTTTGGGTACATACCCAGTAATGGGATTGCTGAGTCAAATGGTATTTCTGGTTCTAGATCCTTGAGGAATTGCCACACTGTCTTCCACAATGGTTGAACTAAGTTACACTCCCACCAGTAGTGTAAAAAGCATTCCTATTTCTCCACATCCTCTCCAGCATCTATTGTTTCCTGACGTTTTAATGATTGCCATTCCAACTGGCGTGAGATGGTATCTCATTGTGATTTTGATTTGTATTTCTCTGATGACCAGTGATGATGAGCTTTTTTTCATGTTTGTTGACTGCATAAATGTCTTCTTTTGAGAAGTGTCTCTTCATATCCAGGAGCAAAAAAATTATATTCCCAGCCAAGCTGCCTTTGTTTGGAAACGTAAAAAAACTCATAAATATAGAAGAATACCAGAAAATTTTACATAAATAGTTATGAGATGAAACATAATAATGAGCTCTCAAGGTAAATAGTTAATCCTTAGTATATTAAAAAAAAAAAAACAGAATGGACGAATGGGGTAATTTTGCCAATGCAGGAATGATTCAATATTAAATAATCTGTTACTATGACAGGTCACTTATTCAGAATGTTTGCGAATCTCAGATAATTGAAATTAAGTGTTTTTGGAGTTTAGGTAATTCCAGAAGAGCAGAATAGGAACTTGAGCTAATTCCAATTATCTTGTTTAGCCTTTCAGTATGGACTAAGGAAGGAGTGGAATTTATAATATACATTCAAACAATTGCACTTCTCTGCTTTAAACCAGTGTTAACCACCAAAATATAGGAACTGTTAAGATCCATCACAACACATGTTTTACTGGTTGGACTGCCATGGAATCCCAGTGACCCACGATTAGGGTCCACTTCCCCTAGTTTCTGTTGTGCTGTTGGGCCACTTTTATGAACAACTGTTGGTGACATCAGAGAATTTTGCCCATCTCAGAATTGTCACACTGTGACAAATCCCATGGGGTAGCATTTTCTAAACGGATAATTAATTTAAAATTTTTTATTTTGGTTATTTACATTTTTATCATTTAATGTGTGAACACATACCCAATGCTCTCTTTGCCTGGAAGATTGGTAAAAGTACAAAATCTCAAGCCTTCCCCGAGGCCTACTGAATCCTAACCTGCATTCTGACAAGATCCTCGGATGATTTTATATTCACATTAAAGTTTGAGAAGCACCGTTAAGATCACTCCAGTTTCAAAACTCCAGATAATAATTCATCTTCCTGTATAATTCTTTATCACCATAAGAGCTTAAGGGAGAAAAACCCATGTGCTCTTTTCAATAGTTACTGCAAAAGCATTTGATAGAATTCTAGACTCATTCCTGTGTTTTTAAATGATTGCATTGAAGTTTAAGGTTTTTTTTTGAGGGCAATTGGCATCTTTATAATAATAAACTTTACAGTTCAGGCATTAATCTTTTTCCATTTATTAATCTGTTCCAAACTGTACCATTATAATTTTATTCCTTTATATTTAAGTTTACTCATGTATATTTTTCTGCTATTGTGAATAACATCTTTATTCTATTGTGTTGTTTATTCTTGACATGTAGAAAACTTATCAATTTTATATTCATTTTATAACTAGTCACCAGGATGAACTCTTAGTTCTAATAAATTTTTAGTTGATCCTCTTGAGTCATAACTACCATTGACACTTCTGATTTTTTTTTAAATCTTTAATTTTGTCAAGGAATAGATTCACATAGCCTTAATAATATAGTAAGCTTTAAGGACTTAAAAATTATTTGGGCTTGCCTCTGCTTCTGGGGAAATGGAATGCATGTTCTTTTCCCTATTCTTCCGTAAATACAACTAAAAGCCTCCAATATTATATATAAACAAACATAACACTCTTAAAAGTGAAGAGAAAAAAGTCAGACTAAGTAGTGAACCTTGGGACCCAAGGAATGACATAGTGGTGAGTTCTTTGAGTTTTCTTTTTGTTTATATTTTTCTGACCTGGAGCTGGAGAGGCTGGCCACCCAGAAATGCCAATGGGTACAGGCTCTGATATGGTTTGGCTCTGTGTCCCCACCCGAATCTCATCTTGAATTGAACTTCCATAATTCTTGCATGTTGTGGGAGGGACCCAGTGGGAGATAATTTGAATCATGGGGGCGGTTTCCCCCATACTGTTCTTGTGGTAGTGAATAAGTCTCATGAGATGGTTTATAAGGGGTTTCCACTTTTGCTTCTTTCTCATTCTCTCTTGCTGCCACCGTGTAAGAAGTGCCTTTTGCCTTCCACCATGATTGTGAGGCCTCCCCAGCCACATGGAACTGTGAGTCCATTAAACCTGTTTTTCTTCCCAGTCTCAGGTATGTCTGTATCATCAGCGTGAAAACTGATTAATACAGGCTCTAGTGAAAGCCTGCTCTCTGTAGCCAAAGGACCAAGAAAGAAACAGGCTAGCAAGACAGAAATAATTTCAGACAGTAACTGCTCTACTCTAGCCAAACACCACACACACACACACACACACACACACAAACGAAAAAAACTGTAATGCCTCCACCTAGGCAGCAAAGCCTGAATGGCGAGCCTGGACTTCCACCCTCCTGGACTGTAATAAGGCACCCAGACTTATAGAATCTGGATCTTGTGCCCACTGAGCAGTAATGTGGCAGCCCTCCCTCTCCCTGCTAGAGTGGTGTGAGAGGAGCCAAGGCAGAGAGGCAGGACCTTCACACCATCCAGTTGTAATGAGGTCTTTCCCCTCAGTTGGTCAATGGAGGCCACATGGGGAGTAATAAGAAGGCACCCCTACTCTCCCAGCCAGAGTGATATCAAGAGAGGTCCAGTAGGTAGCTGGACCCCCTCCCAGCAATAACGAGGAGGCCTTCCCCACCTTAGTAGTAAGGTTCCTTGGGTCCCAAGATTCACTAGCCTCCTTTTTTTCTCTTCACCTTTAAGAGAGTTATGTTTGTTTATATAGACAGAAACCAAATGGAGAACCTAGCCTTCTCCTCCCACCTCCTAGTAATGAGGCAGTGCCCCCACTTTTTCCTTGCCAAAACAATGTCAGGAAAAGCCACCTAAAACAGTAGGATTAAATAAGATCCAGGACCCCAAACTACCGACATTACCTAAGGTTCAATCACTTGACTGTTTGGATATTGCAATCACAACAATCACTTATGTCAAGAACCAAGAAAATCACAACTTAAGTTTAAAATAACAATTCCTAGGTGCCCACACAGAAATGACGGATGTTAGAATTATCTGACAAGGATTTTTAAAGCAGCTATCATAAAAATGTTAAAATAAGCAATTAGCAATTACTAACATTTGAAGCAAAAGAAAGAACATCTCAGGAAAAAAACTAAAGCCTCAGCAAAGAATTAAAAGGTTTATAAACCACACAGTAACTTTTAGAACTGAAAAATACAGTAACAGATGTGGAAACCCAATGAATAGTCTTTGCAGCAGAATGGAAGGACAGAGGAATGAATCAGTGCACTAGAGACTATAACAACAGAAATTCCCAGATCTGAACAACAAAGAAAAAGCAGACTGAAAGAAATAAAGAACAGAGCCTCAGGGATCAGTGGGATTATAACAGAAGATTTGACATTTGTGTCATCGGATTCCCAGAGGAGAGGAGAAAGAGGCAGTACTGACAAAGTACTTGAAATAAAAGTGGAAATGTTCCAAAAACACAGATTCAAGAAGCTGAGGAAACCTCAGACAGGATAAAGTGAAAGAAATTCACACAAAGACATATCATAGTCAAACTTCTGAAAACAAAAGACAAAGAAAATATTTGGAAAAGCAGTGAGATAGAAACAACTTACCTGTAAGAGGGAGACAGTTCTAATGACAGAGGATTTTTCATAACCTAAGGAGGCCAGAAGGAAGTACAACATTTTTCGGGGGAATCAAAGGCTGAATGAGGAGTCTAGACTTCCACCCTCCTGTAACAAGGCACCCAGACACTTGTAGAACCTGGAGAGAAAATAACTGTCAACATAGAATTTTATATCCAGCAAAAATAACCTTTAGGAATGAAGGAGAAACTAAGAGCACTTGTTACCAGCAAACTTCCCTCAAAGAATGACTACAGATAGCTCTCTAAACCAAAAGGAAATGAAGAAAGAAGAAATTTCGGAACATCAGAAGGGAAGAAAGGATAGCTAGAAGAATAAAAATATGAATAAATACATTTTTCTACTCTTGAGTTTTTAAAGTTGACAGTTGAAGTGCTGTTGTGGCTCTGAATGAAGCCTGCTTCATTCTCTGTGGTTTCTCTCAAGGGATGGCGTTCAGTGTCTGTGGCTTTTCCAGGCACGTGGTACAAGCTGTCGATGGATCTACCATTCTGGGGTCTGGAGGACAGTGGCCATCTGCTCACAGCTCCACTAGGCAATGCCCCAGTGGGGACTCTGTGTAGGAGCTCCAACCCCACACTTCTCCTCCATACTGCCCTAGCAGAGATTCTTCATGACAGTTCTGCTCCTGCAGCAGGCTTCTGCCTGGACACCCAGGCTTTTCCAAACATTCTTTGAAATCTAGGCAGAGGCTCCCAAACCTCGACTTTTGCATTCTATGCACCCACAGGCTTAACATGACATGGAAGGCACTAAGGCTTACAGCTTGCACCCTCTGAAGCAGCAGCCTTAGCTGTACCTGAGCCCCTTTTAGCCATGGTTAGATCTGGAGCGGCTGGGATGCAGGGATTACTGTCCCAAGGCTGTGCAGTGCATCAAGGCCCTGGGCCCACAAAACCATTCTGCCCTCCTAGGCTTCCCAGCCTGTGATGGCAGGGGCTGCTGTGAAGGTCTAAAGCATTGGGGATTTCAGTTCAACATGAGATTTGGGTGGGGATGCAAATCCAAACCATATTAAGGCATGAGCCATCATGTCCAGTTCACATCTTTATATAAGTTTGTATTTGTATTTGTGTGTACAATGATGGGGTATGTGTGTTTACACATGTGCGTATTTCAGAAGATACATAATAAAATGTTAAATAGTAGTTGCCTTTATAAAGTAGCTAGGTGGAAGTAGAGATAGGTACACAGGTATGTATACCCTTTCTCTTTGTTCACTGTGTATTTTAATAGATATTCTAGATATTGAGGTACAGATTGTTTGCATAGAAATATATAGAATTATTCTGTGGGTTTTTTGTTAACATGTGGTATCATAATATGTGTGGTAAGCTAAAATTTCCTTTTCATATTAGCAATATATCTTAGAGGTCTTCCTGTTCTCCAAAATACAGAGCATTGCCATAGTCAGTATATATGACCTTACTTTACTCTTTTTTTATATATATACTTTAAGTTCTAGGGTACATGTGCACAACGTGCAGGTTTGTTACATATGTATACATGTGCCATGTTGGTTTGCTGCGCCCACTAACTCGTCATTTACATTAGGTATTTCTCCTAATGCTATCCCTCCCCGCTCCCTTACTTTACTCTTAACTGATGTGTAACATCCCTCAGTGGGACTGCAATTGCAGTGTCTCTAGCTGTTCCCCCTATTAGTGAACATTTTACTGGATGCACAATTTTGGTATTACAAACAATGCTGTGACAAAAATACTTATATATGGGGCTTTTCTACACAGGTGCTTTAATTTTCCTGGGCTAGATATATTGAAAATTAGAAATACTAGGTGAAAGGCTAAATAATTTTAAATTTGATACTGCTAAATTCCCTCCCCAAAACTATACCCTTTTGTAGTTTCCTCGAGCTCACACTTCACCATCTATGCTTTCTTTGTCCACCGATTGACATATGGATAAGGCAAGAATTTTCCCAAAATTACTCTGACTACCTCAAGCTTAAAGCCATAAAAAAAAGTTTTGACATTTTTTATGGAAATTTGCTCTGCCTCTTCCTCTTTCAGTTCAGTTCTAGTTGCTTTCTGTTTTCTAGGAACCCTCATAATTTTTATCTCTATGCCTTCTTATTTTCTAGCACTATTATGGATTGCTTTAAAAGTATGTTTGGGCCAGGCATGGCTAACACCTGTAATCCCAACACTTTGGGAGGCCAAGGTAGGGTGGATTGCTTGAGTCCAGGAATTCAAGACCAGCCTGGGCAACATAGTGAAACTTAGTCTCTCTGAAAAATAGAAAAATCAGTCAGGCATGGTGGTGCACACCTGTAGTCCCAGCTATTCAGGAGTCTGAGGCAGGAGGATCAGTTGAGCCCAGGAGGTGGAGGCTGCAGTGAGCCATGATTGAGCCACTGCACTGTAGCCTGGGACAAAATGAGACCCTGTCTCAAAAAATAATAAGAAAATAAAAGTATATTTGTATGATGTTACCATTGGGGGAAGCTGTGTAAAGGGGTACACGGAACTCATTGTATAATCTTTTGTCCTTCCTGTGAGTCGATGATTCTTTCCAAATTAAAAGGTTTTTTTTTTTAAACATATTTATGCCTTCTAGGGACTTGGACTGAGGGGAAGTCTGGAGCAAGTGCCCAGTTCGTCATTTTGATTCCATCCTGACTAAATTGTTTTGACTCATTACAAAAATATTATTTTTTTGAAATAACAAAATTTCATTTACCCTTTTTAAAAAGAATGAGGTAAATATATACAGACATGAAAAGAAGTTTATAAAAAAATTTGATTTTTTATATTTGCCCTTTTTAACAAGGAACTTTTACTTCCTTTCTAATTTGAAAAACAGTATCAGAATTGGGGTGAGTTACAAAGATGTTTCAATAAAAAGATGCTCATAAATGAATTGGAATAAACTGTAACAGTTATGAATTTACTTCTTCTAAAGATACTAGTTTGTGTCCAGTTTTTGTAAAGAGTTTCCTGTAAAAATTATTCTTAATGGTGATAATCAGGTAAAGCTATGTTGATGAAGCATTGTTTAACTTTATGTGGGGATATATGAAATGATGGTCAGTTGCAGCACCAGTGTTTTCAGGGATCCAAGGGATTCAGGGCCACAAGTTGGTAGAGCATCCTCCTTTCCAGTCGGGGCCACAGTGGGCCACGTGTTGTGGTAAAGATACTTAATATTAGGCATTATTTTCAAGCATTTTTTGTTGTTATCAAATACCACTAGCACCTAGTTAATACTGTTTATGGGTTTTGGAGAAATTCCATTTTACTCCTTTTTGCCACCCAGGGCCTTGGTAAAGTTAAGCTTTCCAGCAGGAACTGTGCTTCTCCATGTAATTTATCACCCTT
This sequence comes from Homo sapiens, assembly GCF_000001405.40. Classification (NCBI taxonomy): domain Eukaryota; kingdom Metazoa; phylum Chordata; class Mammalia; order Primates; family Hominidae; genus Homo; species Homo sapiens. The sequence continues at coordinate 76,652,528 of NC_000005.10, forward strand.
ACTCTGCTGTCCTAAGCTTAGAACTAGTCTCAGCTGTGAGCTGATGTGCTCTGCTGTGTTTAACTGGCTACCCCCAGAGAGGGTGTCCAGATGAGATCTGAAGGGAGGGTGCCTGACAGTGTCCCAGCTCCATGCGGCCTGAGATGTGCTCTGCTCTTGCACTTCCTAGATAAATTGGGAAACTTGCTGGTAAATAATTCTATAACCCACTCTTTTCCTTAGGCTTTTTGGAAAGGATATAAACAACGGAAGGAGTATATGCACAGGCGGCAAACGTTCATTGATAATACTGATTCTATTGTGAAGGTAAATACCCTTTCCTACCATACCAAGTGCTTGGCTTAAACGTTTCCCCTCATTTCATGTTTAATCTGAAAGACAGCTATAGAAAGGGAGGGTACATGTGAGCCTTGAAGTCAGAAGGCAGTACTGGATTTGAATCCCAGTTCTGCTGCTCATTTACCTAATCATTTTTCAAGCAGGTTGGTTAAACCGGTATAAAACCTCAAGTCCTTTATGAGTGGTTATGAGAATCACAAGTGAAAGTGTTCTATAACCAATAAATGTTCTTTGTCTAGAAAGTTCAAGTTGATTATTTAGACTTTAGGTAGAACCCAGCTTTTTTTCATGTTTCTCTTTCCACATTTGCTTAAGCATATTTAGAATGCTCAGACATAACAGAACAAAACCCATGATAAGAGGAAGTAGAGCTAATTTAGGGCCTATATTTGGGAGCTGAATTAGTCGAACCCAGGTGAATAGCTCTGGGTGAGAAAGAAAGGGTACTGTGATGTCCACTCTCATGGATCTGAAAGCCAGAGGACTGGACAAAAATCAACTTGGAAATCTACAACTTGGAGATCTACAAGTCTCCAGCTTGGAAATCCAGATGAGAGTGGAAGCAATGGAACTGGAAAGTAGAATCAGATTAGTTTAAAGATCTTTCAGGCCAGGCTTAGTGGCTCAAACCTGTAATCTCAGCACTTTGGGAGGCCAAGGTGGGAGGATAGCTTGAGCCCAGGAGTTCAAGACCAGCCTGGGTAACATAGGGGGACCTCATTTGTATTTTAAAAAATAATAATAAATAAAAACAAATTTAAAAAACGTTTTAAACTGTGAAGACAGAGAATAATGTGACCCAGATCCATTGTGCAGTAGCTCCTTGATGAAATAGCATCCTATGGAACATATGCCTATTCTGTCAAAAACCATTGGTAGCAATTGGTCCCTCATGAGACCTCTTCGATGTTTTCCTGTAAAAACTTAAAGGATATTGGATGCATTTAAAGGGATGTTAGAAGAAACCCTAGACTTAGTTTACTTGATTTCCTGACTCATTGCAACTCTCAGCAAAACGCTTCACCCTTCTGGCTTTTATTTACTGAGTTTAAGGTAAAATAGTACAAAGTTAAATTATTTTCCCCACTTCTCTCTTATTAAGGTGGTGAAATTTAGAGTAACATGTAAAGCGTTTTGAACCCCTTAAGAAACCTCAGTGAAAGATGAAGAGTAGGCTTTAGAGATTGATTATTCAGTGGGCTGCTTTTTTTCTTTATCAAGTATCATTGTTTTTAGAAAAACTACACAAAACCGTATTACGGGTTGTTTGGTGATTACTTTGACTTTTCTCTTTATTTTTTGTTGTACTTTTCTATTTTTTAAAACCTTTCAGATTCAGTCCTGGTTCCGAATGGCAACTGCAAGAAAGAGCTATCTTTCAAGACTACAGTATTTCAGAGATCATGTAAGAAAAATGCCTGTGGGATTTTATCCAGGTTGATAATGACCTAAATGAATGCTTTATTGAAAGTTAGCATTGAATGATTTTTATTGAATGGTGAACATGAACACTTAAGAAATAATGGATCTTAGAACTTCATATGATAATATTTGGAGGCTTACTGTTTTCATTCAGAAATCATGTTGAGAGTTAGACTTCACCAGTCAGGACTCGATAGAAAATGGGTGAGGGGAAAACTGTGGGCTAGTAACACCAAAGAGAAGACTCTAGAGAAATATTTTACAGCATTACATATGTAGTTTTTTCAACTGTTAACTGCTTACTTTAAATAGAAGCCCCTGGGAGGGATTTCTTCCTGAATATTTAAAGAAGAGATATGGGAACATAGATTGGATCATCTAAGTTGTGTGCTAAAATTATTTTCCCTTTTTAGATCTCTTTGTCTAGGCAGTTCCCCTACAGTCTTGTTTGTACTTTTAGCTGACTTATCTGACCTCTTCTTCAAAGAAAATGGAAAAATAAATGTTGAATACACCACATTGAAATACTGTCAGTTCTAAGTAGTGTCAGTTCTTAAATACTGACAGTTCTTAAATGTTCTAAATTCAAAAATGATGGAGTAGGTGGGACTCTGGGAGATCAAGACTTGTCTTAATCTTTTGCAGAATAATGAAATTGTGAAAATACAGTCACTGTTGAGAGCGAACAAAGCTAGAGATGACTACAAAACATTGGGTAAGTGAGAGCTTTCTGAAACAAAGCAAGGATTTTTTATAAACCAGGCAAGGACATATTGGTCCATATTGGTCACTTCAGAGGCTGCTCTAAGAACAGAGGATACCCATTGTTTCCAGTAGATTTTGATCATCTCAGGCCCCAGGTTCTAAACCAGTACACAGAGGAGCACATGGTGAAAGGAAATGGGCCTTCCTATTAAATGGAAGGGATCAGCCACATGGTATAATTTCTTCTTCAAAGAGAGTGGAGTTGGCATAAATGCTGATTTTTTTTTTTCAATCTAAGCGAGAGTCAAAAATCTAATGCAAAAGAGTTAGCCAGAAAATAACCTTATATTTAAATTGTTTAATTTGTTAGACATAGTCTCATCTCCCAAAAATGACAACTGCAAATATCTTCCTACAATTTCATTTTGAACTTTTCACAGAATAATTTTTAATTTTTGTTTGTTTTTGTTTTGAGACAGAGTCTCACACTGTCGCCCAGGCTGGAATGCAGTGGCGCAATCTTGGCTCACTGCAACCTCCACCTCCCCAGTTCAAGCAATTCTCCTGCCTCAGCCTTCCGAGTAGCTGGGGTTACAGGCACCAGCCACCACACCCAGCTAATATTTTGTATTTTCAGTACAGCCGGGGTTTCACCATGTGTGCCAGGCTGGTCTTGAACCCCTGACCTCATGATTCACCTGCCTTGGCCTCCCAAAGTGCTGGGATTACAGATTAAATTTTTTAATAAAAATTTGTAGAAAGTTTGAAAATAGCAAAATAAAATTCACCCAAAAATAACAATCACATTTTGTGCTATCTCCTTACAGTCCCAACTTTGCCTATGTTTGTTATTTTGGTTTTTTACAGATCATAAGTTGATTCTTTATATACTAAATTTTTAACATTCTAATTATCACGGGAACATGCACAGTCAAGGAGAGCTTGATGATAAATTTACTAGTACTTACAGTGCCTAGTAAGTTTAGCCAGCACCTTTTATTGTCTAAAGTTTGTCTGAATTAAGGGATGAAGTATATGGCTCAAGAAAGATCTTCCCTGGTACTTGTTAAGGAAAATCTAGGGACGCTTGAAGTCCTCACTCTGCCTCCAGCCTGCAGAATCTACTGAATAATGTCTCATTCCACTAGATTCCAGCTCACCTCTCAGCTGGTAGATATGTTGTTGTTTTTGGGGTTTTTTGTTGGTTTTTTTTGTTTGTTTTTTGTTTTTTGTTTTTTTTTTTTCTTGAGACGGAGTCTCGCTCTTTCGCCCAGGCAGGACTGCAGTGGCGCTATCTCCTGCCTCAGCCTTCCAAGTAGCTGGGACTACAGGCGCCCACCACCGCACCCAGCTAATTTTTTGTATTTTTAGTAGAGATGGGGTTTCACCGTGTTAGCCAGGATGGTCTTAATCTCCTGACCTTGTGGTCCGCCCGCCTCGGCCTCCCAAAATGCTGGGATTACAGGCATGAGCCACTGCGCCCAGCCGTTTTTGGTTTTTTTTTTAAAGAAGGCTAAAGAGGATTTTTTTTTCTGAGCCCTAACACTAAAATATGTTTGCTGTTGCTTTTATATATGAAAGATGACTTCAAAATAAATTTTCCAAATGAACACAGGCTAGTTTTCATTTTATTCAGGTAAAGTGTTTTTTTTTAAGCAGTTATAGTGATGTTTTTTGTTTGTTTACTTTTTTATTACAAAGACAAATTCCAATTTTAAAATCTAGGCAACTTTATATTGGGGCATAAAAGGTAAATAGAGAAACCATCTCGGTGAGTGAGTTAGATCTAAGCTTCTCTGGGCTTCAGCAAATTGGGTGCTTTTATGGTAACCAAAACATAAATTTTCATTTCTTTCTTAGTTCAGCATCTTTAGAAAACTAAGGCTTTGGGATTTTCTAATTTAAAAAAAAAAATAACTTTTCTAAGTTTGTTATCATCTGTTCTCCCCCTTTTATTCTGGAATGTCACTGAACGCATTCCAGCTTGAAAGATGCTGAAACTAAGATGTGGTCAGTTGTAGGAGCAGACTATAAAGTGGTCTGATTTCCTGAAATTAAAATACCTGTACCACAAAGTCATTCTCAGATGAAGATGGCAAAAAGCCTAGTATTGATAGAGGAAATATTAAATTCGAGCCATAACAATTAGTAAAGCTAAAATACTAATTTAGTTTTTTCCGATGGGACTGTTAATACATATGAAGAGACACAACCCTTAGTGGGTGGGAGAGGCAGCCATCAACTCTGGCCACAGTGGGAGGGCTCATGTTCCCCTAACTTGGCTGCATGGATGAGCGGTGGTGCATTGCTAAGGCCTTCCCTGAAGTGGTCATGTCAGTGGCAGCATCTTTGCTGGAAATAGAAGGAAAATAAATTGATGTGCTTCAGTGGTCAGGAAATAAAGGGTCCCATGATCCAAGGAAAATTCTCCAATAAAGGCCATTTATGCAGTTGTTTGTGGTTTATGCAGTTGTTTTGGTGTTAGTTTTCTTACTCCTTTAGTGTCAAAACACCACAGAACTAAGGTGGAAGTAAAAGGAAGACTGTCAAGGGCCTAGGTGTAAAGGAGGGCAACTAATGAGATGGCCATGGCTGGACTAGCTCTTCCAAGTCATCTTTCTATTACTGGGTCTAATCATTCGTCCTCAATGGACCAGACAATTTATTCTTACAGTTTACCCAGATCTGATCTCCCTAAGCATGTTAAAAATATTTTTCCAAGAGTCAGAGTGCCAGGAAATTAAAGCCTAAAGTTCCAGGTACTAAGGGGAAAACCCTTTTAGAATTTATGTGAGAATGTCCCTCTCAATAACAGGGGCTGACCCCTAGATTCTGAGCACCCTCCCTTGGCCGGTGCTCAAAGGACAAGGGCCAAGTTTCAATTTCTAAAATCTTTTTATTTCAGCTAAGTAGAACATTCGTTTTACTTATCATTCTGTTGGTTCCTGTTTGGCTTTTACAGTCCTCCCTTCCTGGCCCTTTTCTAATTCAGCTTTCACCTACTTCCGGCTCCTTCCCAAAGATCCTTTGGGCTGGGAGAAACCACTTTCTGCTTCCTGCAGCAAGAATGTAAGTCACTTATCTAGCTCAAGCACAAGGTCTCAGGGTCGAGGTAACTTATGTTAACTTTCTTTCCCAGGTTCCTGAGGAATGAGGCACAGATAGGACTATCTTCTTAGCGCATGAGTCCAGGGAACAGTGTGAGAGAGAGCTGATAAAAGGGATAAAAGGGGAGTTGATAACTAGAAAAGAGTGGGGCCAGATATCTGTTTTGTGCGTTTATTTATTGATCAGTTTCCTTGTCCAGATTTTAAATTGTGTGGGGGTGGGTAGAATGATTCTCACCCTAGACCAAGTACTTTCATTGGTATATTTTTCTAGTAATTATTTAAGACCTTGTTTCTTTCCTGTTGATAATCATTCCAAGCTTTCCTAATTAAAGTATACCTGTTCCTGTCACTGCAGTTGGCTCTGAAAACCCACCATTAACAGTAATTCGCAAATTTGTATACCTGCTGGACCAAAGTGATTTGGATTTCCAGGAGGAACTAGAGGTTGCACGATTAAGGGAAGAAGTAGTGACCAAGATCAGGGCCAATCAACAGCTGGAAAAAGACCTGAACCTGATGGACATCAAGATTGGACTGCTGGTGAAGAACAGGATCACACTAGAGGTCAGTGGGGTTTTTGGGACTGTCAGCTCCCAGAAGAGGGAAGACGCCTACATACAGTCAAGAGTCACTTAATGACAGGGATACATTCTCAGAAATGTAGCATTAGGTGATTTCATCCTGATGCAAACATCATAGAGCACTTACCTAAACATAGATGGTGGAGTCTACTACACATCTAGGCTATATGGTAAAAAAGCCTACTGCTCCTAGGCTACACACCTGTACAGCTTGTGACTGTACTGAATACTGCAGGCAATTGTAACACAATTGTAAGTATTTGTGTATCTAAACATAGCTCAACATAGAAAAAATACAGTAAAAATATAGTACTATAATCTTATAGGACTTATGTCTTATATGAGGTCCACTGTTGACTGAAACATTATGTTGTTTGTGGTTATATATGTTCATGACACTTTGGTCTAGCTAAGTTCATTTGGAATCTAAGATAAGTTTTTATCGTTTTTATTATAAATTAGTGGTTCTTCGTCTGTAAAATTTTAAGCCCGCCCATTTATAACATTTTGTAAGGCTTCTTTATCATTCTGAAATGAAATCTATATGATAAAATGTACTGATGTATATACCTTCAGAATAAGACTAGGGCCTTTATATGAATACAAAAGAGATATTTAAAGAGTAATTAATAATAAAAGCACACATTTTATTGAGAAAATGTATATGCCTGATGACACTGGAAGACATGATACAGTTACCAGAGGTGTAGACCTCTTCACAGAACAGCTACAGATTATGAGGGCTTCAGTGGCAAATGAGGCAGGAACTCATTTTCCAAAATGGAGAACAACTATTTGTAAAGTTCAACATTAGCCAAGTGTAGTCTCCACCCAATTTACATAGCAGTTGCAATTCTAGAAAATCCTAGCTTTTGTGTGGGGAAAATGTATTATGCATCTACATAAAACAATTAGATTCTAGGCTCAGATAATTACAAACAGAATCTTGACCCACGTAAATGACCAGTAAGACATTCAAAAGTTCTGTCATGCAAGGTGAGGGCAATTATTTACACAAGACCATCCCACAAATTGCCAGATCACAGAGCACCTCTCATCCCCAATCCCTGCTCACTAGAAACCAAGAGTGCCCTTCAATTGTTAAGATATTAAAAAACACCCCTACGTATTTCCAAAATGTGACTCCCTACAAAGACACACTGCCCCCGTTATGCCCCCATTGATAACTTCTAAATAAATTACGGTGTGGTTTCACATCTGTGTGAAACCTGCCAACATCAGGGCTCAAAAAAAAAAAAGTATAAAAAGTGTCATTTTTACCCAAGAACAGATGCCTAAGACCACTCTCCCTGTCCCTGTTCCCTTCCTATGTGCCACATCAGTTTTCAGAAAACTGATAGGTCAAAGAGGGAAACTGATCTTCTGGAAGCTCTGAGAAGGCTACAGTGGCTCATAGAGCGCCAGCGGCCAGCAACCAAGCGAACGTTCTGGACAACGGGGAGATGAGCAGCCACAGGAGGCTGCCAGTTACATGGGCATGTGAATGCCCCAGGCTGGTCCTCCAGACCTCATAAAGACACCAGGGCAATTGTGGAGGAGAAAATAAGAAAAACAGCATTTTATAAACAGAAATAATCATCTCTTCTAAATATTCAGGAATAAAACTACAGTTTAAATGTTCTACATTTAACTCTACTTTTATTATTTTATCCAGAAAAACAACAGTACTTTTTAAAAAACAATGTTATTTGTATTGTTTGACATCCATGAGAACTTTTAAAGTGTAATATATTCCAGAAGGATTTTCAGAGAATGCTTTTTATAGCCTTAAACTGCTGTTTCACGCTATCCCCATAAAATCATAAACAGGAAATGTCTTGCCTTTTAAAATAAAGGCTTAGTTGCAAATCAGTACATAGTTTAAATAATATGTATCTTTTGGAAACACAATCATGGCAAGTTATCAGATTTTTATGAATGCTTGAGGTTTTGTGGGGGTTTTTTAAAGCCACTTATCACTAATAGATAACATTGTGAAGTTTTTCAACATATTTGCAAACACCAGATATGTATCCAGCATTTTTTAGCGGTTAAATTAATGATTATTAAATATGTAGCTGTTAGCCTTGTCATTGACAGAATATTAGTAGTGATACAAGAACAGAGCAATTGAAGCTTTATTTATAGTAGTGAAAAAGTGGGAAACGACCTGAAGCCCAAAGCAATATGCAGAGGGCGATAGAATTAGTTTAATATGGATGTTGTATAGCCACTAAAAATGATGGTTTTTAGACTATTTTAAAGCAGGAGGAAAGGTTTGCGATATAGTAGAGGAGAAAATAGTGCCTAAGGTAGTATGATTTCTTTTATTATCAAAAAATAATAATCCAGAAGAAGAAAGAAGTTAAGTGATTTTTCTTTGGGTGATAGTTAAGTTTATCTTCTCCCCCTCCTCCCCACACCTTTTTATTTTTAACAATGAGTGTGTGTTTAGTGAGGAAAAGAGAGATTGTAAAGGGAAATGGCTTTGTTCTTATAGAACAATGCTAGCTCTTGCTAGTAACCTTAACATTTTTTATAGTTCTTTTAAATCAGCATTCCTCCTAAAATCCTCAAAATCTGTAGGTCAGTGAAGTGGCTAACATTGGTTTTAGGCAAAAAGAATGGTTTGGAGAAAGAAGACAGAGCAACTGAAATAAGAGGTTTCCTGGAGGCACAGGAGCCAAAAAATAAAAAATAAAAAAGTATAGGTCAGCCTAGCTGGAAGGAAAGCCTAAATTAAGAGACTGAAGCTAATCTAAAACTAGTGCTAAAATTCCCATTCATGAGTATGATGTATCATCTAGGAGCCCAGATTTGCAGGCCAGTACTACCTGAAACTCAGGACTGAGATTTTTAACTATTAATACTTAATTATACTACTTCACTGCTTATATTAACATGTGGCCTTGAGCATGTTTCTTAACCTCTCTCTGAGTGTGTTTTCTTCCCTGGAAAATGTTCTAGGTGATTTACATATATTTTTAATCTTCACAGCAACTCAGTAAAATTGCTGTTATTACACTCACTCTACAGATGAGGAAACTGAAGCTTAGGTTAACCTGTGTAGGTTTACCAAGCTAATTATACTCTGCAGATACCCATATCTTTTATGACTCCAAAGCCCAAGCCCAAGCCCTTCATACTAGCCCACACTTTCTACAAAAACGTTTATATCATAGCATACTACCTGCATGCAGATATCCCTTTATCAGAGCAAGGGGAAAGGTGGTGGCAAAAGGGCAATACTGAGATGGGGGACTATCATGAACAAGCCAAATACGGTTGCTCTTTCAAACCATGGTATTCCTCCAATGTTCAATATTTATTAAGAATCAGGAAAAGTGAGTTTTGATGAATAAAAAGTATCTGCCCCTGTTTGTTATCCTTGTCTGGGTTGGCTCTTGTGTCCATCTTCAAGCTTCCCAAAGCAAACCTCCATTCACACAAGCACATTCTGGAGCAAGTCAGAACCTCACAGGGAGAAGGAAGAGGGGCTATCCCCATTGCTGTGCCGGGCTCTGTCCTTGGAGCTCCAGCAGACAGGTGCTGTTCCATCAGCACAGCCACCGGCCCGTCCTCTCTCTTCCCCTTTCTGGGTTCAGCATTGCCTCCGTTGCTTCCCTCCCTCCATTCCTCTCATTATCCTGCCTTCACCAACTCTCTCTGTTTCTAATGCAGAGGAATTTAGATCTGCCCCAGATCTTGCTCACCACCCCTACCCTCTCATCTGTATATGGCAAAAACCATTAACCAGAAGATGAAGTCTGCAACAAAACAAAAAGCCCCCAGTTTCTAGAGTGACCTCCACTGAAAACACTTGGGAGGGAAAAGGGGGGAATTATAGGTAACAAGACTTTCCTGTCGTATATTTAAAATCAAGGTGATAGATTTATTCTGTGTATTTGAGGGAGTTGAACGATTTACATACATGTCGCCAGCTATCTGAAGAGGAAAAATGTGGATTAACTGGCACTGTAAGCCACATTTATTCTAGTGATGTCTTAGGACTTCTTATAGATAAGGATTATCAGACAGCCGCCTGCCTAGATTCCCCCTTGACCTCTATCTGGTGGTAACTGCACTTCCTTTCTTTGTACTGAAGACATTTTATATATTGGTAAAACAAGGGGGAAATGTTGCTTTTTTAAAAATGTTATCGGAATGTAAATCAACTCCCCTCCCTCCTTCTCTATAAAAGCAATTGGGGTGACAGAAGTAAGTGGGTAAGTCAAGGCTGCCTCTCTCTGAATTGAGAATGAGAAAGAATAAAATCATGGACCTGGAAGGCAACAGATGTAGCCACATGGAACTGTCTTACTCCAGAGCTTCCTAGAGCTCTGGACCCCAGCTGCTCAATGGGCTGACCCCAGCTATGGGAGAATGGGGTGCCAGGAAGTAAACAGATTTAGAGCTTGCCATTTAGGCAAGACCTGACGGTGGTTCTCATCCCCAGGGGCAACTGGAAATGGGGGCGGGCCCATGTCCGCTTGTGAAAATGACTAGGGGCCCCTGCTGATAGCCGGTGGTGGGAAGTGGCCAGGGTGATAGACGCTGGTAGTGCATGCAGAGCAAAACACTGTTGTCCACACTGCCCATAGTGCCCCTCTAAGGACACTGGGCCAGCATTCCTGATGTGCAAATAGAGTCCTCACGTGGAGGTCCAGCTAAGAGCTCAGTCAAAAATCTGAAAAAAGTTTTAGGAAAAGCAACTTTCTTGCCACTTACTCTGGGACAGTGAACTAATGTTAAGTGGCAGGGGAGGTGTTCTAGAACAGCGACTTTCAAATATGAGTCGCATGCCATTAGGGTCATGAAATCAATTTAGTGTGTCACAATGAGCAACCTTTAAAAGTGGAATAGAATAAAAGCAAATAGAAAATATCAGCATGTACCATTAGTGAGAGAGAGGGTGTATGTGTGTTCACTAATAAAAGATGGAAAATGTATTTCTTACTGCGGGTCCCAGACTTCTGAGTTGCCAGTACCACAGGCATGAGCCACCACACCTGGCTTATTTTTAAAATTTGTAGAGATGGGGTCTTGCTCTGTTGCCCAGGTTGATCTCAAACTCCTGGCCTCAAGCCATCCTCCCATGTTGGCCTCCCAAAGTGCTGAGATCACAGGCATGAGCCACCACACTTGGCCCGCTTCCAACTTTTCTTCCGAAGTTTCCTGGCTTCTCTTAAGGCCTCATAGAATTGAAGAAAGTTAGGGCCTTGCTTTGGATTAGGCTTAGGCTTAAAGGAATATTGTGCTGGTTTAATCTTCTATCCATTCCACTCAAACTTTCTCCATATCAGCAATAAGGCCATTTTGTCTTTTTAATCATTCATGTGTTCACTGAAGTAGCATTTTTAATTTCTCTCAAGAAATTTTTCTTTGCATTCATGACTTGGCTGTTTGGTGCAAGAGGCCTAGCATTACGCCTGTCCTAGCTTTTGATATGCCTTCTTCACTAAGCTTAATAATTTCTAGCTTTTGATTTAAAGTGAAAGATGTGTAACTTTCACTTGAATACTTTGAGGCTATCATATGGTTATTAATTAACCTAATTTCAATATCATTGTGTCTCAGGAAATAGGGGGCCCAAGAAGAGAAGAGAAAAAGGAAAGTTGGTGAAGCAGTCAGAACAGACACATTTATTGGTTAAGTTCTATGGGCGTGGTTTGTGGCACCCCAAAACAATTACAATAGTAACATCGAAGATCACTGATAGGCTGGGCACGGTGGCTTACGCCTGTAATCCCAGCACTTTGGAAGGCCAAAGCGGGTGGATCAAGAGGGCAGGAGATCGAGACCAGCCTGGCCAACATGGTGAAACCCCGTCTCTACTAAAAATACAAAAATTAGCCAGGTGTGGAGGCGCGTGCCTGTAGTTCCAGCTACTCAGGAGGCTGAGGCAGTGGAATCGCTTGAACCTGGCAGGCAGAGGTTGCAGTGTGCTGAGGTTGCACCACTGCACTCCAGCCTGGGTGACAAAGCGAGACTCCATTTCAAAAAAAAAAAAAGATCACTGATAACAGCGCCCCGTAATAGATAGTATAATAATGAAAAAGTTCTACATATTGCAAGAATTATCAAAATGTGACACAGAGACACAAAGTAAGCACATGCTATTGGAAAAAAATGGTGACAATAGGCATGTTCAATGTAGGATTGCACAAACCTTCAATTTGCAAAGAAAAAAAATGCGGTATCTGTGAAGCACAGTAAAGCAATGCACAATACAATGAGGTATGCCTGTATTTCCAATTACGTGTGTTTCAATCCTATATGTGAAGGGAGGAGATAAAGAGTATGAGAATTAAAAAGGAGTAATCTCATCAAATTTTTTACAGGATGTAATTTCACATAGTAAAAAGCTGAACAAGAAAAAAGGAGGAGAAATGGAAATACTGAATAACACCGACAACCAAGGAATAAAAAGTTTGAGTAAGGAGAGGAGAAAAACACTAGAAACATATCAGCAGCTGTTTTACCTTTTACAGGTGAGAACAATTTATCGTTCACTCTGAGTTTGGGAGTAATACTATGTTACATGTTTGTGGCTTACAGGGAGTATTTTGTCATGCTTCAGCTATAATAGCATACATGTTTTGAGCATCTACTAAGTACCAAGTGCTGTTGTTGGTGCTTTACATACATTATCTCATTTAATTCTTACCATAACCCTGGGAGCCGTGAGAGAATGAGTACTGTTGTTATTCCTGCATTACAGATGAGAAAACTGAGACACAGCCAGTAAATGATAAAGCAGGGGTTTTGAAACGCAGGCAGTTTGACTTCAGAGACCATGCTCTTTACAGTATTATACTACGGTTACCTTCAGAAACAATATAAATCTGATAATAACAAAACAAAAACAGGTGCTGTCATCCATGAAAAAATTAAAATAACTGTATGTGAAAAACAGATATTTACCAGAACCAGTCTCCCCTTCTATGGGGGAAGAGCCAGAGGGTTTGGGATTTCAAAATAATATTTCTTTTTTCTTGTATTATTTTCATGGCATTACTATGATCTAAATGAATAGTAATTTTCCATTGCTTCCTGAGTGTTGGTGAGAACTGATAAGTTTGACTGGTTATGGTTGGACTTTGATGGATCACTTATTGTTTTGTTTGACCATTGATTCAGCCCGTCAGCCCTACTAGCACATACAGCTAGTCACAGAGGAAACTGCATGATAGCAATAGAAATTAACAAGCATCCTCTTCAGCAGGAAAAGTTTCCCCAAAGAGGTGGATCCATAGTTCTCCCTTGTAAGAGTCAGATGTCTCTCAGAGTGGGGCCACTGCTGGGATTCCTTCAAAGCCTGGAGATGCTTAGATCTTTGTTTGAGGATGTCACTGGCAGTAGATGTATAGAGAGCACATTACACAAACCATAAATAAGAGGCGTGGCTAACCTCATGGAGAAACACGATGTTAATTTTGGTAGGTTTGAAAATTCTCTACTTGGAATAAGAGATTGGAGAACATCTTCAAACATACGAACATCTTCACACAAGTGGCCACCACATGGCGGCACAGAAGGAAAAGGTTAACAGTACTTAGAATTGTCTGTGGAACCCACTGTTTCACGCCAGCAAACCTAGAAAGAAAGGGGGCTCACTTTAAACAGGAAAGGACTTTGGTCTGCCTAATTTAGTAGTCAACCACCAGTTTGAAATTTAATCTTAGGCACTTATCATTTTTTACACCCATGAAATTTCAAGCATATTGAAGATTCTTTAGAATTTAGTTTTCTCAATTTGACAGAATTTGTCATAAGTTAAAATCTAGTCATTGTTTATTATATAGGTGGAGGCACATTTATGGGAAGAAGAAAAAGTGCAGGAGCATGTTTAGAATAATTCCACCAAACTTGATCCGCAAACAATCCAAAATGTACAACCAAAGGGTGCAACCATTCAGTTGTATCAAGTGAACTCTCTCTTGAAATCATATATTTTTCTTCTCCTTCTCTTCTTTTGAGGCGTTAGCCCAATATCACTAAAGAAATTATAGAAAAGCAAATGGCCTGGATTCCTTCGACCCGTTGGTTACACTTTAGCAAGACTTCTTTTTTTGTAGAGACAAGATGTCACTCTCCCACCCAGGCAGGAGTGCAGTGGCGCAACCACAGCTCACTGCAGCCTTCATCTCCTGGGCTCAAGCAATCCTCCCACCTTGGCCTCCTGAGTAGCTGGGACTACAGACACCTGCCACAATGCCTGGCTAATTTTTTCATGGTTTTTGTAGAGACAGGGTTTTTCCATGTTGCCCAGGCTGATCTCAAACACCTGAGCTCAAGTGATCCACCCATCTCAGCCTCCTCCTAAAGCACTAGGATTGCAGGCATGAGACACCACACCTGACCTAGCAAAAATTCTTAACCAAAGCCGCAGTCAGCTAGTATAGGTTTTTGGGGGGTTTGTCTCTTCAGTATGAACCTAAATTTAAAATTTTTAGGTAACCTTAGGAGGAATGGTGAGTAGGCATCTTTCTTTAGTTATAGAGTAAGTTTCCTTTCTCCTAATTCCTATATACTTCACATTGAAAAACAGTCACTACAGAGCTATCAAGAAAAAGTACTGAGCTGCTTATTTATAAAATTTCAACCAATCATTATGAACTTAAAAGTAAACCTAAGTGATAAAGTAAACCAGAATTTAAGGCTTCTTAAAAGCTGCCCAAACTGCTTGAGTATATTAGATGAATACCAGTTTTCAAGTATGGAAAAATTTTCTTCTCTTGTCAGAAAGAAGATGAAGATTAGGAGTATTAAATTTCTCTTTGTACATACTTCCTCTATAACCTGAACATTATTGTTCTCTTTGAACTTCTACCTGGTAGGTGTAGCTGCTGGAGAAAAGCCACATCACCATGAAGGCTGGTTCTGTATCCAATGGGTCCATCCTCATCAGAGCCCACAGGGTTCCACGTCCATTTTAAGTTCTTTGTTGTTTTTTGCTCATGGTCTTCTGGCACTTCCCTTATCAACTGTCCTGACCTTCACCCCTCTCTTCAGCCTCCCTACCTCACTCCCCCTTCTCACTCTGTGTAGAACATTGTGGCCATTTTGCTGTTTCCACATTGTAAATGTATTCTTTTCTTTTTCTTTCCAGTCTGACAAGATAGTATGCATTTCTACTCATCTATCAATCCTTCTAGGCCAGTCTATGTAGCCGGGCCCTTAGTCCACTTTCTTTTTTTTTTTTTTTTTTTTTTTGATACAGAGTCTGTGTTGTCTAGGCTGGAATACAGTGGTATGATCACAGCTCACGGCAGCCTTGAAATACTGGGCTCAAGTGATCCTCCCAACCTCAGCCTCTTGAGTAGCAGGGACTGCATGCGCACACCACCACACCCGGCTAATTTATTTTTACTTTTTTCTAGAGACAGGGTCTGTCCATGTTGCCCAGGCTTGTCTCGAACTCCTGGGCTCAAGCTATCCTTCTGCCTCTGTCTCCCAAAGCGCTGGAATTATAAGTGTGAGCCACCATGCCCAAGCTTTGCCAGTGTCTTTGGACACCAGATTCTACTGGCTACCCGCCCTGTTTTCTGCGTCTCTACAATAAATATTAATATGTGGTTCAAAAAGGTCAACAGTGAAAAGTAGATATAATATGTTAAGTGTATCATATAGTGTGTATCATTTAAATCCTATCATAATTTTCTACTATAGCTTCCTATAGTATGATATGAATAATATTAAGTAATTAATATTTGATATTAATATTTTAAAATATTAATATATGATAGGAAGCTAAAGTAGAAAGTTATATAATATCAGTCTATAGGAAACTGTAGTAGAAAGTTACACTATATACTAATAGCATAGAGATGAGTACCTGGCATATAAAAATTATTTTATATACTCATCTATATGCTTTTAGTGACATTAAGTCATTGAAGAGCAGGGAATCAGATACTGCTTTGTGCTTTAATAATATATTAACTTATTGTTTTGTGGGATTTTTTTGTTTTCTTTTTCCTTCTTTCCTTCTAGACCAACCCTTTATACTTGGCTAAGCTGATTTTCCAGATGCCACAGAACAAGTCCACTAAATTTATGGATACTGTTATTTTCACACTATATAATTATGCCTCTAATCAGCGAGAAGAATATCTACTTCTCAAGCTTTTTAAAACTGCTCTGGAGGAAGAAATAAAGTATGTATACAAATATGTATGTAAAAATACCAGTGAATCAATCCTTTTGTTAGTGGTGGCTGTCTTTGATTTACTAAAATTATTTTTAAATTCTTATAAGTTATTCCCACATATTAAAATATATCAAGTTTCTTGAGAATACTTCTATATTATTAGAGCTATATTCAAGTACCATTTTCTCCCACCAGTGATACTTTCTCTAGTGTTAAATTAACTTTTGATTTTGTATGCCTGTAACAACTGAAAATCAATAGCATATTGAAAGTCAGTGAAAACATTTAACTTAATTAAAATTCTGAGTAGTAAAGCCATTAACAGGTGGGAATGCAGAGTGCAATCTCTGCCTAAATAGTCTTCCCTTCTTTCTAGAACTTAAACTACTTTTGCTAATTTATTTTCTGACTCAGTTAATGTAAAAATTGTATAGGTAGCTATAATGAGTGGGCTGAGAAACAAGCATGAGAAATGTCCTTAGCTCAGGTGGCCTCCCTAACTTGTGGAAACCTTAAGTTATACCAGTTCCTATTGGTTTTGGGAGCACGGGAGCCAGGCACCTCTGCCCACCAGGTGTCTGTAAGCCCACGAGACATGTGATTCGTGAGAAATAGGAATGCTATGCAGTGGAATGTGGTAAGTACTAAATGAAGGACGCGTCTAAATGAAGGACATGTACAATGTATCAGGTTAGAGGACAGGAGGAAAGATTCCAACTAGGTTGACTAGTAAAGATTTTATAGAAGAGGAGGTGCTTGACCTAAAACCTTGAGGAACAGCTACAATTTTTATAAGAAGAGATAGAAGAGGGAAATAAGGCACAATGGTGGTGGAAACAGCATGGGCATAGGTCCCAGGAGGAAAGTAGATTAGTCTAGCCAGAAAGTGACTTAATTACTAACTACCAGGAGATGAATCCTGAATGATAGGGTAGGGCCAGGTAGTGGGAGACTCTGAGTAAAGGCCCAGCTGTTAAGGCTCTATTTGCTTTTTGGGGATCTGTGAAATCTTTTTTCTTCTTCTTCCTAGGCCGGAGTGCAATGGCATGATCTCAGCTCACTGAAACCTCTGCCTCCTGAGTTCAAGCAATTCTTCTGCCTCAGCCTCCTGAGTAGCTGGGACTACAGGTACCCGCCACCACGCCTGGCTAATTTTTGTATTTTTAGTAGAGAAGAGGTTTCACCATGTTGGCCAGGCTGGTCTCGAACTCCTGACTTCAGGGGGATAGGTCCCAGAGAGATGGCGGGTGAAGCTGTGCATGCACGTGAGGTCTGAGGGGAGAACATGGGTTTTGGTTGGGCTCTGGTAGACCAGTTATTCTTTTGTTTGGGCATTGATTCACCCTCATTCGCCTTACAAGCACCTACAATTAGTCAAAAAATAAACAAAAAGGCCGGGCACGGTGGCTCACGCCTGTAGTCCCAGCACTTTGGGAGGCCAAGACAGGCGGATCACGAGGTCAGGAGATCAAGACATACTGGCTAACATGGTGAAACCCCATTTCTACTAAAAATACAAAAACAAAATTAGCCAGACATGGTGGCGGGCGCCTGTAGTCCCAGCTACTCAGGAGGCTGAGACGGGAGAATGGTGTGAACCCAGGAGGCAGAGCTTGCAGTGAGCTGAGATCGCGCCACTGCACTCCAGCCTGGGCGACAGAGCCAGACTCCGTCTCAAAAAATAAAATAAACAAAACTAGCATTTAAAGGTGGGAAGAGGAGCACAGCAAAGAAAATAAAAAGGAATGACTGGGTAAGATAAGAACCAGGCATTGTCAAGCTCTAAAGGGGAAGGATGTGGAAGAGGGAGAGAAAGTGGTCAAAAGAGAAAGGGGAGGAAGAGAGGAGAGAGGCCCTAAGAATCAGCAACCATAAATCAAGAAAAGCTCTCTCAGCCATCTGACGTGGCTAGAAGCTGTATTGCAGCTTTGAGTGGGATTTGAAAAAGTGAAAACAGTTCATTCAATCAAGAAAGTTGTTTTTGAAATTTGATAACTACAGGGGCATGGTACTTGTACCGTGTCACCCAGTATTGCTAGTCCTGGTCCATTTTCAGCTCATACCTGCCTTCTAGATTGAAATTGAGGCTGTGACTTTATTTTCAGATCCTCAAATTGCTCATCTAAGAAACATACACGTTATAAACTGGGAACAGTGGCTCACGCCTGTAATCCCAGCACTTTGGGAGGCCAAGGCGGGTAGATCATTTGAGGTCAGAAGTTGGGACCAGCCTGGCCAACATGGTGAAACTCTATCTCTCTGAAAATACAAAAATTAGCTGGGCATGGTGGCATGTGCCTGTAATCCGAGCTACTCAGGAGGCTGAGATAGGAGAATCGCTTGAACCCTGGAGGAGGAGGTTGCAGTGAGCCAAGATGGCGCTACTACTCTCCAACCTGGGCAGTAGAGTGAGACTCTGTCTCAAAAAGAAAAAAAGAAATATACACCTTATAAATGATTGCTTGTTTTTAAAGCACACCAACTTAGATTTTCATAGAGAAAAGTATAATTCCATGAAGTCCTTGCCTTCCAGAGGGAGAATACATTGTTTAAAACTGTATCCAGGCCCAGAACCATGGCTCAGGACTGTATTTCCAGCACTTTGGGAGGCCAAGGCAGGTGGATCACCTGAGATCAGGAGTTCGAGACCAGCCTGGCCAACATGGTGAAACCCCGTCTCTACTAAAAATACAAAAAGTAGCCCCGGGCATGTGGTGGTGCACACCTGTAGTCCCAGCTACTCAGGAAGCTGAGGCAGGAGAATCGCTTGAACCTGGGAGGTGGAGGTTGCAGTGAACCAAGATCACACCACTGCACTCCAGCCTGGGTGACAGAGCAAGACTGTCTCGGGGAAAAAAAAAAAAAAAAAAAATCTGTATCCATGGAAGCAAACCATTTTGTTTTGTCTTGGGCTTTTTTAGATCAAAAGTGGACCAGGTACAGGACATAGTTACTGGTAACCCTACAGTCATCAAGATGGTCGTCAGCTTCAATAGAGGTGCCCGGGGACAGAACACCCTGCGCCAACTCCTGGCTCCAGTGGTAAAAGAGATCATCGACGACAAGTCGCTGATTATCAACACAAACCCTGTAGAGGTGTACAAGGCTTGGGTGAACCAACTAGAAACACAGACTGGAGAGGCCAGGTAATAGAATCAGGAAGGTGTTGGTCTTCTGTTATGTTTTATGATATTTTTACATGTGTATTTATTGATACTCTTAAACTTTGTTAGGCGAACTGTACAAAGTCAGTTATCAATCCAAAATGTTACCTCCCTTTAACATATCCATGCAAATTACATCTTGATACTAAATGGTATTTTCACATTTCAGAGCCAGGTGATCCCCAATGCCACAACTTCCATAATTCTCTCCCTTGTTTATTTTCTTTGTGTATTTCTAAACCTAGACCTAGAGATGGTGTAGACTCTCTCTTCACCTGATAATACGTACTTTTCTTTACAGTTACCAGGCAAGTAACTTTAAGGTGTAAGGTTTAACAATCCAGGTTGGATTGGCTTATTCTGGGTGGGTGGTTGTAGATTTAAGCAACCCTAGCTTCTTGTTTCCTGTAAAAGGATGTCTGTGAAATAAAGTGTACACAGAGAATTATGTAATTATGTGGGTGGTTGTTACAGTACTGTTTGTAATAATAAAAAGTCAGGAAAAGTCAAAATATTTAGCTTTGAGGGATTTGTTAAATAAATGTTTGTATAGCACATAATGGAATAAGTATTTGGAATCGTGGTATAGATATACATTTGTTGGCACAGAAAAAAATGTTCAGGGTATATATTCCAGTTGGAGTTAGGTGCAATAACCCATTTTTCTGGGAAAAGAATGCTCATTACATACGCCACACAGGATCTGTATAGAATGTCGATTACACAAATTGCATTACACCCATCAATATGCGAGGCCCACAGACATACATGCACAGAGGAGATTGGACAGTTATGCACTAAGGTATGAAAATTGGTTGTCCCAAACACCGCATATTCTCACTCATAGGTGGGAATTGAACACATGGACACAGGAAGGGGAACATCACACTCTGGGGACTGTTGTGGGATTGGGGGAGGGGGGAGGGATAGCTTTAGGAGATATACCTAATGCTAAATGACGAGTTAATGGGTGCAGTACACCAGCATGGCACATGTATACATATGTAACTAACCTGCACATTGTGCACATGTACCCTAAAACTTAAAGTATAATAATAATAAAATAAAAAATAATTAATTTAAAAAAAAGAAAAGAAAATTGGTTGTCCTCTCTGGTATTGTTTTAGATTATATGTGATTTTATTTTTCTGTAATGAACATTTGCTTTTTATAATTAAAAGAAATTTAGCTGAGTCTAAATTACCTGGGTCTGCCTCTTATCTTGCCAGAAGAGACCAGAGGGAAGGCCTCAAGTCCTTCCTGTTCCAAGTTGCAGAAGGTACCCTCTGTGAAGGTGGAGCCTCCCCTCATTTAGTAAACATTTTGTTACTGGAGTCAGTGGCAAAGTCCAATTCACTATACAAAGCTTGACTATAGAACCAACTTGGCAGCAAAATTAATGCTTGTACCTAAGCCTCCAGTTAATTTAAAGCCTTTGTGTTTTCAGCAAGTTGCCTTATGATGTGACCACAGAACAAGCTCTAACATACCCAGAAGTGAAAAATAAACTGGAGGCTTCCATTGAGAACCTGAGAAGGGTCACCGACAAAGTCCTGAATTCTATCATTTCTTCCCTTGATCTACTGCCGTAAGTTGTACTTGCAGCAAGTTTAACATTCTTTCCTGGAACGTTCTTGGAATACGATGTAAAATAAGCCCCTGTAGTGAAGACAGCAGTTTTCCCTTATATTGTGTTTACTATTTTAAAAGATTGCCTACATTTACCTTTTAAATTCCTGACTGTTCTCTAAAGAAGGGGCAATACTTCAGTAGCAAACACAGCTCAGTTATTATCATCAGTGGAAGTCCTGTGATTCCATTACCATCTCATCTTATGTTTAATTTTTAGAAAAACTACTCAGCTGAAGTTGACTGGAACAATTGCTGTGTGTTTTTTCCTCACTCCGCCTTTTTTCCATTATTTTCTTTTGTCATCTGTTTTATATGTAGTTATGGATTGAGGTATATAGCCAAAGTACTGAAGAATTCGATCCATGAGAAATTCCCCGATGCAACAGAAGATGAGCTATTAAAGGTAGATTTTCAAGGGTAATCTCACCATAGCTTCTCCTGGGGGTATGAATCAAAATTACCAACATATAACTTTGTAAGATTATTCCCCATGTATGATTATTTATAATAAGCTGCAGGTCTTCTGTTTCTAATGACTCTCAAGATAATTGATTAAGCTGAGGTTAATTTGGAGATCCTAGACATTATTGAAATTCTTTGCATTAGAGCATTTTGGGGGCAATGAGCATTTTTTCATCAAAAATAACTTTGCAAATTATGCTATTAATAATGTGTGATTATATTCATTGCCTTTATTAAACTCCTTGTTAGGATTTACATCAGAAAATGATCTGCTTTCTCTTGGGAAATGTAGGAGAATATATATCTTTAAAAAAAAAAAGAAAACTAAAACTCTTGAGTTTTCTCTCTTAAAAATGGTCATGCACTTCTGCGTCACTCCAGATTGTTGGAAACCTCCTGTACTATCGGTACATGAATCCAGCCATTGTAGCTCCAGATGGCTTTGATATCATCGACATGACAGCTGGAGGTCAGATAAATTCTGACCAAAGGAGAAACTTAGGATCAGTGGCCAAGGTTCTTCAGCACGCAGCCTCCAACAAGCTGTTTGAAGGAGAAAATGAGCATCTCTCATCTATGAACAATTATTTATCAGAGACGTATCAGGAATTCAGGTGAGAGGGGCCCTTAGTTTTGGAGAAACGTGCAAGAATGGTAGGCAAGAATAATATGTGCTCTGTGCCCAGAGCTAGAGTGGGCATGGAGGACAGGAACCCCAGGTGGTTACAAGCATTTCTTCTACCAGCCACTGGGGAAAGAGGAGAGAGGGAAGTGCAGGCAAGATTGCCTCTGTCTGGCGATCCTATCGCACCCCCACCACAGCACTCCTATTACACTGAGTCTTTTCTGTGTGTATTATTTCTGCTGCTGACAAAATGGCATACTTGTTCTTCCTTGTATGCTACAGGCTTCCAGTACCTAGAATTTAAAAATCAAAATAGCAGATTTCTGCTTCTTTCAACTTAAGAAGAGAGGAATCATTTTTAAAAAGTTTTCCGGTGAGGAAGAACTTGCTTATCTACGTCAGATACATTTGACCCTTGATTAACACAGGTTTGAACTGCTCGGGTCTATTTATATATGGATTTTTTCAACCAAAGACAGAGAGAAAATACAGTATTCATGGGATGCAGAACCCACATATACAAACAGATGACTTTTCACATACATGGGTTCCACAAGGCCAATTTCAAACTTGAGTATGCACAAATTTTGGTGTGTATGGGGGTCCTGGAACCAATCCCCCAAACATACCAAGGAACGACTGTAGTAGGAAATGGAATACTTGATTTTGAAAGGTTAGGAAAACCCAGATTTTATATTTGTTGATGATTGTGTATGTGAATATGTTCTGTTCTATTCTCAAGCCTTTCTTAATGACACATGTAAGAAGATTTAATTCTATTGATTTTGTGTTTCCAAATTATATCACTAATCATTAACAAGAAAGGCATGAGTCTGGTAGTCAGATTCACTCCTCCTGGAGCTCTGAGGAAACACTTTCCTCTTGTCATGTTTGTTCTCATGTCTGCCATTTAATCAACAGGCCATAGAAGTGTAACATCAGTTTGGCCTCTTTTAATCCTCACTTGGAAACTCATTTCTCATTCCTCGGTCTCCCTTGGAGTGAGTGACTTACTAGAAAACAAAGGTAGTTCATGATTATTCATTTCTATTTAGAATTTGTGGTCTTTTGTGAGAAAATTGCCCCAAATCCTCCTACTACAGAAAGTGTTGATTTTTCAAGCTAATTTTTCATTCTCCTCACTGACTAACAAAGTAATATCCAGGCTGGGCAACATAGGGAGACCTCATCTCTACAAAAAATTTAAAAAATTATCTGGGCATAGTGGTAAGCACCTGTAGTCCCAGCTACTCAGGAGGCTGAGATGGGAGGATCACTTGAGCCTTGGAGGTCAAGGCTGCAGTGAGCCGTGTTTGTGCCACTGTACTCCAGCCCAGGTGACAGGGTAAGACTCTGTCACACACACACACACACACACACACACACACACACACACACACACAAAGTAATATCCATTTCCCACATTTCTCATGAACTTTTAACTGCTGTTATTCCTATCAGTCATTTATGTTCCCACCTATTCTTTATTTAAAAAGAAACAAGACCAAAGAAGTGAGCCTCTTCTAAACTTGTCCTTTCTTCCACTCATATTTATCCTTTGTGTTTCTCAGAAATCTACAAAAAATTATAACCAAAGCAGCATAGGAAAGCCGACTGTTACATGGGAACATGCTCCCCACAACAGGGCTCTGCTGTTTAACCTCCCCCAGCCTCTGGCTGGGAAAGCAGAGGTCATTTCTGGTACATAAGACCCAGGTGCCTGTAGGAGAGATGCCGACAATGATTTCAGGCATATGAAACATTTACAACTTTATAGAATAAAATGTATATTCGACCTGCACAAGAATTGTTTAGGCAAAAAATACATAGAACTATTCAACTGTGATCACAGCATGCCTCACTTCTCTTGATCTCTGTCAAAACTTGCTTTAGCTTAAAATAGACTTTTTAGGGTCTGAGTCCTGGGACATGTTATGTATTTGGGTGTCTAGCCTTAACAATCTTTCCATCGGCCAGCAAATATTTGCAGCAACGAAGAAGAGTAGACTTAATCTCATTTTTGTCAAACTGGTAACAGAAGCTCTGAAGGGTGATTAGGGTGATGTAGGCCCAGGAGCCTGTGCTGTTTAAAGCAGCAAATTTGACTAATTGCTTTTTTTTCTATTGTATTCCTCACACAGACTTGATTCTTAGATCAAGAATTATCATTTTTGACTTTTTAAGTTTCAGGGACCATTTTTAAAATAACATTTTTAAGATGACCTACGCATAGGTCACTATATCACTAAGTCACAAACAGGGCCTGAGGCCCTTGCCACTCTCTCCAATCCTGTTTGAGGAGCTGGGTCCAATATCCAGAAACATGGATGCAGCTCCGACAGCCAGGAGCCAGCCTGGAAGAAGCTGTAACACGTCCTCTCAAGGTTTGAGATGGGAACAAAGTACATGTCATCATTCAAAATTTCCTAGCTATTTTGATGAAACTGTTTAATGCACATGTTTGAGTCTGTCTTAAGACTTTTCCCCCCTTTATTAGGAAATATTTCAAAGAAGCATGTAATGTCCCTGAGCCAGAAGAGAAGTTTAATATGGACAAATACACAGACCTGGTGACAGTCAGCAAACCAGTCATTTATATTTCAATTGAAGAAATCATCAGCACACACTCAGTAAGTGGGGATGGGGAGCCATCTTAGCAATGGACCCATGATTTAGGCATCTGTTATCTTGAAAATGCTTAATCTCTACAGGACTTATTGTACACATGTGCTAATACTCATATTCTTAACCCTAAAAATCTCGCAATTATTTATTCCATGACTCTTATACATTAATAAAACTCCTTCTCCCAAACAACAAAATTCTATTTTTACATAATTATTCCCTGACTCCTAGACATTAATAAAACTTCTCCCCAAAAAAGAAAGTGTACTTTTGGCATAATCCATTTACAAAGCCAGATTGTGACTGGAATGGTGGCATATGCCTGTAATCCCAACACTTTGGGAGACTGAGGCAGGAGGATCACTCAAGCCCACAAGTTTGAGACTAGCCCGGGCAACATAGTGAGACCCCTATCTCTACTAAAAATTTTTTAAAAACTAGCCGGGTTTGGTGGTACATGCCTGTAGTCACAGCTACTTAAGAGGCTGAGGTGGGAGATCACTTGAGCTCAGGAGTCTGAGGCTGCAGTGATCTATGATCGTGCCACTGCACTCCAGCCGGGGCAACAGAGCGAGACCCTACCTCAAAAAATAAATAAATAAATAATAAAAATAAAGCCAGATTGTAAATATGCAGTTTAAGCCCTGAGCCAGGACAGGCTATGGTGTTCTCATCCGCCAAAGCTATGCTATGTAGACCTACACCCTGTCTCTCCCCTCTTCCAGGAACCCTCTCAGCTTTTCCAGTAATTTTCTGGGGGAAATGAGAATATTCTTTTTATTCTAATGTTTTAACATAAAGTGGTAATAAACAGGCTACGCAACGAAAACAAGAAACTACCACCCAATAGTAGCCTTCTGCAAAGAATCACTTCCATTGTTCTGGAAACCCCCATTTCTCGGAAGCAGGCAGTTTTTCACATCATGTGCTGTGTTATGACATCTACATCTGGTTTGCATGCAGACATCACTGCCGTCAGCCATTAGCATGTATTAAGTATCTGTTGGGTGCAGGGCACTGTGCTCAGTGGCATGGGGAAGGAATTGGGAGGCTTTAGATGACTTTTCAAACATTAAAATTAAAAAAAAAAAAGCTAAGCATTGAGGGGTTTGCATTGTTTTCTTTTTAAGATCAATTGGAACTTATTTCATGAAAAAATCTTGGTTTTTAAAAGGTAACCATTTCAAGAATAGTTTCAGACCTTGTGAGTTGAAGCAAGGTCCTGGGGATATGTTAGCAATGCACCCTGGACCTCCCAAATTAGAACCTGCATTGTAACAAGATCCCAGAGGATTCAGATGCACATTCAAGTTCTAGATGCTTCAGTTAAGGATGCACCCAACTTTGGATTATACAGAGAACCAAAGGGAAAGCATAACAAATACACATTCTCAAAGGTTGTGCTCTAGCCCCCATCAAACCAGACATACTGACAAGTGGCAGGTTAGCTGCTTAAAATTTCAGTCTATTATTAAGCTCTTCTAAGAAACTAAAGCTTGAATGTAGGTTTGAAGGAAAGATTGAATCTAGTATTGATTTTCTTCTTTCAGGGTTGAAACAGGGAACTTCCCTGACATTTACATCAAGCTCTCAATACATACTGATTAAATGAATAGGCTATCCTTCTTTTCTCTATATATGAACACCCTAGATTACAAGGAAAACTGTCCAGCAATCTAGCAATGCATTACTTACAGAAATAATTATCTACTGGACAGACTCATTTATATTTGAGCAATGACCCATTTGTCTGTTTTTGTGGTACATTATCTGTCTTCAAAGAATATGTACATCTTGGGTGCACATTTGCTGAATGCAATATCCACATGCGAAAAAAATGGTGGGGAGTACTTGTTTAGAGTGAGAGATTCTTTCCCAAGGGTAGCAGAGAGAAAATGTTACTGTATTAATTTAGAAGTCTTAGAAGTCTTTAAGGAGAAATAGTCTGTTCTTTTGTTAACAAAAATTGAAAACAGAATTCAATCCTGGGAAAGAGAGCTTGTGACTGATTTGGAATTCCTTCCTGTGTTAGGTTAGAAGCAGATGTAATGTGGGGAAATTGTGTAATTTCATAGGAAGACTGTCCTGTTTACTGTCTGCCTTCTGTGTGGAGGCGTCCGTGTGCAGACACAAGCACAGCAGTAGCAGGATTTGCCAAGCCTGTGGCCATGTGCTTACCCCTTTCTCTAAGGAAGATGCAAGAACTTCCAAATAAGCTCTTTAAGAAGACATTATCAGGAAATTTTTCCGAATAAAGGGTAGAAGGTGGCCACCTAAATAATCATTTCCAAAGAAAACAGCCAAATCAGTTGCCCTGGCTCATCAGAGAAGAAGAACATAAATTTATCCATCTTGCATATTTTGTTCTTGTCTCTTAATTTTCCCTCCAAAACATCATATGTACCGCCTTTCCAGATTTTGCCCGGTCTTTGTATCACCTCTATTATTTATTTAATGCCTTTCTTTGAATCAACTCACCTTTTTAAAAACAACACGTAATTTCTTTGCTTTAAAACAAAGTACCTCTACTATAGTGAAAAACTAGCCTGCTTTGCCATACACAGAAACTTTAGAAGAAAATAAGTGTAATGAAAACAAAATAGTTGGATACAGTCACTTCCTTACCTTGAAGTTATGTATCTGAGGTGTGTTCTCTCTTTGTTAACAACTCTCCATGTGTCAGGGAAATGTTAAGAAAAATTTAGCATCAAACAGATACTCTCTCCTTCACTGATCTTAAAGATTAGAAGAGAACGGAAAAGGCAGTAATCAAGACAGTGCTATGCTGGCATAAGGTTAGACATAAAGACTAATGGGATAGAATCGAGAGTCTAGAAATAAGCCATCACATTTATGGTTAATTCATTCTGACAGGGGACTAAGTTCAATGGGAAAATAGTGTCTCCAAATGGTACTGGGACAACTGGAAATTCCCATGCCAAAGAATGTAGTTGTGCCCCTTCCTTCCACTCTATACAAAAAGTGAACTCAAAATGGGTGGTAGACATAGATGTAAGAGCTAAAACTATAGATCTCTTCAAAATAAGATATAGGAGTAAATCTTTGTGACCTTGGATTAGGCAGTAGTTTCTTAGATATGACACCAAACACATAAGCAGCAAAGGAAGGAAATAAACTAGACTTCATCAAAATTGAAAACTTTTGAGCTATAAAGAGTAATATCAAGAAATTGAGGCTAGACGTGGTGGCTGACGCTTGTAATCCTAGTACTTTGGGAGGCCAAAGTGGGAGGATGCTTGAGGCCAGGAGTTCGTCGACAAAATAGGAAAAAAAAATTAGCTGGGTGTAGTGGTGCATGCCTGTAGTCCTAGCTACTCGAGAGAATGAGACAGGAGGATCCCTTAAAGCCAGGAGTTCGAGGCTGCAGTGAGCCATGATCATGCCATTGTACCCTAACCTGGGTGACAGAGTCAGACCTTGTCTCATTTAAAAAAAAAAAAAAAAAAAAAAAATTTCATCCAGGTGCAGTGGCTCACACCTGTAATCCCAGCATGTTGGGAGGCTGAAGCAGGTGGATCACTTGAGGCCAGGAGTTCAAGACCAGCCTGGCCAACATGGAGAAACCCTATCTTTATTTAAAAATACAAAAATTAACCAGGTGCGGTGACACATGCCTGTAATCCCAGCTACTCGGAAGGCTGAGGCACGAGAGTCACTTGAGCCTGGGAGGTGGAGCTTGCAGTGAACCACTCCAGCCTGGGCAGCAGAGCGAGACTTTGTCTCAAAAAAAAAAAAAAAAAAAAAAAAAAACTTGAGAAAACCAACAGAATGAAAGAAAATAATTGTAAATAATATGTTTGATTGGGGACTTGTATCCAGAATATATAAAGAAATCCTACAACTCAATGATAGAAACATAATCCAATTTAAATATTGGACAATTACACATCAAAGGACATAATCAACTGAGTGAAAAGATAATGTATGGAATGGGAGAAAATATTTGCAAATCACATGTCTGGTAAAGGGTTAATATCTAGAATATATAAAGAATTCCTACGAATCGACAACAAAACAACCCAATTATAATATAAACAAAGGACTTTAACAGATGTTTTTCCAGAGAAGTATACAGATGGTCAGCATCACTAATAATTAGAGAAATCAAAACTGAAACTGCAAGGAGATACCACTCACACCCAGTAGGATGATTAATATCAAAATTTAAAAAAAAAAAAACAGAAAATAAGTGTTGAGAAGGATGTGAAGAAAATGCAACCCTTGCACCCCGTTGGTGGGAATGTAAAATGGTGCAGCTGCTATGGAAACAGGATGGTCTTTCCTCAAAAATTTAAACAGAGAGGCTGGAGTATGGCGGCACGATCAATTAAAAAAAATTAAACATAGAATTACCTCATAATCTAACAGTTCCACTTCTGGAAGTATACCCATAAAAAATTGAAAGCAGAGTCAAAGAGTTATTTGTTCACTCATGTTCATAGCAGCATTGTTCACAACAGCCAAGCGTCTATCACTAGATGAATGGATAAAATGTGTTATATTCATACAATACAATATTATTCAGCTCTAAAAAGAAGGAAATTCTGATACATGCTACAACATGGAGGAACCTTGAAGACATTATGCTAATTGAAATGAGCCAGTCACAAAAAGACAAATACCACTTATCTAAGGTACCTAGAGTAGTCAAATACATACAGGTATATTTGTGGTTTCTAGGGGATAGAAAGAAGAGATAATGGAGAGTGACTGCCAATGGGTACCCGGTATCTTTTAGGGCAGTGAAACTGTTCTACAGTCAGAGAGTGGTAATGGCTGCACAGCTCTGTGAATACACTAGAAGCCATTGCATCGTACATTTTAAGTGAGTGGATTTGATGTATCTGAATTCTATTTTGGTAAAGCTGTTGGAAAAAAGATTGAAAATGGAAAAGGAACTAGCTTTATCATTATGATGCAGAGTTTTATAAAATAGTTGCTGAGAACAACAAATTTTATCTCCTGTCTCCAAGATTACTAGTTCCGTACTTTGGAAATGTTGTTTCAATCTAATTAGAAATGCAAGCAAAAACAGATGTGTCGCTGTTCATGTGTAAGGTTGTAACAATTAAACCAACTCCATTAAAATTTGTTTAAATTAAAAAAAAAAAAAAAGTGTTGTCTTTCATGGTTTCCCCCGAGTGCTGCTACCCCTCAGGAGTTAATACTGTTTCCTGTAAGACCTGGCAAGACACCCCAGCAGATGTTACTCATCTTTGGGCCTTCTTAGGATAAGGAAAGGGGAAACCACTCAGGACATCTAGGTCTCTTACATCCTTACCCATGAGAGATCTTCAATGCAAGACAGATTGAAACAGCTCATAGTAGTGATTAAGAAGAAGATAACTGTAGTATTTGATTACTGCATAGAGATGTAAATGCCCTTCCAGTTTGCTACCAATGTTAACTGAAAGATCTGCCTCATTCTGGACTCTTTCCCCCAACTTTGACTTTTTCTATGGAGGAAGAGTGAAGCACAGAGATCAGGTGGTAGAAGGCTTCCCTTTGGCAGACCTTGCTGAAAAAGGGTTTATGAACACGTTTCTTGCAACAATTTCTTGATGTAGAGTAGGTGCTTCCCTCTGAGATACAATAAAAACTGTATCTATGTCTCTAATTTTTATAAATGTCATACTCATATTTAAGATTTAAATGGTATGAGGAGGAAATTATGAAAAATTTCATATAAATATGGTACAGTTGAGAATTTACTTTTTTCTTTGTGTGTGTGTTGCTTTCTACATAAAGCTCCTGTTGGAACACCAGGATGCAATTGCCCCTGAGAAAAATGACTTACTGAGTGAATTGCTGGGGTCGCTGGGAGAGGTGCCAACCGTGGAATCTTTTCTTGGTAAGAGCTTGTTCCTTCTACTTATCCCTTGGTTTTTGTTTAATTGGGTGGGTTGGTTGGTTGGTTCGTTGGTTTTCCTATCCTAGATAAAACAATTATTTTGGAATTTAATGCTTAAGCATATTTAAAGAATAACAACTACACTTGCCCCTTCCTACAGTAAGAGTTCTGTAATTAATGGAGTCCGGGATTATAAAATAATTCAGTATTCTTGAAGGTAAGCTCCAGATATGTCAAAAAGGAATTGTCAACCTGTATTATACAGAAAGAAGCCATCAATAAAGAACCAAATTTATTACAAAATGAAAAATACTTTTATTAACAGTTATCCTTTTTAGTAATTTGTATTTGAAATACCTATGTCCCATGTCATTTTCATTTTTCAATCAGATATTTTAAAAGCCACTTTAGCTATAGTAGAATGTGGGTTTTGTAAAGACCATGATCTCCCATTTAATTACCAAGCCTATCTTTCCCACAGAACCTTTATCTTACATTGTTGGTGCCATCATCACAAAGAGTGAATTGGAAAAATAACACTAGGTTTTTTCCCTACAGGGGAAGGAGCAGTTGACCCCAATGACCCTAACAAGGCAAATACACTAAGTCAGCTTTCAAAGACCGAGATTTCTCTTGTCTTGACAAGCAAATATGACATAGAGGACGGTGAAGCTATAGATAGCCGAAGCCTCATGATAAAGTAAGTTTGGGGGTTAAAGGGCACATGTCTCCAAATACACATCTTAAATGATGCAAATTCAAATGAGGCTAAATCCCAACTAATTTATTTAAAAGTATGTGAACATTGAAATCTATTATGTATATCCATCAAACATCTAACCAAAGGATAATAGACTCTTTAGAATTTAGGAAGGCATTAAATATTATAATAGTTTACAACACCTTCCTTGGTTTTTAGTTTTCCATGTAGTAATTTGATTTTTTTCCTTTGAGAAATGATTAACTCAGCTTATGCAAGTCCTTAGGTAACTGAAGAGAAATATCTATTACAGAGTGGCCAGAAGATTAGTGAGGAAATTCAGTTAACCAACGTTTATTTCCGGTATAAAATCATAATATAAAAACACGTACCTACAATAAGACATTATGATAGCATCTGATTTATTGGCCTTCCTTCCTGTTAAACTGATCCTGGATATATTTACCAGCTTTGACTTTTATTTGTACCCTGCTTCCTGCCGCTAAAGATTTCAAGTGAAGCATTCACACTTTAAATAATACTATCTTTTCTCCATCAAAGAATCAAGGATATTCCACATCCATCCTTTACACACAGAGTAAGAAAGAGAATGAGATTCATGATACAACACCATAAATCAAAAGCACCCGCTGACCAAGCAGTGCAGTTTTCAAGAACTTATACAAACCCAAGAATGCATATCAGTACATTAGAACAGTTATGTATTGGGGTGAGATGGAGACTGGAAGTGGAAAAATGAGGACAAAGGGAACAAGTATGTGTTGAAACAATACGAAACATATTACTTCCAAGCTACCTGTCCTGAGTTCTGAGGTTTTAATTTGTGGCAAGAGCTTTCTCTCCTGCCACTGATGTGCTGAAGTGTGCTTGAAGTGTGAATGAAGACAGCATTCATCTCCACTTGATTTTTTTTTTTAAACATTCAATCATCTGTGAAAACAACAGGAAGAGCTTCTTCACTGTGCTGTGTTGATATGTTCCTCTCTTAGGCTTGTTGATTTTGTCCTCAGATCATCTGAGGCTCCATTCGGTCATGCAGCAAATGCTTGACTACCTACTCTGTGTTCATGCGCTGGGCTTGAGGCTGGGATACAACAGTGGGTAAGCTGGAAACAGCCCCTGTCTTACAGGGGTGGAGAGCACAGTTCGACAGTAGGACCGCAACCAAGTTGCAGGACTAGGACTCACCCTTGGCCTCACAAGAGTTGAGGGCGGTTCTTTTTGACTACAGATTACCAAGGCAGATGAAAATTTCAGGGAGACAATTCAGGGCAGGGCAGGAGAGAAAGGGGGAGAAAGTCTACACCCTGGGTTCCTCTGAACAAGTGCCAATTATAAAGATAACTGGAAATACAGATTGTGTGGTTTTGCCATGTAAATGAAATTAGGCCAAGTATCCCATGATCTCATAAGCTTTGTCCTTTAGAAGTAATGGGAAGAAATTTTTTCTTAATTAGTTTTGTCTGCTATTTGAACATCATTTTCTAAATCCAGTCAACTCCAATGTCTGCATGATATCTGAGAATCACCATTTGAGTAGTTCAAAGTATCAGATAATCTGAATATCATATATATTTATACTTATTCCTGAACATGAGTCTGCATGATTCTGCAAATTCTAGGAAATCACATTTAAAGATAAAACCATAAAAGTCAGGCCTGTCTGGAAGCAATGTGTCTTAGCCTGGGAAACCTGGGACATTGTCCTGTTTGCCTTACCCATTACCCAGCCTCTGCCCTTGTGTGGCTCTCCCCCGTCCCCCCCAGTGTGTTGGAAACAAACACTATCCACTTCTTTAATCACCACACTATGTAGAGCCAGCAGTGGGTTTATTTTTTATTGTGGTAAAATACACATAAAACTTACCATTTCAGCCATTTTAAAGTGTACATGCATTTAGTACATTCGCAGTGTGCAACCATCACTGTTGTCTAGTTCCAGAACATTTTTATCAGATGTGAACCCTGTACCCATTAAGTAGTCATTCCCCATTCCCCGCTGCTGCCCAGCCCCTAGCAACTACTAGTCTGCACTCTATGTCTTTGAACTTTTGCCTGAAGATATGAAGTCGTATCTCACTGTGGTTTTGGTTTGTACTTTTCCAATGACCAGTAATGTTGAGGATCCTTCCATATGTTTGTCATCCACTTGTGTATTTATGTATTCTTTTTGGAGAAATGTCTATTTAACTCCTTTGTCCATTTTAAAATTAGGTTGTTTGTGGTTTTGTTCCTCAGTTGTAAGAGTTGTTTATATATTCTGGACACTGGACCATTATCAGATATATGATTTGCAAATATTTTTGCCCCTTGTGTGGGCTTTTTACTCTCTTGATAATGTCCTTTTCCGCACAAATGTTTTTTTTTTTTTATTTTGATGAAGTCCAGTTTATCTGTTTTTTTTGTTGTTGTTGTTGTTGTTGTTGTTGTTACTTGTGAGATTTACCCCAATGTTTTGTTCTAAAGGTTCTATAGTTTTAGCTTTTACAGTTAGGTCTATTAACCCTTTTTGAGTTCATTTTTGTGTGTGGTGTGAGACAGGTGTCCACCTTCATTCTTTCTTGTTGTTATTGTTGTTGTTTTTTGTTTGAGACAGCGTCTCGCTCTGTCGCCCAGGCTGGAGTGCAGTGGCATGATCTCGGGTCACTGCAAGCTCTGCCTCCTGGGTTCATGCCATTCTCCTGCCTCAGCCTCCCAAGTAGCTGGGACTACAGGTGTCTGCCACCATGCCCAGCTAATTTTTTGTGTTTTTAGTAGAGACGGAGTTTCATCATGTCAGCCAGGATGGTCTCCATCTCCTGACCTCATGATCCGCCCACCTCAGCCTCCCAAAGTGCTGGGATTACAGGCGTGAGCCACCACTCCTGGCCCCACCTTCATTCTTTTGCATGTGGATGTCCAGTTGTTCTAGCACTATTAGTTAAACAGACTATTCTTTCTTCATAGAATGGTCTAGGCACCCTTGTCAAAAACTAATTGACAATACATGTATGGCTTTATTTCTGGATTTTCAATTCTACTCCATTCACTTATATGTCTATCCTTGTACTAGTGCCACACCATATTGATCACTGTAGCTTTGTAATGAGTTTTGAAATACGGAAGTCCTCCAACTTCTTTCTTCTTTTTCAAGATTGTTTTAGTCTTGCAGTTGAATAGGTCTCTTGCAGTTATATGTGAATTTTAGGATCAACTTTTCCATTTATGTAAAAAAGGCTTGAGGCCAGTGTTTTAATAGAGGCCCTAAGTCTTTTATGCTCAAAGGCCTTCCTCTTGGCATACTGTGAGATCTTACTGTTGGCCGACCACTTTACTAAGCAGCCCAGTGATCAATGTAGGTAACAATTTGAAATCAACACTGACTGGTTAGCCATCCCTGAAAGTGAAATTTGGATATTGCCCAAAAGGTTCAATAGAATTAGTTCTATGATTTTAGCCAAGCCCTGCTTCTAAATATACTTCCTTTAAAGTACATATTTGAAAAAATCTTGATACTAACAGATAATTACAAAGTGCAGCATTGACAGGGAACCTGAAAACTGAGTCTTTTTCTTGCAGGCAAGGAAACTAAAGTCTAAAAGTACCAGTATCAGTCCATGGCCTGTTAGGAACCAGGCGACACAGCAGGAGGGGAGCAAGTGAAGCTTCATCCTGTATTTACAGCTGCTCCCCATTGCTGGCATTAACACCTGAGCTCCACCTCCTGTCAGATCAGTGGCAGCAGTAGATTCTCATAGGAGTATGAACCCTATTGTGAGCTCCACATGCAAGGGATCTAGGTTGCACACTCCTTATGAGAATCTAATGCCTGATGATCACTGTCTCCCATCACCCACAGATGGGACTGTCTAGTTGTAGGAAAACAAGCTCAGGGCATCCACTCATTCTGTATTATGGTGAGTTGTATAATTATTTCATTATATATTACAATGCAATAATAATAGAAACAAAGTGCACAATAAATGTAACGCACTTGAATCATCTTCCCGAAACCATCCCCCACCCTGTCCATGGAAAAATTGTCTTCCACAAAACCTGTCCCTGGTGCCAAAAGGGTTGGGGACCACTCCTTTAAAATATTGATTTGAACTCTCATGAGGATGACTTTTTTGATTTGAACACTCTCATCAGGATGACTTTTTTCCAAGCTAATAAACCGAATTTGTAACTCAAGCATAAGATATAGTTCTTGAGATTCATTAGAGAACCAAATTTAACTAAAATCGGACAATGACTTTTATAAGTTATGAAGTGGACAGACATGAAATGCAGAGCAATTGGGATGTGAAAATACCTAGCTTTTCTCTATCAAAAAACTATTCTGCTTTTTTGTGAAACAGATTGTGTTCTTAACTTTCAGAAATGCCCTTATGTTTAATTACAATGTCACTAGTTTTCCAGTCATGAGTAACTCATCTTCATGGAGGCCCCCACAGTAGCAGAATTTGAGGCATTGTTAATCATTATGTTTGTAAATTTAATTCCATGCTAGTCTCATAATTCTTACTCATCAGATGAAGATGAAGATGATGATAATAGCAAACACCTATGTAGTGCTTACCATGGCCAGGGACAGTTTTTATATACTGTGCAAATGCAAAGTGTTCCAGAATTCCAAACCTTTTGAGAGCTGACAGTGGTCAAAGGAAATGCTCTTTGGAGCGTTTTGAATTTTCGGATTTAGGATGCTGAAGCAGTAAGTATATAATGCAAATGTTCCAAAATCTGAAAAGATAAAAAATCTGAAACACTTTTGGGCCCAAGCATTTTGAAAAAGGGACCCACAATCTGTAAAGAGAGAAAGAGAATAACATGTGCATATATATATATTAAAATAAACATGTATAAAATATGTATGTAATATTCTCAGCAACCCCAAGAGAGTGGAGGTTATTATCAGTATTTTACAGATGAGGAAACTAGGCACAGAACAGGTATAAACCTTTTCCTGGGTAACACAGTTACTAAGTGGAGCAGAGATTCAAACCCACATGATTTGAAATCCTCCAGGGCCCACACTCTTGATCATAAAGTTTTACAACTTGTCGAGGGCAAGGTCATTGTTCTTTGCATTCTTAGGAATCTTAGAATAAATAATGAGAATTATTAGCTGAGCAGTTACTGAGTAACGGAGGCTGGAGCATCTTTCCAGGCCAAAGAGGAGGGACAAAGGGCACATATCGGAGTAGGAAGAAACATTTATTTCTTTTTCCCTTGTGTATGTTTATAGAATAGAGAACCTCAGTTTGGGCTATTGCTATTTTTCTAATACTACCAAGCACAGGGATATTTAAAAAAAAAAAAAAAAAAAAAAAAAACCTGGTCGAGGAATCCTAAAAACCTAGTCGAGGGGTCTTAGGGATGACATAGGGTTATAGCCTCAATCTATCACTTATTAACCATGGAACTCAGCAAGTTGCCTCGCCATCAGTTTTCTCCTCCATAATATAGAGGAGAGGGGAAAGGAAGGGCTATGATGATCACATGAAATTATAATTAATACCACATAAATTATATAAAACTATGCAGTTGTCAACCTTTCATTATAACTTATGATTCAACTTAAAATATGTGATCCTTATGGCCTTAATTAAGCTTAGTTTCCCACAAAAGTATGTGTGTTTAAGTAGAAGGCAATATTTGTGGTTTTTAATCATACTTAGCTGCTTGAGTGCTTAAATTGTCATCTCTTAAGAATTTCCTGTCACATGATTAAGTTTAGGTTCCATGATCCCAGCTGAAAGATTTCCTTGTTTTTTGGTCCAAACTAGCAGGAGCACTAAATGGCTAAGGTGATATTTGAGGTCTGGAGCTAATAATGTAAATTATCTTGTTAGGATGTTAAATACTGAAAATATTCCTTAGTTTCCACAAACACTGATTGCTTTTCAACCTTGGGCACAGTATAAGCAGATGACAGAGGGGGAGCTTCAGGAATGCTACTGGTAATAATAGATACCATATGAATGGAGTGGCCAAACCCAAGGGGCCACACCAGCTTACAAGCGCCGTATGGGCTCATTTATCTACAGTGGGGTTTGAGCACAGCTATGATGAATAAACTCCCTGGTGTATTTCTTTCTCTTTTTTTCTTAATTCTTTTTCAAAATTAGATACCTCCTCATTCAGGGAGAGCAAGACCCGTGGTTTGGATCAACCTATCTTACATATTTGAAGAGCCCTGGCGCCAGTACTCTAAGCAGTTGATTTATGCTGGTCAGACCATATCCAGAATGTTATATTTGGACTGGGGTGGGAAGGGGGATGCATATTAAGGTCATTGGTAACTGGAATGTGAGCAGGACTGTGAGCTCTCTGCAGATGCCATTGTGAGGAGCTTTAAGGGACTGAGTGGTTTCACTTGGAAAAAGGAAAGATGGTGGAAGAGGGGATAGAGGAACACAGTCTTGGCATTTCTCTATAGGTTTTTCAGGAGCTGCTGATTTGGAAAGGGAATTGGACTTGTTTCCTGCAGCTCTAGTCTCTTAGGTCTTAGTTGCCACATTTGTACAATCAGGGATTGGATTGTTTTTCAAAGGTCTCTCTCCGGGCCACAGTCCTAAGACTAACCAGGTTTCATGACTGGGTGGCCCTGGAAGGCAGGCCTCTCAGAGTGAGCTCCTGTTTGAGAATGGAATGTGCCAATATTGTACTCTCCAAAAGAAATTTAATATGAGCCACATGTAATTTTAACTTTTCTAGAAGCCTTATTTTAAAAAGAAATAGATGAAATTAATTCTAATAATATATTTTATTTAACCCAATATATCCAAAAATATTTAAATATGTAATAAATGTAAAAAATTGATGAAATATTTTACATTCTTTGTTTCATACAACATCTTCAAAATCCAGTGTGTGTTTCACACAGCACATCTCAGTTTGTACTAGCCATGTCTCAAGTGCTCAAGTGCCACCTGTGGCCAGTGGCGGCCATCATGGGCAGCACAGCTTTAACGACCATGTGAGTGCTTACCATGTGCCAGACCTCACAGAAGGCTTTAGATCTTTTCATCCAATCCTTGCATCAGTCCTGAGAGATTCCTGTTTTATAAACGAAAAAACAAAACCTACAAGGATTATATAACTTGCACAAATCCACATGGCTAATATGCAACAAGAGTCCAAGCCAAGACAGATTTGGCTTTAAATCTGTCCGTCCCCGTCGTCCTTAAGCACTAGACACACTGTAGTGGGAGGGAGGTGGGTTCCCTGTCATGGGACTGGATGGTTACTTATGTCTGAGGTAGAACTTTGGCAATGAATTCCACAGGCCTGGTGTACAGTAGAAGTCCAAGGGAAACAGGCTGTGTGAGCAGTTTGTCCTCCAGCAACTCTTGAGCAAATAAACATTCTTTGTCTTTGGTGGGGCACGTTTTATTGACTCCAGTCATTTGGTCATTGCACAGCTTCTCTAAAGAACTAGAAGTTCCCTAGAAACTGTATATCACAATTAGTTCTGAGAATACTATTTCAAACAAGAAAGTTACTATATTGACATTTTTTAAATCATCCAAAGCTTTTATTTTTAACTCAGTGTTCCTGTTTAATACATTGATGATGATGGCTGGAGGAAGGTGGTGTGTAGGAAGGAAAGGATACATTGCTTTCTCAGCCACAGCCGCTTTAGGAAACATGCCATCCCCCACGTGGCTGTAATTAGCTGTGGGCCCACCTTTGAGTCTCTGTGGAGTATTTAGCTGTGCATTCCCAGACAGCCTGTAAATCCCCAGCAGCAAAGGGTCATGGGGCCAGAGGAAATGGTTCTCCAAAGGCTAGGGGGAAGGGAGGCAAGGAAGACACATTGTGATTGTTCTTTTCACACAGACTTCTGATAAATAGGAAATGAGAAAAATGATGTTTACAGATGGCTTATTGGATTTTATCCTATTTTCAAAAGTAATATATTTGTAATTAACTTGAAGGGTTTTCTCTGTCATTTGGGAGTAGTTGCCCATATCCTTCAAAATGTGAAAATTTTGTTCTCATTTCTAAATTTCATGCTACATGAACATTTCCTGCTAGAGTTTAGGAAGAAAAATTAGTCATTCAGTGATATCATGTAATGACTCTGAAATAACTAAAGTTAAATGCAATAACGGGACTACAGTAAAAGTGAAACTTCAGATGTCAATTAGACCAGTGTATGTATAATTTAAACAAACTTTTGTCTGTGTTTCCTTTTCTTCTTTCTTTTCTTTCTTTCTATCTATCTATCTAGATATCTATCTGAGATGGTATCTCACTCTGTCACCCAGGCTGGAGTGCAGTGGCACGATTTCAGCTTACTGCAACCTCTGCCTCCCGGGTTTAAGCAATTCTCACACTTAGGCCTCCTGAGCAGCTGGAATTACAGGCACATGCCACCATGCCCAGCTAATTTTTGTATCCTTAGTAGGGATGGGGTTTCGCCATGTTGGCCAGGGTGGTCTGGAACTTCTGACCGCAGGTGATCCGCCCACCTCGGCCTCCCAACATGCTGGGATTACAGGAGTGAGCCACCGCGCCTGGCCCTTTTTTTTCTTTTTAGAAGGAAAGCCTTTTCCAATAATACTGTTTCCACCTTATGTAAAAGTGAGCAAATTTGACCCTTTAGCTTTTATGTTAAAACCTTTGTACGTAATTACATAACATGATGCCTCCCTAGGAAGTGGTGGCCAATTGCCATAAAGAACACCTATGAGAGAACTACGGTTTTCGTACTTCCAGAAGAATTTTCCAGCTCTTTACTGTTTACTGAGAAGCTCTTCTATTCTCTTCCACCTGAAGACTGGAAGAAGACCTAACAAATAGGTTTCTTTGTTAACCCTATTTGTTAGTTGCTCAGGCCCTTGAACACCATCCTCCTCGCTGCTGTGTCAGCTGACAGACCAAGCCTCCACAGCCCACACTGAACGTTCGCTCCCACTGGTCTTCAGACTCTTTAATAGCTTTCTGATAGTAGGAAAGGTAACAGTTGGTCTGGCTCCTAAAGGCTTATGAGGTATTAAGCCAGCTCAGAAGTCTAGGTGCTATTAAAGTCAGGAAAGGAGAATATTAGATATCATTCCTGCACTCTGCAGTAGCAGGCCATATCAGCAGCACTTGCTCCCCCTGCCCATCAAAAAGTAGTCTCCGTCTAAAAAAGAAGGAAAAGTATTTAGAGAGGAAATCTTGTGATACACTTGTGCCCATGTTACTGACAGTATAATGCTACAACATCAAGCACAGAAAGCCCAGACTTTGATTATCAAGCATTCATAAACTTTCAGGAGCCTTATAGCAGACCTGGTGAATATCCGCAAGAATGTTTTATTTTAAGGTATTATCTTTGAAGCTTCAGTATTGTATGTGTTTGTGCACTCTCTTAGGAGAAACAGATTTTTGTGCATAAGGACTACAGTCTGAAAGTCTGTCTCTTTCTCTGGTTTGTTAAGGACCAAGAAGCTGATAATTGATGTGATCCGGAACCAGCCAGGGAACACATTGACAGAAATCTTAGAGACACCAGCAACTGCGCAACAGGTAATTTGACTTTAAGTGTAAAATAATAATAGACAGGTGTTGATTTTCTTCATAAATCTTTATGCCATATGTTTATTATCTCAGAGAAACTGTATCTGACATGGTCCGGAAGTAAGGAATTTTATCTATTACTGCAGTGGACTTAGTTCAGCCATATATAAACCTGTATGAAGTATCAATGGGAATGAAATAGAAAATACAGCACCAAATTCATGCCGAATATACTTTTGTCTTAACCTAGGATGATAGTTCTGGGTTTTTCAAAGCCCGGAAATGTTCATCATAATGGGCAAATAAGTCAGTTGAGAGAGTTCTAGCTGACAGGATATTGAAAAATACCTTTCACATTTTATGTATTTACTAACTTGAAACAAATAAGCGACTCACATGTTAAAGATGTTTTCCAAATGCTTCAGAAGCAAATGTTGAGTCCACTGAGTCAAAGCATCATTATGTTAGCGTAAGTGAGGTTTCACAACAATCTTGCATTTAGCTTTTTATTAACATCTTTGAAAATACGTCATTGTTCGTTCTAAAATAAATTCAAGGTTGTTATTTTAGTACCAATAATTGCCGCTCCCTAAACAAAAGTTAATTATTTAATTAACTATTTCTTAGCACAGCTACACATAATTTTCCTGGATCATTCTTAATTTAATTGATTGCCAAGGAATCCTTGTAATAGTTTTTAATTTAAAAAATATAAAAGGCTGGGCATGGTGGCTCATGTCTGTAATCCCAATACTTTGGAAGGCTGAGGTGTGTAGATCACTTGAGCCCAGGAGTTCAACACCAGCCTGGACAACACAGTGAGACCCCCATCTCTAATTTTTAAAAATTTTTAATAAAAAATGTAAAGCAAAACTTCAAATCACACGTTTGTTAATATGTGGGTATGTTTTAAACAATGTGGGTAAAATATTATACTAGGTTAGTATAAAAGACTTTTACTCCTTACTATTTTTCATTTTCCCCTAAATGTATCATGAATAAGTGACTAAGAACACAGACTTCTGAGATCAACTATACCTCTGCACCTCCTAGGTGTGTAACTCTGTGCACTTAGAAGCATTGCTGTGCCGCAGTTTCCTCAACTGTAAAATGGGTATAATAATAGTACCCAGCTCACAGGCAGGATTAAGTCAATTAAACATGTTAAGTGGGTACATCTGTATCTGGTGCACATTAAGTGCTCAACAATGTTGGCTGCTGCTTTTGTTATTTACTGCTAACCTGGTAATAATGTTCCAATAATATTGACCTACCTGTCCTGTGTCTAAGATTACTGTCCCTAACTAATAGTCGTTTCCTTAGACTTCATCTATTGGGTCAGTCAATTGTCTAGTACAATGAAATGGGAAGACCAATAGTCTCTTTTTGTTACTGTTTCCTTGAACAGACTATCCAAAGAGTATTCATTCATTCATTCATTTACTCATCGTTTGGGAATTTATAATGTGCTAGAATATTCTTATTCCCTTTGGCTCAAAGAAACTTTGCAAGTTTTTCAGAGTTGCTGGTTTGTGATTCCCTTATAAGAATAAAGCTCTCTGACTGCCTTACTGTTGGTTTAGTTTAGGACTCTCCATAAACATGGCTGATGTGTGAGAGTTTAGCTGGGTTCTGAACATTCAGGGTTCTCATAGCCACATTTCAATAGGTAATCTAGTTTTAGTTTCCTCAGCTAGCCTATCCAGGAATTGAAATCCTTCCATGTGGGGAACAAAGTAGCAGTTATCCATTAAAATATGTCCATTACTATAGTGATTTGTCACCTTGGCAATAAAGTAGCTATTGAGAATTTTTCCCAAATAAGGCTTGCTATCGAAAAGATGAAGTAATTCCTTTCAAAGACCTACTTCAAAACTCAGGAAGAACATGTTCTGGTTCTAGTCTCTGAACTTTGGCTGGAGGACTACTTTCATTTTGACATTAACTTGCATTGTGTAGCTTATGAACTGTGAAATTAGGGGATCAGAGAAAACTCAGCATCTTGATATTCTCTTTTCAGGAGGTAGACCATGCCACGGACATGGTGAGCCGTGCAATGATAGATTCCAGGACTCCAGAAGAAATGAAGCATAGCCAATCTATGATTGAAGATGCACAGCTGCCTCTTGAGCAGAAGAAGAGGAAAATCCAGAGGAATCTTCGGACGTTGGAACAGACTGGACACGTGTCATCCGAAAATAAATACCAAGACATTCTCAATGAGATTGCCAAGGTTTTTGGAAACAGTATTCTTTCTTCCTTCACTTAGCAGACATTTGCTAATCACCAGTCAAGTGCTGGGCACTCTGTGAG
The DNA here is from genome assembly GCF_000001405.40 of Homo sapiens. NCBI lineage: Eukaryota > Metazoa > Chordata > Mammalia > Primates > Hominidae > Homo > Homo sapiens. The sequence goes on from NC_000005.10 coordinate 76,695,747, forward strand.
GTGGCATTAGGGATTCATGGTTGCATATGCTGTGGTTACTGCCCTCTTCAATGCTACAGATTTTTCAAGGTTTCAAAGCAGTTGATGACTTTTTTTTTTTTTTTTTTTTTTTGAGTTGGAGCCTCGCTCTGTTGCCCAGGCTGGAGTGCAGTGGCACAATCTCGACTCTCTGCAACTTCCGCCTCCCAGGTTCAAGCGATTCTCCTGCCTCAGCCTCCTGAGTAGCTGGGACTACAGGCACGCACCACCACGCCCAGCTAATTTTTGTATTTTTAGTAGAGACGGGGTTTCACCATGCTGGCCAGGCTGGTCTCGAAATCCTGACCCGGTGATCCACCGGGGCCTCCCAAGCAGTTGATGACTTTTAAGAGAAAACAATCACAACACTTTCATGTCATTAGGAGAGTTGAAACAGACCAGAAATAAATACTAAAAAATGTACTTGACAAGTTTGGTCTATACCTTTAAAGTTTTAAAAATAACACTATTGGAAGAGTTTTCTCCTGAGATGTTAGTTGTCATATAGCTCAGTTGCTCTTAGAACCTGCCACTGAGATGGAACTCTGTGTCCCTGATCATTTGTTTTTAAGCAATTTAGCCTAAATGCAGTTCAGACTTGAAGATTAGTTTCTGTTTTCTTATCCAATATTTTTACACTTGAGAAACTTCCTGAGCAAAGGATCTCAACTTAGTGCAATGAAACATCACAGGAAGTGGCTGAGATCTGTTTGTCAAGGATAAGGAAGTATATATTTGGGTTAGAAGGATATTTCATTCTTTTTATTCAAACATGCAAATTAATATGGATCTAGAGGTTAAAGGCAGTTAAATGACCAGAAAAAAAAAAAATTTCTCACCTTCTGGAAGGGAAATGCGCTCAGCTTTGTTCTTTGATAGAAAATTATGTTCAATTCTGGCAGTAGGCTTATTCCTTCTAGCCCAAGTGACTCAAGGGAAATAACATTTCTTTCTTTAGTTTGGGGGTAGAAATATTTCTATTTGGGAATATGGGGTAGATAAATATATGCTTTTGCTTTAAAAAAGAAAAAGGCTATCATGAAGACATGATATTCTATTTAATGAATATTCTATTATATGAAGAATTTCTATTTAATGAAGAATTCTATTTAATGAAGAATATTCTATTTAATGAAGAAATTTTACCTAAGGGCATGGGGAAGTTGTGGGGGAGTGTATGTGTATGTAGGTATTTCTTTGAATTCCTAGGGGAATGGTTTTTAACTTGTTTACAAAAGAAAAATAATATTAAACAGGCACCGTTTTCTTAAGTCAAACATTTTCATAACTTACCAATTAGAATTATGAAAAAAACTTATATCTGCAAGTTTAAATTTAGCATAGCTCTTGTAAGCTATAAGCAGCTTATGCAACTTAATGTTCTAGGAATTCTATTTAAATCCAAGTAATAGTTATCAATGTTGAATCTTTTCACTCAGTCTTGACAGCCCAGTGTTGTTTTTTCAAACCTTGGGAAATATTTGTCAGATGAAAAAGTTTGTTCTTTTCTTATTTTAAAAATGAATTTAACAATTAAATGTAAACTTTTTTAGTTTAAAGTACTATTCAAAGAGGAATATTCAAAATAGTCTGAAGAGGCTGGGCACAATGTCTCATGCCTATAATCCCAGCACTTCGGGAGGCCGAGGCGGGCAGATCACTTGAGGTCAGGAGTTCAAGACCAGCCTGACCAACATGGTGAAACCCTGTAACTACTAAAAATACAAAAATTAGCCAGGCATATTGGCACGGGCCTGCAGCCCCAGCTACTCAGGAGGCTGAGGCAGGAGAATCGCTTGAACCTGGAGGTAAAGGTTGCAGAGATCAGGCCACTGCACTCCAGCCTGGGTGACAGAGCAAGACTATGTCTAAAAAAAAAAGTCTGAAGAAATTGCATTTCTGCTACTTTGTGCCCCTTTTAAAACGCAATTTTTCCTTAAACTAAATGTGTGGTTATTCTAAAATAACTTCTTTGCCTTTCCATCCAGAGCAAAATTAATGTTAACAAGTCTCTTAAAGTGAAATATGTACACTTTCCAGTTCTGAAGTAAAAAGGGATGGGAACCCTGTGGTGTTGAGAGTAAAATAAGGTGCCTGAGATAAGCTACAAGTCAAGTTACAAATAGCGACTTACTACTGCTTGATATTCTTCTTGTCCCAAACTGGCAATATCATAAAGCAAACTTCTGCTTAAATATGATACCCCTTACTTGTTGTTTTAGGATATTCGAAATCAAAGAATCTATCGTAAGCTTCGAAAAGCTGAATTGGCAAAACTTCAGCAGACCCTGAATGCACTTAACAAGAAGGCAGCATTTTATGAAGAGCAAATCAATTATTATGACACCTACATAAAGACTTGTTTAGACAACTTAAAAAGAAAGTAAGTTAAAATCATGTCATGTTCATTTGTAATGTCATGATTTCTATGAGATGTCAATTCTGTGTTTCTAGGCAGTTGGGTTGGGTATGGAAGAAAACTTTTTGCTCTGTCTTCTAACCGAAAACTAGAGTCTCAGTTTTATTATTTGCCACTGTGAACTAAGAAGTCAGGAGTAAGTGAAAGCTTTTCAATTCCCCACCAGCACTAGAATTAAAGTGGCTTACCTGTTGTATATTGAGCAAATAGCATTAGTAAGTTAGGGAAGCACTTTCATTATTCCTTTTGTCTTTTTTAGCCAAAGATTTTTTTAAATACTATTATTTTTAAAGTCTCTTGTTTTTGGAATGTATTTTATATAATTGATAATATTAGATAATGCCAGGTGTTTGCTAATTGCACAGAGCAGCTGAATGTTTTTAAATTGCTTCATGGTTTTAAAAAATTATTGACACAACTGGCAAAATTTGGCAGCTGTCTATTATCCATTAGCATAAGTATTATAGGTTTTTATATACAGTATAGCCATTTTTAATGAATATCCTTTGCTTAGTAATTATTCTTATCACTAGACTATGATCAATGCTAGTTAAATTTTAATTACCCATTTAAATATGTAGTACAATATTTTTATATAATCCTTGTCATCAAATTGGCAGGAGGAAATGGTGCTGTATGGAAAAATCTGTTGCATTAATCATAGATCTTTTAAATTTTATTGCAAATTGACTATAATTTTATGTATTCCTGGGGTACAAGGTGATGTTATCATTTATTATTACAATGTGAAATAATTAATTCATATATGCATCACCTCAAATACTTAGTTTTTGTGATAAGAACACTTGAAATTTACTCCTAGCAGTTTTTAAATGTGCAATACATTATTATTAGCTATATTCACCACACTGTGCAATAGATTTCAAAAAAAAACTGATTCCTCCTAAGATTTCATATCCTTTGACCATCATCTCCCCGTTTCCCCCACCCTCCAGCCTCTGAAACCACCATTCTATTCTGCTTCTATGAGTTCAACTTTTTTAGATTCCACATATAAGCGAGAACATGTGGTATTTGCCTTTCTGTGCCTGGCCTATTTCACTTAGCATAGTGTCCTCTAATTCTGTCCACATTGCCCCAAATGTCAGAATTTCTTTGTTTTAGGGCCGAATAGTATTCTTCTGTGTGTATATATACCACATTTTCTTTACCTGTTCATCTGTTAGTAGATTCTTAGGTTGATTTCATAACTTAGCTAACGTGTGAGTAGTGCTGCAATGAAGATGGGAGTGCAGACATCTCTTTGACAAACTGATTTCACATCTTGGAGTAAACACCCAGAAGTTGGATTGCTGAAATCACAGAAGATTTGATAAAGGGATGCAGCCACATTTAAACCTTATTGATTTGGCTCCCACTAGTCCTGAATTTTAGTTCATTTGCTTCAGGCTTCTCTCTGTTTCTCTCTCTCTCTCTCTCTCTCTCTCTCTCTCTCTCTCTCTCTCTCTCTCTCTCTCACTCTCGTGCTCTCTCTCTCTCCATATATAGTTCATTTGCTTCAGGCTTCTCTCTGTTTCTCTCTCTCTCTCTCTCACTCTCACTCTCGTGCTCTCTCTCTCTCCATATATAGTTCATTTGCTTCAGGCTTCTTTCTGTTTCTCTCTCTCTCTCTCTCTCTCTCTCTCTCTCTCTCTCTCTCTCACTCTCGTGCTCTCTCTCTCTCCATATATAGTTCATTTGCTTCAGGCTTCTTTCTGTTTCTCTCTCTCTCTCTCTCTCTCTCTCTCTCTCTCTCTCTCACTCTCGTGCTCTCTCTCTCTATATATATATATATACAAAAATACACTAAATATGTATATACACACACTACATATAGTGTGCATATGCACTTATAATTACATAAACATATACACTATACACTAAATATAGGAAGGAAGGAAGAATATATACATATACATGCAAGGAAGAAGTTGGTCAAGCTTACTTTCAGTAGAAATGAGATTGTTAGGGATTTACTTTAAGGCATTTCACACAAGATCCACAGTCGGGCGAATTGGATTTGGGTTCTGATTCTCTCTTATGTCGTGTGATCTTGAGCCCAGTTCAGTGAACTTTGAGCCTCAGTTTTCTCATCCTTAAGGTGGAATTAAGAGTACCAGCCTCACCAGCTTGGCTGACGTGGCGAAACTCCTTCTCCTCTAAAAATACAAAAATTCGCCGGATGTGGTGGCATGTGCCTGTAATCCCAGCTGGAGGTTGAGGCAGGAGAATCACTTGAACCCGGGAGGCAGAGGTTGCAGTGAGCCAAGATCACGCCACTGCACTCCAGCCTGGGCAATAGAGCAAGATTCCATCTCAAAACAAAACAAAAAACCTCCCCCCAAAAAAGCAAAGAGTACCAGACTCACAAGTATGGTTATGAGAGCTACATGATATAGTATATAGCAAAGGAATTTATTAGTTTAAAAGTACTATGGAAATGTTAATTTTGGAAATGTGAGGTAATATTTATAAGGCACTTAGAACAATGCTAGCCACATAGTGTTTGTTAAATAGATTAAAACAGTCCTAGTAATATCGTTATCTAGGAATACACAGTTCATGTTATTGCACCAAAGCTACTTCTGAAATGACTAAAGATAGCCACTTGGTTCAATATACCTGAGAAAATAGAGTGTAAGTTTTATTAAAAATGTTAGTCTGTAATGCAAACTTCAGTCACTTGGGAAATCCCTTTCCCCACAAACAGTTTAGTAGTGAAGTTGCACTCTATGGACAAAATTACCTACTATCACAAAATAAAAAAGTGTATATTCAGCGCTCTGAGGGCCAGGTATGAACAGCGATGTCACTCTGAGTATGGTAATCGCACTACCAGAAGCCTCTGCATTTGCCATCATAACAACAAATGTTCTGTTCTTATTTTGTCAGAAATACTCGGAGATCAATTAAACTAGATGGAAAAGGAGAACCCAAAGGGGCGAAGAGAGCGAAGCCAGTGAAGTACACTGCAGCAAAGCTGCATGAGAAAGGTGTCCTGCTAGATATAGATGATCTTCAAACAAACCAGTAAGTGTGACCTGGAATCTGCATAGAACACGCATGCCATTTGATTTCTTGTGGCCTTGGAGAGAGCTCCATTTGGTCTAGCAAGGCTTAACCTCAATTACTGATGGGTGACAAGGGAAGAATACACAAATTGTTATGGCTACTCTTCCCTTGGCCTCAGCATCTGGTGCTGTCAGTCATATGTAGTGTTGATCAGTGGTTGTCTTTCCCGTGGCTTGTGCAATATGTTTGGATTGGTGAACCTCCAGAACTGAGTCATAGCAATGAGAGTAAAAGGCTGTCTTTTGGTCTTGATGGATGAATTATCTACCATTGCAAAATAGCACCTTTCTCATTTAAAATAGGCTGTGCCAACCCCTGGATCAGAGCCATTTCCAAAGCATGCTGTGAGTGTGTGTATTCGGTGTAGTGGAAAAAACAAACCCTCCTTCACAGCCCCACATCAGGCACCATGTGCTGCCTCCTTTTAAAGGGGTCATGAGCCCAGTGTTCCATCACTTTCTTGTCCTAAAATCTCAAGGGAAGCCAGACTCACTGGCATTTGCCTTTTCTTTAACTCCTGCCTTCCTTCAAAGCCTGACTTCTGTTTATCCCATGAAACCTCCTGACAACACCAACTCAGAAGAAAATGCTTCTTCCAGAGATGGAGTCTCACTCTGCGGCCCAGGCTGGAGTGCAGTGGTGGGATCTTGGCTCACTGCAACCTCCACCTCCCAGGTTCAAGCGATTCTCCTGCCTCAGCCTCGCGAGTAGCTGGGATTACAGGCACATGCCACCGCCCAGCTAATTTTTGTATTTTTAGTAAAGATGGGGTTTCACCATGTTGGCCAGGTGATCCGCCCGCCTCGGCCTCTGAAAGTGCTGGGATTACAGGCGTGAGCGACTGCGCCTGGCCTGAAGTTTCTATAAAAGTTATCATCTGAAATACTCAATTGGCTATAGGTCAATAATGTTCATGTTCTGTGACTCACATATTTCCAATTATGTTTTATGCTCTTGAAGAGCAAGGACCGTATCTTCTATTTCTTTTGTAATAAAGCACCTATGTCAGAACTCTATGAGCTACAGATCTCAACAATAGCCATCAAACCTAGTGTTTGGAGAGCAGAATTGGGGGAAAGATGACGTGAGGTTTTTGGTGACTTCCTTAGGATTTTCTCAACAAGCCATTATTTAAAAATGATTATTTGAGATTCCATTAGTTTGTTTCAGCTTTAAGCACATCTGTATTTGTAATTTCTCATGTATGAATGTTCCTTTCTTCACAGGTTTAAGAATGTTACATTTGATATCATAGCTACTGAAGATGTAGGCATTTTCGATGTAAGATCAAAATTCCTTGGTGTTGAGATGGAAAAGGTGCAACTCAATATTCAGGTAAGCTGCTGGAATTTCTGCACATTGATGATAAATTTTATATGTGGATCATACATTGCTACCCTGGCTCTCTCTCTTCAGGACAACAATAAAGTTTAACAGAAAACCAGTGCCAGCCTTATTTGCCAATATTTGTTAAGTGTTGATGATTTTTAAGAGCTGTGACTTTTCAAATGATTGGAAATTGATATGCTTCTAGCTGGCAAACCATAGCAGTCAGTTTCTCTAAGCCATGTTTCCATTTTAAAGCTTAGACAAAAGAATATAATTTAAAAGTATTCAGAGCTATTAAATAAATGCTATAAATTTTCCTTTTATTGGAAACTTGCATTTCTTTCTAAGACTATGTATGCCCAGGACTGGAACTTTCATGATCTCATTTTTCCCTCTCTCCTAGAATGGTTTTTCTTTTTTGTGGGGGGAGGGGGTGGGGGTGGGGCATTGAGAAGGGGTCTTGCTCTGTCGCCCAGGCTGGAATACAGTGGCATGTATGCCCAGGACTGGAACTTTCATGATCTCATTTTTCCCTCTTTCCTAGAATGGTTTTTCTTTTTTGTGGGGGGAGGGGGTGGGGGGGGGCATTGAGAAAGGGTCTTGCTCTGTCGCCCAGGCTGGAATACAGTGGCACAATCATGGTTCACTGCAGCCTCAACCTCCTGGGCTCAAGCGATCCTCCTGCTTCAGCCTCTCGAGTAACTGGTACTACAGGCACACACCACCACATCTGGCTAATTTCTGTATTTTTTGTAGAGACAGGGTTTCACCACGTTGCCCAGGCTTGTCTTAGACTACTGGGCTCAAGTGATCTGCCTGGCTTAGCCTCCAAAAGTGCTGGGATTACAGGCATTAGCCACCACACCTGGCCCCTAGAATAGTTTTTACGTCAATTTATTAACTCTATTTGTCAAATGCTTGGGATCACAGGAATGAAAGGCATTATGCAAAACAGATATCTATACATAGAAAAATGGTGTTTGCAATATAAATTATCGTTATTTTATCATAAGAGCCACATTTAAGCCAAATACACGTAAATGAAAACCGAGAAATCCAGTTTCTGTGCAAAAAAAAAAAAAAAGAGAGCACTGCAAACAAATGTTCATCTGCCCCCAACTTCTTAATCCTTAGCACAAAACCAATTTAAAGAAGTAATTTATTTTTCTTTTTTGATGTAACACTTTTTAAATGGAAATAACATCTTACCTGGGCCCCAAACTACTTACAAAATGGTTTCCAGGTATTTTGCATATGTTTACATGAATCATCTCACTAAGATCCTGAGAGTGATGTGAATTCTGGCCTCACTGTCTGTGCAGCCCAGGGCTCCATGCACTGGAATTACTTCCCCATCATGGGAGTGTGTGCCAGAGCCCTTCTTTTCTGGCAGCCCTTGTAAGTTTAAAAGAAAAACGGGAGCTGAATGGGTTTGATAAGGACATTGAGATAATGGAGTAAATTAGAATTCGGAGATAAGATGAAAGCTATTATGTAATTATTGAAAGTATAATTAAGTAAACAGTATTGTTTTCTAACTTACTTTAAATGTCACTAAATGTATCCATTTAATAATTTAGCTAATTAGGGTCTTCAGTTATTTTGTGTAACAGATAAATACAGGAAGAGAAAAGAAGGTGCTTGTGGTGATACCCTTTGGTTAGTGATTCCTCTGTAGAAATAGCAAAAGACATATGTGATTGCCAAGAAGGAAATTATCCAGGGCCAGTCAATATCAACTGGACCAATGAGTCACAAGTGACCAGGAGACACCTTATATTGTGTTTAGAGAGAAAGCAATAATTCCATGAGACTTCCTTTGAGTACTGGTATAAAAACCAAGCTTCACTTGTTCCTTTGTTAAGGATTCTGTATACAGTAAGATTAGCTGTTCATACCATTCATTTATACACATAATGGATTGTGAAATGTTAATCCTTAGCTATATGCAGGTGACCAGTATGTCCTGGGTTTTTTAAATCAGTAGTGCATAATCAGAACTGGCTACATCCTTAGCAGGGCTCAGAGCAAAATAAAAATGCAGTGCCCTGTTTTTAAAATTATTAAGGATTTTAGGATGATGACAGAAGAGAATAAAACCCTGGGCATGGGACCCTGTGCGGCTGCACAGATTGCATACCCACGGAGCCAGCCCTGCATTTGATAGCTGTCAGATGTAAAGGCAGACTTCTATTTATATATGCAGCTTTCAGTCAATTGCATGAATGTGTAAATTGTCAAAGAGAAATGTGATGGCCAGGTCCTTACTGTGAGTAAAGGACCAGGAACAGGACCAAAGTTTGAAAGGACTAAAGAAAGCCCCTTCTAACATTACAGCTCTATGTCTCTTGGTTATCTTCAGCCCATTTTCCCTTCAGTTCCTAAAGAAAACCATAGGATAGAATTATATCCTATAATTATAGGCCATATAGGTAACAGGAGGATATGACTTATGTGATATATATTCTTCTTGTAAAAATAATGTCAGGTATTTATCGGGGACTGCAGGGTGGGCCTTCTTCCTCTCCTAGATGAAGAACTGAGGTTCAGACAGCTAATTATGGAAGATAATTAGCTGGGATAATTATGGAAGATAATGCAGCTGGGATCCAAGTTCTTCATCACTCTAGTCCACTGCCTGTCTCATAGGATTCCAGTTGATCCTGCAAGACAAGAGTAGCTTACAAAGGGTTTGCATATACCTTAATCTCATATCTCATTCCCAGTAGCACCCTTGTGAAATTGGCAGTGTTATCCCCAATTTACACACAGGGAAACAGAACTTCAGAGAAGTTATGTCATGTTGCAAGGTCTTAAGATAGCAAATGGCAGAGCTAAAACTAAAGTCTGCTTTTCAAGTCATGAGTCCAGCCATGTTTTCTCTGCTCCCTACTTTGGGGACCCAGCTACTTCCCCTACATATGCCATTCCTTTTCAATCTAACTCTATTGGTTTAATTCTTTTCCACTAGACTTTGTTTAACAGATGTTGCATTTCCCAGAGGAAAAGTGAATCTCCTCTACACTCTAAATAGCTAAAAGTATTATTGATGAAAGGACTTCAATTCCCTATAGAATTTTAGTTCTAGAAGCATATCTGAATAATGTAGGGGTTTTCTTAAGTGCAGTGAGAGGTAATTGAGGAAGTGGAGGAGGAAGCTGCCAAGAGTCAGAGTTCTCTCAAAGATGACTCCAACTTCTACAATTGACCTTGCTAGAAACAAGAAAATGAGACTTAGATATTGGGCCAGGACAGCTCAGGAATTATATCTTCCATTGGGAAAGGCTTCCTGTACCTATGTTACTATGAAATGTTACAGCTTAGTTTCATGCATATGGCTGGTGTGATCCAGTTACTTATTTTAAAAAGAGAGTTGATTTCCTTTGTTTATATGCTGGCAGTGAAAAACAGAATGACAGTTCGACTTAAGAATGAGGGCTTGTTCTCAGTACAGAAACAGAAGTAGCCTAGTTCAAGAAGTGCGGACCACCGCTTTGTACAATGGTCTCCAAACTTTGGTCACTTCATCAGGAAATAGTATGAGCACTTCTCTCCATACATAGTTATTTGTAAAGTATACATGCTTCTGCTATTGTACTCTAAAACGTGCTGTATTATATACCAAAAAAGTCCAAAAAATGAGAAAAAATAAATAGAAATAGGAGTTCTAATATTCTTTTTGCTTCCCCAGTGAATGTCTTGCTCACTTCACTTTAAAAAAACACTGCTTTCTGTGTTTTTGTTTTTGTTTTTGTTTTTGTTTTTGTTTTTCGGGTTTTTTGAGACAGAGTCTTTCTCTGTCGCTGAGGCTGGAGTACAGCAGTGCAATCTCGGCTCGCTGCAATCTCTGCCTACTCTGTTCAAGTGATTTTCCTGCCTCAGCCTCCTGAGTAGCTGGGATTACAAGTGTGCACCACCACGCCCAGCTAATTTTTGTATTTTTAGTAGAGATGGGGTTTCGCCATGTTGGCCAGGCTGGTCTCACTCTCCTGACCTCAAGTGATCCACCTGCCTCAGCCTCTCAAACTGCTGGTATTACAGGAATGAGCCACCACACCCAGCCAGAAAACACTGCTTTCTAAAGAATATGCATCTAGCCAGAACTTTGTGTTTTAACATTTTCGATTAAAAATTGAAATTATATATCTGACATTAACTTAATGATCATCATTTACTTTCATACAGCCCTTATCAATTCCAAAAAGCTATTTTCTTTCATCTAAGTCACAATCACTTGGGAATTTATTAAAATGCAAATTGATGGGCCCCACCAGAGAGCTACATAACAAGAAATTCCTGTGGGAGGAGCCCAGGCAGCCTTTATTTTAACTAGCCTATGTTTTTAACCAGATGATTCTGATGTACACTTAAGTTTTAGAACCCCCATCTATGGCCTGGTGCCATGGCATGCGCCTGTAGTCCTGGCTACTCGGGAGGCTGAGGTGGGAAGATAGCTTAAGCCAGGAGTTTGAGACCAACCTGGGCAACATAGTTAGACCCCACCCAGGTGATTAGGTCAATTGAATCTGACTTTTGTCAACAAATTCTTCTAATATGTTTTTTAAATGCACAAAATGTCAAAGTTGAGATTTAATGATGCTTTTTACAATTTCAGGATTTACTTCAGATGCAATATGAAGGAGTAGCTGTAATGAAAATGTTTGATAAGGTTAAAGTGAATGTAAACCTTCTCATATACCTGCTGAACAAGAAGTTCTATGGAAAGTGAAGTGCCTACAGAAATTTCTTGGATTCTGTATCATCTGGATTAGGAAATGAATTTGTTTAATATTTTTGTTTTTAAACATGATTGAAATCACTGCTTATAAATGTGTGATTTTTTTAAAACGACCAAAACTGTTCTGAAGAATGTACCCAGGTGCCTTTTTGCTAATTTGATACTATAATAGAATGAGACATAAAATGAATTAATGGAAACATATCCACACTGTACTGTGATATAGGTACTCTGATTTAAAACTTTGGACATCCTGTGATCTGTTTTAAAGTTGGGGGGTGGGAAATTTAGCTGACTAGGGACAAACATGTAAACCTATTTTCCTATGAAAAAAATTTTAAATGTCCCACTTGAATAACGTAATTCTTCATAGTTTTTTTAATCTATGGATAAATGGAAACCTAATTATTTGTAATGAATTATTTAGACAGTTCTAAGCCCTGTCTTCTGGGAGTTATCAATTTTAAAGAGAACTTTTGTGCAATTCAAATGAAGTTTTTATAAGTAATTGAAAATGACAACACAATAACACTTTCTGTATAAAAGTATATATTTTATGTGATTTATTCCTACTAAATGAAAGTGCACTACTGCCTCATGTAAAGACTCTTGCACGCAGAGCCTTTAAGTGACTAAGGAACAACATAGATAGTGAGCATAGTCCCCACCTCCACCCCTCACAATTTATTTGAATACTTCAATTGTGCCTCTCAATTTTTTGTAATGCTAAAAAATCAGTATCTAGATGGTTTTTAAATGTATTCTCTGGAAATTGTTTTATGTAAAATAAATGTTACTTAATTCCATTAATTTGGCTTTTAAGTTGTCTTAATAAATCAAAGTCATTTAGTGGGTAGGGGAAGATTCTTGGTCGGGTTTGTTAGGAGAGAATACATTTCTTGCTGTACTGGTTAAAGTAGAGAGCAAGCTGCTGTAAGGAAAAGATACAAAACCCTGGTGTCTAAAACAAGGGGTAGAAGTTTGTTTTTCTCAAATTCAGCTCAACGGTGAGCAGATCCACAAGGTAAAGAGTTTCCAGGTGGGTCAGTTGGCTCTGTCCTTGTACTGATTCCCCCCAGCCAGATGAGGAAGAGGATGACGAAGAAGTCCAGGGCAAGCCTTTTCAGTTATACGCATCACTTTAACTTCCACTTACATTGTATTGGCCAAAACTGAGTCATGTGGACACAGCTAGCTAAAGATAGTCCCTAACTAGGCAGCCATGTAGCCAGTGAATACAGAGAGGTAGAGAGGGAATTGGGTCTGTTATTAAAAGGAAGAAAAGGAGTGTGATTCCTGCTGACAGTTTAGGAGTCTTCACCACAAAAGGATTCCAGACTCTCAGGCTGGAACCTCCCTGCCACTTTGTTCATGCCTGCAACAGGCTTTATTTTTTCACAAATTGCAAAATATTGAGAAAGTAGGTTAGTTTATGTACATGTGGCACAAATAAACTTGAAGGGTAAGACCAACAGAATTTGGAAAATTCAAATTAAAAAAAGTAAAATCTGCTACTTTAGTGATGGTTTCAGGCTATGTATATTTTTTTGACAAAGAGATGAATAGCTTAAAACAATGCTCACTATCTCAACAGTTTGCGGGTATGTATGTTTTGTAATGCATTAGCCTTAATGCAGGCTTTGGTAGAAGGAATTAAATATACAGTTAAGTTTCACGTTGAAAATAAACCTCCCTCTTGCCCTACTGCTAGCATTGGAAAGGGGAACAGGAGCCAGGGGCAATGAGGGGTGGGCAGGGTAAGCTTCCTTCTTGCTCCGGGCAAGGCTTTTAGTGGAAATGTATAGAAGGAGCCAAAATTAGGGAGCAATGTTTTGGAGGCAAAAGCCAGCCTTTCCCAGCATCTCTGAAAGGAGCTTATCTTAACTTATTGCAACACTGAATGATATGCTTGAATGTTATTTGTACGAATAAAGATATTTGCATCATGTCAATACCTTCAAGGAACGCTGTGAATGATTTCTCTGTTGGCCCACAAGATGAGGTTATTGTTGAAGACATCACCAATTGCTATTTGTGTGAGATCTTTAAGCGGTATGAATGGGTGACCTGAGAAGAAGGCTCATGATGAAGGAACAAAACCAAGGGCCATCGGGGCCTGGGTGTAGCAGACTTCAGTTTACAGAGATTTGTTGGAGCCAAGTCCTGTGCTACTCTTTAAGAGGACTAAACTGTCCCTCAAGCCAGAGGACAATTCTTGATAACCCTGAGCCTGAGCCACTAAGGACTCCAACTTCCTCCCAGAGCCCATAGATTTTTCTTACTCAATGGAAAAGGTTTTTTGTTGTTTGGGTTTTTTGTTTGCTTGCTTTTTTGCTTTTAAACACTGAGCAATTGGAACTATAACTTATTTTTGCAAAACTGACTCCTGTATTTTGATTATTTTGATTATTTTGATCTTAAAAGCAAAAAGTACTTATGCAACACTATAGGTGCTCTCAAAGGATATGCTTTAGTGGTCTTCAGGAGAAGGAAAATATGTGTATGCTTTATTCTGAAAGTTAGTGGTGAAGAAAGACCAGCTTGGTGTGACCGTTGTCTGATATGAATGATCTCAACTATAATTATACGTTAGTGTTTGTGTGTGGTTGGGCACAAATTAGAAATGCTATTCATGATGTGATTTTTATGACTTTGTCATTAAGTAGGGATTTGTGGTATTCCTCAAACATTCCAAGAGGCAAACCACAAAACTCTGAATGGTGAAAGTTGTCTTTATTTTGAAAAATTATAGTGAGCACTGGATGTTCTTATTGCTGGTTAGCTTTTTGAAAAATCTATTGCCAATGTTACTAAAACCAAACTTGGTAACAGGTTACAACAGAGGCCCCCTAAGCTCCAGAGGACAGAATCTGTGTTTCAGTCACTCTAAATCCGGAGCCTGGCAATGCTTTGTAAATAAATGGCAGGTGCAGACAGGGGTTCTAGCAATGGAATGAAAAGCAGACAGACCCTACCACCCCCACTGCCCCTCAGGAGTCCACTATTACTTCAGGTTGGCACTTGGATGAATGGGGCTTTTACTTATTATCTCAGCCTAAAAATGAATAGCCTCTCAACTCAATCTCCAAATAAAATATCTTATACAGATTTACTATGTTGCCTCACTGTTTTCCTTAGAGTATAAAATCTTTTAGCTAAAATATATTGAAAGGGAAATCAATGAAGAGGGAGAACTAGGAGATAATGTGTTCACCTTACTTAACTGGAATGAAAGTTTTTGGTTTTTGTCGTCTTTTAATAGATACTGAATTTGACCTTTGTTTAGCACCCTAAGTCATAGGGATAGCCTACCATTCTATCGATGGTAGAAATATAGTTGTTGATCCATTATGAGAGATAAACTTCCAAATCTAAGCTGACAGTACGGGTTTATAACAGCGAAAGACAGAAACAGGTCATCTGTTGGTTGGCTTGTAACCTGATTACAAACCTTCTGTTTGCTTTAAAAAAAATGTGGCAATATATACACAGAATCTGGTAGTGCCTCAACCTACTTTGAATACTTTCATATGAGCTCTGGTATCCCCATCATTTAGCTTCCAAAAGGAAATTACTATGCAAGTTCTTAGAATATACTATTGTCTTTGGAACACTTCAAATAGAAGAGTGGTAACCAGAATACCTGAAGCAGGTAGATCATCTGATGGCTTACATGAAACTGCTTTCGTATCATCTAGTTATTAAAATGTTTACCACGTTGATGCCACATTTGTTTGAAAACACTACTAAATACCATAAACATTATGGGAGGATGGCTAATGACTCATACTATTTGGTACCAGGCAAGTTAAAACAGAGAAAATGAAAACCGGAAACTAATATCAAGTGGTTCCAATATGAATGATGCTGCAAAGTCAAGATTTCATTTCCAAGAAATATTTTTAGCAACTCTGGTTAGGCAGATTTTCAACATGTTTATCATCTCTGGTTAAGTAGATTTTCTACTCTCAGAAACCTACAGATGTTTGCTTTAAAACTGACAAAGGGGTTTTGGTAGGAGTGGCGTGGAACAAATGAAGTAGTGGGTTATCTTCTTCAAAAAGCTCTTAAGAGGCCGGGTACGGTGGCTCACGCCTGTAATCCCAGCACTTTGGGAGGCCAAGGCGGGCAGATCACCTGAGGTCGGGTTTTAGGAACAGGGCGCCAAATCTGGCCATAAACTGGCCCAAAAACTGGCCATAAACAAAATCTCTGCAGCACTGTGACATGTTCGTGATGGCCATGACGCTCACGCTGGAAGGCTGTGGGTTTACTGGAATGAGCGCAAGGAACACCTGGCCCACCCAGGGCAGAAAACCGCTTAAGGCATTCTTAAACCACAAACAGTAGCATGAGTGATCTGTGCCTGGACATGTTCCTGCTGCAGATAACTAGCAAGAGCCATCCCTTTGTTTTGGCCCATCCCTTTATTTCCCATAAGTAATACTTTTAGTAAATGTTATGACTGGCTTGCTGTCAATAAATATGTGGGTAAATCTCTGTTCGAGGCTCTCAGCTCTGAAGGCTGTGAGATCCCTGATTTCCCACTCCACAATCTATATTTCTGTGTGTGTGTCTTTAATTCCTCTAGCACCGCTAGGTTAGGGTCTCCACCACCGAGCTGGTCTCGGCAGTCGGGAGTTCGAGATCAGCCTGACCAACATGGAGAAACCCAGTCTCTACTAAAAAAAATACAAAAATTAGCCGGGCATGGTGGCACATGCCTGAATCCCAGCTACTTGGGAGGCTGAGGCAGGAGAATCGCTCCAACCCAGGAGGCGGAGGTTGTGGTGAGCCAAGATCCGGCCGTTGCACTCCAGCCTGGGCAACAAGTGCAAAACTCCGTCTCAAAAAAAAAAAAAAAAAAGCTCTTAAGAGCACATAAACATAGGAACTTTGTGAAGTCTAAGGACAAAACAAAAAACAACATCACTAACAGACCATAAAATTAGAAATCAGTCACAAAAAGCCAGTCAAAATATCCAAGAATTTATGGTTGAAGATTGAATGAAATTGACAAAATATTTAGACCTGAATTTTATATATGCACATATCAAAACTTGCAAAATGTAGCTGATGTGGTCTTTTGAAGGAGAAGAGGTAAAAAATAATCAGTTCAAAAAATTATACTAAAGAGGCCGGGCGCGGTGGCTCACGCCTGTAATCCCAGCACTTCGGGAGGCCATGGCGGGCGGATCATGAGGTCAGGAGATCGAGACCAACCTGGCTAACACGGTGAAACCCCGTCTCTACTAAAAATACAGAAAAATTAGCCGGGCGTGGTGGCAGGCGCCTGTAGTCCCAGCTACTCAGGAGGCTGAGGCAGTAGAATGGCGTAAACCCAGGAGGCGGAGGTTGCAGTGAGCCGAGATCGCGCCACTGCACTCCAGCCTGGGCGATACAGCGAGACTCCGTCTCAAAAAAAAAAAAAAAAAAAATTATGCTAAAGAGTAAACTCAAAGAAAGTAGAGGAAAAGAATGAATTAAAAATCTGTGTTTATAAATAAAAATAAAAGTAACGGAGCAAAAAGACGGGCATTAGAAAATAGTCATTTCTGACCTCTGGTCAGATAAAGGGAAAAAAGCAAAAAATTAGCTATGTTAGGAATATAAATGGGGACAACACTACAGATAAAATAGTTTTAGAAGACTAAAATTTATTATATGTATACAAGGGAATAGTATACTATTTAAAAAGAATTAGATAAACATGTACCAAACAAGCCTCAAAAAATACAACTGGCAGAAATATTCCTAGAAGGAATCCTTTAGTCAATATGCACAAAGCATTTAAGCATTTCATTATTTTTGTTTTTTTTTTTTTTTTTGCTTTTGTTTTTGTTTTTTTGAGACAGAGTCTTGCTCTGTTGCCCAGACTGGAGTGCAGTGGTGCAATTTTGGCTCACAGCAAACTCTGCCTCCCAGGTTCAAGTGATTCTCCTGCGTCAGCCTCCCAAGTAACTGGGATTACAGGTGCACACCACCAAGCCCGGCTAATTTTTGTATTTTTAGTAGAGACGGAGTTTCTCTATGCTGGCCAGGCTGGTCTCTAACTCCTGACCTCAAGTGATTTGACCGCCTCAGTTTCTCAAAGTGCTGGGATTACAGGTGTGAGCCACTGCACCCAGCCTTCATTGTACGTCTTTTTGTCACTAGAGGTACATTTTGTTCTAACAACTAAGACCCCAAAGCATCCTTTTAAGCTTTATCGTTTTGTAAAATGGTTAAAAATAACATTTTCCACCAATGACACAGATAAAATTTTAAAATGTGGTGGTATTATTCCATTCTTATTTTAAGGATATACATATATGCAATTTGTATGTGGATATGATTTTTTGAATGGTGAACAGAAACTTAGTGGTCAGGTAGCTGGATGCGGTGGCTCATGCCTGTAATCCCAGCACTTTGGGAGGCTAAGGCGGGTGGATCACCTGAGTTCAGGAGTTTGAGGCCAACCTGGCCAATATGGTGAAACCCAGTCTCTACTAAAAATACAAAAAATTAGCCAGGCGCGGTGGTAGGCGCCTGTAATCCCAAGTACTCGGGAGGCTGAGGCAGGAGAATCGCTTGAACCCAGGAGACGGAGGTTGCTGTGAGCCGAGTCCGCGCCATTGCACTCCAGCCTGGGCAACAAGAGTGAAACTCCGCCTCAGGAAAAAAAAGAAAGAAAGAAAATAAGAAAGACAGAGAGAGAGAGAGAGGAAGGAAGGAAGAGAGGAAGGAAGGAAGGAAGAGAGGGAGGGAGGAAGGAAGGAAGGAAGGAAGGAAGGAAGGAAGGAAGGAAGGAGGGGAAACTTAGTGGTCAGATGGCAACTAGGGGAGGGGAGGCAGAAGGTAATTTATTTTTCATTTCATATCCTTCAACTATCAGAAATTTTGTCATATGTGTTTATATTTTCCACTGTGTTTCATTGATTCTAAAATGCCTTTTCTTCATAACCCTGAAATTGGAGTGTTTCTTACAATCATTGGTATGTCACATTTTTTTCTGGCTTGTGGTAATGGGTTAAAATGATAAATTGTAAAATCAATGACGTCTTAGGAATAATGAAAAATAGTTTAATAGTGAATGAAGAACTATGTAATTTTAACTGTTCACATTTACTCTTGGGTATGTTTCCAGAGGATAACTGAACGGGGATAGATTTTAAAAAGCTTTATTTAACTGGGTACTTCCGCAATTTAGTGATCAACTTCTGTGTACAACAAGGTACTGTCCTTTGAGGATGATGGGAGAATACAGGGAAGAACGAAATCGCCTCTGATCGTACTTTCTCCACGGATGTAAGTGTCCGGGCTCTAGTGGGGGAATGATACTCTTCGTGCGAAATTCACTTTTAAAAAAGGCTTAGAAAACTGACCACCGGCTCTCAGCTGCAGCTTATCAACCACAGAACTCCGAATATGCCCGCACATCAGTGCGCTGGGTTAAGAGGAGAAGGGGCTGCGGCTGAGCTTTCCTAGAAACAGCTATTTGGGGACCCATTTCCTGTTGGAGTCTGAAAGGCGCACGCACCAGAGCCAGTGGCAAAGCAACTTAAGCTGCAGGCTCCTCCTGCCCACCCCCAGCCGCGACGCCCCTGGGGGCCCTTAGCAGACTGCCAAGCGAGTGTCCCCGCCCTGTGCCTTGAATTTAGCCAAACTCCTTTAATATCAGGCCTGGCGCGGTGATTCACGCCTGTAATCCCCGCACTTTAGGAGGCTGAGGCAGGAGGATCGCTTGAGGCCAGCAGTGAAATTAGCCGGACATGGTGGCGCGCGCCTTTCTGTGGTCCCAGGTAATCCGGAGGCTGGGGCGAAAGGGTGGCCTGAGCCAGGGAGATCGAGGCTGCAGTGAGCCGTGTTGGCGCCACTGCACTCCAGCCTGGGCGACAGGGCAAGACCCTGCCTCAAAAACAAAACAAACTGTAATATCGTTCAAGAACGTGTGAAGGACACTTGGAAAGTTACCAGGCCATTTCTCTCCTGGGCGCCCGCGGCCCTAGAACGCCGGCCTCACCGGCAGACGCGCGCCCTCCTCCCAGATGCGCAGGTGACCCCGGCGGGCGGCGCGGGAAAGGGAAGAGCTCCGCGAGGCCGCGCGGGGGGGAAGCGGGAGAAGCCGCTCTTCCTATTCCACTCGCAGTCTGCGTGTGGGGGAAACGAGTGCCCGGCGTATGAAACGCCTAACTTCGCGAAATAAAGAGAGACGTATAAAAGTTCAAGAATTCTGTCCAGACTCAAGGGCCCTTTCTCATTTAGGGGCAACCCTGTCACTACATCATAAACTTTTAAATCCGTGATCCCCACGTTACAAAAGCAGAAGTCCCTTTTAGACTTTTAGCGAAAACTGAACTTTGCCGGTGTCCCACACGGAGGGAGGGAGGACGGGAGGCCACGCCAGGGCTGCGGGGCTGCAGGGCGTGGACGCATCCTGGCCGGGGCGTCCACTGTCGACGTCTCCACATCCCAGGAGGGTCGAGACGGCCGCGGGAAGCAGCCTGCGAGCCGTGCGGCCCCATTCCAAGGACCCCGCCAGTGTGAGTCACTGACAGCTTCGCGAATCAACGGTGCCCAGAGGAAAAAACTTCTCATTTGGACTTCTAGGCCCGGCAGTGGCCGGCGGCCAGGGCCCCCCAGTAGGGCAGGGCGGGGCGGGGCGGGGCGCACAGAGCCAGAGGGGCTTGCGAGCGGCGGCTGAGGGACCGCGGGGAGGGGGCGCCGAGCGGCTCCAGCGCAGAGACTCTCACTGCACGCCGGAGGGCGCCCTTCCTCGCTCGCGCCCGCGCGACCGCGCGCCCCAGTCCCGCCCCGCCCCGCTAACCGCCCCAGACACAGCGCTCGCCGAGGGTCGCTTGGACCCTGATCTTACCCGTGGGCACCCTGCGCTCTGCCTGCCGCGAAGACCGGCTCCCCGACCCGCAGAAGTCAGGAGAGAGGGTGAAGCGGAGCAGCCCGAGGCGGGGCAGCCTCCCGGAGCAGCGCCGCGCAGAGCCCGGGACAATGGGGCCGCGGCGGCTGCTGCTGGTGGCCGCCTGCTTCAGTCTGTGCGGCCCGCTGTTGTCTGCCCGCACCCGGGCCCGCAGGCCAGGTGAGAGATGCACGGGAATGGGGTGCGCGGGCGGAGGGACGCCGAGGGGAGACTGCGGGGGTCACTGTTGCGCCTTCTCCTCACCCCTGCCTCAGTTTCCTCCGAAAGCCAAACTGGCATTTGGGCTGAGATCTGGAGTTTTTTCCAGTCACGTTTAGGTGGGGCGTGCCACCCCCTTCGCGGGCCCAGCCGATGCCCCTTTGGACTCGATCTTGGAGGGTGCAGCCCGCCTGCCACGGGGTGTTGGATATGGAGGAGGATGGAGCGGAAGCCCCCTGGGGGAGCCTGCAGTCCTGCGTTGCACTTGTCATTGTGTTTCTCCCAGGACCACCCCCAAAAAGAAAAGCTCTCACGTTGCTCCACCAATAAACGTTTCGATCTTTAAAATATAAAGTGGCGAACCGCTGCCGCTGAAGTTTTGCTTTGTTGGAAGTTTTTTTCTTGCACATTTTACAGGCGAGAAAAGTGATGTAGAGAAAAGCCCAGGCAGTCCCTTGGCATGTTTAGCAGAGAATCAGTACCAGCAGCCCCCGGCCCGGCCTTGTGTCCAGGAGGTGCGCAGGGTGCGAGATATATGGTGACAATAGCAGAGGCTCCGCGTGGTGGCGGGGGAGGGGACATGGAGAGGATTTTGTTGTTACCTAGAACCCATTCCTTCTAAGTGAGTTGAAGAGAGAGATCCCTCCCCAGGACCGGGCTCCCTCGAACACTGTGGGATCCCAGTATTTCTTAACGAGATTTCTGATCCACTGCAAGAAGGTTGCTCCCCTAGAATATTTTCCCCACTAGTAGTCTATTTTTAAGTATCTGGCCACTTGACCAAATAAATAAATTTGATTAATTTATTTGGTCAAATATTTTCTGTATCCCTTTCCCCAAGAGCAGCACAGATGAGTTGTTTTTAGCCTGTAAAGGCGCTAATTAGAAAGTGAGAAAAGTGTTTTTGAATTTCCTAATAACAATAGTATTTTATAAGCTTTGAGCCATTTTTTTTACGCTGAAAGAAGTTCTAGCGGGTTTTCTTGTTATCGCTAAAAGAATGTGCACTCTATATTGCTCCCACACTCAAAAAAAAGTGTAGACACATCAAGATTAAGAGGTGACAAAGACATAGCATGTTCTCGCCTCTCTGTCTTTGTTCAGGGTGAGTTTTGAGATGCTTTTGGGAAAACTAAGAGCTCCAGACTGGGGCCCAGTGTTTAGCAGTAACTAGCCTGCCTGCAGATAAGTGAGCATTGTTGCCGAAAGTGTTTGAGAGAACACCGAGAACTCCTGAAAAATTGTTTGCGATGAGATATGATTTCACATACCATTATGTAATTTGCACAATGTAGTTTGAGGACACGCTCTTGAGAATCCAGTGTTTTGTTTGAGATTTGGATCATGGGGTGGAGAACAGAGCTTATAGAAATGCTGCACCCTTTCTCACAGTGGCCTCCCAGCAAGGTGTGTAGCCTCATTAGGGAGTGAAGTCAAAGCGTACTGGTTTCTGCCAAGCTTCTTACATCCTCATGGCAGGAGTGGTGCATGTTAATATGGACAGTGCTGGTGTAGACAGAAAGGCAGGTGGATGAACTTGGCTAGTTTATCAACACTGGATTCTGGAACCACTTTGGGAGGGAAAGAAGAAAGGAGTATGATAGAGGAAAAGGAGCGCTTGCTAAGTGCCATATTCCATGTCAAGCCCTGGGCCAGAAGGAATTTTCACTTGGATTGTCTCATTTCACCTTGTCAAAACACCTTGTTAAGGTGGGTATTTATCCCCTTTTGCTGATTCTGCAACTAAGACCCAGAGACAGCGGCTAAGCAAGTGGTGGCGGGTGGGGCAGGGAAGGGGCAGTCCACCCACCCTGGGTGCAAGCAATTAGGAATAAGTGGGGCTTTGTCTTTAGAAAATTTAAAATCACTAATAAAATCAACCCAAGATAGGTTTACTTTCTATTACCACCATGCATTGACAATTCTAAGCATTGTCTGTCATAAGGTAGTGGTGCTGGGACTCTGAGGCATCCAACAGTGCCTCCCATCCTTGAACCGCCACCGCTGTGATAGAGTTTATTGTCCAGGATTACCAGCTCTGTGTGCCAAGAGGGGCGGTGAAGCCCTCCCAGGGCTGGCCCTGACCACCAAGCTGAGCCTTCCTCCAGCACTTCCCGACTTTTTGTTCCCACTCATTTTGGCATTTCCTGCCTTGTCACTTTGTGTGTGTGTCTCATTCTCCCAACTAAGATTATAAAGTTTTATTTATCCCCATGGTGACTAAAACAAATGTTCACTCAGCAGATAGTTGTTGAGAAATGTGTAAATTCATCAACCAGTTTACATTCGTCTAGACAATTTAAGTGAGATGATATGTGATCATTAAAAGGGCCAACATCCAAGAGTAAAAGGTGATGTTTATAAATTTTATGGGGCTCTAGAGGGTTAAAGTGTTCAAGAATAGCTGGTGGTGACTATGACAGAGAGAACTTGGTGGGCAATTCCACTTGCTACCCTCCTACTCACAGAGTCAAGCCCAATTCTCTGGCATGGAATGAAGTGCTCCTCCCCTTGCAGGAGGGTCCCCAGCCCCTCTCCAGCCATCTCCTATTACTCACCCTCCAGTTCACCCAGCCCCATCCTCTAGATCCTCCCTTCAAGGAGCTATGCTTTCTCTGGCTTCTGTCCGCATGCCACTCCCTCTGGCCAGAATGCCCTCCCCATATCCCATACCCGCCACGTTCATGTTTAATTAAAAACAGCTACCCTCTGTGGAGTACTGACTACAGCTGACATCCTTCTTAGGGACGTTACAATACTATCTTATTTATTTCTCACAACAGCCCTTTGAGTAGATGTCATCCTCATTTTACTGGTTATAAAACAGAGACCCAGAATGGTTAAGTCACAAGTTGAGAAAGAGGTGGAATTGGGACTGGGTGCGGTGGCTCATGCCTGTAATCCCAGCACTTTGGGAGGCCAAAGCAGGGGGATCACTTGAGGCCAGGAGTTTGAGACCAGCCTGACCAACATGGTGAAACCCTGTCTCTACTAAAAATACAAAATTAGCTGGGTATGGTGGTGCACACCTGTAGTCACAGCTACTTGGGAGGCTGAGGCACCAGAATTGCCTGAACCTGGAAGGCAGAGGTTGCAGGGAACTGAGATTGTGCCACTGCACTCCAGTCTGAGCAACAGAGTGAGACTCTCTCTCAAAAAAAAAAAGAGGTGGAATTGGGAGTTGACCACAGGCCTGTCTCTCCGAAGTGCAGGCTTTCTCTAACACCCCCTATAGAAAGGAAGCCATCTAGACTCCCAGCACCTCTTACAGTAGAGAAGTAACCCCACTGTGCTCCCTAGTACAGTATGGATTTACCTATTTTTGATAATTCATCAAAATATAGAAGCAAAGTCTGTGCCCTATCGCCTTGGTAGCTCAGGCCCAGCACAGGGAGGTATTTAGTGAGCATTTATGCACGGACTGTGGTATTCTCTCATTTACTTTCGCTAACAGATGATAAGGCAGGCTCTGAAAAGATCCCTGCTCATGAATACACTAATTAATCAGATGTTACAAGAGATATTGCTAGTAAACCTAAACAGAAAGACAGAAAACTGAGCAGTGGTTCTACCGTAAGCAGACCAGAAAGCTCTATAAAGCCTGAAAGTCAGATTTCTTATGAGTCAGCAAGTAATTTTCTGCCCTACTATCTATCTATCTATCTATATCTAATAATTTTTAGTGGCTTTGCCTTTATTTTTATAGAACATACCAGCATAGCAGGTTCTCAGGGTCTGGGTGCAGTGGCTCACACCTGTAATCCCAGCACTTTGGGAACCCTAGGCCAGATGATCGCTTGAGACCAGCCTAGGCAACATAGTAAGACCCCATCTCTATTAAAAAAAATAATTAAAAAGTAGCCAGGCACTGTGGTGTGCACCTGTAGTCCCAGCACTTGGGAGACTGGGAGGATGGCCTGACCCAGGAGTTCAAGGTGGCAGTGAGCCATGGTCACGTGACTACACTCCAGCCTGGGCAACAGAGTGGGAGAGACGCTGTCTTCAAAATATTTAATAAATGAAAATTTTAAATTTAAATTAATCATTTAAATTTAAAAAATAAAATAATAAAATTGAGGTAGAATTCACATAACATAAAATTAACCATTTTAAAGTATACAATTCATTGGTATTTAGTACATTTACAGTGTACAATGTACACTGTAAACCCCTACCTACTTCCAAAATCCTGTCATTTCCCCGAAAGGAAACCAGTAAGCAGTCAGATCCCATTCTCCCTTCCCCTACCCCCAGGAACCACCAGTTTGCCTTTTTTCTCTATGGATTTACCTATTTTTGATATTTCATATCAATAGAATCATATAATATGTGGTCTTAGTGTCTGGGGAACTTAACTTTAGGTGGGTTAAAGTTGTTGTTGCTGTTTTTTTGAGACAGGGTCTAGGTGTCTTACTCAGGCTGGAGTGCAGAGGCACAAATTTGGCTCACTGCAACCTCTGCCTCCCAGGCTCAAGCTATCCTCCTAACTCAGCCTCCAGAGTAGCTGGGCTACAGGCACCTGCCACCACGCCTGGCTAATTTTTGTATTTTTAGTAGAGACGAGATTTTATCACACTGCCCAGGCTGTTCTCAAACTCCTGGGATCAAGCGATCCACCTACCTTGGCCTCCCAAAGTGCTGGAATTCTAGGCGTGAGCCACCATGCCCAGTCTTTAACTAGTTTTCGTGAGCACCTAGGCTCCCCTTCCATTGCGGATACTCACAAAAACATCCTTGTTAGAAGAGTTATTAGGACTCAGGGCCTTGGTTTATTTTTGACTATGATACTAGTGTTGAGGACTCCATAGTTTTACCATTCATAATTTTCTGTTTGTTTCCTTTTTTGCGATTTCTTTCATTCTGCCTTTTTCTTTCTCTTGCTTGTGCCTAAAACTGTCGTCATAAATAGCTCTGTCTATATACTGAGAATTTTTTTCTGGGCATGAGCTTTCACTTCCCCAGATACCGTCTCCCACACTGACCTTGTCGTGGTACTTGGAGGAAGCCACTTAAAGGGCCCTGACGGTCCTATATACATTATTTGCTTTCAAAAGTAAGTGGCCTTTTGAAACAACAGGAGTAATCTGCAATTTGCCCTTGAAAACACATTTATATAACTTTAGGAAAAGACATTATGTAATCTATTTATATTTCAAGTCTATGATGAATTAAAAATCAGGTATTATGGTATTGTAGAATAGTGTTTACCAGTACAGTATTTTCCTCTTTCGTAACCAACAGTAAGAACTGTAGAAACAACACTTCACATTCTGATATGGTAGGGATGTGTGTTTTCAATAAATATGTGTGGACAATCATAGTATATATGTAAACATGAAACAAAAGTTTTACCAAACAGTGCTCACCTTTACTGCATTGTATGCATTTTGATATTTTCCACAAACAGTGCTCACCTTTACTGCATTGTATGCATTTTGATATTTTCCACACTATATTCTATTTTTAATGCTTATTGCAATCTTGTGAATTGATTTCATAGCCATTGCTAAATCTATAACATAATTTAAAACATATTGCAGCAGCTACATGAATATTCCTATGGTAGCCAAATCAAAGGCCTTATTAGCTTTTCAGGAAGAGTTCTGTTTTCCTGGAACTGTTGTTTATTATTGTTCTTATCATGTCTAGAACCTAATTTATTTGAGTTCAGATATACAGACTGCAGAAGGACTTGGGCAGGGTTGGGCATGGGGACAGTTTTTATAGTACAACTCACAGTATTTTGTACAATACAAAGCTGTCCCCATCCCCAGCCCTGGGGAGGAATTGGTGATCATTGACATCCTTGACTGTGAATTAGTTTTCATTTTAGCTAGATGTCTTGTTGGAGAGTAGAGATCAGCATTCCCAAGACAGAGAGCTCAGGACCTGTAACTTTTCTTGGAGAACAGACCTGGAGAAATGGGGAAAGCCGGGGAACCTGAGTAGTTCCCGGGCAAGGCCTGCTAGCA
This sequence comes from Homo sapiens, assembly GCF_000001405.40. Lineage (NCBI taxonomy): Eukaryota > Metazoa > Chordata > Mammalia > Primates > Hominidae > Homo > Homo sapiens. Next base: position 76,722,407 of record NC_000005.10, read on the forward strand.
TCCTCACCCCACGTCAGGCTCTGGCCTCCAGGCTGCTCCAAGCAAGAGCCCACACACTTTCCTTATGTAGTCTTCATGCCTGCTGTGGCGTTGGGTACACCTGCGTTTACTTTCCTGCAACTTCCCTTCTCCCAGCTTCCTCTTAGGCTTGCTTTCCTATGCTTCCAGAGGAGTACCTGCTCCAGGACATGGAATGGGAGGAGAGGAGGCCTCTGATATTGGCAGCTTCTTCTGAACCCCAGTCAGTCAAGAATTCTACCTTTAGGTTGGGCACGGTGGCTCATGCCTGTAATCCCAGCACTTTGGGAGGCTGAGGCGCAGATCACTTAAGGTCAGGAGTTGGAGACCAGCTTGGCCAACATGGTGAAACCCTGTCTCTACTAAAAATACAAAAATTAGCCGGGCATGGTGGTGCACAACTGTCATCCCAGCTACTCAGGAGGCTGAGGCAGGAGAATCTCTTGAACCCAGGAGGCAGAGGTTGCAGCAAGCCAAGATCGTGCCACTGCACTCCAGCCTGGGAGACAGAGTGAGACTCTGTATCAAAAAAAAAAAAAAGAATTTTGTCTTTAATTCTGCTTTTTCTGTAGCAGAGATTTTTGTTCACTTACTGCTCTTGCATCTGCTCCATCTAGAACAGTGTTTTAAAGATGTATTTTTCTGTTTTGTCCTTGAATATCTCCCTGCTATCTCTCTCCTGTGTGTAAGGACCAAGTTGTTGGCATGTGTGGTTGGTGTGCAGCCAAAGTCAGTAGGACTCCAGAATTCCCAAGCTTTGGGCATCATCACGTTAAGCTAGCCATTCACATGTCCACATACTGCCTACTGTAGCTAAAAGGATGGGCAGATTCATTTGTTTGGTGACATGCAAAGAGAAAAAGATGGTACTCTTTTAGAAGTAGGTCATGAATCACAAGTTTTTAAGGAGAGAATAGCGTGGAGTGGTCAAAAGGTATGACCTTTGGAGCTGGGCAGACCTAGGTTCAAACCCTGGCTCCTCTACTTCATAGCTGTGTGACTTTGGATTAGTTACTTAGCCTCTCTGTGCCTCCATGTTGTCATTTATAAAATGGTAGTTATAATGCTCATGTCATAGAAATGTTAGAATTATATGAACTAAGGCAAGTGAAGTATCTGGCACATAGTAGGTGCTCAAAAAGATGGTAAGGTTTTTTCATACACCAATGCTTCCATATTCCAGAAAAGCTTTTGAAGAGTTGATACCAAATAAATTATCTAAATATAAGACAATCTTCACACAAGCATGCAAGAACATTTTCCCCTTCAGAACTAGGACAAAAGAAAAAAGCAAAAACCCTTGCCCTTAACTTCTAGTGGCAAATAAACATGCATACAGTATTTGTTTGTTTTTTTAACTTTTATTATGGGATTTTTCAAACATACCCAAAAATGAACAGTATAGTTACTCCCCATACCCATCATCCAGCTTCAACATTATTTACATGTCACCAATCTTGTTTTATCTAAACCCTCAAGTTTCCTCCTCTCCCAACTGTATAATTTTAAAGCAAATCCCAGATATCATATTATGTCATTCATAAAAACATCAGTAAGCATCCTTAGAGATTAGAACTCTTTTTTCCACATAACCACAATACAATTATAATACCTAAAAAATGAACATTTCCTTCTGTTTTTTTGTTTGTTTGTTTGTTTTGAGACACATTCTTACTCTGTTGCTAAGGCTGGAGTTCAGTAGCACAATCATGGCTCATCCACAGTCTCAACCTCCTGGGCTCAAGCAATCCTCCTGCCTCAGACTCCAAAGTAGCTGGGACTACAGGCACACACCACCACGACCAGCTAATTTTTGTATTTATTTTAATAGACATAGGATTTTGCTGCATTGCCCAGGCTGGTCTGGAACTCCTGGGTTCAATCAGTCCTCCTGCCTCGGCTTCCCGAAGTGCTGGCATTACAGGCGTGAGCCACCGTGCCCGGCCTAACAATTCCTTAATATCATCTGATAATCAGTCAGTGTTCATATTTACCTTATTGTCTCATAAATACCTTTTAACAGTTGGTTTGTTTGAATCAGGTTCAAACAAGGTCCACCATTACATTTTAATCTGTAACTGCCCCCCCACCCCTTTTTTATTGCTATTTATTTGTCAAAGAAACTAAGCCATCTGTCTTAGTTCTTATTTGTCAAAGAAACTAAGCCATCTGTCTTTTCTACATACTGGATCTGGCTGACTGCGTCTTCAACTCATGGATCTTAACATGTATGAAATGTTTCAATTCATTTCCATCATTATTCTTTTGATGGTCAAATTGGTGATCAACATGTCACATCTTTGGTCAGTGGGAGCCCTTTGAGATTGACTCCAGCGTCTTTTTGACCTAACCCTGATATTCTTTGAAGATGTTCAATGTTCATCTTGTGTATTTCCTACCCCAGATCTGGAACTAGTCATTTCTTTAAGAAGCCCCAGTTCTTTTCATTGGAAAATGGTGTTTGTTTGAATCTGAGGGAGTAAAACATTCCAGTAATGCTGGTGTTTTCCACTTGACAGAGTTAGTGTGATTCTGTTATTTTCCTGTCCTCCTCTTCATTTCTCTTTAGCCTGTAGTGTTGTTTCAACTCTTGTGCTCTGTGTGGGAATGTGAGCAAAGTCCTGGGACTTCTGCTTTGTTAACTCTGAAAAAGCATGAGCCCCGAAGGGCAGAACTGTGAGTCAAAACCATGTGTGTCATGGAATGCTGGTGTGGTATAAATCCCAGGATCAAATGCGACATTCAGAGATCCTCTAGTCACCCCTCTGCTTCCAGGACAGATCTCATCACAGTCAGAAAACGTGTTGCCTAACTCACTAATTTTTAAAAATCGCCACAGTTAAAGAGTCCGTATTTAAACTATTTAATAATTTGCTGTATTCGATAACAAAACTACTCTAGAGCAATTTAGAAGAGCCTAAATTAAGTGAAACTTAGCAAATCGTATGAGAACTGAATTCAGGACCTCTGCTGCCTTTTTTGTGAAACCATAGCTTAACCAAAAAAAAAAACAGAGATGAATGATAAGAGATTTGGGCACCTTCACAAGCACTTTCTCCTTGACCTGAGTTGTGCTAGGACTGGAGGAAAAGCGAGATACTTAAACTCAAATTTCAGCCTAAGGGTCTTGAGCTAGTTGGAATTGTCTAGTCACCTTGCATTGGTTTTGTCCTTTCTTTGATGCTGGTATATACTACATTTTTTCTTTTCTTTTTTTTTCCGACATTCTTTAATTTCACAAAAACCAGAATATCAAACCCATAGTATCAAGAAAAGGTAACACCTTAGGCAGCGATATTTAACCAAGGGATTATACATTCTTCCTGAGCTCTAGCCTATAAAAATTTCATGTTTCCACAAGTATAATGTTCCTGTCGGAAGTACCGTCTGCCTGAGGCCTACCCAGAGAAGATGTTTTTTAAAACAAGTACTTACTGCCTAAGTACTAAATACAGAGTAAAGTCTAGTGACAGTTTTATTTTCAGACTAAGTGATAGTATCTGAAGAGCTTAGTTGTATTTATTAGTTTTCACATTGTGTCAGTCTCTCAGGTGTCATCTTGATTCATGTATGTAAGTATGCATGTTCATGTCCACTTTTTCCCCTCTGTGCATCACAAAAGCCCATAATCTGGCCAGGCTTCCAAAACTGCAGAGGAGAATTGCATTATTTTAAGGTTCCTTGGCCAGGTGCAGTGGCTTATGCCTGTAATCCCAGCACTTTGGGAGGCTGAGGTGGGTGGATCACTTGAGGCCAGGAGCATGAGACTAGCTGGCAAGCATGGTGAAACCCCATCTCTACTAAAAATACAAAAATTAGCTGGGCAGCCGGGCGCGGTGGCTCACACCTGTAATCCTAGCACTTTGGGAGGCCGAGGTGGGTGGATCACGAGGTCAGAAGATAGAGACCATCCTGGCTAACACGGTGAAACCCCATTTCTTCTAAAAATACAAAAAATTAGCCGGGCGCGGTGGCAGGCACCTGTAGTCCCAGCTACTAGGGAGGCTGAGGCAAGAGAATGGCGTGAACCCGGGAGGTGGAGTTAGCAGTGAGCCGAGATAGAGATAGCGCCACTGCAGTCCGGCCTGGGCGAAAGAGCGAGACTCTGTCTCAAAAAAAAAAAAAAATTAGCTGGGCATGGCGGTGCGTGCTTGTAATCCCAGCTACTTGGGAGGCTGAGGCAGGAGGATTGCTTGAACTGGGGAGGCAGAGGTTGCAGTGAGCCAAAATCGCACCACTGCTCTCCAGCTTGGGTGACAGAGCAAGACTCCATCTCAAAAAAAAATTGGTTCCTCTAGATCAGCATTTTTGCATATGCATGTTTTTGTGATATTAAAGTGCCAGAACCACAAACAAAAAAAATTAAAAATAAAAAAAAATGTTTAAGTGCCAGAAGCCATTCATTCTTTTCTTTCAGCACCCACACACTCATTGTGATCTTGAGAACAGCCTCACATCCACAGGGTCTGTTGGTACCAAGGTCAGGCTTCTGTGTGACTGGGGCAAGGTGAACACAGAGTAAGTTACATGCATTGCAAAGGTAAGAGAGTGATACTTCCAGAAAAGATTGTGAATTCAAAATTTGATTTATAGCTCTGAACCCTAGAGCTATATAATATACAACTTGTTCATTCCCTCATTGTACTAAAAAACTATAAACATTGCTAAGTAGGAGGGAAGATGAACCTAGATTTCCTTTTAACTTAATTAAGTGAGCAAACAATTGGGTATAAAAGCACACTACATGGAAGTGGGAGAGGAAGGATAATAGTAATTTCTTAAACTGCTTAATCGTTATGGTTTCCAAAGTGAATGTATGTCCTGTTTCACACGGGATGCTCCAGTTGCCAGATTTGTAGGCCAGACAGGAATTAGAATTCCATTTTAATGATTCTGAGCTTAATTCAGAGAAGTTAAGTGATCCCTGAACAGAGTCAATATTAGAATACAAATATGTGCCTACCACATGCAGGGCACAGGGTACTGGAGGTTCAGAGATTAACAGGAACAGTTCTTACCCTTAAGGATCAATGTAGACACAAGTGTGTATTCACATTCATCACTGGAGACATTCATTCCTTCCCTGTGACAGATCTCCTGCCAGGCCACCCCTTCATTGTCTGGAGACCCTCTCCCAACTTTGCTTAGGTAGCTTGACCTCAACCCTACACTACCAGGCTCTGCTCTGCTGTCTCTGAGTTGGTACTACTCTAGCTTTGCTCTTCATTTTGGAAATAGATGCCAACATATTGTATTTTATTTTCTATTTCTAGAATTTCCACTTGGTAGTTCTTTGCTGATATTTCCTATTTTCAGTTCATTTCTATAAAATATTTTTCTTTTTTTTTTTTTTTGCACATGGTTGTAATACATTCTTCAAAATCCTTATCTGCTAATTCCAACATCTGGGTCAACTTGAGGTTGGTTTCCGCTCACTGTCTTTTTACTTAAGACTGGGTCACTTTTTTTTTTTTTTTTTTAGAGACAGAGTCTCACTCTGTTGCCCAGGCTGGAGTACAATGGTGTGATGATACCTCACTGTAGCCTCGATCTCCCAGGCTCAACTTGTCCTCCCACCTGGGCTTCCCAAAGTGTTGAGATTACAGGTGTGAGCCACCACACCTGGCAGCCCCCTTTTTCTTTTATTTGACAAAAAATTATATATATTTATAGTGTATAACATAATGTTTTGAAATATGCATAACTTGTGAGATGGCTAAATCAAACTTATAACATGTATTACCTCAAATACTTATCATTTTTTGTGGTGAGACCACTTAAAGTCTACTCTCTTAGCAATTGTCAAGTATACAACACATTGTTATTAACTATAGTCACCGTATTATACAAGAGATTTTTCTAACTAATTCCTTTTAACAGAAATTTTGTACCCTTTGACCAATGTCTCCCCAGTCTACCCTACCCACCCATCCAACCCCAGCCTCTACTAACCACCATTCTCTTCTCTGCTTCCATGAGTTCAACTGTTTTCGATTCCACATATAAGTGAAATCATGCTATATTTGTCTTTCGGTGCCTGCCATATTTCACTTAACATTATGCCCTCTCGGCTCATCCATGTTGTTGCAAATGACAGAATTTCCTTCTTTTTTAAGGCTGAATAGTATTCCACTGTGTATATACATCATATTTTTTATTCATTCATTCATTCATCAGTGGATACCTAGTTTGATTCCATAACTGGGCTATTATAAATAATTCTGCAATGAACATGAGATTGCAGCTATTGACATCCTGGTCTTTTTTTTTTTTTTTTTTTTTTTGAGATGGGGTCTCGCTCTGTCGGCCAGGCTGGAGTGCAATGGCGCAATCTCAGCTCACTGCAACCTCCGCCTCCTGCGTTCAAGCAATTCTCCTGCCTCAGCCTCCCGAGGAGCTGGGATTATAGGTATGCGCTACCAAGCCTGGCTAATTTTTGTAATTTTAGTAGAGACAGGGTTTTGCCATGTTGGCCAGGCTGGTCTCAAACTCCTGACCTCAGGTGATCCACCCACCTTGGCCTCCCAAAGTGCTGGGATTACAGGCGTGAGCCACCGTGCCCAGCCAGCATCCTAATTTTATTTCCTTTGGATGTATGCCCAGCAGTGGAATTGCTGTATTATATAATAGTTCTATTTTTAGTTTTAGAGGAACCTTCATACTGTTTTTCGTAATGGCTATGCCAATTTAAATTCCCACCATCAGTATAGATGGGCTTCCTTTCCCCGTATCCTCACCAACACTTGTTATCTGTCATCTTTTTGATAATATCCATTCTAACAGGTATGAAGTGATAACTCATTGTGGTTTTAATGTTCATTTCCCTGATTAGTGATGTTGAGCATTTTTTCATATACTTGTTGGCCATTTGTATGTCTTCTTTTGAAAAATGTCTATTCAGATCCTTTGTCCATTTTTAAATCAGGTGATTTGTTATCTTGCTGTTGAGTTATAGGAGTTCCTTATATATTTTGGATATTAACCCTTTATCAGACGTATGGTTTGCAAATATTTGCTTTCATTTCATAAATTTTCTCTTCACTGTTGATTGTTTCCTTTGCTGTGCAGAAGCTTTTTACTTTGATACAGTCCCAGTTGTCTACTTCTCCTTTTATTGCCTGTGCTTTTATGGTCATTATAAAAAATTACTGCCCAGACAATGTCATGAAGCTTTTCCTCTATGTTTTCTGCTAGTAGTTTTACAGTTTCAGGTCTTATGTGTAAACCATTAATCCATTTAAGTTGGTTGTTGTATATAGTGTGAGAGAAGGGGGACAAGACGTCCAGAGTTTATCACTTTTGTGTATATTGGTTGGATCTGGTGATAACGATTTGGCTCTATGTCCCCACCCAAATCTCAACTTGTAGCTCCCATAATTCCCATGTGTTGTAGGAGGGACCCAGTAGGAGATGATTGAATCATGGAGACGGGTCTTTCCTGTGTTGTTGTCATGATAGTAAAATGGGTCTCTCAAGATCAGATGGTTTTAAAAACAGGAGTTTCCCTGCACAAGCTCTCTCTTTGCCCGCTGCCATCCAAGTAAGATGTGACTTGCTCCTCCTTACCTTCTGCTATGATTATGAGGCCTCCCCAGCCATGTGGAACTGTAAGTCCAATAAACCATTTTCTTGTATAAATTACAGGAAAAAAGACTCTGGATTTTGTTATATTCCTTCAAAGAGTGTTGGTGTTTTTGCTTTAGCAGCCAATTAATTTGGTTTTACTCAAGCAGCAGACTCTTTCTCTCTTGAGCAGAAGCTTAAATATCACTTCAGTTCTTTTATCTTTAGCAGAGGTGCTTCTCATCTTTCCTACAAATGCATAGTTCAAGGGTCAGCCAAACCCTAGGACAGAAGTTATACTGAAATTTAGGGCTCCCCCTCTCTGACTTTTTCCTTTCCAGGATTCTCTCCTAACTTTCCAGTGACTGTGATTGCCCTGAACTCTGTCCTCTGGTTCTGTAGGCCAAAAAGACTACGGATTTTCTATCTGGGTTTTAGTCACCTTTTATGTTATATAGGCACTGCTGTTATATAGGAAAAACCAAACTATTTTCCCCAAACTGTTTTCTCTTACCCAGCACTTCACTCAATCCTTCTGACACCGTATGTCTGGAGCTTGTTTCTCCACATACCAAGCAACCAATTCTCCTGCAGATTCTCCAGTGGACACCAGCTGGGTATCCTTGAATATAATTCAATTCTGGACACTATCTACCTCTAATATAACTCAATTCTGACACTATCTATCTACCTGGAGATAGAGTCAGATTCCACAGATTAAGGGCTCAGTTTCACAACGCTGCCTTCCACTTCAAATGGCAGTCATAAGTCTGGGCCTCCAGACTTCTGACCACACTATACATTGGGAGTTCCTAAGGCCCCCTGCTCAGATTCGATTAATTTGCTAGCATGATTCACAGAACTCAGGGAACCACTTTACTTACTTTTATCCATTCGTTATAAAGAAAATTACAGAGGATACAGATGAACAGCCACATGGTAGAGATGCATAGGGCAGCGATTGTGGGAAGGAGCACAGAGTTTCCATGCCCTCTCTTGGGCACTACCTTCCAGGAACCTCCATGTGTTCACCTATTTTTGGTTGATACTCCAAAAACCTTGGTTGGTCTGGCATGAGTGGCCAAGAACATCGGCTGCTCTGCTGACCTGCTCAGGAAAGAAGTAGAAGAATGACTGAGATGATGGGTACCTTGTGACTATGTTAGGAGATAACCCCAGGGATTGTGGTTTGGACCCAGATATAGTGAGAGATTTCTACATTCTCCTGTGTAAGCAAACTAAAGACTGTAGAGGAAAACTACTGTCATGGACATTGGCCGTAGAATTGGGAGTCCTGAATCCCATTATTAATTTGCCTCTAACTCCAAAACCTTTAAGAAATCCCCTCTGGTGGCACGTGCCTGTAATCCCAGCTACTCACGAGGCTGAGGCAGGAGAATTCCTTGAACCCCGGAGGCGGAGGTTGCGGTGAGCCGAGATCGCGCCACTGTGCTCCAGCCTGGGCAACAGAGTGAGACTGTGTCTCAGAAAAAAAAAGAAAGAAAAAGAAATCCCCTCTACTTTTTTTTTTTTTTTAATTTCTATTTATTTTTATTTTTTGAGACGGAGTCTCACTCTGTCGCCCAGGTTGGAGTGCAGTGGTGTGATCTTGGCTCACTGCAACCTCTGCTGCCCAGGTTCAAGCGATTCTTCTGCCTCAGGCTCCCAAGTAGCTGGGATTACAGGTGCATGCCACCGCACCTGGCTAATTTTTGTGTTTTTAGTAGAGATGGGGTTTCACCATCTTGGCCAGGCTAGTCTTGAACTCCTGACCTTGTGATCCACCCACCTCGGACTCCCAAAGTGCTGGGATTACAGACGTGACCCACTGTGCCCAGCCTAAATCCCCTCAACTTTCTATGTGGATTTTTCCATTGAAAAGGGACAGGTTTCATGGGATGACTGCAGACTAAATGGAGAAAGTGTGCACATGAAGGTATGCGGAGGAAAGAGAAGTCATGGAAGCTGGGAGTGATTTGTTTATATAGACAGTGGCTAGCGTGGAAATCAATGATTGATCCCTTTATGTCAAGTACTCAGCCTTTCCTAATGTCTTCAGGGTAGATCTCTGAAAACCTATCATTCACCTTTGTCCCTTTGAGGGGCAGAGTTTAGGAAGTATTGCTTATATCAAGACAAATGTTTCACAGTATTTTGAGTTGGCTTATTCTCTAATAAAGTCTATTTGTGCATTATCTGCTCTTTACCACCCACTCTCCTAGTAAGAAAACATAAACAAAAGTAAAATATGCTCTCTGCTTGTCGCTTTTGCCTTGTTGATGCGTTCACTTTTTACATTTAAAATTTTTTTAATTTTATTTTTCAGAATCAAAAGCAACAAATGCCACCTTAGATCCCCGGTCATTTCTTCTCAGGAACCCCAATGATAAATATGAACCATTTTGGGAGGATGAGGAGAAAAATGAAAGTGGGTTAACTGAATACAGATTAGTCTCCATCAATAAAAGCAGTCCTCTTCAAAAACAACTTCCTGCATTCATCTCAGAAGATGCCTCCGGATATTTGACCAGCTCCTGGCTGACACTCTTTGTCCCATCTGTGTACACCGGAGTGTTTGTAGTCAGCCTCCCACTAAACATCATGGCCATCGTTGTGTTCATCCTGAAAATGAAGGTCAAGAAGCCGGCGGTGGTGTACATGCTGCACCTGGCCACGGCAGATGTGCTGTTTGTGTCTGTGCTCCCCTTTAAGATCAGCTATTACTTTTCCGGCAGTGATTGGCAGTTTGGGTCTGAATTGTGTCGCTTCGTCACTGCAGCATTTTACTGTAACATGTACGCCTCTATCTTGCTCATGACAGTCATAAGCATTGACCGGTTTCTGGCTGTGGTGTATCCCATGCAGTCCCTCTCCTGGCGTACTCTGGGAAGGGCTTCCTTCACTTGTCTGGCCATCTGGGCTTTGGCCATCGCAGGGGTAGTGCCTCTGCTCCTCAAGGAGCAAACCATCCAGGTGCCCGGGCTCAACATCACTACCTGTCATGATGTGCTCAATGAAACCCTGCTCGAAGGCTACTATGCCTACTACTTCTCAGCCTTCTCTGCTGTCTTCTTTTTTGTGCCGCTGATCATTTCCACGGTCTGTTATGTGTCTATCATTCGATGTCTTAGCTCTTCCGCAGTTGCCAACCGCAGCAAGAAGTCCCGGGCTTTGTTCCTGTCAGCTGCTGTTTTCTGCATCTTCATCATTTGCTTCGGACCCACAAACGTCCTCCTGATTGCGCATTACTCATTCCTTTCTCACACTTCCACCACAGAGGCTGCCTACTTTGCCTACCTCCTCTGTGTCTGTGTCAGCAGCATAAGCTGCTGCATCGACCCCCTAATTTACTATTACGCTTCCTCTGAGTGCCAGAGGTACGTCTACAGTATCTTATGCTGCAAAGAAAGTTCCGATCCCAGCAGTTATAACAGCAGTGGGCAGTTGATGGCAAGTAAAATGGATACCTGCTCTAGTAACCTGAATAACAGCATATACAAAAAGCTGTTAACTTAGGAAAAGGGACTGCTGGGAGGTTAAAAAGAAAAGTTTATAAAAGTGAATAACCTGAGGATTCTATTAGTCCCCACCCAAACTTTATTGATTCACCTCCTAAAACAACAGATGTACGACTTGCATACCTGCTTTTTATGGGAGCTGTCAAGCATGTATTTTTGTCAATTACCAGAAAGATAACAGGACGAGATGACGGTGTTATTCCAAGGGAATATTGCCAATGCTACAGTAATAAATGAATGTCACTTCTGGATATAGCTAGGTGACATATACATACTTACATGTGTGTATATGTAGATGTATGCACACACATATATTATTTGCAGTGCAGTATAGAATAGGCACTTTAAAACACTCTTTCCCCGCACCCCAGCAATTATGAAAATAATCTCTGATTCCCTGATTTAATATGCAAAGTCTAGGTTGGTAGAGTTTAGCCCTGAACATTTCATGGTGTTCATCAACAGTGAGAGACTCCATAGTTTGGGCTTGTACCACTTTTGCAAATAAGTGTATTTTGAAATTGTTTGACGGCAAGGTTTAAGTTATTAAGAGGTAAGACTTAGTACTATCTGTGCGTAGAAGTTCTAGTGTTTTCAATTTTAAACATATCCAAGTTTGAATTCCTAAAATTATGGAAACAGATGAAAAGCCTCTGTTTTGATATGGGTAGTATTTTTTACATTTTACACACTGTACACATAAGCCAAAACTGAGCATAAGTCCTCTAGTGAATGTAGGCTGGCTTTCAGAGTAGGCTATTCCTGAGAGCTGCATGTGTCCGCCCCCGATGGAGGACTCCAGGCAGCAGACACATGCCAGGGCCATGTCAGACACAGATTGGCCAGAAACCTTCCTGCTGAGCCTCACAGCAGTGAGACTGGGGCCACTACATTTGCTCCATCCTCCTGGGATTGGCTGTGAACTGATCATGTTTATGAGAAACTGGCAAAGCAGAATGTGATATCCTAGGAGGTAATGACCATGAAAGACTTCTCTACCCATCTTAAAAACAACGAAAGAAGGCATGGACTTCTGGATGCCCATCCACTGGGTGTAAACACATCTAGTAGTTGTTCTGAAATGTCAGTTCTGATATGGAAGCACCCATTATGCGCTGTGGCCACTCCAATAGGTGCTGAGTGTACAGAGTGGAATAAGACAGAGACCTGCCCTCAAGAGCAAAGTAGATCATGCATAGAGTGTGATGTATGTGTAATAAATATGTTTCACACAAACAAGGCCTGTCAGCTAAAGAAGTTTGAACATTTGGGTTACTATTTCTTGTGGTTATAACTTAATGAAAACAATGCAGTACAGGACATATATTTTTTAAAATAAGTCTGATTTAATTGGGCACTATTTATTTACAAATGTTTTGCTCAATAGATTGCTCAAATCAGGTTTTCTTTTAAGAATCAATCATGTCAGTCTGCTTAGAAATAACAGAAGAAAATAGAATTGACATTGAAATCTAGGAAAATTATTCTATAATTTCCATTTACTTAAGACTTAATGAGACTTTAAAAGCATTTTTTAACCTCCTAAGTATCAAGTATAGAAAATCTTCATGGAATTCACAAAGTAATTTGGAAATTAGGTTGAAACATATCTCTTATCTTACGAAAAAATGGTAGCATTTTAAACAAAATAGAAAGTTGCAAGGCAAATGTTTATTTAAAAGAGCAGGCCAGGCGCGGTGGCTCACGCCTGTAATCCCAGCACTTTGGGAGGCTGAGGCGGGTGGATCACGAGGTCAGGAGATCGAGACCATCCTGGCTAACACGGTGAAACCCGTCTCTACTAAAAATGCAAAAAAAATTAGCCGGGCGTGGTGGCAGGCACCTGTAGTCCCAGCTACTCGGGAGGCTGAGGCAGGAGACTGGCGTGAACCCAGGAGGCGGACCTTGTAGTGAGCCGAGATCGCGCCACTGTGCTCCAGCCTGGGCAACAGAGCAAGACTCCATCTCAAAAAATAAAAATAAATAAAAAATAAAAAAATAAAAGAGCAAACTATTTCCAAATACCATAGAATAACTTACATAAAAGTAATATAACTGTATTGTAAGTAGAAGCTAGCACTGGTTTTATTAATTTAGTGACTATTCATTTTATCTAAATCAGTGAAGATTTACTGTCATTGTTTATTAGTCTGTATATATTAAAATATGATATCATTAATGTACTTACAAAATAGTATGTCACTGTTTTTATGTTCATTCTTAAAAACATAACCTGTATTAATAAATGTGAACATTTGCTTGGTATCTCTTTGGAACAAATTAGTATTATATCTTTCTGGTCCTGGCACACTTTAAGGGTTTAACTGAAGAGCATTTAATGAAGAGGTGATTTACAAAGGTGTAGACAGGGTTAAGGGAACCAACGGGGACTGGTGAAGCACCCCCCAGAGACTAGCAATCAGGGGAAGCCATTACTGCCAAGGCCCAGGTACAGGAGGGAACACACTGACGCCTCTCCCTCACCCTCTGATCTCTTGGGAGGCCTCCCCTTGATCCTAATCTTAACCCAATACCCAGAGTGAAGTAGTCCATAAAGATCAGCTTCCTTTGCCGTGGAGAAGGGATCTGGAAGAACAAATGCAAGGAAAAAATAAAACAAACAGCACCATTTCTGCCAAAGACATTGAGTGATTAGCTCTCTCTCTCTCTCTCAATCCCTTCTTAAGAAAATTTAAGCTTATTGAGAATATATTCAAATTTCTGAGTTATAGACATCATGGGTAGTGTCTGCAGTTCTTCCCTAGTGAGAGAGAAATTAAATGTCAGAGCAGAAAGGAAATCCGTAAAATGGCTGTGCTGTCTTCTCTGGCTGAATGACAGTCCTTTGCTGTCTAGCACTCCCTCAGGCAGAAGGGAGGAGGGGAAATTTAAAGCAAAATGACTAGTACTTCTCAAGGTTGAAAATAAAAAAATTTTTGATAAATTATTTCTAGAGTCATAGTCAATGAAAAAATTATTTCAACTAAACAAGGATTTTGTTAACATACAGAATTTTTATAAGTTAACACACAAGCTTTTTAAGTTTCTAAGGCCTGGACTTTTCACGTGTGTTTCAAGGAATAGATTGAGTTCAAAAAACCTTAAATTTTGCTAACACAAAAATTTTTTTTGTCCAGGCATGGTGGCTCACGCCTATAATGCCAACACTTTGGGAGACTGAGGCCAGAGGATCATTTCAGACCAGGAGGTTGAGACCAGCCTGAGCAACATAGTGAGACGCCATCTCAATTAAAAAATAAATAAATAATTAACCTGGCACGATGGCATGCCTGTGGTCCCAGCTACTCAGGAGGCTGAGGTGGGAGGATCGTCTGAGCCCAAGAGGTTGAGGCTGCAGCGAGCCATGATTGCACCACTGCAGTCCAGCCTGGGCAACAGAGTGAGACCATGTATCCAAAAAAAAAAAATGTTTTTTCCACCAAGCTAAAAATAGCATTTTTAAGGAAATGGAATGCTTGGCTATTGAATATACACTTGGAAAATTTTAGGTTATACTTCTGAATTTAAGAAATTTTAAAAACTGTTTGCCGTTGGCATGTCTTTGAGGAAGTTGAGCTACAGAAGCAAGTGGAAAAGGTTAAGCAGCATTGATGACCAAGCTATTTAAGTTTCTGGGGCCTGGACCATCCATTAGCAGCTTATCTTCAGCCAGGTGCTGTCGTGAAAATTAAGGGGAAAAACAGTTCACCAATGGTAATTTCCTGGCATAATTAGCCTGTTATGTGGCTATGCCTTTTGAAACTACTAGACCAAATGTGTGTGAAGAGTAATTGACCACAGGATAAACCTAATTGTGTTTTGTGAAGGAGGTGTGGTTAAGTGAGCTGCAATGTGAGAAGAGAGGAGAAATTCTCTAATGCAATTATTCTCAGAGTTCCTGAGACTCTCAGGAGATCTGCAAGGTCAAACTCTCTTCAAATACCAAGATATTATTTGCCTTTTTTGGTCTGTTTCTCTCATAAGTGGACAGATGAGTTTTCCAGAAGCTACACAACATGTGAAAGTGCAACAGATTGAATGCAGAAGCAGAGACGAAAATCTGACTGTCTCCTATTACACCAGTCATTAAAGAGATTGCAAAAATGTAAAACAATGCAACTCTCCTCCTTAAATTATTGTTTTGGGAAAAAATTTTGAAAAATATAGTATTTATTTTAACATGTAATGGGCTTATTGTCATTTTTAGCTGAAATAGATATTTTCAAAAGTTCTCCATTTTAATGTCTAATATGGAAAATATCAGTAGATAAAATCATTGGCAGCAGGGTGCAGTAGCTCACACCTGTAATACCAACACTTTGGGAGGCCAAGCCAGGCGGATCACGAGGCCAGGAGTTCGAGACCAGCCTGGGCAACATAGGTAAACCCCATCTCTACTAAAAATAAAAAACTTAGCTGGGTGTGGTGGTGCACATCTGTAATCCCAGCTACTTGGGAGGCTGAGGCACGAGAATCACTTGAGCCTGGGAGGCGAGGGTTACAGTGAGTCAAGATGGCATCACTGCACTCCAGCCTGGACGACAGAGCAGAGCAAGGCTGTCTCAAAAAATGAAAAAGAAAAAAAGTCAGTGATGTGCTGCTAAGCAGGATCTCCACAAAAAGAAAAAAAGCCTGATCTGGCAAACTAGCATTTGCCAATTTTGATGGTGTGAATACTCCCTTCTTTTCCAGTTTCAAGCTCCCAACTGTTTAACAGTTGGCTTGACAAATTTCCTGAATATTGAATTCTTGTGAGCAGGTACAAGTTGACTCCAGCACACCAATGGATGCAACCCACATAAACAAAGGCTCTTTGCTGGTCCTCAATAATTTTAAGTGTATTAAGGTGTTCTGAGCAAAAGAAGTTTGAAAACCACTGCCCTTATCCAAGATGTCCCAACTTTATTGACTTGAAGAAAACAGATAAACTGGTAATTATTATAAAAGCATAAAAGCAAACAGGGGTAAAGAGTTGGCTTAGAGCTGCAGGCACCACTCTGGGTTTCTGGCTGTTTCAGAGCTGAGGGGTTCCAAGTCTTGGAGCAAGAAACTGATTCAACATCCAGGCTCAGTGGCTCACGCCTATTATCCCAGCACTTTGGAAGGCTAAGGCGGATGAATGGTTTGAGCCCAGGAGTTCGAGACCAGCCTAGGCAAAATGGCAAAACCCCGTCTCTACGAAAAATACAAAAATTAGCCGAGCGTGATGGCTCATGCCTGTAGTTCCAGCTACTTGGGAGGCTAAGGTGGGAGGATGGCTTGAGCCTGGGAGGCGGAGGTTGCAATGAGCCAAGATGGTGCCACTACACTTCAGCCTGGGTGACAGAGTGAGACCCTGTCACAAAAAGAAAAGAAAAGATACTGATTCACGTCATCAGGTATGGTGTGGTCCACAGAACAGGAAGCTCTGTGTGAGGTCTGATTTTCAGCCACCTGCTGTGTAAAGGAAAGAGAGAGGTGCTTGCTGAGCAAAGTTTCAGACCAGAAGACCAAGAGACAATTCAGAACAGCAGCAGATTCTACCCATGGTGGCATTCCTGTAAAGTGAAACTCAAGCGCCAAGTTTGTTGTCATGGGGACTGTTGATTGCATGCTAGTCTTATGGAAACACACGGAAAACCAGAGGTCAAATTCAGTAGCATCTCAGAATTCAGATAACACAGCATGTACAGTTTCAACCCAGCAGGCTGTGTGTTTATCACTTCAGGAAATGACTCATAAGCAGTAAGGAGATGAGCTTTGAAAGCTGCATCTGGCCAGGGCACGGTGGCTCACCGCTGTAATCCCAGCACTTTAGTGAGGCCGAGGCGGGTGGATCACCTGAGGTCGGGAGTTTGAGACCAGCCTGGCCAACATGTGAAACCCTGTCTCTACTAAAAATACAAAAATTAGCCAGATGTGGTGGCACACACCTGTAATCCCAGCTACTCAGGAGGCTGAGGCAGGAGAATTGCTTGAACCCAGGAGGCAGAGGTTGCAGTGAGCCGAGATTGTGCCATCCAGCCTGGATGACAAGAGCGAAACTCCATCTCAAAAAAAAAAAAAAGAAAAGAAAGCTGCATCTATAGTAGCCTGCATGGTGGCAGGGCCAGTCTGGCTGTTTTGCCTATCTTAATGACTACATCTGCAGGTCATTTTGGTGTGCTGCTATGCGACCCATCCAAGGAAGTGAAAACACCACGAAGGGTGGGCTGTCCAATACTGAGATGCATTCGTGAGCAAAACCATAATCATTTGATATCTATTTTTGTTGTTTTGTTTCCTATCCTGGGATATCTAGTTGCTCTTGAAACTAGCTGACACATATTTTAAAAAAAACAAGACAAATAATATATTCCCATCCTCCAGAAGCTAACTGGCTTTGGGATTTAATCCTAATACTTAATGTTTAGTTAGGAAGCACAAAATTTGAAGACCTCAGATTTAGAATTTTATCAGCTCTGCCTTGTAACAAGTTTTAGAAACTAAATCAGTTGGCCAGGCCTGGTGGCTCATGCCTGTAATCCTAGCTTTTTGGGAAGCCAAGGCGGGCGGATCACCTGAGGTCAGCAGTTCGAGACCAGGCTGGCCAACATGGTGAAACCCTGTCTCTACTAAAAATACAAAAATTAGTCAGACATGGTGGCACGTGCCTGTAATCCAGCTACCCGGGTGGCTGAGGCAGGAGAATTGCTGGAACCCGGGAGGCAGACGCTGCACTGAGCCGAGATGGCACCACTGCACTCCAGCCTGGGCAACAGAACGAGACTCTGTCTCAAAAAAAAAAAAAAAAGAAAAGAAAGAAAGAAAAGAAAAGAAACTAAATCAGTTCTCAACTCTGGTTGCGCATAGAATCACTGGAGAGCTTCTAAACAATTCCAGTGCCAATCTCTGGGGGCGAGGCCTGGACATTGATATTGTTTTCAAGCTCCTCAGAAGATTCTGATGTGTAAACCAGGGTTGATACTAAGAAAAGAAAAATCCCTCAGCAGTCTGAGCTATGTGAGGTGTGCAAAATTTATTAGGCCCAGAGAGACGGGAGTAGAGGACTTCAGTCACACCCCCGGCACATACCCTCCCCCTACCCACCACCCCCCATGCCTGTGGGCAATTATTTAAAGTCATTTTGTTCCTGGTGGTGTGGTAGCTCATGCCTGTCATCCCAACACTTTGGGAGGCCGAGGCGAGAGGATCCCTTGAGGTCAGGAGTTTGAGACCAGACTGGTCAACATGGTGGAACCCCTACACTCCTAAAAATACAAAAATTAGCCAGGCATGGCAGCATGCTCATGAAATCCCAGCTACTCGGGGGGCTGAGGCAGGAGAATTGTTTGAACCCAGGAGGCCAGAAGGTAGAGGTTGCAGTGAGTCAAGATGGCGCCACTCCAGCCTGGGCAACGGAGAGAGACTCCATCTCAAAAAAAAAAAAGGCATTTTGTTCCTGACTAGCTACATTCCCTGTTATCTTCATGTTCCTGGAATCTGTGATACAAAGAACAATGTGTATCCAATCAACAGCTTATGTTATTTTAATGTAAATTTTGATAAACAACTTAGGAACTGCCTCTTTTCCTTTATAAACATTCACATGCAACTGCTGCTAATCAGATTGTATATTCAGGACAACTTGAATATACACTTCAATATACACTGGGTTGCAGTCCTCAAGCTTGGCCCAAATAAACTCTCTACTTATATTAATTTTGACTCAGCTTCTTCCTTTTAGATCAACAATACCACTGTTTTTGAAAAGTGCTTCTTAGCTTATATACTGCTGGTGGGAATGTAAAGTATTAGTTCAGCCATTGTGGAAAGCAGTGTGGTGATTTCTCAAATAATTTAAAACAGAATTATCATTCAACCCAGCAGTCCCATTATTGGGTATATACCCAAAGGAATAGAAATCATTCTACCATAAAGACATCTGCGCACAGGTGTTCACTGCAGCACTATTCACAATAGCAAAGCTATGGAATCAACCTAAATGCCCACCAATGATAGACTGGATAAAGAAAATGTGGTACATATACCCCATGGAATACGATGCAGCCGTAAAAAAGAACAAGATCACGTTCTTTGCAGCAACATGGATAGAGCTGGAGGCCATTATCCTAAGCCAACTAATGCAGAAACAGAAAACCAAATACCACATGTTCTCACTTATAAGTGAAACTAAACATTGAGTACACATGGACACAAAGAGGAGAACAACAGATACCAGGGCCTACTTGAGGGTGGAGGATGAGAGGGAGAGGACTGAAAAACCACCTATCGAGTACTATGCTTACTACCAGGGTGATGAAATAATCTGTACACCAAACCCCCAAGACACACAATTTACTTATATAACAAACCTGCACATGTACCCCTGAACCTAAAGTAAAAGTTTTTTAAAAAAGAAAAGAAAATAGTGTTTCTTGGCCAGGTGCAGTGGCTCACATCTGTAATCCCAGCACTTTGGGAGGTGAAGACAGGAGGATTGCTTGATGCCAGGAGTTTGAGAGTTTGAGACCAGCCTGAGCAACATAGCAAGACCCTGCTAAAACAAATGTAAGAATTAGCTGGGTGTGGTGGCACACGCCTGTAGTCCCAGCTACTCAGGAGGCTGAGACAGGAGGATCCTTTGAGCCTAGGAGTTCAAAGTTACAGTGAGCTGTGATCTGTCTGCTTCTCAAACTTTAACCTGCATACAAATTACCAGAGTCTGCTGCAACTGGTCCGAGGCTGGGTCTGCCTGTGTAACAACTTCCCAGGTAAAGTTAAAGTTGCTCCTTTTGGACTATGCTTTGAATAGCAGTGCTCTCAGAGATAGCCCCGAGGCAGAATTTGGCTAGGTTGCAGGTCCAGGGATCCAGAAAATCAATTCTCATATTCTTAAAATCATTTTCTGAGACAATTTTTTTTTATTCTGAGAAAATTGGGGCAATTTTTAATGTAGTGGCAGCATATGTTCTTAATCAAAATTTGTTGTAGGTGATATCTATCTTGCTGTATGCTTCCTCTCCTCTTTCTCCCTTCTTTGGTTCTTTTCTAGGGAAAAAGATAGCTTAAATGGCTCTAATCTTATACATAAAACCATTTCAGAAGACACTGGGGGTTTAAAGTGGCAACTCCCATTTTTTAAAGATAGTGCCCGGCAGATAGCGGCAGCGCCTGGTTACCAGAAAGCAACTGTGGATATTTTTCCTGTCTCTGGGTCTGGCTGAAAAATGGTGACCTCAGGGAAGCACTAGGGTGCTACTTAGCATTCAGGAGCTTCAGTCTTGATGGAGCTGGAATGAGAAGTTTTGCAAACCCAAAGGCAAATGAGTCAGCCCAGGGATCATCATCAGAGGATCCATGATTCCACTGTGCCTGGGGAAAACCAAAGATTTTGTTAATCAACTCTGGGAACACATTTACAGCACATTCAGTAAACTTGGAGTAAATTCGTCATTATAGAAGCCCTCTTACAAGTTGATTGAAAAAACTAAATGATGAAAGAAAAACTACAATTTGTTAGCCAACGTGGGAAAAAATGTTACATCTCAGCGATAATCCAATAGCTGCAATTTAAAACAAGATAACACCGGCTCGTGTCCAATTAACAATGATCTTTTTCTATGATGGCTAAAACAGCTCCCTAATAAGTATTACAGAAGGAATGGAGGAAATAAGGAAAATAATATAAATACCAGAAAGGGTAAGATAATGTCGGTGGACACACTTTAGGAAAGCAATTTGACAAAATGTCATCATCCTTACATGTTCATAACCTTTGACCCAGTTGTATGACTTCTGGGAATCTATCAAGAAATAATTACAAATAACATCAAAAAAAGTAATAGGCTTCTGGTTGTTAATAGCAGCCTTATTTGCATGTTAGCAGAAGACAAAATTCCTCTAGATGTGTAATTTTAAAGGACTTCTCCAGAGACTATTATACCCTTTAACAATGAGACGTTTTAAGTGTATGTAACGACACAGAGCAGTGCTTATAATGTTTAATTTTTTAAAAAATAAGATGCAATGATATACAAGCAGTACAAAACCAACAAGATGGGGAAAAATAGATCTAAGTCAAGGCAAAGACTAATGAGAAATATACCAAGATGTTTAAACTTGCGTTTTGGTAATTGGGTCATTTTTTTTCCTTTAAAGTATTTTCTACTTCTCTCTTTCCTGAGTATGTACTGCCTCTCTAGCAAAAAAGCAACCCACATTAAAACAAAAGTAAAATAATCTGAAAAAACAAACAAATCTTTCTGACCATCTCCTAGCCACAATTAGTATTTTGTGCCTCAATATATTATTCAAGCAGGAAATAATGGTGTTAGGAAATCATATGATTCTACATATAGTTGACATCTTCAAGATTCTCCCAAAATATCTTGTGGAACTCTGAAATTCTCAAAAACATAAAAATATCTTTAGCCATGGCCAGGTGCAGTATCTGACACCTGTAATCCCAGCTACTTAGGAGGCTGAGGCATGAAAATCGCTTGAACCCTGGAGGTGGAGGTTGCAGTGAGCCCAGCCTGGGCAACAGAGCGAGACTCTGTCTCAAAAAAAAAAAAAAGAAAAAAAAAAAAAAAAGTCATTAGCTATACTCTGAAGCCAGAAATGTTTCTATTTGTCCCCAGCAGCTACCAGAACATTCAGTACAGCATTCTGTCATCATAACCAGAGCACGACTTTTTACTCTGATAGTCTTTATACTTGTGCCAAAAGGGCTATTCATTTGTTTTCTTCTGGAATTCATATTTCCTCATCAAGCAGCAAATATTATTTTTGCAAAACAAAACAAAAACTTTGACTGATTTTATTGCATAGTTATGTTAGTCCTCTTATTCTTGAAATTAATGAATGTGTGTAACCCACATTCTATTATTCAGTATTTTAAAAATCTGAT
The DNA here is from genome assembly GCF_000001405.40 of Homo sapiens. Classification (NCBI taxonomy): domain Eukaryota; kingdom Metazoa; phylum Chordata; class Mammalia; order Primates; family Hominidae; genus Homo; species Homo sapiens. Next base: position 76,744,376 of record NC_000005.10, read on the forward strand.
TAATTATCCCATAAGCTCTTTTTAAAACATACTTGAGCTTTATTTAATTTCTGCATTCTTTGACCCATGTTGTTGGATCCTTAATTTCACTTATTCATTTTCTTACAATTATTAAATGGTCTCTTACATGGTGAGACTGAAGCTGGTATCCATAGGCTTGTTGCTTCTGTATAATGAAGGCAGCTTCAGTAGTCGATTGAACCACCCAGCAGTGACTACATTCAGTGCTTCTGGAAATGGAGTCCACAAAAGTCTTTTGAGCTGCTTGTTATAATGCAGGTTTTTGGTCTCCATCCCGGACCTAAAACCAGAATGTTTGGGATAGGACCTGGATCATCTGCATTTTTAACAAGAGCTGGGGGTGATTCTTATGCAAACCAAACTTTGAGAACCATGGATCTAGTTTTTACATGAAATCTCTAACCTAGTAAACCACAGTTTATTTGTTAAAATGCTAAAGTTTTTCAGAGTTGACCTGTATATTATCATGTCTCTCAGTAAAGTTATCGGAATATTAGTATTCTTTAGCTATAACCCCCTAGATATTGACCCTAAATATCTGACTATATCCACTGAAAGATTTAACCTTACAAACAATTGTCTCTATCACTTACTCTGCCTTGTCTCTCCTCTCCTCTAGAAATACAAGTCAATGCCCTGTATTCATGTAGGATTTTTATTGTATTTTTTTTAATAGGTAACACTCATATGGTTCAAATTTCAAAAGAACAAAAGGATATACAGTGAAAAATCACCCTTTCCTTTCTGTCATCTCCTGGAAGACAACCACAGTTAACAGCTTCTTGAGTATGGTGTTGAATCTATTTAAAAAACAATCTGGAAACTCATTATTACTTTTGGTAGGAAAGCTAAAAGAGAGTATACAATAAGCTTTTTTTTTTTTTTTGAGACGGAGTCTTGCTCTGCTGCCCAGGCTGTAGTGCAGTGGCACAATCTTGGCTCACTGCAAGCTGCCCCTCCCAGGCTCAAGCAATTCTCCTCCCTCAGCCTCCCAAGTAGCTGGGATTACAGGCATGCGCCACTATGCCTGGCTAATTTTTGTATTTTTAATAGAGACAGAGTTTCACCTTATTGGCCAGGCTGGTCTCGAACTCCTGACCACAAGTGATCCCCCCGCCTCCACCTCCCAAAGTGCTGGGATTACAGGCGAGAGCCACCGCGCCCACAATAAGCCATTTTATTTTTTAATGGTATCTTTCAGTTTTAAAAACTCCTTTTGATGTAAAGATCTCAGTCAGATATTTGCTGCATAACAAACTACACAAAACCCCACAGGCATATAACAACAAGCATTTATTGCTAATATTCTGGGATAGCCAGCTAGGTAGTCCTGCTGATGTGTCTGGGGATCTATTGGCTGATTTAGGAAGGCCTGGACTGGGATGACTGGGGTGACTTACTGGGTTCCATATGTCTCTCATCTTCAAGTACACTAATCCTGGCACATTCCCATGGCAATGGCCGAGGTGTTAGAGATAAGAGAAAGCATGCTGGACATCGGGAAGTGTAAGACTGGGATTGGCATGTTCTCACCACAGTCACAGTCTACTGACCAAAGCAAGACACAGGCCATCCCAGTTTTAAGGCGATGGAAAAATAGACATTGCTTCTTTAGTGAAAGGAATTTCAATGTCACATGCAAGGCCATGGCTATAGGGAGTGATGAAGAATGAGGCTATCACCAAAATCTACTGTACATAAATGACTGAAAATTCATTACAATAATAATACTTGGCTTAGTGTTCAAGTATTGTACTTTTATAAAACTGTCCTTGTTTTCTGAAGATTTTTCAGTTGTATATGTATATTTATATTTTTGGGGCGTGGAGTCTCACTCTGTTGCCCAGGCCGGAGTGTGGTGACACGATCTCAGCTCACTGCAACCTCTGCCTTCCGGGTTCAAGGGATTCTTGTGCCTCAGTCTCCCAAGTAGCTGGGACTACAGGCTCCCGCCACCCTGCCCAGCTAATTTTTGTATTTTCAGTAGAGATGGGGTTTCGCTATGTTGGCCAGGCTGGTCTCGAACTCCTGATCTCAAGCGATCCGCCCACCTTGGCCTCCCAAAGTGCTGAGATTACAGGCGTGAGCCACTGCACCCAGTCATTTATGTGTATATTTCTAAGGTCAACGGAAGAATTGTGAAAACATCTCAAAGACCTGGGACCTACACCCAGCCAGTCAGCATATACCTTTCCACTGTCATATGTGAAATGAGAAAAACAGGTGGGGTATGGTGGCTCATGTCTATAATTCCAGCACTTTGGAAGGCTGAGTCCAGAGAATTGCTTGAGCTCAGGAGTTTGAGGCCAACCTGGGCAACCCGTGAGACCTTGTCTCTACTTTTATATAAAAATAAAAGTTAAAAAAAAAGAAAAAGATGGATAATGACTCTGGGAAACAGGAAATAGAATGTTTCAAGTTGTACCAAAGAAAAGTGCCATTTTAATTGAAAATTTTACCTCCTCCAGCAGGGGTGCTGATGTACTAACAAGCCACTTTCAGAAAAACAGTGTGATCAAGTACAGTTTTCATTCTTTTATGTCAACATGTTTTTTGAGATTATTTTTCGTATTCTATACTGATTTAAATCTTTGCCTTTTTAAAATCAGAATAGTCATGCTTACAAAGTGACCCTTGAAAGGTTTATGAAACAAATGTCAGGGGTGATTCTGGTTTCTGCTTTCCATTTAACTTAATTTCAATTGCTATTTGCTTATTTTAAGAAATAAACTTTGTTTCTTAAGATGACACTGACTCTGATGCTATCAGTAGCCTCATCCTGATCTTTAAAAAGTAACCTTTTAACTAGAATTTTCAAATACTTTAATATGCATGTGGAATTACTTAGACAGTTAACATTTCTTGACCCACTCGCATTTAGTCCTATTGGCTGATAGGCAGTAACTGGAAAATGCAGCATTTCTTTCTGATAGACAGTGAGAAGTAAGACTTCGCGACACTCAGTGATCAGGCCATAGCTCAATGAGTCTATGCATACAGTTAGGTTGGAATCTGTTTTAGAGGTTTGAGTATGAGACGAGCGTATCCTAGCTGATACAGTTTGAGCTCGTCCCCATCAAAACATGATCCCCAGTGTGGCCATGTTGAGAGGCGGGTGTATTGGGAGGTGTGTGTGTCATCGGGTGGATCCCTCATGGATGTCTGGTGCCATTCTCCTGGTAGTGAGTTCTTGCCCTCCAGACTAGATTAGTTCTCCTGGGAATGTTCCTTCAAGAGTGGGTTGTTATTGTTGAATTAAGTTTAGCCCAAAGCGGCCTCCTTACATATTTTAAGTTGGCCCTAAAGGTTTCTCCCTACATAACAAACTGTAACCTTACTGAATGTGTAAACAGACTATAACCTATTCTTGTGCCAGTCACTAAGTTTTGGCCAATTGAAGGCAGTTAGCTGTTCAAACCGTGTTCAAATAAGCCAAACACCGAGCTGTGGCCAATCCAGCTGTTACTGTACCTCACTTCTGTTTTCTCTATGTCGGTTTCCTTTTGCTGTGCATAAATCTTCCACCAGGCGGTTCTGCGCTGGAGCCTCTTTGAACCTATGTGCTTTAGGGGCTGCCCGATTCGCAAATCCCAAATCGCTCTTTGCTCAGTGTAACTCTGTTCGGTGTAATTTGTCTAAGGTTTTTTCTTCCATCCTTATAAAACCATGACGCTGGCCGGGTGCGGTGGTGGCACTTTTCGAGGCCAAGGCGGGAGAATCACATGAGATCAGGAGTTCGAGACCAGGCTGGCCAACATGGCGAAACCCCGTCTCTACTAAAAATACAAAAAACAAAAAACAAACATTAGCCGGGCATGGTGATGCGCGCCTTTAATCCCAGCTACTCGGAAGTCTGAGACGGGGAATCCGTCAAACCCGGGAGGCGGAGACTGTAGTGAGCCAAGATTGTGCCAGAGCACTCCAGCCTGGGTGACACAGCAAGACTCCATCTCAAAAAAAAATGAAAGTAAAAAATAAAGCCACGATGCCCTCGGATTTTCCTCTCTTCTCGTGTGTCTGCTTCCCCTTTGACCTTCTCCACCATGTTATGACGCAGCACAGAAGCCTTCGCCAGCAGCAGAACAGATGTCAGTACTAGGCTTCTTCAACTTCCCAGCTGGCAGAACTGTGAGCTAAATAAACGTTTTCTTTATAAATTACCCAATCTCAGGTGTTCTGTTATAGTGGCACAAACTATAGACTAAGACACTAGCCTCAATGGAACAGGTATTGCCTTTGTAAATTGCTGACCACTGACATCAGCACTCTCCATAATCTGAGATACAGAAAAATATTGTACAGCATTATCTATGCAACATAATCCTGTAGAAATTCACCTCCTCCCCTTTGCCCTTTTTCTTTATGTTTGTCACTGATACCCACAGGCATAGTTCATAGGAACTGGTGGCCCTCTGAGCTCAGCCAGAAGTCAGAGAGATTTTCAAATGGAAGGCTATCCTGACATGGATGTGAAGCAACTGGACATCGTTTTTTTTGTTTTTGTTTTTGTTTTTGTTTTTTGAGGCACAGTCTCGCTCTGTCACCCAGGCTGGAGTGCAGTGGCATCATTTTGGCTCACTGCAACCTCCACTTCCTGGGTTCAAGCAATTCTCCTGCTTCAGCCTCCCAAGTAGCTGGGATAACAGGTGTGGGCCACCACGCCCGGCTAATTTTTGTATTTTCAGTAGAGACGGGGTTTCGTCATGTTGGCCAGGCTGGTCTTGAACCCCTGACTTCAAGTGATCTGCCTGCCTCAGCCTCCCAAAGTGCTGGGATTACAGGCATGGACCACTGTGCCCAGCCAAAATGTTATATATTTTTATTGTGATGGTAGTTACGTAGCTATATATATATTTTTCAAAATTCTTTGAATTTAAAATGGGTGCAGTTTTTGTACATAAATTTTACCCCAATAAAATGGAAGTTTTTAACAAAAAAGACTCAACATCACCAATCATTAGGGAATTGCAAATCAACATCATAGTGAGATATCACTTCACACCCATTAAGATAGCTATTATTTAAAAACAACTACAATAGTGCCGGGCGCGGTGGCTCACGCCTGTAATCCCAGCACTTTGGGAAGCCAAGGCAGGCGGATCACTAGGTCAGAAGATCAAGACCATCCTGGCTAACACGGTGAAACCCCGTCTCTACTAAAAACACAAAAAAGTAGCTGGGCGTGGTGGTGGGCGCCTGTAGTCCCAGCTACTTGGGAGAATGAGGCAGGAGAATGGCATGAACCCAGGAGGCAGAGCTTGCAGTGAGCCGAGATCATGCCACTGCACTCCAGCCTGGGCGACAGAGCAAGACTCCGTCTCAAAAAACAAACAAACAAAAAAAAAACTACAATAAAATCACATGTTGACAAGGATGTGGACAAATTGGAACCTTTGCACATTTCTGGTGGGCATGTACAACAGTGCAGCCACTATAGGAAACAATATGACAGTTCCTCAAAAAATTAAATGTAGAATCACTATATGATCCAGCAATTCCACCCCTAAGTATATACTCAAAATAATTGAAAGTGGAAACTCAAACCGATATTTGTATATCCATGTTCATAAGAGCATTATTCACAATAGCCAAAGGGTGGAAACACCCCAAATGTCTAACAGTGCGTGAATGGATAAACAAAATGTGATATACACACACAGTGAAACATAATTTGGCCACGAAAAAGAATACAATTTTGAGACCTGCCACAACATGGATGAACCTTGAATATGCATGCTAAGTGAAGTAAGCCAGACACAAAAGAATAAATATTGCAAATTTCACTTATATGAAAAACCAGAGTAGTCAAATTTATAGAGATGAAAAAATATAAGGGGCTGGGGGAGACGAGAAGGGGTAGTTATTGTTTAATGGATACGGAGTTTTAGTTGAGAAAGATGAAAAAGTTCTGGAGATGGATGGTGGAAATGATTATACAACCCTGTGAATGTTCTTAATGCCCATGACTTTTACCTTTAAAATGTTAAAATTTATGTTTTGTCTATTTACCATGATAGAAAGAGAGACAGAAAGGTAGAAAAAGAAACAGAAAAAAGAAAAAGAAGGAAAGAAAGGAAGGAAGGAAAGAAAGATGGAGGGAAGAAAGGAAGGAAGGACTCCCCTAATCAACTGTGCTTGTCTTGGGGCAAGACAGGACAAATGGACAGATGACTTTCAGACTCCACTGCCCCTGCCCAAGACCCCACTCTGACTTCTATGTCAATCAACAAATGTCTTGTTTTGGGAAATGGAAACAATTTATTCTGCCAGGCACATGGGACATGGGAGAGGCTTAATGAAAAGGCATCTGGATGAGGAGCTGGATCTGCAGATAGATCAGTGGAGAAAAGCGCAGCACATGCAAAGGTTCCAAGGTGGGGCCGTGTTTGGGTAACTTCAGCAGCCTGCTGTTGCGGGAACAAAGTACATGTGGCAAGCAAGGTCAGGAGGTACAGCTGGAAATTTAGGGTAGGGCCAGACAGAGGGATCTTGAGGGCCACACTTAAGTTTGTTTGGATTTTATCTCATAGGTAGCAGTAAACCTTTCAACAATGTCAAGGTGGTTATTGACTTGTGATGTGAGTTTTAGAAAGATGGCAGAGGAGGGATGGGCTGGAGAGGGCCAACCAGGAGGCAGGGGCCAGGAGAGGGTGAGCTTTAGGAGGTCCCTACCATTCTACAGATACCTCAAGCAAATCTGACCTGTAGTTCTTGGTTTATCCCAGTCAACCACAGGTCCTCTCAAACATCTTACACTCATATTCCTTTTTGAGAAACATTAAAATCTCACACTGCTTTAACATCTCATACATTTCAAAGTAAATTACTTTTGATTTAAAACAAATCAAAGCAATTTCTAATGAGAATGTTTTTCCAACTACACTAGTTAGTTGGAAAATGCAGCATTTTTCAGCTATACCATTCCTTTCTCCTCCCTCATTCTAATTCCTACTCAACTGGGAATCATTGTTCTACAGCAAATCTAAGAAGAAGTGTTATACATAAGTCCACCCTGGGCTATGAGGTTCGCTTTAAACAAGTCTGGTTTCATTAGCGCTTCCTTGGGCTCTCAAAGATGCTGCAGGCCCTGGCATGCCCCATGCTAGGAATGACCTCCCTTCACTTCGTTCTGGATGTAGGAGTTACCCGCATGAGCAGCATCACTACCCAGCTGAGTTCAATCTGCTTTGAAGGTTGCCTTTGCCCTCATTCCATCATTTCCCTGGTGTGCCAGGCCGAAAGGGTCACCTGGGGTGTGTGTGAAGCACAGAGGTGCCCAGGCATCTCTCTGGAGATGCTGATTCAGGAGTCTGCAGCTGGCATCTGGAATCTCTATGTTGAGCAAGTGCTCCACGTGGTTCTTGTGACCTGACAGTTTTGGAAAACATCGTGAAGACCCTGCCTGCTCTGCTGGCAGCTGCTGCTGTCACCCTGAGAAGAATAAAAGGTTCACGGCCCAGCAGATGCCCGAGCCTCTTTCAGGGATGAAACCCTCTTTCTGGATACCTCTTTCAGGATGCCTGTGGAGTCTGCTCCTGTGACTTTCCAGAAGTCCACAGTCAAACCACATGGCTTTACGGTTGGCTCTTGTGATTCTCTAAAATGTGTCTTTGTCACATAGGTGTGTTCTTTCCACTTTGCCTTTAACCAAGTCAGTCTCTCTTTATTTGGCCCTCTTTGGCTCCCTTAAATATCTCTGCAGTGACTACAGGTGGCGGGTGCCCTGCCTGGGCCTCAGTCAAGAAGGCAAATGCACTTGAGTATAAGGAATCCCTTTGAGCACATCAGAAGTGAGACCCTGTGCTTATCCCAAAGTTACTTCTTCAAACAATGTATGCTCAGCCAAGTTTCAAGGAAGAGGCAAGAATGGCTTATGAGAAGGCCAGCTGTGCCATGCCTATAATCCGAGCACTTTGAAAGGCTGAGGCAGGCGGATCACATGAGGCCAGGAGCTCGAGATCAGTCTGGCCAACATGGCAAAAACCGATCGCTACTAAAAATACAAAAAAATTAGCTGGTTGTGGTGGTGCACACCTATCATCCCAGCAACTCAGGAGGCTGAGGCAGAAGGATTGCTTGAGCCTGGGCGGTAGAGGTTGCAGTGAGCCAAGGCTGAACTGCACTCCAGCCTATGCGACAAAGTGAGACCCTGTCTCAGAAAAAAAAAAAAGGCTTCTGAGGAGGAAGATAAACCTTGTGTTTCCAGAATGCTTATAGGACATTTGTAGGCTGTGTTGCCATCTTTTTTCTTCTTGGCCACAATACGTACAAGCCCGATTATCCACTGCTTTCTAGCTCCCAGCAGACTCGAGTTAGTTGTTAAGAAGGAACCATGCTGCTGGAGGCAGAGGCACTACCCACATCCACATATAAAAGAGAGAGAGACAGAAGAACAATGAAAAGCAGAGACGAGCACTCAGAAATGTACAAGAAAATACAAATACATCGATCAAATAGAATGAGGTTGAAAAGTAGATCCACTTTCATGAGTGTACTTTTTGATAAAGAAGGCATTCCATATTAATTGTGAAAGGATACAAATAAATAGCATTGGCTGGGTGGGGTGGCTCACTCTTGTAATCTCAGCCCTTTGGGAGGCCCAGGCGGGTGGATCACTTGAGGTCAGGAGTTCGAGACCAGCTTGGCCATCATGGTGAAACTCCATCTCTAGTAAAAATACAAAAAATTAGGCGGGCGCGGTGGCAGGCGCCTGTAATCCCAGTTACTCGGGAGGCTAAGGCAGAAGAACCACTTGAACCCAGGAGGCAGAGGTTGCAGTGAGCCAAGATCGTGCCACTGCACTCAAGCCTGGGCAACAAAAGCAAAACTCTGTCTCAATAAATAAATAAATAAAAGCATTAAAGAATTGGCTATGCATTTTGGGAGGAGAAAAAATTAGATCCTTACTTTATGCTGCCACATAAATTCCAGGTTAATTAAAAGAGGAAAACATGAAAAACAAGACTCCAGACAAATTAAAAGGAAACATAAGTGAATGTGGTTATAACTTTGGGATAGCATAGACTTCCTTAAGCAAAGAAGCCATAAAATGGATAAATTTCACTAAATAAGCTTTCAAAACATCCAGCTGGCAAAAAAGAACCATAAACAACTTTCAAAAGACAAACTATAGAATGGAAGAAACTATTTCTGGCATATATAACAGACAAAATATTAATAGCCATAATAACATAACAGTGCCTATAAATAATAATAAGAAAGACCAAACCTAATAATATGGAAAATGAATATTTTTATAAGATCAGGTATGAACAGGAATTTCACTGAATACAAATGACTAATAATCATATGAAAATATGTTCAATCTCAACAGCTAAAATGAGTTCTTTTTCACCCTGATTGGCAAAAATAAAAGATTTATAACATCCAATATGGGTGAAGATATGGAGAAATGGAAGCTGTCATTCTCAGTTGAAGAGAATAAATGGATATAGCCTTTTCAGAAAGAAATTTTATTCTATCAAAAATTTTGACTTGCATTCTCTACCACCCACCAATTCCACTGTCAACATCTATTCCAGAAAAACATCCAGAAAAAATAAGGAAATAAGTGGCATAACAATTTCAAAGAAAGAGTTTAAATTGTCCTCAATTCCAGGGAATATACAGAGAAACATCTTCATATGCACAAAATGGCAAGAACGCAAAATATTTCCTTGAGCAATGTCTGCACTAGGAAAAAACTGGAAACCTCAATGTCCATCAGTAAATTATGGCACATCTATAAGATGAGAATGAAAAAGAATGAGACAATTTAATGCATATAGAGTTTATGTTGGGTTGATGAAAATGTTTTGGTTATAAACAGTGGTTTAATATAGATATATACATGTATCTATATACAACACAAAAACAAAGCTACATATTTCTAAAGGTATACATATATATGTACAGATACCTTTAACATGGTTGGGAAGAATATACCCAAATCACTGTTATGCTTTGTTATCCACTAGGAAAGTGAGATTCATGGGCAGGGTCAAAGGGAATGTTTGCTTTAATGTATTGGGTAAACCTTTTATGAGAGAATGTACTCAAATGTTTACCTCTATGATTTAAATTTTCATTTCAAGAAAAACAAAATGCATGTATTGACATGGAAAATTATTTATTCATTCTTTCAATAGTATTCACTGGAAATATAAAACAAACTCAGAAGTTTCAAGGGCCTGTGGTTTAAAACAAACCATTCTATCACCTTGCTAGCAGGAGCAACAAAGGAAGTTAAAATGACTGATGCTCATTATGGTGCTGCTTAGCCGTGAAGAAAGGACTAAATTATGCTCCATGTACTGTGTTGGAAAATTTCAGGAGTCTAAAGTGAGTCTGGGGATTAATAAATGCAACAGACACTGTCAGTGCTCTGCTCACATTCCTTGAACCTCACTGATTTATTATCCTCTGGCTGGTTTCCAACTGCCCAAATCCATACCTGAAGGTTTTTCTGAAACCAGAAGGCTTATTTCCCGGACACAGTTGCACTCATCAGCAGCCCAAGAGTGCCAGGGAATGAACACACCCTGCTCCCCTGGGAGCAGCACTAATAACCCTCAGGCATTGGTGTGCAAATCCATTAGCTCCCATGCCCCTTGAGTGAGATCTTACACAGTCTCCCAGAGTGGCCAACTAGGTGAGGCTCCAGTCACCCACTGTGCTAACGGGGTTGGTAGCATAGCCTTTAGTGGCTGCTATCCCATCTTTATCATTTCCCCACTTCCCTAGAGGTGCTTCCTGCACGTCCCAGGTAAACTAGTTGTGTTCTTCCAGAGGTAGAGCCTGTCTCAAGATCCGCCTCTGGAAGAATCTACATGAAGGGTATCCAATCCTTTGGCTTCCCTGGGCCACACTGGAAGAAGAAGGACAGTCTTGGGCCGCACATAAAATGCACTGACACTAACAATAGCTGATGAGCTTAAAACAAAATTGCAAAAAAAAAAATCTCATAATGTTTTAAGAAAGTTTACAAATTTGTGTTGGGCCCCATTCAAAGCTGCCCTGGGCTGTGGGTTGGACAATCTTAATCTACACCAGCGCAGAAGGGTAAGCTTCAGTTATGTGAATATTCCTGCATTTGAAACAAGACTTTTTTTCCAATGTTACTGAAAAATGAGGTGTCACTATATACACACACACACACACACCCCAAAATGCTTTTCTGGGCTAGCTTTCTACCCTGCTCCTTGCTTCCCTTCCAGCCTGTCTTCCAACAGTTCAGCTCAGAGTTTATTTAGGGATAACCAGGTATTTTCTTTTGAATTCTCTCAGACTGCAGAGTTGAACAATCTCACAACGGCCAGGTCTACAGCATTCAGATGTCACCTAAGTTTCTGCAAAATGGCCTAAAAACCTCAAGGTCCCATTACTAGAAGGACTTAGTGAACCTTTCCAGGTGGAGTTTTTCTGCTCTTGGCTGTTTGGATCCTGGTCCTTGGGTGTTGCTAGACAGCACTCAGAGCCTGGTGGCTCCTGTTACTGAATTCAGTTCCCTCAAGAGAGGCTGGGCTGCAGCTGCTGCAGTGGGTGGGCACCCTTCCAGCCTCCGTCCACCTCAGTCCTCTGTGCCCCAGGTAGGCCTCTGTGGCCTCATTCCTTGTGTCATCAGTAGACGGTTGACAGTTGTGACTGCAAGTTGTCCAGGATCTTGGCATCTTGAACAAAGAATTGGACAAAATGCCTAGCAAAGCAAAGAGTGAAGCAACGAAAGAACAAAAGCAGGAATTTATTGAAAATGAAAGCACACTCCACAGTGTGGGAGTGCGCGGAGCAGCAGCTCAAGGGCCCGGACACAGAATCTTCTTGGGTCCAATACCCCTAGAAGTTTCCCATTGGCCACCTGATGCTCACCTCATGTAAATAAAGTGGTAGCCCACAATCAGTCTGATTGGTTGCAGAAGGCAGCCAAACAGAGGCTGAAATGGTTACAAAGGTCACACTCCTGTGCAAACATCTGATTGGTTGCAAAAAGCAGCTAGTCAGAGGCTAGGGTGAAGTTACAAAGTTATACTTCTATGCAAACGAAGACTTCGCCCAAAATCAGTCTGATTGTGGACAGCAACCATTCAGAGGCTGGAGTGAAGTTACAAAGTTGCAAACCAAGGCTGGACCTGCAATCAGTCTGATTTGTTGAGTACAGCCAATTTCCCATCTGCGGCAACTCGGCAACTCGACACTAAAAAGGTGAGGGTTTACAAAGGGAGTAGGTCATTTTGTTACTTAGGGGTGGAAAGTTAGGGTTTTCCTTTCAGTTTAGTTCTAGGAAGTCGACTTGAAACAGCCCTAGTTTCCCTGTCTCCAGACCCCATTCTCCCGCCTCAGTTATACAGACCATTTAGGAAAATGGAGACATCAATTATAACATTACCAGGGTAGCAAATTATCAAATCGGACAGCGTATTACAAACTTCTATGTAGAGGTTAAAGATACTTTTCAGGCCAGGTGTGGTGACTCAGGCCTGTAATCCCAGCTCTTTGGGAGGCCAAGGCAGGGGAATCTCTTGAGTTCAGGAGTTTGAGGCCAGTCTGGGCAACACAGGGAAACCTAATTTCTACTAAAAATAAAAAATAATTAGCTGGGCCTGGTGGTGTGCACCTGTAGTCCCAGCTACTTGGGAGGCTGAGGTAGGGGGAATCACTTGAGCCGGGGAGGTCCAGGCTGCTGTGAGCCGTGATCATGCCACTGCACTCCAGCACTCCAGCCTGGGTGACAGAGCAAGAATCTGTCTGAAATATATATGTATATATAATATATATTTATACCTAATATATAAACATTATTATTTAATTAATATTAATTAATTATATTAATATTATAAACATATCAGTAATATTAATATGTTAATAAATATATAAACATAAATATATTTATAAATATATAAATATATTATCAATGTTAATATATAATTAATTATAATTAATATATAATTAATAATATTATTAGGCTGGGCGTGGTAGCTCACGCTTATAATCCCAGCACTTTGGGAGGCTGAGGCAGGTGGATCACAAGTTCAGGAGTTCAAGACCAGCCTGGCCAATATGGTGAAACCCCGTCTCTACTAAAAATACAAAAATTAGCTGGGTGTGGTGGCTCACGCCTGTAATCCCAGCACTTTGGGAGGCTGAGGTGGGAGGATCACTTGAGGTCAGGAGTTCAAGACCAGCCTGACCAACATGGTGAAACCCCATCTCTACTAAAAATACAAAAATTAGCTGGGCGTGGTGGTGGGGACCTGTAATCCCAGCTACTTGGGAGGCTGAGGGAGGAGAATTGCTTGAACCTGGGAGGCGGAGGTTGCAGTGAGCCAAGATCATGCCACTGCACTCTAGCCTGGGCAACAGAGCATGACTCCGTCTCAAAAAAGAAAAAAAAAAATCTTGATTTTTCCTTCTGGACAGGCTCCAATATGGCTCTGTGCAGCACTGTTATTGGTCCTGTCGTTACTGAAAATTCTGATTTTTTTTTTTTGGAAACGGAGTCTTGCACTGTCGCCCGGGCTGGAGTGCAGTGGCGCAATCTCGGCTCACTGCAACCTCTGCCTCCCAGGTTCAAGCGATTCTCCTTCCTCAGCCTCCCAAGTAGCTGGGACGACAGGCGCCCGCCACCATGCCCAGCTAATCCAGCTAAATTTTTTTGTATTTTTAGTAGAGACGGGGTTTTACCTTGTTGGCCAGGCTGGTCTTGAACTCCTGACCTCATGATCTGCTTGCCTCGGCCCCCCAAAGTGCTGGGATTACAGGCGTGAGCCACCATGCCCGGCTGAAAATTCTGATATTTTGTTCATCACAGATTTTTCTTGCATTACTTTTCATTTTTTCCAATATTATATTAACATATTAATTATTGCTATTACTCAATCTTTTTAGCACTTCCTTAAATTTTACATCCTGGTCCCAACCCTGGGGCTGAAAGTAATAGGTCATCAGCACACGGCTGAGTTAAAACCATGGAGGTGATGAGATTGCATGGGGAAAGAATGCAGAGCAAAAAGAGCAGAATATCAGGGCCAGAATTTAGGGGGACATTTGTATTTAAGGGTCAGTAGAAGAGAAAAGAGAGTCCTAAAAGGGACCCATAGTCCTTGAGGAAGGAGGAAAACCAGAAGAAAGGGTGTGGTAAGGACCAAGGGAGACAAGTTTCCAAGAGAGGCTATCACATACTCTAGAGGGCTCAGATAGGATGACTCCCAAGCAAGGGCATTGGATTGCACCAGGGGACACCAGGTGTGACATTGTCAGCACCTTTGAGAGCAGCAGCATGGGAGGTAGAAATGGAGAGGTCTGGCTGAGAGGAAGCTAAGAATGTCGGCAGCTCCAGGTGCCTGAACTGGAGGGATGACGAGGAGGTGCTGGGAAAAGACAGAGATGAGTTCAGATTGCTGTGTAGCTTAGGATGCAAAAGCTCTGAACAGGTTTGTGGGCAAAAAAAGAATGAAGACCAGAAAAAGAGGGAGTATTGAAGAAGTGAGAAAATCAAGAAGAGGACTGTTGCTAAAAGACAAAAACCCAGAATAAATGCCGCTTCAGCCTGAGGATGGATTATCTGCCTTGCTCCTGCCCTCAAATGAAGCTGCCCACACAAGCCTGAGCCCTGGAAAGTGTCTCAGACCCCAGCCCTCTCTCTGGTTCCGTCCTCCTCATTATCGGCTTTTCAGGTTCTGTGACCTCTCCTAATGCTCCTTTTGGTTCCCAGCCTTACCTCTCACCATCAGCCCAGATACAAGGATGAGTGACCTCGTGCAGGAGGTGCTCTCCTGGCTTTTGTTTATTTATTTATGTATTTATTTATCAGACAAAGTCTCACTCTGTCACCCAGGCTGGAGTCCAATGGCACGATCTCAGCTCACTGCAACCTTTGCCTCCCAGATTCAAGCAATTCTCCTGCCTCAGCCTCCTGACTAGCTGGGACTACAGGCACCCGCCACCACGCCCGGCTAATTTTTGTATTTTTAGTAGAGACGAGGTTTCACCATGTTGGCTAGGTTGGTCTCGAACTCCTGACCTCAAGTGATCCACCCTCCTCAGCCTTCCAAAGTGCTGGGATTACAGGTATGAGCCACCGCATCTGGCCTGGCCTGGCTTTTATTTATTTATTTATTTATATTTTTTATTATTTTATTTTGTTATTATTTTATCTTTTATTTTGTTTCTTCTGGAAATTTTACCCTCCCTACACCCCAGAACCAGGTGGCCACATTCCTAAGGGGGCAACACCCTTTCCTCAGCCTGCTCTTTGCCCGGCTCCTGCCTTGTAGGGCTGTGGGGAGGTTGCTCATGGTGAATTCACCCCTGAGGGCATTATTTCTCACTAGAGCACAAGACAGTAGTCATTTCTCTGCTGGGAGTGACAGCAGCAGGGGAGGGGCTGTGGAGCCCTAACACAGAGCCCCAGGCACCAAGCTGGAGTTGGAAATGGTACTTAGGACTTTTCTCCCGATGCATTAAGATAGAAACTCCAGTAATCCCAGCACTTTGGGAGGCCGAGGCGGGCGGATCACGAGGTCAGGAGATCGAGACCATCCTGGCTAACATGGTGAAACCCTGTCTCTACTAAAAATAACAAAAAATTAGCCAGGCCAGGTGGCGGGTGCCTGTAGTCCCAGCTACTCGGGAGGCTGAGGCAGGAGAATGGCGTGAACCCCGCGGGGCGGAACCTGCAGTGAGCCGAGATCGCGCCACTGCACTCCAGCCTGGGCGACAGCGAGACTCCGTCTCAAAAAAAAAAAAAAAAAGAAAAAAAAAAAGAAACTCCAGTACAGGAATTTCAGGTCAGCTTGACTCCCAGGTGGGGGCTAGCAAGGCCAGGGCACCAGGTGGTCCAGGCGTGAGGAAATAGTGGGGGTGGGTGACAGTGGACGTGAAATGGTTGGCCAAGGGGTTAGATGGTTGGCCAAACAAGTTAGGCAATGAAGCAGGAGGGATTGGCAGGCCAGGAAGCTGGGAGGCAGGAGGCAAGGGTTGAAGAGAGGCTTCGCTGGGAAGCGGGAGAGGAAAAAGAAAAGATTTGAGGGCTGTGGACAAAGAAGGCAAAAGAGGGCTGGGCACAGTGGCTCACACCTGTAATCCTAGCACTTTGGGAGGCCAAGGCAGGCCGATCACTTGAGGTCAGGAGTTCAAAACCAGCCTGGCCAACGTGGTGAAACCCCATCTCTACTAAAAATACAAAAAAACTAGTCGGGCGTGGTGGCACATGCCTGTAATCCCAGCTACTTGGGAGGCTGAGGCAGAATTGCTTGAACCCGGGAGGTGAAAGTTGCAGTGAGCCGAGATCATGCCACCACACTCCAGCCTGGGCAACAGAGCAAGATTCTGTCTGGAAAAAAAAAAAAAGGCAAAAGGAAGAATGCCACGTGCCAGAAGTGGAGCTGTGCTATGACAAGGGTCCACTGTGGCCACAGGAGTGGGTTACCAAAGGGGCGTTGATGTAAAGGTCAGTAGCAGAGAAGAAGCCAACAAGCTGTCTGGCGTGGTAGGTGTGTGGTACACATGAGAGGCAGTAAGAGTCATGGTTAAACATTCGTTGCACCCACAGGGTCCACACTTTGAATTTCATCTCCATCTTGACTAGTTCTGTCTTCAGGTGAGCCACTGAACTTCCTTGACCCTTGGTTTTCTAATTTGTAAAATGAGAAGGACATAGTACCTGCACTTGCCACACTGTTTTAAGGACTAAAATGAGAAGATATCTGTGAAATCTTAGCACAGCACCTGGCAGATGGTAAAATACAATAAATATTGCTATCATTACTGTTAGTGAATGATATGGTTTGGCTGTGTCCCCACCGGAATCTCATCTTGAATTTCCACGTGTTGTGGGAGGGACCCAGTGGGAGGTAATTGAATTATGGGGCAGGTCTTTGCCGTGCTGTTCTCGTGATAGTGAATAAGTCTTACGAGATGTGATGGTTTTAAAAACAGGAGTCTCGCCAGGCACGGTGACTCATGCCTGGAATCCCAGCACTTTGGGAGGTCGAGGCGGGTGGATCACCTGAAGTCAGGAGTTTGAGAGCAGCCTGGCCAACATGTTGAAACCCCATCTCTACTAAACATACAAAAAATTAGCCAGGCATGGTGGCAGGCACCTGTAATCCCAGGTACTCAGGAGGCTGAGTCAGGAGAATCACTTGAACCTGGGAGGCGGAGGTTGCAGTGAGCTGAGATCATGCCACTGCACTCCAGCCTGGGCGACAGAGTGAGACTCTGTCTCAAACAAAACAAATTAACAAACGAAAAACCAGGAGTCTCCCTGCATAAGCTCTCTCATTTTTTGCCTGCCGCCATCCACATACAATGTGACTTGCTCCTCCTTGCCCTCCACCATGACTGTGAGGCTTCCCCAGCCACGTGAAACTGTAAGTCTAACCTCTTTCCTTTGTAAATTGCCCAGTCTCAGGTATGTCTTTATCAGCAGCGTGCAAACAGACTAATACAGTGCATGATAGAACAAGGAACACCAGATAAAATTTCCTGAAAAGGGCCAGGCATGGTGGCTCATGTCTGTAATCCCAGCACTTTGGGAGGCTCAGGTGGAAGGATCACTTAAGCCCAGGAGTTAGAGACCAGTCTGGCCAACATAGTGAGAGCCTGATTAGTATTTCTAATCTAAAAATATTTTTAATTAGCTGGGTGTGGTGATGCACACCTGTAGTCCAAGCTACTCAAGAGGCTGAGATGCAAGGATCTCTTGAGCCCCAGAGGATGAGGCTGCAGTGAGCTGTGATTGTGCTGCTGCAACCTAGCCTGGGTGACAGAGTGAGACTCTTTCAAAAACAAAAAAAAAACAAAAACAAAAACAGCTTGGGTGCAGTGGCTCACACCTGTAATCCCAGCACTTTGGGAGGCGGAGGTGCGTGGATCTCTTGAGGTCAGGAGTTACAGACCAGCCTGGCCAACATGGTGAAATGTCATCTCTACTAAAAATACAAAAAAATTAGCTGGGCATGGTGGTGTGCGCCTGTAATCCCAGCTACTTCAGGAGGCTGAGGTGGGAGAATCACTTGAACCTGGGAGGCAGAGGTTGCAGTGAGCCGAGATCACTACACTGCACTCCAGCCTAGGTGACAGAGTGAGACTCCATCTCAAAAAGAAAGAAAGAAAAAAATCCTGAAAGGATATCTAAGAAAGTTATGGTGGACATTTTTGGTTACTAGGCCAACACCCATTCTTCTCTTTTCTCTTCCTAACAGTTCTCTAATTTTTAGCAAGTGTTTTGAAGTTATCTCCTCCCCACACAGCCTGTGTATTTCAAGGAAGGCTGACCTCATCCCCAAATGCAGGAATGGGCCTGATAAACCTAAAAGTAATCCAGCCCCGGCCCATTGGTTATCCAGGAATGGGGATGTGCCCTAATTCAGGCCAATGAGACACCGAAGAGGTGTCCTAAAAACTTCTGGGAAGGACCCCCACTTATTTTAAGAGAAAGAGGTATCCTCTTTTTCTCCAGATGTTGCATTTTGTGGCTGTAAAGGCTGTGCTTTTGCAGCTTTTTTCCAGTTTCATCTTTTAGAAGATTGAATCCAGCTACAGTCATGATTGTCTTCAAGCCTCTTGGCTTCAAATAAGCACAGCGAGGCCAAGGATTTCCATATCTTGGTGCCCCACAAACCTGAAGAAAGAGACAGGAGCTATGCTGAATGAAGACATAAGCAGGTATTTTCATTAATTCCAAACAAAAAGAGAAGTGAGGCGTGAGGGTCAGAGTGAAAAATTTGGGTTCAGCTTCATGGGTACCTGGGGGCAAGCATTACCACTGCCCTCAGTTCTCTGCCTTCTCCCCTCTGCAGCTCATGGACTGCCTTCTCCAGCAGCAACTGAGGACAGTAGTGGTATTAATGTCTCCACCAGAGGGTTGGCAGTCATTATCTCTCAGAATCCTGCCTTGCATGTACTTGCAGGATGTAGAAAGATGAGTGACCTCAGCCACCATCTAGGGTACAGTCCTCCTTGACAGGAAGTGGTAGGGGTGGATTTTAACAACTCAAGGCCACAAATATCCAATTAGTGAGAGATAGGGCCAGTGGCAACATGTCTCCTGGCTTTGTTCTGACATTTGCTCTGTTCCATGTTTGTCTTGTAAATAAAACTGGGCCTGTTTTCAGAGAAGCTAACCCACCTTCATGCTGACAACAGGATTTCTACCAGAATTGCTTTTCCGAAGCCTTTTTAAAATGGTATTTTTAAATGACACTTTTGGCCAGGCACAGTGGCTCATGCCTGTAATCCCAACAGTTTGGGAGGCCAACGCAGGTGGATCGCCTGAGGTCAGGAGTTCGAGACTAGCCTGGGCAACATGGGAAAACCTCATCTCTACAAAAAATACAAAAATTAGCTGGGTGTGGTGGTATGCGTGTGTAGTCTCAGCTACATGGGAGGCTGAAGTGGGAGGATTGCTTGAGCCCAGGAGGTGGAGGTTGTAGTGAACCATTATCATACTACTGCATTCCATCCTGGGCAACAGAGAGAGACCTTGTCAAAAAACAATCAAAAAAACCACCCAATAAAGAATATGACTTATTTCATCTTCCTCCATGCTTCCACTCAGACTTAGTAAAATTATCTTGAAGGAAGGAAGGAAAGAAAAAAGGATGAGAGAGGGAAGGAAGGAGAATAGCAACTTCTGTTGGGTTAGAACTATAAATTCCTAACAGATAAGACCTGGGTCTGTAGATTTAGTTTTTGTGATTTGGGTTTTTTTAAAATTATTACTATATATTTTCTAATTGGCAAACATTTTTTATATTTATGGGGTATAACATGATGTTTTAGGGTTTTCTATATATAAGACCATGTTGTTTGCAAACAGGCAATTTTACTTCTTCCTTCTGATTTGGATGCCTCTTATTTCTTTCTCTTATTTAATTGCTCTTGCTAGGACCTCCAGTACTATATTGAATAGAAGTGACAAGAATGGGCATCCTTCTCTGGTTTCTGATCTTAGAGGAAAGGCTTTCAACTTTTCACCAGTGAATAAGATGTTAACTGTGAACTTGTCATATATGGACTTTATTGTATTGAAGTACATTCCTTCTATACCTATTTGTTGAGAATTCTTTTATTATGAAAGGATGTTGGATTTTGTCAAACACTGTTTCTGCATCTATCGAGAAGATTATATGGTTTTTATCCTTCATTCTGTCATTCTGTTAATGCAGTGTAACATATTACATTCATTAATTTACATATGTTTAACCATCCTTGCATTCCAGGGATACATTTCACTTGATCATAGTGAACTATTTTTTTTTTTAGAGATGAGGGTCTCGTCATGTTGCCCAGTCTGCGCTTGAACTCCTGAGTTCAAGCTATTCTCCCACCTCAGCCTCCAAATTAGCCAGCACTACTAATTAGCTAGCACTACAGGCATGTGCCACTGCACCTGGCCAAATGATTCTTATAATGTGCTGTTGAATCTGATTTGCAGTATTCTGTTGAGGATTTTTGTGTCTATGTTCATGAGGGATATTGACCTATAATTTTCTTTTCTTTTATTATATTTGGCTGGCTTTGGTATCAGGGTAATGCTCGTAAAGTAAGTTTGGAAATATTCCCTCCTTTTTAATTTTTTGGAAGAGTTTCAGAAATATTGATTTTAGTTATTCTTTAAATGTTTGGTAGAATTCAGCAGTAGAGCCATCAGGTCCTGGTCTTTTCTTTCATGGGAGATTTTTATTACTGATTTAATCTCCTTACTTATTATTGGTCTGTTCTATAAGTTTAGTTTTATGTAACACTTCACATACTTTGTACTTGGTAAACTCTCATGGTGTCTATTTCTTTGTAAAACAAAGAAATAACAAAGCATCAAAAGAATGTAAGATCAGATCCACTTTGTGACATCCACAAGGAGTACTATGTCTGGCTATTGTTTAGATTCGTTTGGAACTGATCTCTTGAGTTCTCAGTCACTCTCTACCTGATTTGTAACAGGATAAGGAATGTTTCAAGCTGCACGTCTTACAGACTCAGGCCAAGCAAAAATACTGTTAACACAGAAAACTCTGCCAAGATTCATTTTTAAAGCCATGAGTTTCCATCCCACAAAGTGCATATTATTCAGAAGGTCATTCGTTCAAGTCAGAGTTCACATGGTTTTCAATAAACCACTCTTCAGATGACCTAACTTAGGAAAGAATCTCATTCTTGGGGTCAGTTTCTTTTAGGGAATATTTAGTTAGCATTTGAATGAGCTGGCTTGCTCTGGAGAAGCAGTGGCTTGACTTTGGCCCCTGATATGGCATGGACTTGAGGTTGTGCAGGGTGTGAGTCTAACCTTTTGGAGACCTCTGTCAGGTTCTCAGGAAGGGGGTACAGAGTCCTGGGTCTCTATCTTCTTCAAGCACAAATTGCATCCCCATCCAACTACCAGTTGAAAAGACAGGACACAGGCCAGGTGCAGTGGCTCACGCCTGTAATCTCAACACTTTGGGAGGCCGAGCCGGGTGGATCACCTGAGGTCAGGAGCTCAAGACTAGCCTGGCCTACGTGGTGAAACCTTGTCTCTACTAAAAATACAAAAAAGTATCCGGGTATGGTGGCATGTGCCTGTAATCTCAGCTACTCTGGAGGCTGAGGCAGGAGAATTGCTTGAACCGGGAGGCAGAGGTTGTGGTGAGCTGAGATCGCGCCATGGCACTCCAGCCTGGGCAACAAGAGTGAAACTCTGTTTCAAACATACAACATATATATTATCAACATGAAACACGATATTCAGATATTCTTACAGAAAAGTAGCAAACCTCTGCTAGTTCATCCATAGACCACTGCTCTAATTGGAGAGATCAGAGGCCAGAAGTGGTGTTGCAGAGGGAATGGGGGGTGAGTTGAACTGCCTCTCCACGGGTGAGATGTGAGGTTTGCAGCGCTGGACCTGCCAGGTTGTGGCAATTGGGCTGGAGGTAAAAGATGCATTCCAAGAAAGTTCCATAAAAATATATTGTCAGGCCAGGCGCTGTGGCTCACACCTGTAATCCCAGCACTTTCGGAGGCAGAGGAAGGTGGATCACCTGAGGTCGGGAGTTCGAGACCAGCCTGACCAACATAGAGAAACCCCATCTCTACTAAAAATACAAAATTAGCCGGGAGTGTTGGCGCATGCCTGTAATCCCAGCTACTACTCGGGAGGCTGAGGCAGGAGAATCGCTTGAACCCAGGAGGCGGAGGTTGCAGTGAGCTGAGATGATGGTGCCATTGCACTCCAGGCTGGGCAACAAAAGTGAAACTCTGTCTAAAAAAGAAAAAAAAAAAAAAAATATATATATATATATAGAGAGAGAGAGAGAGAGAGAGACAGACAGACAGACAGACAGACAGACAACTCCAACTTGATAGTTGAGCTAGCCACGGAAAAAGCCTCACTGGATCTTCACTAGTTCAGTCCATAACTGGCACTCTTAAAAACTCTTGCCATCAAAAGTATCTGAAATGAAAATCTAAGATATATTCCTACCACTCCGAGAAGTTTCTGTACAATCCCTCTGTCTAACAGACCAGCTAGTTTCTTTCATGATCAAGCAGACATACTGAAGTCACCAACACAGCAGAAGGCACAAATGTCTCTTTATCAATGTTTTTCACATTATATGTATGATTCATTAATGAGTCATGAAATCAACTCTGTGAGTCACAATGAACATTTAAAAACAAAATATATCAGGAAAAAATTTGAAGAGATCAAAGTAAACTCCTGAGGGCAGGGTCTTATTTGGTTTAATATCATCTAGTAATTCTATCAAAATGCAAAGCATAAGCTGGGCACTGTAGCTCACACCTGTAATCCCAACACTTTGGGAGGCTGAGGTGGGCAGATCACTTGAGGCCAGGAGTTCGAGACCAGCCTGGCCAACATGGCGAAACCCCGTCTCTACAAAAAATACAAAAACCAAAAACTGCAAAGCATAAAGTAGACACCCTACAAAAGTTAGATAATAACTGACCAAAAAGTAAATACATCAAAAATGACCTATTAGCCTATAGAGCTATGGATCTTATAATATTTATAGTTCTTATATTACTTATAGCTGTGATGTAAAGACCAACTATCGTTGATCTCAAGTAATATTCTGTGCCTAAATAATATGAAAACACCAACTAATCATCAATCTTTGAAGGGAGGTAAGATACATAAAATTTATACATAACTCTGGAAGACTAAACATTGCCTTTTTTTTTTTTTTTTTTGGAGACAGAGTCACCCAGGCTGGAGTGCAGTGGCATGATCTTGGCTCACTGCAACCTCTGCCTCCTAGGTTCAAGTGATTCTCCTGCCTCAGCCTCCCAAGTAACATTGTCCTTTTTTTTCTTCTTCTTTTTTGGAGACAGAGTCTTGCTTTGTCACCCAGGCCAGAGTGCAGTAGCACGATCTCAGCTCACTGCAACCTCTGCCTCCCAGATTCAAGCAGTTCTCCTGCCTCAGCCTCCTGAGTAATACTGTCCTTCTTGTATGGTCATAACTATCTTATTAAGACAGACTTTTGTTCACATAAGCATATTATTAGACTTGACAATGAAAGAGGCCTATGCAGGGCAATCAAACAAAAAAATAAATAAAAAGCATCCAAATGGGAAAAGAAGTCAAACTATCTCTCTTCACTGATGATATGATTACATACCTAGAGAACCCTAAAGACTGCCAAAAGGCTCCTAGAACTGATAAGCAACATCAGTAAAGTTTCAGGATACAAAATCAATGCACAAAAATCAGTAGCATTTCTATACACCAATAATGTTCGAGCTGAGAGCCAAATCAAGAATGCAGTCCTATTTACAATAGCCACACACACACAAAATACCCAGGAATACATCTAATCAAGGTGAGAGCTCTCTATCAGGAGAACTACAAAACACTGCTGAAAGAAATCAGAGATGACACAAACAAATGGAAAAACATTCCATGCTCATGGATTGGAAGAATTAATAGCATTTAAATGTCCATACTGCCCAAAGCAATCTACAGTTTCAACGTTATTCCTATCAAACTACCAACATCATTTTTCACAGAATTAGAAAAAAACTATTGTAAAATTCATATGGAATCAAAAAAGAGCCTGAATAGCTAAAGCAATATCCTAAGCAAAGAGAACAAAGCTGGAGGCATTGCATTACCTGACATCATATACTATAAGGATACAGTAACCAAAACAGCACGGTACTGGTACAGAAACAGTATATGCAGACCAGTGGAACAGAATAGATATCCCAGAAATAAAGCCACACATCTACAGCCATCTGATCTTCAACAGAGTCAATAAAAACAAGTAATGAGGAAAGACTCCCTATTCAATAAACAGTGCTAGGATAGCTGGCTAGCAACATGCAGAATGAAATTAGACCCTTACCTTTCATTACACACAAAAATTAATGATAGATGAAAAATCTAAATGTAAGACCTTAAACTATAGGAATCCCAGAAGAAAACCTAGGAAACACCATTCTGGACATTGGCCTTGGGGAAGAATTTTTGACTAAGTCCTCAAGCAATGGCAACAAAAATTAACAAGCGAAGCCTAATTAAACTAAAGTGCTTCTACACAGCAAAAGAAACTATCAACAGAGTAAACAGGCAACTTACAGAATGTGAGAAAATATTTGCAAACCGTGCATCTGACAAAGGTCTAATATCCAAAATCTATAAGGAGCCAAGCGTGGTGGCACATGCCTGTAGTCCCAGCTAGTTGGGAGGCTGAGGCAGCAAGATCGCTTGAGCTCAGTTTGAGGCTGCAGTAAGCTATGATCGTGCCACTGCTCCCCAGCCTGGGTGACAGAGCAGGACCCTGTTTCAAAAAAACAAAAATACAATCTATAAGGAACTTAAACAATTCAATAAGCCAACCCCATTTAAAAGTGGGCAAGGGCATGGTGGCACATGCCTGTAGTCCCAGCTACTCGGGAGGCTGAGGCAGGAGAATCACTTGAACTCATGAGGCAGAGGTTGTGGTGAGCCAAGATCACTCCATTGCACTCCAGCCTGGGTAACAAGAGCGAAAGTCTGTCTCAAAAAAAAAAGTGGGCAAAGGACTGGGCACTGTGGCACATGCCTGTGATCCCAGCACTTTGGGAGGCCTAGGCAGGCGGATCACTTGAGGCCAGGAGTTTGAGACCAGCCTGGCCAACATGGCAAGACACTGTCTCTACTAAAAATACAAAAGTTAGCAGGGCATGGTGGTGCATACCTGTAATCTGAGCTACTGGGGAGGCTGAGGCGGGAGAATCGCTTGAACACGGGAGGTGGAGGTATGGGAGGTGGAGGTTGTAGTCAGCCAAGATCACACACTGCACTCCAGCCTGGGCAACAGAGTGAGTGAGACTCCATCTCAAAAAAAAAAAAGAAGGCTGGGCACGGTGGCTCACGCCTGTAATCCTAGCACTTTGGGAGGCCGAGGCGGGCAGATCATGAGGTCAGGAGATCGAGACCATCCTGGCTAACACGCTGAAACCCCGTCTGTACTAAAAATACAAAAAATTAGCTGGGTGTGGTGGTGGTGGGCACCTGTAATCCCAGCTACTCAGGAGGCTGAGGCAGTAGAATGGCATAAACCAGGAGGCATAGGTTGCAGTGAGCCAAGATCGCGCCACTGCACTCCAGCCTGGGCGACAAAGCGAGACTCCGTCACAGAAAAAAAAAAAAAAAGTGGGCAAAGGACATGAATAGACATTTCTCAAAAGAAGATATACAAGCAGCCAACAAACATGAAAAAATAATGCTCAATATTACGAATAATCAGAGAAATGCAAATAAAAAGTGCAATGAGATACTATCTCACCCCAGTCAGAATGGCTATTATTAAAAAGTCATAAAATGGCCGTGCACAGTGGCTCACACCTGTAATCCCAACACTTTGGGAGGCAGAGGCGGGTGGATCACCTGAGGTCAGGAGTTCAAGACCAGCCTGACCAACATGGAAAACCCGTCTTTACTAAAAATACAAAATTAGCCGGGTGTGGTGGCACATGCCTGTGATCCCAGCTACACTGGAGGCTGAGGCAGGAGAATTGCTTGAACCTGGGAGGTGGAGGTTGTGGTGAGCTGAGATCACACCATTGCACCTCCAGCCTAGGCCACAAAAGCAAGACTCTGTCTTAAAAAAAAAAAAAAAAAAAAAATCCTAAAATAACAGATGCTTGCAAGGCTATGGAGAAAAGAGAATGCTTATACACTATTAGTGGGGATGTAAATTAGTTGTCACTATGGAAAAAAGTTTGGAGATTTCTCAAAGAACTTAGAACTACCATTCAACCCAGCAATCCCATTACTGGGTATACATCCAGAAGAAAATAAATCATTCTTCCGTAAAGACACATGCACTCGTATGTTCATCACACCATGATTCACAGTAGCAAAAACATGGACTCAACCTAGGTGCCCATCAACCGTGCACTGGATAATGAAAATGTGGTACAAATACACATATAGTATTGTGTATATGTGGTACATATATGATCTTATTCTTTTTTATATACACATATACTATGCAGCCATAAGAAAGAATGAGATCATGTCCTTTGCAGCAACATGGAGGAAGCTGAAGGTTATTATCCTAAGCGAATTAATACAGGAACAGAAAACCAAGTAACACATGCTCTCACTTATAAGTGTGAGCTAAACATTGGGTACACAAGGACATAAAGATAGGAACAATAGACGCTGGGAACTACTGGGTGGGAGGAGGTAGGGAGAGAGAAGGGTGAAAAAACGAACTACTGAGGCTGGGCGCAGTGGCTCACGCCTGTGATCCCAACACTTTGGGAGGCCTAGGCAGGCGGATCATCTGAGGTCAGGAGTTTGAGACCAGCCTGGCCAACATGGGGAAACCCCTTGTCTACTGAAAATACAAAAATTAGCCGGGCACCGTGGCGCGTGCCTTAGGCCCAGCTGCTTGGGAGGCTGAGGCAAGAGAATCGCTTAAGCCCAGGAGGCGGAGGTTGCAGTGAGCCGAGATTGTGCCACTGAACTCCAGCGTGGGTGACAGAGTGAGACTCTGTCTCAAAAACAACAACAACAACAACAACAACAACAAACACTATTGGGTACTACGCTCACTAACTGCATGAGGGGATCAATTGTACTCCAGACCTCAGCATCATGCACTATACCCTTGGAACAAACCTGCACACGTACTCCCTAAATCTAAAGTAAAAGTTGAAATGATATTAAAAAAAAAAGAAAAAGGGGCTGTGAATCATAATGACTTTGCTAATTGACATTATTTATTTCTGACTGGGGTTGCTCTCTACTTGCTGGTATAAATGCTTGTATCTGTCCTGCTCTTGGAAACTTGTTAGGAATAGGAATACTAATTTTTCTATACAGAGTACAGCTCCAGGAAGCTGTGGATTAATAAATGCTTGCTCTCAAAAATAATTTGGGCTGTAGCCTCTAACTTACAGTAAGTATAGCCCCTTTATATTCCTCTTTTTCACCTTTAACCACCAGTTAATATGTCAGTACTGTAACTCCAAATATTCAAAGAACCTAGTTAACTTTGCAAAACTGCTATGTAAACATGGTAGCAATAGTTTGTGTGTATTTAGCAAAACAGAGTTAAACACAGTACTTGTATTTATGAAAACAAATAAAAAGGCAAAAAAAAACCCCAACAACCTATATTTATATAAAACAGATTCCAATTCAAGAAGGTAAACTTAGCATGTAGGTTTGTCATTCTTCTTAAGATACTAATGAAGCGATAAAGAATTTAAAAGAGTATAAATCCATAGTCACAAAGATGATGAGGCATGATTTGGGCATCAGCAGTTGAGAGATTTCAACACATTTCTGGGAGATGAAAAGAGAACATGAATTGTAGACAGAGGGAGTGGAGTAGGGGGTTATGTGTGGGAGCAGACTCTGGAGGAGTGAGACTTCTCCGCCCAGACAGGGTGTGGACTGGAGTCTGCATGAGAGGAGAGGAAAACAGAGAAAGGGACTGAAAATAGGATGCTAAACACCGAGATTTTCAAAATGCTGTGGATAATTTTTTAGGACCTAGAATTCCTTATCATCTAAACCAGGTATCAAAAGTAAAGGCAGATAATGACATTTTCAAACTGCCAGGATTCAGCACGTTTACTTACTACATACTCTTTCTTAATGAAGTTCCTTGAGGATGCACTTCAATAAAAAAAAAAGGAGCGGGGAGTGGAGTGGGGGAGGAAATTGAGAAAGAAAAATATGAGGCAATGAAGAAACAAGCCAGGTTGAGAGCTATACAAATTATAACAAATGTCAGATGTCAGGCCGGGCTTGGTGGCTCACGCCTATAATCCCAGCACTTTGGGAGACTAAGGCAGGCAGATCGCTTGAGCCCAGGAGTTCGAGACAAGACTGGGCAACATGGTGAAACCCCATCTCTACCAAAAATACAAAAAAATTAGCCAGGTTGGTGGCGCACACCTGTAGTGCCAGCTGCTAGGGAGGCTGAAGTGGGAGGATCACATGAACTCGGGAAGTTGGGGCTGCAGTGAGCCAAGTCCAGCCTGGACAACAGAGACCCCATCTCAAAAAAACAAACAGGCCAGTTGCGTGGCTCACGCCTGTAAACCCAGCACTTTGGGAGGCCGAGGCGGGCAGATCATGAGGTGCAGTTCGAGACCAGCCTGGCCAACATAGTGAAACCCTGTCTCTTCCAAAAATACAAAAATTAGCTGGGCATGGTGGTGTGTGTTTGTAGTCCCAGCTACTGGGGAGGCTGAGGCAGGAGGAGTGCTTGAACCTGGGAGGCAGAGGTTGCAGTGACCCAAGATCGTGCCACTGCACTCCAGCCTGGGCGACAGAATGAGACTCAATCTCAAAAAAAAAAAAAAAAAAAAAAAAAAAAAGGAATGAAAAACACAAACGAGGGCCGGGTGTGGTGGCTCATGTGTGTAATCCCAGCACTTTGGGAGGCCGAGGCGGATGGATCACCTGAGATCAGGAGTTCAAGACCAGCCTAGCCAACATGGTGAAACCCCATCTCTACTAAAAATACAAAAAATTAGCTGGGCATGGTGGCGGGCGCCTGTAATTCCAGCTACTCAGGAGGCTGAGGCAGGAGAATCGCTTGAACCCGGGAGGCAGAGGTTGCAGTGAGCCGAAATTGCGCCACTGCACTCCAGCCTCTCCAGCCTGGGCAACAAGAGAAAAACTCCGTCTCAAAAAAAAAAAAAAAAAAAAAAGAAAGAAAGAAAAACACAAACGAATGTCTGTGGGCTGCAGGAATACTTACTTGCAAGAAGAAATATACTGGATTCCAGGCAATATATAAAGCAAGTAAGGAACTGAAAAAACAAAAACAAAAAACCAATCTGGAAGAATGTGGTGGCAAAAGCATGTTTCTTTCATTAAGAAAGGTAATGCCGCCTGGCGCAGTGGCTCACACCTGTAATCGCAGCACTTTGGGAAGCTGAGGCGGGCGGATCACCTGAGGTTGGGAGTTTGAGACCAGCCCTACCAAAATGGAGAAACCCCGTCTCTACTAAAAATACAAAATCAGCAGGGCGTGGTGGCGCATGCCTGTAATCCCAGCTACTCGGGATGCTGAGGCAGGAGAGTTGCTTGAACCCGGGAGGCGGAAGTTGCGGTGAGCCGAGATCACGCCATTGCATACCAGCCTGGGCAACAAGAGCTAAACTCCATCTCAAAAAAAAAAAGAAAAAGAAAGAAAGGTAATGCCTAAGCTGGGCGCGGTGTTCACGCCTGTAATCCCAGCACTTTGGGAGGCCGAGGCGGGTGGATCACGAGGTCAGGAGACTGAGACCATCCTGGCTAACACGGTGAAACCCCGTCTCTACTAAAAATACAAAAAATTAGCCGGGCGTGGTGGTGGGCGCCTGTAGTCCCAGCTACTTGGGAGGCTGAGGCAGGAGAATGGCGTGAACCCGGGAGGCGGAGCTTGCAGTTAGCTGAGATCGCGCCACTGCACTCCAGCCTGGGCGACAGAGCGAGACTCCGTCTCAAAAAAAAAAAAAAAAAAAAAAAAAAAAAAAGTAAAAAGTAAAATTTTAAAGAAAACAAATTTCCCAAGCATTTCTCAGTTTGCTTTTGAGAAATGATTACGGTCATTTCCTTTAAGTGGTTAGTTCAGTGAATTATAGCTTTTTGTTAATTTGATTTCACAGCACAGTTTTGAAAATCACCCCAAAAAGTACTGCATGGCTTGAGCTGGCTTTTAACAGAATAAAATTCAATTCTGCTTTGAAGTCTTTATGACCTCCTTTACAGAAATGGTGACATTGTGGGGTTCTGAGCGCACCCTGAAATCACAGGTCTTGTGTGACACTGTGAAAATTACCCAGAACCCTGGGCACCCACTCCTCCACTACGGAAGTCACCAATGCTGGCAAATAGCATAACGGGCTTGTGGCGCCCCCTACTGTCCACTAGGCAAACTGCATCACCTTCCTGAGCTACGTTCCAGGGTGAAGTTAAAAAAGAAATCTGCACTTGGAAAGACTGCATGAAGGCAGTGTCAGGCACGTGTATTTATTTACGTTCTTTAATCAATAGATATGATTTCCAAAATTATTTACATAACAATTTGGGAAATTTGAACGTAAGATGGATATTAGATGATTTGGGAATATTAAGTAATTTTCAAGCCTGGGACCGACACCTGTATGGGAGCTGAGGCAGGAGGGTCACTTAAGTGCAGAAGTTCGAGACAGACAACACAGTGAGGCACCGTCTCTACAAAAAGTTAAAAAAAAAATTAACCAGGTGTGGTGGCAGGTGTCTGGTCCCAGCTACGTAGGAGGCTGAGGTGGGAGGATTACTAGAGCCTAGAGGCCGAGGCTGCAGTGAGTGATGATTGTACCACTGTATATCAGCCTGGATCAGAGTGAGACTCTATCTCTAAATAAATAATGATAATTTTGTTTTGTTTTGTTTTTTTGAGATGGAGTCTTGCCCTGTTGCCCAGGCTGGAGTGCAGTGGCACGATCTCAGCTCACTGCAACCTCCACCTCCTGGGTTCAAGCAATTTTGTCTCAGCCTCCCAAGTAGCTGGGATTACAGGCCCACACCACCACACCTGGCTAATTTTTGTATTTTTAGTAGAGACAGGGTTTCGCCATGTTGGCCAGGCTGGTCTCAAACTCCTTACCTCAAGTGATCCAATCGCCTCGGCCTCCGAAAGTGCTGGGATTACAGGCATGAGCCACAGCTCTCGGCCAATGATAATAATTTTTAAAAAGCAAACTTCTACTAATGAATATCTACATAGAGTGTCCTTATTTTAAGAGATGCATGCTGAAGTTTTTAGGGATAAAATGTCATAATATCTGCAACCAACTGTCAAATGGCTTTAACTCTCATTCAGAGCGAAAGCCAAAGCCCTACGATGACCTACAAGGCCACGTTTAATCTTCACCACCCCTCTTCTCTGTCCTCATCTCCTCCTCCAATCCCTCCTTCTCCCAGCACCAGCCACACTGACCTTTTCAATCATCTGCATACTCTGGCCTCTTCACACCCACTTCCCTGGGCCCAAGATGCCCTTCTCATTAGAGTCTGCATTGCTGGCTCCCTCACTGCCTTCCTACCTCTCTTCAAGAGACTTCTTTTTTTTTTTTCCTTCTTTTTTTGTGAGACAGAGTCTTACTCTGTCACCCAGGCTGGAGGGCAGTGGCAGGATCACAGCTCACTGCAGCCTTGAACTCCTAGGCTCAAGCAGATCTTCCCACCTCAGCCTCCGAAGTAGCTGGGACTGCAGGCACCGGCCACCATGCCTGGCTAATGTTTTTATTTTTTGTACAGGTGGAATCTGCCCATGTTGCTCAGGCTGGTTTCAAAATCCTGGACAGGAGATCCTCCCGCCTCAACCTCCCCACATGTTGGGATTACAGGTGTGAGCCACCTTGTCCGGCCACAAAGATATCTTAGTGACACTTCCTGGCCACAGGCTAAAATTTAATCTACCACTTACCTGCGTTGTTTTCTCTTCTTCGCTCTTAATACAATTTAATGCACTAAAATTTCACTTATCTTTTTTATTGTCTGTGTTGCCCAAAACATCAGTTTACATAAAAGCTTTGATAGTGGTTGTGTTCATTGCTGTATCCACTGGACCTAAACTAGTAACCAGAATATACTTAAAACTCATCTTATATACAATGAGTGAAAAAATAAAAAGCAGTGTGTGGGCTCAAATTTTTACTCTTATAGTCAATTTGCAAATTTTGTTTTAGACTGTGGCATGTACAATGTGTGAAAGATGCCATCTGTTGATGATTGGCAGATTTGACTGGTTTGTGCTCTGAATTAAGAATAATTTACTTTTTCCAATATAAGCTTTAAGTTGAGCCTTTCTAAGTTAAAAAAAAAATCTTCCATCGTATGTCTTTTAGGTACCATTGACATCTTTCCAGGCTTTCACGACAAATTCAAAGGTCAGTGATGGCTATACACCCCCTGAGATGGGGTAGCCGGGTTATGGGTGATTTTTGTCTATCTTTAGTAAACATAAAATTTCACCCAAAATTGTTTCTAGAACAAACATAAATATAAGAGTAGGATATTAGGGCCAGGCGCAGTGGCTCATGCCTATAATCCTAGCACGTTGGGAGGCCGAGGTGGGCGGATCACTTGAGGTCAGGAGTTCAAGACCAGCCCTGCCATCATGGTGAAACCCCATCTCTACTAAAAATACAAAAATTAGCCGGGCGTGGAGGCGCGTGCCTGTAATCCCAGCTACTCGGGAGGCTGAGGCAGGAGAATTGCTTGAACCCGGGATGTGGAGGTTGCAGTGAGCCGATATTGTGCCATTGCACTCCAGCCTGGGGTATGACAGTGAAACACTGTTTCAAAAAAAAAAAAAAAAAAAAAAGGAGTAGGATGTTAGATAAGTTCAGGGATGATAAAGCCATAATGGGTTAACTAGGATGGGGGTTGATTCGTAAGCTTTGAGATCGACTTTTAGAATCAGGCATATAAATCCTGCTGGATTTGAATGCTGTGTAGGATAGAGCACAGGTCTGAAAAAATATGAAAATTCTAATATCTTTATGTACCTAAAACATAGCCTCTTGCGTTTTTTATTTTTATTTACTTATTTATTTTTGAGACAGAGTCTCGCTCTGTTGCCCAGGCTGGAGTGCAGTGGGACAATCTTAGCTTACTGCAACCTCTGCCTCCCAGGTTCAAGCGATTCTCCTGCCTCAACCTCCCAAATAGCTGGGATTACAGGTGCACGCCAGCAGACCCAGCTAATTTTTTGTATTTTTAGTAGAGACAGGGTTTCACTGTCTTAGCCAGGATCATCTCGATCTCCTGACCTTGTGATCCATCCACCTTGGCCTCCCAAAGTGCTGAGATTACAGGCGTGAGTCACGACACCCGGCCGCCTCTTGGGTTATTTTTAAAATCACAGAGACTAGGCTAGTATTCCTAGCAGCAGGTAGAAGGCAAACCCTGTCCATATGGACCTCTGGATGCTGACAAATAAAAATGCATCTCTTTATCAACCTTGTAAACCAGCCCCCTTCCCATTACTGTAGTTGGCTGAGATTCTCACACTGTGAGATCTCCATTCCATTTATTCATATTACTCATTTACCAAAAGTGTATTGGGCCCAAATTGTGTCAGGCAAACTGAAGAGAACAAAAATGAATATTACACAGTGTACAGAGAAATTATGTTTTAAATTTATTAGAACTCGAATTGCAAAAAGAATCAGTAAGGTTGTCCTTGGTGCCATGGTTAACAGTCCTTTCAGATAAAGATCAGATACTTCCAAGTTCAGTTAAAACTTACTTTCGGCTGGGCCCAGTGGCTCACGCCTGTAATCCCAGCACTTTGGGAGGCCAAGGCAGATGGATCACTTGAGGTCAGGAGTTTGAGACCAGCCTGGCCAACGTGGTGAAACTCCATCTCTACTAAAAATACAAAAATTAGTCAGTCATGGTGGCAGGCATCTGTAATCCCAGCCACTCAGGAGGCTGAGGTGGGAGGATTGCTTGAGTCCGGGAGGTGGAGGTTGCAGTGAGCTGAGATTGCACCATTCCACTCCAGCCTGGGCGACAGAGCAAGACTCTGTCTGAAAAAAATAATAAATTAATTTCAAAAAAAAAAAAAAAATATATATATATATATATATATATATATATCAGAAATAGAGCATACAATGCAGTTCTGTAATTTGCACTTAATATATTGTGAGCATATATGCACATTCATAACTACATATCATTAAAAAGTAATTACTCAGGCTGGGCGTGGTGGCTCACGCCTGTAATCCCAGTACTTTGGGAGGCTGAGGCGGGAGGATCACTTGAGGTCAGGAGTCCGAGACCGGCCTGACCAACATAATGAAACCCTGTCTCTACTAAAATACAAAATTAGTCAGGCCTGGTGGCGCATTCCTGTAATCCCAGCTACTTGGGAGGCTGAGGCAGGAGAATCACTTGAACCCAGGAGGTGGAGGTTGCAGTGAACCAATATCGCACCATTGAACTCCAGTCTGCGCAGCAAGAGCAAAATTCATCTAAAAAAAAAAAAGTAAGTAATTACTCTTGAATTGTTTAACTATTGAAAACTCCTAGTTTCTAAGGGATATCAGCACATGAGTTCCCACCTCTGTTATCCAGGCCATATAAATATCATTGATTGTACACCCATAGACAAAATAGAAAGCAAAACAAAAACAAAAATGAGGAAGTCATAGAAGAGGGTAGTAACATTTTAGCCAGAGAAAAACTACTCTAAATGGAGGAAGTCAGAAAATAAGGCAATCAGCATCATATTGCAAATGCAATGGAGAGGTAAGGTCATGTTACAATGTAGCCTACTAAAGAAAAACAAAACAAGCAAAACAAAACCCCTGAAGTTGAAGATGTGGTTCGTTTATTTATTTATTTATTTATTTATTTATTTATTTATTTATTTATTTATTTTGAGACAGAGTCTCGCTCTGTCGCCCAGGCTGGAGTGCAGTGGCGCGATTTCGGCTCACTGCAAGCTCTGCCTCCCGGGTTCCCCCATCTTGGTTGGTTGACCGCATAACAATGAATCCATCACAGAGCCCTTAAACGGGCCAGTTTGGATAACCAGCAGGTGTTTTGAAAAGCTACTGATTTAGGCCAAATTAGAAGGAGGGGCAATGGGTTGCCTTGGAGAAGCAAACAGGGGCGGCAGACTGAACTGTAAATCACTCTCGGCTCTGGGCTCTCTTTCTTTTTTCCTCTTTCCCATATGGGCTTCCAACCCTGGGAGCCATTTTTAGGGTGAACAAAGGTATCTGTGGAATGTTCATTTGTTTCTATTATTTGCCACAAGCAGTCTTTGTTGTTTTTTTTTTTAACTTGAATACTTAACACTCCCTCTTAAAACCAGGACTCAGTATAAAAACTATGCTTCACACTGTTTGCAAGAGCCAAACATTGGACACTCAAATGTCCATTAAAAATAGGATGGGGGCTGGGCTCAGTGGCTTATGCCTGTAATCCTAACACTTTTGGAGGCTGAGGCAGGTGGATCGCTTGAGCTCAGGAGTTGGAGACCAGCT
Source organism: Homo sapiens (assembly GCF_000001405.40). Taxonomy (NCBI): domain Eukaryota; kingdom Metazoa; phylum Chordata; class Mammalia; order Primates; family Hominidae; genus Homo; species Homo sapiens. The sequence goes on from NC_000005.10 coordinate 76,779,884, forward strand.
TGGGCAACACAGCAAAACTCTGACTCTACAAAAAATGCATAAGTTAGCTGGGCATGGTAGTGTGCACCTGTAGTCCCAGCTACTCAGGAGGCTGAGGCAGGAGAATCACTTGAGCCAGGGAGGTTGAGGCTACACTGAGCCATGATCACATCACGACACTCCAACCAGGGTGATGAAGTAAGATCCTCTCTCAAAAACAACAAACAAAAATATGGGACCAGGTGTGGTTGCTCATTGTAATCCCAGCACTTTGGGAGGCCGAGGCAGGAGGACTACTTGAGCCCAGGAGTTAAAGACCAGCCTGGGCAACACAGGGAGATCCCGTATCTACAAAAAATAATAAATTAGCTGGGCATGGCTGGGTGCAGTGGGTCACGCCTGTAATCCCAGCACTTTGGGAGGCCAAGGAAGGCAGATCACAAGGTCAGGAGATCGAGACCATCCTGGCCAACATGGTGAAACCCCGTCTCTACTAAAAATACAAAAATTAGCTGGGCATGGTGGTGTGTGCCTGTAATCCCAGCTACTTGGCAGGTTGAAGCAGGAGAATCCCTTGAACCAGGGCGTCGGATGTTGCAGTGAGCTGAGATGGCACCATTGTACTCTAGCCTGGTGACAGAGCGAGACTCCATCTAAAAAAAAAAAAAAAAAAATTAGCTGGGCATGGTAGCAGGTGACTATAGTGACTATAGTCCCAGCTACTCTGGAGAATGAGGTGGGGGAATTGCTTGAACCCAGGAGGTTGAGGCTGCATTGAGCTGAGATTGTGCCACTACACTCCAGCCTGGGCAACAGAGTGAAACTCTGTTTCAAAAAAAAAAAAAAAAAAAGATATGGATAGGGCTGGTCATGACGGCCTACACTCGTAATCCCAGTGCTTTGGGAGGCCACCACGGAAGGATCACCTGAGGCCAGGAGTTTGAAGTTCCAGTGATCTATGATTGTTAGAGGCCTTTGAACTAGAGCAACTCCATCTTCAGTAGGGGCTGGGTAAAATAAGGCTGAGTCCTACTGGGCTGCATTCCCAGTTAGGCATTCTAAGTCACAGGATGAGATAGGAGACCAGCACAAGATACAGGTCATAAAGACTTTGCTGATAAAACAGGTTGCAGTAAGGAAGCCGGCCAAAACCCACCAAAACCAAGATGGTGATGATCGTCCTTACTGCTACACTCCCATTAGCACCATGACAGTTTACAAATGCCATGGCAACGTCAGGAAGTTACCCTATAGGGTCTAAAAAAGGGGAGGCATGAATAATCCACCCCTTGTTTAGCATATCATCAAGAAATAACCATAAAAATGGGCAACCAGCAGCCCTTGGGGCCGCTCTGTCTGTGGAGTAGCCATTCTTTGGTTACTCTACTTTGCTAATAAACTTGCTTTCACTTTTCTCTAGGGACCTGCTCTGAATTCTTTCTTGTGCAAAATCCAAGAACCCGCTCTTGGGGTATGGATCAGGACCCCCCCTTCTTGTAACATCTTTTTGGCAACCACAGAAGGGACTATAGTGCGGTAAACCCCTGACCCAAAGGCTAACTTTGGGTAAGTGGTAGGGTCCGGTGACATCTTTCTGGCAAACCCTGAAGGGATGATACTGAAGAAATCCCCTCACTCAAAGGAAAGAGATTGGTTGACTTTGGATAAATTGGTGGGGTACCTGGGTGAAAAATGGGATTGGGTGAGAGGCCCAACTTAGAGGAGTTAGAGTCTCTCCTAAGACAAAGAGGGTTAAAGGCTCCTCTCAATAAGAGGCAAGGACACTTGACCAACATTGGGTTCAAGGCCCAACTTAGGAGGGTTAGAGGCCCCTCTCAGTAAAGTCCCTTTCGGCTAAATATGGGTTTGGCACTACAGGATGTTAACTGCTACTCTCTATGGAATAATCTGCTTTGCACTCTTTGCTGATGACTGTGGGTGTCAGGATTGGCATGTACAGGATTGTGGGACATGGGGAGCTTTTTCTTTCCTAAAAGGGGAAACTTGAGAGCTGACAGGACTGCTGGAAAAGATTCCTTCTTGACAGGCAAGCAGCCATCTGAACTTTTGAGTAATGGGCGGGTCTTACTCTGGTCTCCCTGAGCTCTTCACTTTTCCCACCCTGCCTCAGGCAATGCGCTCTTTCTCTCTCTCTCTCTCTCTCTCTCTCCCCCCGCAAACGGGTTAAATGAATGCTAAAAATCACTGTTTATCCCAGGCGTAGTGGCTCACACCTGTAATCCAGCACTTTGGGAGGCCGAGGCGGGCAGATCGCCTGAGTTCAGGAGTTCGACACCAGCCTGGGCAACACGGTGAAACCCTGTCTCTACTAAAAATACAAAAAATTAGCCGGGCATGGTGGCAAGTGCCTGTAGTCCCAGCTACTCGGGAGGATGAGGCAGGAGAATCGCTTGAACCCGGGAGGCAGAGGTTGCAGTGAACCAAGATCATGCCATTGCACTCCAGCCTGGGCAGCAGAGCGAGACTCCAGCTCAAAAAACAAACAACAATAAAAAACAAAAACAAAAATCACTGTTTATCTCCTCTGTAAAGTTTTGATTAATGGAAAAAAGGATTACTGAGGCTAATCTTAAACTGTAGTGAATCTGGTGTGCTTTGTGTATCTTTCTGTATTGTTCTGTCAAGATGAGGAGTACCTTAGGATAGAATGTGGACCTAGGACCCCTATATGCCTGCTGTTCAAGACAGCCCAGCAAACTGGTTAGTCATTTCCTTGGGAGACTGACCTTGTAACCATGTAGCTGTGCTTTCTCTTTTCACAATGGTGGCCTGGGTTCAGGGTCCTGGTAAAAAAAAATGATGGTATTTCCACATAATGAAAGGTTATACAGCAATGAGAATGAATAAGCTACAACTATAAACCACAACCGGAATGAATCTCACAATGTGAGGACCAAAAGAAGCCAGACAAAAAAAGAGTACGTAGTTTACGATTCTACTTGTGTAATGTAAAGGTCAAAACTTTAACAATAGACAAAATTGGGCCGGGCGTGGTGGCTCATGCCTGTAATCCCAACGCTTTGGGAGGCTGAGGCAGGTGGATCACGTGAGGGTGGGAGTTCGAGATTAGCCTGGCCAACGTGGTGAAACCCTGTCTCACCATGTTAGCCAGGCATGGTGGCAGATGCCTGTAATCCAGCTACTCAGAAGGCTGAGGCAGGAGAATGGCTTGAACCTGGGAGGTGGAGGGTGCAGTGAGCTGAGGTCACGCTGCTGCACTCCAGCCTGGGTGACAGAGCGAGACCCCATCTCTCAAAAATAAAGATAAAAAATAAAAATAGACAAAACTAATCCAGTTTTAAAGTTCTTGAGTGAGACAGGGTCCCACTCTATCACCCAGGCTGGAGTGCAATGGTGTGATCTTAGCTCACTGCAGCCTTGCATTCCTGGGCTCAAGTGATCCTCCTGCCTCAGCCTCCCAAGTAGCTGGGACTACAGTCACACACAACCACACCCTACTAATTTATTTAATTTTTTGTGGAGATGAGATCTCACTGTGTTGCCCAGGCTGGTCTCAAACTCCTGGGCTCAGGGAGTCCTTCTACCTCAACCTCCCCAAATGCTGGGATTACAGGTGTGAGCTGCTGTGCCAGCTAAAAACTAATCTATTATTCTAGAAGTTAGAACAGTTGTTACTGTTGACGAAAAGAGTCAAACTCTGTAAAATATTTAAAGAGGTTTACTCTGAGCCGAATATGAGTGACCATGGCCCAAGAGACACTCTCAAGAGGTCCTGAGAAATGTGTCCGAGGTGGTTCAGTTACAGCTTAGTTTTGTATGTTTTAGGGAAACATAAGACATCAATCAATACATGTGAGGCATACATTGGTTCAATCTAGAAAGGCAGCACAACTCAAGTCGGGAACTGTGCTTCTAGGTGACAGGTAGGTTCAAAGATTTTCTGATTGGCAATTGGTTGAAAGAGTTATTACCTAGAGACCTGGAATCAATAGAAAGGAGGGTTTGGGTTAAGATAAGGACTTGTGGAGACTTCAAGGTTCTTATTATGTAGATAAAGTCTCCTAGGTGGCCACCCTTAGAGGCAAGAGATGGCAAATGTTTTCTATTTAGAACTTTAAAAGGTGCTGGTCTCTCAGCCAGTCTCTTCAGGATCGGAAAAAGACTTGGAAAGGGAAGGGGATTCTCTATAGAAAGTAAATTTCTCCCACGAGATACAGTTTTGCAGAGCCATTTAAAAATACGTCAAAGTCGATCCTTTTGTAGTTCAAGAGCATAATGATCGGGCGTTCACATGCGTGTGTCAGATGTGCCACCCTCGAACCTTGTTAGGATGTTGGCACATTACCTGTCTGACATAAAAGGAAAATAATAAATAAAAATATGTCAAAGGAATATATTCTGGGGCAAAAGATTTTTATTCCTTTCAGGATCTGCTATCTGTCGTGTGATGCTATACTAGAATCAGGTTGGAATTTGGTATTTTATTGCTACAAAGAATCTGCTTTGTCAGTCATAAGATCTCTGTTTTAATGTTAATGCTGGTCAGCTGTGCCTGAATTCCAAAGGGAGGAGAGTATAATGAGGCATATGAGACCCTCATACCCGGGTTTGAAATCCCCTTGGTGGAGAGGAAGGGGTCTGTTTAGTCATTTGGGGGAGGAGCTTATAATTTCATTTTTGGCTCACATTACCCTGGTGGGAATTCGTGACTGGAAGACAGCACGAGGGAGTCTTCCAGGATTCTGGTAGCATTCTGATTCTTGATTTGAATTCTGGTTCTATGGATATGAATTTTATAAAAATTCATGAAACTGCAAACTTATCATATGTACACTTTTTTTTTTTCTTGAGACAGAGTCTCACTCTATCATCCAGGCTGCAGTGCAGTGGCATAGTCTTGGCTCACCGCAAACTCTGCTTTGCGGATTCAAGCGATTCTGGTGCCTCAGACTCTTGAGTAGCTGGGACTACAGGCGTGCACCACCATGCCTGGCAAATTTTTGTAGTTTTAGTAGAGACGGGGTTTTGCCATGTTGGCCAGGCTGGTCTTGAACTCCTGACCTCAAGTGATCCACATGCTTCAGCCTTTCAAAGTTCTGGGATTAAAGGCATGAGACACTGCACCTGGCTGACATGTACACTTTTTGTAGGTATGTGATACTTCAATAATTTTACATATATTTTAAAAATTAAATAAATGTATGTATTTTAAAACCTAGCCTCATGTGCATACACACAAAAAAATAATTACATCATATAGAACTTCATAAAGAATGTCCAAAATTTAGAAACACACATACACACACGTGTGCAAACACACACATGCACAGTTAGGAGAAAGAGAGATCCTGGTAGTGTGATAGAAAAAAGAGGTTCAGCCAGGTGTGGTGGCTCAAGCCTGTAATCCCCGCACTTTGGGAGGCCGAGGCGGGCGGATCACGAGGTCAGGACAACGAGACCGTTCTGGCTAACACGGTGAAACCCCATCTCTACTAAAAATACAAAAAACTAGCCGGGCGTGGTGGCAGGTGCCTGTAGTCCCAGCTACTTGGGAGGCTGAGGCAGAAGAATGGCGTGAACCCGGGAAGCGGAGCTTGCAGTGAGCAGAGATCACGCCACTGCACTTCAACCTGGGCGACAGAGCAAGACTCCGTCTCAAAAAAAAAAAAAAAAGAAGAAGGTTCACATTTGTGGAGTGTGATTAAAAAAAAAACAATCCTCAACCCCTAGAAGATGGGAAGAAAGCAGGTTTGAGGAGGAAGAAGAATTAGAAAGCAGTATAGTATGACTCACCCAAGAACAATGACAACCAGCACTGCCCTTTGTCACTTGGACTTTGAACAAACAGTTGGTAAAATTATTTTGAGGTGTGGGTGAGTAAGGGGGTGTGCCCTGGGGCATTACTTGCTCAAATTGGTTTCTGCCCTGTATGAGATCAACACATAGATCACACATTAACTACTCCCATCCCACTTGAAAATGGCCCGTATACCATCAGGAGAAAGACCTCGACCATTTCCCATGATTATTCTTGTTATTCTAACATCCTTCAGATTGAGTGTTAAGTCCATATATTATGAAATTAATGAATCTTTCCAGAATCTCAAGCAGCAGTTCTATTATAATGTAAATCAGAAATCTTTGAGACGCTCCTTTTTTTTTGAGACAGAGTCTCGCTCTGTCGCCAGGCTGCAGTGCAGTGGCACAGTCTCAGCTCACTGCAACCTCTGCCTCCTGGGTTCAAGCGATTCTCCTGCCTCAGCCTTCCGAGTAGCTGGGATTACAGGTGCCCACCACCAAGCCTGGCTAGTTTTTGTATTTTTAGTAAAGACACGGTTTTGTCATGTTGACTAGGTTGGTCTCGAACTCCTGACCTCAGGTGATCCACCTGCCTCAGCCTCCCAAAGTGCTGGGATTACAGGCATGAGCCATCGCACCTGGCCTGAGAAACTTGTTAAAAACACAGATTTCTTGGGGCAAAGATTCAGCAGGTGACCGGTGGATCCGAAGAATCTTCATTTTAACCAGCTTCCCTTGCCTTTCCATCTGCCATAAAAGTCTGGATTTTAGCCGGGTGTGGTGGCTCACGCCTATAATCCCAGCACTTTGGGAGGCCGAAGCAGGCGGATCACCTGAGGTCAGGAGTTCGAGACCAGCCTGGCCAACGTGGTGAAACTCCGTCTCTACTAAAAATACAAAAATTAGCCGGGCATGGTGGCGGGTGCCTGTAATCCCAGCTACTCGGGAGGCTGAGGCAGGAGAATCGCTTGAACCTAGGAGGCGGAGGTTGCAGTGAGCCAAGATCGCGCCATTGCACTCCAGCCTGGGCAACAAGAGCGAAACTTCATCTCAAAAAAAAAAAAAAAAAAAAAAAAAAAAGGCCGGGTGCAGTGGCTCACGCCTGTAATCCCAGCACTTTGGGAGGCCGAGGCGGTTGGATCACGAGGTCAGGAGATCGAGACAATCCTGGCTAACACGATGAAACCCCGTCTCTACTAAAAATACAAAAAATTAGCCGGGCGTGGTGGTTGGTGCCTGTAGTCCCAGCTACTTGGGAGGCTGAGGCAGGAGAATGGCATGAACCCAGGAGGCAGAGCTTGCAGTGAGCCAAGATCGCACCACTGCACTCTAGCCTGGGCAACAGAGTGAGACTCCGTCTCAAAAGAAAAAAAAAAAGTCTGGATTTTATCTGTGCATTTTATGTGTCAACTTGACTGGACCACGGGATGCTCAGATATTTGGTTAAACATTATTCTGAGTGTAACGCTGAGGGTGTTTCTGGATGAAATGAACATTTCTATAGGTTGACTGAGTTAAGCAAATTGCCCTCCCCCATGTCTGTGGGCCTCATTCAATCGTTGAAGGCCTGAATACAACAAAAAGGCTGAATATAACAACATTTGTTCTCTCTGGCTGACTGTTTTTGCGCTGGGAACATTAGGCTTCTGCCTTTGGGCTTGGACTTGGACTGGAATTTACATCATTTGTTCCCCTGGGTCTCCAGCTTGGCAACTGCAGATCTTGGGATTTCTCAACCTCCATAACTACATGAGCCAATTCATTTGTATATGTGTATATATTGGCTCAGGACAGCACACCTGACAACTCTGGTTCCCAGCTGCAGGGGGAGGCTACCCAAGTATCTGGCAGATCTCCAACTATGCATGCACAGGGTAGACTCCAAGCAGTTCAGATAAGGCTAAAATAACAGAGGCTTCAGCTGTTCACTCACCACGGGGGAGGCAAAATTCAGAATTTGAGTTCAGCCAAGTTAACTGCCTACTAAACTAAAAATTTGGGATAAGCCAGGTGCAGTGGCTCACACCTGTAATCTCAGCACTTTGGGAGGTCGAGACAGGCAGATGACTTGAGCCGAGGAGTTCAAGACCAGCCTAGGCAACATGACAAAACCTCATCTCTACAAAAAAAATAAGAATTAGCGGGGCATAGTGGTGTGTGCCTATAGTCTCAGCTACTTGGGAGGCTGAGGTGGGAGGATCACTTGAGCCCAAGAGGCAGAGATTTCAGTGAGCCGAGATCATGCCCCTGCACTCCAGCCTGGGCAACAGAGTGAGTCCCTGCCTCCAAATAATAATAATAGGTCTGGCCCAGTAGCTCACGCCTGTAATCACAGCACTTTGGGATGCCTTAGAGGGCAGATCACCTGAGGTCGGGAGTTCAAGACCAGCCTGACCAACATGGAGAAATCCCATCTCTACCAAAAATACAAAATTAGCCAAACTTGGTGGCACATGCCTGTAATCCCAGCTACTCGGGAGGCTGAGGCAGAAGAATCATTTGAACCTGGGAGGCGGAGGTTGCAGTGAGCCAAGATCGCACCATTGTACTCCAGCCTGGGCAACAAGAGCGAAACTCCATCTCAAAATAAATAAATACGTAAAATAATAATAATAATAAATAATTTGGAATGTCCTGGCTGGGTACTCAGCAGGTCACTGAATATGCAGATATGTGGGAGAACAAGGGTAGGGGAGTGAGCAGGAACCTGGGGAGACCAAAAAGCAGAGAAAGAACTCGGACAGGTCTTGCCACTGCAACAGTCAGAGTAGGAGGCAAGTGCCACTGCCACAGCCGCCAGACACGGGCCCTTGCTGCTCCTGGACTCTTGACCCTGCCACCCTGGAAACAATCTGTCATTCTCCTGACATGCAGGTACTAATGCCCTCAAAAGTCAAAAATCCTGGGTAGGAATGTCTGATTGGTGTAGCCGGTATCATATGCCAGTGCCCCAACTACCAAGGAGAAGGGGAAAAGAATGTCTGTGCGTCCTTCGGCTGCCAGAGTAGGGTACCTCCTGCAAGCTCATATTTCCCCAGGAAGCAGGAAGCAGGAAGCAGGAGCCCATGCCAGGAGGGCCACTCTATTGCCAAAAGGAAATCACAGCCAAAAAAAAAACAAAACACTCTTTTTTTTTTTTTTTTTGAGAAGGAGTCTCTCTCTGTCACCCAGGCTGGAGTGCAGGGGTGCGATCTCGGCCACTCTTTTTTTTTTTTTTTTGAGAAGGAGTCTCTCTCTGTCACCCAGGCTGGAGTGCAGTGGTGCAATCTCGGCTCACTGCAAGCTCTGCCTCAGGGGTTCGTGCCATTCTCCTGCCTCAGCCTCCCGAGTAGCTGGGACTACAGGCGCCCGCCACCACACCCGGCTAAGTTTTTTTGTATTTTTAGTAGAGATGGTGTTTCACTGTGTTAGCCAGGATGGTCTCGATCTCCTGACCTCATGATCCACCCGCCTCGGCCTCCCAAAGTGCTGGGATTACAGGCATGAGCCACAGCGCTTGGCCTTTTTTTAGACAGAGTCTAGTTCTGTCACCCAGGCTGGTGTGTGTCATGTGCATCCATGTGAAGAGACCACCAAACAGGCTTTGTGTGAGCAATAAAGCTTTTTAATCACCTGGGTGCAGGTGGGCTGAGTCCGAAAAGAGAGTCAGCAAAGGGAGTTAGCAGTGGGGCAGTTTTATAGGATTTGAGTAGGTAGTGGAAAATTACAGTCAAAGGGGGTTGTTCTCTTGCTGGCAGGGGCGGGGGTCACAAGGTGCTCGGTGGGGAGCTCTGGAGACTTATTGTCCAGGAAAAGGAATGTCACAAGGTAATGTCATCAGTCAAGGCGGGAACCGGCCATTTTCACTTCTTTTGTGATTCTTCAGTTGCTTCAGGCCATCTGGATGTATACTTGCAGGCTTGGGCTCAGAAGCCTGACAGTGTGCAGTGGCACAATCTCAGCTCACTGCAACCTCCGCCTCCTGGGTTCAAGCAATTCTCCTGCCTCAGCTTCCCGAGTAGCTGGGACTACAGGCGCACGCCGTCACATCTGGCTATTTTTTTGTCTTTTAGTAGAGATGAGGTTTCACTGGGTTGCCCAGGTTGGTCTCGGACACCTGAGCTCAGGAAATCCACCCTCCTGGGCCTCCCAAAGCGCTAGGATTACAAAAAAATCCTCTTTGACTATCCTCTATTTCCTTTCTTTTGCTCTTTCTTCCCTTATCTTCCTCACCAACTTTTTAATCTACATACAAAATATTCTGTGCATTGTGGAGAGCAGGGAATTGAAAGTGTGGTTGGCTGAATAATGGTCATCCAGAGATAGCAGTCCCTAATCCCTAGCACTTGTAAATGTTGCTGTATAAGGAAAAACGGGCTTTGTGTATGTGACTAATTTAAGGATCTTGCCATGGGGAGATTATCCTGGATTATCTGGGTGGACCATCACAAGTGTCCTTGCACAAGCCAGGCAAAGGGAGATTAGACGCACAGCAAGAGAGGAGGCAACGTGGCCACCAAGGCAGAAATTAGAATAATACGGCCACATGTCAAGGAGAGCCAGCAGCCACCAGGAGCCGGAAGGGACAAGAAGCAGATTCTCCCTAGAGCCTTCCAAAGGCCCACAGCCCTGCTGACAGCTCGCTTCCACCAGTGATACAGATTTCAGACTTCTGGCTTCCAGAACAGTGAGAGAATATATTTCTGTTGTTTTAAACTATCTAGTTTATGGTAATTTGTTACTGCAGTCACAGGAAACAAATACGCAATATGAAGAAGATGTGAAAATATTATACCTTTAAAACAAGGCAGAAAGAAGGAAGCAAGGATGCTGAGCTCATGAGTGCAATGTTAGTCACCTAGCACACAAAGGAGTGAAAGCCAGATAAAATAATCCAGAAAACCATGTGTCTTTCGAAAATAAATCTAGGATTAGAATAGGACAGACTGAGTAACACAGGGAAAAGTAATAACTCTGTTGATCCATCTAAACCAGATATATAATCTCCTGACAAATAGAGCAGGAGGTATGAATAGGAGGACATTTTAGTTGTTTAACTGGTGAAATGTTAGGGGGTGGAAGGGGGAAAGAGTGGCACAGGCTAAATCGGCTAGATGACTCAGAAAATGAATTTGTTTTCAGATAATTGCTTCCTAACGTAGCAATGATGCAGCTCTTAGTCATTCCAATAGCAAACAGCCATTCTGATAGCAATTCCACAGAGACAGCAAACCAGCTAGAACAAAAGACTGCTCCACCCACAACAAGGACTCTGGTGGGAAAAAGTTCCTAGTGAATGAATCCAACATAATTGACTCTGAGCTGCTCTTGTGTCAAAGACAGGCTATGAGAAACTGGCATGGATGGGAACAGCTTCAGACATTGGCTTCCTGTTGTGTCTTCTTGCTGCTGTGAAATGAGGCTCTAAGATAAACAGAGCAGAGGCACATCTGGAGAGGAAGGTTACCAGAAGGGTGATGTCACTAGCAGCAAATCAGAACCCCATCTTTCAGCCTAGCAGGGATTTGAAGGATTTGTATCATAGTATGCAAGGGGCTTCCAGCACTGCATGGCCTCTATCTTTAATCAAAGTCAGAAGCCTACAGGCAGGAGTGGGCTGAGCTTCTCATGTGTGCTCACATCGTGCTGGTGAGCCACTGAAGGCCTGATAGGAGGAGAGTAAGACTCAAAAACTCTGCTTAAAATCCAGATGTGTAAATGAGACGTACTCTATTAAAGAGGACAAGAATCAAACATAGGAAAACTATTATACCACTAAGATGACACAAGGCCCAAGCTGAAGTGCTTAGAAGTTTGTGGATATGAATTAACATATTTTTTTTCTTGAGTTAGCATGTGATTCCTACTCTTTGAGAAAGGTGGCTTTAGCCATGAGCTTGTACTGTTGGTGGGACTTGCTGTTTAATCAGTCAACAAATCACCAATGGGCACAGCTGTGTGCTAAACGCCAACAGGAATATAAAAGCACAGCATCCCTGATCTTAAAGGGTTTTTGCAGTTCTGCTGGGAAAATTAAACAAGCAGGAAACATCAGCATTCCAATGCAGTAAAAGCATATTGTGTACTCTTGCCTGTTGCTGCTACAGGAGTTTATTAATTCATCCACTCAACTAATAGTTATTGAATGTCTGCTTGGTGCCAAGCATGCTTCTGGGATACAGCAGTGAACAAACCAACACCAAATCTCTGCCTCATAGAGCTTACATAGGGTTGGGGAAGGTCAGACGCATTGGAGATATCTACTAGACACCAAGGTGGAGATCAGATTGATGAGGGTGGAGCTCAGGGAAGAGATCTGGACCAGAATTCAGAACTCAGAAGATGTAAACACCAGAGTGGGCTGGAGATGCTTCAGGGAGCAGGGAAGACTTGAATGGGGCCCGTTTCACAACAGCAACAAAAGCCTCTTTCACCAGTTCTCTAGGCCAAGGCCCAAGCCCTCCTGGTTTATCTACTGCCTCTTTTCCCCACTTCTCCTTATCAGTTTCCTCTTTCCGGCCCATTTTCTTCATTCCCATCTGTCTTCTTCCCTTCCCCGTCTGCTTCCTTCATCTCTTCCTTGGATGGTTCCCTTCCTGCTTCCTTGATTCTATTCTCACCCCACTATGTTCCATAATGAATAAGAAAAATCAATTAAGCAAAAAATTATTCTGACCAAAGATGATAGGAAAGGAAAGAATTCTTAGAGGATCACCCCTTGAGAGAGAATTCAGTCTGTGTTAATTCTTTCAATCTGAGTAAAGTCTTCCAGGCTCCTGAGCTTGCCTTTCTGTGTGATATTGTTACAGGAAAGGGGTCCCGATCCAGACCCCAAGAGGGGGTTCTTGGAGTTTGCGCAAGAAAGAATTCAGATTGAGTCCATAGAGTAAAGTGAAAGCAAGTTTATTAGGAAAGTAAAGGAAAAAAGAATGGCTACTCCATAGACAGAGCAGCCCCGAGGGCTGCTGGTTGCCAATTTTTATGTTTTTTTTCTTCTTATCTTTTTTTTTTTTTTTTTTTTTAAGATGGAGTTTCACTCTTGTTGCCCAGGCTAGAGTGCAATGGCCCGGTCTCGGCTCACTGCAACCTCCGCGTCCCGAGTTCAAGCATTTCTCCTGCCTCAGCCTCCCAAGTAGCTGGGATTACAAGCGCCCATCACCATGCCCAGCTAATATTTGTATTTTTTTTAGTAGAGATGGGGTTTCACTATGTTGGCCAGGCTGGTCTTGAACTCCCGACCTCAGGTGATCTGCCTGTCTCGACCTCCCAAAGTGCTGAGATTACAGGTGTGAGCCACTGTAACTGGACTGGTTATTTCTTGATGATATGCTAAACAAGGGGTGGATTATTCATGCCTCTCCTTTTTAGACCATGTAGGGTAACTTCCTGATGTTGGCATGGCATTTGTAAGCTGTCACAGCACTGGTGGGAGCATAGCAGTGAGGATGACCAGAGGTCACTCTCGTGGCCATCTTGATTTTTGGTGGGTTTTGGCTTCTTTTTTTTTTTTTTTTTTTTTTTTTTGAGATGTTGTTTCACTCTTGTTGCCCAGGCTGGAGTGCAATGGTGTGATCCCGGCTCACTACAACCTCCGCCTCCCAGGTTCAAGCGATTCTCCTGCCTCAGCCTCCCGAGTAGCTGGGAATACAGGCATGTGCCACCACGCCCGGCTAATTTTGTATTTTTAGTAGAGACAGAGTTTCTCCATGTTGGCCAGGCTGCTCTCGAACTCCCAGCCTCAGGTAATCTGCTCTCCTTGGCCTCCCAAAGTGCTGGGATTACAGGCATGAGCCACCGCGCCTGGCTGGTTTCGGCTTCTTTACTGCAACCTGTTTTATCAGCAAGGTCTTTATGACCTGTATCTTGTGCCGACCTCATATCTCATCCTGTGACTTAGAATGCCTTAACCATCTGGGAATGCAGCCCAGTTTTCAGCCTCATTTTACCCAGCCCCTATTCAAGATGGAGTTGCTCTGGTTTAACTGCCTCTGACAATATTATCAGATCCTAAAACACAATCTTAGAAATAGCTGCTCTTTCAAAACACTAGACATATATTCAAAGCCATAGAAATGTGAATGCTGACTTCATTGTTAACTGTGCAGAGAGAGGGAAATGAGAGAAAATACATGTAAATTAGCATACTTGTGTTTTCAAAGTTGTTTTTATTTTTTATTTTTTTTGAGACGGAGTCTCACTCTGTCACCCAGGCTGGAGTGCAGTGGCACGATCTTGGCTCACTGCAACCTCCGCCTCCGGGATTCAAGCGATTCTCCTCTCTCAGCCTCCCAAGTAGCTGGGACTACAGGTGCTTGCCACCATGCCCAGCTAATTTTTTGTATTTTTAATAGAGATGGGTTTTCACCATGTTAGCCAGGATGGTCTTGATCTCCTGACCTTGTGATCTGCCTGCCTCGGCCTCCCAAAGTGCTGGGATTACAAGTGTGAGCCACCATTCAAAGTTGTTTTAACAATCTTATAAATTCCTTTTTTTTTTTTTTTTTTTGAGACAGAGTCTCACTCTGTTGGCCAGGCTGGAGTGCAGTGGTACAACCACGACTCACTGCAGCCTCAACTTCCTGGGTTCAAGTGATCCTCCCACCTCAGCCTGCCAAGTAGCTGGGATTAATTTTTTCTATTTTTTGTAGAGATGGGGGTCTCACTATGTTGATTGGGCTGGTCCCAAACTCCTGGGCTCAAGCAATCCTCCTACCTTGGCCTCCCAAAGTGCTGGGATTATAGGCATGAGCAATGGCACCCAGCCTTACATTCTTTTTGTAAGTTCAGGTGAGTTTGATCTTGTATCATAATAGTGAAGGCCCTCCTTTTTTATGTATCTTTCTTCTTTTTTATTTATCTTTATCCCTCCCTCCCTGTCTCCCTCCCTTCCTTGCTTCCTTCCTTTCCTCCCTCCCTCCCTTCCTTCCACGGAGTCTCTGTCGCCCAGGTTGGAGTGCAGTGATGCGATCTCAGCTCACTGAAACCTCCACTTCCCAGGTTCAAATGATTCTCCTGCCTCAGCCTCCCAAGTAGCTGGGATTACAGGTGCCCACCACCATGCCCGGCTAATTTTTGTATTTTTAGTAGAGACAGGGTTTCACTATGTTGGCCAGGCTGGTCTTGAACTCCCAACCGCAAGCAATCCGCAGGCTTCAGCCTCCCAAAGTGCTGGGATTACAGCCATGAGCCACAGCACCCGGCTTATCTTTTTTCTTTAAAATAATACAAACTCATTCAAATATACTTGGAAAATACGGAAAATAATAGGGAAGGAAATAAAAATCAACTATTTCATCATTCAGAGATGATGATGATTCGGATGATTTCATCACTCAGAGTGAAATAGTTTGTGCTGCCTAACCAAATTCAAAATCTTGGCAGTTTACAACAACAAACATTTATTTTCTCCTTCATGGGCCCATGGCTCCACTGGGTCTCTGAGTGCCCCGCTGGGCTTGGCTGGGCCTGGGTTCAGGCTATGAGTTGGGTTAGGTCTGCTGCACGTGTTTTCTCATTTTTCTCAGATCAGTAGCTTCTGGGAGATATTTTTTCTCATGGAAGACCACAGGAATGCAAAGGTGTGAGCAGAAAAACAGGAAGCCTTTTAAGGTCTTCACTTAAAACTAGCATGCTGTAAATTTTACTCACATTTCACGGGCCAACACCAGTCCTTTGGAGGCTGAGGCAGAAGGATTGCTTGAGCCCAGGAGTTTGAGACCAGCCTGAGTAACATAGCAAGACCCTGTCTCTAAAAAAAAAATTTTTTTTTTTTTTTTAGATGGAGTTTTGCTCTTGTTGCCCAGGCTGGAGTGCAATGGCGCGATCTCGGTTCACCACAACCTCTGCCTCCCAGGTTCAAGTGATTCTCCTGCCTCAGCCTCCCGAGTAGCTGGGATTACAGGCATGTTCCACCACGCCTGGCTAATTTTTGTATTTCTAGTAGAGACAGAGTTTCTCCATGTTGGTCAGGCTGGTCTCCACTTCCTGACCTCAGGCGATCTATCTCAACCTCCCAAAGTGCTGGGATTACAGGCGTAAGCCACGGCACCCGGCAAAAAAATTTTTTTAATTAGCCAGGTGTGGTGGTATACACCTGTAGTACCAGCTATTTGGGAGGCTGAGGTGGGAGGATCACTTGAGCCTAGGAGGTTGAGACTGCAGTGAGCTATGATCATGCCCATGCACTCCAGCCTGAGTGACAGAGCAAGACCCTGTCTGGTTTTTCTTTTTCTTTTTTTTTTTTTTTTCAGATGGAGTCTTGCTCTGTTGCCCAGGCTGCAGTGCAGTGGTGCGATCTCGGCTCACTGCAACCTCCGGGCCCCCCCGATTCAAGTGATTCTCCTGCCTCAGACTCCCGAGTAGCTAGGATTATAGGCGACTGCCACCATGCCTGGCTAATTTTTGTACTTTTTGTATTTTTATATTTTTAGTTTCACCATGTTGGCCAGGCTGGTCTTGAACTCCTGACCTCATGATCCGCCCACCTCAGCCTCCCAAAGTGCTGGGATTACAGGCGTGAGCCACCAAGCTAGGCCACTGCTCACCCAATTTTACCAACAAGAAGACTGAGGGTTAGATGATAGCTTCTTAAACTTTAAAGTATCTATGCATCACTGGTGGATCTTGTTAAAATTCAGATCCTGATTCAGGAGGTCTGGGGTGAGGCCTGGCCCACTTGGAAGTAAAAGGCTAGAAGGTCTAAGTCATTTGCCTCAAGGTCACCCCACTGGTAAAGTTCAGTGCCAGGTTTTCAACCTAGCTTCAGTCTGACTCTAAAACCTGTACTTTTATCATCTCTCAGAGACCCTGCTCCAAGATCTCTTGCAACTCTAAAATTCCAATTCTGGTGCCAGATTAATTGGAGAAATGCAAATAAAATAACAGCAAGCATGTTCTCGTGTCCCAGCTGCTCCCAGTGGAGTAGTGGATGGAGATGCTTGGTTACTTTCTCAGGTCAAAGGAGGCTTCTGGGCAAGGCAGGAGCAAGCTTCTGTACTTTTGTTTTGTTTTTTAAGATATGGGGTCTTGCTATTTTGCCCAGGCTGGTCTTGAGCTCCTCGGCTCAAGCAATCCTCCTGCCTTGGCCTCCCAAAGTGCTGGGACTATGGGTGTGAACCACCACACACAGCCTGTACTTTCATAACTATATGACACTCAAAAGAATTCCTTCTTTGGCCTAGAAAGCCAAACCGACCCACTAGTGGTACAACTCAAAGACCTGCCTCAGAGCTGCAGCAAACGTATAAAGAAGTCATTATAAAAATAGCAACCACAGGTCGGGCGTGGTGGCTCATACCTGTAATCCCAGCACTTTGGGAGGCCGAGGCAGGTGGATCATCTGAGGTCAGAAGTTCCAGACCAGCCTAGCCAACATGGTGAAACCCCGTCTCTACTAAAAATACAAAAATTAGCTGGCAGTGGTGGCGGGCGCCTATAGTCCCAGCTACTCGGGAGGCTGAGGCAGGAGAATCACTTGAACCCTGGAGGTGAAGGTTGGAGTGAGCCGAGATTGCACCATTGCACTCCAGCCTGGGCAACAAGAGTGAACAAAACTTCGTCTCAAAAAAAAAAAAAAAGCAACCGCATATTGTGCCCTTAACTGTGTGCTAGGCACTTATTAAATTTTCATGATAGCCCTATGAGGTAGGACTGTTATCATTATCTTTACCCTCAAATAAGGAAACAGAGGTTAAATAACTTACCCAATGTACAGCTAGAGAAAAGCAGAGGCAGCATTGACTACCAGAGCCAGGGTTTTACGTAGACATATGTTCTATGTAGCGCTGTTTTCAATTAATCATTCCAGCTGATTATGAAAAAGGATGGCAGCCTTGGGACAAAGGGTTTCTATACACTCCCACGCCCAGTAAAATCCCCCATCAGACATGATGACTTACATATATGGAATCATATATGAAATGGCTGGTCCTCTTCTCTAATCTTCTTCTGAGAAAAACATCTGCCAAATAGCAAAATAAGATACAGTCTCATGGCCAGGCACAGTGGCTCACGCCTGTAATCCCAGCACTTTGGGAGGCCGAGGCAGGCAGATCACCTGAGGTCAGCAGTTCGAGACCAGCCTGGCCAACATGGTAAAACCCTGTCTCTACTAAAAACACAAAAAAATTAGCCAGGCATGGTGGCAGGCTCCTGTAATCCCAGCTACTCATGAGACTGAGGCAAGAGAATCGCTTGAACCCGGGAGGTGGAGGTTGCAGTGAGCCGAGATCACACCATTGCACTCCAGAAAAGAGCGAGACTCTGTCTCAAAAAAGAATTTAAAAGTAAATAAATAAAAATAAAGATACAGTCTCAGAAATTATGGATTAACTAATATAGTTGGTTCAACTCAATTCCTCCCTGTTCATTCTTTTTTTTTTTTTTTTTGAGATGGAGTCTGGCTCTGTCCCCCAGGCTGGAGTGCAGCGGCGTGATCTCGGCTCACTGCAAGCTCCGCCTCCCAGGTTCACGCCATTCTCCTGCCTCAGCCTCCAGAGTAGCTGGGACTACAGGCGCCCGCCACCACGCCCGGCTAATTTTTTGTATTTTTAGTAGAGACGGGGTTTCACTGTGTTAGCCAGGATGTTCTTGATCTCCTGACCTCGTGATCCGCCCGCCTCGGCCTCCCAAAGTGCTGGGATTACAGGCGTGAGCCACCGCGCCCAGCCCAATTCCTCCCTGTTCATTCTAAGCCTACTATTTGCTCATGATCCATGCCTTCTAGTTAATTGAACTGTCATTTAAGAGACAATTTATGGCCAGGTGGAGCAGCTGAAGCTTGTAATCCCAGAGCTTTGGGAGGCTGAGGCGGGAGGATTTGGTGAGTCCAGGAGTTTGAGACCAGCAAGAGCAACATAGCAAGGCCCTGTCTCTACAAAAATTTTTTTAAAAAATCAGCCGGGTGTGGTGGCATGTGACTTGGTCCCAACTACTCAGGAGGTTGAGGCGGGAGGATCGCTTGAGCCCAGGAGTTCGAGGTTGCAGTGGGCTATAATCACACCACTACACTCCAGCCTGAGCAACAGAGTGAAACCCTGTCTCTTTAAAAAAACAACAAAAAAAGATCATTTATATATATGACCTAATAAGAAAATACACCACAATACTTCATAAAGTAGAATCTCATATCAAAGGATCAAAGGCCTAATCTGTGACGATAATAACAGCTAGCATTTGTTGATCATAATTTATGTCCTTCTTTTTTTGTTGTTGTTCTTTTTAAAAGTTTTTTTCATTAAAAAAAATTTTAACTTAAAGAGATAGGGTCTCCTTATGTTGGCCAGGTTGGTACTGTCTTCTCATGCTCCCCCACCTACCTGGCCTCAAGCGATCTTCCTACCTCATCCTCCCAAAGTCCTGGGATTACAGGCACTGTCATAATCTATGTCCTTTGGACACATTATCTCATTTAATCTTCCCAACAACCTTATGAAGGAAGTTATTAGGAAAACTGGGTTTGAACCAGGCAGTCTGACCCCAGCCCTTACATACCACTGTCCTAACCCCACACAGAGCTTTACTTCCTCTCTCTGAAACCAGTCCTCCGTGCTGTGCACCCTCTGATGGGGGGAAGGTGTGCATTGTTTGGAGTTATAAAGAGAGGCCTAGGCGGCTGGGCGCGGTGGCTCACGCCTGTAATCCCAGCACTTTGGGAGGCCGAGGCAGGCGGATCACAAGGTCAGGAGATCGAGAACATCCTGGCTAACACGGTGAAACCCCGTCTCCACTAAAAATACAAAAAATTAGCTGGGCATGGTGGAGGACTCCTGTAGTCCCAGCTACTCTGGAGGCTGAGGCAGGAGAATGGTGTGAACCCAGGAGGCGGAGCTTGCAGTGAGCTGGGATCGCGCCACTGCACTGCACTCCAGCCTGGGCGACAGAGCCAGACTCCGTCTCAAAAAAAAAAAAAAAAAAAAGAGAGAGGCCTAATGAAGAAATGGTAGCTGATGGACCTTGGACCAATAAATCAGGCACCAACTTATCTTTATCAACTGCTGGGTACAGTACCAGAACATTATAAATAGACAATAAATGCTTAGTGAGCCCAAATATCTTGTTTAATTAAGAGTTAACTATTGAAGGTGGTCTTGTGTGTGTAGAAATGAGGGGCAGGGCATGCTGGTTGGAGGGCATGTTGCAGCACATCTTTGCCAAGAATGAGCTCAGCCTGTCCTGGAGAGTCAGCTTGTCAACAATAGAGAATTCATTCAGTTGTTCAGCAAACAGGTTTTGAGCATCTACAATGTGCCAGGTACTGTGTTACGGGTTAAGGATATAAAGATGAATAAGACACAACCCCTGACTTCAAATGCTTCATGGTCTTAAGAGGTTTGGTGAGGAGGGGCAGACAGGCACAGATGGAAACAAAGACATGTGCCATGCAGGCTTATAAATGACTTTTAAAGGGTCTAGAGAAAGAGCTGAGGATGAAGAGAGAAAAAGCTGATGGGGGAAGGGAGAGAGAAGTTGGCCATTGACAATCAGGACCCTAGAAGCAGTGAGACACAGAGGACAAGGAGGTCAGTGTGAGAGTGTTGGTGTAGGTGGGGGAGCATGAGAAGACCATGGGCAGAAGAGACCAGCTAGGGCATTGCAGACCCAGGTAAAGCGCCGCTGGACTCCTTGTACATGCACACTCAGTCCCCAAATAGATGCCTTTAGACATGATCCTCTGGTAAGATTAAAAAGGCAGCTGTTTTCCGTGTTTCAGGCAACAACTTCTAGGAAACACTTATGCATTTGCCTTTCTTTCTTTTTTTTTTTTTTTTGAGACGGAATTTCACTCTTGTTGCCCAAGCTGGAGTGCAATGGTGCGATCTCGGCTCACTGCAACCTCCACTTCCTGGGTTCAAGCGATTCTCCTGCCTCAGCCTCCCGAGTAGCTGGGATTAGAGGCACACACCACCACCCCCGGCTAATTTTTTGGATTTTTAGTAGAAACGGGGTTTCACCCTGTTAGCCAGGCTGGTCTCAAACTCCTGACCTCAGGTGATCTGCCCGCCTTGGCCTCCCAAAGTTCTGGGATTACGGGCGTGAGCCATCACACCCAGCTGCCTTTGCCTTTCTTTTTAACTCCTAGTGACCTAGTTATTGAAAGGAGCAGGAAAAATGGTCACACCCCTAACATTCCTGCATAAAGTATTTTTAATATCAGAAGTAATCCAGTAAATCTTCATGGAGTGTCTACCATGGACCAGGCAGGGGCCAAGGAGCTGAGGATACAGCTGTGAACAGAACCCCTGACTTCATGGAGTTTACATTCAAGTGGGGCCACAGGCAGCCAAAAAACCCCAATAGATACACAGCATGTGAGGGAGTGACATACAACATAAGTAAAGGAAAGAAAGCAGGGTAAGGAGAGAGAATGAGGCTGGGGAGGGGATATTCTGTATGGGTGGTACCTGTAATCCCAGCATTTTGGGAGGCCAAGGTAAAAGGATCACTTGAGTCCAGGAGTTCAAAACCAGCTTGGGCAACATAGTAAGACCCTGTCTGTACAAAAATTTAAAAATAAAAAAAAAATAAATAAATGAAAAGACCACTCTGATGGAGTGACAGTGGAGCCAAGACCTGAAGGGGTGAGAAGTTAGCAGATGGCTTGTAGAAGAAGAAATTAAAGTGCTTGATGTATTTTAGAAGTTACAAGTAGGCCTGTGTGGCTGGAGAGAGCATGGAAGGGAAGAGTGGGAGGAGAGGAGCACAGAGGGCCGGAAGTTAATCCTGCAGGGGACCTTTGGCTTTTGCTCTGAGTTAGACGTGAGCCTTGGAGAGTTTGCACAGAAATGGGCCAAGGTCTGGTTTACCTTCTTAAGGATAACTCAGGCTTCTCTGTGAGGGCTGGAATGCAGGAGACAGGGTTGGGCAAAAGGAAACCAGCTGAGAGGCTATTGAGAACTGGGAAAGGGAGGCTGGTGTTTTGGGTGAGGGTGGGAGCAAGAGGAAATTGCAAAAGTTTATCTTGTTCCGGAAATATTTTGAAGGTAGAGCCAAAAGGATTTGCTGATGGGTTGGATGGGAGAGAAAGTGAGTAGTCAGGATGACATGCCTTCCAAGCCTTTTGGCCAGACAAGCTGGGATGGCTGCCAGTTATTAAGACCGGGAAGACTTCTTGAGAAGAACCTCTTTGAGGATGGAATTCAAAAGCTTGGCTTTGGACACATTAGTTTGAGATGACTATTAGGATATACAATATCCTAATTGTACTGGGGACAGTAGTTATCAAAGTAAAGATAGTAAAGATAGTAATTAAAGTTACAGGACTGGATGAGATCACCTAGAGAGTGGTCACAGGTAGAAAAGATATCTGACCCTCAGGGCTCTCCAGTGTGTGGAGGAGGAGGCTGCAAAATAGATTGACAAGGAGCAGCCAAGGAGGGAGGAGGAGAGTCCAGAGACAGCAGTATTCTAGAAGCCAACCGCTGCCGAGAGGGGAGCAAGACAGACACTGAAGGTTAACTGTTGCATTTGGCATGATAGATAGAGTAGTGGGGATGGACGCCTGGTGTCCCTATCAGCATTTGATGGGAAAAAAATGGGAGGGGATGAGGAGATAGCAAGAGCAGACATCTCATTTAAGGAGTTTTGTATAAAGTGCAGTCAAGAAAGGCCGGGCGTGGTGGCTCACGCCTTTGTAATCCCAACACTTTGGGAGGCTGAGGTGGGCAGATCACGAGGTCAGGAGTTCAAGACCAGCAGCCTGGCCAACATAGTGAAACTTCGTCTCTCCTAAAAATACAAAAAAAAAATTAGCCAGAAATGAGTGACAAATGTAATCAAAGTTTTACCTGAAGAGACCTGAAGAGAATAAAACAATAGCTTCCATATATTGAGAACTTGTGAGATGCTTCCATATATTGAGAACTTGTGGCTGAGCGCAGTGGCTCACGCCTGTAATCCCGGCACTTTGGGAGGTCCAGGCAGGCAGATCATGAGGTCAGGAGTTCAAGACCAGCCTGGCAAACATGGCGAAACCCCATCTCTACTAAAAATACAAAAATTAGCCGGGCATGGTGGTGGGTCCCTGTAATCCCAGCTACTCGGGAGGCTGAGGCAGGAGAATCACTTGAACCAGGAGGTTGAGGTTGCTGTGAGCTGAGATCACGCCATTGCCCTCCAGCCTGGGCAACAGAGCAAGACTCCGTCTCAACAAAAAAAAATTGAATTGGGGCTGGGTGTGGTGGGTCATACCTGTAATCTCAGCACTTTAGAAGGCTAAGGCAGGAGGATTGCTTCAGTCCAGGAGTTTGAGACGAGCCTGGGCAACATAGTGAGACCCCCAATCTCTACGAAAGATTAAAAATTAGACTGGATGCAGTGGCTCACACCTGTAATCTCAGCACTTTGGGGGGCCAAGGCAGGAGGATAGCTTGAGCCTAGGAGTTTGAGACCAGCCTGGGTAACATAGTGAGACCCTGTCTCTATTTAAAAAAAATTTTTTTAATTAATAAAAAATAAAATAAAAATTAGGTGGGCATGGTGGCACATGTCTGTAGTCCCAGCTACTCCAGAGGCTGAAGTAGGAGTATTCCTTGAGTCCAAGAAATCAAGACTGCAATGAATCGTGATCATGCCACTGCACTCCACCCTGGGTGACAGAGTGAGACCCTGTCTTAAAAAAAAAAAAAAGAAAAAAGAAATGGGATGGGAGAGGGATCAAGAAGGAAGTCATTATTTCATAGTTTTAGGCAATAGACAATGGAAAACCAGTAGGGGAAGAAATTGACCCTGCAGAGGAGAGGAGTGAGGCTTGCTAGAGTGATGTCCTGAAGTCATTGAGAGTGGGTGGAAGTGGGTGCACATGTAGCATGAGGCGGGCTTAGATGGGTGCACTGGCAGTTCACTCATTGTCAAAACAGGGAGGGCAGGGTACATCGTGGACACCTCTGTTGGGGGAACATGTGGACATTCTCTTCTGACCGCTTCCCATTCCTTCCTGCTTTGTCTGTATGTTGTCATGCTGCTGTTTGCATCAACTTTAAGATGCATCTTTTTCATATTTTAACGTCAACATGGTGAAACTGGAATAAATCTTAAAATCAATGGAATGTCAGGCTGGGTGTGGTGGCTCACACCTGTAATCTGAGCACTTTGGGAGGCAGAGGTGGGTGAATCACGAAGTCAGGAGATCGAGACCATCCTGGCTAACATGGTGAAACCCCGTCTCTACTAAAAATACAAAAAATTAGCCAGGCGTGGTGGCGGGCGCCTGTAGTCCCAGCTACTTGGGAGACTGAGGCAGGAGAATGGTGTGAACCTGGGAGGCGGAGCTTGCAGTGAGCCGAGATCGCACCACTGCATTCCAGCCTGGGCGGCAGAGTGAGACTCCGTCTCAAAAACAAAAAACAAAACAAAACAAAACAAAACAAAAAAATCAATGGAATGTCTAAGTGTTGGTATTTATTTCTTCCAGGTGCTACATACAATGCAGAAGGCTTTTTGTCAAAGGTAACTTGGATATAGTGAACCGTGGAATGTTGTTACTTTGGCTCCAACTAGAGCCCTCTGTTGCAGCGGGCAAAGTGGGGTCCTGCAGATGCTGTTCACTTTGACAGTTGGGAAGAGAAGCCAACATCTTTATAATAGTAACAAACTTTGGGCTAGGGCTCTCTCTTTATTACACATACATTCACCCCAAGCCTCTGCAGACAGCTCCCAGGTGTCTGGGGAGGCCAGAGAGGGGAGGCCGGCCCTCTGCCCACCAGCTCTCCCAAGAGTGTGGGACACCCTCTGCCCACTCTCACAAGAGTGTGGGAGACCAAGGACAAGGCGATACTTGGCCCACACCTGAAACTGGACAGAAACTCCTGACTCAGAGGCCAAGCCTTCGGCCAAGTCAATAAGAGCTGGGCCCCTGTGTGGTGAACACATCCTGTGTGGTGACGACAAGGAGAAGTCCAAGGGTCTGAGAATGGGAGCAGTGTCACGGCATTGCTGGTGGGGTTACTTCTCCAGCATTGTCGACTGTTAGTAGGTGTGACTTTTTACTTCTTGGATGCGTGGGAATGACTTTTTACTTCCTGGAGGCGTGAGGATGGAGCTCAGACCCTTTTCTGTGGTCTGAATCTGGGAATGGTTCGGGAGGTTCCCTTTGTCCATTTGTTCATAAGACAAATAGTTGGGTACTTACCACACGCTGTGCTAAGCACTGGATACGCAATTATAAGCAAACCCAGACCGAGCCTCTGCTCTCAGAGCTTTTATCTAGTCATGGAGATGCATTAATGAAATAATAACAGTAAAAGGTTTCTTTTTTTTTTTTTTTGAGACGGATTGTCACTCTTATTGCCCAATCTGGAGTGCAATGGCCCGATCTTGGCTCACTGCAACCTCCGCCTCCCGGGTTCAAGCGATCCTCCTGCCTCAGCCTCCCAAGTAGCTGGGACTACAGGCATGTGCCACCACGACCGGCTAATTTTGTATTCTTAGTAGAGATGGGGTTTCTCCATGTTGGTCAGGCTGGTCTCGAACTCCAGACCTCAGCTAATCTGCCCACCTCGGCCTCCCAAAGGGCTGGGATTACAGGCGTGAGCCACCACACCTGGCCACAATAATAGGTTTTAAAAACCTACTTTAATGAAACTGTGTGCCAGACCCTGTTTTAGGCACCCTACAAATATTAACTCCTGTTATTAGTATAATAATCTAAGAACTGCTAGATGCAGTGGCTCACTCCTGTAATCCCAGCACTTTGGGAGGCTGAGGCGGGTGGATTACCTGAGGTCAGGAGTTCAAGACCAGCCTGGGCAACATGGTGAAACCCCATCTCTACTAAAAATACAAAAATTAGCTGGGCGCGGTGGCATGTGCCTGTAATCCCAGTTACTTGGGAGGCTGAGGCAGGAGAATCGCTTGAGCCTGGGAGGTGGAGGTTGCAGTTAACCAAGATTATGCCATTGCACTCCAGCCTGGGTGACAGAGCAAGACTCTGTCTCAAAATAAAGAAAAAAAAAAAAAAACCTAAGAACTAGGTATGATTAATATCAACCCTGATTTACAGATAAAAAAAACTGAGGCACAGAGAGGCAAATTTGCCCAAGGTCACACAGCTCATAAACAATGGAGTTGAGATTCCAACCCAAGCAGTTTTGCCCAGGAGTCCCAGCTCTTAGCCAGTGTGGCTAAGTTGCCTTTGTTATTCTGTCCAACTCAGTTATTCTGATATAAAACTCCCTTTGAGGATGGAAATGACTGTCAATGGAAAAAAAAAACAACAAAAGCTTTTAAAGATTTAAAGTTAGTTTTATTCAGAAGTCTTACTGAGGGCTATAGACCAAGGCCTGTAGCCCAGGAGCAGTTCTATGAGACTGCTGGGGCACAGTATCTCAGCCCATGGCCCATATACAGGCGGTGGGGGTTCAATATGTTCAAAGTCACATGAGACTTGCTCAGAAGTTGCATTCAAGCAGAATCACATTGACGTTTCGGTGTAAGAGCACAACTGGTTATAGATTACAGAGGCATCATCACTGACCTTGTCAGAGGTTATCTTATGTGTAGGCAAAGACAAACACTGCGGTCATTTATCTTTTAAGGAATATAGTGACTCAGGCAAGAGATGTCCTGTTTTGTCTTCTAAGCATCTTTCCAGAGAGCTGTGTGTAGACACAGAGTCAGGAGCTTCGAGAAATTAAGCAAGCAGAAATGAGCAAACATGACTTCTTAACATTTGCTACTTTGTCTCATATGACTCACCAAGGAAGAAGGGATTTTAGCATCTGACAAGCCAGCTGTAGCTTTGAAGACTGTTTAGGGAGCCTGCTGGGCACTGAGTAATAAGCAATTTGCATCGCACTTCTGTAGTATCTTGCATCTTGGTTTCTCTTCCCATCCTCCTCTTCATAGCTCCCTCCTCTTTTGGCTCATCCACCGCTAACTTAGTCTTTGATGCTTTTACTTTGACCCCCAGGACTTTCCTGTTGGAGTGAGCAGGTCGGTTTTCTTTGAGCTGTGCAGCAGCAGTCTCCTTGGCTAAACTCAATCCAGCACAGGACCACTCCCAAGAAAGGAGCTGCTCAATATGGGCAGAGAGGTGGGGAGTGATGGGGGGTAGAGACTGAAAATCAGATGTTAAGAATAGAAGCAGGCCGGGTGCGGTGGCTCAAGCCTGTAATCCCAGCACTTTGGGAGGCCGAGGCGGGCGGATCACGAGGTCGGGAGATCGAGATCATCCTGGCTAACACGGCGAAACCCCGTCTCTACTAAAAATACAAAAAAATTAGCCGGGCGTGGTGGCGGGCGCCTGTAGTCCCAGCTACTCTGGAGGCTGAGGCAGGAGAATGGCGTGAACCCGGGAGGCGGAGCTTGCAGTGAGCCGAGATCGCACCACTGCACTTCAGCCTGGGCGATAGAGCAAGGCTCTGTCTCAAAAAAAAAAAAAAAAAAAAAAAAAAAAAAAAAAAAAAAAAGGAAAAGAAAAGAATAGAAGCATTAGCTGGGTGTTGTGGTGCATACCTCAAGGTTGAGGTGGGGGATTCACTTGAGTCCAGGATTTTGAGGCTGCAGTGGACTATAACATGCCACTATACTCTATTAAAAATAAAAAATAACAATTAAAAAAAAAAAGAATAGGAGTAGCTCTAGACCAAGGTTGTGTATCCTGGCCAATGAAATAGAGTCTTTACACAACCTGTCTTTTCCACAGGCTAAGTTCAGTGGGCCCCGAGCTATTCAAAACTCAACACTTTTGCAATAAAAATAAAAGTTCCTTTAGTACCTTCCACGTTACCAAGCCCATTTAGAGTTCTGATCTCCTTTGGCTTCAACAACAACCCTGGGAGGTATTCCTGGGAGAACACAGAGGTCTCCCAGTCTTCAAAGCTACACACTTCACTTGTCAGACACTAAAATTCCTCACTCTTTGGTGAGTCATTTGCATTTCTAAAGTGAGTTTCCTTTCAGAATAGCTGGGCTGAAATGTGGTTGTAAGTGACTGGGCATTAGAGCTGGCAGAACACAACAGAGACTGTATGCACTTTCAACTCCAGACTCTTCCACGACCTCTTTCTACCTCTCAGACGAGGTAGTGCCTGGCTGCAATTTTTCAAGAACCAAAACTTGAATGACTGCCATCATTAGGCTCTAAAGTCAAAAATTGGCCTGAATTCTCCCCCCAAAGAAATAAGCACCTAATATTTTTCTTCGTATGCTGAAAATTCAGGGAAGCTCTGATAACACAACCATTTAGCGTTACATGCAAGAAATGCTTCCACTTAAGGTCAAGAGTTTGGCATCTGCTTCCTGAAGCCCCTTCTGAATCATGTTATTTCTAACAAGAAGATATGAATTGTCTATATTTCATAAGATATAGTGAAGATTAAGTGAGAGTTGTTAGTCCATTCATTGTGTTCCCCATACCTGTTAAAATTTTTTCCTTCCAAAATTATTATGCTCTCTGTATTAGACCAATTATAGAAGCAGCTGAGGACTTGAGAAGTATTGTAAATAGAACAAATTTTGGCTTTAGCTGGGAAAGGAACAGAGATTCAGTCCCTTCTTATTGAGTCCAGAATTGGTGGTGGATCTGGATTCAGGAAATCAGGCAGATGTTGGAGCCATTTCACTCCCTGCCCCCACCCCTGGCCCAGCATACACAGCAAAGCTCCAAAGACCCAGGGTGCGTTCTGCAGGCAGTTCCTTCATATGCTAATGAACAGTTACAAAAGCTGAACAGCAGGACCAAACTGGTTTCTGTGGGCCCAAGCAGCTGGGAATTACTGCCCTACCCTTCTTCCCAGAGATTTCACAGACCCTCCTTCTTCCACATTCCCACCAGCTGTCCTTAAATTGCCAGGAACCCACCTGTTTTAACTCATCTCTCTCGGCCTGTGTGGCCCTCAGTTATCTTTCTTATCATATCCCGACACTCTGAGTTCTACAAGCCCCTCTGCCTCTGCTTCCTCTCCTTACCACCCCTTCTCACAGGCCTTTGTCTTTCCTTCAGGTGCCCCAGGGATTCCAGGCAAACAACAGCGTCTGACCAGCCCCATCAGTACTAAGCACTCTTGAGGGGGTCCCAGTGGCAGAGCCCATAGCCCGTTAGCCTTTTGAATATTCACAATGTTCTTAGAAGGCAGGTAACATATCCCCATTTTATAAGAGAAAACAGGGCCAGGCGCGGTGGTTCATGGCTGTAATCCTAGCGCTTTGGGAGGCCGAGGCAGGTGGATTGCCTGAGCTCAGGAGTTCGAGACCAGCCTGGGCAATATGGTGAAACCCCATCTCTACTAAAAAAAAGAAAAAAAAATTATCCGGGCGTCGTGGTGCATGCCTGTAATCCTGGCTACTAAGGAGGCTGAGGCAGGAGAATCGCTTGAACCCAGGAGGCAGAGGTTGCAGTGAGCCGAGATCACGCCATTGCACTCCAGCGTGGGTGACAGAGTGAGACTCTGTCTCAAAAACAAAAAACAAAAAAAAAAGAAAAAACAGGCACCCAAAGAAATGAAGTAACTTAATCAGGATCATAAGTGACAAGAGCCAGCATTCAATCCAGTCGGACGCTGCCCAAGCCCTTCCTCCTAATCACAACAACTACCTTCTAGAGGCAGGAGACATTTCTAATTGGTGGAGGGATGAGGCAACTCTGAAGTCTGAAGGAAAACAGCATCCGTGAGAGAACCAAGATGCAGAACCAGTTGGTGGAATCCACAGATCTGGCCCTGCTGGGTCACAGGTTCTCACCCTAGTTTCCCTCCCTGCCTAAATCTTGCTGAGGCTTGTCCTTGATGCTAACTACATGTAGCTTTCACACGCAGGATTGAGAGCATGCACTGGTCTCAATTCCTCCTTTGACATCCATGCCTGGTTTTCGTAGGTGCATCTGTCTCACGTACCTGGAGTCATTGTGTTAAACTCTAAGATCCTGGGCTTTTAGGAAGTGGCTCTGATCTTTGTCTCTCTCACCCTGATGTTTTATGAGGATGATGGCCTAACAGGGTCCTGCCAGGTTGCAGAGGGAAGACCTTTAAACAAGATGACTTGTTTAAATACTATATGGTTGGCCGGGCGCAGTGGCTCACGCCTGTAATCCCAGCACTTTGGGAGGGCGGGTGGATCACTTGAGGTCAGGAGTTCAAGACCAGCCTGGCCAACATGGTGAAACTCTGTCTCTACTAAAAATACAAAGCCCCTGTGGTCCCAGCTAGTTGGGAGGCTGAGGCACAAGAATTGCTTGAACCTGGGAGGTGGAGGTTGCAGTGAGCTGAGATCACACCACTGTACTCCAGCCTGAGCAACAGAGCAAGACCCTGTCTCAAAAAAAATAAAAAATAAAAAAAACAATATGGTATATTTAAGATTGGCTATTATAATATGCTCTTCACTGTGGTTAGTAACAGCAATAATAATAATCACCTGCATTTGTGTCATGCTTTTATGGTTTCCAAAGAACTTTTATGCACATTTTCTTTTTTTAATTTTCATTATATTTTTAATTCTGTAATAGATACTAAGTCTCAGACTATTTCTTCTTCATTTAATTTAGCAATAACTTAATCAGACTAGGAAGAAATATTTCAAGGGATAGGTGGATTTGCTTAATAAAAAATTATGTTTATTTTAAAAGCTCTCAGTGATTATTATCAAACCGTACAGTAGTCCGAGACTGCAGAAACAAATGTATGCGTCACAATATGTTTATCTCTGTGTTACCAAAACAATAAAAACATGAAATAATCTGGATATTTTACAAGAGTAAATTAAAATCTATTGAGAAGATGAAATATTCTGCTGCAATTGAAAATGGTGCTATGGAAGAATAAGCATTTGGGGAAATGTTCACTTTGTTGTTGAGTGGGGAAAACCAAGTCACAAAAAAGGAATGCAAATATCAATCTGATTTTTTATTATTTGTTTATGTTGGGATAAAGTCTCGCTCTGTTGCCCAGGCTGGAGTAAAGTGGTGTGATCACAGCTCACTACAGCCTTGAGCTCCTGGGCTCAAGTGATCTTCCCACCTCAGCCTCTTGAGTAGCTGGGATTACAGGCGCGTGCCGCCACTCCGGCTAAGTTTTGTATTTTTAGTAGAGACAAGGTTTCATCGTGTTGGTCAGGCTGGCCTTGAACTCCTAACCTGGTGATACGCCAGCCTCGGCCTCCCAAAGTGCTAGGATTACAGGCGTGAGCCACCACGCCCGGCCCATTTATTCTTAACTCTACCTGCATGTCACTGAGGTTGGTGGTTGGAAGGATGACCTTTCTATGACAAGAAAAGGAATCAATCAGGTAGAAGTTGTGTTGCAGGACTTATCTTTAGTTCAGCTAAAGACAGGTTCTTTGTTCCATGGCCATGAAAATCCGGGCTCGCAGACAATTTGAATAGTCAGTAAGATGGGGTTTTATTGGGTGAAAAGGAAGAAAAGGGGGAAACAGGGATTCTCGCAAGGCCAGAGTCCCTGCTACAGAGCTTCCCGCCTAGCCCTTTGAATCCCAGTTTCCACACAGGAAGAGGAAGGGCCATGCTCCTCCCTGCTGCAAACTTCTCGAAGCTTCATCTCATTGGGCAGGCTGGTTGGAGTTTCTTCCACCTGGCTGTCTCAGTTGTAGGTGGAAGAAATAGAAAGGGGAAAATGGGGAGAGTAGGAGGGTGCAATCCTACCACTACAGCTACTTATGTGGGCATCTCAGCCCCTGCAGATCAACCTTTCCCATCTCTTTAATTAGCATGTGGCATAATGACTACTCTCCACACCTCAGCCCATCATGTACTTATTTCATTAAGTAATCGCTAGCACATATGCTGTCGCCTGACTCTTCATGAGGGGCGAGGTGCCAGTTCTGCACCCTAGAGCAGTATCATTTTTCAGAAGGTGAGATTGCTATTGTGGCTGCATTTCCCATGATGTCATGACTAACTCTCTGTCTACACATGTCCCAGTGACACATCACCCAGCCACAATTCCAGCCCCAGTTTGAAAGTCTTCATAACTCTTTTCCTTAAAAATATTTCTCGCCTCTCCCTCTCCCCCTCCCCCTCCCCCTCTCCCTCTCCCCACGGTCTCCCTCTCCCTCTCTTTCCAGGGTCTCCCTCTGATGCCCAGCCGAAGCTGGACTGTACTGCTGCCATCTCGGCTCACTGCAACCTCCCCGCCTGATTCTCCTGCCTCAGCCTGCAGAGTGCCTGCCATTGCAGGCACGCGCCGCCACGCCTGACTGGTTTTCGTATTTTTTTGGTGGAGATGGGGTTTCGCTGTGTTGGCCGGGCTAGTCTCCAGCTCCTAACCGCGAGTGATCCGCCAGCCTCGGCCTCCGGAGGTGCCGGGATTGCAGACGGTGTCTGGTTCAATCAGTGCTCAATGGTGCCCAGGCTGGAATGCAGTGGCGTGATCTCGGCTCGCTACAACCTCCACCTCCCAGCCACCTGCCTTGGCCTCCCAAAGTGCCGAGAGTGCAGCCTCTGCCCGGCCGCCACCCCGTCTGGGAAGTGAGGAGCGTCTCTGCCTGGCCGCCTATCGTCTGGGACGTGAGGAGCCCCTCTGCGTGGCTGCCCAGTCTGGAAAGTGAGGAGCGTCTCTGCCCGGTCGCCATCCCATCTAGGAAGTGAGGAGCGCCTCTTCCCGGCCGCCATCCCATCTAGGAAGTGAGGAGCATCTCTGCCTGGCCGCCCTTCTTCTGAGATGTGGGGAGCGCCTTTGCCCCACCGCCCTGTCTGGGATGTGAGGAGCGCCTCTGCCAGGCCGCGACCCCGTCTGGGAGGTGAGGAGCGTCTCTGCCCAGCCGCCCCGTCTGAGAAGGGAGGAGACCCTCCGCCCGGCAACCGCCCCGTCTCAGAAGTGAGGAGCCCTTCCACCCGGCAGTCACCCCGTCTGGGACGTGAGGAGCGTCTCCGCCAGGCAGCCACCCCGTCCGGGAGGGAGGTGGGGGTCAGCCCCCACCAGGCCAGCCGCCCCGTCCGGGAGGGAGGTGGGGGGGGATCAGCCCCCTGCCCGGCCAGCCGCCCCGTCCGGGAGGAAGGTGGGGGGGCCAGCCCCCCGCCCGGCTAGCCGCCCCGTCTGGGAGGTGAGGGGCGCCTCTGCTCAGCCGCCCCTACTGGGAAGTGAGGAACCCCTCTACCCGGCCAGCCGCTCCGTCCGGGAGGGAGGTGGGGGGGTCAGACCGGCCAGCCGCCCCGTCCGGGAGGGAGGTGGGGGGGTCAGCCCCCCGCCCGGCCAGCCGCCTCGTCCGGGAGGTGAGGGGCGCCTCTGCCCGGCCACCCCTACTGGGAAGTGAGGAGCCCCTCTGCCCGGCCAGCCGCCCCGTCCGGGAGGGAGGTGGGGGGGTCAGCCCCCCGCCTGGCCAGCCGCCACGTCCGGGAGGGAGTTAGGGGGGTCAGCCCCCTGCCCAGCCAGCCCCCTCGTCCCGGGGGGTGAGGGGCGCCTCTGCCGGGCCGCCCCTACTGGGAAGTGAGGAGCCCCTCTGCCCGGCCAGCCGCCCCGTCCGGGAGGGAGGTGGGGGGGGTCAGCCCCCCGCCCGGCCAGCTGCCTCGTCCGGGAGGTGAGGGGCGCCTCTGCCCGGCCGCCCCTACTGGGAAGTGAGGAGCCCCTCTGCCCGGCCACCACCCCGTCTGGGAGGTGTACCCAACAGCTCATTGAGAACCGGCCATGATGACAATGGCGGTTTTGTGGAATAGAAAGGGGGGAAATGTGGGGAAAAGATTGAGAAATCGGATGGTTGCCGTGTCTGTGTGGAAAGAAGTAGACATGGGAGACTTTTCATTTTGTTCTGTACTAAGAAAAATTCTTCTGCCTTGGGATCCTGTTGATCTGTGACCTTACCTCCAACCCTGTGCTCTCTGAAACAGGTGCTGTGTCCACTCAGGGTTAAATGGATTAAGGGTGGTGCAAGATGTGCTTTGTTAAACAGATGCTTGAAGGCAGCATGCTCGTTAAGAGTCATCACCACTCCCTAATCTCAAGTACCCGGGGACACAAACACTGAGGAAGGCCGCAGGGTCCTCTGCCTAGGAAATCCAGAGACCTTTGTTCACTTGTTTATCTGCTGACCTTCCCTCCACTATTGTCCTATGACCCTGCCAAATCCCCCTCTGTGAGAAACACCCAAGAATGATCAATAAAAAAAAATAATAATAATTAAAAAAAATATTTCTCACCTGGGCGTGGTGGCTCACGCCTGTAATCCTAGTACTTTGGGAGGCTGAGGTAGGCAGATCATGAGGTCAGGAGTTCGAGACCAGACTGGCCAACATGGTGAAACGCCGTCTCTTCCAAAAATACAAAAATTAGCAGGGCGTGGTGGCACACGCCTGTAGTCCCAGCTATTCAGGCAGACAGCTGAGGCAATAGAATAGCTTGAACCGGGAGGTGGAGGTTGCAGTGAGCCGAGATTGTGCCACTGCACTCCAGCCCGGGTGACAGAGCGAGACTCTGTCTCAAAAAATAAAAATAATAAATAAATAAAATTCCCATTTTTTGATCAAATGAAAAAAAAAATCTACAAAGTAGAAAACCCCAAAAACCATAACACTAGATAATAGTTGACCACTAATGCCTGAAATGATTATCATGAGCGATTATTTCTTTGGGTCTAGAAGGCCTTTGTGTAGATGAGCGACCACTATGACCAATTCACTCCTTGCCTACCATCCAGACACCTTAGCCTCACTGCCAACAAGCTAAGAGATGCTGGCTGAGTAAGGGCCTACTCTGGCTTATAAGGACCCCTGCAGCTCCAGTGATTTATAATTCTAAGTAAACTAACACTTTAAAGAGATGAGTCAAGAGCTGCTTGATGGAAAATCACTCCAGGCAAAGGATACTGAGTGCAAAGGAATGACGGGGGCATACATGGCTGGAGCAGGATGATGATATGAATCACAGGCGATAACATCAAGGAGGTGGTGTGTGTGTGTGGATGGGGAAGAGGGGACAGGATGTGTAAACCTTTGATAGATTTTGGTTTTCACTCAGAGGGAAGTGGAAAGCACTTTAGTATTTTTGTTTTCTTTTCCTTTTTTTGTTCTTGGAGCAAAAAATGGAGTGTTGCTCTTGTTGCCCAGGCTGGAGTGCAATGGTGCCATCTCGGCTCACCACAACCTCCGCCTCCCAGGTTCAAGTGATTGAACAGCCTCCCGAGTAGCTGGGATTCCAGGTGCCCGACACCACACATGGCTAAATTCTTTTGTATTTTTAGTAGAGACAGGGTTTGGCCATGTTGGCCAGGCTGGTCTCAAACTCCTGATCTCAGGTGATCTGCCTGCCTCGGCCTCCCAAAGTGCTAGGATTACAGGCATGAGCCACTGTACCCAGCCTAATTTTCATTTTATAATTTTTTTTTTTTTTGAGACAGAGTCTTGCTCTGTTGCCCAGGCTGGAGTGCAGTGGCACAATCTCTGGTCACTGCAACCTCCGCCTCCAGGACTCAAGCGATTGTCCTGCCTCAGCCTCCGGAGTAGCTGGGATTATAAGCCTGTGCCACCACGTCTGGCTAATTTTTAGTAGAGATGGGGTTTCACCATGTTGGCCAGGCTGGTCTCGAACTCCTGACCTCAAGTGATCTGCCTGCCTTGGCTTCCCAAAGTGCTGGGATTACAGGTGTGAGCCAGTGTGCCTGGCCAAATAATTTTAATTTTTTAGAGACAGGGTCTCACTTGGTTGCTCAGGCTAGAGTGCAGTGGCACAATCACAGCTCACTGCAGCCTGGAGCTCCTGGGCTTAAGTGATCCCTCTGCCCAGCCACCTGCATAGCTGGGACTATAGGTGCATACAACCACCCCTGGGCAATTTTTTTGTAGAAATAGGGTCTCAATATATTGCCCAGGCTGATCTCAAACTCCTAGGCTCAACCAATCCTTCTGCCTTGGCCTCCCAAATTTCTGGGATTATAAGCATGAGCCACTGCACCTAGCCTGACTCCAAGACTTGATTTGAGCAATTGGAAGGATGGAGTTGTAATTTAAGGAGAGGGGGAAGACTGTGAAAAGGGCAGTGGAGGTGTAATGAATCAGGAAGTTAGTTTTGGACTTATGCTTGATATGCCTGTAGAAACATCCAAGGGGGGATTTTGAATAGCTAGATGAATATGCTATATGTCTGGATTGGGGAAATCAGGAGTAGAAATAGAAATTTGGGAGCTGTCAACATATAGATCGTATTTAAAACCATGGGAGTGAATGAGGTCACCAAAGGAATGAGTGTATACTTTGAGAAGAAAAGAAGTCTGCTGGGCGCAGTGGCTCATGCCTGTAATCCCAACAGTTTGGGAATCCAAGGTGGGAGGATTGCTTGAGCCCAGGTGTTCAAGACCAGCCTGGGCAACATAGTGAGAACCTGTCTCTACAAGAAATAAAAAAGTATTAGCCAGGCCTGGTGGTGTGTGCCTGTAGTCCCAGCTACTCAGGGCCTGAGGTGAGAGGATTGCTTAAGCCTGGGAGGTTGAGGCTGCAGTGAGCCATGATCGTGCCACTGCACTCCAGCCTGGGCAGCAGAGTAAAATCCTGTCTCAAAAAAAAAAAAAAGAAAAGAAGTCCAAAGACTAAGCTAGGGGCACTCACTCCAGAATATAGTGGTCAGGAGGGTAGGTGGGAACTAGCAAAGAACCCACTTCTGAGTTGCTAATGCGACAGATGGAGAATCAAGAGAAGAGTGGGCCTGGAAGCCAAGTGAATAGAGCATTCCAGAAAGAGGGAGAAATCAATCGTGTCCAATTCTACAGCTAGGCTGAGTAACTGAGAAAGGACTGAAAGAGGACCATAGGACTTACCATGTGGATTTCATTACTAACCTTGTCCAGAGTGAGTGCTCAATGAATCAGTGAATAAATGAGTGTAACTTTCTCCAACTATATTTGATTAGGACCCAGTAACTTGGGACTTTGTTTCTCCAGGAAGAGTTTGACAAATTATTTGAATGAAATACCTTTTCCCTCAATGTCTAAACTCCTCTTTGGAATTGTAGGTGGTGGAAGATTGCAGAAGGTTCCTAATCTCTGGAAGCCAGGCAGTCTAGTTGCCTGTGGTCATTTCTTTGTACTGTTCCACACAGCCATACAATACTCCAATCCCTTCAGGGCGAAGGAGTCATCAACACCTGAAAAACAAATACTATACTCCCAAAATTACAGAAAAACACCTGCAAACTGACTCAAGTGAGTTTAGTTCATTTAGTCAGGCTGGGGGAAGAAACCACATTTTTGAGATAATTAACTCATAGCATTGTTCAATAAAGTCTTTTATTGGAAATTGTGATGATTCAAGGCATATTCCCATAAAATACAGTGAAAATTTAAATCGAAAGCAGCTGGACCCTGATGTATTGTTCTCTGAAAGAGGAAGATTCCACCTTAAAGGCAGTCATTCTATAGCAGTTCCCATTTCTTAGGTGCTTACTATATACCAGAAACGGTACTAAGAAGTGCTTTATGGACATTTAGCAAAGTGAATCCTCACAACCACCCTACGAGAGAGGTACTAGTATCATTCCCAGATGATAGATGTAATATTAATAAGCTACAGATGAGGAAATGGATGCTTGAAAAGTTTGAAGGGACATCTTAGGAATCAGTTATCTCCCCTGGGGAGGGACCTTCAGGAATGGCCTGATCCCTATCAGGAGAGCTGTCCGCTGTTCAGGATGTCAAAGGTTCCTGTTCTGCTTCTAGAAGTCAGCTTTTCCTGGGAGGAAAAGTGGGCATGGGCTGAGGTGAGAGCTGGGGTGCAGGTGGAGTATGAAGACTCCTCAGAGAAAGGAAATAAACAAAAAATATTTATTGAGCTTCTACCATGTATCAAACCCAGTCACTAGTCACTATTTTATCCTCAGACAGACACCTATAAACCTTTAAACCACGTGTGTGTGTATATATATATATATTATAAGAAAGCTTAGAGAGGATAAGTAAACTTGGGATCACACAGATGTCAACAAGGGGAGAAGCCTGTCCGGGTGTGGTGGCTCATTCCTGTAATCCCAGCACTTTGGGAGGCTGAGTGGGGAGGATCACATGAAGCCAGGAGTTCCAGACCAGACTGGACAAGATAGGGAGACCCCACTTCTATTTTCTAATAGAAATTAAAATAAAAAATAAAGAAAATTTCTTTATACATTGAGCTGAAATTAAACCCCACTGTGGCTTCCACCAATTTTTGCTCTCTGGAGCAACTCAAAACACATCTAAATCCTCTTCTACAAGCGAATCCTTTAAATATTTGAAAATACCTATGTCTCTCTTCTGTGCTCTTCTGGTACCAATAGTTTAAATGGGTAACAGTAGACTTTGTTTTATTCAATCTTTTAAAAAGCAAATAAAAAGTAAGACATGCTGGGTGCGGTGGCTCACGCCTGTAATCGCAGCACTTTGGGAGGCGGAGGTGGGCTGATCACGAGGTCAGGAGTTCGAGACTAGCCAGACCAACATGGTGAAACCCCGCCTCTACTAAAAATACAAAAATTAGCCAGATGTGGTGCACGCCTGTAACTCCAGCTACTCGGGAGGCTGCGGCCAGAGAATTGCTTGAACCCAGGAGACAAAGTTTGCAGTGAGCCGAGATCACGCCACTGCACTCCAGCCTGGGAGACAGAGCGAGACTCCGTCTCAAAAACAAAAAGTAAGACATTACCAATATGATGCCAACCCTCATGCACTCATCCCCAACCCCACACTTCTCTTCTCCCACCCCTTCTATCTGCTTTTGTATTTATTTAGCCTATGGGATCCCAATGCAGAGGAGCCCTGGTGGACGCATTTATAGTGCAGCGATGAATAGAAGACAGTGATAGTCTTATACTGGAGTTGAAATGTGATAAACATTTATACACTGTGTTTATAAGTCGTGTAACTCTGGCCAATTTATCTGGTCTTTCTAAGCTCACTTTCCTCGTCTGTAAAATGGGAAGAATAATCATACTTATTGCGCTGGTTGTTATGGGGATTAAGCAAGATAATTCTCTAAAGCTTTGGCACTTGGCGCTGAAAGTAGCCATTCCATGTCTTCTTTCCCGCCCCGCCTCTTGTGCTCCCCACCGCTTTCGTGATGTCCGCAGTTGCCCACCTGCCTCTACAATAAAAAACGCATCCCTCCTCCTGCAGGGTCCACCGCACCGGGAAGCCCTGTCTGTATCAGTTACCAACCACAATTGCAGTGAGTACGAATCGTGGCTTTCCCACAGTCAGGAAAGGCAAGGGAGACCGACGACCCGCTTCTCTAGGAGTAAGTAAAGATTAAAGGTAGTTCGCGGTATAGCCTAGGCAGGGATTAACCCGTGGTCCCAGCGCTCCTGCTATTTGCATTCCAAAGCAGACACCTCATGCGCTCAACCCCGCCCGCAGGCGGCTCCCGCAGTCTAAGGGACCTGGCGCGAGTCCGGGAAGCGGAGGGCGCAGCTGCGCAGGGAAGGGGGCCGGGGGCGGGACCAGGGCGCGCGTTCCGGTCCCGGGGCGTGGCCTCCCGCAGGTGAGTACGCTGCTCCTTCGGTTTCCCTGAAACCTAACCCGCCCTGGGGAGGCGCGCAGCAGAGGCTCCGATTCGGGGCAGGTGAGAGGCTGACTTTCTCTCGGTGCGTCCAGTGGAGCTCTGAGTTTCGAATCGGCGGCGGCGGATTCCCCGCGCGCCCGGCGTCGGGGCTTCCAGGAGGATGCGGAGCCCCAGCGCGGCGTGGCTGCTGGGGGCCGCCATCCTGCTAGCAGCCTCTCTCTCCTGCAGTGGCACCATCCAAGGTGAGAAACCTGGCCAAGGAGGGCTCTTATCTCTGAGGAGCTGGGGTCCTGGGCACGCTGGGCAGACGGTGGGATCCGGGCAGGTGTGCGAAGGCTGTTCTGCTGCCGGCACCCATCTCTACGAATCCCTTAGCCTCCCCTTGGTGGCTTTGATGTGAGGTCTCTGCGCCAAGGAGGCACCCAGGTGGGACATGCGGGAGCAGCTGAAGTCAGCGGAGCCGGGCAGAGGCAGAGATTTCCCCAAAGACCCCACTTCCCGTAGAGGCTGTCATGCTGGGCACCTCCAGGCCCCAGCGTGGGTTCGGGGAAAGGGAGGGAAGGAAGGAGTAGCTGTGTCTAAAGGGTACGCAGAGGACCTAGTCCCCTCCCCGGGCTTGGTTGCTTTGTAAACACTAAGTCATTAAGAGCTTTTTGCCAACTCCGGAGACTTCCTCCGCTGGCCCCGCGGGGCCGGTGGGGTTAGCGAGCTGATTGCGCAGGGCAGGGCGGAGTGGGTGGGAACCCGCGGCCCGGGAGCCTTCTAGGTTGTTTTTTGCGTCCCTCTCCAACTGCTGGAAGCCTTTCTTCGGGTTCTGGCCCCTGCGTTCGAGACCCACCCGGGTCCCGCTGCTCCTGGCACCCACAGTGGAAGGCCCGGGGTATGAAAGTCAGGGCCGGTCCCTGATGGGTTCTGGTGGTAATGAGCGCTCAGGCCCGTTGGGCGCCACGAGGATTTACGAGCGGAACTTTTTGGACCCTGCCTTATATTTGACCAGTTGACCCTCTGGGCCTGGGGTTCCGGGACTTTCCTAGTGTGCCACCCGGAGCGGCCACTGGCTGCCACCCAGGTCTGCAGGCCAGAGGCTGGCTGGCCTGGGAACAGAGCAGCACTTGCGCCCGGCCGTCGCGTTCCTTGGATGTGCTGCTCCGGGTGTGCTCGAACTTGTATTGCTGGGAGTGTGTTCTTCCGGGCCCAGCAGGCCTCGCTGTGGCCGTGGGGGATGTTTGACCTGCGATCGCGCCACTGTGATCCTAACCGAGGCCCCTCTGTTTGGGGCAGCCTGGGTAGCAAAGGGAGCTTTTAATTTCCCTCAGAAATGCGCATTTCTCACTTTTATCCTCCTCTTCATAAAGACGAAGTAAAAGAGCAAGTCACAGTGGGTTGGAATTAGATGGAAGAATGTGATTCTTTTCCCTCTGCAGTTAGGGAAAAGGGTGTTAATGGTGTAAGCTTGAAAACTGTGCACCGCTGGTATATTTTTTTTTCTTAATCAGCATCAGAATAAAGGCATTTAGTTCCAGGAAGTATTGAAAACTGTAATGGACACCTCTCCTCTATGTCCTTTAAAGTTGGAAACTTAAAATTCAGGAGCAAAGGTTAGTATGTGCAAACTTTAAAAAAATACATGTTGGTATAGCTGATTCAACATCTTTATGATTCAGAGATCCCTGTAGGAAGCATGCCCCGATTATTTGTCTTGTTCTTGTTTACTACTCTTGGGGGATTGGGAGATCCCTGGATTATAAGGCGAACTTGATTTAACAATAAGGAAAAATCAGGTTACTTGTTAACTATAGCCACTTAATATTGCACCTTGTTCCTCATCCTCCCCCCACCATACTTTTATTCCCTTGCAAAGTAACTTTCCCAAAGGGTTAGTGAAGTAACACTGACAATTGATTTAGGCAGATGGAGCTTTCCTCCCACCTTAAAACTAAATTGATTTTAATAAGAAATACAGTGTTAGCAAAGCTTTTCTGCCCTCAGGGTGGGTCTTTGCTCACTCGCTTTTTAGCCGGTCCTTCTGCGTGCCCCTCAGGTGGCTGCAGGGCCGATTTGGGGTTTGATTTTCTTCCCAAAGCCTCACTCCAAAAGACTGCCTCATAGAAACGAACTCAGCCGAGATCACAACCTTCTCAGGGTACAGGTGAAGGACACTGAATTGAGGAGGCAAGGCAAGGAAAACACTTGGAAATCAGGGCTTCTCTTTCCCTTTACAATAGTAATTGATAATTATTTGGGTAAACATGCTTAATATGTGTCCTCACTGCATCGTTAACTCCTGGAGGCAGGGGGCCCTACCATCCTTTCCATCACGTCTAGCATAGTCTCATCACCTACGGGACCTCAGTAAATAGCAAATGAATGAAGTGAGGAGTCTTGCCCAGAGTACCCTGGCTGGTCCATGTGGTGTTCATTTCAGTCAGCTTCTCTCTGCCACTTACTTATTTTTTTCCACCATGTTACAGGCCTAGGTCATTCCATTTATCTTTTGGAGACTGGAACTTCTGTTTTCTTTATAATTGGTTTGGTGGTTTTTTTTTGTTTTTTTGGTTTTTTGGGTTTTTTTTTTTTTTGACTCTCATTCGGTTGCCCAGGCTTGAGTGCAGTGGTGCAATTTTGGCTCATTGCAACCTCCACCTCTCCCGGGCTCAAGGAAGTCTCCTGCTGCAGCCTCCCGAGTAGCTGGGACGACAGGCACGCACCACCACCCCCAGCTAATTTTTGTATTTTTAGTAGAGACAGGGTTTCACCATATTGGTCAGGCTGATCTCAAACTCCTGACCTCAGGTGATCCACCCACCTTCAGCCTCCCAAAGTGCTGGGATTACAGGCATGAGCTACTGCGCCCTACCTATAATTGTTTTTTAAATTATAAAAACAATATGTGATCACTCGAGGGAAAAATGAGCCAAAACAAAAAAAGGAAACATTTAATTAAATCACCCTGAACTTCAGTACCAAAGTAGCCACCGCTAATATTTCGGCTTATATATTTTCCCACTCTTTATTACATCCATGCACAAAATATGTATTCACAAATACAGAAAATATGTTTGTGCAAGTATGGGATTATATAAGCACATCAGTATCATGTCAATACATATAAAACATTTTTAATGACTCCAAAATGTTACAGAAGGATGCATCAATTTTAAAATTAGTCCTTTGTTGATAGACATGTGGTATTTCCATTTTTTTTTTCCCCCTGAGATAGAATCTCACTCTGTTGCCCAGGCTGTAGTGCAGTGGCACGATCTCGGCTCACTGCAACCTCTGCCTCCCAGGTTTAAGTGATTCTCATGCCTCAGCCTCTGGAGTAGCTGGGACTACAGGCGCACACCACCACATCCAACTAATTTTTGTGTTTTTGGTATAAACGGGGTTTCGCCACGTTGGCCAGGCTGATCTTGAACTCCTGACCTCAAGTGATCCACCTGCCTCAGCCTCCCAAAGTGCTGGGATTATAGGCATGAGCCACCGTGCCTGGCCAAAGTTTTGTAATATGACAGAACACTGCAATGAACTGGAAGATAGGACTTTAAATTTGATCCTTTTGCTTGCTTTGTAGTTACTAAATAACCTTGATAGATGATGTTTTAGTAAATCTGTATTTGACTTTCTTATGGTTTTATTAGCTTGGCAAGTGTTGAAGAAAACAGTTCATTCTGAAAGAACACTTCTGAAAATGTACTAAAAGTTTAGCTAGGGAGGGGCACCCCACAATTGAAACCTTTATTTTTCAGTCTGTGCTCCCAAAGATTGGGAGCAAAAAAGGACATTTGGGGTGAGGGGATCATAGAGAAGAGAGGGTGAAAGGAAGAGAACTAATGCAAGTAAAGTGCTTGTTTTACACTTGGTTTGATGGGGAGGTTGGGCCACAAGAGGAGTATACTTAAAATAAAAATTAAATTAAAAGTTTTAGGCCAAGCGTGGTGGCTCACGCCTGTAATCCCAGCACTTTGGAAGTCAAGGCGGGTGGATCACAAGGTCAGGAGATCAAGACCATCCTGGCTAACATGGTGAAACCCTGTCTCTACTAAAAATACAAAAAATTAGCCGGGCATGGTGGCGGGCGCCTGTAGTCCCAGCTGCTTGGGAGGCTGAGGCAGGAGAATGGCGTGAACCCGGGAGGTCGAGCTTGCAGTGAGCCGAGATCGTGCCTCTGCACTCCAGCCGGGGCAACAGAGTGAGACTCAGTCTCAAAAAAAAAAAAAAGTTTTACACGCAGATTTTCCCAAAATTGTGTAAATCAGAAGGGTCTAAAAAAAAGTGAAAATCTCTCATTCTTTCTGGTCTCCAATCTCAGCACAACTTCTCGGGTTTTGTTTGTTTGGTTGGTTGGTTTTTTTTTTTTTTTTTTGAGATGGAGTCTCGCTGTGTCGCCCAGGCTGGAGGGCTGGAGTGCAGTGATGTGATCTCAGCTCACTGCAACCTGCGCTTTCCAGGTTGAAGTGATTCTCCTGCCTCAGCCTCTCAAGTAGATGGGATTACAGATGCGCGCCAACACCTCCAGCTAATTTTTGCATTTTTAGTAAAGCCAGAATTTTGCCATGTTGGCCAGGCTGGTCTTGAATTCCTGACCTCAAGTGATCCGCCCGCCTTGGCCTCCCAAAGTGCTGGGATTATAGGTGTGAGTCACTATTCCTGGCCATCAGCTCAACTTCTCTATGCACAAATGATTTATAGGAATAGAAGGAGCATACCGTACTGTACATACTGTGCTATGATTTATTTATCTTTTTTACCTAATCGATTCATAGTCAGTTTATAGAAATCTGTACAAACTTTTTTTTTTTTTTTTTGAGACGGAGTCTTGCCGTGTCGCCCAGGCTGGAGTGAAGGGGCGCTATCTCAGCTCGCTGTAAGCTCTGCCTCCCGGGTTCATGCCATTCTCCTGCCACAGCCTCCCAAGCAGCTGGGACTACAGACGCCCGCCACCATGCCCGGCTAATTTTTTGTATTTTTAGTAGAGACAGGGTTTAACCGTGTTAGCCAGGATGGTCTCGGTCTCCTGACCTCGTGACCCACCTGCCTCGGCCTCCCAAAGTGCTGGGATTACAGGCGTGAGCCACTGCGCCGACCCTGTACAAACTTTTATAGGGGGGTAATTGAACTAGTCCTCCCCACCACACCCCCCCCCCCTTTTTTTTTTAAAGAGACTGGGTCTGGCTGTCACCCAAGCTGGAGTGCAGTGGCAGGATCATAGCTCACCCCCAGCTAATTTTTTTTTTAGACGGAGCTCCCAAGTAGCTGGGGCTATGGCTAGGTTGCCACTATGCCTGGCCTGAACTACTCCCCTCTTCCCGCCCATCCCCGAACCCCAGATGAAGTCTTGCTCTGTCACCCAGGCTGGAGTGCAGTGGTGTGATCTCAGCTCACTGCAACCTCCGCCTCCCAGGTTCAAGCCTCCCAGGTTCAGCCTCCCAAGTAGCTGGGATTACAGGTGCCCGCCACCACACCCAGCTAATTTTTGTATTTTTAGTAGAGACGGGGTTTCACCATGTTGGCCACGCTGATCTCAAACTCCCGATCTCATGATCC
This sequence comes from Homo sapiens, assembly GCF_000001405.40. NCBI lineage: Eukaryota > Metazoa > Chordata > Mammalia > Primates > Hominidae > Homo > Homo sapiens. Next base: position 76,824,570 of record NC_000005.10, read on the forward strand.
GCCCGCCTTAGCCTCCCAAAGTGCTGGGTTTACAGGCGTGAGCCACCCTGCCAGGGCCTGAACTACTCCCCTTTTTGATAGATGTTGAAATTAACATTGTTTTACCATGCTAAACAATGTTCCAGTGAATATTCTAGTACATAAAATAGCTTTGTGCACTTTAGCTGGTAGGTGCAGGGCAAATTCCTAGAAGTAAATTGCTAGGTCATATGGCAAATACATTTAAAATTTTGATATGTTTTGCCAAATTACCCACCAAAAATATTATATCAATTTATATTCCTTTGAGATACAAAATTCAAATAATATAGAGAGGTGTAAAATAAAAAGAAAAGTTCTCTTGTCCCCAGCTATTCTACTCCACAGAGCCAGCCACTTTTTATTGTTTGGTGGATATCCTTCTAGACTTCAGATTTTGCAAATTGTACATTATAATTTTTTTTTTTTTTTTTTTTTGAGACAGAGTCTCACTCTGTTGCCAGGCTGAAGTGCAGTGGCATGATCTCGGCTCACTGCAACCTCTGCCTTCTGGGTTCAAGCGATTCTCCTGCCTCAGCCTCTGGAGTAGCTGGGACTACAGGCGCGTGCACTACACTTAGCTAATTTTTGTATTTTTTAGTAGAGATTGGGTTTCACCATGTTGGTCAGGATGGTCTCGATCTCTTGATCTCAGGATCCACCCGCCTCGGCCTCCCAAAGTGCTGGGATTACAGGTGTGAGCCACCATGCCTGGCCAGTTTCTTTTTTCAATTGACTGTATATTGTGGCTGTCTTTCCATTTCAATATTATTGGCTACTATATTGTCTACCCTTAGTAGTAGGGACTACGTCAGGGACATGCTAAGTTAGGAATAGAAATAAGGAGCTGTTTGTCTGTAACTGAGTGGGGGGATGCTGCCTTGAGCATCTGTGAGTGTGTATTTTCACACACTTGGGCAATAATTGTTTATTACAGCCCTAGAAATGGGAATGTAATTGTAGCCAGGCACTTTATTTGTGTTTAAACTTCATTTGTGCATTTAGTCTCTCCTCAACTCTGTGAAATAGAAATGATTTTACCTGGTTGACAATTGGGAGCTGGGATAGCATCGGTTCTCTAGACAAGCTCTGTGAGTTTTGGTGAGTGGTAAGGACCCTGTACAGAGTCAGAGCAAATGCACTGGGCAAGGGCTTCAGGGACCTTCGAGTAGCATCTTGACATTTACCAGTGTTATAGAACAGTTAATATCAACAATAGTTTTGATGGAGACCATTAAAGGTTATGTGTTGAAATATTCTAAGAAAAAGTTCCTTTTTAAAAAAAAATTGTTATATTGCCATTCCTTGCTCCTTTTTTGGTCTTTATTTTAGCATTCTTATTTAAAACAGATTTTGAGCACTCTTTATGTGAGCTTTCCTGACTTGGTACATGCTTATTTTTATGGAGAATTTTAATCTTATAGAAATATACTATTATAGTGAATTAAGTGTATCCACCACTCAACTTCAATAATTATTAACTGTTGGCTAATCTTGTTTCATCTATTCCCAAACTCACCTCCCACTCCTCTTCCCTGTTATTTCTTTTCTGTTTTTTTCCCTTTCCTATGATGCCAAGCCTGTGTTTTTTTTTTAACAGCTTTACCAAGAATTCCATATCAGATAATTTGCACACCATACAATTCACCCCTTTAAACTGTACAATTTAGTGGCTTTTAGGATGTTCATAGAATTATTCAACCATTACCACAATTTTAGAACATTTTTATTACCCTGGAAGAAACAGTTTAGCTGTCATTCACCAATCTTCTGGTCTTAGCCCTTGGCAAACACTAATCTACTTTCTATTTATGGATTTGCCTATTGTAGACATTTGATAGAAATGGGATAATGTGTTGTCCTCTGTGACTGGCTTCTTTCACTTAGCATAATCTTTTGGAGATTCATCCATGTATCTATGTATCAGTACTTTTTTTTTTTTTTGAGACAGAGTCTTGCTCTGTCACCCAGGCTGGAGTGCAGTGGTGCAATCTCTGCAACCTTTGCCTCTAGTTTCAAGTGATTCTCCTGCCTCAGCCTCCTGAGTAGTTGGGACTGTGGGCCCACACCACCACCTCTGGCTAATTTTTGTATTTTTAGTAGAGACTGGGTTTCACCATGTTGGCCAGGCTGGTCTTGAGCTCCTGACCTCAGGTGATCTGCCTGCCTCAGCCTCCCAAGTACTTGATTTTTGAAAACAGCCAAATAATATTCCATTGTATGGATATACTGCTTTTTATTTCTTTTCAATTGTTGATGGACATTTGGATTGTTTCCACTTTTTTTTCCTTTTTTTGAGACAGGGTCCTGCTCTGTTGCCCAGGCTGGAGTGCAGTGGTGTAATCTCTGACCTCCTAGGTTCAAGCTGTCCTCCTGCCTCAGCCTTCCTAGTAGTGGGACTACAAGTGTGCACCACTATGCCTGGCTAATTTTGTAAAATGTTTGTAGAGATGGGGTTCTGCTCTGTTGCCCAGGCTTGTCTCAAATTCCTGGCCTCAAGCACTTCTCCCATCTCATCCTCCCAAAGTGATAGGATTACAGGTGAGCACCACTGTGCCCAGCCCACTTGTTGACTGTGGGCTGGGCACAGTGCTATATTATAATGCTGCTATGGCTGGGCGTGGTGGCTCACGCCTGTAATCCCAGCACTTTGGGAGGCCGAGGTGGGCGGATCACAAGGTCAGGAGATCGAGACCATCCTGGCTAACACTGTGAAACCCCATCTCTACTAAAAATACAAAAAAAAAAAAAAAAAAAAAAAATTAGCCAGGCGTGGTGGCAGGCGCCTGTAGTCCCAGCTACTGGGGAGGCTGAGGCAGGAGAATGGCATGAACCCGGGAGGCGGAGCTTGCGGTGAGCCGAGATCGCGCCACTGCACTCCAGCCTGGGCGACAGCGAGACTCCGTCTCAAAAAAAAAACAAAAACAAATAATGCTGCTATGAACATTTGTGTACAGGTTTTTGTGTGGACTCCTGCATACCTGGGAGTGGAGCTACTGGGTCATATAGTAACTTTTTTTTTTTTTTTTTTTTTTGAGACGGAGTCATGCTCTGTTGCCCAGAGTGCAATGGCACAGTCTAGGCTCACTGCAACCTCCGCCTCCCAAGTTCAAATGATTCTCCTGTCTCAGCTTCCCGAGTAGCTGGGACTATAGGCGTGTGCCACCACACCCAGCTAATTTTTGTATTTTTAATAGAGATGGGGTTTCACCATGTTAGCCAGGTGGGCTCAAAACCCCGACCTCGTGATCTGCCTGCCTCAGCCTCCCAAATTGCTGGGATTACAGGCGTGAGCCACTGCGTCCAGCCATATAGGAACTCTTTAACCATTTGAGGAACTGCCAGATAATTTCCCACAATAACTGTACCTTTTATTTTATTTTATTTTATTTATTTTAAATAGACATGGTTTCACTCTGTCGCCCAGGCTGGAGTGCAATGGCGTGATCTTGGCTCATTGCAACCTGTGCCTCCCGGTTCAAATGATTCTCCTGTCTCACCCTCCCAAGTTGCTGGGATTATAGGTGTATGCCACCACACCTGACTAATTTTTGTATTTTTAGTAGAGATGGGGTTTCACCATGTTGGCCAGGCTGGTCTCGAACTCCTGACCTCAGGTGATCCACCCACCTCGGCCTCCAATAGTGCTGGGATTAGAGGTGTGAGCTACTCTGCCCAGCCGTGCACCAGTTCGTATTCCTACCAGCAGTGTCTGAGAGTTTCAATTCCTGTGGTTGTGAAATAAATCTCAGATATAATTTCATCCTAAAGTATTTTAGAATGTATTAATAAAGTATGAGGGATTTCTTTTTCAAATATAAACATAATGCCATTATAGTATCTACTAACATTAATTTTTAATATAATCAAATATTCAGTCAGTATTCAAATTTCTTTCTTTTTTTTTTTTTTTTAATATAGAGACAGGGGCCTCACTCTGTCACCCAGAGTGGAGTGCAGTGGCACAATCTCACTGAATCATTGAACTCCTGGTCTCAAGTGATCTTCCTGTTTCAACTTTCCAAGTATCCAGGACTACAGGTGTGCGCCACCATGCCTGGCTAATTTTTTTTTTTTTTAATTTTTTGTAGAGACACGGTCTTGCTATGTTGGCCAGGCTGGTCTCAAACTCTTGGCCTCGAGCAATCCTTCCACGTCAGCCTCGCAAAGCACTGGGATTATAGGCATGAACAACCGTGCCTGGCTTTGTGTTCAAATTTCTAATTGTCTTATAAATGTTATTTTAGGCCGGGTGCAGTGGCTCATGCCTGTAATTCCAGCACTTTGGGAGGCTCAGGTGGGCAGATCACTTGAGATCAGGAGTTCGAGACCAGCTTGACCAACATGGTGAAACCCCATCTCTACTAAAAATACAAAAATTAGCTGGATGTAGTGGTGTGCACCTGTAATCCCAGCTCCTTGGGAAGCTGAGGCAGGAGAATTGCTTGAACCTGGGAGACGGAGGTTGCAGTGAACCAAGATCGCACCACTGCACTCCAGCCTGGGCGACAGAGTAAGACTCCATCTCAAAAAAAAAAACAAGTTATTTTTATGGTTTGTTTGAATCAGGATTGAAACAAGGTACACACATTATATGACTGATATGTCTTTTAAATCTTCTACTCTATAAATTTCACCTCCACACCTTTTTTTTACCTTTGTTCTTCTTCTTCTTCTTTTTTTTTTTTTTGAAGAGATGGCATTGTGCTATGTTGCCCTGGCTGGTCTTGAACTCCTGGTCTCAATCAATCCTCCTGCTTTGGCCTCTCAAAGTGCTGGGTATTGAAGGCATGAGGCACTGTGCCTGGCCCTCTTTCTTATTTTTTGCCTTATAATTTATATTTTGTAAAAAACAGGTCCTTTATCCTGTAGCAGTTCCCAGAGTCTCAATTTTACTGACTACATTTGTGGTGTTGTTTAACACTTTGCCCCCTTCATTTCCATTAATTTGGTGTTGGATAATTTCCACAATAACTGCACCAGTTGCTCAGTCTATAACACTAATCAAGCACTGAATCCAACACCAAATTAATTTCCAGTATGTTACTTTCTAATTGTTACATACATTGTCATTCTAAGTTAAGTGGCCTGTGAAATCAGTGTTAAAGAATAATAACTGGCTTTTTATAATAATGGAATAGAATACAATAGAAAGTATCAGTGCACCCTATGTAATAAGAATAATTATTATTTTGTGAAACGTTTTTCCACCATGGATATGTGTATTGGGAACTGGGTTAGTATGTGGAATATGGTTCTTAGGGGTTATGGTCAAATATTTGAAGAACACTGTAATATGTAGGAATTTTTTTTAAATTTAAAAACAACATATGTTCTTTTTGAAGAATTATATAAAAAAAATAGAACCACTAGAAATAGGACTATCCTAAGCATATTAGTTTCTTGTGGCTACCATAGCAAATTGCCATAAACTGATGATGTAAAACAACACATTTATTCTGTCAGTTCTGGAGACCAGAAGTCTGAAATCAAGGAATTGGGGCCACAAGCCCTCCAAAAGCTCTAAGGGAGAGTCCATTCCTTGCCTTTTCCAGCTTGCAGTGGCTGCTGGCATTTCTTGGCATTCTTGGCCTGTTCCTTGATGTGACTCCAATCTCTGCCTCCATTCTCATGTCACTCACTCCTCTGGCTTCTCCTTTTCTGCGTGTTGCAGATCTCTTTCTGCTTTTCTCTCTGTTTTGTTGTTTGATACAGACTTTAACTCTGTCGCCCAGGCTGGAGTGCAGTGGCGCAATCTTGGCTCACTGCAACCTCCGCCTCCCAGGTTCAAGCAATTCTCCTGCCTCAGCCTCCCAAGTAGCTAGAACTACAGGCGCCTGCCACCACGCCCGGCTAATTTTTGTATTTTTAGTAGAGACAGGGTTTCACTATGTTGGCCAGGCTTGTCTTGAACTTCTGACCTCGTGATCCACCCACCTCAGCCTCCCAAAGTGCTGGGATTACAGGCGTGAGACACCACGCCAGGCCTCTGCCTTTATCTTAGAAACGACACTTGTCATTGGATTTAGGGCCCGCCTAGATAACCCAGGGAGATCTTCTTATCTTAGGATCCTTAATTCTATCTGCAAAGACATTTTTGCTAAATAATGTTCACAGAGTCTGGCGATTAGGACATAGACTTCTCTTTTGGGGGCACCACCTTTCAACCCACTACACTAAGTGAAAAGTGAAATATTGATCTCTACATCCCCCAACACTCCACCCAGGCTAGCATCCCAAATAGGGAAGCATTAAGATGTGAAAAATTCTGCGGAACATTAGTGTAAAGCTTCTAGTGGAAAAATGATGACCAAGCATAACATTATGAGATAAGAGCATGAGTAGGTTTAATATCCCCCTGGTATACGGCAGTGCAAGTATTGCCCTGTCTTCTCTGCTTGGTGAGGCCTACTTTTCCCCAGAATTAGAGTAAAATTATTCAGTATCCTTATATTGTCCTTACTTACTCCTGCAGGTTCATGAATACTTAGGGGCAGAATGTAGGGAGGACATGCCATTCATTTCTTTGTGGTTTTTAGGTCAACTTCATAATATAAGAGAGGGATAATAAGTTAGCTTGTCATGCTACATGCTTGAAAGTCTGTCATCAGTACAGCCACCTATCCAGGCCAGACGGTTTCCCTGCCAGTTGGCCTCCATGGGACATTCTCCAGGAAACCAGCACATGAGCAGGGAAAATCCCTGCCATTGTTGAGGCTATCGTTGTGGGTGAAAAGGGAATGTCCCTTGTGGTCCTGGAATCTCCCTGTGGCAAGCTCTGAATAGGGTATGATGAATTGAATAGGCCAGGAAGGATCCTGGCTCAGGGCTAGAGTGGGATAGAAGGCCATTATGAAGTGAGAAATTAGAAAACTGGTGTCAGGATGGGGATCGCTATTTTACACACTTGAGAATTTAGAAAGGAATTACTGCACATTCCTAAACTGATTTTTTTTTTTTTTTTTTGACTGAGGCTCGCTCTGTCACCCAGGCTGAAGTGCAGTGGCATGATCTTGGATCACTGCAACCTCCACTTCCGGGGTTCAAGCGATTCTTCTGCCTCAGCCTCCCAAGTAGCTGGGATTACAGGCGCCTGCGCCTGGCTAATTTTTGTATTTTTAACAGAGTCAGGGTTTCGCCATGTTAGCCAGGCTGGTCTGAAACTCCTGACCTCAGGTGATCCACCTGCCTTAGCCTCCCAAAGTGCTGAGATTACACGCATGAGCCACCATGCCCAGCCAAACCAAATTTTACTAATTGATAAATCAAAGGACTGTTGTTGGTCATGTGATAAGAATAGCTAGAGCTGGGCGTGATGTCTCACACCTGTAATTCCAGCACTTTGGGAGGCCAAGATGGGAGGATCACTTGAAGCCAGGAGTTCGAGACCAGCTTAGTCAACATAGCAAGACCCCATCTCTAAAAAAAAAAAAAATAATAAGTAAAATAAAAAGAATAGCTGGGGACTAATGAGTGTGGACAGTTTGTAAAAATAAATTGAAATATTGTTAGTCTTCTTTATATTCCTAGAAATCGATGCTCCACATGCATCCCACAACTCCTTACAACTCCCCGATACAAAAATACTCACTGTAAGAAAAAAACCCATAAAACCAAACTAAACCAGACAATAGAAATCCCAATAATCTCATTACACAAAGAAAAGCCCCTATAAGCATTTTGTGTAATCCTCTAATAGTACATTTCTGTTTTCATCTAAAGTACTTTCATTTGAGGCTGGGCTCAGTGGCTCACACTTGTATCTCACCACTTTGGGAGGCTGAGGCAGGAGAATCTTAAGGCCAGGAGTTTGAGAACAGCCTGGGCAACATAGTGAGATCCTATCTCTACAAAAAGTAAAAAATTAGCTGGGTGTGATGGTGTGTGCCTGTGGCCTGGCTGTTTAGGAGGATTGCTTGAGCCCAAAAGTTTGAGGCTGCGGTGCATTATGATCGCTCCACTACGCTCCAGCCTGGGTGACAGCGAGACCCTGTCTCATAAATTAAAAAATGAATAAATGAATGTACTTTCATTTGAACAAACCAGTGTTACTGCTGAAACATTTATTTCTGTAATGACCCTTGTCTTCCTTTCTTGTACAGGAACCAGTAGATCCTCTAAAGGAAGAAGCCTTATTGGTAAGGTTGATGGCACATCCCACGTCACTGGAAAAGGAGTTACAGTTGAAACAGTCTTTTCTGTGGATGAGTTTTCTGCATCTGTCCTCACTGGAAAACTGACCACTGTCTTCCTTCCAATTGTCTACACAATTGTGTTTGTGGTGGGTTTGCCAAGTAACGGCATGGCCCTGTGGGTCTTTCTTTTCCGAACTAAGAAGAAGCACCCTGCTGTGATTTACATGGCCAATCTGGCCTTGGCTGACCTCCTCTCTGTCATCTGGTTCCCCTTGAAGATTGCCTATCACATACATGGCAACAACTGGATTTATGGGGAAGCTCTTTGTAATGTGCTTATTGGCTTTTTCTATGGCAACATGTACTGTTCCATTCTCTTCATGACCTGCCTCAGTGTGCAGAGGTATTGGGTCATCGTGAACCCCATGGGGCACTCCAGGAAGAAGGCAAACATTGCCATTGGCATCTCCCTGGCAATATGGCTGCTGATTCTGCTGGTCACCATTCCTTTGTATGTCGTGAAGCAGACCATCTTCATTCCTGCCCTGAACATCACGACCTGTCATGATGTTTTGCCTGAGCAGCTCTTGGTGGGAGACATGTTCAATTACTTCCTCTCTCTGGCCATTGGGGTCTTTCTGTTCCCAGCCTTCCTCACAGCCTCTGCCTATGTGCTGATGATCAGAATGCTGCGATCTTCTGCCATGGATGAAAACTCAGAGAAGAAAAGGAAGAGGGCCATCAAACTCATTGTCACTGTCCTGGCCATGTACCTGATCTGCTTCACTCCTAGTAACCTTCTGCTTGTGGTGCATTATTTTCTGATTAAGAGCCAGGGCCAGAGCCATGTCTATGCCCTGTACATTGTAGCCCTCTGCCTCTCTACCCTTAACAGCTGCATCGACCCCTTTGTCTATTACTTTGTTTCACATGATTTCAGGGATCATGCAAAGAACGCTCTCCTTTGCCGAAGTGTCCGCACTGTAAAGCAGATGCAAGTATCCCTCACCTCAAAGAAACACTCCAGGAAATCCAGCTCTTACTCTTCAAGTTCAACCACTGTTAAGACCTCCTATTGAGTTTTCCAGGTCCTCAGATGGGAATTGCACAGTAGGATGTGGAACCTGTTTAATGTTATGAGGACGTGTCTGTTATTTCCTAATCAAAAAGGTCTCACCACATACCATGTGGATGCAGCACCTCTCAGGATTGCTAGGAGCTCCCCTGTTTGCATGAGAAAAGTAGTCCCCCAAATTAACATCAGTGTCTGTTTCAGAATCTCTCTACTCAGATGACCCCAGAAACTGAACCAACAGAAGCAGACTTTTCAGAAGATGGTGAAGACAGAAACCCAGTAACTTGCAAAAAGTAGACTTGGTGTGAAGACTCACTTCTCAGCTGAAATTATATATATACACATATATATATTTTACATCTGGGATCATGATAGACTTGTTAGGGCTTCAAGGCCCTCAGAGATGATCAGTCCAACTGAACGACCTTACAAATGAGGAAACCAAGATAAATGAGCTGCCAGAATCAGGTTTCCAATCAACAGCAGTGAGTTGGGATTGGACAGTAGAATTTCAATGTCCAGTGAGTGAGGTTCTTGTACCACTTCATCAAAATCATGGATCTTGGCTGGGTGCGGTGCCTCATGCCTGTAATCCTAGCACTTTGGGAGGCTGAGGCAGGCAATCACTTGAGGTCAGGAGTTCGAGACCAGCCTGGCCATCATGGCGAAACCTCATCTCTACTAAAAATACAAAAGTTAACCAGGTGTGTGGTGCACGTTTGTAATCCCAGTTACTCAGGAGGCTGAGGCACAAGAATTGAGTATCACTTTAACTCAGGAGGCAGAGGTTGCAGTGAGCCGAGATTGCACCACTGCACTCCAGCTTGGGTGATAAAATAAAATAAAATAGTCGTGAATCTTGTTCAAAATGCAGATTCCTCAGATTCAATAATGAGAGCTCAGACTGGGAACAGGGCCCAGGAATCTGTGTGGTACAAACCTGCATGGTGTTTATGCACACAGAGATTTGAGAACCATTGTTCTGAATGCTGCTTCCATTTGACAAAGTGCCGTGATAATTTTTGAAAAGAGAAGCAAACAATGGTGTCTCTTTTATGTTCAGCTTATAATGAAATCTGTTTGTTGACTTATTAGGACTTTGAATTATTTCTTTATTAACCCTCTGAGTTTTTGTATGTATTATTATTAAAGAAAAATGCAATCAGGATTTTAAACATGTAAATACAAATTTTGTATAACTTTTGATGACTTCAGTGAAATTTTCAGGTAGTCTGAGTAATAGATTGTTTTGCCACTTAGAATAGCATTTGCCACTTAGTATTTTAAAAAATAATTGTTGGAGTATTTATTGTCAGTTTTGTTCACTTGTTATCTAATACAAAATTATAAAGCCTTCAGAGGGTTTGGACCACATCTCTTTGGAAAATAGTTTGCAACATATTTAAGAGATACTTGATGCCAAAATGACTTTATACAACGATTGTATTTGTGACTTTTAAAAATAATTATTTTATTGTGTAATTGATTTATAAATAACAAAATTTTTTTTACAACTTATTTCTGAGTTGTGCGTTTGTTTTGAGGGAAGGAGTGAGAGAAGGCAGGCAACAGCTTCACCCCTCTAAAAGTGGACACTCACACCAAACTCTGTGACAACGGTTTTTCATTTAAAAATGTTTCAGAGGCCGGGCACAGTGGCACACGTGTGTAATCCCAGCACTTTGGGAGGCCAAGGTGGGTGGATCACCCGAGGTCAGGAGTTCAAGACCAGCCTGGCCAACATGGCAAGAGCCTGTCTCTATTAAAAATACGAAAATTAGCTGGGCGTGGTGGCAGACGCCTGTAATCCCAGCTACTCGGGAGGCTGAGGCAGGAGAATCGCGTGAACCCGGGAGGTGGAGGTTACGGTGAGCCGAGATTGCGCCATTGCACTCCAGCCTGGGCAACAGGAGCGAAACTCCGTCTCAAAAAAAAAAAAAAAGTTTTAGAATTCTTTCTATACCTGCATCTGTAGGTTGACCGCTTTTCAAGGATACAGGCTATTTAACATTTTGGGTATATTGTGATGTATTTAATTAATTCCCTACCAACGGCTCCTTAGGTTGTCATCCCCCCACCCTTCTTTTTTTGACTTTTAAAACAGTGCTGCACCCAGAAGTCCAGAGTCGCTGACAGGTCCTCTGTTATCTAGGTGTTCTCTTCAAGATTCCATTTGGTCATGCAGCCTTGGAGAAATAGGAATGGGATGGAACTTGCCGTGTTTATATTTAATCTCTTACCTTATATGCGTAGTGTTTCTTTTGAGTTGCGCATAAATATTCCATTTTTGTTTTCTACAAAAAAAAAAAAAAGTGCTGTATCAAATATCTGTATACAGACATCTGTGAGCATATTTTTTGAGGATAAGTTTCTAGAAGTAGAATGGCCAGCTCAAAAGTTAGATGCTCATTTTAGGTTTTGATAAGTCTTGCCAAATTGTCTTCAGTAATGTATATTTCTACCAAAATGGTATATTTGCACCTGTTTCCTGAAATGCTCATCCACATTCCATGCTATCAATCTTTGGTTTCCCAATCTTATTGTTGTTTTACTGAAGAAGCAGCACAGCCTGGTGGCTAAGAGTGCAGGTCCTGGGCTGTGCTGAATTCTGACTCCATCACTGCTTACATTAGGGATGTTTTTATTACCTCAAGAAGTAAGAAAAAAAATGCGACTCATTTGTCAAATGGGGATAGTAGTATCTCAGTTTCCTCACTTGTAAAATTAGGATAATAGTATCTTCCTCATAAAGTTATGAGAATAAAATTATTTGGCACGTTTATGTGGTCACAAATATTAAATAATATTATTATTATGCTCTGTGGACAAGACCTGTTTTCTGCTCTGCCCCCTTTCACTTCAGTGTCACTGCTTTCTTTGCCTGTTCTGCTTTGAGTCTGATTGCAGGCCTGTGAAGTTGTCCCCGTTTGTCAGGTGAGAAATGAGAAAATGGTGGGAACAGGATAAAAGGGAGCAGGAACAAATGGCTCACAGAGCCCCGAAGGCCATCTGTAGCTGACCTCCACCTCAGTGGAGAACATTTTTTTGGTGTTTGTCATTTCTTGGTTTTTTTTTTTTTTTTTTTTTTTTCTGGTGGGGGGTGGACAGGGTGTCGGTCTATTACCCAGGCTGGAGTGCAGTGGCTATTTCCACGTGTGATTCCACTACTGATCACTATGGGAGTTTTTCCTGCTGCATTTCCCTCCTGGGCTGGTTCACCCCTTCTTAGGCAACCTGGTGGTCCCCTTCTCCTTGGAGGTTACCATATTAATGCTGAACTTAGTGCAGACAATGATCAGCATAGCCCACTACAGCCTCACACTCCTGGATTCAAGTCATCCTCCTGCTTCAGCCTCCGTATTAGCTCGGGCCTACAGGAACATGCCAACACTCCTGGCTATAGTCTTTTTTTTTCTTTTTGTAACTATGCAAATCTCTTTTTTGTGGCTATACTTTAAGAATAAATGTGTATGAATGTGTGTACATACATATATACTTTAACTTCTAAATCAGTTTATATAAATTGTCCTCATAATTTTTTTAACTCATTCACTGTTTCTCATTAATTTATTTTTATTTTTTTTTTGGTAGAGACAGGGTCTTGCTATGTTACCCAGGCTGGTCTCAAACTGTTGAACTCCAGAGATCCTCCCTCCTCAGCCTCTCAAAATGCTGTGATTACAGGCATGAGTCACTGTGCCCTGCCTGTTTCTCATTATTTTTAATGACCAGGTAGTATTTCATGTATGAATGACCCAACATTTAGTCAGAAGTACCTATTAAAGAACAGATATTTTTCTTGGTTTATTTTCACCAAGCCTTTGAATCTACATTAAAAAGTACAAAAGAACCAGGCGCGGTGGCTCACGCCTGTAATCCCAGCACTTTGGGAGGCCGAGGCGGGCGGATCACGAGGTCAGGAGACTGAGACCATCTTGGCTAACATGGTGAAACCCTGTCTCTACTAAAAATACAAAAAATTAGCTGGGCGTGGTGGCGGGCGCCTGTAGTTCCAGCTACTTGGGAGGCTGAGGCAGGAGAATGGCATGAACCTGGGAAGTGGAGCTTGCAGTGAGCCAAGATCGGGACACTGCACTCCAGCCTGTGCGATAGAGCAAGACTCTGTCTCAAAAAAAAAAAAAAAAACTAAACAAAAAAGTATAAAAGAAATGATTTGAGAAATTAAAATTATTTGCTAAAGCAAAAGCTTATTTTTTTTTTGAGATGGAGTCTCGCTCTGTCATCCAGGCTGGAAGTGCAGTGGTGTGATCTCAGCTCATCGCAACCTCTGCCTTCCAGGTTCAAGTGATTCTCCTGCCTCAGCCTCCTGAGTAGCTGGGATTACAGGCGCCCGCCACCATGCCTGGCTAATTTTTTGTATTTTTAGTAGAGACGGGGTTTCACCAGGTTGGCCAGGCTGGTCTCGATCTCCTAACCTCAGGTGATCCACCCACCTTGGCCTCCCAAAGTACTGGGATTACAGGTGAGAGCCACCGCGCCTGGCCCAGCAAAAGCTTTTCAAATCGTTTTGTTCTGCCTTTGAAAAGTGGCTTAGAAAACCCCCTGGTCTATCTGAATTAGGCTCCTGATTGGAAGCATGAGGAACTCTGGCCCTAGCGGAGTAGTACCTTGGATGTGGTTGTCTTTGCTCTTGTGTTATATGTCATACTGTGGTCTAATTTCTCTAAACTGAGTCCTAAAATGTCTGAAAATGTAAATACTTTGAACTCCACAGGCTTATGTACTAACAGTGAGGCCTCTTAATTTGAAAGTGAACGAAGATTTGCAGTCCTGATGCTCAGGACAAAGGCCAGTGCTAAACTGACTCGGCTGGAGTTGTTTTATGGGCTTTTTCCTAACGTGTCACCTCAGTGGTTTGCAGCAGGAGTTTCAAACCTGTAATTAATTTCCTGGTTATCAAGGTTTCATAAACTTTAGGGCTATAATCTCATCAGTATGCATAGTTTAGTGATTACAACTTTGTTCCTGAAACATTAACCCTTTGGAGGCCCCTGAGAGGACTATAATTTATTGCAGAATCAAAGGTAGTACTTGCTGTCCTCCGGATCTTGATTAAAATGATAAGTTTTTGCTTGGGTGTTTAGATGTCTTCTCAAAAAGAAGTTTCTGATGTGGCCAGTCCTTTCCTGACCCCCAGTTCTGAAGACAAAAACCAAGCCCTTAGTGATCAGGGATCTAGCCCTACATTTTATTCAAGCCTTGGAACTTCACTGAGATGATTGTCCCACTTAAATGTCAACAATTAGAGTGACTCAGACCAACCTTGGAATGCCTCTCTGGAGGGACAGTTTGAAATATTCCGTGATTTGAGTATGAACTGCTCTTGCCTCTACCAGTGGGTCAATCTATGGACTGTTTCCCAGCCTTTGTCTTTATTGGTGAGAAATTAAGCCTGACCAGAGTTACAGACAACCTCCGGTAAAAACCACAGCCCAAGCCTGCGGGCCCATCAAGAACCCAGCAGCAGTGTGAGTGGTTCAATCCTTCATCCTGTGAAAGGAAAATAAATCCTGTGGCCCCAAAATCACTAAGCTAATGGGAAAAGTCAAGCTGGGAACCGCTTAGGGCAAACCTGCCTCTCCTATTCAAAGTTACCCCTCTGCTCACTGAGACAAATGCATATCTGGGCCGGGTGCGGTGGCTCATACCTGTAATCCCAGCATTTTGGCAGGCCGAGGTGGGCGGATCACGAGGTCAAGAGATCGAGACCATCCTGGTCAGGAGTTCGAGACCAGCCTGGCCAACAAGGTGAAACTCCGTCTCTACTAAAAATACAAAAAAAATTAGCCGGGCATGCTGCTGGGTGCCTGTAGTCCCAGCTACTTGGGAGGCTGAGGCAGGAACATCGCTTGAACCCAGGAGGCGGAAGTTGCAGTGAGCTGAGATTGCGCCACTGTACTCCAGCCTGGGTGACAGAGCAAGACTCCATCTCAAAAAAAAAAAAAAAAAAAAAAAAGCATATCTGATTGCCTCCTTTCTAGAGGCTAATCAGAAACTCGAAAGAATGCAACTGTTTGTCTCTCATCTACCTATGACCTGGAAGCCCCCTCCCCGCTTCAAGTTGTCCTGCCTTTCCAGACCGAACCAATGTTCATCTTACATACGTTGATTGATGTCTCATGTGTCTCTAAAATGTGTAAAACCAAACTGCTCTGAGCACTGTGAACCCTAAACATTTGAGACAGTTCTCAGTTAATTTAGAAAGTTTATTTTGCCAAGGTTGACGCATGCCTGTGACACTGCCTCAGGAAATTCTGACGACATGTGCCCAAGGTGATCAGGGCACAGCTTGGTTTTACACATTTTAGGGAGACATGAAACATCAATATATGTAAAATGTACATTGGTTTGGTCTGGAAAGGCGGGATAACTTGAAGCAAAGACCAGAAAAGCAGGGAAGGGACTTCCAGGTCACAGATAGGTGAGAGACAAACTCTCTTGCATTCTTTTGAGTTTCTTCCTTTCCAAAGAAGGCAATCAGATATGCATTTATCTCAGTGAGTGGAGGTTGACTTTGAATAGAACGGGAGGCAGGTTCGCCCTGTGCAGTTTCCAGTTTGACTTTTAACTTTTAGCGCAGTGATTTTGGGGGCCCAAGATATTTTCCTTTCACACCACCTTGGGCACATGTCGTCAGGACCTCCAGAGGCTGTGTCACGGGCATGTGTCCTCAACCTTAGCAAAATAAACTTTCTAAATTAACTGAGACCTGTCTCAAATATTCAGGGTTCACAATTCCACAAACATTCATTGCAACATTACTGCATTATTAAATGCAAATAATTAAATTAGGATTTCCACCTTAACAGCTATCCAGTTGAGGGGTTGATGTTCTCTCAGTGGAATACATCAATATTTAAAAAAAAAACACAAACCCCAGAAACCTAACCCTCCAGTATATGGGCTTCTCAAAAGCCTTTAAAGCATAGCTTATTCCAGAGCTAGATCCTGAGACAGGCAGAAAGTCAAAGTAAATGTGAAGGACAAGAAGTTTCCAGAAGGGCCACTACTATGGCTTACCCCCCTAACCACTGCTTTGTTTACACCATTGCTTGAGCCCAGCAGTTCAAGGCTGCAGTGAGCCACGAAGCCATGATCACACTAGTGAGTAGCTACTACACCCCACCCTGAGGAACATAGTGAGACCTCATCTCTAAAAAATGAAAAATAAATAAAAAGAAGAAGAACTGAATAGAATAGAATAGATGGCAAATAGGCATATTGAAACATAAAAGATGCTTAGCCTTAGTCATTAGAAAAATGCAAATTAAAAAACCCATACCTATTGAGTAGCTAAAATAAATAAGTAAATCTGAGAGTATAAGTATATAATGAGAAATGAACACCCTCCCTACCCACCACATGGGAACCCGTTTATACGCCCTCTGTATATTCTTTGAGATGTTTTTATGCATGTATAAACATGTATACATGCTTTTTAAAAATAAAAGGAGTTACACCATGTATTAGTTAAATTACACATAAATTACCTCAAAATTTAGTGTCTTAAGACAGTCATAAACATTTACTAACTTTCACAGTTTCTGTGGGTTATGAATTCAGGAGCAGTTTAGCCCAATGGTTCTGGCTTAGGATCTCATGAGGTACCAGGTAAGATACTGGCTGGAGCTGCTGCTAGCTGAAGATGTGACGGGGGCTGGAGGATCCTCCACAGGGCTGGCATGTTGGTGGCAGAAAGCTTCAGTTCCCCTCCACGTGGGCCTCTTCACAGGGCTGTTGGACTGACCTCATAACATGAAGATTGGTGTTCCCCAAAATGAGTGATCCATGAGAACAAGGGGAAAGCCACAATGCCTTTCATTACTTAGCTTCAGAGGTCACACACCATCACCTCCACCATGCTAGCTCCAATTGCTTGGTCAGACAAGCTAGCTCCAATTCAATCTGGGAGAAGACTACCTAGCATAAACACCAGGAGGCGAGGATCACTGGGGATTACATGGGAGGCTGGTTTCTGCATTATATACGTGAACACATCTTGGATATGATTGCCATGTTAGCATTTACAGATTGACCTCATTATTTTAAATGGCTATCTCCATGTGCACATATACCATAATTTATGGAATCCAGCTTATGCTATACTTATATTGCTATATAAATAATATTTGAGTGGAAATCTGTACATACTTGTTAATTCAATATTCTTCCACCACGCACTATGTGCCAAGTCATCTTCTAGGCAGTAAGGAATATTGTGGAGAACAAAATAGACAAGAACTCTATTCTCATGGAGTTTACTTTCTGATTGGAGAAAGACTGAAAACAAAACAAAATATCCAATAGTAGTAAATGCTAAGAGTATTTTATATTGGGAGATCAGGGAAGGTTTCTAAGGAGGTGAAATTTAAGTGGCAATGTAAAGGGCAGGAGAGCCAGCCATGGGAGGATCCCAAGCAAGGGCTTTATGGGAATGAGTAAGGGAAGGAAGAGTATGAGCAAGTAGGCTGGAGAGAGGCAAGAGCTTGATAACTGAAGGGAACTGTAAGGGAGTAAGGAGCTTGATTTTCTTTCTACATGGGATGCCATAGGTTTGTTTTACTGCCCATTTAAAAAATCACTGGTGGCCGGGCGCGGTGGCTCACGCCTTTAATCCCAGCACTTTGGGAGGCCAAGGCAGGCGGATCACGAGGTCAGGAGTTCAAGACCTGCCTGATCAACATGGTGAAAGCCCGTCTCTACTAAAAATACAAAAATTAGCTGGGCGTGGTGGTGTGCACCTGTAATCCCAGCTACTCAAGAGGCTGAGGCAGGAGAATCGCTTGAACCCGGGAGGCGGAGGTTGCAGTAAGCTGAGATCATGCCACTGCACTCCAGCCTGGGTGACAGAGCGAGACTCCCTCTCAAAAAAAGAAAAAAATCACTGGCTATTATGTGGAATAGGGATTATAGAAGGACAAGATGAGAAAGCAAGAACAATTTGGAGTAATCCAAGCAAGAGGTGATGTTGGCTTGAATTAGGGTGGTGCTAACAGAGAGGGAGAGAAGAAGCCTAAAGTCAACAGATGTGAAAAGAAGAGGAATCAAAGCTTGTGCCTAGAGTTTCTGCTTGATGGATAATGGTGAAATAATTAGGAGTGAGCATGTTTGGAGGTTGAAAGTTAAGAGTTCTGTTTTGACCATGGCATCTTGAGATTGAGATGCCTGTTAGACATCCAAGCAGCATTGTTGAGTAGGAGGTTGGGTGCGGTGGCTTACACCTGTAATCCTAGCACTTTGGGAGGCTGAGGTGGGAGGATCATGTGAGCTCAAGAGTTTGAGATCAGCCTGGGCTACGTGGCAAAACCCTATCTCTACAAAAGATAAAAATAATTAGCCCAGTGTGGTGGCATGCGCTTGTGGTCCCAGTGTTACTCAGGAGGCTGAGGTGGGAGGATTGCTTGAACCCAGGAGGCAGAGGTTTCAGTGAGCTGAGATCGTGCCACTGCACTCCAGCCTGGGCAACAGCGCGAGAAAAAAAAAAAAAAAGAACTTGGTGAGGTTACCTATGTTACTAGAAAGGGGTCCAGATCCAGATCCCAAGAGAGTTTTCTTGGATCTCACTCAAGAAAGAACTCAGGGCGAGTCGATAAAGTGAAAGCAAGTTGATTAGGAAAGTGAAGGAATAAAAGAATGGCTACTCTGCAGACAGCAGCCCCCATAGCTGGTGGTTGCCCATTTTTATGGTTATTTCTTGATGATATGTTAAACAAGGGGTGGATTGTTCATGCCTCCCCATTTTAGACCATATAGGGTAACTTCCTGATGTTGCCATGGCATTTGTAAACTGTCATGGTGCTCGTGGGTGTGTAGCGGTGAGGATAACCAGAGGTCACTCTCGTGGCCATCCGGTTTTGGTGGGTTTTAGCCGGCTTCTTCACTGCAAACTGTTTTATCAGTAAGGTCTTTATGACCTGTATCTTTTTTTTTTTTTTTTGAGATGGAGTTTCGTTCTTTTTGCCCAGGCTGGAGTGCAGTGGCATGATTTCGGCTCACTGCAACCTCCACCTCCTGGTTCAAGCCATTCTCCTGCCTCAGCCTCCTGAGTAGCTGGAATTACAGGCATGCATCACCACACCCGGCAATTTTTTTGTATTTTTAGTAGAGACGGGGTTTTGCCATGTTGGTCAGGCTGGTCTCGAACTCCTGACCTCAGGTGATCCACCCGCCTCGGCCTCCCAGAGTGCTGGGATTACAGGTGTGAGCCACCACACCAGGCCATGACCTGTATCTTGTGCTGACCTCCTACCTCATCTTGTGACTTAGAGTGCCTGTCTGGGAATGCAGCCCAGTAGTGTTCAGCCTTATTTTACCCAGCTCCTATTCAAGGGTTGCTCTGGTTCAAATGTCTCTGACACCTAGTGGAGAGAATATAGATGAAGAAAAGAGGGCCCTGGACAGAGGCCTTCAGCATGTAGACTCTTTTGAGCAGAGGAAGGGCCAGTAAGAGACACTGAGAAGGACCAGCCACTATGGCAAGAAGAAAGTCCAGCAAATATGCTGTCAGGAAAGCCAAGGGCATAAAGGACAGAGTAATCAATCATGGTGAAAATTACTAAGAAGCCAAGTGAGATATGAACAGAGGAGTGACTACCTGAGCTTGCCCTTGGAGAATGTTGGTGACCTTGGCAAGACCACCCTCTCAGTGATGTGATGGGGAAAGGAAGCCAGAATAGTGTGTTCAAGAAAGAATTAGAAGGAAGGAAGTCCACACAATGACAGTGACAATCCCTTACAGCAATTTTAATTGTGAAAGGGAGCAGGGGAATGCGGAGGCAAGAAAGGCAATGAGAGTCATTCAGCAGAGAGGGAGACAGTGTGTCTTTGCATGTATTGTATTTCTATAAGTGAAGGTGGAAGGATCTCTTGAGCCCAGGAGTTCAAGGCCAGCCTGGGCAATGTGGCAAGACCCTATCGCACAATAACAACAACAAAAGTAGCCAGGGGAGGTGCTGTAAACATATTGTCTCAGCTACTTGGGAGGCTGAGGCAGGACGATCGCTTGAGCCCAGGAGTTAAAGGCTGTAGTGAGCTGTGATTGCACCACTGCACTCCAGCCTGGGCAACAGAGAGAGACTCTGTCCAAAAATAAAAATAAAAAAATAAGAAGTGGAACTTCTGGGTCAAAGGATACATGTAATTTTGATTGTGGTAAGTTGCCCTCCTAAGGTGTTGCACCAGTTACACACTTGCCAAAAATGTGTGTCTGTTTATCTAGAGTGTTGTAAACACCACATTTTCATGGTCTTTTATTTGCCAGTCTGAACTTCACAAATTTTGAGTGTAATGATAATGCAGGACCATAAGCATCTAGGAAGAAATAGAGCTTTGCTTTCTTCCTTTATTTACTGTTGGGAACAGGTCCCCCAAAATCTGGCCATAAACTGGCTCCAA
Source organism: Homo sapiens (assembly GCF_000001405.40). Classification (NCBI taxonomy): domain Eukaryota; kingdom Metazoa; phylum Chordata; class Mammalia; order Primates; family Hominidae; genus Homo; species Homo sapiens. The sequence goes on from NC_000005.10 coordinate 76,845,213, forward strand.
AACTGGCCATAAACAAAATCTCTGCAGCACTGTGACATGTTCATGCTGGCCATAACGCCCACGATGGAAGGTTGTGAGTTTACTGGAATGAGTGCAAGGAACACCTGGCCCTCCCAGGGCGGAAAACTGCTTAAAGGCGTTCTTAAACCACAAACAATAGCCTGAGCGATCAGTGCCTTAAGGACATGCTCCTGCTGCAGATAACTAGCCAGACCCACCCCTTTATTTCAGCCCATCCCTTCGTGTCCCATAAGGGATACTTTTAGTTAATCCCATTTCCCATAAGGGATACTTTTAGTTAATCGAATATCTATAGAAACAATGTTAATGACTGGCTTGCTGTTAATAAATACGTGGGTAAATCTCTGTTCGGGGCTCTCAGCTCTGAAGGCTGTGAGACCCCTGATTTCCCACTTCACACCTCTATATTTCTGTGTGTGTGTCTTTAATTCCTCTAGTGCCACTGGGTTAGGGTCTCCTTGACTGAGCTGGTCTCGGCAATTTACTTTGTATTTTAGGCATATTTTCCCCCTGCTATTCCTCACCACCAAGGCAGTGACCCTCAAAAGGTACGGCCTTGCGGGAAGTTGGTCCCATTTCTCTTTGTATTAGCTCTGAGAGGAAACCTAAGCTATTCTTCTAGGTGGGCTGCAGAAAACTTCTGTGCCGTGTGGAACATCCTTTGCTCTGATGAGTTTTCTATCATTCTTTTTTGGAGAACATGAGGGCATGGCAGCAGCCACTACAGCAGGAGCCTGGAGTCCCAGCTCTGGGCCCTAGCCAGCTCACCTGCATATGAGGGATTAACTCTCAACACTGCTGGATCTGGCTCAGGTCTGAGTTCCTCACCTCAGCTCCACCATGTAGCCTGGGGTGAATGGCAAACCCATGGAAAGCGTTTAATTATAGCTTCTATGTACCATCGGGTAGACTCAATTACCTAATCCCGAGAAAGCAGTTTTAGCCAAGCCTTATGTTGTGAACTCTTTCAGAGGCCACCTGGGCTCTTGCAGGGGAACTGTGTCTAGTTCTTACCAGTGGAAGTCAGACTTTTTTCTTTAACCAGAGATTTGTGTAAATGGGAGACTTTGTTAAAAATATAACAGATTTATCAGAATTTATGGCTTAAAAAATTGCAGCACAGGGAGGGAAATGATGGTGTTTATTCTAGTGACCATTTCTGTCCATTAAAACTGAAATTCTTTTTTTTTAATCTTTTTAAAAACTGTGTTTTTTTTTTTGAGACAGAATCTCGCTCTGTTGCCCAGGCTGGAGTGCAGTGGTATGATCTTGGTTCACTGCAGCCTCTGCCTCCTGAGTTCAAGTAATTCTCCTGCCTCAGCTTCCCTAGTAGCTGGGATTACAGGTTTCCGCTACCACACCTGGCTAATTTTTGTATTTTTAGTAGAGACGGGGTTTCACCATGTTGGCCAGGCTGGTCTTGAACTCCTGACCTCAAGTGATCCACCTACCTCGCTCTCCCAAAGTGCTGGCATTAGAGGCATAGGCCACGGTGCCCAGCCTAAAAACTTTATGTTTGTTTGTTTATTTTATTTTATTTATTTATGTATTTTTCTGAGAGAGAATCTTGCTCTGTCTCCCAGGCTGGAGTGCAGTGGTGCCATCTTGGCTCACTGCAACCTCGGCCTCCTGGGTTCAAGCGATTCTCCTGCCTTATCCTCCCAAGTAGCTGGGATTACAGGCGCCCACCACCACGCCTGGCTAATTTTTGTATTTTTGGTAAAGACTGGGTTTCACCATGTTGGCCAGGCTGCTCTAGAATTCCTGACCTCAAGTGATCCGCCCACCTCGGCCTCCCAAAGTGCTGGGATTACAGGTGTGAGCCACTGCGCCCAGCCCTAAAAACTTTATTATGGAGGATTTTATACCCATACAGAATTAGGATTGTATAGGGAAACTCTATGTCTCCATCACTCAGGCCCAATATCCATCAACCTTTGGTCAATTCTGCCCCATCCTCCTCCCCATCCCGTTTATTCTGAAGCAAATCTCAGGAATCATATTATTTCACTCGTAAATGTTTCAGTGTCTAAGACAAGAAATTTAAAAATCATACCTCAAAAAATTTCTTAATATCAGATATCCTGTCAGTGTTCAAATTTCTACTCATCTCAATTATCATAAGTGGTTTCTTTTTTTAAAAAATCAGAATCTAAATAAAGCTCAGACATTGCAATTGGTTGATGACTTTTAAATCTCTTAATTTATCTCCACCCTCACCACTTGCTACTTACTTGTTGAAGAAACCAGGTTGTTTGTAGATTTTCCCCATAGTCTGGATTTTGCTGATTGCATCCAGAACTGGAAAGTGTGAAAGCATATTAGAGGAAATGAAAAGGCTCTGCCGATCGAGAACTCTGGTTATACAACTGTTCACAAGCACTTAGCAGGAACAACGAGGAATGCTAAAATTCTTATCACTGTGCCCTCTTATGTGGTGCCTGCCTCATGGTGATCTTAATGTTCTCCTAAAGATAGGGAAGAACAGGACCCTAGACCACAGTCTTGTGCTTGGGAGCTACACTTGGACAGGAATCACCACCCAAAACTGGCAATGCAGACAGATTACATGTGTTTTCTTCCGCAGATTTGTTCTGATCTCCCCAGACATCCGTCATTCTATAATCCTACAGTTTGGACCTTCTTAGTTTTCACTTTCAGGTGGGAAAGACTAGTAATTAATTAATTAATTAATTAATGCTTTTATAGAGACAGGGTCTGGCTCTGTCACCTAGGCTGGAGAGTAGTGGTTGCAATCACAGCTCACTGCAGCCTCAAACTCCTGGGCTGAAGTGATACTCTCAACCCCAGCCTCCTGAGTAGCTGGAACCACAGGTGTGCACCACCATGCCCAGCTAATTTTTAAAAAAAAATTTGTAGAGATGGTGTCTCCCTATGTTGCCCAGGCTGTGTTGAACTCTTGGGCTCAAGTGATCCTCCCACCTCTGCCTCCCAAAGTGCTGGGATTACAGGCTTGAGGCACAGCACCCAGTCAAGAGGTTTTTGGGTTTTGTTTGTTTTTTGAGACGGAGTCTCACTCTTGCCCAGGCTGGAGTGCAGTGGAACAATCTTGGCTCACTGCAACCTCTGCCTCCCGGATTCAAACAATTCTCCTGCCTCAGCCTCCCGAGTAGCTGGGATTACAGGCGCACACCACCATACCTGGCCAAGAGTAGTTATTTTGGAAAGAGAGACGTTTCAATCTTCAGAACATATCTTTGGCCGGGTGCGGTGGCTGGTGCCTGTAATCCCAGCACTCTGGGAAGCCAGGCTGGGAGGATCACTTGAGCCCAGGAGTTCAAGACTAGACTGGGCAAGCAACATGGTGAAACCCCATCTCTACAAAAAAATACAAGTATTAGCCAGGTTGTGGTGGCATACCCTGCAGTCCTAGCTATTTGGGAGGCTGAAGTGGGAGGATCACTTGAGCCTGGGAGGTTGAGGTTGCAGAGAGCTGTGATTGTGTCTCTGTACTCTACCCTAGGCAATGGAGCAAGACTCTGTCTCCAAAAAAAAAAAAAAAAAATTTATCTTTGAATTCTTTCTTTCAATATATTGTTATCTGTATTTCTGTACTGAGTGCTGTGCTTCTTGACCTGTCTCTGCCCTTTTCTGTGTATTTATTTATTTAATTGACAAGTAAAAATTGTATATATTATGGTATACAAATACAGCTTGATGTTTTAATTTATGTATACATTGTGGAATTATTAAGTCAAGCTATTTGACTTAATTGCCCCATATACTTGTCATTTTTTGGGGGTGATAAAGACACTTAACATCTACTGTCTTAGCAATTTTCGATACACGATATATTGTTATTAACTATAGATAGCATGCTGTACAATGGGAGCTCTTAAACTTATTCCTCCTGGGCCAGGCGCAGTGTCTCACGCCTATAATCCCAGCACATTGGGAGGCCAAGGTGGGCGGATCACTTGAGGTCAGGAATTCAAGACCAGCCTCACCAACATGGTGAAACCCCATCTCTACTGAAAATACAAAAATTAGCCAGGCTTAGTGGTGGGCGCTTGTAATCTCAGCTACTTGGGAGGCTGAGGCAGAAGCTTGAACCAGGGAGGTGGAGGTTGCAGTGAGCTGAGATGATGCCACTGCACTCCAGCCTGGGTGACAGAGCAAGACTCTGTCTCAAAAAAAAAAAAGAAAAAAAGAAATGCTGTGAGGAATTATTAGCCATGAAGCTTCAGCAGGCAGGTTAGGTAGCTTTTCCAGTCACATACTGGTGAAGTAAGGATTTGAACCCCAAGACTCTGGTGCCAGAGTAATTGCTCTTCACCATGAGGAGGCACCAGTGGGGGAGTGTTGGATCACAAGCAGTTTCTTTTTCTTTTTTTTTTGTTTTTTTGAGACGGAATCTGGCTCTGTCACCTAGTCTGGAGGGCAGCGGCGAGCTCAGCTCACTACAACCTCTGCCTCTCAGGTTCAAGCGTTCTCCTGCTTCAGCCTCACGAGTAGCTGGAATTACAGGCGCCCGCCACCATGCCTGGCTAATTTTTATATTTTTAGTAGAGATGGGGTTTCGCCACGTTGACCAGGCTGGTCTCAAACTCCTGACCGCAAGTGATCCACCCACCTCAGCCTCTCAAAGTGCTGGGATTAGAGGCATGAGCCACTGCACCCAGCGCAATTTCGTTAGAGACTTGGTGCCTTCCCATTTCTTTTACTCAGCAATATACCAGCTTTAGGTCCTAAATTAAACCTCTTCCTGCTTTCCCACCTGATGAAGAAACGTGCCTGCAGTGTGGTGAGTCTGGACCACGCAGACTCAGAACAGCACTACTCACAGCAGGGCCTCTTGCTCGCTCTAGCTGCTGGGAGGAAAACGGCTTGCTAATCTCCACGCCCAGAAATTCAGACAAGAGCATTCTCCTTATCTCATCTGCACAGGAAGCAGGTCTAAGGTAAAAGATTATTTTTGTGGAAGATTCTTGCTTTTCAGTCTAGTGGTTGAAGTGTGAGCCTGGCAGGCGTTGGATTAGAGAGGGCAACAAGAGTGGAGGTTGTGAGGTGGGGGGTTGCCTTGGGGCTTCCACTCTAAAATGTGGCCTTACCTTGGCCACAAAGGGGTCGGGGGGGTGGGGGAGAGAGAGAGAGAGAGAGAGAGGGAGAGAGCAGCCTGATCATAGCTCGGAGCGTAGAGGTTCTGGTAAGTTCCTTGCCCTAAAGAACACTTAGTTCATTCTGGCTCCTTTCCTGGTGACCATCCTGGCTTCCTGCTTGGCCTTCACCTCACCTTGAGAAATTCAAGTTTCATGTTCTTGTCCAGGCCAAAGACCCAGAAGAACCTTCAAGGTGAGGCTTGGCCCCTTAGATCCACGCCGTGATTTCGCTTCTTTTTCCTGAAGCCTGCACAGATGCCAGTGTAAGCCCACTCCCAGGAAGTCACAGCAGTGGTCTATGCTCCTCCTCTTCACACTGGCCAGTGCTGGGCATGCCTGGACAATCAGCCCTGGAATGGCTGCTCTCAGCCTACAGAAGAAGAGAGGGAAGAGGGATGGAGGGGCTGGGGAGAAGTTGGTGAGAGGACACAAAATTTGGGTTAGACAGAGAAATAAAGTTTTTTTTGTTTTTTGTTTTTTTCTGAGATGGAGTTTCACTCTGTCACCCAGGCTGGAGTGCAGTGGTGTGATCTCAGCTCACTGCAACCTCCACCTCCCACTTGGCTTCCCAAAGTGCTGCGATTACAGGCATGAGCCACCGCTCCCCAGCCTCCTCATGGGATTTTTGAGGATGACATAAAGGAATACATTTAAACTGCCTAGAAGGGTGCTTGGCCCAGAGTATGTGCTAATTAACGTTGGCTACTATTATTTTCCTTCAACCCAGTGCCGGTGCAGGTCTAGAGGAAAGCATGAGGTGATACAGGGGCACCCAGAGGCGGAGTGCTCCCAGGAGCTGAGGGGCATCGGAGGCTTCCCTGGAGGACTGGCACCTGAGCAGAGGAATGGGCAGCACAGTGGCAGTGCCACGTGTGCGGCACAGATGGTGCAGAGGGGATGGGTGGGCACACTGCGGGGAGTTTAGATTTAGCCAGGGGATGGCAGGGCCTGTCCAGGAGGTTAAGTGAGGAGCTCAGGTGTGCCTCCCAGCAGGCAGGGGAGGCTAATTTTGAAGAAGAGCAAAGTAGGTGCAGGAGGTGAGTTGGGATCTCATGCAGTAATTCAGGCCAGAAGTGACAAGGGCCTGAACTATGGCGCTAGGGTTGAGGAGGAAGGAACAGAGAGTGAGGAGATACAACCTGGCAACTGATTGCATGAGAGAGAGAGAGGGGCCAGGAATAGCATCATACTCAGGTTTCTGGCCATGCAGTTGGGTGAATGAGGGTATTGCTGTTGACTGGAGCAGCAAAAAAAGGGGATCCCCTCTGGGGTAGAGGAAGAAGGGAGCAGGGGATTGGAAAATGCCAAAATCAGTTTGCTGTGGTTTGGAATCTGAGACTCTGATGTGTTACCTAAGTGGAGATGTCCTGTGGTCAGTTTATTTATACTCTCCTGGGTCCTAGGTAGGATTTAAGGTGACATATGAAGATAACACAAAGTAGAGTAAGATATTATAAATTAAGTAGGAGAGAAAGCAGACAGAAAAGAACGAGATGTAAAGTAGAGGAAGGAATGAGGTTAAATATAAAGTACACAGCAGAAAGCAGAAGTCACAAGCTGGCCAGCATTCGCTGAATTTCCTGTTTGAGTTGTCCTGCAGTCTTATGTTTGTCTGTTGGGTTTTGGTGGGTTTTGTTTGTTTGTCTTGAGTTGCAGTCTTAAAATCCAGGAATTCTTAAAAATTAAAATTTCTCACTTTTTCTTTTAAAAAAAAAAAAAGTGAAGTTCTGGGAGCTCTGAGCCATATCCCATCTGGCAACGATGATCTGGGTCTGAGAAGCAGTCTCGCCTTCTTGGGAGAGCACGGGCTCTCCAATTTCCCACTGGCCTCCACTCCACTTGGCTGTCTGGCACTGAAGCAGTGTCGGTCCTCTTATCAGCATGGACTATTTCTCTGAACTCACCCTTCTATCAAATGTAATAAAAAAAATTAGTCAAGATATTTTTTTTTTCTTAGTCTCAATTTTGCCTGTTTACACTAGCAGCCTGGCCGTGGAAGCAGGCTGATGCTCCCTGTTCACAACTGCTTTTCATTCTGCTTAGTGCCTCTGTTGTATCTGTTGTTAAATAGTTTGGGCTGGGTGTAATGGCTCACACCTGTAACCCCAGTACTTTGGGAAGCTGAGGTGGGTGGATTGCTTGAGGCCAAAGTTTGAGAATAGCCTGGCCAACATGGTGAAAACCCATCTCTACTAAAATACAAAAAAATAGCCAGGAATGGTGGTGCACACCTGTAATCCCAGCTACTCAGGAGGCTAAGGCACAAGAATTGCTTAAACCCAGGAGGCGGAGGTTGCAGTGAGCTGAGATCCCGCTACTGCACTGCACTCCAGCCTGGGTGACAGAGTGAGACTCTGTCTCAAAAAACAAACAAACAAACAAAAAACAGCAAAGTTTGAACATGACCCGGCTGTAGGTATTTGAGTTTGCAGCATGTGGTAAAATCAAGTATTCGGCCTAGGTGGCTCATGAACTTGATTCTAGGCTTTCTAGCAGCCAAAGAAAAAGAGGATACATTATCTGTCTTATCCTATCTTATCAGCTGGGCTATTCATAGTATCCATGGGATGACTGCTTAGGCAAGTCAGGACTCTTCTCAACACAAGAACCAGAGCAACATTTTTCCCCTGAGAGTCTTCATAGAGAGGGAATGAAAAGTTCAAACAACATTCATCCCAGAGTCGATTCAAGTCTAAGGCTGATGATTCTAGCAGCTTCAAGCAGCATTTCCCTTGAAGCACAGCTGCTTAAACAATTCTAGGAGGGGCCAATGTGATACAGTTCAGACACCTAATTTTCTACTGATCTGGCTATATTAATTTCAGAAACTTTAGAAAAATCTAGAGAAATGCCTGGACTCCCTCCAAATAATCCTCCATAGATGGTCTGAGGATGTGATGCCTGGAATTGCAGCAGTCATCTTGTGACTGTGCGGGGACAAGTCAGAGATGAGAGCTGGCACACAGAAGATAGGGAAGAAGAAAGATAGATCTTGGGCCCTTGATAGCATTGACAAAACACTGAAACAACCAACTTTTATAGTAAGAGATAGCAAATTACCTTATTAAGCTTGAACTACTTTTATTTGCTTATTCTATTACTTGCTAATATGGTTTGGATCTGTATCCCCACCAAATCTCATGTCAAATTGTAATCCCCAGGCCGGATGTGTTGGCTCCCATCTGTAATCCCAGCACTTTGGGAGGCTGAGGCAGGCAGATCATCTGAGGTCAGGAGTTCAAGATCAGCCTGGCCAACAAGGTGAAACCTTGTCTCTAGTAAAAACACAAAAAATTAGCCAGGTGTGATGGTGCACACCTGTAGTCCCAGCTACTGGGGAGGCTGAGGCAGGATAATTGCTTGAACCCAGGAGGCAGAGATTGCAGTCAGCTGAGATAGTGCCACTGCACTCCAGCCTGGGTGACAGTGCAAGACTCCATCTTAAAAAAAAAAAAAAAGAAATTGTAATCCCCAGGGTTGGAGTGGGGCTTGGTGGGAGGTGACTGGATTATGGAGGTGTAGTTCTCATGAATGGGTTAGCACCATCCCCTTGGTGCTGTTCTCATGATAGTGAGTAAGTGAGGTAGCGTGAGATCTGGTTGTTTGAAAGATCTTTCTTTCTTCCTCCTGCTCTGGCCATGTAAGATGTGCCTGCTTCCCCTTTGCCTTCTGCCATGATCGAAAGTTTCCTGAGGCCTCCCCAGAAGCCAAGCAGATGCTGCTATGCTTCCTGTACGGCCTGTGGAACTGTGAGCCCATTAAACCTCTTTTCTTTGTAAATTACCTAGTCTCAAGTATTTCTTTATAGTAGTATGAGAATGGACTAATACAGAAAAATAGTACCAAGGAGTGGGGCATTGCTGTAAAGAGACCCAAAAATGTGAAAGCGACTTTGGAACTGGGTAACGGGCACAGGTTGGAAGAGTCTGGAGGGCTCAGAGGACAACAGAAAGATGAGGGAAAGTTTGGAACTTCCTAGAGACTTGTTGAATGGTAGTGACCAAAATGCTGATAGTAATATGGACAGGGAAGGCCAGGCGGAGATGAGGAACTTATTGGGAACTGGAGCAAAGGTCACTTTTGTTGTGCATTTATCAAAGAAGTTGGAGGCATTGTACCCCTGCCCTAGAGATCTGTGGAGCTTTGAACTTGAGAGTGATGATTTAGGGTATCTGACAGAAGAAATTTCTAAGCAGCAAAGCATTCAAGATATGGACTGGCTGCTTCTAACAGCCTATGCCCGTTACAGGAGCAAAGAAATGACCAGAAACTGGAACTTATATTTAAAAGGGACACAGAGTGTAAAAGTTTGGAAAATTTGCAGCCTAGCCATGTGTTAAAAAAGAAAAGCCCTTTTTCAGGGGAAGGATTCAGGCAGGCTGCAGAAATTTGCATAACTGAAAGGAAGGCAAATGCTGATAGCCAAGACAATGGGAAAAGGCCTCAAAGGTATTTCAGATATCTTCCAGGCAGCCCCTCCAATCACAGGCCCAAAGGCCTAGGAGGGAAGAATGGTTTCATGGGCCAGGCCCCAGGGCCCCATCACCTACCCTGTGTAAGCAGGCTTGGGACACTGCTTCTTGCATCTCAGCCATTCCAGTTCCAGCTCCAGTTCCAGCCATGGCTCAAAGTTCCTGCCACTTCAAAGGTTGCAAGCTGTAAGCCTTGGTGGTTTCCACATGGTGTTAAGCCTGTGAGTGCACAGAATGCAAAAGTTGAGGCTTGGAAGCCTCTGCACAGATTTGAAAGGATGTATGGCAAAGCCTGTGTGTCCAGGCAGAAGACTGCCCCAGGAATGGAGCCTTCATAGAGAACGTCTGCAAAGGCAGTGTGGAGGGGAAATGTGGGGTTGTAGCCCCCACACAGAGTCCCCGTTGGGGCATTGCCTAGTAGAGCTATGAGAAGAGGGCCATTGTCCTCCAGACCCCAGAATGGTAAATACAAGGACAGCTTGTACCTTGTGCTTGGAAAAGCTGCAGGCACTCAATGCCAGCCCGTGAAAACAGATGCCAGCCTGTGAAAACAGATGCTGTACCCTGCAAAGCTTCAGAGGCCAAGCTGCCCAAGGCCTTCGGAGTCCACCCCTTGCAGCAGTGTGCCCTGAGACTTCATGTGAGACATGAAGTCAAAAGAGATTATTTTGGAGCTTTAAAATATTTAATGACTGCCCTGCTGGGTTTCAGACTTGTGTGGGGCCTCTGGCCTCTTTTTGGGGGCTGATTTCTCCCTTTTGGAACAGGAGTATTTACCTAATATCTATACCCCCAGTTGTATCTTGGAAGTAACTAACTTGTTTTGATTTTACAGGCTTATTTGTAGAAGGGAGTTGCCTTGTCTCAGATGAGATTTTGGACTTTGGACTTTGGACTTTTGAGTTAATGCTGGAATGAGTTAAGACTTTGGGGGACTGTTGAGAAGGGATGATTGTATTTTGCAGTGTGAGAAGGACATGAGATTTGGAGTAGCCAGAATGATATGGTTTGGATCTGTGTCCCCATCAAATCTCATGTTGAATTGTAATCCCCACCATTGGAGGTGGGGCCTGGTGGAAGGTGATTGGATCATGGGGGTGGAGTTCTCATGAATGGGTTAACATCATCCCCAAGGTGCTGTTCTCATGAAAGTGAGTGAATGAGCTAGCATGAGATCTGGTTGTTCAAAAGTATGTGGCACCTCTCCCCTCTCTTTCTTCCTCCTCCTTCCTCCTCCTCCGGCCACATAAGATGTGTCTGTTTCCCCTTTGCCTTCTGCCATGACTGAGCATTTCCTGAGGCCTTCTGAGAAGCAGAAGCTGCTTGCTTCCTGTACAGCCTGTGAAACTGTGAGCCAATTAACCTTCTTTACTTTTTTGTTTTTGAGATGGAGTCTTGCTCTTTCACCCAGGCTGGAGTGCAGTGGCATGATATTGGCTCACTGAAACCTCTGCACCCCCTACCTCCAAATTCAAGCGATTCTCCTGCGTCAGCTTCTTGAGTAGCTGGGACTACAGGTGCATGGCACCACACCTGGCCAATGTTTGTATTTTTAGTAGAGATGGGGTTTTGCCATGTTGGCCAGGCTGGTCTCAAACTCCTGACCTCAGGCGATCCACCTGCCTCAGCCTCCCAAAGTGCTGGGATTAAAGGCATGAGCCACCAAACCCGGCCTAACCTTCTTTTCTTACAAATTACCGAGTCTCAGGTATTTCTTTACAGTGGTGTAAGAACAGACTAATACGCTTGCTGACAAAAGTATTGTAACTAGTATAGCCATAACAAATTCAAGTCCAAAGAAAGAGAACCGGAAGCCACAAACAATTTAATTTTTTCGGAAGAGTTTAAGTATAAAAGCAAGATAGGCAATAGCTGGCTATGAAAAACACTGGCATGTTGCAAGAAGTTTTAAGTCTATGTTCCAGGTGAGTGGAAATAAAATTGTACTGATACGACTCTCAGGGGCCTTGGGTTAGGATTGGGGAAGTAGAGTTGAAAATTGAAATAATTTAATTTATAGGTAAAACCATCACAGTAGATGAAATTGCCTAGGTTGACTATGTAGAGCTCTGGAGAAGGCTCACATCCAAAGGGCAGTTCTTAAAAGATAAGGCTGTGGCTTAGTAAAGAACATGAAGGAAGAAGAATTAGAGAACTTGGAGGAAATCCAGCATAGTGAAAGGTCACAGAGGCTGGGCATGGTGGCTCATGCCTTTCCAGCACTTTGGGAGGCCAAGGCAGGCAGAACACAAGGTCAGGAGTTCAAGACCAGCCCGGCCAACATGGTGAAACCCCGTCTCTACTAAGAATACAAAAATTAGCCAGGCGTGGTGGCAGGTGCCTGTAATCCCAGCTAGTCGGGAGGCTGAGGCAGGAGAATCGCTTGACCCTGGGAGGTGGAGGTTGCAGTGAGCCGAGATTGCGCCACTGCACTCCAGCCTGGGCAACAGGCAAGACTCCATCTCAAAAAAAAGAAGAAAGAAAAGTCACAGAAACCAAGTGAATAGAGGCTTTTAGAAAGGTAGGAATAGGGAACAGTATAAAATACAGCCCAGTAATATGAGGATGCACATATCAAGTGATACCCGTGCTTCCATATATATACTCTCTGAGATGGCATTTTGTCAGAACTGTCTTGGGTAGGATTTGCCCCCACCTCCCGTCCTGCCCCCATTTTTTTTTTTTTTTTTTGGAGATGGAGTCTTGCTCCGCCACCCAGACTGGGGTGCAGTGATGAGATCTTAGCTCACTGCAAACTCCACCTCCCGGTTCAAGCAATTCTCATGCCTCAGCCACCTGAGTAGTTGGAACTACCGGCATGTGCCACTATCCCCAGCTAATTTTTGTATTTTTTTAGGAGAGACGGGGTTTTGCCATGTTGGCCAGGCTGATCTTGAACTCCTGACCTCTAGTGATCTGCCTGCCTTGGTCTCCCAAGGTGCTGGGATTACAGGTATGAGCCACCGTACCCAGCCCTATTCTTGTTTTAATAACCAAAGCTGCAGTCTTCTACAAGAAATTTCTTACCCAAGAGTTTTTAGAAGTAATTAATAAGTTTATAATAAAATGTAACTCCATGAGCTACTAGGAACTTCTTTCTTATTTGGTATTAACTACCGTTTTCCTTAGCTAACTTAAAAAGTGGCTTCTGGGAAGTTTTTATTTAAACAGAAGTGATAAAGCCTGTACTTGCTAAAAGATGGGACTGCCAGAACCAGTTTTGCTTTGTCAGTTATCTTTTGATATAAGGTATAAGGCAGGGAGCCCCTCTCCTGAGGCTATCAAAATGAGGTTCCAGAAGTGTGTGAGAGTGCAAGGGATTCCACCACACTCATTTCAGGCTTCTGCCATCTTCTCTTGCCAGTCCAGTCATGGCACCAACTGGCTTAGGGAACATGTCAAGAATGAGATGATGGGCTAAGTGCGGTGGCTCACACCTGTAATCCCAGCACTTTGGGAGGCCAAGGTAGGTGGATCACCTGAGGTCAGGAGTTTAAGACCAGCCTGGCCAACATGGTGAAACCCCGCCTCTATTAAAAATACAAAATTTAGCTGAGTGTGGTGGCACTTGCCTATAGTCCCAGATACTAGAGAGGCTGAGACAGGAGGATCGCTTGAACCTGGGAGGCAGAGATTGCAGTGAGCTGAGATCATGCCACTACATTCCAGCCGGGGCAGCAGAGTGAGACCCTGTCTCAAAAAAAAAAAAAGGGGGTGATGGGAAATGGCTGATCCAACTTAAGTCCAGCGTGCCCATCATCCATTGTCCTGCCTGGACGATGACAAGTAGGGTGGGGGCTAATTGTTACACAGTCTAAAACACAAAGTCTTCACAATTAGCTTCTAAACTTTTATTTCACAATGATAAATTATGTTTATAAATGATTAAGATTGGGAGTTTTTCAATTCACATCCCTATAGAGAGATGATACAAAAGAAACACTGTAACTTCCAAAGAGAAATATCTTAACTTGGTGGATACACAGACTATAAAATAATCTGAGGCCCTGCTGGATGGCTCAGGCCTGTAATCCCAGCACTTTGGGAGGCCCAGGCAGGCAGATCATTTGAGGTCAGGAGTTTGAGACCAGCTTGGCCAACATGGTGAAGTGTTGTCTCTACTAAAAATACAAAAAAAATTAGCCAGGCATGAGAGTGCACGCCTGTAATCCCAGCTACTCAGTAGGCTGAGGCATGAGAATCTCTTGAACCCAGTAGGCGGAGGTTCCAGTAAGCTGAGATAGCACCACTGCACTCCAGCCTGGGTGAAAGAGCGAGACAGTGTCTCAAAATAATAATAATGATGATGATAATCTGAAAGATTATTAAATTATAGCCAGAGAGTTTGCATTGGCTGGAGAGATGTAAATATTAGAACATATGATGCTCATATAATTAGGAGTGAAATCAAGATAGGAGGAATATATCCTTATTACAGGAACTTTGGAACCCAGTGTTGACTAAGATTAGGATTCGGAGCTGCTTTCACCACCACACAACTATGTCTGAACTGCTGAGAAAAGAAGGAGTTAGCACATTGAAAACAAGAGAATGCTCTTTCTAGAATCGAGGTCTTTTGGAGACAGGTAGTATTAAAGCTCCCAAGAAAAGCAAATAATGCAGGATCTTTACCCTCAGGACCGCATCCAGCTCTGTTTAAAGTGAGAAGCCTCGGCCGGGGGCAGTGGCTCACGTCTGTAATCCCAGCACTTTGGGAGGCTGAGGTGGGCAGATCACCTGAGGTCAGGAGTTTGAGACCAGCCTGGCCAACATGATGAAACCCCATCTCTACTCAAAATACAAAAAATTAGCTGGGCGTGGTGGCGGGCGCCTGTAATCCCAGCTACTTGGAAGGCTGAGGCAGAAGAATCGCTTGAACCCGGAAGTGGAGGTTGTAGTGGGCCAAGATTGCGCCACTGCACTACAGCCAGGGCAACAGAGCCAAAAAAAAAAAAAAAAAGAAATAAGAAAATGAGAAGCCTTCATCACAGGGAGGCGAACTCCCAACTCCAGGGAAACCATCTGTCTAGAATGATGCAACCACAATTAGCCTCTGCAACTCTGGGACTTTGAGTAAATTGGGTTTGTAACCTAACCCAAAACTGGCAAATCCAGTCTTTTAAGGCTAATTCTTTGTGGAGAATCTGCTGGTTTTCTGGATCAAGGGCAGGGCACTCTGGAGATTCAACCAGCTTGGCAGAAATCAGTCTTGAATGAGGTATATCAGACAGGGCTCTTAATTGCCGGCAATAAAAGTTGACTCTAGATGCTGAGGCAGAGAAAGAACTCTGGGTGGCTCACAGAACTCTTTTGAGAGCTTCAGGTGAATCTTCCAGGAATGATGTCCAAAACCACAGAACAGAATTGGCCAGATGAGAAGACCGCTCCCATTGTGGCCACCAAGCACCGAGGCTCTGCTTGACTCTGCAGCCATTGCCACTGTAGCCAGTATAGATGCTACATCGACTCCAGCAACTTTCACCTCATCTGTGGCAGAAAACAGAGGGAAAATATGGGCTTGCATCACAGATCAAATTTCAAAGACAGAAAACTTTTAGAGTTGCCATTTATGAAGGGAGCTATAGATAGAGTGAGGAGCAACTTTTCTCCTGGAGACTCTGAGATGGCCCGACCCTCTCAGCTGCTCAAGAGGGGCTGATGGGAGGCTTTTGGAGTTCTATGTTGCAAATCACAGAAACAGACTCATGACAAGTAAGCCCTAATTATTTTTAGTGAATTATGGAAATAATCAGATATGCTCCAAGCAGACATTGCTCAGCTGATGCTGAGGAGGGACAGGGTAATGCTTTGTGATGTGAGGTGATGCTTCGGAATCAGAAACAATGATTTTTGTTTAAACTGTGATAAGTTAAAAGCCTATTATTAATTCTGTTAAGATATTCAAGGAGGTCATTTGCAGAAAACTCATTGTTACTTCCCATAAATTTTCATTTCCTTGATTGTAATAAAAGGTGCTATACAAAATAGGAAACAGCGCCTTCTCCTGTAAGAGCATGACATGTGTGCTTTTTGAGAGGCCACGCATGATTTCATTACATATTAATTTCTGGAACATTCTAATAGAAGAAACGTATCTATTTACATTGCACTATTTTTCTGAAGAGTCATGTAAAAAGGATTCCAAACTTTTAAATAACAAGCTATATTAGGATCTATTGTTCCGTAACAATTTATCCCTAAATTTAGCATAAAACAGCAACAAACATTTATTGTTTCATACAGCTGTGGGACAAGAATTCAGGAGTTGTTTGGTTATGGCTCTGGCTTTTGATTCTCACAAGGTTGTGTTGCAGTCAGCTGAAGGCTTGACCCTGGCTGAGGATCCACTCCTAAGGTGGTTCATTGCGTGCCTGGTCAGTTGGTACTGGTTGCCAGCAAGAGGCCTCAGTCCTTTGTCCTGTAGATCTCTCCGTAGGACTTCTTGGATATCCTTACAATGTGGCAGCTGATTGCCTCCAGAGTGAGTGATTCAAGAGGAAGCGAGGCAAAAGCCAGGATTTTTTTTTTTTTTGAGATGGAGTCTTGCTCTTTCGCCCAGGCTGGAGTGAGGTGGCGTGAACTCAGCTCACTGCAACCTCTGCCCCCGGGTTCAAGTGATTCCCCTGCCTCAGTCTCCCAAGTAGCTGGGATTACAGGCACCTGCCACCATGCCTAGCTAATTTTTGTATTTTTAGTAGAGACGGGGTTTCGCCATGTTGGCCAGGCTGGTCTCGAACTCCTGACCTCAGGTGATCTACCCACCTCAGCCTCCCAAAGTGCTGGGATTACAGGCGTGAGCCACTGTGCCCGGCCAAAGCCAGGATGTCTTTTATACCCCCGTCTCAGAAGTCACTCACAGTTTCCCACTGGGAACACATTCTATGTGTTTATTTTAGGCTTGGCCAATGTGACTGGCTGAGGTTCAGATCAAGATTCATCTACTTCATTTGGCTCAAGAATAAATTTGGGAAATAAATAAGCATTCATGTTATACTTCTTAGTCATCAGTATAAATAACGCATTTTCACTCCCTATTTTCAGAGAAAGAATCTTCTTAGCTGTCTTCTCCAGTATCTTATTTCAATGTTTAACAGCCTTCATGGTTAGGGATTTTTTTTTCCTTTAACATTGTTTAAGTTATTCACCTTCATCTGACTGCAGCAGTGACACAAAGAAGTTTCGTATTTCTCCTCTGTCATTAATTCTCCATGTATTCAATGCCATGAAATTACTTCTCTTCTTCTGGTGAAATAATTCCAGTTTTGTTACCTTTTTTTCTCATGCTGGCAGGGATAAGGAGTGTGCGTGTGTGTGTGTGTGTGTGTGTGTGTAAACTTTATTAGGTAGAATTTCAAATATATAGAAAAGTAGAGTAGCCTAATGAACTCCCATGTACCCAGCTGAAGAAGGAGAATAGGGAATTAGGGTAATGAAGGGTTGGGGCATAAGCAAGGAATAGCAGGGGCAGCCAGATCGCATAAGCAAGGGAACAGAAGGTATAGCCAGTTCTAGGCAAGATTGGGCAGCATACAGGCCACATCCTCACTCCTGTGATAACAAGATGGAAGTCTCCACTTCAGCCGCTGATTGGTCACAGGCCAATCCTTCATAGGGTGTAGCCAATTGGAGGCCTCTGAAGAGCACCTAGGAGTGTTACAGAATTCTCTTGGCTTTATAAGACCCTGAGGAGCCACCAGGTGCGGTGGCTCACGCCTGTAATCCCAGCACTTTGGGAGGCCGAGGCAGGTGGATAACCTGAGGCCAGGAGTTCGAGACCAGCCTGGCCAACATGGTGAAACCATGTCTCTACTATAAATATAAAAAAAATTAGCTGGGCACGGTGGCGCATTCCTGTAGTCCCAGCTACTCTGGAGGCTGAGGCATGAGTATGGCTTGAACCTGGGAGTCGGAGGTTGCAGTGAGCCGAGATCAAGCCACTCCACTCCAGCCTGGGCGACAGAGTGAGACTTGTGACCCCATCGCGAAACAACAACAACAAAAACCCTGAGGAGCATTGCAATAAAGGGGCTCTTGAGCTGCTTGCTCAAGTTCACTCCTGCTCTGTGAATTGTACCTTCTCTTAAGAAATCTGTGACTTCCTTACTCTGTTCTTTTGTTGTTTTGTCTTTCGTTGCTTCTTTTTTGCTTTGTTTCTGTGTTTTGTTCAATTCTTTGTTCAACACACCATGAACCTGGACAACTCACAGTCAAGACCTTCTATCTGGTAACAATAGGCAACACCATTTAAAGAAGAGAGAACACTTTCTGTAGTTCCTGGAGTAGAGAGACATCTGACTTTCCTGGCAGAAATGTGGGGTGAATTATCTAAACCTGTTTTTCTGGACGGTAGGGGCCAGGAGGAAAAGAGTATAGTCAAGGCTCTCCTTGAACTTCCTCCAGGGACCTTTGACCTCTACTTCATTGTCTGAATTGTTTTGCTGGAGGAGGTAAAACATGCACACCAGTGTGCACACACACAAGCACTCACTCACACAGTGGTCCTTAACACACTTTAGAATCAAAAAATTGTTTAAAGGAAAGGGAACTTCAAGGTCATTTAGCCCAAGGTTGTCATTTTACGCTTGTGAAAAAGGAGGCCCATTTATATCACATAACTTACGGTTGGTTAGCACTTAATAATAACCTGTAATGCATTTTTAGTAATATTTTGAGCATGTGTCCTCAATTATATTATCTCTTATTTTGTTTTATTTTATTTTATTTATTTTTTGAGGCAGAGTCTCACTCTGTTGCCCAGGCTGGAGTGCAGTGGCGCGATCTCGGCTCACTGCAAGCTCCGCCTCCCGGGTTCACGCCATTCTCCTGCCTCAGCCTCCCAAGTAGCTGGGACTACAGGCACCCGCCACCACACCCAGCTAATTTTTTGTATTTTTAGTAGAGACGGGGTTTCACCGTGTTAGCCAGGATGGTCTCGATCTCCTGACCTTGTGATCCACCCACCTTGGCCTCCCAAAGTACTGGGATTACAGGTGTGAGCCACTGCGCCCGGCCAATTATATTATCTCTTGAAGGCTCCAGCACAGGGCAAATGGTTGCCCTAAGTATGTGAAAGAAGCCTTATAAACTGGAAACTTAAATCTAGAATTTTATATGCTAAATCTTTATTCAACATTATACCTTAAAAGACAGTGCTTAATATGGAGATAGGTTACAATTTTAAATACTGTATTATTACAATTAATGTTTTAACTGAAAATGCAATTTGTCAGCAGCATTAAAGAATTTCTAAATCCTCCGTAATTCTATTAAACAATGAATAAAACTACAGTCATGTGCCCATAATGACATTTTGCTCAATGATGGACCAACCACATATATGACAATGGTCCCATAAGATTATAATAGAACTGAAAAATTCTTCTTGCTTAGTGAAGTCACACCATCACACTGTCATAACACAACACAATACTTACATGTCTGGGGCGATACTGGTGTAAACAAACCTGCTGTGTTTCCAGTTGTATAAAAGTATAGAACATACAATTACACTACATGATACCTGATAATAAACAGCTATGTTACTGCTTAATGCATACTATATTTTTTTTTTTTTTTTTTTTTTTTTTTTTTTTTGAGATGGAGTCTCACTCGGTCACCCAGGCTGGAGTGCAGTGGCACAATCTCGGCTAACTGTAACCTCTGCCTCCTGGGCTCAAGCAATCCTAACACCTCAGCCTCCCAGAGGCAGGTGGAACCACAGGCGCATGACACCACATCCAACTAATTTTTGTATTTTTAGTAGAGACAGGGTTTTGCCATGTTGCCTAGGCTGGTCTCAAACTCCTGAGCTCAAGCGAGCCACCCGCCTCAGCCTCCCAGAGTGCTGGGATTATAGGCGTGAGCCACTGGCCTGGCCTCATTTATTATACTTTTTTCTTCTTGAAAGGGAATCTCGCCTGTCACCCAGGTTGGAGTGCAGTGGCACGATCTCGGCTCGCTGCAACCTCTGCCTCCCGGGTTCAAGTGATTCTTCTGCCTCAGCCTCCCTAGTAGCTGAGACTACAGTCGCACATCACCATGCCTGGCTAATTGTTGTATTTTTAGTAGAGATGGCATTTCACCATATTGGCCAGGCTGGTTTCAAACTCCTGACCTCATGATCAGCCCGCCTCAGCCTCCCAAAGTGCTGGGATTCCAGGCATGAGCCACCACGCCCGGCCTACTATACTTTTAACTGTTAGTTTAGCGTGTACTCCCTCAATTCATAAAAAAAGCTAACTGTAAAGCAGCCTTGGGCAGGCCCTTCAGAAGGCGTTGTTATCACAGATGCCAGCTCCACAGGTGTTATTGTCCCTGAGACCTTCCAGTGGGATGAGATGTAGAGACGGAACACAGCAATGATGATTCTGACCCTGTGTAGGCCTAGGCTAATGTGTGTGTTTGTGTCCTAGCTCTTTTTTTTTTTTTTTTTTTTTGAGATGGAGTTTCACTCTTGTTACCCAGGCTGGAGTGCAGTGGTGCGATCTTGGCTCACTGCAACCTCCGCCTCCCGGCTTCAAGTGATTCTCCTGCCTTAGCCTCCCGAGTAGCTGGGATTACAGGTGCACACCACCAGGCCTGGCTATTTTTTTTGTATTTTTAGTAGAGACAGGATTTCACCATGTTGGTCAGGCTGGTCTCAAACTCTTGACCTCAGGTGATCCACCTGCCTCGGCCTCCCAAAGTGCTGGGATTACAGGCGTGAGCCACTGTACCCGGCCCATGTCCTAGTTTTTAATGAAAAAGTTTACAAAGTTAAAAAAAAAATTAAAAATAGAAAAAACTTATAGAATAAAAATATAAAGAAAAAATTGTACAGCTGTACAGTGTGAGTTTCAAGTGAAGTGTTATTACAAAAGTGTCAAAAAGTTTAAAAAATTTAAAAGCTTATAAAGCTAGAATGTTGGCTGGGCGCAGTGGCTCATGCCTGTAATCCCAGCACTTTGGGCGGTTGAGGTGGGTGGATCACTTGAGGTCAGTAGTTCGAGACCAGCCTGGCCAACATGGTGAAACCCCGTCTCTACTAAAAATAAAAAAAAATTAGCCAGGTGTGGTGGCGGGTGCCTGTAATCCCAGCTACTCAGGAGGCTGAGGCAGGAGAATCACTTGAACCCGGGAAGCAGAGGTTGCAGTGAGCTGAGATCACACCACTGCACTCCAGCCTGGGCGACAGAGTGAGACTCCATCTCAAAGAAAAAAAGAAAAAAAAAAAGTTACAGTAAGGTAAGGTTAACTTATTTTGAAGAAAGAAAAATTTTTGTTTGTTTGCTTGTTTTTGAGACAGGGTGTTGCTCTGTCACCCAGGCTGGAGTGCAGTGTAGTGATCTTGGCTCACTGCAACCTCCACCTCCCAGCCTCAAGTGGTCCCCCCACCTCAGCCTCCCAAGTAGCTGGGACTACAGGCATGCGCCACCATGCCCGGCTAATTTTTGTATTTTTAGCAGAGACAGGGTTTCACTATGTTGCCCACAATGGTCTCGAAATTCTGGGCTCAAATGATCTGCCTGCCTCAGCCTCCCCAAGTGCTAGGATTACAGATATGAGCCACCACACCTGGCCATGAAAAGTATTATAAAATAAATTTAGTGCAGCCTAACTGTACAATGTTTATGAAGGCTATAGCAGTGTATAGTAGTGTCCTAGGTCCTAGGCCTTCACATTCACTCACCATTTACTTACCAACTCACACAGAGCAACTTCCAGTCCTGCAGCCTCCACTCATGGTAAGTGTCCTATAAAGGTGTACTATTTTTTTTATCTTTTATACATATTTTTACTGTACCTTTTCTATATTTACCTACACAAATACTATTGCATTACAGTTGCCTGCAGTATTCAGCACAGTTATATGCTGTACAGGTTTATAGCCTAGGAGCAATAGGCTATGCCATATGGCCTAGGTGTGTAGTGGGCTGTACCATCTACGTGTGTGTAAGTATACCCTATGATGTTCACACAATGACAAAATCACCTAATGACGCATTTCTCAGAATATATTTCTGTCATTAAGTAACACAGGACTATTTCATTTTCCCTCTTTAGGTACACAACATTTATCCATTACAGCATATGTATAATTTCTACTTTGTTAGTTTCACTTACCATTTTCCTGAAATTTTTTTTGCATTTTTGTAGTCTTTATAATTCTAATTTTAAATGGCTGCATGATTTTATCTTTTGTCAGACAAGCATGGGTCTGAGTCTCAGCTCTGCTACGACATAGTTGTGCGATTCTAGGAAAGCTTCTTTCTTTCCTTTTAAAAATAGCTTTGAGTTATAATTGACACACAATAAACTGCACGTATTTAAAATACACACTTTGGTAAGTTTGACATCTGTATACACCAGTGACACCATCACCACAGTCAAGATAATAAACATACTCACCACCCTCAAAAGTGTCCACCCTTCTGAGGTCCGTCCCTCCCACTGAGATTCCTCATGCTGTTGCTAGGAAAATGATAGAACATTTGAATCTGGTTACATAAAAAGACAAAAACTGGAGAGTTTAGGAGGAAGCAACTTAGCCTCCTGTATGACTGTAGTCTTGGCCCCAGGGCAGTTCCTGGCTCAGACACTCTGGGGGTATCCTCAGTCTAAGGAGGGTGTCTGCCTGCCCGGTTGACAGGATGCCTCTTCTTCACATACGTCTTGTCTTTCAGAGTCCATGACCAATGCCTCACTTACAAATATCTTTTCTCCTTTTGCTCCCACCTTTGTGGATATTTACCAGTTTTTTTTCTCTAAAATCATCCTTACTTTTTTTTTTTCTTTTTTTTTTTTTGAGGTGGGGTCTCACTCTGTCTCCCAGGCTGGAGTATAGTGGTGTGATCTCAGCTCTCTGCAACTGAGTTCAAATGATCCTCCTGCCTCAGCCTCTCGAGTAGCTGGGATTACAGGCATGCATAACCATGCCCGACTAATTTTTGTATTTTTAGTAGAGATGGGGTTTCGCCATGTTGGCCAGGCTGGTCTCAAACTCCTGACCTCAGGTGATCCACCCACCTTGGCCTCCCAAAATGCTGGGATTACAGGCGTGAGCCACTGCGGCCGGCCACAGTCATTACCTTTAAGCTCCCCCCAAATCTGATCATTTCTCCCATTCTTTGCACACTATCTCAGACCTTTACGCCCTAAGGGCTATGACTCATACCAAAATTGCAAAGTGCAATGGAAATAATTAATAGAGCAAGCAAGGTGCATAGGATAACCCTCTGTGCTATCAACAGGTGTGTCTCCCCCTCCTGGGATTTCATGTCACCCGTAAATTTGTGTCTCTAGCCTGACAGATTCTTTTTGAGCCTTTTGACATTGCCTTTGTTTCTGAAAGTCTCCTGGAGGGCAGGGGCTGAGGCTGGGTTATATAAAGATAAGCCCCTGAAGAAAGGGCTTTATAAATAGGATTTCAAGTGCATTCTGGGAATTAGAGGGCTGCCAGGTGCAGTCCTGGAGATTGACACTAAGGGGCAGCATGTACCAAAGGATATATTTAGCTCTGCCAAAGCCCAGTAGAAACAAAGAGAAAATCACCTTGCTTTTAAACCCCAAGAGCCAAGATGTAGAAGCCACATTTTCATCTCTTGAATCAAATTACAGCATTACAATTTTCAATATCTATTCTATTAGGAGTTTTACCTGCCAACTGAGTTCTCCGAGTAAATTATTTTATGGTTAAATATGATATAAATATAATACTGTTGAGACCCATATACTCTGTAAGATTTACTGATTTTAGTGCATCTATAACTTCAACAACTTAATTTGGAATTAAATAATATTTTATTCCAAATTCAAACTCTTTTTTTTTTTTTTTTTTGCGACAGAGTCTGGCTGCAACACCCAGGCTGGAGTGCAATGGCATTATCTCGGCTCACGGTAACCTCTGTCTCCTGGGTTCAAGCGATTCTCCTGCATCAGCCTCCCGAGTAGCTGGGACTACAGGCGCATGCCACCACATCTCACTGCTTTTTGTATTTTTAGTAGAGACGGGGTTTCACCGTTTTGGTCAGGCTGGTCTCAAACTCCTGACCTCAAGTGATCTACCCGCCTCAGCCTCCCAAAGTGCTGGGATTACAGGCGTGAGCCACCACATCCAGCTCAAACTCTTTATATTCATTGACATGACTGTTGTCTGTCTGTCTGTTTCTCTTTCTCCCTTTGATGAAGCAAATTTTTATGTGGAATAAAGGCAATCAAATAATTATTTGGCAGTTAAACTAGACAAGGCCAACTCTTGGGGAATCTTATGTTTCCCTCTCTGATTGATTTGTTTATGAATTCATCCATCAGTGAGGATTTCTGAGCACTTCCATATGCCTGTCCCTGTGCTAAATGCTGTGGAATGCATAGATGAACCAGATATCAACCCTGACATCAAGGAACTCATTCAAAGTGTGGAGGGTGGGGAACATACGGCAGACAAAAAAAAACGTGATGTTGGGAATGTATGGTAAGTGCAATGATGAGAAAAACAAACATAAGGTAGGAAATAGGAGAGGACAGAGAAGGCACCTATCAGAGATGGGGGGATGTGGGGTGGGTAGTTGGGAAGAGTGCAGGAAAATGTCCAAGAGGAGATGACATTTGAACTGATCTTAAAGGAGCAGATGGAATTAGCTTTCCACACAGTGTGCTCAGAACCTGCAAAGGCATGGAAGAATGGGAGCTCCCAACACCATGGTCAGTTTGCAGGCAGGGCCAACCCTTTGAATGGCCAGGAGCGTGGGTGTTGATTTGTGATTTAGATCAGCTTCTCTGACAGCAGAATAGACGTGAGAATGGAGGGGCATGGTAGAAAGTAGAAAGAGCAGTAAGGAAGCCACTGCAGTAATAGGGACCAAAAATTAAAAGGCCCCAAAGGTGGTGAAGAATGGAGAGAAGTGGACCAGTTTAGCTGGTATTTAAGAATTGTGGCTGGGTGCAGTGGCTCACACCTGTAATCCCGGCACTTTGGGAGGCTGAGGCAGGTGGATCACTTGAGGCCAGGAGTTCAAGACCAGCCTAGCCAACATGGTGAAACCCCATCTATACTAAAAACACACAAAATAATTAGCCCAGCGTGGCGGTGCCCACTTGTAATCCCAGCTACTCAGGAGGCTGAGGAAGGAGAATTGCTTGAACCCAGGAGGCAGAGGTTGCAGTGAGCTGAGATCCTGTCACTGCACTTCAGCCTGGGTGACAGACTAAGACTCCGTCTCAAAAAAAAAAAAAAATTGTGACAGAAGCTGGTGTGACCAAGGAACTGGATGTTTGAGATGACTGAGGGGATGAGTTTTGCTTAGGTCCCGTGAGATAAAGTAGAAAACGTAAAAAGACGTATTTACTCATTTCTGCTTGCCAGTGTAATTTCACAAGCCCCTGACTCTGTGTAGACACCCAGCTCTCCAGAAAAATGCTTTGAAGACAAAGGATACAGCATACAGTCCCGTGTCTCGGCTGAGTCATCGCATTCCTTAATAGGTAAATAAGCCTAATTAATGCCTTTTCCTATAGGTAACATAATGTCTGATGGGGTTAGGGATGATGCCTCTGTAATCTATACCAGATGTACTCTTATACACAAACCTTGATGTGATTCTGCTTTAATGTAACTTCTGCAAGTTTGATGTGACTTTGCATGTAGTGAACCCCCAAGGCCTGTGTAGAAGCTGCGGGTGGAGCTACCTTGCTGGAGCAGTCTCACAGAACCCCTCTGAAGGGCTGCTCCCAGGATGTAGACCTTGGTCTATAGTCCTCAGTAAGATTCCTGAGTAAAACTAGTTTTAACTTTCTAAAAGCTTGATTTTTTTTTTTCTTTAGTGGACAGTCCGAATTGAGTTTGAAAAGCTTGTGGGACATTCAGGTAGAGATGTGGTCCAGCAGGCTGTTGGATAGATGGTTCTGGAGCTTAGCAGACAGATCTGGGCCAAGAAATATAATCTTGGGAGAGACTGAAATTATAGGAGTAGCTGAGACCACAGTGGGAACAACATTTAAGAGCTGGAGAGGGGAAAGTGCTTTAAAAAATGAGGAGGAGGCTGGGCACGCTGGCTCACATCTATAATCCCAGCATTTTGGGAGGCTGGGGTGGGAGGATTGCTTGAGGCCAGAAGTTTGGGACCAGCGTGGGCAACATAGCAAGACTCCATTTCTACAAAGAAAAAAATAAAATAAAATCCTAAGCTCCTCAACTGACTGAACAGACCCTCTCTTGGCCCAGGGGACCCCAGAGAAACCTGAACAACTGAATTCCAGGCCTTGATGGGAAGAGAGGTCAGACAGGCCTCATTGTACCTCTTTCCTTTTGGGATACCAAATTCCAACCTCACTCTGGTAGCATCACATGACAGATAGCAGACCATGAAGGAAATCAAAATATTTTACCCCAAAATAGACTTCTCTGACATATTTTGAAATGGTCCTGTAAAGCCGTCTTTTATGGGGGAAATTTTGCATCTATAGAGAATCTCCATTAATGCAGCTAGGCCTTTCCAGATCTAGGAGAAATTAACTAGGAATTTGACACTTTTTAAGGTCCAAAAAGAAACATTTATCATTTATTCTCTCTGAAGGCTGCTACCTGGAGGTTTCATCTACATAAGAAGAACCTTGGCTTCCACAGCCCCCTTTATCTTAACTCAAGAATTTCTTTCTGCTGACTTCAAGTCTTTAGACAACAATGCTTAACTCTTTCAACAAATTGCCAATCAGAAACTCTTTTTTTTTTTTTTTTTTTTTAGACAGAGTGTCGCTTTATCACCCACCCTGGAGGGCAGTGGCATGATCTTGGCTCACTGCAACCTCCACCTCCCAAGTTCAAGTGATTCTCCTGCTTCAGCCTCCTGAGTAGCTGGGATTACAGGCATGCACCACCACACCCGGCTAATTTTTTTTTGTATTTTTAGTAGAGACAGGGTTTCACCATGTTGGCCAAGCTGGTCTCGAACTCCTTACCTCAGATGATCCACCCACCTTGGCCTCCCAAAGTATTGGGATTACAGGCGTGAGCCACCGGGCCCTGCCCGAAAATCTTTGAATCCACTTGTGATCTGTAAGCCCCATACCCCTGCCTTTTTGAGCCAAACCAATGTACACCTTACATATACTGATTTATGACTTCGCCTATAACTTAACATATAAAACCAAATTTTGGCCAGGTACAGTGGCTCATGCCCATAATCTCAGCACTTTGGGAGGCTAAGGCAGGAGGATCACTTGAGCCCAGGAGTTTGAGACCAGCTTGGGCAGCATAGTGAGACCTCATCTCTAAAAAAAGTAAAAAATAAAAAATTAACCAGGAATGGTGGTGTGCACCTGTGTGTGGTCTCAGCTATTCAGGAAACTGAAGTGGGAGGATTGCTTGAGCCTGGGAGTTCGAGGCTGCAGTGAGCCATTATTGCACCACTGCACTCCAGTCTGGGTGACAGCGGGAGACCCTATCTCAAAAATAAATAAATAATGAACTAAATTGTAACCTGCCACCTTGGGCATACCTTCTTAGGACCTCTTGAGACAGTTCCCTGGGCCGTGGTCACTCATATCGGCTCAAAATAAACCTCTTTAAGTATTTCACAGAGACAATGTAAGGTGGCTAAAGCCTGTAATCCCAGCACTTTGGGAGGCCAAGGCAGGAGGATCACTTGAGGCCAGGAGTTTGACACCAGCCTGGGAAACATAGGGAGACCCCATATCTACAAAAATAAAAAAATTAGTCAGGCATGATAACATGTGCCTGTTGTCCCAGCTACTCAGGTGGCTGAAGCAGGAGGATCGCTTGAGCCTGGGAGGTTGAGGTGCAGTGAGCCATTACTGGGCCACTGCATTCCAGCATGGGTGACAGAGCAAGACTCTGTCTTAAAAAAATAAATAAAATAAGGCTGGGTGCAGTGGCTCACACCTGTAATCCCAGCATTTTGGGAGGCCAAGGCAGGCGGATTGCGTGAGCTCAGGAGTTCAAGACCAGCCTGGGCAACATGGCAAAACCCCATCTCTACTACAAATACAAAAATAAAAATAAAAATTAGCCAGGCATGGTGGTGTGAACCTGTAGTCCCAGCTACTTGGGAGGCTGAGATGGAAGAATTGTCTGAGCCCAGGAGGTCGAGGCTGCAGTGAGCTGTGATGGCACCACTGCACTCCAGCCTGGGCAACCAGAGTCAGACCTTGCCTCAAAAATAATAATAAATAAATAAATAAAATAAATATTGTATAGAGTTTGTTTTTTCCATTCTGAGTAGGTGCTATGGTCATCCCCATTTAGACTAATGGGGAAAATGCAGCATAGATGCTAATTGACCAGCACAGGATCACACAACTAGTGGCAGAGGTGAGAGGTAAAGCCAGGCAGTTCATGCTTTTAGCCACCATGATACTGCCTCCCACACAGGAAAAATTTACAAAGGGTAATTACTAGGGTAGGGAATGGTGAGAGAGAATTTTACTATTTCATACTCCTAAGTATTCAAAATATTATTTTACCTATATTACTTTGACAATAAAAACTAACAATTTTTTTTTTTTTTTTGAGACGGAGTCTCACTGTCACCCAGGATGGAGTGCAGGGACGTGATCTTGGCTCATTGCAACCTCCACCTCCTGGGTTCAAGCAATTCTCCTGCCTCAGCCTCCCGAGTAGCTGGGACTACAGGCGTGCACCACCATATCCAGTTAATTTTTGTATTTTTAGTAGAGACAGGGTTTCACCATTTTGGTCAGGGTGGTCTCGAACTCCTGACCTCAAGTGATCTGCCTCCCAACGTGCTGGGATTACAGGATTGAGCCACTGTGCCCAGCCTGAATATGTTTGAAAATTTTGTGTTAGGTGTACAGTGAACACCTCCTGGGAACCTTGCAGGGAGGTTGCAGTGGAGTAGCCAGGCAGCAAGGCCAGGGGCAGATGGGATGGTTGAGGTTACATACTGACTACTTTGTTGAAGGGAAATAAAAAGGAGATCCTGGCTTGCTTTCCGTATAATTAAGTTTCAGTCCTGAGAGAACAGGCAGGATTTAAAAGCACAGTGGCCAATATCTGGCTTTGGTTTTTACATGGACTCTTTCTTTATTAAGTTTCTCTCACTTGGAAATCTGTTGTGGATTCCTGCACACACAGCTGCTCTGAGGTTTATTTCAACTTTTTTATTAGGTAATACATTCCTATAACTGAAAAAGTTAAAATCACTTAAAAAGGTGTACACTGGGAAGTCTTACTCCCAACCACTCTGTTCTACCCTTTCCCCCCTTACCCCTGACAGCTCCCAACATAGTATTATATTTTGTTTCCTTTCAGTGACTCCTTAGGTAACTGCAAGCACACATACACATGTATTATTTCTTTTTTACACAGTTGGGAGCACTGCTTTGTACCTTTCTAAATCAGTGCGTGGAGCACTTCCTCTTTTTTTTTTTTTTTCAACTGTCCTTTGGGTTAGTTTAATCTACTATGAATTTACTCCCTTGTCCTTGCTATTGGCTTTGCTGAGTCATCTCCAGGTTGGAACTAGTGTTTCTTCTTTGCTCCCCTATTTTTAGAGTTCTTCCCCATCATCAGCTTCCTAGCAACTAATTGCATTTCTATCCACACTCCCCTAAAGAGAGATAAGGCTTCCTCTTGCTTTGTCTTTGCCTTCTTATCTAATGCACCCAATGAGCACTAGCCTTCTTCAATGACCCTTGGGGCAGCAGCTCACACCTGTTCATTTTGGTGATTAAATACGGAGCAGAGGCACCTCCCTTTGAATCTCTTGTCACTGGCAATTTTCATCTTCCCGGAAACAGGTGTGCTGGGGAGAACGTTTCCCCCTCCCCCACGTATAAATGCTTATAGTTTAATGGTAAACAACCATTGACAGAGCTGTGTATCTGTTGAACAGGTAGGTATTTTCCTTCCTATTTTTATTTATTTTTAAATTCTATATTTTAGTTTGACTTTGTACCTGTTACCTGGTTGTCTTATGAATATGCTGGAGCTGCTACCTCTTGGGGGTGTAGGGATTAGCGAGGAGAAACAACTCAGCTGCGAAGTGCTTATTTGCAGCTTGCCCCAGCAAGGGTGGAACACTCTTTAATGAAAGACTATTATTATTATTAATTTTTTTTTTTTGAGACGGCGTCTCGCTCTGTCGCCCAGGCTGGAGTGCAGTGGCGCGATCTCGGCTCACTGCAAACTCCGCCTCCCGGGTTCACGCCGTTCTCCTGCCTCAGCCTCCTGAGTAGCTAGCTGGGACTACAGGCGCCCGCCGCCGCGCCCGGCTAATTTTTTTTTGTATTTTTAGTAGAGACGGGGTTTCACCGTGTTAGCCAGGATGGTCTCGATCTTCTGACCTTGTGATCCACCCATCTCTGCCTCCCAAAGTGCTGGGATTACAGGCTTGAGCCACCGCGCCTGCGCAGACTATTATGTTTTTAACAACCATCACTTGTGTGGCGAGCTGACTCGGGGGATTGTAATATTCTGTTTTAATGAAAGTGTTGGTGTTTCCTCATCTGTTTATTCTGAACAAGTGTCTTCTCCCCGGGTTTGGTGGCCTGCTTCTGGAGTGGTCAGTTCTGCTGCCGACATGCCCACCCAGCTCGAGATGGCCATGGACACCATGATTAGAATCTTCCACCGCTATTCTGGCAAGGAAAGGAAGAGATTCAAGCTCAGCAAGGGGGAACTGAAACTGCTCCTGCAGCGAGAGCTCACGGAATTCCTCTCGGTGAGTCAGGCCTTTGTAAATGCTGTATTCATTTGAGGGTAGATGAGGTGCAGATTCCAGGACAGCCTTTGGGTTCATACTGTCCTGTGATTCTGTCACAAATGCAGCCAAATTTGTACAGAGATTCAAAATATAGGGGAAGCAAACACTGGAGACGTTTGTTTTCTGTGTACATAGGCATGTGCCCTTTTTCGTGTTACCTGGGGTTAGGGTTTCTAAGTGGTAAAAATTGTATTTTTGACTTTCACCAATTAACATTCTGGTGCGGCAAAGATGTAGCTAATTATAGCCAGAGTTATAGTTATAACTAGTTACAGCTAGTTATACCTGGAGCTTGGTCCAGCTGTCTGTAAATTATGTATTGGGCCAGAGGTGAAGGGGTACTTTACCTTCAGAGGTGGGGTACTTCATGCTATGGTGGCAAATTTTCTAGTGAATGGCAAATACTTAGAGAGCTTTGTCAGCCGAGCACAGACTGATTGGGATTGATAGAAGGATGTGTTTGGCCAGTGACCAGTGGGGTAGCAAACAGATTCATTTCTCAAAATAGCCAGGAGTTTGAGAGATTAATATATGAAGCCGTACATTGTAGCGTTTGGGGCCTCCTCCAAGGAAAACACTTCACGCTGGTGTTTATAGAGTTGACTTAAACTGATTTTTAGCACAATATGCTACCCTCGTGTGATGTTATTCTCTCCAAACCTTGTGTTAAGACTACAGAGACTGTTAATTACAACACATGTTTCTCCCCACCCTCTATTTGGGAAAAGCTCTATAAAGTATTTTTTAACTTAGTCTTCACGACATTTTTATAGTGATCTTAGAATTCCCACAAACTTTTCTTTTCCTCTCATTCCGTTTGGCTACTGTATTTTTTTTTTTTTCGGAGATGGAGTCTTGCTGTGTCTCCTAGGCCGGAGTGCAGTGACACGATCTCGGCTCACTGCAATCTCCACCTCCCAGGTTCGAGTGATTCTTGTGCCTCAGCCTCCGGAGTAACTGGGATTACAGGCATGCACCACGACACCCAGCTAAGTTTTTTGTATTTTTAGTAGAGACAGAGTGTCACTATGTTGGCCAGGCTGGTCTCGAACTCCTGACCTCAAGTGATCTGCCTGCCTCGGCCTCCCAAAGTGCTGAGATTACAGGCGTGAGCCACTGTGTGGGGCCAACTTTGGCTACTGTACTGTTTAACATTTAGCATAAAAACTCAGTAGGTCAAACTTCGCACATTTATTTAATCAAGTACAATTTATAATTGTTTTAATCAAGTTGGTTTTGATCAATTAAGTTTTTCTCTGACCATTTAATGGTTAGCAGAAAATGAGGGGGGCATGGGGATTTCCTGGAGGAAATGAACTGCTTTTGGAAACACTCCTCATCAACACCAGTCACAGGAGAGGTGGGTGCTTCACAGTTCCAACCTTCGTGAACCTTGTCTTCCCTCTTCTCTTTGCTTTCCACCCATAAAATGCAGGCATCTTTATAAGACCTACCTTTCTTTGGGTGCCTCTCTTCTGTGTGTCAGGCACACTGTGCTAAGTAGGCTGCCAGATAAAATATTTTGTGTCCTATACAATACTTGAGACATACTAAAACTAAAAGTTATTTGTTGTTTATTTGAAATTCAAATTTAACTAGGTATCTAGTATTTTTATTTGCTAAATCTAGCGACCCTGGTGCTCTAAGCACTTTCAAAAGTGTGATGAAGTA
The DNA here is from genome assembly GCF_000001405.40 of Homo sapiens. Classification (NCBI taxonomy): domain Eukaryota; kingdom Metazoa; phylum Chordata; class Mammalia; order Primates; family Hominidae; genus Homo; species Homo sapiens. The sequence goes on from NC_000005.10 coordinate 76,877,214, forward strand.
TCCCTGAAATGTGTGGATAGAAATTATCCTCCCAATTTTATAAATAAAAGCATTTAAAATGTTACGCGATTTGCTCAAATTCGCTCGTTGGTATTTTTCTCCTTTTTGGCTTCAAATCCTCCCTCTTTCTATGTCACTCGACTATCTCCTAGTGTCCTGGCTCTCAACCTGTGATGTCCTGTAAATGTGTTTTTAGCAACAGTCACTCACTTTGATCAGCTGCTGTTTGCTTTTCTTGGTTTCTAGGTCTGAGCCAGGATTATATGGAGCTGGGGCAGGGGGCTAGATTCGTTTAGAATTCGTGGCTGGTTTACACCTACCTGTAAATAGGTTCTTAGAAAATGTCTTTAGATGCTATAAATGGAAATTAGGAATTTAATGTAAATAAAAGGAAGATGAATTTCAATTGTCATCATGAACCTCAGAGCCAGGGAGTTAGAAATTTCCTTTCTCATTTTAGTGCCAAAAGGAAACCCAGTTGGTTGATAAGATAGTGCAGGACCTGGATGCCAATAAGGACAACGAAGTGGATTTTAATGAATTCGTGGTCATGGTGGCAGCTCTGACAGTTGCTTGTAATGATTACTTTGTAGAACAATTGAAGAAGAAAGGAAAATAAAGGTAAGTAATAAGCTCATCTAAAGGCAGAAATATATCCAAAGTTATGTACTTAATGTTCATTTATACCGTTCAGATCTATAGACCCAGTAATGTCATTTATAGCTATAATATCCAGTGCATATATTAATAATTAATTGCTACTATTGAATTATGTGCCCCTTAAAATATTGACTTTATGTAGATATTCTAAATCTCATATGCCCTACTTGAAACTTGCCTGTATTATTAAGAGGCTATATGCATCTTTTTGGTTTGTCAAAACGAGGGCATTACAAAAATTTAGCTACTTTCAAATGAGACTTGAATTTGGCAAATTTCTAAGATGGACATTCATATCCTTAAATTGTATTTTGAACTTCTTACCCTATTAAAAAAAATTAACTGGGTTTCCTCATTCTCTTGTGACTGTGTTTCAGATGGAAGGTGTGAGGGTCTATGAGCAGAAAGGCGGCTAAGCAGAAGTGCTGGCTTTTTCAGTGATTTCGTCAGGGAATGGATAGGTTCAGGGCTAGGTGGTCAAGCCGAGAGAGCTGAAGCCAGCAGCTCTTGTGAGCTGGCATATAAATACCCTCCTTTGCCCCTTGGGTTGGATAATTCTGAGGCAAGTGTTTGACACTATTTCCCACTGTTTCCCCCTGGGGCTGAGCCTCGGTAGGCCCCAAGGGAGGCCACCTTTTCTTCCTTATCTCACTTTCCTGCTCCAACCCTGAGTTTTCTGCATCTCTCAAATAAATGACTTCTACACGAACCCTGGCCTCAGGGTCTCCCTCTTGGGGAACCCAAACTATGATAGATCCTTTGGAGAATTTTAAGAAAGGGAGTGATATGATTATATTTATGCGTGTAAATGATTACCCTAACTACTGTGTAAAGAAAGGACTATAGAGATGGCAATCGTGGCAGGCAACCAGCTAGGAGGTTGTTGCTGTGGTCTGGGTAAGAGATGATGGTATATCAGACCAGCAGTTCAGCACTGGAGATGAAGAGAAGCAGCTGAATTGGTTAAGTATTTTGGAGCTGGGACTGATAGGACTTGCTGATGGATTCATAGTGAAGTGTGAGGAAAAGAGAGAAGTCCAGGATGACAAAACAACCGTTGCTGTTTGCCCATCTGATATCTGTTCTTCCTTTCTTCTATGTATCAGAACCCTGGTTTGTGCAGGGTGGCAATGTGCCTGGCTAAAAAGCCATATTTCCTAGCCTCTCTAACAGCCGGTGTGGGGCTTGTAATAGTTCTGGACAATGTGAGACAAGCAGAAGGCTACTGGGAATTTCTGGGAATGTTTTGCTATTGTAGACAAGAACCCATGTAGCTCTTTGTCTTCCACCTTGTTGAGTCTTTCCTTGTCTTTTTTTGTTGTTGTTGGGATGTGGATGTGAGGCTGGAGGTGGAACTGCTATCTTGCAACTATGAGGACCGTGGAGAAAAAAGATAGAAGGAGCCTGGGCATTGTTGTCATGGAGGAGCCTCTGCACAGCCTTGCTTGCCTGCTTCTGGTCCTCTCATTATGTGGGGGGAAAAAAATGACAGCTCTCTGGTTATCTGGTTCTATTACATGCAACCAAACACAATCTGTAAGGTTTAGGGTTTTGATCAAGCAAATGATGCCTTTTACTAAATGGGAAAGACTGAGGGAAGAATCACTTTGGTGTGAAGGCATGTGGGCAGATCAATAGCTCTGTTTAAGGTGGTATTGGACATCCAGGTGGAGATATCACATGGGAAGTTGGAAATATGATCTGGTCTGGATCTCAGGGTAAATGGGGGACTGGAGATAGAGTTGGGAGTCATTTGTGATCTTAAGCCACAGGATTAGAGGAGGTCACTCCGGATGAGAATGTGGATAGAGAAGAAGAAACGTCTGACAGTTTGCTGTAAAGAAAAGGAAGAGCCCATAAGTGATACAAAAGAGGCATGGCCAGGGAGAAAGAAGGAAAACCAGGAGAGTGTAGTGTCTCAGAAGCCTAGAGAAGACAGCACGTGGAGAAGGAAAGAGAGAAATCCATTCAGAGGTGAAGTAGGATGAGAACGAAGACTTGACCACTAGATTTGGGAAGGTGGAGGTTGTCTCACGCATCTGTGTGAAGAGACCCCCAGACAGGCTTTGTGTGAACAACATGGCTGTTTATTTCACCTGGGTGCAGGTGGGCTGAGTCCGAAAAGAGAGTCAGCAAAGGGTGGCGGATTATCATTAGTTCTTATAGGTTTTGGGATAGGTGGTGGAGTTAGGAGCAATGTTTTGCGGGCAGAGGGTGGATCTCACAAAGTACATTCTCAAGGATGGGGAGAATTGCAAAGAACTTTCTTAAGGGTGGGGGAGATTACAAAGTACATTGATCAGTTAGGGTGGGACAGAAACAAATTACAATGGTGGAATGTCATGAGTTAAGGCTATTTTCACTTCTTTTGTGGATCTTCAGTTACTTCAGGCCATCTGGATGTATATGTGCAGGTCACATGGGATATGATGGCTTAGCTTGGGCTCAGAGGCCTGACATTCCTGTCTTCTTATATTAATAAGAAAAATAAAACAAAATAGTGGTGAAGTGTTGGGGTGGCGAAAGTTTTTGGGGGTGGTATGGAGAGATAATGGGTGATGTTTCTCAGGGCTGCTTCGAGCAGGATTAGGGGTGACGTGGGAACCTAGAGTGGGTGAGATTAAGCTGAAGGAAGATTTTGTGGTAAGGGGTGATATTGTGGGGTTGTTAGAAGAAACATTTGTCGTATAGAATGATTGGTGATGGCCTGGATGCGGTTTTGTATGAATTGAGAAACTAAATGAAAGACACAAGGTCCAAATAAGAGAAGGAGAAAAACAGATATTAAAGGACTAAGAATTGGGAGTACCCAGGACATCCAATTACAGAGTGTCCAAGGGAGTTCAGCATAATTATTTGCTTGGTTGTTGAGTTTTTGGGTGCTATCCTTGAGTTTTTTTATGTTGTCATATACCAGGCCAGATTGATTTAGGTAAAAACAACACTCTTCATTTAAAAATATACAGAGTCCCCTTTTTTTCTTCATTTAAAAATATACAAGAGTACCCCTTTTTTAGTCAGGGCCTCGGGAATTTTGGAGGAAAGAGAAAAGCAAAGCCAGCAATTGTTTGTTAAAGAAGGATTAGAAATGGCTAGGAGAGAGTGACTGAGACTGATATAGTGTGGTGGAGATAGCTGGGGAGAGGTAGAGAGTGGCATAAAAATGGGGACAAGAATAAGAGCAAGTATAAAAGTAAAGAATAGGACTTCATCAGGGTGAAAGTATTGGAGTGTACTTTGTCACTGAAGAACTTCTATCCACTTAAAGAGAGACTTAAGGGTGGCAGTTTGAGGTAAAACCTGGAGCCACTAAATACCAAGAGCCTGAGAAACTGCTTGGGTGATTTGACTAATAAAGGCCGGTCTGTTATTGGACTGTATAGAAGTGGGAAGGCCAAACCAAGGAATTATGTTTGACAGAAGGGAAGAAATTACCACGGTGGCCTTCTCAGACCCTGTGGGAAAGGCCTCTACCCACCCAGTGAAAGTGTCTACCCAGACCAAGAGGTATTTTAGTTTCCTGATTTGAGGCATGTGAGTAAAGTCAATTTGCCAGTCCTGGGCGGGGGCAAATCCCCGAGCTTGATGTGTAGGGAAGGGAGGCAGCCTGAACAATCCCTGAGGAGTAGTAGTAGAATAGCAGATGGAACACTGAGAAGTGATTTCCTTAAGGACAGATTTCCATGATGGAAAGGAAATGAGAAGTTCTAAGAGGCGGGCTAGCTGCTTGTAACCTACATGGAAGAGGTTATGAAATGACGATAGACTAGAATGGGCTTGTGAGGCTGGAAGGAGATATTTTCCTTGGTCCAAGAACCATTTGCCTTGTGTGGGAAGAGATTGATAGGTGGAAGTTTCAGTGGGGGAATAGGTGAGAATGACCAGATGAGAAGGAGAAAAACTGCCATGAGGGTTAGAAGTTGGAACTCTAGCTGCTTTTTTAGCTACCTTGTCAGCATAAGCATTGCCCTGAGTGATGGCATCTTATGCCTTTTGATGGCCTTTGCAGTGAATGACTTCAGCTTCCTTTGGAAGTAAAGCGGCCTTGAGAAGAGTTTTTATTAAAGAGGCATTAATGATGGAGGACCCTTGCATAGTGAGGAAACCTCTTTCAGCCCTTATAACAGCATGGTGGTGCAGGATATGGAAGGCATATTTACAGTCAGTATAAATATTGACGCGTAGTCCCTTTGCAAGAGTGAGGGCTTGAGTTAAGACAATGAGTTTGGCTTGCTGAGAGGTAGTGGAGGGGGGCAGAAATTATATGCGTCAGGTGTGAGGAAGAAAATAGATTTTGGAAGTTATGAGAACTATAGAGAGTGAGTTGAGCACAGTTTGTGATTTTGAGGGCCTCTAAAAGTATTAAGGCAGCGGCAGCCACTGCACACAGACATGAAGGCTAGGCTAAAACAGTAAGGTCAAGTTGTTTGGATAAAAAGGCTACAGGGCGCAGTCCCAGCTCTTGTGTAAAAATTCCGACTGCACAGCCCTGCACTTTGGCTGTGTGTAATGAAAAAGGATTGGGATGAGTTAGGGAGAGCTAGTGTGGGGGCAGCTTCTAGGGCTGTTTTTAAGGAACGGAAAGGAGTGGCAAAAGGATTTAGGATCTGTGGGGTCAGCTAGGTTTCCTTTTGTGAGTTTATATAATGGTTTTGTTAGGATGGCAAAACCAGTATCCAAAGGCAAAAGTATCCAACCATGCCCAGGAAGGAAAGGAGTTGTTGTTTTGTAGAAGGCATTGGGGTTTGGGAGATTAGTCAGACGTGATCAGCAGGGAGAGCATGTGTATTTTCATGAAGAATTATGTCGAGATAGGTAATGGATGAGGAAGAAATTTGGGCTTGACTGAAGTAATGGGGGCTGTCCGTGAAGCCTTGTGGCAGTACAGCCCAGGTAATTTGTGAGTCTAATGGGTGTCAGGGTCAGTCCAAGTGAAAGCAAAGAGAGTCTAGGATGAAGGGTGCAAGGAATAGTAAAGAAAGCATGTTTGAGATCCAGAACAGAATAAGGGGTTATGGAGGGGTTGTGGAGGGTGGTATTGAGGATAGGAGAGTATATGGGTTTGGCACCATGGGGTGGATAGGCAAGACAATTTGGTTGATAAGGCGCAGATCCTGAACTAAGGTAAGGCTTGTCTTGTTTTAGGACAGGTAAAATGGGGGAATTGTAGGGAGAGTTTACAGGCTTTAAAAGGCCATGCTGTAACAGGCAAGTGATAACAGGCTTTAATCCTTTTAAAGCATGCTGTGGGATGGGATATTGGCATTGAGTGGGGTAAGGGTGATTAGGTTTTAATGGGATGGTAAGGGGTGCATCATTTGTCACCAAGGAGGGAGTAGAGGTATCCCATACTTGTGGGTTAAGGTAGGGGGATACGAGAGGAGGATGCAAAGGAGGCTTTGAACTGGGGAAAAGGGTGGCAATGAGGTGTGCTTGTAGCCTAGGAATAGTCAGGGAAGCAGATAATTTAGTTAAAATGTCTCGACCTAATAAGAGAGCTGGGCAGGTGGGGATAACTAAAATGAGTGCATAAAAGAATATTGTCCAAGTTGGCACCAGAGTTGGGGAGTTTTAAGAGGTTTAGAAGCCTGGCCGTCAATACCAACAACAGTTATGGAGGCAAGGGAAACAGGCCTTTGAAAAGAAGGTAATGTGGAGTTGGTAGCCTCCTTATTGATTAAGAAGGAGACGGACTTACCCTCCACTGTAAGAGTTACCCAAAGGGTCTGTGATGGTCCAGGGGGCTTCCGAGGTGATCAGGCAGCGTCAGTCTTTAGCCACTAAGCTGAGAATATCTGGGAATGAGTCAGTCAGAGAGCCTTGGGCCAGAGTTCCAGGGGCTCCGGGAGTGGCTGCCAGGTGAGTTGGACAGTCCGATTTCCACTGGGGTCCCGCACAGATGGGACATGGCTTAGGAGGAGTCCCAGGCTGCGGGCATTGCTTGGCCCAGTGGCCAGATTTCCAGCACTTGTAGCAAGCTCCTGGGGAAGGAGTTTCTGGAGGAACCCCTGGCAGTGGCGGTTCAGGTGTTTGGAGTTCTTGTGTGCTGGAGATGTGGCTGGGGTTTGTCTCACAGTGGAGGCAAGGAATTGCAACTCAGAAATACATTGCTACTTGGCTGCCTCTACTCTATTATTGTACACCTTGAAGCGAGGTTAATTAAGTCCTGTTGTGGGGTTCGAGGGCCGAATTTAATTTTTGGAGCTTTATTTAATGTTGGGAGCAAATTGGTTAATAAAATAAAATGCATATTGAGATTAAGACGGCCTTCTGGCCCCTCTGGGTCTAGGGCAGTAAAGTGTCTCAGGGTTGCTGCTAAGAGGGCCATGAACTGGGCTGGGCTTTCGTCTTTACCTCGGGTAGTTTCTTTAAGTTTGTCATAACAGCTTTGTAAGCTGCCTTTTTAAGCCCTTTAACTAGGCAGGAAACCATGTAATCTCGCCTAGCTATACCTGGGGAATCTGCCTGATAGTTCCATTGGGATCTTCTCGGGGAACTGCTCTAATGCCTTCCTGGAGGTCTGGCTCATGAAGCCAGTGGTTATCAGTGTGAGATTGGGCTGGAGAAAAAACTCTTTCCCATTCATCCGGGGAGAGGGTAGAAGTCAGGATGACATTTAAGTCACTCCAGGTTAAATTGTAGGACAGAGTTAGATATCGGAATTCCTGTATATATTTAGTGGGGTCTGATGAGAAAGAGCCTAAACGCTGGCTGATTTGGGAAAGGTCTGATAGAGGAAAAAGGAGCATTAACGTTGACTATGCCTTCAGCTCCAGCCACGTCTTTAAGAGGAAATAGTTGGGCAAGTGGGGGAGGACTAGTCACGGAACAAAACTGTAAACCAGACTGGGTGTGAGGAGGGGAGGTGATAGAAGGATTATAGGGTGCGGAAGCAGAGGCTGAGGAAGAATTGGGACCTGGCTTGGCCTGGCGAGGAGCAGCCTGGGGAGAAGGGGAGAGGTCAGATGAGTCCGTAGAAAAGAAGGATTCAAAGGACTCAAGAGCTTGGGGTGGAGACTGAAGGAACAGACAGGAGAGAAAGAAGAAAGATTTGGGACGAGTCTCACTGGGAGCAGAGACTAGGGAGGAACCAATGTGTAAAAGAATGCCTGGACGTCAGGCACCTCAGACCATTTGCCCATTTTTTGACAAAAATTGTCTAGATCTCATAGGATGGAGAAATCATAAGTGCCGTTTTCTGGCCATTTAGAACCATTGTCGAGCTTGTATTGGGGTCAAGCAGTATTGCAGAAGAAAATAAGGCGTTTAAGTTTTAGGTCAGGCGAGAGTTGAAGAGGTTTTAAGTTCTTGAGGACACAGGCTAAGGGAGAAGGAGGAATGGAGGGTAGAAGGTTGCCCATAGTGAAGGAGGCAAGTTTAAAGAGAAGGGTAGAGACATGGAGAGAAGGGGTAGGGGGTGCTTGCCCCCCAGGAAAGTGGAGAAGGGGTGGGAGGTGCTTGCCCCCCAGGAAAGTTGAAACGGGGTGGGAGGTGCTTATCTCCCAGGAAAGTGGGAATGAGGTGGGAGGTGCTTGCCCCCCAGGAAAGTGGGAACAGGGTGGGAGGTGCTTGTCCCCAGGAAAGTGGGAACGGGGTGGGAGGTGCTTGCCCCCCAGGAAAGTAGGAACGGGTTGGGAGGTGCTTGTCCCCCAGGAAAGTGGGAACGGGGTGGGAGGTGCTTGCCCCCCAGGAAAGTAGGAACGGGTTGGGAGGTGCTTGTCCCCCAGGAAAGTGGGAATGGGGTGGGAGGTGCTTGCCCCCCAGGAAAGTGGGAACGGGGTGGGAGGTGCTTGCCCCCCAGGAAAGTGGGAATGGGGTGGGAGGTGCTTGTCCCCCAGGAAAGTGGGAACGGGGTGGGAGGTGCTTGCCCCCCAGGAAAGTGGAGAAGGGATAGAGACACAGACAGAAGAGGTGGGGGCTGCTTGCCCCCCAGAAAAGTGGAGAGAAAAGACAGTAGAGGCACGGAGAGAAGGGGTGGGGGGTGCTTGTTCCCCAGAAAAGTGGAGAGAAAAGAGAGAGTAGAGGCATGGAGAGAAGGAGTGGGGGGTGCTTGCCTCCCAGGAAAGTGGAGAGAAAAGAGAGAGTAGAGAAATGGAGAGAAGGGGTGGGGGGTGCTTGTCCCCCAGAAAAGTGGAGAGAAAAGAGAGAGTAGAGACACGGAGAGAAGGGGTGGGGAGTGCTTGCCCCCCAGGAAAGTGGAGAAGGGGTGGAGACATGGAGAGAAGGTGTCAAGGGGTGCTTGCCCCCCAGAAAAGTGGTGCTTGCCGCTAAGGGTGAAGGACCAAGGCAGGTGTCCCCGTGAGGTCAGACACCTCTGAAACGTGGGTGAATAATCAGGCAGGCGACCTGCAATGATTAAACACTAAGGGAAGGCTGCCTTCCCGAGTCTGTGACCTGCGCCGGAGTTTTGGGTCCACGGATAAAATGTGTCTCCTTTGTCTCTACCAGAAAATGAAAGGAATTGAAATTATGAGAAGGGACAGATTGAAGGGTGGCACCAAGATTTAAAGGAGAAAGAGGTTGAGGGATAGTGAGAGAGATTGGAGAAGAGAGTAAAAAGAGGCCACTTACCCGATTTAAAATCGGTGAGATGTTCCTTGGGCTGGTTGGTCTGAGGACCCGAGGTCGTAGGTGGATCTCTTCATGGAGTGAGGGCAAGAACAGGGGACTGGTCTCCTGAAGGAGTCCCGCTGACCGGGGTCTTTGGCACCAAATGTCTCATATGTCCGTGTGAAGAGACCACCAAACAGGCTTTGTGTGAGCAACAAGGCTGTTTATATTACCTGGGTGCAGGTGGGCTGAGTCCAAAAAGAGAGTCAGCAAAGGGTGGTGGATTATCATTAGTTCTTATAGGTTTTGGGATAGGCGGTGGAGTTAGGAGCAATTTTTTGCAGGCAGGGGGTGGATCTCACGAAGTACATTCTCAAGGATAGGGAGAATTGCAAAGAACCTTCTTAAGGGTTGGGGCGATTACAAAGTACATTGATCAGTTAGGGTGGGGCAGAAACAAATTACAATGGTGGAATGTCATCAGTTAAGGCTATTTTCACTTCTTTTGTGGATCTTCAGTTGCTTCAGGCCATCTGGATGTATACGTGCAGGTCACAGGGGATATGATGGCTTAGCTTGGGCTCAGAGGCCTGAAAGAGATCATCTGCAACATCAGTAACACTGACAGGAGTTGGGTTTTGGTTACAAAAGAGCCTATCTTTCTTTCTTTTCTTTTCTTTTTTTTTTTTTTCGAGACAGAGTCTTGCTCTGTCACCAGGCTGGAGTGCAGTGGCGCAATCTCAGCTCACTGCAACCTCTGCCTCCATGGTTCAAGCGATTTTCGTGCCTGAGCCTCCTGAGTAGCTGGGATTACAGGCACCCACCATCATGCCCAGCTAATTTTTGTATTTTTAGTAGAGACAGGGTTTCACCATGTTGGGGCCAGAAAGGTCTCGATCTCCTGACCTTGTAATCTGCCTGCTTCAGCCTCCCAAAGTGCTGGGATTACAGTCATGAGCTACTGTGCCAGGCTTTTTTTTTTTTTTTTTTTTTCTGAGATGAGGTCTCGCTCTGTGCCCAGGCTGGAGGGCAGTGGCACTATCTTGGCTCACTGCAACCTCCACCTCCCAGGTTCAAGCAATTCTCATGCCTCAGCCTCCCGAGTAGCTGGGATCACAGGCACACCACCACGCCTGGCTAACTTTTGTCTTTTTAGTAGAGACGGGGTCTCACCATGTTGGCCAGGCCAGTCTTGAACTCCTGAACACAAGTGATCCACCTGCCTCGGCCTCCCAGAGTGCTGGGATTACAGGCACGAGCCACTGTGCCCAGCCCAGAAGAGCCTTTCAATCTGGCAGGTAGAAGTTGCTCAATAAATCTATGCTTAGGGAACAAATGAAGGAATCTGCCAATTGCTGACTTTCTAGTGCTAAGACCTGCCATTTTTTTCCCCCTTAAATAGAATATTTTTGTCTCCCTTAAGCCAGTTCTGAGCAGATAGGACAGGGAGAATTTAGAGGGCAGAACATTTAAGAGAAGAAATGTAGACCATTGGTGTTTACTCACTTCTGTCTTTCAAAAGTTATGTTGTAGGAGTTATTAAGAAATTATTGGCCAGGCACGGTGGCTCACATCTGTAATCCCAGCACTTTGAGAGGCTGAGGCGGGTGGATCATGAGGTCAGGAGTTCAAGACCAGCCTGGTTAATATGGTGAAACCCCATCTCTACTAAAAAATACAAAAATTAGCTAGGCATGGTAGTGTGTGCCTGTAGTCCCAGCTACTCAGGAGGCTGAGGCAGGAGAATCGCTGGAACCCAGGAGGCAGAGGTTGCAGTGAGCCAAGATTATGCCACTGCCCTCCAGCCTGGGTGACAGAGCAAGACTCCATCTCAAAAAAAAGAAAAAAAAAAGGAAAGAAAGAAATTATTTTAGGCAGATAGAGAGGAAAAGGGGTCCTTGGGAAGTTTTCTTTTTTTTTTTTTTTCCTGGGAAAGTGCTGGTATTTTTTTTTTTTTTTTTTTTTTTTTTGAGACAGAGTCTTGCTCTGTCACCTAGGCTGGAGTGCAGTGGCGTGACCTCGGCTCACTGCAAGCTCTGCCTCCCGGGTTCACGCCATTCTCCTGTCTCAGCCTCCCAAGTATCTGGGACTACAGGCACTCGCCACCATGCCCTGCTAATTTTTTTGTATTTTTGGTAGAGACGAGGTTTCACCGTGTTAGCCAGGATGGTCTCGACCTCCTGACCTTGTGATCCGCCCATCTCGGCCTCCCAAAGTGCTGGGATTACAGGCGTGAGCCACCGCGCCCAGCCATAGTGCTGGGATTACAGGCGTGAGCCACCGTGTCTGACGGAAGTTTTCATTTTTTAAAGCATCTCTGGAAAAGTTTCTTGTAAAGCCCCGGCTCTTAGAGCCAGGCCAGCAACCTCTGATATGCAAATGAAGGCCATTAGAAACTGGGTCCACCCAACATGGCCAGGCTGGCAACCTTTAATATGAAAATGCCAGCTGTTAGAAACTTGGTCCACCAAACATGGTGATTCTCCCGCCTTTTTGCCCTTGCCCCACATGTGACTGGCTACACGGCCACCCCCACATGTCCCCATGTGTGTAGAACATTAAGGTGCCCTACATTTGCATATTAAGAGCCTAGGGTGGGAGGGCCAGCGTTTTTGGGGCTACCTGAGTGACATGCCTGGTCAAACCAAGCCCCTGAGCCCTATGCAAATCAAGCACCGCCTCCTCTAGCCATCGCATGTAACTGGCTGATATTACCTGAGCAGGACTTCCCTCTCTCGGCTTTGGAGCCCCCTTCCCTCTGTCTCTGTACAGGCGAGCTTCCTTCTCCCTTCTTTCTTGCCCCTTCTTGCCTATTAAACTCTCTGCTCCTTAAAACCACTTCACGTATGTCTGTGTTGTTTTATCTAATTCAACGTAAGACAAGAGCCCTGGTGTTCGTCCGCTCATTGAAGCCGTATCATTTAGAAGAAAAAATTTTTTAAAAATTGAACACATATGTTGGATGTGTTTAAGTTTGTTTTTTACAAGTTAATATACTACTCATGCAAGAGAAGATCTCGACATTTCGCAGGGGCCTTTAAGCTTTTCATTTTAATTTACTGCAAAGTTTACATATTCTAAAGTGAGTCACTAAAACATGAAAAGTAAATCCAGAATTTTCTTCACCTTCTAGTCCAGGATAGACATTATTAACACAGAGAAATAAATGGAAAAACAATGTTAATTTCATGGCATTTCTAAAAATCGATTAAAAGTGGGGAAAAGCAATCTCTGTTTCAAATTAGATTTCAAATAAGTAAGAATTACATGATGTACCAAAAGCTCTTTTCCAGTAAAGGAGAGGCTTTCTTTTCCTCATGTTAGGAACACACAATTTTGTAGAAGGCAAAATTGGTTGTTTCTTATGCCCGGGGGCACTGGCCTTTGCATTTGCTGGAGTTTAAATAAATTTGAAGTTTAAAATTCAAGGACCATCTCTGAATGAGCAGCTAATGTTTAACATTTTCTCATTGTGGTTATTAGATAGAGCAGCTTATGGAGACAAAAGCCTAGGCTTGCTTGAGACCCTGGGTTTGAGATGTGACTGACAATGCCAATAGTGAGAAAGCTTAAACAAAACAAAACCTTAAAATTTAATTTAATTTTGTTTTGTTTTTCTAGATGGAGTCTCGCTCTGTCACCCAGGCTGGAGTGCAGTGGCACAATCTCGGCTCACTGCAACCTCTGCCTCCCAGGTTCAGGTTATTCTCCTGTCTCAGCCTCCTGAGTAGCTGGGACTACAGGTGCATACAACCATGCCTGGCTAATTTTTATATTTTTAGTAGAGATGGGGTTTCACCATGTTGGCCAGGCTGGTCTTGAACTCCTGACCTCAGGGAGTCCACCCACCTTGGCCTCCCAAAATGCTGGGATTACAGGTGTGAGCCACTATGCCCAGCCTAAAATTTAATTTTGAAAATATATATTTCTTTTTCCCCCAAAGATAGTGGAAACAAGGAAGGCTTCCCAGAGGCAGAGGCTTGAGTCAAGTCTTTGATAAGGCAAAGAAATGGAGGAAGATTATTAAAAAAGAGAATATGATTTCATACCCAAATCACACGGGTATGAAACAACAGGATCTGCTGATGTGGTGACGTGCACCTAAAGTCCCAGCTGCCTGGAAGTCTGAGGCTGGATGATTGCTTGAGCCCAGGGGTTTGAGGCTGCAGTAATCTATGATTGTGCCACCACACTAGCCTGGGTGACAGAGTAAGACCCGGTCTCAAAAACAAACAAACAAACAAAAACAGGATTTGTTTGGGAGAATGCAAGTTCTGTTTGTGGCATCCCTAGGGTGTGGGGTGTCCAAGGGCATGAGATGGAGCTAGAGAGGTGAACAGGATTCAGAATCAGAAAAGGCCTTGGGTGCTAATGTGAGAAATTTGAAATTTATCCTCCATATTATGGGAAGCCATTATAGGATTTTTCAGTTTCTTCTTTTATTTATTTACTTTTTTGAGACAGAGTCTTGCTCTGTTACCCAGGCTGGAGTGCAATGGCACAGTCTCGGCTCACTGCAACCTTCGCCTCTGGGTTCAAGCAATTCTCCTGCTTCAGCCTCTTGAGTAGCTGGGATTACAGGCATGCACCACCACGCCTGGCTAATTTTTGTATTTTTAGTAGAGATGGGGCTTTACCATGTTGGCAAGGCTAGTCTTGAACTCCTGACCTTAGGTGATCTGCCCGCCTTGGGCTCCCAAAAGTGCTGGGATTACAGGCGTGAGCCACCATGCCCGGCCCCCAGTTTCTTCCTTTAAATTAAAGCAGTTGTGTTTATGTTTCTAAATATCCTCCTAAAAATTTTACATCTTAAAAGCAGTAGGTTTGAGTCCTTACTTTACGTTACACTTACCTGTGGTATTTTTTAAAATATAGATGAATAAACTCCACCTCATTCAGATTCCAATTCAATTAGTCTAGGGATGGGGCCCAGGCATCAGCATTTTTTAAAGGGCATCAGGGGATTCTAAATTCAACCAGGGTTGAAAATTATTGCTTTTATGGTGAATTGCTTCAACCAAATAATCAGATCAACATCTGACTGAGAACTGTCTAGGACGGCAGCTGCTTCAACTTTGATGTGCATGTGAATCACCTGGAAATCTGACTCAGCTTCAGTAAGTCGGGGTGGAGCCTGAGATTCTGCATTCCTAACAAACTCCCAGGTGTTGCTGATGGTGCCAATAGAGATGGTCTAGACTCTAGGATGAAGAGGAAGGGGTTTGAATGGAAGTATGGAGGAGTCGTTTGGAAACACTGGCACCTGTAGAGTAATTCTTGCTGGGGCATACTTTCTTTGGAAAAAATCAGACAACACAAGAACAGTAGATAGACAGAGGGTGCAGGGGAAGAGGAGAGAGGTGGGAGACACCAAGGAAGAACATGCATTAGGGGCCTGGGAGAGGGAGGAGGGGGAGGGAAAGGATGTCACCAGACCATCTCAGAGTAAAGGTCTTGGGCAACTTATTTAATTTCTTTAAGCCTCATTTTCTAGCATGTCTCAAATACAGTGGCTCACCTGCATCAGAGCCAACTAAGGGTACTTATCAAACATTAGGATTTGCAGTTTTTCCAACCTAGTCCGAATGATTCAGAATGAAGGAGGAGGAAGGGTAAGAACCTGCACTTACAGCAAGCACACCAGGTTATTATTATGTACCTTCAATGTGGAGAACTGGAACTCTGATTGTTAAAATAAGATAGCAAGCACCCAGAACACATGAAGTGCTCAATAGGTGGTAACCATGGTGATGATGATGGTAATGGTGATACAGTAAACATCTCTGGTCCAGCCCAGACTTGGCAGAACAAGAGTTTTATGCATCCTACTCTTTCAGATGAGATCGGTAGGATGGTATGGTTGTAGACCATCCTACTCTTTCAAATTGGTCCCTACCAAAGATGTCTGCCAGCTGCTTGCCACAGGAAAAGTGGGGGCACTTCCACATGATTATATTTCTCTTGACTTCTCCAGCTTTCTCAAAAGGTCCTTTTCAAGGGGAACTCATTAAACAATGTGTTCTCAAAGAACATTTATTATGATGGTGTAAAACCGAAGAAAATGAGGTGAGTCTCAACTACTTTAGAGGTTTATTTTGCCAAGATTGGGGGCATGCATAACAAAAAGCACAAAATCACAAGAACATCTGTGATCTGTGCTTTTTTCCAAAGAGGGTTTGGGGACTTCCATTTTTAAAGAGGAAAGAGTGGGCAGTCAGGGAAAGAAGAAAGAAAAAAAAAGGCAGGGGCAGGAGAATAAATAAAAGAGGCAAGCAGTTGCATTCTTTTGAGGCTTTGATCAGCGCTCATTGAATTCACATTTTATGTGCTAAAAGGGGGTAGAGGAATAGTCAACTGTGCATTCTTCTGTAGCTCTGTGAATCTGCATTTTACAGAAGATAAAGTAAACTTAGAGTAGAAGAAGCAATCAAGTATGCATTTGTCTCAGGTGAGTGGAGGGATGACTCTCCTCCTCTCTTTGTCCCTTACCTATGAAGAGACGTTGTTGATGTACATAGGGTGAAATTCAGCAGAACTCTGTTTTAGGGTAAAGATCTTGGGGCCCACAAGGAATTTCCAGGCCCTCCAGGAGACTTATCGTTGTAGCTCTCTATTTAGGAACAAAATGGGAGGCAGTTTTGTGCAATTCAGTTCCCAATCTTAATTTTTCCCTTTGGCACAGTGAGTTTGGGGTTTCAAGATTTCTTTTTCCTTTCACAATGGAAAGTGTCTACTATATAATATTAACTTTAAACAACAGAATGTTTGATTGGCCCAAATTTGGTGTAAAAATTGCGGCAGAATGAATTTTTAAGGTATTGCTTTGTTTCTACTTGCAGTTTTTAATTTTCTGCACCCCCATCAAGAAGAGAACAGGCTCCTTTTCAAAGGGAAGGTCTGTGATGGGGTAGAAAGCAAAAGTTCAGCCTGGCCAACATGGCAAAACCTCCACTCTACAAAAAATACAAAAATTAGCTGGTGTGGTGGCACATGTCTGTAGTCCCTGTTACTTGGGAGGCTGAGGTGGGAGGATTGATTGAACCTAGGAGGTCAAGGTTGCAGTGAGCTGTGATTGCATCACTGTACTCCACTCTGGGTGACAGAACAAGATCTTATCTCAAAAAAAAAAAAATTGCCAGAAAACCACTTCACTTTCTAGCTTTTGTTTTCAAAAGTCTAAACCATTGAGACAATTATGTTCGGTGCCTCCAGGGAAACTGTGGGAATTGCTCTTGAAGTAAATACTCCCCTCGCCCTGAGGAAAACACTTTCTTAGGGACTAAAAAGAGATTCCCTTGAGCACTAGGAGAAAGAGGTGTGTGGGTCCCCAGGGGCAGATGGGCATATGACCTTTCTGGAGAATCCTCTTCTAATAGCTAACCTTTTCTCAGCTTCTCCTTCATCAACTAAGGGTGCACCCTGGGTTTCTACTATCTCCTTTTGCAAATCTTGGATTGTGTTCTCTGATTTTCCTTTGGAATACAGAATCCATTATCTTGAGGCATTTAAACAAAAAATAAAGTTCTAAGCCCCTCTAATTATCTAAATGGACTTCCTCCTCACCCAGGGCTCTTAAAATTTAACCTGAAAGACTGGTTCAGGTCATGAAGGGAAGTGGGGGTCTGACGTGCCTCATTGTACCTCTTTGGCATTAATATCAACACAGACTTTAAGACTGGTAAGAAACATTTTACAACCTATTCTCTCTGAAGCCTGCTAGCTAAAAGCTTCATCTGCATAGTAAAACTTTGGTCTCTACCACCTCTTATTGCAACCTAGACATTCTTCTCTGTTGATCCCAGGTCTTCAGACAAACTCAACCAATTGTCAACCAGAAAATGTTAAAATTTACGGCTTTTCTGGACCAAACCAATGTATTTCTTAAATGTATTTGATTGATGTCTCATGCTTCCCTAAAATGTATAAAACCAAGCTGCACCACCTTGGGCACATGTTCTCAGGACCTCCTGAGGGCTGTGTCATGGGTCATGGTCACTCATATTTTGTTCAGAATAAATCTCTCCAAAACATGTTACAGAGTTTGACTTTTTTCATTGACAGACATCAGCCAAAATTTTAACATCCATATACGTACGCATGGAAGAAAGACTGGAAGACTGGAAACCCACCAAGGTGTTTACCACAGATGGTGACATTGTCGGTGATTTAAATTTTTTTTTTTTTTTTTTGAGATGGAGTTTCACTCTTGTTGCCCAGGCTGGAGTGCAATGACATGATCTCGGCTTACAGCAACCTCCACCTCCCGGGTTCAAGTGATTCTCCTGCCTCAGCCTCCCGAGTAGCTGGGATTACAGGCATGCACTACCATGCCCAGCTAATTTTGTTTTAGTGGAGACAGGGTTTCTCCATGTTGAGGCTGGTCTTGAACCCCTGACCTCAGGTGATCCACCCGCCTCGGCCTCCCAAAGTCCTGGGATTACAGGTGTGAGCCACCGCGCCCACCCTAAATTTTTTCTTTATATTTTAAATTTTGATGTTTCAACAATGAACAATAATCAGAAAAAAGCGCTATGTTGTTTATTTTTAGTAGAGAATTCCCTGAAGTCTAACTTTAAATGTCTCTCTTCCTCCCTTACAAACCCTATTCTTACAAACTGTAGTGTCTTTTTCTCTGAGACCACTTATTTAGCCATGCGTGGCCACTCCCCCTCTGCATTGTCAGTTATTTCTTAAAATGACCCTAGCACCTAGCATAGCACCAACAAATCAGAGAAGTCAAGCGCATGTTTTCTGAAATGAACCTGTCTTGAGAATGCCCAGGATTTTCTTTGTTAATATCATCACCGTTTTAAAACTTGTTTACGGTACAAGTATAGCACCAACCAAATAACAGAGCCATTTGCCCCTTCATGGAAAGAGAGCAACTTATAATATGCTAGTCCCTGGAGTTCCTCAGGAATAAGGAAATTATCTAAAGGAGGAGTTATTGCCAAACATCCCTATCAACAATTCCCAAATGATAGAAATTTGGTCATCAAATATTATCTAGTGCCATCAAAGAAACAATTGAAAGTTAAAGCCCAATGACAGTTTAAAAAAAAACCCCTGATGTCCAACTTACCCTGATGTCCAATGGCTTACCATTTTAATTTTTTAATTTTTAAATTATTTAAAATTTTTTGTGGGTATATAGTAGGTGTATATAGGGTATATGAAAGGTTTTAATACAGGCATGCAATGTGAAATAAGCACATCATAAAGAATAGGGTATCCTTTCCCCCAAACATTTATTCTTTGAGTTAAAAGCAATCCAATTACATTAAGTTATTTTAAAATATAGAGGGGTTTTTTTGCTTTCCCTTTCTTTCTTTCTTTTCTTCCTTTTTTTTTTTTTTTTTTTTTTGAGACAGAGTTTGGCACTGTTGTCCAGACTGGAGTGCAGTGGCATGCTCACTGCAATCTCCGCCTCCCAGGTTCAAGTGACTCTCCTGCCTCAGCCTCCTGAGTAGCTGGGATTACAGGCACCCACCACCACGCCTGGCTAATTTTTGTATTTTTAGTAGAGATGGGGTTTCACCATGTTGGCCAGGCTGCTCTTGAACTCCTGACCTCAAGTGATCCACTTGCCTCGGCCTCTTAAGGTGACGGATTACAGGTGCGAGCCACCAGACCCAACCATTATACAGTTATTTTATTATTGACTATAGTCACCCTGTTGTGCTGTCAAATAGCAGGTCTTATTCATTCCTTTTAACTGTTTTTTGTACCCATTAATCATCCCCACCGTCCTCCCCAACCCCCTGCTACCCTTCCCAGTCTCTAGTAACCATCATTCTACTCTCTATGTCCATGAGTTCAATTGTTTTGATTTTTAGATCCCATAAATAAGTGAGGACATGCGATGTTTGTCTTTCTGTGCATGGCTCATTTCATTTAACATAATGATCTTCAGTTCCATCTGTGTTGTTGCAAATGACTGGATCTCATTCTTTTTCATGGTTGAATAGTACTCCATTGTGTATATATACCACATTTTCTTTGTACATTCATCGGTTGATGGACATTTAGATTGCTTCCAAATCTGAGCTGTTGTAAACAGTGCTGCAACAAACAGTGCAGGTTTCTCTTTGATATATTGATTTCCTTTCTTTTGGGTATATACTCAGCAGTGGGATTCCAGTAGCTGGATCACATGGTAGCTCAATTTTTAGTTTTTTGAGAAACCTCCAAACTGTTCTCCACAGTAGTTGTATTAGTTTACATCCCCATCAATGCATACAAGGATTCACTTTTCTCCACATCCTTGCCAGCATTCATTTTACCTGTCTTTTGGATATAAGTAATTTTAACCCGGGGTGAGATAATATCTCATTGTAGCTTTGATATGCATTTCTCTGATCAGTGATGTTGAGCACCTTTTCATATACCTGTTTGTCATTTGTATGTCTTCTTTTGAGAAATGTCTATTTAAATCTTTTGCCTACTTTTTGGTTGGATTATTAGGTTTTTTTTCCTATAGTTATTTGAGCTCCTTAAATATTCTGATTATTAATCCCTTGTCAGATGGGGAGTTTGCACTGTAGGTGTGGGGATTTGTTTCCGGGTTCTCTATTTTGTTCCATTGGTCTGTGTGTCTGTTTTTATGCCAATGCCATGCTGTTTGGTTACTATAGCTCTGGTGTATAATTTGAAGTCAGGTAATGTGATTCCTCCAGTTTTGTTCTTTTTGCTTAGGATAGCTTTGGCTATTCTGGGTCTTTTGTGGGTTCATTTAAATTTTAGGATTGGCCGGGTGCGGTGGCTCATGCTTGTAATCCCAGCACTTTGGGAGGCTGAGGTGGGCGGATCATGAGGTCAGGAGATCGAGACCATGGTGAAACCCCATCTCTACTAAAAAAATACAAAAAATTAGCCAGGTGTGGTGGTGGGCGCCTGTAGTCGCAGCTACTTGTAGAGGCTGAGGCAGGAGAATGGTGTGAACCCAGGAGGCGGAGCTTGCAGTGAGCCAAGATCGTGCCACTGCACTCCAGCCTGGGCGACAGAGCGAGACTCTGTCTCAAAAAAAATAATAATAATAATAATAAAAATAAAAAAATAAATAAATTTTAGGATTGTTTTTTCTATTTCTGTGAAGAATGTCATTGTTATCTTGATAAGGATTGCATTGAATCCATAGATTGCTTTGGCTAGTATAGACATTTTAATATTAATTCTTCCAATCCATGAACATGAAGCATTTTTCTATTTTTTTGGTGTCCTCTTCAATTTTCTTCATCAGTGTTTCACAGTTTTCATTACAGAGATCTTTCACTTCTTTGGTTATCTTAATTCCTATGTATTTAATTTTATGTGTAGCTATTTTAAATGGGATTACTTTTTAAATTTCTTTTTTTTGCATTGTTCGCTGTTGGCATATACAAATGCTACTGATTTTTGTATGTTGATTTTGTATCTTGGAACTTTACTGAATTTGTTTATCAGTTCTAATAGTTTTCTTGTGGACTCCTTAGGTTTTTCCAAATATGAGATCATATCATCAGCAAACAAGGATAATTTAACTTCTTTCTTTCCAATTTGAATGCCCTTTATATCCTTCTCTTGTCTGATTACTCTAGCTAGGACTTCCAGTACTATGTTGCATAACAGTGGTGACACTGGGCATCCTTGTTGTATCCCAGATCTTAGACGAGAGACTTTCAGTTTTTCCCCATTCAGTATGATTCTAGCTATGGGTCTGTCATATATGGCTTTAATTATGTTGAGTTATATTCTTTTTTTTTTTTGAGATGGAGTTTAGCTCTTGTTGCCCAGGCTGGCATGCAATGGCATGATCTCGGCTCACTGCAACCTCCACCTCCCGGGTTCAAGTGATTCTCCTGCCTCAGCCTCCCAAGTAGCTGGGATTACAAGCATGCACATCATGCCTAGCTAGTTTTGTATTTTTAGTAGAGACGGGGTTTCTCCATGTTGGTCAGGCCGGTCTTGAACTCCTGATTCCTGAGGTGGGTGGATCCAGGTGATCCGCCCACCTCGGCCTCCCAAAGTGCTGGGATTACAGGCATCAGCCACTGCGCCAAGCCAAGGTATGTTCCCTCTATCCCCAGTTTTTTGAGGGTTTTTATCATAAAGGGATGTTGAATTTTGTCAAATACCTTTTCAGCATCAACTGAAATGATCATATGGTTTTTATCCTTCATTTTGTTGACATGATGTATCGCATTGATTGATTTATGTTGAACCACTCTTGCATTCCAAGAATACATATCATTTAGTCATGATGAGTGATCTTTCTGATGTATTGTTGAATTTGGTTTGCCAGCATTTTGTTGAGGATTTTTGCATCAGTATTCATCAAAGATATTGCCCTGTAGTTTTCTTTTTTTGATGTGTCTTTGGTTTTGGTATCAGGGTAATATGGGCCTCATAGAATTAGTTTAGGAGTGTTTCCTCCTCTATTTTTTGGAATAGTTTGAGTAAGATTGGCTTTAGTTCTTTAAATGTTTGATAGAATTCATCAGTGAAGCCATTGGGTCCTGGGCTTTTCTTTTCTTTTTTTTTTTTTTTTTTTGAGACAGAATTTTGCTCTTGTTGCCCAGGCTGGAGTGCAATGACACGACCTTGGCTCAGTGCAACCTCCACCTCCCAGGTTCAAGTGTTTAAGTGATTCTCATGCCTCAGCTTCCCTAGTAGCTGGGATTACAGACACGTGCCACCACACCTGGTTAATTTTTGTATTTTTAGAAGAGACAGGTTTCTCCAGGCTGGCCTTGAACTCCTCACCTCAAGTGATCCACCCACCTCAGCCTCCCAAAGTGCGGGATTACAGGTGTGAGCCACTGCACCCAGCCTCTTTATAGGTGAATTGTGTTTCTTGTAGACAATAGATCAATGGGTCTTGTTTTTTCATCTGTTCAGCCAGTCTATGTCTTTTGATTAAAGAGTTCAGTCCATTTATAGTCCATGTTGTTATTGCTAAGTAAGGACTTACTCCTACCATTTTGCTATTTTTTTTTTTTTGGTTTTTGTGGTCTTCTCTTCCTTCTTTCTTTCCTTCCTTTTGTTATCTAGTGAAGTGATTTTCTCTGGTGATGTGATTTAGTTTCTTGCCTTTTTATTTTTTGTGTATCCATTGCATATTTTTTGGTTTGAGGTTACCATAAGGTTTGCACATACTATGTTATAACCCATTATTTTAACCTGATAACAACACTATTTGTATAAACAAACAAGCAAAAACATAAAAACTCTATGCCCTTAACGTTGTCCT
This sequence comes from Homo sapiens, assembly GCF_000001405.40. Lineage (NCBI taxonomy): Eukaryota > Metazoa > Chordata > Mammalia > Primates > Hominidae > Homo > Homo sapiens. The sequence continues at coordinate 76,899,652 of NC_000005.10, forward strand.
CCTGCTTTTTAACTTTTTCTTGTTTCTATTTATATCTTATTGTATTGACTATGTCTTCAAAAGTTGTTGTAGTTATTATTTTTGGTTGGTTCATCATTTAGTCTTTCTACTTAGGATAAGAGTAGTTTATACACTACAGTTGCAGTGTTATTCTTTGTTTTTCTCTATACTTACTATTATCAGTGAGTTTTGTACCTTCAGGTGATTATTTATTGCTCATTATTGTCCTTTTCTTTTTGATTCATGTACTCCCTTGAACACTTCTTGTAGGATAGGTCTGGTATTAATGAAATCCCCCAGCTTTTGTTTGGGAAAGTATTTCTCCTGCAGGTTTGACGGATATTTTCACTGGATATACTATTGTAGGGTAAAAGCTTTTTTCCTTCAGCACTTTAAATATGGCATGCCATTCTCTCTTGGCCTGTAAGGTTTCCACTGAAAAGTCTGCTGTCAGATGTATTGGAGCTCCATTGTATGTTATTTGTTTCTTTTGCTGCTTTTAGGATCCTTTCTTTTTGGTTGACCTTTGGGAGTTTGATTATCAAATGCCTTGAGGTAGTCTTATTTAGGTTAAACCTGCTTAGTGTTCTATAACCTTCTTGCACTTGAATATTGATATCTTTCTCTAAGTTTGGGAAGTCCTCTGTTATTATCCCTTTGAATAAACTTTCTACCCCTATGTCTTTCTCTACCTCCTCTTTAAGGCTAATAATCTTACATGTGCCCTTTTGAGGCTATTTCTAGATTCTGTAGGATTACTTCATTGTTTTTTATTCTTTTTTCTTCTGTCTCCTCTGTGTATTTTCAAGTAGCCTCTCTTCAACCTTACTAATTCTTTCTTCTGCTTAATTCTGCTATTAAAGGACTCTGATATATTCTTTAGTATGCCAATTGCATTTTTTAGCTTCAGAATTTCTGCTTGGTTCTTTTTATTTCAATATCTTTGTTAAATTTGTCTGATAGAATTCTGAATTCCTTCTCTGTGTAATCTTGAATTTCTTTGAGTTTCTTCAACATAGCTATTTTGAATTCTCTGTCTGAAAGGTCACATATCTCTGTTTCTCCAGGATTTGTCCCTGGTGACTTATTTAGTTCATTTAATGAGGTCATGTTTTTCTGAGTGGTGTTGATGCTAGTAGATGTTCTTCAGTGTCTGAGCATTGAGGATTAGGTATTTATCATGGTCTTCACTGTCTGGGCTTATTTGCAGCCATCCTTGGGAAGGCTTTCCAGATATTTGAAAGGACTTGGGTGTTGTGATCTAAGCTGTATCTGCTTTAGAGGACACCCCAATCCCAGTGACACTGTGGTTCTTGCAGAATTGTAAAGGTACCTCCTTGAATGTCTTGGACAAGATCTGGAAGAATTCTCTGGATTACCAGACAGAGACTCTAGTTCTCGTCCCTTACTTTCTCCCAAACATACAGAGTCTCTCTCTCTCTGTTCTGAGCCACCTACAGCTAGAGGTAGAGTGACACAAGCACTCCTGTGGCCACCACCACAATGACTGTGCTGGGTCAAACCTGAAGCCAGCATAGCACTGGATCTCATCTAATGCCTGCTTTAACCACTCCCTGAATACTGCCTATGTTCACTCAAGGCCCTGGGGCTCTACAATCAGCAGGTAACAATGCCAGCCAGGCCTGTGTCCTTCCCTTAAGGGTTTTAAGGTCCCCCAAGCTTCAAGTGGGTCCAGAAGTGCTGTCCAGGAGTCAGGGACTAGAGTAAAAAACATTAGAAGTCTACCTGGTATTGTATTGCAGCCGAGCTGGCACTCAAACCACAAGATGCAGTTCTTCCCACTTTTTCATCATTTTTTCCAAAGGCAGAGGAGCCTCACCTCATAGCCACCCCGACCCCAGGTCACAAGTACGGCCAGACTACCACCAATGTTCCCTTAAGGCCCAAGGGCTCTTCAGTCAACTGGTTTGTAAATGCTGCCTGGCCTGGGTCTCACCCTTCAGGGCAGTGCACTCCCCTCTGGCCCGGGGAGGGTCCAGGAATGCTGTCCAAGAGTCAAGTCCTGGAATTGGGGATCCCAAGAACCCTCATGGTGCTCTATTCCCCTGTGGCTGTGCAAGACAAAGTCCCCTTTACTTTACCCTCTGCTTTTCTCAGGCAGAAGGAACGTTGCTCCATAGCCACCACAGCTGGGAATGTGCTGAGTCTAACCTGAAGCCAGCAAGTCTCAGCAGCTCACCCAAGGCCCACAGTGTAGTACCTGGGTATCACTGCTGGTTATTCAGGGCCCAAGGGCTCTTTAGTTAGCAGGTGATGAATGCTGCCAGGACCGGGTTCTTTCCTTCAAGGCAGCAGGTTCCCTCCTGGCCCAAAGTGTGTCTAGAAATGTCATCTTGGAGCCTGGGTCTGGAATGAGGGCCTCTCAACTCTGACTGGTGCCCTGTCTCGCTGTGGCTGAGCTGGTATTCAAGACTCAAGACAAAATCCTCTCCACTCTTCCCTCTCTTCTCTTCAAGCAGAAGGAAGGGGGTCTCTTTTGGAGCCTCCAGCTGTATAGCCCAGAGTTAGGAAAGGGGTGATGCCAGCACTTCCTTGGCTGCCCCACGTGATGTCTCAGTATGTTGCATGCCCTCTCAGCCCACTGTCTCTAGTCCTAGTTCAGTCACAGGACTCACTGAAGAGTTTCAGTCCTTATGGTCTAGACTGCCTTTCAAATATTCTTGGAGACACAGAGTGCTGTAGCGCTCTGCTGAATTTGATCCAGTTTTCCTTTCTGCTCTAACAGGACAGCACTGAGTTCAATGCTTCACAATTGCAGTGTTCTCCCTCTCCCAGTGCCCAGAAATGCCCTCTGCAACACACACTGCTGCCAGGGGTGGGGCAGGGGTGGCATTAGCTATTTAGAACTGTTTTATTAATCTCTTCAGTGCCTCTTTCAGTGATTTGAAATCTCTTCAGTACTCTTTCACTGAGTACTGTGAGTGCACACCTGATTTTTGGTTCTTATGAAGGTGGGTTTTTTTTGTTTTTTTTTTGTTGTTGTTTGTTTTTTTTTCTGTGTAGATAGTTATTAACTTGCTGTCCTTGGGGGAGGCAGGATGATTTTCCATTCCACCATCTTGGTCTGCCCCCCACCATTTTAATTTTAGATGCTCTCTTTCCACAGAACATTAGGACAGACTTACTATCTTGAGGAATAAATAAATTTTGCAAACTATATACGTTACCTTTCACGAAGATAATTTTTAAAACAAACATTCTTGGATTTTTCTGCTTAAAAATAAATAAGGCGGCTGGGCACGGTGGCTTACACCTGTAATCCCAGCACTTTGGGAGGCTGAGGTGGGTGGATCATCTGAGGTCAGGAGTTCAAGACCAGCCTGGCCAACATGGCGAAACCCCATCTCTACTAAAAATATAAAAATTAGCCAGACATGATGGCGGGTGCCAGTGATCCCAGCTACTCAGGAGGCTGAGGCAGGGAGAATTGCTTGAACCCAGGAGGCAGAGGTTGCAGTGAGCTGAGATCATGCCACTGCACTCCAGCCTGGGTGAAGAGTAAGACTCCATCTCAAAAAATATATATAAGAATAAGGCTGGTTGCTTTTCATCATCACCAGATACTTCTGTCTTATCCCCTAGAGACCACTGATTAGTTTTTTGTTTTCATGGTTTTGCGTTTTCCATCATGTCATATAAATGGAATTAGGCATGATGTAGCCTTTGAGTCTGGTTTTTTTTCACTTAGCAGAATACATTTGATATTAATCTATGATTTTGTATATACCTTTTTATTGCTGTGTAGTCTTTCACTGCATGGATGTACCACAGTTTGTTTATTCAGTTGAAAAAGATTTGGGTTGTTTCTGGTTTTGGTTGACTGAATAAATCTGCTACAAACAGATTTTCATATGGATGTAAATTTTCATTTCTCTTTAAGGTAAGTAGTAAGTGTGGGATTGCTGGGTAGTATGGTATCATTATATTTAAAAATTTTACCTTTCTAATAGGTGTAAAGTGTTATCTCATTGTAATTTTAATCTGTATTTCCCTAACAATGAATGATTTTGAGCATTTCTTTATGTGCTTATTTGACATCTTTGTTTTCTTTTTTTGTTGTTTTTTTTTTTTGAGACAGAGTCTCACTCTGTTGCCCAGGCTGGAGTGCAGTGGCACAATCTTAGATCACTGCAACCTCTGCCTACCAGGTTCAAGCAATTCTTTGCCTTGGCCCCCCAAGTAGCTGGGATTACAGGCGCCCGCCACCACGCCTGGCTATTTTTTTTGTGTGTGTGTATTTTTAGTAGAGATGGCTGTTAGTAGAGACCATGTTAGGCTGGTCTCGAACTCCTGACCTCATGATCCACACACCTTGGCCTCCCAAAGTGCCAGGATTACAGGCATGAGCCACTGTGCCCGGCCGACATCTATATGTTTTCTTTTGTAAAGTATCTGTTTACATCTTTGAGCCATTTTTTAAAAATTGGGTTATGTTTCTATTCTTGAGTTTTAAGAGTTCTTTATATATTATAAATATAAGATCTTTGCCAAATATGTGTTTTACAAATATTTGTCCCCCCTAACCCCACTTTTCTTTTTGAGACAAGGTTTCACTCTGTTGCCCTGGGTTAAACTGCAGTGGTGTGATCTTAGCTCACTGCAACCTTCACCTCCCAGGCTCAAGTGATCCTCCCACCTCAGCCTCCAAAGTAGCTGGAGTGCATTGGCATGATCTCAGCTCACTGCAACCTCTGCCTCCTGGGTTCAAGCAATTCTCCCTGCCTCAGCCTCCTGAGCAGCTGGGATCACTGGCACCCGCCATCATGCCTGGCTAATTTTTATATTTTTAGTAGAGATGGGGTTTCGCCACGTTGGCCAGGCTGGTCTTGAACTCCTGACCTCATGAGATAAAATCAAGAAAATTATTAACTTGTTGCTTATTAAACACACATTTCTTTACAAGTAATGATGGGCTTTTACTGACTGCATTTATGTTTGAAATGAAATTAATTTCAAACTAGAACTTTCAAGTAGAGTTGAGATAAAACATTATGCTTTTTGGTCCACAGGTGTATACCACCATGCCTGGCTAATTAAAAAAAATTTTTTTTTGGTAGAGATGGGGTCTCCCTGTGTTGCCCAGGCTGGTCTCAAACTCCTAGGCTCAAGTAATCCTCCTGCCTCAGCCTCCCAAAATGCTGGGATTATAGTTGTGAGCCACTGTACCCAGCCTCACTTTTCATTCTCTTAATATTGTCTTTTGTAGAACATAAATTTTTAATTTTGAAAAAGTCAAATTTATCAAATTTTTCTTTTGTGGATTAGGCTTTTGATGTATCAGGAAATATTTGCCTAATCCAGTGGTTTTCAAACGAAGGGCAACTCTCATTCCCCAGAACATTTGGCAATATCGAAGACATTTTTGGTTGATTGGGGACAGAGTTGCTGCTGGCCTCTAGTGGGTAGAGGCCAGGGATGCTGCTACACATCCTACAATGCACAGTATGAACTCTTCAACAAAAAATTATCAATCTAAGATGTCAATAGTACCAAGGTTGACAAGCTTAATTCAAGATCACAAAGATTTTGTTCTATTATTATTATTTAGAGACAGGGTCTTACTATGTTACCCAGGCTGGCTTCAAACTCCTGGGTTCAAGCAATCTTACCATCTCAGCCTCCTGAGTAGCTGAGACTACAGGCACATACCACTGTGCCCGGCTTATTTCTTGAAAATTTTTTTACAATTTTAGGCTCCACATTTAAATCTATGATTCATTTTGAGTTTATTTTTATTTATTTATTTTTATTGTTTTTTGAGATGGAGTCTCACTCTGTTGCCTAGGCTGGAGTGCAGTGGCATGATTTCGGTTCATCGCAAGCTCCACCTCCTGGGTTTGCACCATTCTTCTGCCTCAGCCTCCTGAGTAGCTGGGACTACAGGCGCCTACCACCACGCCCGTCTAATTTTTTGTATTTTTAGTAGAGATGGGGTTTCACCACGTTATCCAGGATGGTCTCGATCTCCTGACCTCGTGATCTGCCTACCTCGGCTTCCCAAGGTGCTGGGATTACAGGTGCGAACCACCGTGCCTGGCCATTTTGAGTTAATTTTTGTAGCTAGTGCAAGGTATGGATTGAGGTTTGTTCTTTTTCAACTTTAAATCGAGGTTTTATGTTTAGTAGCTGAGCCATCACAGTACTTTACAAATAATAACTTTTTGTTTGTTTGTTTGAGACAGGATATCACTCCATTGCCCAGGCTGCAGTACAGTGGTATGATCGTGGTCACTGCAGCTGCGACTTTCTGGGCTCAAGTGATCCTCCCACCTCAGCCTCCTGAGTAGCTGGGACTACAGGTGTGTGACACCACACCCAGCTAATTTTTTGTCTTTTTAATAGAGACAGGATGTCACCATGTTGCCCAGGCTGGTCTTGAAGTCCTGGGCTCAAGCAATTCCCCTGCCTTGGCCTCCCAAAGTAATGGGATTATAGGCATCAGCCACCACACCCAGCCAAAAACATCTTTTATGTTTTATTTTATTCTTTATTAAGGTATAATTGACAAAATTGTACATATATATGGTAGACAACGTGATGTTTTGGTGTATGTATCCATTGTGAATAATTAAGCTAACATTTAATCACTTCACATATTTTTTTGGTGATGAGAACACTTAAAATCTAATCTCTTGGCAATTTTCAAGTATGTAATACATTATTATTAACTATAGTCACCATGCTATACAATAGATCTCCAAAAGTTTTTATCCTGTCTCATTGAAACTTTGTAGCCTTTGACCAACATCACTCCATTTCTCTGGCCTCCTCACCTGCCAGCACCTGCTACTATCATTGTACTTTCTGCTTCTAGTTCAACTTTTTTATATTTCACATATAAGTACAGTAATGCAGTACTTGTCTTTCTGTGCCTGGCTTATTTCACTTAACATAATGTCCTCCAGGTTTATCATGTTGCTGCAAATGACACAATTTCCGTGTTTTTTGTTGTTGTTGTTTTGTTTTTTGTTTTTTTTTGAGACAGAGTCAAGCTCTGTCACCCAGGCTGGAGTGCAGTAGTGCGATCTCAGCTCAGTGCAACCTCCTCCTCCCAGGTTCAAGTGATTCTCCTGCCTCAGCCTCCTGAGTAGCTGGGATTACAGGTGCCTGCCACCACGCTCAGCTAATTTTTGTGTTTTTAGTAGAGACAGGGTATCACTGTGTTGGCCAGGCTGGTCTCAAACTCCTGATCTCATGATCCTCCCACCTTGGCCTCCCAAAGTGGTGGGATTACAAGCGAAAGCCATTGCCCCCGCCAAATTTCCTTCTTTTTAAAGGCTGAATAGTATTCCATTGTGTGTGTGTATATATATATATATATATATATATATATATATATATATATATATATACATATATATATACCAAATTTTCTTTATCCATTCATTTATCAATGAATATGGTATTCATTCCATATTTTGGCTATTGAAGGTTCTTTTTTGATGATTGCCTAATTGTTTCAATATTATCAAGACTATCCTTTTTTTCTGTTGAATTATCTTTGCACCTTTTCTGAATATCCATTGAGCATATATGTGTGCGTCTATTTTGTGAACACTTATTCTGTTCCATTGATCTATATGTCTATCCTTTCCTGATACCATATAGTCTTGATGACTATTGCTTTGTAGTAATTCTTTTGTTTTTTTGAGACAGAGTCTAACTCTGTCACCCAGGCTGGAGTGCAGTGGCATGATCTTGGCTCACTGCAAGCTCTGCCTCCCTGGTTCACGCCATTCTCCTGCCTCAGCCTCCCAAGTAGCTGGGACTACAGGGGCCCGCCACCATGCCCGGCTAATTTTTTGTATTTTTAGTAGAGATGTGGTTTCACCATGTTAGCCAGGATGGCCTCGATCTCCTGACCTCTTGATCTGCCTGTCTCAGCCTCCCAAAGTGCTGGGATTACAGGCATGAGCCACTGCGCCCAGCTGCTTTATAGTAATTCTTGAAATAAGATAGTCTGAGTCTTAAAATTTTGTTCTTCTTTTTCAAAATTATATTTGCTATTCTAGTTTACTTTATTATTATTTTTGATTGCTGCTTATAGTGGTTGCCAAGTAGCCAAACATTAAATTCAATATTTGGCCAAAGCTGAGACTGAAATTAAGTATCATCATTGCAGAAAAAAATTCTAATGTAAAAAAATTAATTTGAGATCTTATTGTAATAAATAAGGCCAGGTGCAGTGGCTCACACCTATAATCCTAGCAGTTTGGGAGGCCAAGGCAGGCATATCACTTGAGCCCAGGAGTTTGAGACCAGCCTGGGCAGCATGGTGAAAGCACTTCTCTACAAAAAATACAAAAATATCAGTCAGATGTGGTGGCACCTGCCTGTAGTCCCAGCTACTCGGGAGGCTGAGGTGGGAAGACTACCTGACCCTGGGGAAGTTGAGGATTCGGTAAGCCATGATTTTGCCACTGCACTCCAGCCTGGGCAACAGAGTGAGACCCTGTCTCAAAAAAATTAATAATCAAAGGTCTCTCTAACAACCTGCAACTCTTTGGAGTTGGGAACATTGGTTTACCTGGAACCAGTTTCTGCTTTTCCTGTACTTCTGGGCTGAGCCAAGGGTCAACGGAGAGGAAGCCATTCAGCTTCGGGGTCCTGACAACAAGTTGGTTGACCCGGCAGCCATGAGCGGAACTCTCAAAGTCATGTCGCCCAAGCAAGACTTGCCTATCTATCCTATCTACCCTGACCCTTGCCTCCTGGGTCCTAATGCCTGCCAGACAAACTTCCTCTCACTTCTCTTCTCTGAGGCTAGTCACGCTTCTAAAAACCACTCCCTGTCTCTGGTGCTTTTCTAGTTTCTCCTATGAGAATGATTTCTCGTATAAACTTCAGGACTCTGTTACCTCCTTTTGGCACCTGGGCTCACCAATGAGAAAGACATATTTTTTGCCCAAAGCCCCATCATAGGTGGGACTATCTGGAATTTTCAGATCCCTCCTCAGACAAGCAGGCCTAACAAAAGCAAAGCTATTCCTAAAGCTAGGATATGGGGAGCCTCAGAAATTGTATCCTTCCTATTCATATAAATGAGGACAAAAGGCATCACTCTTCTAACTCTGGAGATCCCTTTCCTCCCTCAGGGTATGGCCCTTCACTTCATTTTGGAGGCATAATATCTTTATAGGACAGGCGTAAAGTCTCAATACTAACAGGAGAATGCTTAGGACTCTAACAGGTTTTCGAGAATGCATCATTAAGGGCCACTAAATCCGATTTTTCTCAGTCCTTCTTGTGGTCTAGGAGGACAGGCAAGTGTGCAGATTTTTGAGAATGCATCAGTAAGGGCCACTAAATCCAACCTTCTTTGGTCCTCCTTGTGGTCTAGGAGGAAAACTAGTGTTTCTGCTGCTGTGTTGGTAAGCGCAACTATTCCGATCAGCAGGGTCCAGGGACCATTGTGGGTTCTTGGACAAGAGGTGTTTTCGGCTACTGCATCGGTGAGCACAGCTATTCCAATCAGCAGGCTCCAGGGACCGTTACGGGTTCTTGGGCAGGGGGAGAAACAAACAAACCAAAACTGTGGGCAGTTTTGTGTTTCAGATGGGAAACACTCAGGCATCAACAGGCTCACTTTTGAAATGCATCCTAAGCCAATGGGACCAATTTGATCCATAAACCCTGAAAAAGAGGCAGCTCATTTGTTTCCACACTACGGCCTGGCCCCAATATTCTCTCTCTGATGGGGAAAAATGGCCACCTGAAGGAAGTACAAATTACAATACTATCCTGCAGCTTGACCTTTTCTGTAAGAGGGAAGGCAAATGGAGTGAAATACCTTATGTCCAAGCTTTCTTTTCACTGGAGGAGAACATACAACTATGCAAAGCTTGCAATTTACATCCTACAGGAGGACCTCTCAGCTTACCCCCTTATCCTAGCCTCCCTATAGCTCCCCTTCCTATTAATGATAAGCCTCCTCTAATCTCCCCCGCCCAGAAGGAAATAAGCAAAGAAATCTCCAAATGATCACAAAAACCCCTGGGCTATCAGTTATGTCCCCTTCAAGCTGTAGGGGGAGGGGAATTTGGCCCAACCTGGGTACATGTCCCCTTCTCCCTCTCTAATTTAAAGCAGATCAAGGCAGACCTGGGGAAGTTTTCAGATGATCCTGATAGGTACATAGATGTCCTACAGGGTCTAGAGCAAACCTTTGATCTCACTTGGAGAGATGTCATGCTATTGTTAGATCAAACCCTGGCCTTTAATGAAAAGAATGCAGCTTTAGCTGCAGCCCAAAAGTTTGGAGATACCTGGTATCTTAGTCAAGTAAATGATAGAATGACAGCCAAAGAAAGGGACAAATTCCCTACCAGTCAGCAAGCCATCCCCAGTATGGATCCCCACTGGGATCTCAACTCAGATCATGGGGACTGGAGTCATAAACATCTGTTGACCTGTGTTCTAGAAGGACTAAGGAGAATTAGGAAAAGCCCATGAATTATTCAATGATGTCCACCATAACTCAGGGAAAGGAAGAAAATCCTTCTGCTATCCTTGAGCAGCTATGGGAGGCCTTAAGAAAATATACTCCCCTGTCACCCAACTCACTAGAGGGTCAACTGATTCTAAAAGATAAGTTTATTGCCCAATCTGCAGCAGATATCAGGAGAAAGCTCCAAAAGCAAGCCCTGGGCCCTGAACAAAATCTGGAGGCATTATTAAACCTGGCAACCTTGGTGTTCTATAATAGGGACCAAGAGGAAGAGGCCCAAAAGGAAAAGTGAGATCAGAGAAAGGCCGCAGCCTTAGTCATGGCCCTCACACAAACAAACCTTCATGGTTCAGAGAGGACAGAAAACAGAGCAGGCCAATCACCCGGGATGGCTTGTTATCAGTGTGGTTTACAAGGACATTTTAAAAAAGATTGTCCAACGAGAAACAAGCTGCCCCCTCGTTCATGTCCACTATGCTGAGGCAATCACTGGAAGGTGCACTGCCCCAGAGGACAAAGGTTCTCTGGGTCAGAAGCTGCCAACCAGATGATCCAGCAACAGGACTGAGGGTGCCTGGGGCAAGCGCCAGCTCATGTCATCACCCTCACTGAGCCCTGGGGACATTTAATCATTGAGGGCCAGGAAATTGACTTCCTCCTGGACACTGGCGCGGCCTTCTCAGTGTTAATCTCCTGTCTTGGATGACTGTCCTCAAGGTCCGTTACCATCCGAGGAATCCTGGGACAGCCTGTAACCAGTTGTTTCTCCCACCTCCTCAGTTGTAATTGGGAGACTTTGCTCTTTTCACATGCCTTTCTTGTTATGCCTGAAAGTCCCACACCCTTATTAGGGAGGGATATATTAGCCAAGGCTGGAACTATTGTCTACATGAATATGAGGAACAAGTTACCCATTTGTTGTCCTCTACTTGAGGAGGGAATCAACCCTGAAGTCTGGGCATTGGAAGGACAATTTGGAAGGTCAAAAAATGGCCACCCAGTCCAAATCAGGCTAAAAGATCCCACCACTTTTCCTTATCAAAGGCAATATCCCTTAAGGCCTGAAGCTCATAAAGGATTACAGGATATTGTTAAACATTTAAAAGCTCAAGGCTTAGTAAGGAAATGCAACAGTCCCTGCAACACCCCAATTCTAGGAGTACAAAAACCGAACGGTCAGTGGAGACTAGTGGAAGATCTTAGACTCATCAAAAAGGCAGTAATTCCTCTATATCCAGTTGTACCCAACCCCTATAGCCTGCTCTCCCAAACACCAGAGGAAGCAGAATGGTTCACTGTTCTGGACCTCAAGGATGCCTTCTTCTGTATTCCCCTGCACTCTGACTCCCAGTTTCTCTTTGCCTTTGAGGATCCCACAGACCACACATCTCAACTTATGTGGACCGTCTTGCCCCAAGGGTTTAGGGATAGCCCTCACCTGTTTGGTCAGGCACTGGTCCAAGATCTAGGCCATTTCTCAAGTCCAGGCACTCTGGTCCTTCAGTATGTGGATAATTTACTTTTGGCTACCAGTTCTGAAGCCTCATGCCAGCAGACTACTCTAGATCTCTTGAACTTTCTAGCTAATCAAGGGTACAAGGTGCCTAGATCGAAGGCCCAGCTTTGCCTATAGCAGGTCAAATATCTAGGCCTGATCTTAGCCAGAGGTACCAGGGCCCTCAGCAAGGAACAAATACAGCCTATACTGGCTTATCCTCACCCTAAGACATTAAAACAGTTGCGGGGGTTCCTTGGAATCACCGGCTTTTGCTGACTATGGATCCCTGGATACAGAGGGATAGCCAGGCCCCTGTATACTTCTCTTTATACATCACAGAGAGTGCAGGGCTAGCTCTTGGAGTCCTTACTCAGACTCGTGGGACAACCCCACAACCAGTGGCATACCTAAGTAAGGAAATTGATGTAGTAGCAAAAGGCTGGCCTCACTGTTTAAGGGTAGTTGCGGCGTTGGCTTAGTGTCAGAGGCTATCAAAATAATACAAGGAAAGGATCTCACTGTTTGGACTACTCATGATGTAAATGGCATACTAGGTGCCAAAGGAAGTTTATGGGTATCAGACATCCGCCTACTTAGATACCAGGTGCTACTCCTTGAGGGACCGGTGCTTCAAATACATATGTGCATGGCCTCAACCCTGCCACTTTTCTCCCAGAGGATGGGGACCCAATCGAGGATGATCACCAACAAATTATAGTCCAGACTTATGCCACCCGAGATGATCTCTTAGAAGTCCCCTTAGCTAATCCTGACCTTAACCTATATACCAATGGAAGTTCATTTGTGGAGAGTGGGATATGAAGGGCAGGTTATGTCATAGTTAATGATGTAACCGTACTTGAAAGTAAGCCTCTTCCCCCAGGGACAAGGGCCCAGTTAGCAGAACTAGTGGTGCTTACCTGAGCCTTAGAACTGGGAAAGAGGAAAAAAAAATAAATGTGTATACGGATAGCAAATGTGCTTATCTAATCCTACATGCCCATGCTGTAATATGGGAAGAAAGAGAGTTACCTCTGGGGGGAACCCCCATAAAATACGACAAGGAAATCATGGAGTGATTGCACTCAGTGCAAATACTCAAGGAGGTGGCAGTCTTACACTGCCAAAGCCATCAAAAAGGGGAAGGAGAAGGGAGAACAGCAGCATAAGTGGCTGGCAGAGGCAAGGAAAGACCAGCAGAAAGAAAAGAGAGAAAGAGACAGAAAGAGAGAGAGAGAGGAAGAGACAGACACAAAGAAGGAGTCAGAGAGAGAGAGAGAGAGGAGAAGAGACAGAGACAAATAGGGAGTCAGAGAGACAGAGAGAGTCAGAGAGAGGAAGAGACAGACAAAAAGGGAGTCAGAAGGAGACAAAGAAGAAGTCAAAGAGAAGAAAGAGAGATGGAAGTAGTAAAGAAAAAACGTATACCCTATTCCTTTAAAAGCCAAGGTAACTTTAGAACCTATAATTGATAATTGAAGGTCTTCTCTGTAACCCTATAACACTCCAATACCACCTTGTTGTCAGTGTAAACAAGGGCGTAGCCTGAAAGCACTGAGGCCACTGACAACCCATAGCCTTCCTATCAAAAATCCTTAACCCAGCAGGTTTCCTAACAGGGGATCTAAATCTTAACTAATTACCATACAAAGGTCCGATCAGACCAAGGAGGAACTCCCTTCAGGACAGGAAGATAGATGTTTCCTCCCAGGCGATTAAGGGAAAAAGACACAATGGATATTCAGTAAGTGATAAAGAAACTCTTGTAAAATCAGAGTTAGGAAAATTGCCTAATGATATGTCTGCTCAAACCTGCGAGCTGTTTGCACTCAGACAAACAGAATCAGGAAGGAGCCATCTTATAGAATCAGGAAGGAATTATCTATACCAATTCTAAGTTAATATGGACTGAACAAGGTTTTATTAACAGCAAAGAAAAAATCCCAAACTTACAAGATTTTCAACTAAAGTTTGCTAAAAGTTAACAGTGTAACATGTATTATCCTACTACCACACACTCTCAAAGGATTTCTCAGACAGTTTGCAAGAGATAACAAAATCTATCCTTACTCTACAATCCCAAATAGACTCTTCGGCGGCAGTGACTCTCCAAAACCGCAGAGGCGTAGACCTCCTCACTGCTGAGAAAGGAGATCTCTGCACCGTCTTAGGGGAAGAGTGCTGTTTTTATACTAACCAGTTAGGGATAGTACGAGATGCTGCCCGGCATTTACAGGAAAAGGCTTCTGAAATCAGACAACACCTTTCAAGCTCTTATACCAACTTCTGGAGTTGGGCAACATGGCTTCTCCCCTTTCTAGGTCCCATGGCAGCCATCTTGCTGTTACTCACCTTTGGGCCCTATATTTTTAACCTTTTTGTCAAATTTGTTTCCTCTGGAATCAAGGCCATCAAGCCACAGATGGTCTTACAAGTGGAACACCAAATGAGTTCAACCAACAACTTCTACCGAGGACCCCTGGACTGACCTGCTGGCCCTTCCACTGGCCTAAAGAGTTCCCCTCTGGAGGACATTACAACTGCAGGGCTCCTTCTTTGCCCTTATCCAGCAGGAAGTAGCTAAAGCGGTCATCGGCCAAATTCCCAACAGCAGTTGGGGCATCCTGTTTAGAGGGGGGATTGAGAGGTGAAGCCGGCTGGGCTTCTGGGCTGGGTGGGGACTTGGAGAATTTTCTGTCTAGCTAAAGGATTGTAAATGCACCAATCAGAGCTCTGTGTCTAGCTAAAAGGTTTGTAAACACACCAATCAGCACTCTGTAAAATGGACCAATCAGCTCTCTGTAAAATGGACCAATCAGCAGGATGTGGGTGGGGCCAAATAAGGGAATAAAAGCTGGCCACCCAAGTCAGCAGTGGCAACCCGCTCAGGTCCCCTTCCATGCTGTGGAAGCTTTGTTCTTTCACTCTTCGCAATAAATCTTGCTGCTGCTCACTCTTTGGGTCCGCACTAACTTCATGAGTTGTCACACTTACCGTGAAGGTCTGCAGCTTCACTCCTGAAGCCACTGAGACCATGGACCCACCAGGAGGAAAAAGCAACTCCAGACGTGCCACCTTTAAGAGCTGTAACACTCACCGCGAAGGTCTGCAGCTTCACTCCTGAAGCCAGCGAGACCACAAACCCACTGGAAGGAACAAACAACTCCTGACGCACCACCTTTAAGAGCTGTAACCCTCACAGTGAAGGTCTGAAGCTTCACTCCTGAAGTCAGCGAGACCACGAACCCACCAGAAGGAAGAAACTCCGGATACATCTGAACATCTGAAGGAACAAACTCCGGACCATCTTTAAGAACTGTAACACTCACCGCAAGGGTCTGTGGCTTTGTTCTTGAAGTCAGCAAGACCAAGAATCCACTGGAAGGAATCAATTCCGGACACATAAGGCCGGGCACGGTGGCTCACGCCTGCAATCCCAGCACTTTGGGAGGTCGAGGCAGGTGGATCACGAGGTTAGGAGATCAAGACCATCCTGGCTAACACAGTGAAACCCCGTCTCTACTGAAAATACAAAAACATTAGCCGAGCATGGTGGCAGTCACCTGTAGTCCCAGCTACTCGGGAGGCTGAGGCAGGAGAATGCGTAAACCTGGGAGGCGGAGCTTGCAGTGAGCTGAGATTGTGCCACTGTACTCCAGCCTGGGTGACAGAGTGAGACTCCATCTCAAAAAAAAAAAAAAAAATGCTGGGCGTGATGGCTCACACCTGTAATCCCAGCACTTTGGGAGGCCGAGGCGGGCAGACCACCAGGTCAGGAGATCAAGACCATCCTGGCCAACATGGTGAAACCCCCTCTCCACTAAAAAAAATACAAAAAAAATTAGCCAGGCATGGGGGTGAGCGTCTGTAGTCCTGGCTACTCCGGAGGCTAAGGCAGGAGAATGGCGTGAACCCGGGAGGTGGAGCTTGCAATGAGCCGAGATCACACCACTGCACTCCAGCCTGGGCAACAGAGCGAGACTCCGTCTCAAAGAAAATAAATAAATAAAAAATAAAAATAAATAAATAAATAAAAAAGATAAAGTGGTAGGCTTAAGCCCAAACATATCAATAGTTACATTAAATGTAAATGGTTTAACTATAAAAATTAAAATACAGTAACTAGCATAATGGATTAAAAACATGCCCTAATTATATGTTCTCTACAAGAAACTCACATCAAATACAATAACGTATGTTGAAAGTAAAAGGACAAAAAATTACACAAGCATTAATTTAAAATGTTATGTTAACATTAGATAAGTGGACTTCAGAGCAAACAAAATTACCTAACCCTAGCACTTTCGGAGGCCAAGGCAGGCAGATCATGAGGTTAGGATCAAGACCAGTCAGGCCAACATGGTGAAACCTCGTCTCTACTAAAAATACAAAAATTAGCTGGGCGTGGAGGTACACACTTGTAATCCCAGCTACCTGGGAGGCTGAGGCAGGAGAATCGCTTGAACCCAGGAGGTGGAGGTTGCAGTGAGCCGAGATTGTGCCACTGCACTCCAGCCTGGGAGACAGAGTGAGACTCCATCTCAAAAAAAAAAAAAAAAAAATTACCAGAGATGGTGAAGTACATTACTAATAATAAAAGTATAAATCTACCACAAAGGCATAGCAATCCTAATTATATATGTACCAAATAACAGAACTACAAAATATGTAAAGCAAAAACTGATAGTATTGAAAAGAGAAACAGACAAATCCACAATTACAATTGAAGACTGCAACATCCTTCTCTCAACAATTGATAGAAAAGCTAGACAGAAAATCAGCAAGGACATAGAAGAAATAACATGACCATCAATTAACAGGATTGAACTGACTTTTGTGAAACACTCAACAACAGGCCACACATTATTTTCATGTGCCCACAGTACATATACCAAGACAGACCATGTCCTAGGCCAAAAAAAAAAAAAAAAACCTTGAAAAATTAATACCCATTGAAATCCTAAGAGTGTGTTTTCTGACTACAGTGGAAACAAACTAGAAACCAATAACAGAAAGATAACATGAAAATTTTTAAACACTTGCAAACTAAACACACTTGTAAATAATACTTGGGTCAAAAAGAGGGTCTTAAGGAAAATTAAAAACACATTCAACTAAATAAAAATGTAAAGACGATATATCAAAATTTGTAAGATACTGCTAAAGAAGTCTTGAGAGGCAAAGTTATAGCATGAAATCCCTGCATTAGAAAAGAGGATATTTCAAGGCTGGGAGCAGTGGCTCACATCTTTAATCCCAATACTTTGTGAGGCCAAGGCAGGTGGATCATGTGAGGTTAGGAGTTCGAGACCAGCCTGGCCAACATAGTTAAACCCCATCTCTACTAAAAATACAAAAAGGAGCTGGATATGGTGGCAGGTGACTGCAGTCCCAGCTACTTGGGAGGCTGAGGCAGGAGAATGGCTTGAACCCAGGAGGCGGAGGTTGCAGTGAGCTGAGATTGCACCACTGCCCTCCAGCCTAGGTGACAGAGTGAGACTGTCTCAAAAAAAAAAAAAAAAAAAAAGGATATTTCAAAAAGTTGTATGAAAAGAAGAAAAAAGGAAGGTCTCAAGTCTGTATTTCTCATAACTACATGTGAATCTATAATTGTTTCAAAATAAGTTTATAATTATGTATTAACATACATATTTCAATCATTTAATAGAGCTTCAAAACATAAAATGTGAGATTTCCAGTTTGACTTTTTTGTAGCATGCTTCCATATACTATTCATAGATAGTCACAATAATTCTGAATGACAGGCCTTGTTGGTATTACTGACATTGCTAGGCTGCCTAGGTGTGAGGTGGTACTTACACAGTTTCATGATCACACACAAGTTTAAGAATGTCAGAAAAGAGACTGAAGTAGCCATTCAGCTATATGGTTTTCCAGAGGGAAAGCTTGGGTCAAAAATCAGAAATTGGCCTGGCACAGTGGTTCACACCTCTAATCCCAGCACTTTTGGGAAGTGGTTGGATCACTTGAGGCCAGGGGTTCGAGACCAGCCTGGCCAACATGGCGAAACCCCATCTCTATTGAAAACACAAAAATTAGCTGGATGTAGTGGCACATGCCTGTAATCCCAGCTACAAGGGAGGCTGAGGCACAAGAATCACTTGAACCCAGAAAGTGGAGGTTGCAGTAAACCGAGATAACACCACTGTACTCCAGCCTGGGTGACCGAGCAAGACTGTCTCAAAAAAAAAAAAAAAAATCAGAAATTGAATACCAAGGTCAAAATTGGTATTGAACCTCAATGCCCAATATTTTTATGTCAAAGTGCCAGTTTCCTGTAGGTGGACGTCTAGTTGGTTTCTTGCTTTTTGCTCTTACAAATAGTTCTACAATGACAATCTTTAAATATATATCTGTGTAGTCTTTAGGGTATCTATCTGTAGGTTAATTCCTACAATTGGACTTGTGGTCAAAGGTATACGTATTTAAAATTTTGATTGATAACGTCAATTTTCTATCTAAAAACCTTATACCAATTTGTACCTCCATACCTCTATGCACGTGTTGTTTTTCCACACATTTACTAACATTAGATATTATCCAACTTTATTTTTTGTCGTTAGAATAGGGTTTTTACTTTGTTTTTGAGACAGAATCTGGCTCTGTCACCCAGGCTTGAGTGCAGTGGTACAATCTCAGCTCGCTGCAACTTCTGCCTCCCGGGCTCAAGTGATCCTCCCACCTCAGCCTTCTGAGTAGCTGAGACTACAGGTGCGTGCCACTATGCCTGGCTAACATTTGCATTATTTGTAGAGACAGGGTTTTGCCATGTTGTTCATGCTGGTCTCAAACTCCTGAGCTCAAGCAGTCCTCCCGTCTTGGCCTCCCAAAGTGCTGGGATTACAGGAGTGAGCTACTGTGCCCAGTAGAATAAGGGTTTTAATTTGCTTTTGAAAAAATAGACTTTAGAGTAGTTTTAGGTTCATGTAAAGTTTAGTGGATACACAGAGTGCTCCCATGTTATACCTGCCTCCAGATGTGCACCGACTTCCCCATTATCAACATCTCCCACCACAGTGGTATATTTGTTACAATAGAACCTACGTTGACACATCATTATTACCCAGTGTCTGTAGTTTACACTAGGTTTCATTCTTAGTGTTGTACATTCTATGGGTTTTGACAAATGCATAGTGACACGTATCCACTGTTACAGTATGATACACAATACCTTCACTGCCCTAAAAATCCTCTGTACTCTATCTATTCAACATTCCCTCCCACTTGTCCCTGGCAATCACCAATCCCTTTACTCTTTCCATTGTTTTGTCTTTTTCATAATGTCATATAATTGGAGTTATATGGTACCTAGCCTTTTCAGATTGCCTTCTCTCACTTAATACACATTTAAGTTTTCTTCGTGGCTTTTCATGGCTTGATAGCTTATTTTTTTGAAAGCTGATGAATATTCCATTGTCTGGATATTCCACAGTTCATTTATCTAATTACCCACTGAAGAACATATTGCTTGCTTCCAAGGTTTGCCAATTATGAATAAAGTTGCTATAAACAGTCATGTGCAGGTTTTATGTGGATATAAGTTTTTAACTCATTTAGGTAAATATCAAGGGACACAACTACTGGATTGGATAGTAAGAGCATGTTCAGTTTTGTGAGAAACCACCAAATTGTCTTCCAAAGTGGCAGTGCCATTTTGCATTGCCACCAGCAATGAATGAGAGCCCCTGTTGCTCCACATCCATGGCAGCATTTGGTGTTATCAGTGTTTTGGATTTTGGCCATTCTAATAAGTATGCAGCTGTATCTCACTATTGTTTTAATTTGCAATTTCCTAATGACATATTTTGTGGAGGATCTTTTTATATACTTGCCATCTTTGTATCTTCTTTGGTGAGGTATCTGTTCAGGTCTTCTCTTCTTCTCCCTTCCTCCCTCCCTCCCTCCCTCCCTCCCTTCCTTCCTTCCTTTCTCTCTCTCTCTCTTTCTCTCTCCCTCTCTTTCTTTTTCTCTTCCTTTTTTTTTTTTTAAAGAGATGCAGGTCTCATTTTGTCACCCAGGCTGTAGGGTAGTGATCATATTTCACTGCTGCCTCAAATTCCTGGGTTCAAGCAATCCTCCCACCTCAGCCTCCCGAGTAGCTGGGACTACAAGTGCATGCCACCATACTGGCTAAAATTCTTTTTTTGTAGAGATGAGATCTCATCATCCTTCCCAGGCTGGTCTTAAACTCCTGGGCTCAAGTGATCCTTCTGCCTCAGCTTCCCACAGTGCTGGGATTACAGGTGTGAACCACCATGCCCAGCTTTCATTTTTTTTTTTTTTTTTTTGAGACAGAGCCTCACTCTGTAGCCCAGGCTGGAGTGCAGTGGTCCAATCTTGGCTC
Organism: Homo sapiens; assembly: GCF_000001405.40. Classification (NCBI taxonomy): domain Eukaryota; kingdom Metazoa; phylum Chordata; class Mammalia; order Primates; family Hominidae; genus Homo; species Homo sapiens. Next base: position 76,919,983 of record NC_000005.10, read on the forward strand.
ACTGCAACCTCCGCCTCCCGAGTTCAAGCAGTTCCCCCTGCCTCAGCTTCCCAAGTAGCTGGGATTACAGGTGCCCACCACCATGCCTGGCTAATTTTTGTATTTTTAGTAGAGATGGGGTTTCACCATGTTGGCCAGACTGGTCTCGAACTCCTGACCTCAGTTTATCTGCTCCCTTGGCCTCCCAAAATGCTGGGATTACAGGCATGAGCCACCACGCCCGGCTCAGCCTTCATTTTTTAAATTGGGTGGTTTGTTTTCTTATTGTTGAGTTTAAAAGTTCTTTGCATATTTTGGATAAGTCCTTTACCAGGTGTGATTTGCCATTTAAAATTCATGAAATGTGTTGGAGTAACTTTTTTATATGTTTACTGGCCATTTATGGCTCTTTTTTGTGAAGTGCACATTTTCTTGCAATTGGCATTAGCTGAATCCACTGCTAAGACTTCTCCCCACTTGGGCTTTCATGCATAGCATAATGGTATACACAATGCTTCGTCGGAATTTACCTGACTTAGAAAGAACATGCCTGCCCACCTTCCACAAGAAGCTGTACATCTGACTGTAATGGAGCGCTCCTCACTCTCCTCAATGCAGAGCAGAAATAGTCACAGCAGAGTGGTAGATAAACTTATAGTAAATGTGTCCAATTTAAATGTTACCATCATCAGCAGGAAACATACTACACAGCCATTGGCTGGATTTCAAGTGACTGTGTGGGTCTTTGATTTCAGGAAGTTCGTGAATGCTAATCAAGGGCTAAATAAAGTGGAAAGCAGCATCCTTGAAAATCATCGCTCTCAGGACGGGGTCTGCCTGGAATAGCACTGAATGTGTTTAGTAGTGCCTTTGGCTTGGGGGCTTTGGAGAAAGCTGCTTGAGCCCTTCCCATGCTCATAAATTAGGTAAGGAGCAGTGAGGAAGTGTCTACAGCAACCTCAGCCAATGTGATGTGCCTCTACAGCTGTATGAAGTAGATTCTCTGATTTTATCTTGAAATCCACAACTTCCACAAAAAAGAAAAATCTTTTACCATTTCTCATTAAAAAAGTAATATAAGTTTATTGTAGGGGGAAATAATCAAATGTAATCTCATTACCCAGATATAATCACTGTTAACTTCTTCATTCGAATTTTCCCTAGGTCCATGTATCTATATATCTATGGTTCATAAAAATGAGATTACACCAAAAAATATCTTTTGTTATCTATATAGTTCCAGCTTAATAAATATACAACTGTATTATTATTTTTGTCTGAATAGTATTTTCATTGATATATCACAATATATTTACTCCAATTCCCTATTGCATATAGATTATTTCTAATTTTTCTATTAATAATACTAAGGGAGCTTTTAAGTCAATACATCTGAATCTTGAATAAAATTCTTGTTCCTTCTCTTTGGATGGGTATTCAGACTCTTAATTTTACAAATGAAGAAATAAAGTCCCAGAAGGTAACAGAGATAGAACTAGGCACGATTTTCTATTCTTCTTTCCTTCCTTTCTTTGTGAGAGTTAACGATTATTTAAAAGTATTCATAATTTTCTGATAATAAAAGTAAGACATGGCATTATGACACTGGATATTCAAAAACCACGATGTCCTTTTACTTGAAGATTTTAAAAGGAAATGATTACAATAAATACCCAGAGTCAACAATTATCAAGTTTCTGTCATATTTGCTTCATCTATCTCTTTCCTTTGAAAGCGAATCCTAGGCCGGGTGCAGTGGCTAACGCCTGTAATCCTAGCACTTTGGGAGGTCGAGGTGGGCGGATCACTTGAGGTCAGGAGTTAGAAACCAGCTTGGCCATCATGGTGAAACCCCAACTCTACTAAAAATACAAAAAATTAGCTGGGCATGGCGGTGCACGCCTGTATTCCCAGCTACTTGGGAGGCTGAGGCGGGAGAATTGTTTGAACTCAGGAGGCAGAGGTTGCAGTGAGCTGAGATCATGCCACCGCACTCCAGCCTGGGCAACAGAGTGAGAGACTGTCTCAAAAAAAAAAAAAAAGAAAAAAGAAAGCAAATCCTAGGTACCATTTCATTTTATCCCTACATGTTCAGATATGCTGTTAGGGCTCAAAAGTGATACCCCAAAGACTGTGCTTTGACATGCTGAGAGGCCTTAGAAGCTGCCTCAGAATCAAGGTTCCCCTAACCTTGTCTTGTCTCCACCCCCTCCCAAGCATAGGGAGAGACTCTCTCTGGAATTTCCTTGTCTAACCAAGAAAGCTTTTTTCCAAAAGAAATGCAATTTTTCTTAGGATCCCCTCCCTAGGGGGTCTCAGCAAATAACCAGGAAAGATCACTCACCAGAGAAGAGAAGATGTTGGAAGTCATCACCATGCCCAGACAGACTTTTCTTCTATTCTTCTGAAGGAAGCTTCAAGAGATTACCTGGGAAACTTAATCTGCAAAATAAGATGACCTTTGTTCCTGTGCAGTTCTGCCCATCACCTTCCCATAATGTCTCCCTCCCACCTCCCAGGTTCATACATCTCTTCCCATAAAGAGAGTTTTTTTGTTGTTGTTTGTTTGTTTGTTTGTTTTTGAGATAGAGTCTTGCTCCGTTGCCCAAGCTGAAGTGCAGTGGCACGATCGGCTGACTGCAAGCTCCGCCTCCTGGGTTCATGCCATTCTCCTGCCTCAGCCTCCCGAGTAGCTGGGACTACAGGCACCCGCTACCACGCCCGGCTAATTTTTTGTATTTTTAGTAGAGATGGGGTTTCACCGTGTCAGCCAGGATGGTCTTGATCTCCTGACCTCGTGATCTGCCCGCCTCGGCCTCCCAAAGTGCTGGGATTACTGGCATGAGCCACCATGCCTAGCCAAAGAGAGTATTTAAGCAACCATCTAGCCCCTCTTAGAATTCACATTTTGTATGAATCCCATGCACATATATGCATCTTAATAAAATTTGTATGCCTTTTTTCCCAATAATCTGCCTTTTGTCAGCTGAGTTTTAGCAAGCCTTCAGAAGACAAAGGGGAAGTTTTCCCTTTGCCCCTACAATGCCTATGTAAAAAAAAAAAAAATGGGCTTCTAAAAAAACACAATACCATATCACACCTAATAATTTAATAATTCCGTGACATCATCTAATATGCAGTTCAAAATGAAATTTCCATGACTATCTCAAAACATCTCTTTTTACATTGGGTTTGTTTGAATCAGGAACAAAACAAGGCCCACAGATTACATTTGGTTCTTAAGGCTCCTAAATCTATATCAATCCTCAGCAGTCTTTTGTAATTTCCCCCCATGCCTATGTTGTAGAAACCAGGTAGCCCTGTGGAAAGCTTCATATTCTGGATTTGCCCATTTATTCCCATGTTATTTAATTGTTTCCTCTATCACCTATATCTCCATCAGTGAAGGTAGCTCTAGAGCCTGGATTAGAGTCAAGTTGGACTCCTGTTAAGAGTATTTCACAGGTGGTGCTGTGCAGTCAGTATTGCATTAGGAGCTATCTAATGCCTAGTTGCCCACTTTTAGAGTATAGTGGGCCCAGTGCTATGCCACCCCAATGGGGGAGGGCAGGCTAGAGGGGTGGGAGGGCAATACCAAGACAAATGCAAGATACCCTCCCACCCACGATGGTTCCTCTTCCACCTCCAACTACACCCTCATGGGTGTAGAATCAGATTTTGCTTTGAGATGGGAGAGGTTTCCTCATTCAGCCCAATCCACAACACCACCATAGCTCCATCATGGGCAAACCGTTTTTATAGACTTGCTAATTAATGTCTGTGGACCGGCAGCATTAGCATAGCCTGCACCTGAAAGCTTGTTGGAAATGCAGAAACTCTTACCCTATAATTACCAAATTAAAAATTGGATTTGTTGGGGCTCAAAGAAATGACACTCCAAAATATGGCACTTTGACATGCTGAACTAGAGAAGCAGCCACAAGGCCTCTCTGCCCTCCTTCCCCACCCCCCAATTCTCTGTGTCTCCCAAAGCATAGGATGAGGCTGTTCTCCGAAGATCCCTGATCTATCTAGAAACTGGGTCCACCAAAGAGAAACACAATTGCCTTTGATCCTCTCCCCTAAAATATCGCTAAGCAGAAAAGATTAAAACTCATATCTCAGAGGAAGAGATGATAATTAAACACCACACTTGGAGCCCAGACACTGTTCTCTGGTCCTGTTTGATTCCCAAAGAGAATTATTTGCTAGCCATGAACTGAACATTGGGCCCATTCATTACCCCTAAAAATCATTTACTATATAAATTGCCACATTTCCCTGCTCTTTCCTCCCCTGTGAAGAAAAGTATATAAGCATCTAGACCTCACTGGGTTTTTAGGTAATCATCCTCCTGGGATTCCCTTGTGCTTATGTGTGTTAAATAAATGTATATGCCTTTTTCTCCTATTAATCTTCCTATTCATTCTCTGTTCACTTTCAGCAAAGCTTCAGAGGGTGAAGAAGAGCTTTCCCTTGGCTCCTACACGTTCTAACAAGATTCTCCCTGTGATTAGCATGCCCTTTAAAATTTGAGAACCCCTGGTCCTCAGGACCCCGGAGAAGTTAGGTCTGGATTAGAGGAATAAGGGCAGTAGTATTAGTTCCCTGCTTCTGTATAACAAATTACCCTAAAACTTAATAGCTTAACAAAGATACATTTATGGGCCGGGTGTGGTGGCTCAAGCCTGTAATGTCAGCACTTTGGGAGGCAAGGGCAGGCGGATCACTTGAGCCCAGGAGTTTGAGACCAGCTTGGCCAACATGGTGAAACCCCATCTCTACTAAAAATACAAAAATTAGCCGGGCATGGTGGCAGGCACCTGTAATCCCAGCTACCACTCTGGAGGCTGAGGTAGGAGAATCGCTTGAACGCGGGAGGTGGAGATTGCGGTGAGCCAAGATGGCGCCACGGCACTCCAGCCTGGGCAACAGAGCGAGACTCTGTCTCAAAAAAAAAAAAAAGATACATTTATGATCTCACATATTTTCAGAGTCAGAAAGCAGGAGTGGCTTGGCTGGTGAGTTCTGGCTCATGGGACTCTTACAAGGTTGCTGTTGGGTTGTCGAGCTATTGGCCAGAGGAACCACTTCCAAGCTTACTCATGTTGTTGGCAGAATGCTTCAGTTTCTTGCCACAAGGTCCGATCCCTAGGACTGCTTATGATATGAGGGTCCCCAAAGATGAGTGGCTAGATAGAGAGAGAGAGAGGAAGGGAGAGAGAAGTCACAGTGTTTTTTTAATAGCCTAATCTCAGAAGTGACATGCCATCACTTCTAACACGTTCTATTGGTCGTACACACTAACCTAGCACTCTATGGGAGGGGAGTATGCGGGGGTGTGAACGCCAAGAGGCAGGGATGCTTGGGGACCATTTCATAGGCTCACTACCACTGCAGTAACCATAACCGGGGCTTCGCCTTGTGAAGAGGATGGGAAACTTCCTCCTGGAAACAGAGTAGGTCTCACACTCAGTCCTCTACTCCAGGAGAAACAGGGTTCACCTGCCTGGCTCTTATCTCTCTGTCCTCCTGAGTCTATAGACTCTCATTTCTGTTGCAATTGCATGATTTGTTCTAACGCTCTCAATTCCCACAAGCACTTTTTTTTTTTAAAGTTACAGATTTTCGCTTGAGTAACTTCTTTAGATAATCTATGCTGCTTGCTATAGGAAGAACTTAGTGGCTGACAGTAAGAAATCACTTAATATAAACGTATGTAAAGCCAGGCGTGGTGGCTCATGCCTGTGATCCCAACACTTTAAGAGGCTGAGGGGGGCGGATCACTTGAGGTGAGGAGTTTAGGACTACCCTGGCTAACATGGTGAAACCCCATCTCTACTAAAAATACAAATTTTAGCAGGGTGTGGTGGCGTGCACCTGTAGTCCCACCTACTCAGGAGGCTGAGGCAGGAGAATTGCTTGAACCCAGGAGGTGCAGGTGGCAGTGAGCCAAGATTGTGTCAATGCATTCCAGCCTGGGTGACAGAGTGAGACTCCATCTTAAGAAACAAAATAAAACAAAGATACATAAAAATATAAGGGCACATAGTTTCAAAGGTTGGTAAACAAGTCATTCAGTGTGTGTCATTGTGGCATCTGGGCTACAAAGGACAGCTGGGAGGTAAAATTACTGGGCAGAGCAGAGGATGGTTTAGATACAGGATAGTGGAGAAGCTTGTTTTTTTTTCTGAGGAATGATGATTAGAATTCACCCAGGAGTATACTCTGGCCTAACTGCAGATATTAAGGCGATAGAATTGTCCAATCTGGTGAGTGATGAACTTAGAGTTGGTGATTAGTAGCCGTGAGGGTTGGGGCAGTGTGATGCTGTAGTCCTACCTGCCAAATGGAGCTGATAATACTCCAGGAAGATGTACTTTTATGTTTGTTTCACCAATAAGGAAATACAAAAACAAGTTCAGTTTTCCACAACATTCAGGTAATGGGCTTTGAGGAAAAAAAAGATGAAAGTGGCAGTTCAGTGTGGGAGCTGGGAGGGCTGTGGAAGTGGGTGGGGCTAAAACAGAGCCCTCCCTGGACTGGCTGCTCCTCAGGATCTGCTGTGAAATTTGCAAGAAAGTCCTATAGAGCCTGGTTAGGAGCTGTGGAACAGGGGAGGGAGCTCCAGAGAAAACGAAGCATAAAGCTTAAGGCCCAGACCTGAGAGAAAGGCTAAATGCCCAAGACAGGAAAAGAACCAAGCAGGTTTTAGAACAACAGAAAGATGAGAAAGCAAAGAGGGGATCTGGAGAAAGAACAGGCTCGTGAAGCCCAGATTAAAATTCTCTTCTCAGGAATTGACAGTTTCCAGCTTGCGGCAGTAGAATCAGCTTTGCAAAATAGAAAGGAAAAGATTCCCCCTGAAGAGTTGCAAACCATCTGATTCATGATTTATTGCCTTAGAAACGTCTGTATAAACACAAGGATTAGGTATTGTCTCCCCCAGCTTCCTGTCTTCAATTTCCTTCTTTTTCATCTGGATGTTTTGTTATGAACTCTTTATCTCTTAAGACAATGTCTTTAACATTCAATGGTTAGGGCAATTCCCAATTCAGTCTGTGATTCTTTCGCCTGTGCATGATTGTAAGATGTTCCTGCTACTTCCTTCTTACGCTAATAGTAGTAACATAAGACATCAAAACTCAAAGCAAAGACACTGACCCACAAAAAGTGAAGCGTGGAAATAATTGTTGTTCAGGGAGGCCCTAAAACAAGTCAGGTTTGAATACCTCAGGTCCTTTCTGTGCTCTGGGGGAGAGGGATTCTAAAGCCCAATTGCCTCACACTGACCTATGCTTTGATGCCCTCAGCATCTGGCCCTACCTCTCCACCTTCAACTCATACCATGTTCCCCCAAGCTCCAGTCCACTGGCCCCTTTTTGAGGTTCCAGGTGTCAGTGGAAGATGCCAAGTTGTGCTCTCCCTCTGCCCCAGATCCTCACATAGCTGGTCCTTCATCTTTCTCACCTCCATTCAGATGTTCCAAGTCTCAAAATATCAAGCTGACCCATTTTCTTGGCATTTAAATCCCTTCCTGGTAACTGATTAGGCTTCCACCACTACTCAGCCACAACCGGTCTGGGTTGCAAAAATCAGTCACCTCAATGGCTGGGAGAAGTTAAAGACCCTTCCAATAGTGGCTTAGGCCCCTGAGGAAAGCTGTCAGGAAATTTTAAAAGAAAACTCAAAGGGCATTTTGATGAAAGAAGAAATAAGGAATTAAATTTCAGCTTATGAACAACAGTTGTAGAAAGAGGAGAGTTAGGAAGGTGAAGACTAACATTCATTTAGGTCCAGCCTCATTCCCATGTTTTACCCATGTTATGACATGGAAACTTCTCAACAAGCCTACAGGGAAAGGTTAGTATCCTCATTTCGTAGATAAGGAAACCAAGGCTCTGGTTGAGCAAATTTCCCAGGATCCTGCAGCAAATACATGGAAAAGCCAGGTTCAAGCTGAAGCCCAGCTGACTCTAAGCCCATCTGTGTGTGTGCTGTTCCCTGTCCACAGGCCTAGACTCTGCTCTGAGGACGTGGGGGTTTGGGTGGGGCATGTGCTGGCATTACACAGGTATTGAAAGACACATGGGCAAGAATACTTCCCATGCCCTCACCATCTATATGGATTTCACGTATCCTTTAGGAGCACCCGAGTCAGTACTGCCTCCTTTGTTTTGAAACAAAGGGTCTAGTTCACTGTCATTTTTACACAATGGAGACCTTTATAAATTACAGCTTTTTGGTCCTCCACTTGCAAGGGAAACAAGGACCATAACAGGGCCATCAATAATCTCCCCAACGCAGAGGACCTGAACATATAAGCTGCAAAAAGATGTCTGAAATTTTATAATTTGTTTGCTTCCTGAATAATCTTTTACTTGGTAGAATCAATTGTAAGTGCCACTGTGCTTGTGGCTTCACAGACATTTTGAAAATTAGATAATGCACCTTTAGGATGGGAGTGAGAAGCCTTTGTCCCTCATGGCATATTTTATATAATAAAAAAGGCTTGTATGGAGCAGGGGTGAGCTGGGAAGGTGAAGCTACTTAAGCTGCTGCTTTCTTTCTGCATTATGGTACAGAAAGTAGCAAAATATCAAAGCCACACAGATTCCATCTTCCCTTAAAATGACAGAAGATTAGTTGAAGACAGAAGCAGCTCAGGCTCAGTAAAAAACAGAAGGTCTTTTCATATCCAGATGGGACTCTTTAATCCTATGAAAATTCCCAGTGTCACTTACTGGGGTAGAAGTTGACTATTTGGCTGTCTCTTTTTGTTTTTATTTTCGTTTTAGAGATTGGGTCTCACTCTGTCGCCCAAGCTGGAGTGCAGCGCACAATCACGGCACATTACAGCCTCAAACTCCTGGGCTCAAGCAATTCCCCCACCTCAGCCTCCTGAGCAGCTGGGACTGCAGAGGTGTGCCACCATGCCCAGCTAATTTTTAAACATTTTTCGTAGAGACAAGGTCTCACTATGTTGCCTAGGCTGGTCTCGAACTCCGGGGCTCTCAAGTGTTCCTCCACCCTAGGCCTCCCAAAGTGCTGGGATTATAGGCGTGAGCCTCTGTGCCTGGCTATTTGGCTGTCTCTTGAGTTACCTTCAGTATTAGAATCTGAGCCACAGTAGGAGAAACCTAATAGTCAACCTTAATGATGGATGTGGCAGAGAGAAAATTACAGCTCCTCGCTGGACAATGCACCCAACACATGGAAAAACATAGGAAGAGGTTTGGTCTTTGAGTTATATAATCAGCCTGGATTTTTACATGGCAGAGAGAAGGGTGAAGGTAGATGCATATTGTACCTTTTTTGTTTTCTGAAAAAAGTTTGCAAATGAGGCTTTGATTTGTATATGTCCACTTCATCTGGGAACTCCATTACTAATTCAGGGAAAGAGTTGCTGGACCAATTGAACAATTTGTCTCTCAGATATATGCAGGAAAATGAAATATCCTATTAGTTAACAGAAAATTGTCCTGATACATGCAGTAAAAGGGAATTAAAAGCATTGTTTCCAAATTGATTGTGCCAGACAAATTTGGCCAAATATAAGTGCATGACAATATCCTCTTATGGTCTTGCACTTTGCTTTACAGTTATTCCAATAGAACTCAGTATTTTGGGTCTGTACACCAAGAGGTGACATGAGATGGAAGCTGGGGTCATTATGGTTAACCTGAATGTGTCAGAAACCAAGCAGAGGCTGAATGTTATTATATGCAGCCTGTGAATCAGAGTGAATGGTAGAACCAGGCTAAACTATACATTGCAAAACAGGTGCAATGTTTGGATGGAATGGTCACCAACAGTATCCAAATAACCAATAGCTGGTTGATGGGTGTTATTTACCATACCAAAAACCCAACCTGCAGGGACACATTGTTCAATTGATCTGAGATCCCAACCCACTTCCACAAAAGGAAAGAGGCTCAATTAATAGGAGCTAACAGAAACAGGTAAAAGGAAAGCAGACAGGCATGTGCACAAGAGATTTGTAGACCTTCATGTGAAGAGGAGAATGTTAATAAAAACTTCTTGTGCATCAGCATCCTAAAATTCTACTGTTGCAGCTGCTGGTCTGATTTTCCTACAACATGGGGAGGTGTTTGCAGTGAAGATATCTTCTATTCCCACAAAGAGTAGTTTTTCATCTTTAAATCTTTAAAACAAAGAAATCTGAAAGCTAGAAAACAGCCAGGGATTTCCAAATTCAGTGTTTCCTAAATTCGTCTGTGCTACAGAATTATCTGTGATGCGTGTTAGACAGAGATTCTCAGACTCTGACAGCATCTCCAGAGAAATAGCTGGGATCGCTCTACTGAGCAAGCTCCCTGCTTATGCTCAGGCGTGGGCAGGTCTGGCAACATGATGATTGCACATCCAAATTGTACCAAAAAGAAAAACAGGTGCACAGAAATGATACACCCAAGGTCCCTAGGAACACAATAGAACCAGGACTGAACTTAGGTCTCAAGCACATAAAAATCCAATCTTATTTAATTTCCATGGTAAGGAGGCACACATCTCACAGTGTGGGTTTCAGGACCACAAAGCCTAAGGTTTGGTTGCTTAGGGCAGTAGGTGATTGGACCAAACCCTTCTATTCAATCCTCAGCAAGAAGTTCTGCAGCTCGATACCTTAGAAAAGATGCAATCACTCGACTCTGAAAATTCCCTGTTAGCTTGTCAGCTGGGGCTGCTTTAATTTTACTTTTAGGTCATAATTCTATTTAATACCACTGAGCTCTGTTCTATTGATCACTGGGCTTGACTCAGCACTGATGTTTTTGAGGAATTGACCATTATGTCTGAAGTGTAGGGTAAAGCGGGTATCCAAGGAGAAGAAGAGTGTTTGAGGCCCTATGATTTCCTGGAATATTACCCATCTGGGAAATTGTGTAGGAGTCCATTGGAGGAGATATTTTAAAACTCCAGCTTGGCAGAGGTTTTGTGGAAATGGACACCTAAATCAATTCGAGAGCAGCCTATGAGAGCTAGAATGGGGTCGGCAAAGTTAACAGCTTTTTTGCCTGAAGGAGTGGGGGCAGTGGGGTATGGAACAGGTATTCTTGCTGGCTTGTAGGTGGGTGAGCAGGGAGAAAGAGCTCTAGTCTCTCTTTTTCCTTTTCTTTCTTCCTTTTTTTTTTTCTTTTTTGAGACAGGGTCTCACTCGGTCGTCGAGGGTTGGAGTGCAGTGGCACAATCACAGCTCACTGCTACCTCCACTTCCCTGGGCTCAGGTGACCCTTCCGCCTCAGCCTCCCGAGTAGCTGGGACTTATGGAGGTGTGTCACCACACCTGGCTAATTTTTTAAAAAACTTTTTTGTAGAGACAGGGTTTCACTATGTTGCCCAGGCTTGTCTTGAACTCCTGAGCTCAAGCAATCAACCCACTTCAGCCTCCCGAAGTGTTGGGATTACAGTCTCCAGCCACCATGACTGGCTCCTCTTTCTCTTCTTATTTGAGGACAATAATCTCATCATGAGGTCCCCACACTCATGACCTCATCTAAACCTAATTACCTTCCAAAGGTCCCATCTCCAAACACTATCACATGGAGGATTAGGGCTCCAGCCTGTGAATTAGTGGGGAGGGGCACAGACATTCAGTCCATAATAGGAGGTGTCCTTACCTTCAGCCCCGTAGCGTGGTTGAACCTTGGTGGGGATGGAGAAGTGCTATAGAAAAGACCAGATGGATAGCGAATCTGAGAACATTAAGGTTGCATTAGGAGGCCACTGACTGTGGGAGTCTAATACCCAGAAGTAAGCTGCAATCTTAAGAACAAGATGAGATCACTTACAGGAAAGAAAGAACATTTGGGTTTTTTTTATTCTTCTTTTTTTTTGTGCACACATAAGTCTCAGTGTGTAAAATTTGACACCAGGATGTCCATATATACACATTCACACACACATAGGAGAGACAGAGGAACATAGTAGGGGTAATATCCATAATGGTAGTTATCTCTGGATGGTAAAATTATGTTATTTTATCTTTTTTCATTGACCACTAGTGCGGATTTTTCTAACATGGATTATTATTTATATATATAATTTATAACAAAAACTTCCCAATATATCTTTTCATAAGATGTCAGTTATTTTCAAAGGTCACTTGTGTTGTGTCTGCATCTTTCAAAATCATAGGTTGTAAACTCAAGCATTTAAATTCTTTTTTTTCTCCCCAGTGAAAAGATAGGAGATTTGTTGCTGTTGTTTGTCTGGTTTTTGCGCAGGACTGACAAGTTATTTTGATGTCTTATAGGCACAACCTAAGTAATATAATTTGGTTAAGTTGGAAAATAAGCATTTTGCAGAGCTTTCTCCTAGGCTTTCAACAGCACAAGATTTTTATGCCCTTCTCACGATGAGACCGAAGTGAAGACTTTTTTTCTTTTTGAGACAGGGTCTCTCACTCTGTTGCCCAGGCTGGAGTGCGGTGGTGTGATCTCAGCTCACTGCAATCTCAGCCTCCCAGGTTCAAGCAATTCTCCTGCCTCAGCCTCCCAAGTAGCAAGGATTACAGGCACCCGTTACCACGCCCAGCTTATTTTTGTTTTTCTAGCAGAGATGGGGTTTCATCATGTTGGCCAGGCTGGTCTCGAACTCTTGGCCTCAAGTGATCCGCCCGCCTTGGCCTCCCAAAGTGCTGGGATTACAGGTGTGATCCACCGTGCCTGGCTGTGAAGACCATTTTTGAAACTCCAGTTAGGGAGATGTCTCCCACTGTGTGGCCGACCCCTTCCCATCCACAGATGAATGACTTAGTCATTACCTTTTACAAAGAAAATTCATTTATTTTTTCATCAACGCTTTAAAAATAAAAACAAAATAAAGCTAGACATTTTTTTCTGATGGGATTTGGGAAGAAAGATTAAAAAAGTGTAAGAAAAGCCTTTAATGACTCTGTAATATTTAACACCTAAACAAAGCGGCTTAGTACCAGTGGGAGCTGAAACTCATTAAAATGAAAATTATATTTGCTTCATCAATGCTAAAATAAATCCAAGGGAAAACAAAGAGGTACTTTTGTAATTAAATTTAACTTACTGTCATAATCTCAATTCTCGCTATTTGCAACTGTGGGAGTTATTCTCAAAAGGATGTTTAAGGATAAAGTTTTAGAGTCCACAGTATTCCAAGTTTGGGATAAAATTGAGATGATTCAAAGGAGAGAGAAAGAGGAAGGGGTGTCAGGTGGTGGGGGATTGAGAGCTTCAGAGAAGCCAGGCGGAGTGCCCGGATGAGGCTTCCCATCTCCTGTTCTCTACTGTGTTGCTGGGTGGAGTTCTCGCCTCCCTCAAGGGATAGCATGGAAAGAAAAACGTTGTTCCAGTGGTGTCTCCTCTGTCAGTACAGTGGAACAGGGAAGAATCCTGTGGAGTGAGACGGCCTCTTCGAGAGGATTTCTAGAATTGGGACCCAGCGGGTGGAGGAATCACCTCAAACAGTGTGAATGTTCCCTAGAGAGCTGAGCAGTCTCTGACCTGGTCGACATAACCACTCACCTGCTCAGAACGGCCCGTGATATGCTGCTGAATACCAGAAGGAGCTGTCGCCTGTTACTGGGTGGTAGCTACCTACCATCCCCGGAGCATTTGTTACATGTCAGGCCCTGTACTAAGTAAACACTTTTCATATACTATCTCACTCAATATTCACAACAACCTTAGGGTACAGGAATTATTGTTCCTATTTTTTAAGAATACAACTTGAAAATTTATTCTCATTTCTTCATGGCCACACCTTTCATTTGATTGTGGTGAGATATACATAACAAAATTTTACCAAAATTTTAAGTGTACAATTCAGTATTAAGTATATTCACAATGCTGTGGGACAATCACCACCACCCATTTCCAGAACTTTTTCACCATCCCAAACAAAAACTTTGTACCCATTAAACAAAAACTTCCTATTCCTTCTTCCCCCAACCACCTGGTAGCCACTAGTCTACTTTGTCTCTATGAATTTGCCTGTTACAGATACTGCATATAAGTGGAATCATGTATTTCTGGCTTATTTCATTTAGCATAGTGTTTTCAAGTTTCATCCATGTTGTAGTATCCCATTATATAGGCTAGGAAACTGAGACTTATACTAAATAACTTGCCCAGGACCACAGAAGAATTAGTGACAGAGGAAGAATTCATATCCAGGGATGTCACACTCCAAGGTCCATGCTCTTAATCATCCTCTACCAAGTGTTTCTCCCAATGCAGACCACAGACCACTAAATCAGAATGACCATGAGTGCTTAAAAAACACAGATTTCTGGGCTCCACCCTACTAAGATAATCCTTCTAAACGATAATCCTTGTACTTTTAACACATTCCCCAGTTGATTCTTATGCAAAACTAAAGTTTGTGAATTACTTCATTCTTCTCTATTGAAAATGCAACTAAGGAAAGATGGCGGCAGAGAAAATGAAGACATAGTTACAAACTCAAGGCCAAGTGATCTCATGGAAAAGGAGAAATGAGTAGGCAAGTGCTATGGTTTGACTAATAGTGTCCCCTCCAAAATTCATGTTGAAGCCTAATCCCCAATGCAACAGTATTAAGAGGTGTGGCCCTTGGGAGGTGACTAAATCATGCAGGCTCCACCCTCATAAATGGGATTAGCACCCTTATAAAAGGGCAGAAGGTGGAAGGGAGCATTCTCTTGTTCTTTTGTCTCTTCCACCATGTGAGGACACAGTGTTCCTCTCCTTCAGAGGAGGCAGCAATGGGAACCATCATGGAAGCAGAGAGCAGCCCTCACCTGACACTGAATCTGCTGGTGTCTTGATCTTGGACTTCCCAGACTTCAGAACAGTGAGAATTTAAATTTCTATTGTTTATAAATTACCCAGTGTGTGGTATTTTGTTATAGCAACACAGACTAAGACAATAAGCTCTAGGAGTTGTCAAATGCCTATATATTTTGTTGGGGTCTCCTGGAGGGATTTCCAACGCATCCACCCTATTTGCCCTTTGTGGCCCCATGAGTCATCCTTTCATGAAGTGAAAAGATACATCTCTTATAGTCATGCCATATTTTTCATTCCAAGTTTTACGGTTTATGTCAATATGTATTATGTATGAAAAACAAACTAGCTTTTTGTCAAATGCTGCCAAAATGTAGCATCTCAATGTCTGGCATAAGAAAAGAAAGACACAAATGGTGATTGTGATGCTGGCAAACCAATGCACAACGTAGCCAAAATACATGTCATATTTAATGTGGGACTAAAAACTCACCTTCAGGAAGACTTTCACCTTGAAATCTGGTGATGTGTGGAACAGATGTTTTAATTTAGCTAAAATTATTTGCATAATCGATTTAACACATGGTTTATCAAACCTGCCAAAGAGCAGGTGACAATATGGAATTAATATGATTACTAATTTGACACATCATTGAGATTAATTTGACCTTTCTCGATCTCAGAATACCTAGAGGTCTTCACAGACAGGAATAGTGTGCTATGAAATGCAGTCTAAAATCCACCATCTTAGCATCATAAAGTAAGCAACCACTTTGCTCAGTCTGGCCTCATGTTTCTATTCCTTTTCTTTCCATCTCTTCTCTAAATGGAAAGGAAGGCAATGAGTGAATATTGGGGAACATATCTGATTCACAGTGTTCAAAATTTTATGAAAAGTAATTGATCTAACGTGCCTCTGATACTAGATGTGGTACTGCCTTCTCCCTGGTCTGTTGATTTATCCTTGAATCTAGACTCAAAGGATATCACCTTTGAGAATTAATTGGCTTAAGCCTTTAGCTTTAAGTCTAAAGACTCAAAATAATGACTTTTTTTTTTTTTTGCGATGGAGTTTCACTCTTGTCACCAGTTGTCACCCAGGCTGAAGTGCAATGGCATGATCTCGGCTCACTGCCACCTCCACGTCCTGGGTTCAAGCAATTTTCCTGCCTCAGCCTCCCAAGTAGCTGGGAATACAGGTGCACACCACCACACCGGGCTAATTTTTGTATTTTTAGTAGAGATGGGGTTTCACCATGTTGGCCAGGATGGTCTTGAACTCCTGATCTCAGGTGATCTGCCCACCTCGGCGTCCCCAAGTACTGGGATTACAGGCGTGAGCCACCGTGCCCGGCCAAAATAATGACTTTTAAATTGTATATCAGTTTGATTACAATAGTAAATTATTCTATTAGAAATAATAGAAATGTTTATTAATAGGGAATTGATAAAATAAAATAATATCGTATGCGAGTAAAATGCTGTGTGCCCATTTAAATGATGTGGAAAAAGTATATTTAATGATATAAAAACATGTTTGTGATATGTGACATGAAGAAATCATATTGCATCTCTGAAAAATAACAATAAAAACGAGAAATCATATTGCAAATTAGTATGTGCACTATAAGCTTATTTTTATAAGAAAAATTATGTACATATCTAAAAGGATAAATATCAAAACGTTAACCATGGTTATATCTACATGGTAGGATTAAGGCTGATTTATGGTTTTTCTTTTTTATTTATATTTTAAACAATTTTTTAAAACCATGAACATACAATTTTTTGGTGTAATAGAGAAAAAAGTCAATCAAAAAAATATTTGTGAAGTGAGGATGGCAGATTGAATCAGCATCCAATTTTACTCTCTCCCAAAACTCCATTAAAGTTCCTACACACACACACACACACACACACACACACACACACACACAACCATGAAGGAAACAACAGCAAGAATGTTTTGGAAGCTGGAAACATTTTGGAAACTGGTTTGGTAGGCTCGCAAAAGCCTAACCTCAAGGCTGCAGTAGGTAAATGAACCAAGCTGCTTTAGGCTGCAGAATCCTGCCTAGGATTGCCACTGGGGATGGAGATGGGAAGAGGGAAGAGGCAAGGGCACTGAAAGAAGGAGCACTGGGAAAGGTTGTCTGAGAAGCTGCGAGATCTCAAGAGACGGTCTCTCCTTCGTCATTCCTCAGCCCTTGAGCCCCTCATCCTTCACCCAACAGGAGTATGGAAGCTTATTCTCTGTATTATGGACACTAGACACAGTTGGAAGTCTGATCGTCATACGCAAAACAGAAAGAATAAGTGATCTTATGCTCAGCAAATCCCGGCTGCAGAGCCCTCCCTGACCTTTCCACTCAGGTCCAGGACACCAACAGCCAGACTCTGACCCTTCCAGATAAGATATTGGAAATGGCTTCTTCATAAAGGCTAAATTTATGCTTGCCCCTCAAGATTGCAAAATTAAGCAACATATCACTTAAGGACACATATGTAGGTGATATAACCAAAAGAAAAAAAAAAGCAGGGGAATGAATACTCTTGCCCTATGTAATGAGGAGGAAGGGGTTGCACCTGGGGTAATACCTTGGTAATGTTTGATTTTTTTTTTAAAGAACTAGAGTGATAGGAATATAGATAGTATAATAATACATTTTATTATTCTTATTTAAATTTTAGATGTGCATTTTATATATTCTTCCCTACCTATTTTATATTTTACAATTCACAAAATGTTGGTAGGCCAGGCACAGTGGCTCATGCCTATAATCCCAGCACTTTGGCAGGTTGAGGTGAGCAGATTGCTTCAGCCCAGGAGTTTAAGATCAGCCTGGACAACATAGTGAGACCTTGTCTCTACCATAAAAAAAAATAGCTGGATGTGGTGGCACACATCTGTGGTCCCAGCTACTCAGGAGGCTGAGACAGGAGGGTTGCTTGAGCCCAGGAGGTCGATGCTGCAGTAAGCCATGATTGCGCAACTGCACTCCAGGCTGGGCAACAATGCAAGACCCTGTCTCAAAAAAAAAAAAAAAAAAGGAGGCAACCTAAGACCTCTTCCTTTCTGTGTGATTTTCTCCCTTTCTTCTTTTCATCCCTATTATGTTTCTGCTGCTCTTTCATTCCCTTTTTCTTTTCTAGAACTTTATAGAGGTCAAGAGTTCAAGATCAGCTGGGCCAACATGGTGAAACCCTGTCTCTACAAAAAATACAAAAATTAGTCATGCACGGCGGTGCATGCCTGTAATTCCAGCTACTCAAGAGTCTGAGGCAAGAGTTTGAACCCAGCAGGCAGAGGTTGCAGTGAGCCGAGATCGCGCCACTGCACTCCAACCTGGGCAACAGTATGAGACTCTGTCTCAAAAAACAAAAAATAAACAAAAAAACAAAAAAAGAAATGAGATTGGTCAAAAAGGTATGACCTAATGGGAATAGACAGGGGACTCAATCAATGCCTGTCTATTCAGATTCTTCTTGGCTTCACTCTTTCCTCCTGGGTATGGGCCAGGACCCTTTGTGGAAAGGTAGTTGCATGACCTACAATCAAACAAAGTAGGTAAGAGAATTTCTTTATGTCCAGTTCTTACTCAAAAAGGCAGGGGAAGGTTAGAGTAGTATTTTATGTTTTATGGCTGGCTTTGGGGATTTTTGGGTTCTGGTTTTTATGAACCACTTTGCAGAAGAGAAATTCTAGTTTCTGTGGCTTGTCTTGAAGAAGAATGAGAGGTGAAAGACAGGAAAGCAGGAGAGAGCCAGAGGAACTTTGCTTTTGAGGCTGCTTCTGAAGCCTTCACTTGGGGGCATCACTTTCTGAGCCCCCACAGTGTCTTCTGATGAACAGAAATGTTTAATGTTAATGAAGTTTAATTTATTAGTTTTTTAATGGTTAGTGCTTTCTGTAACCTAGGAAATCTTTACCTGTCCCAACATTGCAAAGGCATTCCCCTATGTTTCCTTCTACATATTTTATAGTTTTAGTTTTTACGTCTATGTGTGTGACCCATCTCAAATTAATTTTTATGTATGGTGTGAAGTAGAGATCATGTTTTTTTCCCATGTAGATATTAAGTTGTTCCAGGGCCCCATGTTTTTAAACTAATAGAATGTGCCTCTATCCCTTTATTTGCTCATCATGCAAAAAAAATTCTAAACCTAAACCTGAAATTTTGAAATATGCATCCCTGTCTTCATATCTCACTGCCTCCCTATGACATGGCCAGTAACTTTAAGGACCACCTATTATGACAGCTCCCCACCCCAGATAATTACAAATGATATATTTCTTTAGGATCATATTTTCAGATTAGAGAAAAATAGATTTTGAAAGGAAAAACCTTGGCACTATTATTCTTTGACTGCTCTGCTCTTCCAATGTCTAAGATGTAAATAAAATCAACTATTAAGTTTGGGGCTGCAAATTTTTTTTTTTTTTCTTTTAGATACAGAATCTCGCTCTGTCACCCAGGCTGGAGTGCAGTGGCATGATCTCGGCTCACTGCAAGCTCCGCCTCCCGGGTTCATGCCATTCTCCTGCCTCAGCCTCCCGAGTAGCTGGGACTACAGGCGCCCACCACCACGCCTGGCTAATTTTTTGTACTTTTAGTAGAGATGGGGTTTCACTGTGTTAGCCAGGATGGTCTCAATCTCCTGACCTCGTGATCCGCCTGCCTCGGCCTCCCAAAGTGCTGGGATTACAGGCGTGAGCCACTGCGCCTGGCCTGGGGCTGCAAATTTTTATATATCATATAAAGGGTGAAATAGTATGAAACAAAATTGGTGTTTAACTTTTTTTTTTTTTTAATGGAGTTTTGCTCTTGTTGCCCAGGTTGGAGTGCAATGGTGCGATCTTGGCTCACTGCAACCTCTGCCTCCTGAGTTCAAGCAATTCTCCTGCCTCAGCCTCCTGAGTAGCTGGGATTACAGGCACACACCACCACACCCGGCTAATTTTTGTATTTTTAGTAGAGACCAGGTTACACAATGTTGGCTAGGCCGGTCTTGAACTCCTGACCTCAGGTGATCCACTTGCCTCGGCCTCCCAAAGTGCTGGGATTACAGGTGCGAGCCGCCACGCCCAGCCTAATTCATTTTTTCAATGTTTTTAAAATTGGCACGTCTGACTCCTTTAAAAAATCAGGTTTACTGGGCCAGGCGCGGTGGCTCACGCCTGTAATGCCAGCACTTTGGGAGGCTGAGGCGGGCGGATCACGAGGTCAAGAGATCGAGACCATTCTGACCAACATGGTGAAACCCATCTCTACTAAAAATACAAGAATTAGCTGGGCATGGTGGCATATGCCTGTAGTCCCAGCTACTTGGGAGGCTGAGGCAGGAGAATCACTTGAGCCCAGAAGGCGGAGGTTGCAGTGAGCCGAGATCATGCCACTGCACTCTAGCCTGGCAACAGAGCAAGACTCCATCTCAAAAAAAAAAAAAAAAAATCAAATTTACCTAAAACCAAAGGAATAAATTCCAAAAAGAGAAAAAAAGCAACTGTCAAAAAATGCAGAGAAGTCAAGGAACAAAGGACGTGATCAGCAGATGTAAAAATTAGGAGGAACCTAACAGAGAAGGTTTTGCAGCCTGGTGGAGATGGGATCTGGAGCAAAGGAGGCTGAGGAAAATGCAGGGAATAACTATAGGTGAATGTGAATGGAATTAAGTGGCAATTTTTTTCTTTTTTTTTTTTCTTTTTTTTGAGATGGAACCTTGCTTTGTCACCCAGGCTGGAGTGCAGCGGCACGATCTCAACTAAGTGCAACCTCCACCTTCTGGGTTCAAGTGATTCTCCTGCCTCAGCCTCCTGAGTAGCTGGGATTACAGGCATCTGCCACCACACCTAGCTAATTTTTGTATTTTTAGTAGAGAAGGGGTTTCACCATGTTGGCCAGGCTGATCTTGAACTCCTGACCTCAAGTGATCCACCCACCACGGCCTCCCAAAGTGCTGGGATTACAGGCGTGAGCCAACATGCCCAGCCTCATGAACCAATCTCTATGTAATAGTATTAACTAGAGTCCATAGTTTATTCAGATTTCTTTAGTTTCTACCAAATGTTCTTTTTCTGGTCCAGGATCCCATCTAAGATACTCCATTACATTTGCTGGTCGTGTCTCCTTAGGTTCCCCTTGACTAGGACAGTTGCTCAGACTTTTCTTGTTTTTGATGATCTTGACAATTTTGAGAAGTACTGGTCAGGATGCCCCTCTGTTGGAATTTGTCTGTTTTACTCATGATCAGATTGGGTTATGGGTGTGTATTAGTCCATTCTCCAGGGTTCTCTGGAGAACCCTGACTAATACAGTTCTTGCATTGCTGTAAAGAAATATCTGAGACTGGGTAATCTGTAAAGAAAAGAGGTTTAATTGGCTCACCGTTCTGCAGGCTGTACATGCAAGAACAAAAGGAAAGACAGTTTCTTGCATGACTCAACTTTCAGCTTAATTTTTTTCGTTTTGACATAGTGAATTGGGGCGCCAAGATTTTTGTTTTCCTTTTACAATGTCAAAGTGATATGGTTTGTCTGTGTCTCCACCCAAATCTCATCTTGAATTGTCACCCCCATAATCCCCACATGCCCTGGGAGGGACCCGGCAGGAAGTAATTGAATCATGGGGTGAGTTTTTCCCATGCTGTTCTTGTGATAGTGAATAAGTCTCATGAGACCTGATGGTTTTATAAAGGGTGGTTCCCCTACACACGCTCTCTTGCCTGCCGCCATGTAAGAGGTGCCTTTGCTCCCCCTTCACTTTCTGCCATGATTGTGAGGCCTCCCCAGCCATGTAAAACTGTGAGTCCATTAAACCTCTTTTTCTTTATAAATGACCCAGTCTTGGGTATGTACTTATTAGCAGCGTGAGAACAGAGTAGTACACAAGGGTGGATACTACCAATGTGATTCATCACTGTTGATATTGACTGGGATTGAGATAGTGTTTGTCAGGCTTCTCCACTGTAGAGTTACTCCCCACCCACTCCACCCCTCCCTTCCCCCTTCTCATGCTATCCTCTTTGGAGGGAAGTCACTATGTGAAGTGCACTTTTAAGGAGCGGGGAGTTATGCTCCCCCCCCTTGATGGCAGGGAATCCAGATAAAATATTTGGGATTCTTCTGGGCAGGAGACTTGTCTCTTCTCCCCATTTATTAATTTATTCAATCATTTATATTAGTATGGATTTGTAGAAATTTATTTTATTCACTGGTTTATAATCCAATATTACTTTATTTTGTTGCTCAAATTGTTCCATTTTTGGCCATCGAGAGCACTTTCAGTTGGTTCTGGATGTTTACTTTTTAACTCTAAAAGTATTCAGTGTTCTGGTGAGTTTTATACCATGATATTTAAAAACATGAATGGGACCTACCATATAAATATTATTATTTTATTATTATTATTTTGTAGACAGAGTCTTGCTTTGTTGCCTAGGCTGAAGTGCAGTGGTGCGATCTTTGCTCACTGCAACCGCTTCCTGGGTTCAAGCAATTCTTCTGCCTCAGCCTCCTGAGTTGCTGGAACTATAGGCGCCCGCCACCATGCCTGGCTAATTTTTGTATTTTTAGTAGAGACGGGGTTTCACCATGTTGGCCAGTCTGGTCTTGAACTCCTGAACTCAGGTGATCCACCTGCCTCGGCCTCTGAAAGTGCTGGGATTACAGACATGAGCCACCATACCTAGCCCAGTATAGCTATTATATTGGCCAAAAAAAAAAGCAAAAACCTCTATTTCTTTAATATTAAATGACTGTCTTCTCCTAAATGACTTAGAGGAAACTTGTTTGTTTGCACAATAGTAATGATTAGAAATGTTAAAATGTCAGCATTGAAAAAGGAGCAGGGTTTATTGATCTTTCATACATAATTCCAACACCAGCTGGTGAGAGTGTGCTGGGCTCAGGGCTGAGACACTGGGGTGTTTAGTATCAGCTCTTCATCCACTTCCTATGCCCCCATAAGTTGAGCTTGGCACCAGTCAGCTTGTTTTTACAGATGTTGATTCAGTTTAGAAATAGCCATCTGGGCCCAAGGCTATGCCTCACAGATGGTGATTCAGCTCAAGGGTTTCACAGACAAAGGTTGTCATACAGCTGGAGCACTTGGGGACTCCCTAGTTCAGAGCCCCAGAGAATGTAGAAAATTAGAAATGGAAAGGGCCTGTATTAGTTATCTATTCCTGAATAATGCATCACTCCAAAACTTAGTGGCTTAAAACAACAGTCATTTATTATCTCTCGTGGTTCCTATGGGTTAGATATTGTGAAGTATTCAGTGGGGTGGTTCTTTTTTTTATTATTATACTTTAAGTTTTAGGGTACATGTGCACAACGTGCAGGTTTGTTACATATGTATACATGTGCCACAGTGGGGGGGTTCTGTCTTGGGTTCTCTCATGATGGTGCAGTCAGATGGTGGCTGGAACCGGGTCACCTCTAGGGCTTCTTTACTCACACATCTGGTACCCAGACTGTGATGATCAAACATTTGAGGACCGAAACAGCTAGGGCTCCAGGGCATCTCCCTGTATGTGGTCTCTCCATGTGACCTCTCCAGCATAGTGGCTTCCTGGTAGCTGGACTTCTTTCATGGTGGCTCAGGGTACCAAAGGCACATATTGCATGAGAGAGAGAAAACTCCAGGCTGAAGGCATTTTGCTTTTTTTCTAACTTAGCCTAAGAGGTCATATGGAAAGAGAATTAGCCTCTACCTTTTTGTGAGAAGAGTGTCAAAGAATTTGCAGACAAGTTTTAAAACCACGGCAGGACCTTAGAGGCCTGATAGCTCCAGGGCTGGATGTCTTCCTTTGCCCCTCCTGTTCCTGTCTGTGCCCTCCTACCCATTCGGTGCCCAGGAGGCAGAGTGACAGCTCCTCTCTGCTCTTGGTCCTGGGACACTGCATGCTTCCTTGCATTTTTCCTGCACATTGCCCACACCTTTGTAAACAGTCCTTTTATTCAACTCCTCAAATTACCCAATTTGAGACACCATCTGTCTCCTGCAGTGATTCTGATAGTTACTCCCACATCCTTCACCTTAGAGATGAGAATGACCCCATGCTCCCAGCCAGGGGTCCAGGACTTGGGACACCCAATCCAGGGTCCTTTTGTTTCCATTCTATTAGCCAACACATGCAGAAACCAGAATGGGGCCCGAGGCAAAAGGAAAAGTCACTGACACAGTGTATTTATTTAAAACTTTGACATTTTTTTCAGCACGGATTTTTGCATTAATTTTTGTTTTATAACAGATTGCGTTATAATATTATTTATCATGACTGAGTTTTTTTTTTGGCATCCCCTTAACTTTTGTGTCCCTGGGAGTCCCCTACTTGCCTCACCCTATCCCGGCCCCATCCCTCCAGCTTGCTCCCCACCTTGTGCTGCTACCACACTGCAGAGCTGGCTTGGGCTTTTAGAGGCCACCCAGGAATCCTTTCAGCACCTCCTCCTTTTCCTGAGGTTTTACCATTGAACCCTCATTGCCTGGTGGGTGCCACATCTTCGGATGCTGTCAGCAGCATTTGAGTGGTGACGAATCCCTAGTTTGTAACTAGGTGGAAATAAAAGCTCCTTTATTCAATTTTCTGTTAGGCACCTCCCAGGAGTGCCAGGTGTATGTATGCCTGGTGCTCTGGAGGAAGATGGGTGAGATGCATGGTGGAACTTAGAGGCATTTGCATTTAGGGTGGAAAACAGACATATTAAAAGTTAGAATAAAATATGACAAAGGCTCTTCAAGCTATATAAAAAATACTGAGTACACAACTAAATCTGTTGTTTAGAGTTTGTTCAAAGAAGGAAGGAGGGTGGGTAGGAAGGGGTAGGCTGGCAGAGAGGAAGAGCAGGCTGGCTGCTGGCAAGTCCCACCAAGGTGAGGTTAGGAGGCACCACAGATAACTAAACACCGGCTAGCTTGCAGTTTTCTCTTCTGCTGTCCTTATTTAGATCCTCTTCTGTCACTGCACGTAGCTGGCAGACTTTTCTCTTTTAGATCTATTCTAAGGCACTAAGGAATGAGGCTCTTTACACTTCATTTCTCTGCTGTCAGGGAAGAGGCTGATGTTACGTGCCCATGCGTCACCACTATTTAACGACAGACACACCAACGGTTCTGGACCTGGCAGTATTTTTCCCTTTGATGCAGGCAGTGAGGGATGTTAAATGGCATTTCATTATGATCTACTGGCTAGATGTTAGTCATGGCATATTTTAGAGTAAG
The DNA here is from genome assembly GCF_000001405.40 of Homo sapiens. Taxonomy (NCBI): domain Eukaryota; kingdom Metazoa; phylum Chordata; class Mammalia; order Primates; family Hominidae; genus Homo; species Homo sapiens. Next base: position 76,944,947 of record NC_000005.10, read on the forward strand.
GCTGAAGGGAGTTGTAGGGAAAAGAAAGAGAGATCAGACAGTTATTGTGCCTATGTAGAAAAGGAAGACATAAGAAACTCCATTTTGACCTGTACTCTGAACAATTGCTTTGCCCTGAGATGCTGTTAATCTGTAACTTTGCCCCAACCTTGAGCTCACAAAAATATGTGTTGTATGGAATCAAGGTTTAAGGGATCTAGGGCTGTGCAGGATGTGCCTTGTTAACAAAATGTTTACAGGCAGTATGTTTGGTAAAAGTCATCGCCATTCTCCATAAACCAGGGGCACAATGCACTGCGGAAAGCTGCAGGGACCTCTGCCCTGGAAAGCCGGGTATTGTCCAAGGTTTCTTCCCGTGTGATAGCCTGAGATATGGCCTCAAGGGATGGGAAAGACCTGACCGTCCCCCAGCCCGACACCCATGAAGGGTCTGTGCTGAGGAGGATTAGCAAAAGAGGAAGGCCTCTTGCAGTTGAGATAAGAGGAAGGTCTCTGTCTCCTGCCTGCCCCTGGGAATGGAATGTCTCGGTATAAAACCTGATTGTACATTTGTTCTATTCTGAGATAGGAGAAAAGCCGCCCTGTGGCGGGAGGCGAGACATGTTGGCAGCAATGCTGCTCTGCAACTCTTTACTCCACTGAGATGTTTGGGTGGAGAGAAGCATAAACCTGGCCTATGTGCACATCCAGGCATAGTACCTTCCCTTGAACTTATTTGTGACACAGATTCCTTTGCTCACATGTTTTCTTGCTGACCTTCTCCCCACTATCACCCTGCTTTCCTACTGCATTCCTCTTGCTGAGACAGTGAAAATAGTAATCAATAAATACTGAGGAAACCCAGAGACCGGTGCCGGTGCTGGTCCTCTGTATGTTAAGTGCCGGTCTCCTGGGCCCGCTGTTCTTTCTCTATACTTTGTCTCTGTGTCTTATTTCTTTTCTCAGTCTCTCATCCCACCCGACGAGAAATACCCACAGGTGTGGAGGGGCAGGCCACCCCTTCAGGAATTGAGGTACTCCAAAGGCCATTGTGCAAACAAGAACAATCCCCAATCTCCTTCACAGTTATCCATCTGCAGGCATCTCGCTTTAGGCTGCACCATCTCATTTTTTTGCTGCTAGTCTAGTCATTTGGTTAATTTCCAAGGCTATTGTCTGTGAAGGATTGACTGCCTGGCTGGACACAGGGATCTCTTTAGTCTGGATTTTGTTTCTGATTCACTGCGATAATCTGGGTAGATAGATCACTTAATCTCTCACCCTTTCCTCCCATTATTACTCTTCAAAAGCCTTCTCGCCAAATCACCACTTTCTTATTCCCAGTGTTCCTGGGCCTTAATAGATGATGTCATTCAACAATCCTTGATATGGGATCAAAATACTACTTCTTTTGGGCAGTTCCTAATTATTTTATTTTCTGTTTCTGCTTTATAACTTCCAGTTCCCCCTTTCTTCAATCTTCTCAATTTCACTACACTCTACATTTCAGCTCTTCTCTCTGATGCAGCTAAACTACTATATTATGGTGCATAATCTTTAATGGGACCCATTCCTAGCTAATCTTTTGAAATGCAGTTCTGTAATTATATTTTAACTTAGTTCCCTCTTTTTCTAACTGTGGCTTTTAAAGTCTGTTAATGTTCTAATATGAAGTCATTCCTTCTAATTTAATAATAATATGAAAAACATATCCTATGCATGCACTCATATAAAACTATTATTATTAGGAGTAAAACCCTAGGGATAAAGACATATAATATGGTTGGTATAATTCAATAACAGCTACCATTTAAATACATTCTCTATGTATTATATATATTATAATATTTGATCCCTACAATAATTCTTAGTATATATCACCATTTCACATGTAAGAAAATTTACAATCAAAGACATTGAATCGAGGTGGGCCTTTGTTTTGTTTTGTTTAACTCTTTTGCGGAAACCTATCATTTTGTGGATTCAGCATCCCTTCTTCTGAAAACTGCTTCTCCCTTCTCTATCCCTATGGCTGCATTGAGAACAGTCCTGTTATGACAACATCCTACCCCCTGGCCTCTGGGCCTCGTCCTACAATTGTGTGAAGCACATTAGTTTATGTTATTTTTATTTGTCTAACAGTAACATGTAAAACTTAGAATTGTTGGTGGCCTGTTTACCAGCACAGGGACTGCAGATGTCAGTAAAGTCAGCTAGCAGACAGAGAGACTGGGGAGTGGCATTCACACTCCTGCCTTTAATCCCCCACGTCCTGGCCCCCCCATGTATTCTGGAAGAAGTCTTCGTGTCCTGATAAAAAATTTCCCTTTTGGCTTACGCTCAAGTTTGTTATCAGTCACTTGCAACCCTGAAAAGTCTGAACTTTTACCAACTGTTGATCATCATTTGGGTTGAAAATAGCTGGCACATTAGAATTTCATTCAAAAGCTGATTTATACTAGTTCCCCAAAGGCTATGTGCTTCGTTTCTTCCTTCCTGATCTCAAACACACATGAAAAATAAATCTTATCTATTAAAAACAGTTGCATTAAAAATAGCTAAATCCTTTTTTTACTGAAATAGAAAAACAATTATAAAATTCGTATGAAACCTAAAAGACCTCAAGTAGCCAAAACATTCTTGAGAAAGAAACAAAGCACGAGGCACCACACTTCCTGATTTCAAAATATATCACAAATCTACAGTAGTTAAAACAATATGGTACAGGCATAAAGACAGACATATAGACCAATTGAGCAGAACAGAGAGCCAGAAATAAATCCACACATATATGGTCAACTCATCTTCAGCAAGGGTGCCAAGAATATACAATGGGGAAAGGATAATCTGTTCAACAAATGGTGTTGGGAAAACTGGATATCCAAGTGCAAAATAATAAAATTGAACCTTTACCTTAAATCTTACACAAAAATCAACTCAAAATGGATTAAAGACTTAAGTGTAAGACCTGAAACTATAAAACTCCTAGAAGAAAACAGGAAAAAGCATCATGACATTGGTCTTGGCAATGATTTAATGGATATGACACCATAAGCACAGGCAACAAAAGCAAAAATAGGCTAGTGGGACTACATCAAACCAAAAAGCTTCTTCTGCAGGCTGGGAGCCGCGGCTCACATCTGTAATCCCAGCAGTTTGGGAGGCCGAGGCAGGTGGATCATTTGAGGTCAGAAGTTCGAAACCATCATGGCCAACAAGGTGACACCCCGTCTCTACTAAAAATACAAAAATTAGCTGGGTGTGGTGGTGCACACCTGTAATCCCAGCTACTGGGGAGGCTGAGGCAGGAGAATTGCTTGAATCTGGGAGGCAGAGGTTGCAGTGTCCTGAGATTATGCCACAGCACTCCAGCCTGGGAAACAGAGTGAGACTCTGTCTCTAAATAAATAAATAAATAAATAAATGCCTTCTGCACAGCAAAGGAAATGATCAACAGGGTGCAAAGGTAACCTACATAATGGGAGAAAATACTTACCAACCATGTATCTGATAAGTGGTTAATATCCAAAATATATAAGAAACTCCTACAACTCAGCAAAAAACCTATTAAGTCATTTTAAAAATGGGCTAAGGACTTGAATAGACATTTCTCCAAAGAAGACATACAAATGGCCAACCAGTATATGAAAAGATGCTCAATATCACCAAGATCAAGAAAATGCAAATCAAATCCACGACGAGACATCACCTCGAAACTGTTCAGATGGCTATCATCAAAAAGATACAAGATGACAAGTGCTGGCAGGGAAAAAAGGAAACCCTGGCCACTGTTAGAGGGAATGGCAATTAGCACAGCCATTATGGAAAACACTATGGACTTTCCTCAAAAAATTAAAATAGAGGAGTATTGTATGAAAGGAGAGAAGGTTAACATTCCCCTTGACAAGAGGAACAGAAAATCAAATACCGTGTGTCCTCAGTTATAAGTGGGAGCTAAATGATGAGAACAAACACATGGACACATAGAGGGAAATGACACATACTGGGGCCTATTGGAAGTTGGAGGGTGGGAGGAGGGAGAGGATCAGGAAAAATAACTGATGGGTACTAGGCTTAATACCTGGGTGAAGAAATGATCTGTACAACAAACCTCCATGACACATGTTTACCTATGTGACAAACCTGCACATGTACTCCTGAAGTTAAAATAAAAGTTTTTAGGCCAGGCACAGTGGCTCACGCCTGTAATCCCAGCACTTTGGGAGGCCAACGTGGGCAGATCACGAGGTCAGGAGATCAAGACCATCCTGGCTAACACGGTGAAACCCCGTCTCTACTAAACATACAAAAAAATTAGCCTGGTGTGGTGGCAGGCGCCTGTAGTACCAGCTACTCGGGAGGCTGAGACAGGAGAATGGCGTGGACCCAGGAGGCAGAGCTTGCAGTGAGCCAAGATCATGCCACTGCACTCCAGCCTGGGCAACACAGCAAGACTCCATCTCAAAAAAAAAATAATGAAAAAATAAAAGTTTTTATAAAAATAGAATGGTAATATGATTCAGCAAGCCCACTTCTGCGTATTTTTCCAAAAGAATTGAAATCAGTATGTTGAAGACATACCTGCATTCCTATGTTCGTTGCACCAGTATTCACAATAGCTAAGATGTGGAAACAACCTAAATGTTGACGAATGAATAAAGAAAATGTGGTATATACATACAATGGAATATTACTCAGTCTGAGAAAAGAGGAAATCCTTGTCATATACTACAGCATGGATGAAACTTGAGGACATTATGCTAAGTGAAAGATGCCAGCCACAAAAGGGCAAATACTGTACGATTACACTTACATGAGCTATCTAAAATAGTGAGACTCGTAGAAGAAGACAGTAGAATGATGGTTGCAGGGATTGGGAGGAGGGTAAAATGGGGAATCGCTAATAATGGGTATAAAGTTTCAGCTATGCAAGATGAATAAGTTCCAGAGATCTGTTGTACAACGTTGTGCCTATAGTTGATAATATTGTGTTGTGCACTTAAATATCTTTTAAGAGAGTAGATCTCGTGTTTTAACTCTTCTTACCACAATAAAATAAAAATAATAGCTACATTCATTCAAACAAATCATCTTGAAAGCAATGGAAAACTATTTGGTGGTTGTTGTTGTTGGCTAACTACAATGAGTTTTATTCAGTAGTCTTTATTTCTTAAAGAACGCAATGATATGTTCTATTTTCTAACATTTCAACTAATCGATTAATCAGGAAAGGAAAAAGGAAGTTCATCTAAAGCATGGATTAGTGATGTTCTAAGTTGACGTGATAAATAAAAGAAAAAATTTATTATCACAGGTCATATTACAACTTCTAACTTGCGTGCATAGGGATTTTGTGGTCACCCTGAAAACATGGCCTATAATGTGACTGTGAAAGCCAAGTGCAGCCTGTGGAGGCTCTGCCATGAAGTGTCAGAAGTTCTCTGTGTGTGTCTCATCAGTCTAGGCACAATTTTAAATTCTGCACCTGCCCCCATGTCCATGGATTGAATATGGATCTGCTATTGTGTGGCCACCCTGGCCTTCAGGCTTAACATAGGTGACAATTTGCTCTGGGGCTTTGTGAAAGAAAAAATGTCTTATTCCTACCTAACAAAAAGAAAGTATTAACCCTGCCTAACAATAGTCGAAGACCCAAAAAACACCTATCCGGGACTGTATAACATCAACACTGGAGAAGCTATCTGGAAAAATATGGAGAAAAACTGAAATATTTGAAAGTAATGGAGGTTAACATACAGGTAATTTCCAATCAGCATACTTGGGGACTCTGAGTTTTCCCAGAACATATTTAAAAAAAAAATCCAGTTTGCTTGAACAAACAACTTTCAAATATTAAGCTAATTGTTTGAATGACCAAAGCAGTCCATGAAAATAATTTATCCTTAGTCTTCACACATAGGCCTACTTATTGCCCAGAAAATTTTTCTTCGGCCTAATCCAAATTACTCTTCCATTTCTCTCACCTATTTTTAATACTTTCTCTCAGAGAGAATGGCTACCTGGCTTCTCCTTGTCTTCCAATTTAATCTTCTTAGTTTTTCTCGATAGCTTGTAGTTTCCATCTTTTAATTACCATTAATTTTTTTTTTTTTAGAAAAGGTAGTTTCCACTGGCTTAGTAGATATTTACCAAACTGGTGAAAACTACACATTAATTTATCCACCTAGAATTTGGTGGGAATGAGGTCCATCTTGTACTATAATTTGTGGATTAAGTAAAATCAGATGCTATGCTATGATGTTTGTAAAATCAGTCACTATGTTAGTGCTCATTCATCCCAGCTCTTGCTGTGTGTGGTTCCTGAGGAGTGGGCATCATGACAGCAGGGTGGGAACATCACTGTTGTCTGTGCACGTGCATGCGTGCATGTGTGTGTGCACATGTGCACATGTGCATATGCTTGTAAAGGGGCTGGCTGGAGAAGAATGTCTCCTTGGTGATGCTAACAAAGCAACATTGAGCTGGAGTGACATCAGGTGCCAGACCCCCTAAGAGGTAAAGGCAGAGGTCTCCAAGGTGGGTGCTGGACTGAATTCTGGGAACAGGCCAAGGGCTGTGGCTACATCAATGGGAAAGAGAAGAGGGCCTGTGGCATGCCTGGTGAGTGGGCCTAAGGCTCCCTCTAGGCACAAAAAGGGTGGGAGATAGAGCTGAAGATGGCCTGGCATGTTTGAGGCCAGCAAGTTGGGGTTAAGTTGTTTGTTTTTCTCCTCTTTTATTCCTCCCAGGTTTCTTTATAACCTTTTCAAAATTCAGGCATCTAAACAGCCCTTGGGATGAGAAGGACATGGTGGCCAGTGTCCATGAGCTTTAGGTACTCTTTTCCCTCTCACTGTCTGTGGTCTGAGGACTGCTTACAAAGTTGGACTGTGGCACGAAGGCCTCCTGATTAAACCAACAAAGAGGCCGCCTCTCCAGAGCTCAGAATTGTCCTGACATGAAAATAATCAAGTTCTGACACTGCCAGGATAATTACTGTTTAATTTCGAGTATTTTAAAACTGAAAATATAGCCATTCCTTCCTTTATAACTCTGTATTATGGTCTATTTGTAATAATTGTAATAACAATGCTTGGTGCAGAGACTGGAAAGGGGTAGGAAAGCCAATAGTGGAGCATCCTCATGTTTCCCACAGTTTTGGACACAAAGAAGAAATTCTCTTCTCTCCTGATAAGCAGAGATAAGCTTATACTTATTTCCGGATCCCTAAGTCATCTTTTTAGCCCTGCAAATTTGCTGGTGAGCAGTTACAATAAAGCTTCCTGGCAGTTCCTTCTACCAGAGTGTTAAAGTAATCCAGGTATTTGAAGGCACGAAATGGAATGACTTAATCTCATCTCTCAGTGGTTCAGATGGATGCGAAGGTCATGGCTACAGCTACCTGGTCTAGGAGTGTGTACATCATGTAAACATCCAGGTCAAGTGACAGAGCTCAGCTAAAATCCAGAAGTCCCCTGACACCAGAGTTAGTTTTCCATGAAAGAAATGCCTATAAGAAACTGGACCAGGATAAAGCAAAGAGTAAGGGGCAGGAAGAAAGCTTATAATTGCATTACTGCAATCTTCTGCAAAATCAGACTTCTGCTTCTGTTCCACCTCTTTAAAGCTGAAAATGCCTCAAGTTTCTTACTGAGAGACATGAGAAATTCCATGAATACTAAATTCTTTGACAATTTCTAGCATGGTTTCATCCAAGGTTATGTGATGAGGCTGCATAATATAGGCTCTATATGTTTGGGTATTTTATGCGTGTATGTAACTTTGTCACTTTGATTTGCAAAATGGAAAATTCCCTGAATGCCCACAGAAAAGTATAATGTAGCATTTAGCAGGTCAACAAAATGCACTCCCTTATTCTTTGTCTCCGCCTCATTCTCCAACACTTTAGTGCACTAAGTTGTAGTGACTGAAATCATTCTTGGTGAATAATGCTGGGCCACGCTGAAAATTTGTGGCTGAGAGCTGGACCCTCGTCATCGCCACGTACTCTGTCAATGAGACAGGGTAACCCATGGTTACTGAGCTCCGATCAGTTAAGGGGCAGAGAGCCTCCGCTCCCCACTGCTCTATAAAAGAGACCCAGCAAAGGGACCCTACCAGCTTCTAGCTCTCAGTCTGCGCGAGGGTGTAGGAAGGAAAGCCCAGGACCTCCGGAGCAGAGCACAGCAGCTGCAGAGGCAAGGCCAGCATGTCGCCCAACTTCAAACTTCAGTGTCACTTCATTCTCATCTTCCTGACGGCTCTAAGAGGGGAAAGCCGGTACCTAGAGGTGAGCCACCCCTGGACTGACCCATCTCACCTTCCTTGCGTGTTAGCCCTAGGCGGCAGGCAGGCTGCCTCTGCTCGCAGCCTTTTGGGGTTCGCTGTTTCTTCCCTCTCTGCTGGATGCTGTCTTGCCCCTGGTTTCCCCTATCCTGTTCTCCCTCCTTGCCTCTGAGCATCCCAGACTGCCTGCCTGCCTTCCTCTGGCCGCTGGGGATACCCTGGCCTGATGGAGAGGGTCTAAGACCTTCCCGTCTTCTCCGGACACGGGAAAACATTACCCCTCTCTCTTTATTCGCTATGCTGAGTGGCAGGGAGGGTGCCCCGCTCCTGGTCCCCTTTTTTATCCCCAGCCCTTGAACTTTTCCGGACTGACCTATGTTTCTTGCCAGCTGAGGGAAGCGGCGGACTACGATCCTTTCCTGCTCTTCAGCGCCAACCTGAAGCGGGAGCTGGCTGGGGAGCAGCCGTACCGCCGCGCTCTGCGTGAGTCGAGGCTGCCCGGCTCGCGGGCGCCCGGGACGCGGGGAAGGTGGGACTCTGTGCGGGGGGCAGAGGGCTCGCGGACATCTCGGGGAAGGGGCTGGCCGGAACCGCCAGGGGCGCGGTCCCCTTAGCTAAGGATCGGTCCGCGGAGGCGCGCCAGGAGCGGGAGAGGGTGGCGCGCCCGGGGCGCAGGAACCCAGCGCAGCCTAGGCTGGAAGTCGGGGCGCTGGGCACTACAGAGCCCGGGAATGGGGCGCGCGGAGAGCGGCCGCCCGAGGACGGCGCTGCGGCGGCTGCAGCCCGGGACTTATTGCCCCATGCCCTCCTCCCCCAGGGTGCCTGGACATGCTGAGCCTCCAGGGCCAGTTCACCTTCACCGCCGACCGGCCGCAGCTGCACTGCGCAGCCTTCTTCATCAGCGAGCCCGAGGAGTTCATTACCATCCACTACGACCAGGTCTCCATCGACTGTCAGGGCGGCGACTTCCTGAAGGTGAGGCGCCCACGGCCAGCCAACCTAGCCGGAGGGCGGCACGGGAGGGTTGGAAAGGGCTGGGGCGCTGCACCCAGCGTGGGGCTGCTGAGCGTAGGTAGCCAGTGGCACTTCTTAGACACTTCGCTGGTGCCCGAGTCGGAGAGGCGCGTTCGAGGACCCCCACACGGCGAGAATCTCGCCCTTACCCGAAGACCTCGACCCACACACATCCAGTGGGGCTGGGGCCGGTGCCTCTGGACGCTGCCATGGTTTAAATTCCCTTCTGGGCGCTTTCGAGGCCCTAGGAACTTCTAAAGACTTGAACTCGCAGCGCGGAACTCTGACGCAATCCAGGGCCGAGGAAAAATGATTAAAACCCAACAAGCTCGAGTGCTGGGGTCCACCAAGCGGGCCGTCTTGGTTAGAAGGCCCGCCCCACACGTCTCACATCTGAGCCCGCCTCGCTCCTGCTGGTCCACGCTCGGCAGAGCCGTTCCGAGAGCACAGAGGCTGTCTTCAGTGCGCGGGTGACCCGATTTTGGAGCAGTAGGGGACTGGCTGCCGAGGGGGCATCTAGATTGAGATAGGTGGGAGGGCAGGACAAGACCCCTAAGCTCACTGCCTCCTCGATTCCAGTCGTCAGACTCCATAAGTATAACAGGGCAGCATGGGATGGCTGATGGAGCTCTACTGTCCAATTAAAATAATCATGATTAACATCTCCAAAGTAGGATTATTTTGGAACCTGTCACATGCGTTAGAAATAATTTGTAGCTGGGTTGTTGGTAATTTTGCTAATGTGGACTAGATTGGACTCGTTAAACTGGAGACCTGTGGTGATTTTGAGGGTCAAGTCAATAGACTCTGACCCTTTGTTCAACTGCAAACTTTAACAAGTGAAGGAAAAATGTTCCAGGTAGCATACCAGCCATCATTGCCTGGCTGTTGAAGCAGTTCTTGACATTTTAAAGTAATATGTGATGATATTTTTAAAAAATGAGAAAAATGGGTGTATATAGTCATTAGCAGGTAAAGTTGCTGCTCCAGTTTTTTCTTTTGCTATCTATTTTCAAGATATTTTGTTCACATTTCAATGACTAGAGGAAAGAGAGAAGCTGCACGAAACCTAAATTATGCTTTTGTGGAATTCTTCTGAAGGTGAGAGGTAGAAAATATGACCAAGGTAAAAATGTACATTGTACGTTGTTTTATTTACCAAAGTGGTTGAAATGATAAAGTATAAGGAAGTTTACTTACTTTGGAAGCTTTAAGGCTTATAAAAAATTAATTAATACTATTACTTGCAAACAACCCTCACCATCCAATATATACAAATGAAAAGGCGAGCAGGCAGAGTGTGGACTGTCGATTCTCACTTATGACTGAAGGCCCATTGCTGGATGACTTTCCCCCCCTTTTCAACTCATTTCAGACTTCAGGAGTTGATGGAAATGATAGCATCTATGTCTGTATTTTTTTCAAAGGTATTTGATGGTTGGATTCTCAAGGGGGAGAAGTTCCCCAGTTCCCAGGATCATCCTCTCCCCTCAGCTGAGCGGTACATAGATTTCTGTGAGAGTGGTCTTAGCAGGAGGAGCATCAGATCTTCCCAGAATGTGGCCATGATCTTCTTCCGAGTCCATGAACCAGGAAATGGATTCACATTAACCATAAAGACAGACCCCAACCTCTTTCGTAAGTGTTCTCAGTCAAAAGGCAGAACTTCGGATATAGACCCGCTTTTTGAAAGTAGTATCATTGCACAGACTTAAAGAAATTTGAACTGAGGAATGATTTGAATGGAAATTTTTTTGTAATTAGAAATGACCTAAAGGATAGTTTCTATTCTTTATTATGAAAATCAAATCACAGTTTTTAATTTATTTCCCAGGTTAGGTAGTATACTAATTTATGAAGAGTACAATTCTATCTTTTCTCCAAAGTCTTGCTCTGAGCTTCTCAGGTTCTACAATGCATTTAGTGATAAGCTTTAATCTTCCAAGTCATTTCACTAATCCAGGATAAGCTTGAGTGATCAGATATAAAGTTGCAGTCTTAGAGATATTCAGGCACAGGCTTGAAAGTCTCCATGTCTTTCAGCCTGTGCCTGAATGTGGTAGACCGATGTCATGCCCTGACCAGAGGGTTGGATTATAGCACCTCAATGTTACCTTCTGATTCTGAGCCCACCACTCTAATTCAATTCATTTATGATGGACACACACGTAGCTTATGCTACACAACTGAACAGCCCAGGTCTAAAGCATATTATCTTACTAAAAATATTTACTCCGCGGTGGCTCACGCCTGTAATCCCAGCACTTTGGGAGGCCAAGGCAGGCGGATCACGAGGTCAGGAGATCCAGACCGTCCTGGCTAACACAGTGAAACCCCATCTCTACTAAAAATGCAAAAAATTAGCTGGGCGTGGTGGTGGGCGCCTGTAGTCCCAGCTACTTGGGAGAGAATGGCGTGAACCTGGGAGGTGGAGCTTGCAGTGAGCTGAGATCGCGCCACTGCGCTCCAGCCGGGGTGACAAAGGGAGACTCTTGTCTCAAAAAAAAAAAAAAATGAATTTACTCATCTGCTAATTGTTTTTTCCCCATTAAGAGAAAAATCTGTTTAAAAAATTAGAAAAGGAACACATATCACTCATTTTTGCATACAGTAGAATTAATGGTAACACTTCATGCGGCTGAAAGATGGGGCCTTTATCTGCCAAAGAATAATGCACTACTGATCTTTTGATTTCTAGTTCTGAAAAAACAAAAGAATTTTTGAAAAAGCCCCCCAAAAAGGCTGTTCCTGAGGACTGCAACAGAAGAATTCTAGAAGACAAAATAAAGAGTTTCCCCTATATTTTGTTTAGTTAGAAATCAGAAACCTCCTGGGCCAGGCGTGGTGGCTCATGCCTGTAATCCTAGCACTTTGGGAGGCCGAGGAGGAGGATCACTTGAGCCCAGGAGTTTAAGATCAGGCTGGCCCACAAAGTGAGACCCTGTCTGTATTAAAACTTTTAAAAAAGTTTATTAAAAAAAGAAACTTCCTAGAACCATCAAGGAATTTCAGTCCTTTTTGAAAGTAAGTATAATTAAAAATATGAAAAGGAGGCAAGAGGTGTTTCTGATCTGTTCTGATCAATGTTGATTCATCCAGTAATCAGAAAAAAAAGTACAAATTCTGATGCTTCTAGTTTCATATCTAGACTAATTAATGTATTGTAAATTTATTTATTTGAGACGGAGTGTTGCTCTGTCACCCATGCTGGAGTGCAGTGGCACGATCTTGGCTCACTGCAACCTCTGCCTCTCGGGTTCAAGCAATTCTCTGCCTCAGCCTCCCGAGTAGCTGGGATTACAGGCGCCCGTCACCATGCCTGGCTAATTTTTGTGTTTTTAGTAGAGACAGAGTTTCACCATCTTGGCCAGGTTGGTCATGAACTCCTGACCTCGTGATCCACCCGCCTCGGCCTCCCAAAGTGCTGGGATTACAGGCGTGAGCCACCACTCCCGGCCAATGTATTGTAAATTTAGATTTGAGATATAAAACAAAAAATTGTAGAAGTTCTTGGGAGTAAATTAAACATTAAAAATGCACCTTTTAGTTAACTTATCACTTAACATGCAGCAAATATTTATCAGACTTAATACTGCTGTCTTTCATTTTTTTCTCAGCCTATTTTCTCACTATTAGAAAAATACTTAAAATAGGCCTGGCATGGGGGCTCACTCCTGTAATCCTACACTTTGGGAGGCTGAGGCAGGTGAATCCCTTGAGGTCAGGAGGTCGAGACCAGCCTGGCCAACGTGGTGAAACCCTGTCTCTACTAAAAATACAAAAATTAGCCAGATGTTGTGGCACATGTCTGTAGTCCCAGCTACTCAGGAGGCTGAGGCAGGAGAATCACTTGAACCCGGGAGGCAGAGGTTGCAGTGAGCTGAGATGGTGCCACTGCATTCTAGCCAGGGTGACAGAGCAAGATTCCATCTCAGAAAAAAAAAAAGAAAAGAAAAATACTTAAAATAAGCCTGGGGCCATGGTGAAGCTGCCGAGCTGCATCCTAGGCCCCCAGTTTTAAAATAAAAATTAAGTTTTTTTAAAAAAGAAAATAAGTAAGAATGAAAAAGAAAATACTTAAAATTATTTACTTTATTATTTAAAAATAGACAGAGTTTGAGTTTTGGACTCACCATTAAGCCTCGATTTTTCCAGATTCCTAGCTTTAAGCTGGACTCTAGTTAACTCAAGTGTTCCTAGAACTACTACCAGCTAGTATTTGTTTGGGTGCTGTGTTATGTCTTGTGATTGTTATAAACAAGGTAACCCCCTAAGATTAACATTAGAAGCCCCCTCACAGCCCAGGGCCTCCTGACAATATCCACGTGTCACTGATGGTTTTTGTTCCCCAAATCCTTCCTGTCTCCAAATTGCTTTTGTGGTATATATGCTCTCTTCCTGGGCAGAAGGCCCTAGATCATGAACAGGAGCCCTAGAATAAGATACAATAAATGTCTATAAAAACCTAGCAAACCAAGTAAAGGAAACGTGAATTTCTTTTTCTTTTCTACAAAGCTTGCAATGTCATTTCTCAGACTCCAAATGGAAAGTTTACCCTGGTAGTTCCACACCAGCATCGAAACTGCAGCTTCTCCATAATTTATCCTGTGGTGATCAAAATATCTGATCTTACCCTGGGACACGTAAATGGTCTTCAGTTAAAGGTGAGTTGCTTACTTGTTTCCTAACCGTTTGATAAGGCCACAACTTTATCAGAGCAGAAGCAATCATATAGGGAAAACCTGGACACTAGCAAATTGGCGTAGTACGTTGCTCTGATGAACTCTTAAATCTCAAATGTGTTTGCCCTAGCTGCTTTGACTAACCCCCTCTTCTATTTCAGTTATGCGGCAAGTTGCATACTCAGGTGCCCCTTCTGACTACTTGAATACTTTCCCTGTGATGTAAGAAGTGTTTTCAATTGGTAAAGTTGTGGTATATAATTACAATTGAACTCTCTTGTACTTGCCTCTTTTACAAAAATTCTCTCCTAGCAGAACGTAGTGTGAGTCATCTACACAGCTGTTTTTCTGATTATTGGAATTTTCTTTTGACATGAAGGAAGTATCTCATTGACAGAACTGCGTTGTGAAGGAGTGCTAACTGTAGCATAAAATACAAAATTGGATTTTTAGATTGCAAAATACAGTAAAGCTTTGAAAAGTATTTGGCATGACATTTAACTCAATACATTTTGCCTAAAAAATATTAGCCAAGAACCCCTATCAACTTGTTTTTGAATAAACTTCTGTATGGACCTTAAAATTCATGCTGAGTTTGACCGCATTTTCTTGCACTGGTAGCATTTTCCCTCTGAGTCATCCTCATTTCCTTCTACTTTCTCACATGACTAGGTTAAGATAACTCATGTATTTGCTGCTATCAAAGGCAGTCATAATTCCTAATCAGACAGATTTTAGTGAAAACCAAATAAATAGAACTAGGACTGAGAAAAGGAGTATATCCAATTTCCTTTAAGCCCTAAATTCATGGACTAGTGCCTGCTTTTTTTAAGTTGGAACTTAGTGGAAGAATAGTCCTTTGATAAGGACATTTTTGGGTATCTTTGGTACAGTTTTACTGGCTTGATATTATTTGTATGTCATTTTTGATGTAAAATATAGAAGATGAAAGGTGTGAGCACAGACTGGGAGATCTGCACTTTAGTTATTGGGGCTATGGGGGTAATCTTGGTGTTTCCTCCCGAACAATTTAGAGCCTACAGTGTTCTAGGCATCTGTTCCTTCACAAAATATTTTTTGAATGCTTACCATGTGCAAGGCACTATTGTAGATGCTGGAAATTAGCAATAAACAAGACAGGTCCTGCTCACAGGGACCCTGCATTCAAGTGGGATGAGACAGGCAAAATTGCCATGTATTTCAGTTGGTGATAAGTGCTATACAGAAAATGCAGCAGAGTAGTGTGGTAGACAGTGACTGGGAGCATGGGGGTGGATGGAGAGGCGCGGGGCTACTTGTGATAAAGTGGTCAGGAAAGAAACCTTTTGAGAAGTGAGACCTGGGTGATAGATCAGAAGGAACCAGCAGCTGTGAGAACAGGGAGCAGAGGGAACAGTGCAGGGGCTCAGAGGCAGGAATGGGCTTGCTGGATTCCAGACATGGAAAGAAGAGGAGGATTGGCATAAAACAGCTTCAGGGAGATGGGCAGGGCCAGAGTGTGGTGAGCCCTGCAGGCCACATTAGGGAGTTTAAGTGCAGTGGTAAACCACTGAAAGAGTTCAGGGAGGAAAGCAACATGATCTGATGTATGCTGTCTAAAACGTCACTGTGGCTTCCATGCAATGAATGGGCTGTAGGGCCATGCCACCCTTTTTATGGCTCTGGTGAGATGTTTCTTTAGTTATTATTAACATATCTATCAAGATTATTTTCTTAAACCTCCCAGATTTCTATGTATTGGAAGATGAGTTCCACCAAAATAAAACCAAAACCAAAAAACCTTCAATTTTGCACATTGAGTTGGTGTGAGGATCTTACATTTGGTACAAGGAATGTAAGTACTTTTTATTGTTTTTTGTTTTTTGTTTTTTTTTTGAGATGGAGTCTCGCTCTGTCGCCCAGGCTGGAGTGCAGACATGCAGTCTCGGCTCACTGCAACCTCTGCCTCCGAGGTTCAAGCAATTCTCCTGCCTCAGTCTCCTGAGTAGCTGGGATTACAAGCATGAGCCACCACACCTGGCTAATTTTTTTTTGTATTTTTAGTAGAGACAGGGTTTCACCATATTGGCCAGGCTGGTCTCAAACTCCTGACCTTGTGATCTGCCCGCCTCGGCCTCCCAAAGTGCTGGGATTACAAACATGAGCCACTGCTCCTGGCCAAGTACTTTTTTGGTACATTATTGTGGGCTAGGCAAAAGATAGTAGTGGCTTAGAACCTGAACAAAGAAATTTAGGGAATCCCTGTTGAGAAACTGAACTTGAGAGGTCCCTGCATAACTCAGTTTCTGCCATTGTAAGAAAAGCTGAGAGGTTTGCAAAGAAGGGAGAAAAATCATTGAACAGCAAGGAATAAGTGCACTTAACTTTCTTGTTTCTTTGTTTTGTTCCCCTCACTTTAGTTTCTATTTCTTCCTAGCTTCTTTATTTCCTACTTCTCTCTCCTGAGTCTGCCTTTTTGCCTGCAACAGCACCTGCTGAATTTTGGAACCTATAAAACTAAGTGGAAAATTTAGTTGTAAGAGATGTTCCTCCTGGACATCCTCTACTCAAGGGAAAGGCAATTAAAGTTTTTTTCCTTTACTGCTAAATTGCTTATTCCACTCTCAATACAAGAACATGAAGCCCTGTATACAGTGGGGCTAATTAAACCTCTTTCATCATTTGATGCAATTATGTATAAAGCCTCTAAGCATCAAACCCAGTACATAGTAGGTAGGCCCTTTAAAAATATGTATCCCCACCTGCCCCTGCTCATTAGTGAAGCAGTTGCCATTATGTTATTTTCCAATTTGCTGTTTAGTTCCAGTTGTATTCCAATGCTCTTCTGTGTTTTTTTGTTTGTTTTGTTTTGTTTTGTTTTTTCGGAGACAGAGTCTCACTCTGTCGCCCAGGCTGGAGTGCAGTGACGTGATCTTGGCTCACTGCAACCTCTGCCTCCCAGGTTCAAGTGATTCTCCCACCTCAGCTTCCCGAGTAGCTGGGACTACAGGTGTGTGCCACCGCGCTTGGCTAATTTTTGTATTTTTAGTGGAGACGGGGTTTCACCGTGTTGGCCAGGCTGGTCTCGAACTCCTGACCTCAAATGATCCACCTGCCTTGGCCTCCCAAAGTGCTGGAATTACAGGCGTGAGCCACCATGCTGGTCAGTGCCCTTCTAAATGCCTGAATGTGTGTGCTTATGTGTGTGTGTGGGTGTGTGTGTGTATTAAGTTCTCTATTTTAGATTTTGGTTCCTATGTGTTAAGGTCTATCTAGTGAAGTACTGAGCACCTTGTCACATTCTACTAGATCTCTTAATGAGCACACTTCAATGAAAAAGAGGATCACAGGCAAAATTGTGGGGACCAGTACAAATGAAAATGTGGGAGCCCTTATTACAATTTTATGAAAATGCAGCAGAACATTAAACCAAGCATAGAGCCCTTCTAGGCACTGGCTTTTTGTGGCTGCACAGGTGGCATACTTGTGAGACTGCCCTGGGGAGATGGGGGCTCAGAGTACTTTTGGGACTAAGAGTGGTTGCTTTGTTTGTGTTGGAAAGTGAGGCACGGGGATTGCTATGGACAAGACAGTGTGGAAAAAATGAAAAGGCTGGGTGAGGTGGCTCACACCTGTAATCCCAGCATTTTGGGAGTCCGAGGCAGGAGGATCCCTTGAGGTTAGGAGTTCAAGACCGGCCTGGGCAACATATCAAGGACCCATCTCTACAAAATTGAAAAAAAAAAAAAAGGGGGAAGCAGGAAAAGGTGATCATGGTGGACCACACAAAGCTTTAGAATGAATTCTTTTGAGTAGCTTGAAATAAATTTGTTTTAGTTGAAAGGAGAAAGATCATGGTAACTGTAGCTAACTTGGGCCCCAAATCAGGGTTTTATTATTTCTTTAACATACTCATAATTAATCAAAATTCTTATTGTTAGAAATGAGGTGTTCCAATAGCACACAAATTTCCTTTACAAAGAAGAAGAAAAGAGATGAGGTGAAGGAAAAACGGATGTGAAAGCCCTATTTATAAAATGTAGGTATTTGACTTCGCTTAGCTGTGACTGCATGCATTAAGAAATTGGAGTGATTCAGTATGTATGTCCAAATGATTTGAAAAGTAAAGCATTTTTTGGTTGAATTTCCACACATCTTATATGGAGTTTACAGATTTCCATTTTATCATTCCAGTCCTTGAGCTTAAAAAAAATGAAAAAAACATGTACACACATTTCTAAAAAAAATGATTACTCAACTGATTTAGAAAAGCAATTTTTATGATTTTTTCTCTTTTAAATGTCTTTTAATTTCCAGAGTCCCAGATGTTAAATTAAATGGTATTGCCAGGATGTTGAGGGCTGATTGAGTGAATTCATGGACCCGCTGTTGGTCAAATGGTTTGACTTCTGTAATTGGTTTAAATGTGTCTTTCTCTGCTGCTTTATTCCCTTAGAAATCCTCAGCAGGTTGCGAGGGAATAGGAGACTTTGTGGAGCTGCTGGGAGGAACTGGATTGGACCCTTCCAAGATGACGCCTTTAGCTGATCTCTGCTACCCCTTTCATGGCCCGGGTGAGGTATTTCTTTGATTGTTATGTATGTGCCTATCAAGATTAAAAAAAAATAAGCACTCCCCTAATATTTTCTACATTGGAAGGTGAGTTTCGCCAAAAAAGCCTTCAATTTTTCACACTGAGCCAGTATGAGGATTTGAGGCTATATATAACATCAGTATCTTTACCAAAATATCCGACACTGGGAGAGAAACCTTTGAAGCAATAAAGGTTGGCCTTAAGTAAAACTATGAAAAAGACAAAGCTTTTAAAATCTGCATTCTTTCCATTTTCTTGGGGGTCTCTGCTTTCATTTTCTAGAGACTAAAGAGTTTACTAACTGAAACACTTATGGTTCAAATAGTAGATGTATCATCAATTAGTAATAGGATAATAATGAAATAACTGTTTTTTATGTATGTGTATGTATGTGTGTGTGTTACTCATAGTAAATAAACAACAAAGTGATAAGCTTTATTAGAAATTCTTAGAACTGCTAAGTCTATAACTTCTTATGGCTAAACTAGCCTCTCAAAGGCCAGTGTAACACAGAGGTAAATTCTGAAATCTAAAAGCGGTCACCAGTAATAGAAGACTGGTTTATTTGGCACAGCATATGCCAAATAGAACCAGATCTATGTCAGAGACAAGTGAGTATTTTCACTTTTTTATGCTCATGTCAGGTGAGGATGGATGGGACTTCATGACCTCATGACCAGATAACTCAATGAAGTCTCGGGGAGGTGGGGGAGAGGAGTCATAAAACATTCCTGTAAAGGTCACTCCCATAGCTTTACTTCAGACACAGGAGTCCTAGATTAACATTAACGAGACAAAACAGAAGAAGAACAGCAGTCTCTAATCTCAGTTAATTCTTACTGTAGCCTCCTTCCTCTCCTGTCACTGCAGATCATTAACCAGCTAGGCAATGAAGCTGCAAAGCAGACAGTCCTCTTGATCAGCTGTTACCTGTAATAATTAAAACCAGGCCAGACCACCAGTATTTTCTGACTCTGAGTTGATGATGGACAAAACATCTCCAAAATAGAATTAACATACAGTCAGCCCTTCTTAACTGTGGGTTCCCCATACACAGATTCAACCAATTGTAATAGAAAATATTCAGCGTAGGCTAGGCGCGGTGTCTCACGCCTGTAATCACAGCACTTTGGGAGGCCGAAGCGGGCAGATTACTGAGGTCAGGAGTTCGAGACCAGCGTGGCCAATATGGTGAAACCCCCGTCTCTACTAAAAATATAAAAAAATTAGCCAGGCATCGTGGTGCACACCTGTAGTCCCAGGTACTTAGGAGGCTGAAGCAGGAGAATTGCTTGAACCCGGGCAGTGGTGGTTACAGTGAGCTGAGATTGTGCCACTGCACTCCAGCCTGGATGACAGAGCGAGACTAGACAGAGTGAGATTCTGTCTCAAAAAATATATATATATTCAGTGTAATTCCTGAACTTTGGGAGGCTGACGCAGGAGGATCGCTTGAGCCCAGCAGTTTGAGACCAGCCTGGGCAACATGGCAAGACCACACCCCATAAAATAAAAAAAAAGAAAAGAATCAGGTAAAAAAAAAACACACAAAAAAATACAGTATAACAACTATTTACATAGCTTTTACATTGTATTAGGTACTATAGGTAATCTACAGATGATTTAAAGTATATGGGAGGATGTGTGTAGTTTACATGGAAATAGGTAAAGGTAAAAGGTAGCCATTTACATAAGGGACTTGAACATCTGTGGATTTTGGTATCCGTGGGATGGGGAGCATCTTGGAACCAATCTCCTGAGGATACCAAAGGATGAATTATACAAAAGTCAGCACTAAAGCCTGATATGCACTCCACCCTCCCCCAGATACACCTATATTCTAAAAGTTTCAGATGAGATTTAAGGTAGGAGTGGGCTCAAAGCAAGCTTTCTAATCAAGGTAAAGGCAAAAGATTTCCAAAATCCCACTTTGCGGAAAACTAGAGGATTCTCTAATGCTAATTGACACTTGAGCCATGGTTTAAACTGTCAGTGCATGCGGCTTCTTTAGCCTTTTGGGTGCATGATCTGAGGCACTAAAGTACTTCCATGCTCATGATTGGAGAGCACCTTTGAGGAGATATACCTCAGCTGGGTTAAAAAGTAAGACAAGGATTAAAGAACAATCAGGCCTTACAATTTAGATAATTGAAGCCAAAGTCATTTTTCCGCTTGAGTGATATAACTTGAATTAGAAAAAAAGGTGATTCTAAAGCCAGAAAACCACTTTTGCCTACATTACCTAGGTAACTGAAACCACTTTTAAGACAATTTTAAGGCTTGAATTATATCACTCTTTGGTTCATTTTAGACTTTATTCCGTTACTGGAAGGAGGGCCTTGAGTGTAAGTTGTCCAGGTTCTTGGCGTTTTGAACAAAGAATTGGACAAAACGCACAAAGTAACAAAGGAATGAAACACAGGAACAAAGTAGCCGAAGCAGGGATGTATTAAAGGGAGAAAGCACTCCGCAGGGTGGGAGTGGACCCTAGCGAGCGGCTCAAGGGCCCGGTTACAAAAGTTTTCTGGGTTTCAAGTACTCCTTTCTTTTGTTTTGAGATGGAGTTTCACTCTTGTTGCCCAGGCTGGAGTGCAATGGTGCGATCTCGGCTCACCGCAACCTCCACCTATTGGGTTCAAGTGATTCTCCTGCCTCTGCCTCCCGAGTAGCTGGGATTACAGGCATGTGCCACCACGCCTGGCTAATTTTGTATTTTTAGTAGAGATGGGGTTTCTCCATGTTGGTCAGGCTGGTCTCGAACTCCTGACCTCAGGTGATCTGCCCACCTCGGCCTCCCAAAGTGCTGGGATTACAGGTGTGAGCCACTGCTCCTTTTGAGGTTCCTATCAATTACCCTTTATCTGGATGAAGGATTTGGTTTGTGGGTAAAGGCTGAGGTGAATTGGCACCCTATGCAGATGAAGAGATAGCCCATGCTTGTTCCACGGCCAGTACAAGGCACTCTCCCTTTCCTTGTGAGATGTGGTGGAAGGGGAGGGTTGTAGGGAGACTAGCCTTTGATCCGTCGCTACTTGGGCTTGGGGGAGATGCGGTTTTTCCTTTTGGTTCAGCTTTAGGAAGTTTGCATTAATTGGGCTTAGGTTCCCTGCCCCCAGACCCAGGTGTTTTCCTTTTGATCCAGCTTTGGGAAGTCAGCACAAATTGGCCTCAGTTTCCCTGCCACCAGGCCTTGGTGTTTTTCCTTGATTCAGCATGAATTGACCTTAAGTTCCCTGCCTCCAGACCCTATTCTCCTGCCTTAATTCTTTTCTTTCTTTATCATATTTCCATGAGCCCCTCCTGAGTTGTTCAGTGTTGAACTATTAAGGACCCTGCCCTTTACATTGGATTTTGTTAGGAATTAGTTCAAAATAATAAATAAATAATAAGTAAAGAAAATAGGACATGTTATAAAGATTAAAGTCCAGAGTAAGATCAGAAAAAGAATGACCTCCAAACTGTTTAATGAAAAATAAATTTGGCTGGGTGTGGTGGTTCATGCCTGTAATCCCAACACTTTGGGAGTCTGAAGCGGGCACATCACTTGAGGTCAGGAGTTTGAGACGAGCCTGGCTAACATGGTGAAACCCCATCTCTATTCAAATTCAAAAATTAGCCAGGTGTGGTGGCACACAACTGTAATCCCAGCTACTGGAGAGGCTGAGTTAGGAGAATTACTTGAACCTGGGAGGCAGAGGTTGCAGCGAGCCAAGATGGCACCACTGCACTCCAGCCTGGATGACAGAGCAAGATCCTGCCACAAAAAAAAGAAAGGAAAGGAAAAGAAAAAGAAATTTGGACCTCCTGGTAGAAGCTTAACTAGACTACCTGGTACTTATATTAAAATAATTATAGGGCTTTTATTTATTATGTCATCCATTTGACTTTTATCTCAATAACTCTATTGAACTGTTTACTTCATTTAAACCCAGGTATGTGTTTGAGTGGTACCCATTACACGAGGACAATGATAGCATTTCTTAAAATTTAAAAACACCTTATAGAGACAAAGTGAGGAAAAGAAAGATTGAGAAAACTAAAACAGCAGAAATGATTATTGTAGAGCAGATAAATCTTGCCTCAGGAATCAGCTTGGATAAACAAATAGAATAAATAAAAGGAAAGTAATTCTTAATAAAAGTAATATGAGTTTCAATATATAACCCATACAGAGGAGATATAAAAGTTGTCAGATCTTATATAAATAATGAATAAGATTGGATTTTTTTTTTTTTTGAGATGGAGTCTCACTTTGTTGCCCAGGCTGGGGTGCAGTGGTGTGATCTCGACCCACCACAACCACTGCCTCCCAGGTTCAAGCAATTCTTCTGCCTCAGCCTCCCGAGTAGCTGGGACTACAGGTGCGCACCACCATGCCTGGCTAATTTTTGTATTTTTAGTAGAGACGGGGTTTCACTATGTTGGCCAGGCTGGTCTCAAACTCCTGACCTCGTGATCCACCCACGTCGGCCTCCCAAAGTGCTGGGATTACAGGCATGAGCCACCGTGCCCAGCTGAATAAGATTGGATTTAAGAGAAGCAAGGATATCAGAAGCCATTTCATATAAATAGTACAGAAAAAATCAGAGAAAAGTTGTAAGTGGATAATAAAACAAAAACTAGTATGTTCAGTGTATGTCTATACGATGCAAATGATCTTTTTGTTTATGTATAAAACAGTTTTTGTATAAATTCAGAAAATGATAAACAGGTGTTTTTTTTTGTTTTTTTTTTTTTTGGTCTACATAAATGTCCCGCAGTACATTCCATCCTCTAGCCCCCACTAAATGCCCCTTGCAACCCTAGATCGGTGACAACCAAAAACTGCCACTGCAAATTTCCGACCTGTCCTTAGAGGGCCGTACTGTTTCCACTGCAATCCCTGAACCCGAGCAACTGTGCACACTCCAGACTGATTGCCTTTGCCTGCCTTTACTACTTAGGCTTTGCAGGCAAAAAAGGCCGAGGAGACATCTTCTTGCCTCTTTCCAGCTAGTTTTATTTTTTAATAGTGTTCTTGCACATGAGGAGAAAGACTGAATTCAATTGCACTATTCTATAACTAATTATAAGTTATAATAAAAATGAAACAAAAACATTTCAACTGATAGTAGATGCATGGTTTGGGTACATGAGAGGAAGATAGGTCTCCTTGCTTTCATTATGTTTAAGTGATCCCGTCATTTAAATGATGACTGTGTGGTTTCTAACCTGCTGGGAAACTTTTATCTTTTCCATCCATTATAGCCCAGATGAAAGTTGGCTGTGACAACACTGTGGTGCGCATGGTCTCCAGTGGAAAACACGTAAATCGTGTGACTTTTGAGTATCGTCAGCTGGAGCCGTACGAGCTGGAAAACCCAAATGGAAACAGTATCGGGGAATTCTGTTTGTCTGGTCTTTGAATAACCAACCCAGTGATTTACATGCTGATAGCTAAGTGAGTTTTTAATGGCCATTGTGTATGATTTTGATGCACAACTAGTTAAAAGCCTTTCATACCAGTCAGTATTCCCAGCCTTGAGCGCACGCGCGCACACACACACACACATACACACACGCATTAATTTTTGTACTTTGCTTCTTTTATGTTTGTAATCTGTAAATGAACACATGGCAGAAAATAACCCCTGATTGGTAGGATCATAGTTCTAAATGGAAATGTTTGTAATTCTTTGATGTGCTACAAACCTGAAACTGGTAAGACAAGCACAAAGCAACGTGCAATACAAAAATCGTATCTCAAGGGAAAATACTCAAAGAAAGAAAAGTGGCAGCACTTATATTAGTTTTATAACAGGATAAAGTCTTGTGTATAGCAAAGTAGTTGCATCTGTTTATTTTCTATTTATTATTGTTACAATAGGTAATAGTTATAGCAATTATTTATTGATTTGTAACAACTTGTTTTTAACCAAACTTTGTAGCATGGAAAAAATTTTCCATCCACAAATACAAACATGAATAAATACATTCAGAATGTTGGCACCATGATGTTGGGCTTTATTTGCTTTCCTGAGTAGTCCTCTTTCTTGTTACCATCAGAAAATAATGTTATCATGTGGTGCAGAGCCAAATGCTGAACTAAATCATTTTGGACTTCTCAGAGCTAGAACTCTGGGCCATTGAAGTAGAATTATTTAGAGGAGAGGTAGAATTGCAGTGTTTGCACAGGCAACACTAGCTGGTCCTGGCAGGGAAGCGGGTGCAGAGATTCATTTTCCGCTATCCTCAGAATACGTGTTTTTGTCACGATATACATTTCTACAAAGACAGCAAGGACCTTACAACAACTCTCATAGACACAATTTGCAGAAATCTGAATACTTCTTTGATACTGAAGGCAGTTTACTGTTGACTGAGCTTTGTTCCGTGTTTGGCTTAAAACTGAGTGTGTAGTATGTAAAAGACATCTTGGAGCAAAAAGGAAGGTTCTAAGCTACAAAGAAAATTCTTTTTTTTTTTTTTTTTTTTTTTTTTTTTTTTGAGACAGTCTTGGCTCTGTCACCTAGGCTGGAGTACAGTAATGTAATCTCACCTCACTGCAGCCTGCACCTCCTGGGTTCAAGCGATTCTCCTGCCTCAGCCTCCCAAGTAGCTGTGGTTACATGTGCGCCACCATGCCTGGCTAATTTTTGTATTTTTGGTAGAGGCAGGGTTTCACCATGTTGGCCAAGCTGGTCTCAAACTCCTGACCTCAAGTGATCTACCAGCCTTGGCCTCCCAAAGTGCTGGGATTACAGGCATGAGCCACTGTGCCCGGCTAGAAAATTCTTTTAAGGGAACTCTTTACTTTGGATTAGTAGATGAAAGCTTCAAACTATGCCATAATTAATGGCCTTATTATGGTTCCTGAAACATATTTAATATGATTGGCATATACTGGGATCCTATACACTGGGCTTGTTCACAAAATCTGAAAACCAGGCAGAAAAAAAAAACCCAACTAATTGGAAGTGTTTCAAATACCTAGGATTTGGCACAAGTTTTGGCTCAGTAGGTATTTTGGAATGAGTGACTACTTTAGCAAATGATGAATAAATGCTTGAATGGATGGATGGATGGATGGATGACGGATGACTATAATTCTTGATTAGTTATATAAAATATTGGATTCTTCATTTCATAGAAACTAAATTCTATGAAGCAGGAGGTTGAACCCTTTTCTTAAAAAAGATAGTCACTCTAGCAACCCAAGAATTAAGGAAGTTACTTTTATCACCATCAGAAGTTTCTGGCTCTTAACCTTCATGATTCCCTCATGCTGAGTAAAATACACTTTTCTATTACATCTCACCATCAAAGTTAGGAAACTTCTTTTATTCCTAAGGGATTTTGCAAGCTGATTAGCCTCTCTGCAGTAAGACAGGTGCTCCTGTGGTCCTTAAGCCCTGACATTCTGTGGTCATTTGTGACATGCTTTACTTCAAAGCTTGTTAGTGAACAACAGGTTACATTCTTTGAGAGGATGTCCACCCTGGTGAACTGTCCATGTCTTTTTCTTGGACTGTCTACTACTTAGCCTATGTTCCAAAAGGATGGGGCAGCTTTCTGGAAACAAAATGGTAAATGAAATCTCCGGGGGAGATTTATAGGTTGTGTCTTCATTGGTATATCCATCAAGCGAGTAAAAGTTTATATGAAACAATATGACTTTCTAAGAAAGGAAGTATAGCGTAGTGGTTAAGGTCATTGACTCTGCAGCCAACCCTCTTGGAATCCCAGCTCTACCACTGACTTGAGCAAGTCACTTATAAGTCTCCATTCCTTAGTTTTTAATCTGTAAAATTTGGGTAATTTACAGTACCTTTACAGAAGGAGAAAGGTGCCTTCTTCAAAAGGTTTTTGGCCACATTAAATGGTTAGATATATTTAAAGCTCAAGACCTGTGTCTCACATGTGTTGGCTGTTATTTTTATTTTTCTCTCTTCTAAGCAAATATGCCATTCTGGGTCCTCCGTACTCTTATTGGGACATTTGCTTTGTACGCTGAAGGATTTGCACTAATTCAATTATACTGTTTCATCCCAGGACATTTGTGAGGAAGCTAGGGTTAGTTAAGGTTGTTGCCTGTCACTGAGAAGCATAGTAACCCCAGCCCTAATCCTCACCCTAATCCTAACGTTTGAGGGTAGATCATGTCAGGATTTATCTAATTCACACACATCTCTTCTCACAGCTCACCCCTGTCTGCAGGCACTGCACTGCTCCAGGACCAATCCTGACCTTGGGCAAGAGGAATTTGAATAGCTCTTGTCTGACGTTCTGGTCATGAGCAAATTGTCTCATAAATTGTCTGGACTATCTGCCCTTCTGCCCCATTCTCCATCTCTGTAATCTTTCAGATCTTGGTTATTTCATTGTAGTAGTTCTTGTCTGGCCCTGTTTTTATCTCTCACTCCTACCTATAGGTCTTTCTGAATACCAATTAGGGGACTAGGGATCTGCTTTCTACAACCAATAACTGATTTCTCAAATTCTTCCTGCCTACATGTCTAAAATTCTGAGCATTTTTGCTCATAGGTTTTATGTCACTGTCACCATCTAATTTTCTAGATGCTTCTCTTTTTTCTTCTTTTGAGACAGGGTCTTGCTCTATTATGCAGGCTGGAGTGCAGTGACAGCTAACTGCAGCCTCAACTTCCTGGGGTCAAGTGATCTCTCACCTCAGCCTCCCAAGTATCTGGGGGTCACGGGTGCATGCTACCTGTGGCTAATTAAAAAAAAAAAAATTATAGGCTGGGCGCAGTGGCTCACACCTGTAATCCCAGCACTTTGGGAGGCCGAGGCAGGCTGATTGCCTGAGGTTGGGAGTTCGAGATCAGCCTGATCAGCATGATGAAACCCTGTCTCTACTAAAAACACAAAAATTAGCCGGGCATGGAGGCAGGCGCCTGTAATCCCAGCTACTTGGGAAGCTGAGACAGGAGAATCGCCTGAACCCGGGAGGCGGAGATTGCAGTGAGCCGAGATCATGCCATTGCACTCCAGCCTGGGCAACAGAGGGACTCCGTCTCAAAAAAAAAAAATTTATAGAGACAGGGTCTCACTATGTTGCCCAAGCTGGTCTCAAATTTCTGGGCTCAAGCGATCCACCCACCTCAGCTTCCCAAAATGTTAGGATTATAGGCATGAGCCACTGCACCCAGCCTTGTGGATCCTTTTCTACCTCCTCTAATCCTGCCTCTTCTGCCACTGTCTTCGAGCCTGCCATCTATGGAATATCTTGATCTGCCTATGATACTGGACTTTCTCCTAGTATATAAAGCAGCATGTCTTCTTTACCTCCAACTACTCCCTGGTACTGTTGCTTCATTTAAGTGGGTAGGGCAGAAATGCTATATGTTCATCAGAACTCACTTTACAACCTCTCTTACAGTTAGGCTTGGTCACGTGACTGAATTATCACAGAAAGAATGTGGGTGGATATGATGTCCACCCCTTGATATGATCCTCCACACCTTCTCTCTCTTCCCATACCTACTATCTGTTAGACACAGAGGCTTGAACAGAGGACTCCAAGGCCATACAGGAAAACAGAGCCATAGGATGCAAGAAGCCTGCATCTCTGAATGACCACATAGACGGCTGCCTATTGACTATGCATATCCACATTGGACTTTGTATGAATGAGAAATAAATTTTTATTTTGTTAAGCCACTGAGATAAATATATATAGCACTATTATCATACTTCATACAATGGGCCTGTCTAAATCCAATTCTTAGCTATTCTGTCTGTTTTCGTTGCAACTATCCAGACAGGCCTGACTTGACTCTTCCAAAGAAAAATACCTCAAATGCACATCTTTGATCTTATGAAAACTAAGCTTTAACTGGTATAACCATATGCAACCTTTCCACATTCTTTAAATAGTCTTAGAACAGTGATCCTTAGACCTCTTTGAAAATCTGACAGGAGCTAGAAATTGTTTTCCAGTAAAATATCTCTATACATACAAAAATACCATGCAAATACCTGAGAGTTCACAAACCCCTGAAGAGCATCTAAGGATTTCAGGATAACTCCTGCTATTGGATTCAGCAATGGATGAAAGTCAGTTTTATATCAGTCTTCTCACACTGAATTGCCCTCTCTTCAATATTAGTTTAAAACATTCATTAGTGAATCTGGCTGCAAAATAAGTCCATAATAACAACTTAGTCTTTCTGCTTCTATATTTATTTAATTTTGCCTTTTACCAGATGAGTTTTTCTTCATCTGCTATGTAGTTTTTCATTAGAGAGAAAACATGTTTGACTCAGGACAAATTTTTGTGACACAGATTTTTCCAGATTTCTCCTAATTTCAAACTTCTCTTGCTTGCTATTTTATTTTATTTAAGACAGAGTCTTGCTCTGTCACTCAGCCTGGAGTGTAGGGCGCGATCTCAGCTCACTGCAATCTCTGCCTCCAGGGTTCAAGCGATTCTCCCGCCTCAGCCTCCCGAGAAGCTGGGATTACAGGCACGTGCCACCACACCTGGCTAATTTTCTAAATCGTTATTATTATTATTATTATTATTATTTTTAGACAGGGTCTCACTCTGTCACCCAGACTGGAGTTCAGTGGCATGATCTTGGCTCACTGCAACCTCTGCCTCCCAGGCTGAAGTGATTCTATTGCCTCAGCCTCCCAAGTAGCTGGAATTACAGCCTCCCAAGTAGCTGGGATTACAGGCATGTGTCACCATGCCTGGCTAATTTTTGTATTTTTAGTAGAGACGGGGTTTCACCAGGTTGGTCAGGCTGGTCTTGAACTCCTGATCTCAAATGATCCACCCGCCTCAGCCTCCCAAAGTGCTGGGATTACAGGCGTGAGCCACGGTGCCCGGCCAAATTTTGTATTTTTAGTAGAGAGGGGGTTTCACCCTATTGGCCAGGCTGGTCTCAAACTCCTGATCTTAGGTGATCCGCTGGCCTCAGCCTCCCAAAGTGCTGGGATTACAGGCATGGGCCACCATGCCAGGCTGCTTGCTATTTTAATTGGGAGGCAACATTGCCAGTTTGTCTGCAAAGTAGAATCTTCATGAAAGGAAAACAAAGGTTTGATGGACAGGATTTACTTGTAGGCAGTTTGTTTATGTGCTCAAAAGCACCCAAAAGAGAGTTGTGGAAAGAAATGCCTATTGTAGGGTAGTCATATGAAATTATATCTGAATACACTTTTATCTGTGCAGTGAAGTATTTCAGAAAACAGAAACACCTTTGTATCTTCAAATAAGTAGGTTGAATGGCATCAGTTCTAATGGGTCATTTGTAATGATTATCATCCATTTTTCTCTTTGCATTTTAAAGTTTTTTTCTTCATTTGTTAAGACAAACTACACAAAGAGAAAAGAAACAGAGATACGAGAGAGGAAATATGGGTGAGAGAAAGAAGCTTGATTAGAGGATTTGAAAACATAATGAAATAGAGGTCTCTAAATTGGATTCTGGGCTTTGCTCTTGATAACAACCATGTACTCAATCCCTCTGCAGCTGAAAAACTGAAAACAGGAAGTGTTTTTGCTTTAGGGGAAAGATTTCATGTCAACATTAAGACATACAGTTGGATGAGCTAGAAATAACCATGCTCTTTGTAACTAGAAGAATTATTAGATATTGGGGGTTCCTAGTATGAAAATGCAATTCCCCTGTTGACTCTCCTTTCCAGGTTTTTAAAGTTTAAGAAAACATGTCTTGTGTTATTAACGGTTCAGATGTAATCAAGCCAGCCAAAGACACCAGCACAGCAGGTAGCTACTGTGATTTCAGGGATAGCACTTAAGTGAAAATATTGCATTTTACTGAAATGCCCACCCTTACAACCCTTTTTCTTCTGTTATCAAAATGTATATTTAATTAAGCAAGTAATTCATTAGTAACATATTACTTTAAAGATTCAAACCATATAGTGGTAACTAGTTAATGAACTAACTTATAAATCAGTCATTAATTTGACCATATATTATCGCTAATCATTATGACATGACAAGAATTGGCAGGAAAGTCTCAAATACAGGGGAGGGTAGTGAGTGCAATTAAGAGTATTAGGTCCTGGCCAGGCATGGTGGCTCATACCTGTAATCCCAACACTTTGGGAGGCTGAGGTGGGTGGATTACTTAAGGCCAGGAGTTCGAGACCAGCCTGTCCAACATGGTGAAACCCCATCTCTACTAAAAATACAAAAAATTAGCTGGATGTGGTTGTGCGTGCCTGTAATCCCAGCCACTCTGGAGGCTGAAGCAGGAGAATTGCTTGAACCCGGGAGGCAGAGGTTGCAGTCAGCCGAGATCACACCACTGCACTCCAGCCTGGGCAACAGAGCGAGACTCTGTCTCAAAAAAAAAAAAAAAAAAAAAAATATATATATATATATATATACACGCATATATATATACACACACATATACATGCATATATACACACGTGTATATATGTGTGTATATATATGTGTATATATATGTGTGTGTGTATATATATATATATATGCGTGTATATATATATATATGTTGGTGGTCCATTGGCAAAGCTAAGAAAATGGTAGATCAACTCTGCCTTCTGCTCAGCAAAAGCCAATCCCTTCACCCATCACATCCAGGCTTATTAGCAGAGGCCTCTGTGATCTTATATATAATAAGATGCTGGCCCCTACCCACCCATCCTCACCCTCTCTTTTTACATCAAAGAGATCTCTCTAATAAATTGGGTAATAAGCAGGAAAAGAAAGAGTATGAGATGCTGAAAAGCAAACAGACCCAGGTAAATAAATACTCCATTAAAGCTACCTGGACAACTAACAAGGTATTGATGAAGCCACTAGCTGGCTGAAAGTTTGTAGAGGTAAGCAAAGTTTGCTATAGACTTGGGAGTGTTATCAAAGACAAACTGTATTTCCTTAGTTTTGTTTAGGACCAGCCCAGAATGCAATCTATCCTGTGTGGAATGGATGGGATGAGAGATGGATGGGCCCAGCCTTAGAAGCAAGATCTAGACCTATAAGTATAGTCAACAGAATGGAGAGGGAAGAACCCAGACTTCAGGAACCCAATGTAGAGGTGAGTTCTTATTCAACCACTAACCAGCTGTATGTCCTTGAGCAAGTTCCTGCACTGCTCTGAGCAGCTTCGTTACGTGTCAGGTATAACAGGAGCACCTACGTTTTAATGCGATGGCTTGCATGAAGTACCACGCACCAGTCAAGGCACATGGTAGACACTATAACTATGAGTGTTCCTTTCTCAGAAAACTTATCAGTCAAGTCTTTGGTAATATAATTTTATCTTAAATGCTTCTAAAATGTTTTCTATTTCAAGGAAATAGAGCTGGC
Organism: Homo sapiens; assembly: GCF_000001405.40. Classification (NCBI taxonomy): domain Eukaryota; kingdom Metazoa; phylum Chordata; class Mammalia; order Primates; family Hominidae; genus Homo; species Homo sapiens. The sequence goes on from NC_000005.10 coordinate 76,976,793, forward strand.
TCCCTTAATTGATGAGAATTTATTTGGCAAAGAGAAAATAGCTTGTTTTTATAACATTCAATTACTATTTTTTTTCTTGAAATGGCTTTACCTCTACAGTATCTACTCATCGATTAATTAAAATAGGGTGGTCCATTGGCAAAGCTAAGAAGATGGTAGATCAACTCTGCCATCTGCTCAGCAAAAGCCAATCCCTTCACCCATCACATCCAGGCTTATTAGCAGAGGCCTCTATGATCCTTCCCTATCCTGGCCTTTCCAATGAAAAACAACCAGTGCTGACATTGAGTGCCCCTTAGGGGACACTGACACGCCAACTGCCAGGTAAAGGTAGGAAGGGATGAGGCTGGTGTAACGTTCTGTAAGGCTGCAGGTTTAAAAACAAAACAAAACAAACTCAAAAACCTCTAAGATTGATAATAAGAAAATGTTTGGCTTTATTCTTGAATCATAGTAAAAGCTAATATTTATTGAATACGAAGTACAGGCATACCTTGTTTTATTGCACTTCACTTTATTGGGCTGTGCGGATATTATGTTTTCTACAAGTAGAAGGTTTGTGGCAACTTTGGGTCGAGCAAGTCTATTGGTGCCATTTTTCCAACAACATGTGTTCACTTCATGTGTCTGTGTCACATTTTGGTAATTCTCATAATATTTCAAGCTTTTTCATTATTATCATAGCTGTTATGGTGATCTGTGATCAGATGTTACTATTGTAATTGTTGTTACTATTGTAATTGTTTTAGGGTGCCACAAACTGTGCCCATAGAAGACAGTGAACTTATGGATAAATGTGTGTTTTGACTTCTCCGCCTACTGGCTGTTTGTTCCCCTGTCTCCCTTTCTCTTGCCTCGGGCCTCCTTATTCTCTAAGACACAAGAATATTAAAATTAGGCCAATTTATAATTCTACAATGACCTCTAAGTGTTCAGTGAAAGGAAGAGTCCCAGGTTTTCTCACTTTAAGTCAAATGCTAGAAATGATTAAGCTTAGTGAAGAAGGCATGTTGAAAGCCAAGAGAGGCTAAAAGCTAAGCGTCTTATTCCAAACAGTTAGCCAAGTTGTGAACGCCAAGGAAAAGTTACTGAAGGAAATTAAAAGTGCTACTCCAGTGAATACACAAATGATAAGAAAACAAAACAGCCTTATTGCTGATGTGGAGAAAGTTTGAGTGTTCTGGATACATAAACAGCCACAGCGTTCCTTTAAGCCAAAACCTAATCCAGAGCAAGGCCCTAATATTCTCTCATTCTATGAAGGCTGAGAGAGGTGAGGGAACCTGCCGAAGAAAAGTTGGAAGCTAGCAGAGGTTGCTTCATGAGGTTTAAGGAAAGAAGCCATCTCCATTAAAAAAAAGGTGCAAGATGAAGCAGCAAGTGCTGATGTAGAAGCTGCAGCAAGATCATTGATGAAGGTGGCTACTCCAAACAACTGATTTTCAATGTAGACAAAAAAGCCTTCTATTGGAAGGAGATGCCATCTAGGACTTTTATCGCTAAAGAGAAGTCAATACCTGGTTTCAAAGCTTCAAAGGACAGAATGACTCGTTAGGGGCTAATGCAGCTGGTAACTTTAAGAAGCCAAGCTCATGTACCATTCTGAAAATCCTAGGGCCCTTAAGAAGTATGCTGAGTCTACTCTGTCTGGGCTCTAAAGGAACAACAAAGCCTGGATGATAGCACATCTGTTTACAGCATGGTTTACTGGATATTTGAACCTGACTGTTGAGACTTACTGCTGAGAAAAATAATCTTTCAAAATATTACTGCTCATTGACAATGCACCTGGTCATCCAAGAGCTCTGAGGGAAATGTACAAAAAGATTAATGTTGTTTTCATGCCTGCTAACATAACATCCATTCTGCAGCCCATGGACAATCTCACAATAAAACTTTAAGGGATGAGGAGTTACTTCTTTTGAATGAGCAAAGAAAGCGGTTTCTTGAGATGGAATCTACTGCTAGTGAAGATGCTATGAATATTGTTGAAATAACAACAAATTTAGAATGGTACATAAACTTAGATGGTACATAAACTTAGTTGATAAAGCAGCAGCAGAGTTTGATAAAATTAACTCTAATTTGGAGGAAGTTCTACTATAGGTAAAATGCTATCAAACAGCATTGCATGCTACAGAGAAATGCTTTGTAAAAAGAAGAGTCAATTAATGTGGCAAACTCCATTGATGTCTTATTTTAGGAAATTGCCACAGCTGTTCCAGCTTTCAGTAACCACTGCCCTTATCAGTCAACAGCCCATCAACATCAAACACTCACCACCAGCAAAAAGATTATGACTCGCTGAAGGATGGGATGACCTTTAGCATTTTTTAGCAATAAAGTATTTTTCTTTTCTTTCTTTTTCTTGTCTCTTCTTTTCTTTTCCTTTTTTTCGAGATGGGGTCTTTCTCTGTTGCCCAGGCTGGAGTGTAGTGTGCAATCACAGCTCACTGCAACCTTGACCTCCCCAGGCTCAGGTGGTCCTGCCACCTCAAGCAATCTGTCTCAGCCTCCCAAAGGGCTACGTTTATAGGTATGAGCCACTGTGCCCGGCCAACAATAAAGTTTTTTTCTTTGACAGAGTTTCGCTTTGTCTCCAGGCTGGAGTGCAGTGGTGTGTTCTCGGCTCATTGCAACCTCCGCCTCCTGGGTTCAAGCAATTCTCCTGCCTCAGCCTCCCGAGTAGCTGGGATTACAGGCACGTGCCACCGCACCCAGCTAGTTTTTGTATTTTTAGTAGAGACGGTGTTTCACCATGTTGGCCAGGATGGTCTTGATCTCCTGACCTCATGATCCGCCTGTCTCAGCCTCCCAAAGTGCTGGGATTACAGGCGTGAGACACCGTGCCCAACCAATACAGTATTTTAAATTAAGGTATGTACATTGTTTTAGACATAATGCTATTGCACACTTAGTATACTACATTATACTGTAAACATCACTTCTATATGTACTAGGAAACCAAAAAATTGGTATGACTCACCTTATTGCAATATCCACCTTTTTATGATGGTCTGGAACCAAAACTGTAATATCTTCAAGGTATGCCTGTATATTCTTTGCACTGTTCTACAGACTTCCTATGCGTTGAAGCATTGAAACCTATCTTCACTTTGCAGATAGGGAAACTGAAGCATGGAGAAGTAAATCACACAGTTAGAAAGCAGTGGGGCCGGCCGGGCGCGGTGGCTCACGCCTGTAATGCCAGCACTTTGGGAGGCCGAGGCGGGCGGATCACGAGGTCAGGAGATCGAGACCATCCTGGCTAACACGGTGAAACCCCGTCTCTACTAAAAATACAAAAAAAAAATTAGCCGGGCGTGGTGGCGGGCGCCTGTAGTCCCAGCTACTCGGGAGGCTGAGGCAGGAGAATGGCGTGAACCCGGGAGGCGGAGCTTGCAGTGAGCCGAGATCGCGCCACTGCACTCCAGCCTGGGCGACAGAGCGAGACTCCGTCTCAAAAAAAAAAAAAAAAAAAAAAAGAAAGCAGTGGGGCCAGGATTCAGACTTCAGTGATCTGACATCAAAGCTTGCTGGCTTTATTGCTGCACTACTCTGCTAGAGACTGTGGCTGGAATAGAGTGTGAAGCACCGCTCTCAGGGAGGGTTTCCACCAGCATGGCAGTGACACTGAAAGCATTCTGGTCCTTATTTCTTTGTCGAAACACACCATTCAAAGTTATTTTAGAGTATTTGTCTGAAGATTTTGTAACAAATCAATTCCATTTCCAACTCTCAGAATGGCCTAATGGGACAGCTCATTGAATATTTGGTCAACTTGGCGATGCCATAGAACGAAGACATTTAGTCAAACTCATCTGGATGTTGCTGTGAAGACAATTTTCAGATGAGATTAACATTTAAATCAGTAGATTTTGAGTAAAGCAAATTACTTCCGTAAGTTGGGTGGGCCTCAACCAATCAGCTGAAGGCCTTATATGGAAAAAGACGGAGTTTCCCCAAGGGAAGGAGAACATCTGATTGGTTCTGTTTCTCTGGAGAACCTTCCTAATGTGCCAAATACTATTAATTTTTGCGGGAAGGGCTCCGAAAAATTTTTCCTTGTACTCAGCTATAATGTGTTATAAGCAAAGCTGTTGCAAAATCTTTGTTTACCAATGAATGGTCTGAGGTCATCATGTCCTTTTTTTCTTTCTCTGCACAGTCCTGCATGACCCCTTGTTCACTATCAAACTGACTTCCACATACAGGAGCACGAAAGGCACAGGAATGGATGCCAATAGACTCATTAGCACCTCCTCAATATCACCTCAGTCCACTTAACTGAGAAACAGCTGTTGAAGATGGCGAGATCCAAAATAAAACCCAGTTCTCAACCAAATAAAATATCTCTAAAAAGAGGAGAAAATGGTTGTGAGATGTCATTTCCCATTTTTAGGAGAAACTATAAAAGGAACAGCCAACAGTTACACAGAAATTTAAGATTGTGCCTACGTTAATTCCAAGCAATAGTCTTTCTATTTATAACCCATGCTAATTAAATGTTATCACTTACCATTCATTATTAACAGAGGTTTTCTGGCTATTGTCAAATCTCAGGTGAAAGCCTTTTAGCTTCTTTCATTCCTTCTCAATGAAACCAATTTGGCAGTCTCTTTCAAAGCAATGTCTTCAATTGGAAAGTACTACCTCATACATGAATGAACAACGTGTCTCCTCTTGTCATTGATAAGATGAACTTAGAATGAGCTTGAAATGCTATGGTGATGGTGCTCTATTCTGGACTGCAGAAAAATCTGGAATGCCGCTGTGTAACAAGAGCAGAACATTATGGGGGAAGAAAACCCAGAAGACTAATTTTTAAAATAGCTAAATTTAAGAAATGAACAAAAGCATCTTAAAATATAAAGCTCAATAGATCTCAAGAGTAGACTGGACGTAGCTAATGAGAAAATGAGTTCTGGAAGAAAAGTTGGAAGATATGGAGGATAGAATGACGTGCACCAGCATGCATCTGAGTGGGCCAGTGGTTTAGGATATTAGGCATTTTGTTTCTCCTCACTATAAAGATAGGTATTCTCAGATACTTTGCAGGTTTTAAAAATAGTTCTCTTGAAAATTACTACCTTAAAAGTGACATTCATAAAGATACTCTGAAGAACTGATCACTTTTATTGGATGAATGCAGATGAACAAAATTATTAATTCAAGGTAACCCCTTATAGGCATGACCTATCTGCTAATTTCTCTTGCAATCATTTTGTTTTGTTTCTTATTCTTACATAATCTCATAAAGCACCTCAATTCCTCATTTCACTTCTTCATGTATTGAATGCCTTTCTATTTAATAAATAATATGATCTAGCTGGGTACAGTGGCTCACACCTGTAATCCCAGTGCTTTGGGAGGCCAAAGCAGGAGGATCACTTGAGCCTAGGAGTTTGAGATCAGCCTGGACTGGGAGATGGGAGACCCCATCTCTACAAAAATTTAAAATTTAGCCAGCATGGTGGTGTGCACCTGTGGTCCCAGTTACTCTGGAGGCTGAGGTAGGAGGATTGCTTGAGCCCAGGAGGTTGAGGCTGTAGTGGGCTGTGATTGTGCCACTGCACTCCAGCCTGGATGACAGAGTGAGACCCTGTCTCAAAAAAAATTATATGAGCTAACATGTATTCAGTGTTTATTATTATACTAAGCACTATAAAACGGTTTACATTTATTATCTCATTTAATCTTACAACAATCAAAAGTGGAAGGTAGTGTTATTTTCTTCATTTTACAATGAAGGAATGGAGAACGAAATAGGTTAAGATACTTGCCCAAGGTCATACAGCTACTCATTCATAAAGGAAAACAATTCACATTTGTTTGTCAAGGTTAACCCATTGCAGGAGTGACTCATCTCATTCCTAATTATAAGCCACTCTTTTATATGACCTATTTTATACTCCTTCCTCTCCTCTTCCATTACAACTCATCCTATTCCACCCTCCCTTCTCCAAATAAGAAATGTTCATAGTCTGGGAAAAAAATATCTAGAAAAGTCAATGGCTTTGCTTTTATTATTTTATTTTATTTTATTTTATTTTATTTTATTTTATTTTAGACAGAGTCTCGCTCTGTCGCCCAGGCTGGAGTGCAGTGGCGTGATCTTGGCTCACTGCAAGCTCCGCCTCCTGGATTCACACCATTCTCCTGCCTCAGCCTCGTGAGTAGCTGGGACTACAGGCGACCGCCACCATGCCCGGCTAATTTTTTGTATTTTTTTAAAGTAGAGACGGGGTTTCACTGTGTTAGCCAGGATGGTCTCGATCTCCTGACCTCATGATCCGCCTGCCTCAGCCTCCCAAAGTATTATTTTCTTTTTAGTAGAAGTATCTGGATAATTTCCCTCATTTTTCATTTCGTTATGATTATAGAGACCTGGCTAATGGTATTTCACATGTCTACTAGGACTTAAGGAAAATCCTTCAGACTTGGTGTTCTAGGATATCAAGACACTTTCTTTTTTTGAGATGGAGTTTCACTCTTTTTGCCCAGGCTGGAGTGCCGTGGTGCAATCTCAGCTCACTGCAACCTCTGCCTCCCAGATTCAAGTGATTCTCATGCCTCAGCCCCCCAGGTAGCTGGGATTACAGGGGTGTGCCCCATGCCCAGCTAATTTTGTATTTTTAGTAGAGATGGGGTTTCACCATGTTTGCCAGGCTGGCCTTGAACTCCTGACCTCAGGTGATCCATCCCCCTCGGCCTCCCAAAGTGCTGGAATTACAGGCATGAGCCACCGCGCCTGGCCTCAAGACAATTTCATAATGATCCTTAGGTCAAGGTTTAGATGAGAAATTCATTGCTATGGTGTACAGAGGCAACAACATCCTCCTACATCCTGGCTAGAGCAGCAAAGCTTGCTACTGTTTGGCAAAGTTTCTAGGTGGTATTTTTAGAACAATATCCTCCTCTGTTTGGTGCTGCTGGAATATGGCTCTTGATTCACAGATGGGTGTCTCTGGGGTGACTGGGGAGCTAAATTTTCAAGTCTTCCCCTCACTGGATAAACAGTGACTCTTTCCAATTTTTGTTAAAATCTTTTTTTCTTTTTTTTTTTATTTATTTTTTATTTTTTTTTTTAATTGATCATTCTTGGGTGTTTCTCGCAGAGGGGGATTTGGCAGGGTCATAGGACAATAGTGGAGGGAAGGTCAGCAGATAAACAAGTGAACAAAGGTCTCTGGTTTTCCTAGGCAGAGTGTGTGTGTCCCTGGGTACTTGAGATTAGGGAGTGGTGATGACTCTTAACGAGCATGCTGCCTTCAAGCATCTGTTTAACAAAGCACATCTTGCACCGCCCTTAATCCATTTAACCCTGAGTGGACACAGCACATCTTTCAGAGAGCACAGGGTTGGGGGTAAGGTCATAGATCAACAGGATCCCAAGGCAGAAGAATTTTTCTTAGTACAGAACAAAATGAAAAGTCTCCCATGTCTACTTCTTTCTACACAGACACAGCAACCATCCGATTTCTCAATCTTTTCCCCACCTTTCCCCCTTTTCTATTCCACAAAACCGCCATTGTCATCATGGCCCGTTCTCAATGAGCTGTTGGGTACACCTCCCAGACGGGGTGGTGGCCGGGCAGAGGGGCTCCTCACTTCCCAGTAGGGGCGGCCGGGCAGAGGCGCCCCTCACCTCCCGGACCGGGCGGCTGGCCGGGCAGGGGGCTGACCCCCTACCTCCCTCCCGGACAAGGCGTCTCGCCTGGCGGGGGGGCTGTCCCCCCCACCTCCCTCCCGGACGGGGCGGCTGGCCGGGCGGGGGGCTGACCCCCCCACCTCCCTCCCGGACGGGGCGGCTGGCCGGGCGGGGGGGCTGACCCCCCACCTCCCTCCCGGACGGGGCGGCTGGCCGGGCAGAGGGGCTCCTCACTTCCCAGTAGGGGCGGCCGGGCAGAGGCGCCCCTCACCTCCCGAACAGGGCGGCTGGCTGGGCGGGGGGCTGACCCCCCCCACCTCCCTCCCAGACGGGGCGGCTCGCCGGGCGGGGGGCTGACCCCCCCACCTCCCTCCCGGACGGGGCGGCTTGCCTGGCGGGGGGCTGACCCCCCCACCCCCCTCCCGGATGGGGCGGCTGGCCGGGCGGGGGGCTGACCCCCCCACCTCCCTCCCGGACGGGGCGGCTGGCCGGGTGGGGTGCTGACTCCCCCACCTCCCTCCCGGACGGGGCGGCTGGCCGGGCAGAGGGGCTCCTCACTTCCCAGTAGGGGCGGCTGGGCAGAGGCGCCCCTCACCTCCCGGACGGGGTGGCTGGCCGGGTGGGGGGCTGACCCCCCACCTCCCTCCCGGACGGGGCGGCTGGCCTGGCGGGGGCTGACCCCCACCTCCCTTCCGGACGGGGTGGCTGCCGGGCGGAGACGCTCCTCACTTCTCAGATGGGGCAGTTGCCAGGTGGAGGGTCTCCTCACTTCTCAGACGGGGCGGCCGGGCAGAGACGCTCCTCACCTCCCAGACGGGGTCGCGGCCGGGCCGAGGCGCTCCTCACATCCCAGACGGGGCGGCGGGGCAGAGGCGCTCCCCACATCTCAGACGATGGGCGGCCGGGCAGAGATGCTCCTCACTTCCTAGATGGGATGGCGGCCGGGCAGAGACGCTCCTCACTTTCCAGACTGGGCAGCCAGGCAGAGGGGCTCCTCACATCCCAGACGATGCGCGGCCAGGCAGAGACGCTCCTCACTTCCCAGACGGGGTAGCCGCCGGGCAGAGGCTGCAATCTCGGCACTTTGGGGGGCCAAGGCAGGCGGCTGGGAGGTGGGGGTTGTAGCCGAGATCACGCCACTGCACTCCAGCCTGGGCACCATTGAGCACTGAGTTAACGAGACTCCGTCTGCAATCCCGGCACCTCGGGAGGCCGAGGCTGGCGGATCACTCGCGGTTAGGAGCTGGAGACCAGCCCGGCCAACACAGCGAAACCCCGTCTCCACCAAAAAAATACGAAAACCCGTCAGGCGTGGCGGCGCGCGCCTGCAATCGCAGGCTCTGGGCAGGCTGAGGCAGGAGAATCAGGCAGGGAGGTTGCAGTGAGCCGAGATGGCAGCAGCACAGTCCAGCTTCGGCTCGGCATGAGAGGGAGACCGTGGAAAGAGAGGGAGAGGGAGAGGGAGACCGTGGAAAGAGAGGGAGAGGGAGAGGAGGGAGAGGGAGAGGGAGAGGGAGAGGGACTTTTGTTAAAATCTTAACAGGCCACCAAGGCTGATGAAAAAAGCTTCAGAAGAGAAACTTCTTGTAGGCACCTACAGGTGGTGTGTCATTTAGTGGGAAGTATATATTTGGCAATGCTTTTCTTTTTTCTTTTTGGAAACAGAGTCTTGCTCTGTCACCCAGGCTGGGGTGCAGTGGCACAATCTCGGCTCACTGCAAACTCTGCCTCCTGGGCTCAAGTGATTCTCCCACCTCAGCTTCCCAAGTAGCTGGGACTACAGGCATGTGCCACCACACCCAGCTAATTTTTGTATTTTTAGTAGAGACAGGGTTTCGCTATGTTGCCCAGGCTGGTCTCGATCTCCTGGACTCAAGTGATCCACCCGCCTCAGCCTCCCAAAGTGCTGGGATTACAAGCATGAGCCACCATGCCTGGCCATTTTTGGCAATATTTCTTAAACCTCAGTGTGGCTACGAATCACCTGGGGATCCTGTGAAAGCTCAGATTCTGATTCTGGGTAGGGTCCAAGATTCAGTATTTCTTTTCTTTTATTTTTATTTTCCTGTGCTAATTCACCTGCAAAGCATTAGATATATATTAATTACACTATTGTTGAAATTCTGAAGCTGTCAATCCATGTTAGTGTGCTAGAGTCTTTTTCACATTTCTAAAATTTTTGTGGGTACATAGTAGGTGTCTATATTTGTGGGGAGAGTCTGCATTTCTGACAAGCTCCTGGGTGATGCTGACACTACTGGTCTCTCAACCACAAGGATATACAGACCTGTATGGAGGAAGAATATTGCCTTTCAGTGGAGCTAGCCATGGCTGGTTTATTTGTTTTTGCTTTTCTTGAAGGCTTGTGCTAAATAATAAAATCTACCTCACTTTCTTTCCACCTTGTCACTTGTGTTTGGAGCAACACAATGGAAGGAGCAAGCTGTAACTTGTGAACAGGAGACACATTAATGAAATAAAGCTCCAGAGAGAGAACTCAAGCTGGCCTGTTGCCGTGACGCTGGGCTAATGACACTGAGCTGGAAGAGTGATTCCCCTGGAGTCCTTATCAAGTGACACCATCTTAATTACCCAGTGAAAAGACAGCCCGTTTCCAGCAAACAATTACTTCCTGATCGATACCCTTGTCTTGTTAAGTATGCTTCCTGACCATTTATAGCCAAACATTTGATGTACTTTTCCTGAGAAGAAAAATCACCTTCTTAGCTATCTCTACTCAGCAGAAGCCCCTGCCCACATCACACACAAAACCATCTACATTTAGATATTCTGAATGGTTGGAAACTCCTATTTATTATCCTTCGGTGACTTTTATCTTTAGATGAAGAACTGAGAAGAGCACACAAGTTCCTCTCAGCAACATGATTTATGCTTGAGGCTAAGGCCTCAACTTGGGGAAGGGAAGAAGGTTGTTTCAAGCCTGTGGCCTCCTGTCACTCCCCACCCCTGGAAGGCCCTTCACTTTTGGGTGTGGCCTAGAGGCCTCATGGACAGCAGTCCCTTCTGACACCCAGTGAGATATCATCTGGGAGGGCTGCGCAGCCCTCAGTTCCCCTCATGGCTCTCTCTTTCACTTCCCTCCATGACACCACCTCATCGAGTTGAAGATGTTATTGATGAGTGCAGTGGGTGTATAGTGTCCTCCCAAAATTCATGTCCACCCAGAAATTCAGAATGCAACCTTATCTGGAAATAGAATCTTTGCAAATGTGATTAGTTAAGATGAAATCATACTGAGTTAGGATGAACCTGAAATCCAATCACTGGTGTCCTTGTAAGAGGAAAGGTCACAAAGAGACAGAGGAGATACACAGAGGAGCCCATGTAATGATGGGTACGGAGACTGACGTGGCACAACTATAAGCCAAGGAATGCCAGGGAAGGCCAGCTAGCAGAAGCTAGGGAAAAACACAGAGGGATTCTCCCCTGGAGCCTTTGGAGGGAGTGTGGCCCTGCTGACACCTTGGTTCTGGACTTCTGGCCCCCAGAACTGTGAGAAAATAAATTTCTTTTGCTTGAAGCCACCCAGTTTGTGGTGCTTTGTTGCGGCAGCCCTGGAAAACTAACACAATGAGTAAGGGAAAGTAAAGGAATTAAAAGGTGTGCAGGAAAGAATTTAAAGCTATGTGAAAATCATGACTTTCCCTCTACTGTCTAAGGAAAAAGAAATCCCTAAGAATGAATAGGGCCTACTCATTTGCTCACCTTACTCAAGGCTCAAGTCACAGCTTTCTGTGGGAGCATCTTTTTCAAACCTCCACAGTTGAAATCTCCATCCAGTAGGGGATTTTATTCATTTAGGACTCTTGGGAAATCTCGCTCAATTCCATTAGGGATTGGTCTCACCCTAGGGCTGCTTTCCCTTCCCCCACAATTTGTGATAATAGTCCCCAGCTGTGTTTTTCTCTAATTCTGAATTATCCAGCCCAGAATCACAGTACAGGGGAAGAACCTCCAGCAGGATGTCCAGAACAAGCAATGGCGACTTAGGTTTATTCAGGGTCTCCTACCCTGTAGTTGTAGATCCGCCCTGTCATTCTTTTGAAGGTCCAGAGGGTAACTCTGGGACTATAAACATGTGAATGTGCGTACACACACACACACACACACACAGCCCTACATCTCTCTAGGACAAACATCCACTCTCAGATACAACACAATCCAGCGGAGGAATAATTAGCAAAGCCACCCTGTGGACTTAATGGACTTGTAGTGGACATAGGACATCATATAACATAACTCTTACATTACTACTACTATGCAGATGTCGATAATACAGGATTTTCACCTTCAAACAAGAGGACAAAAATCTGATCGTCTTTGGATATTTTGTGGCATTGAAAAAAGGGACAAAAAATCCTTTTGGCCATTCTCTGTTTCTTCAAATCATATTTTCATTTTCTAGCAGTTAAAAACAAGAGTTCTGGCCGGGCGCGGTGGCTCATGCCTGTAATTCCAGCACTTTGGGAGGCTGAGACGGGCGGATCACGAGGTCAGGAGATCAAGACCATCCTGGCTAGCACGGTGAAACCCCGTCTCTACTAAAAAAAATACAAAAAATTAGCCGGCCTGGTGGCGGGCGCCTGTAATCCCAGCTACAAAGGAGGCTGAGGCAGGAGAATGTTGTGAATCCGGGAGGCGGAGCTTGCAGTGAGCCAAGATCGCGCCACTGCACTCCAGCCTGGGTGACAGAGCGAGACTCCGTCCCGCAAAAAAAATAAATAAATAAAAAATAAAAATAAAAACAAGAGTTCTGGCACGAAGAATAAAGCCAGCACCAATTTGGGCAAATCATAAAGCAAGAAAGGAAAAAAAAAGAGATTTGAATGGAACAAAAAGAAATGGAAAGAAAAAGTGGACATGTTGGAACTGGGCCACAGAGACTGCATCTAAACAGTAAAAAGACTGTTTAGTTGCTCACTTTTTCTTTGGAATTCTAACACCTTAGATAAGTGTCCTTGCTTTACAAAAAATGATACGACTTCTGCCACAAGACGGGCTTGGGGAGAACTCCGGCCATTGGTGTTAAGGTGGATTGCCTCTCCTAGTTTATAATCAGGAGTGTTTTGTGTTCGTTGAGCTCAAAATTCATTCAAATACACTTTCAAAGTTTTCAGTTGATTAAAGTGGCTCAGAAAAAAAATTCCTGTTTGTGTCTTTTTGCTGTGCTACTCTTAAACACTTAAAAGGCTTTTTTTTTTTTTTTTTAGCATAAATACTGCAGGTATTTAGCATAAATACAACAGATAGCTCTGTTGGTCAAGGTCGTCCAGAAAAACAGACCCAGTGGGACATAGGAGATATAATACATATTTATAAATTTATATCTCTATATCAGAAGAAGATGAGATGTCCTAGCTCAAGCAGTGAAGCAGGAAAAAGGGCGATTTCCTCCTTCTTCCACCTTTTTTTGCTCTTTTTTTGAGACAGAGTCTCTCTCTGTTGCCCAGGCTGGAGTGCAGTGGCACGATCTCGGCTCACTGCAACCTCTGCCTCCCATTTTCAAACAATTCTCCTGCCTCAGCCTCTTGAGTAGCTGGGACTACAGGCACGCACCACCATGCCTGGCTAATTCCACCTTTTTTTGTTGTTCTATTCAGGCCCTCAATGGATTGGATCATACCTCAACATTGGGGTCCAGGACCATCTGTTTTATTGAGTCCACTGATTCAAATACTAATCTCTTTTGGAAACACCCTCACAGATGCACCCAGAAATATCTGGACACCTCATGGCCTAATCAAGTTAACACATAAAATTAACCATCATAATAGGTAAGCAAAATAAAGAAAATAAAAGCTTATAGCAGCATCAATGCAAAAATAACTCATATTTTTACTAATATTACTAACATTCTTCCAGAATTTTTCTTTTCTTTTCTTTTCTTTTTTGAGACGGAGTCTCACTCTGTCACCCAGGCTGAAGTGCAATGGCACAATCTCGGCTCACTGCAACCTCTGCCTCCCAGGTTCAAACAATTCTCCTGCCTCAGCCTCCTGAGTAGCTGGGATTACAGGGGCCTGCCACCATGCCTGGCTAAGTTTTGTATATTTAGTAGAGATGGGGTTTTACTATGTTGGTTAGGCTGGTCTTGAACTCCTGACGTCATGATTCGCCCGCCTCGGCCTCCCAAAGTGCTGGGATTACAGGTGTGAGCCATCACACCCGGTCGGATTTTTCTGTATTTATAAATATCATTAATATGTTATTTTTAAGATGGAATTATATTTTTTGTTTTATAATCTGCTTCTCTCCCTAAACTATATTGTGTGAATATCTTTCCCTTGTTTACAAATGTGCCTCTATATTTATTTAGTCAATCCTGTGGTGCGTTTTTACTGTGTCAACTTGGCTGGAACTATATTCCCTAGAATTTCCTTCCCTTGGTGGCTCTTGGTTACAGTTGGAGAAATGTATGAGTGGAAATTGATGGAAGGTAGAAATGCAGCTGCAGCCGTTTTGTTGATAGTAGAGTGTGATGCAGGGCTAGTGGCTTTTGCAGCTCATGCACATTGTTGCTAATCTGCTAGTTCCCTCTGTAGATATGTACAGCTCTGCAGGGAAGGGCACGAGCTTATCCTGCAGGTTATTGACATCATTAAGGTTGGCAGTCTGTTCTAGAACCCGTAGAACTAGTTACATCCCGAGTTCCACATTCTCCTCCCAGGTTTCAGTTTGTCCTTGCTTCATATTCACCGTTCATTCCCAAGTGCTGGGTCTGCTGATTTCAAGCCCAACACCAGAAGCAGAAGCTGCCTTCTTACATAGATGGCTTAACCACCTCCCACATCTGCATATCTATCCCTATGTGTCACTCACTCATGGTAGTTCTGCTTCTCCTTTTGAATAGTGTAACCAATCTAGAATTTGGTGCCATAAGTGGGGTATTCTGGTTATCTATTACTATGTAGTAAAACATCTCAACATATACTGGCTTAAAACAGCAGTCATCATTTTATTAACTCTCATGGTTACTATGAGTTGGGTATTTGAGAAGCACTCAGTAGGGTGATTCCACTAATGGTTCCCTCAGGTCCCTTCTAGTTTCCTCCACCACCTAGTCCTAAAGCCAATGCCATTTGCTTTAGGCTTCTCTTATGGCAGCACCTTACTTAAGGCACCAAATTCTCTTCTGATAATCAATTACCGGCCTAAAAACCACCCTAAAGCAACAATAATTATTTTATTATCTCTCACAGTTTCTGTGTATGATTTGGAAAGGATTCAACTGGCAGGTTTTGGCTCAGTGTCTTCCCATGGTTGTAGTCTGATGGTGGCTGGGGCTGGGATGGCAGGAGTATGGAGCAGCTGAAGCTGACCAGGCATCTCTTTCTCTCTCTCTCTCTCTCTCTCTTTTTTTTTTTTTTTTTTTTTTTTTGAGACAGAATCTTACTCTGTTGCCCAGGCTGGAGTGCAGTGGTGCAATCTTGGCTCACTGCAACCTTTGCCTCTCAGGTTCAAGCGATTCTCATGCCTCAGCCTCCTGAGTAGCTGGGACTACAGGCGCCCGCCACCACAACTGGCTAATTTTTGTATTTTTAGTAGAGAGAGGGTTTCACCATGTTGGCCAGGCTGGTCTCGAACTCCTGGCCTCAAGTGATCCACCAGCCTCGGCTTCCCAAAGTGCTCTGATTACAGGCATGAGCCACCGCACCTGGCCTGGGCATCCTTCTCTTTACATATAGTCCCAAGGCCTCTCCATGTGGTTTTTCCACATGGGCTACCTCAGAGCCTGGCAGCGTCAGGGCAGTGAGGCCCTTTATATGGTGGCTGAAGGCTTTCACAGTGTGAATCCCAGTGAATAAGACAGCACGTTTAGTGACTTAGAGTTTTTTTGTTTCAAGAATAGGATATTCTCTTCCTTCTCTAAGGATATTGATGCCTTTTTTTCCCCTTTCTTGTTTTCATCTCCTTCCATAGTTTCTTTCTTCCAATTTTTTGGTTTATGCTCTATCTTTTATGAGTCTTATCCTTTTAGTTTGCATCTATTTCATTAGTAATAAAGTTAAATCTTTAAAAGCTGATTAGTCACACGCATTTTTTTTCCTTTTTGATCTACCAGTTCATTTCTTTTGCCCATTTTTCTATTGTGTTTGTCTATTCCTTGAAGGTTTCAAAGAACTCTTTATATGTTAATGATAGTAAATGTTTGCCATATATATGACAGATATTATTTTCCCATATAGTTTTCATATTTTCCGAACTAAAAATTATGATAAATGCTATGTAAAAGGATGTTTATCTGGTTTACCTATGTATGTAGATCGGGGTGTCCAATCCTTTGGTTTCCCTGGGCCACAATGGAAGAAGAAAAATTGTCTTGGACCACACATAAAATACACTAAACTGACAATAGCTGATGAGCTAAAAAAAAAATTGCAAAAAAACTCATAATGTTTTAAGAAAATTTATGAATTTGTGCTGGATCTCATTCAAACCAGTCCTGGGCCACATGGCCCATGGGCCGCTGGTTGGACAAGCTTGATGTAGATAAAAAGATTTACAAAAACTCATAAAAACAAATTGTACTTAGTTATAATCTAACAATATACCTTTAAATAAAGTGATAAAAAATATCCTGAAATAAGAACAATTCTTGAACATCCATACTTAGGAGATAGTGTTTCTCAGTCCTAGCTGCACATTAGAATCACTTAGAGAACTTTCAAAGTACTGACGCCTGGCACCTGCCCTCACCAAAGCTTGGTGTGGGATTCTAATGTGCAGCCAGGGATGCAAACCTCTGCTGTATGTAATTGATCCTATTGATCAAAGTAGGCTTCCTGGCTTGGCGTAGTGGCTCATGCTTATAATCTCAGCACTTTGGGAGGCCGAGGTGGGCAGATCACTTGAGCTTAGGAGTTCGAGACCAGCCTGGGTAATATAGTGAGACCTTGTCTCTACAAAAAAATACAAAAATTAGCCAGATGTGGTGGCACGTGCCTGTAGTCTCAGCTACTCAGGAGGCTGAGATGGGAGGATCACTTGAGCTTGGGAGGTGGAGGTTGCAGTGAGCCGAGATAGCGCCACTGCATTCCAGCCTGAGTGACAGAGTGAAACCCTGTCTCAAAACAAAAACAAAAACAAAAACAAAAAAAAGCAGCCTTCCTATGGGCAAAGATTTTCTCCTGGAGAACTTGGAGCAGAGCACTGCCTGTGAGTCTTCTACTTCCTGGGCTCTGAGCCAGCCTTTTTTTTTTTTTTTTTTTTGAGATGGAGTCTTGCTCTGTCGCCAGGCTGAAGTGCAGTGGCATGATCTCGGCTCATGGCAACCTCCGCCTCCTGGGTTTAAGCGATTCTCCTGCCTCAGCCTCCCAAATAGCTGGGACTACAGGCGCGTGCCACCACGCCCAGCCAATTTTTGTTTTTTTAGTAGAGATGGGGTTTTGCCATGTTGGTCAGGATGATCTCTATCTCTTGACCTCATGATCCACCCGTCTTGGACTCCCAAAGTGCTGGGATTACAGGTGTGAGCCACCACACCTGGCCTAAGCCAGCCTTTTTATTGAGAGGTCACAGAAAGTCCATTTGCTCATGTGTCTCCACTTCCTCTTCCTCTGCCACCTACTGACATTTCCAATATTATTGTCCGTCCTTAAGGGCTCTTTTCTTCTGAAGAAGGATATTTTCATTTAGTTAAGACATCATGTTACCTGGAAGGTTAACACAATGTTTACCTCATTTTTTGCTGCTCAAAATGGAGTTCTGGAGCAGCAGACCCTCAGACCCAACCCTAGACTGAGTCAGAATCCACATTTAAGTCAAATTTTCAGATGATTCATATGCACACTAAAGCTAAAGAAAGACAAGTCTATAGGAAGTTGTCCTCCAGGAGGCAAGCTATAGGAGGCAGGGACCCTGTCTATCTTATTCACGGTTGTGCTGTCATAGGAAAGATTTACAGTAATATAGAGTGAATGAATGGATGTGATTAGTAAAGAAAATTAAGCGTTTTATTTAATATGAGTCATATAATATGGGTCAACAAGGCTTTCGTTGGATGTCACTACGATAGGCAGAGTCAGATCCTGTATATAATGTACTCAACATAGCATAATATTTGTATCCACTGTATTAGTATGATTTAGTTTGCTTGGCACACATGCTGTGCTCTAATAGGTATAGTGAGTAATTCTATTTGCATTAACGCTTTATAAAGGACGTTCATGCATCTTACTTTATGTACTCTCTACAGTGTGCATAGACTTAACTCTGTGAATCAGGTGAATATGGGTATCTTCACCTAATTACACAGGAAAACACAGGATTAAGAGATTTGTGGAGGGTTGGGCGTGGTGGCTCACACCTGTAATCCGAGCACTTTGGGAGGCCGAGGTGGGCAGATCACGAGGTCAGGAGTTCGAGACCATCCTGGCCAACATGGTGAAACTCCTTCTCTACTAAAAATACAAAAATTAGCTGGGTGTGGTGGCACATGCCTGTAATCCCAGCTACTCGGGAGGCTGAGGCAGGAGAATTGCTTGAACCCAGGAGGCAGAGGTTACAGTGAGCTGAGATCACGCCACTGCATTCCAACCTGGCGATAGAGCGAGACTCTGTCTCAAAAAAAAAAAAAAAAAAAAGATTCGTGGAAAGATTAATAGTGAGTTAATGCCACACTAGAATTTGCACTCAAAATGCCTGAGTTGCTATACTACTCTCTAGCTACCTACCACTGAAGGCTTCCATTTAGAACTCCACATTGTATATTGTATGTATAAACTAGCAGTGTATATATAAACTAGTTCAACAGCATTGTATATATAAACTAGTTCAAACTACTATAGAATGCACATGAAAAAGTCATAATAATAGGTAATAAAATGTTTTCATTTCAAGATACATTTTTCTAGTTTTATATATAGTTTTTTCCATAGTTCTGTGTAACTAAATTTATTTATTTATTTATTTATTTATAGAGATGGGGGGTCTTGCTATGTTGCCCAGTACAGTTTTGAACTCCTGGCCTCAAGCTATCCTGCCTCCTCAGCCTCCACAATAGCTGAGGTTTCAAGCATGAGATACTGTGCCTGGTCTGAGTAACCAATTAATGCCTACAATAAAACTCCTGAATGAATATTGGAACTACAGGTATGTAAAGATTTTTAAAAAATAAATTTTAAAATAAAGTCTTATTGGATATTCCTCAGACAGCTAACATGAAAATGCTCTTCCTTTTGGAACTTTATATCCTTGTGAGCTGGAGAAGAGAACACACTTTATTTTATGGAACTGTCACTTTATTTTTTGAATCAGAAAGTAAACCTTCATTTCTTTTAGATGACACTCAGAATAATCTCCACATCATGTAATTTTCTTCTCAGTTCACCAGAGGATATTTGTGGCAGTGAACCTCAAAGATGGATGTTTAAGATAATGTTATGACGTTAGAAGCAAAGTAGATAAGAGACATTTGGAAGGAATTCATGCCAATCCAATACCCTTTTATAAATTATTCTTTCCTCACCTATTTTTATGTAGGAATGTCATTAGACGGATTCAGCTACCTGTTCAGTAGACTTTCTTGTTTAAACCCAAGAGTGAGGACTGTTTCTTAGTCATCTTCATATCCCTCAGACCTTTGTATGTGACACTGTCTTGCATTCAATATCAGTTCAAATATTTGTTTAGTTAAATTACTCAACTGCATTGTGAGACTCCATATTTACATTCCCTAGATGAATCCCCCCAAAACTCTAAAGTAATAACAATAAACACTAAACTGAATTCTAAAACTATCCTAAAATAGATTAGAATGAGTGTTTTCAAAATGTAATTTAACTTCTACAAAGCCTGCCCTTAGCGCGAGCACCACACATGGCATCCCAGGAGGCTTTTCTCCCCAGCGCCTTCTCCATCCCTCCACTCTGGGTCAAAGTAGAAGGACAATAAAATTGGTTAAGACTAGCAGATCATGCACCAAAGATCTGAATATGTTTTATTCTAGAAATAAGTGACAAATGTAAGCAAAGTTTTACCTGAAGAGACCTGAAGAGAATAAAACAATAGCTTCCATATATTGAGAACTTATGGCTGAGCGCGGTGGCTCACACCTGTAATCCCAGCACTTTGGGAGGCCGAGGCAGGCAGATCATGAAGTCAGGAGTTCAAGACCAGCCTGGCCAACATGGCAAAACCCCGTCTCTACTAAAAATACAAAAATTAGCCGGGCATGGTGGTGGGTGCCTGTAATCCCAGCTACTCGGGAGGCTGAGGCAGGAGAATCGCTTGAACCTGGGAGGCAGAGGCTGCAGTGAGCCAAGATCACACCATTGCACTCCAGCCTGGGTGACAAGAGCAAGACTCCATCTCAAGAAAAAAAAAGAAAAGAGAACTTGTTAGACTTTGATCAATAGGATCGATTATATACAGCAGGGGTTTGCATCTTTGGTTGCACATTAGAATCCTCAGACACACAGGTACTGTACTGAGTTCTTTGCAAATAACAAGCCCCACTGTTATTGTTTCCCATTTACAGGTAAGGACATATGGGGAAACCAAGACATACAGCAAGTGAATAACACAGCTAGTGAGTGGCAGAGCTGGGCTTTCAACTCAGGCTCTGGGTCCCACGTCATTGCTGTCTATGCTATGCTGCCTCTCCAAAGGGATTGTTAAACTTTTCTTTTTCTTGTAAGTGAATTAAAACCTTTTCCATCTCTTTCCATTCCCACTTAGAACTAATTTGTTCTGCATTCCATTCATAAACCTCACTGGATAAACTTATTCATCATCCAAATTCATATGAAAAATCCCACTCTAAACTTATTCATAAACCCATCATCAAAAATCCCACTCTAAAATGAGC
The DNA here is from genome assembly GCF_000001405.40 of Homo sapiens. Taxonomy (NCBI): domain Eukaryota; kingdom Metazoa; phylum Chordata; class Mammalia; order Primates; family Hominidae; genus Homo; species Homo sapiens. The sequence continues at coordinate 76,997,273 of NC_000005.10, forward strand.
ATGGGAAGCAAAGATTTTAAGAGATTCCAGTGCCAATCAACTTTCCTGAATAACACATTTTGTTTAGCTGGAAAGCCAAAGGAGCGATGCTAATGTAACTATGATATTAGTATGATATTAGTGGGCCATGATGCGTCTGAATAAGCGAGATAGTCCATGGATGCCCAGGCAGATGGTTTCTTTCTGGAACTCAACATCTTTGTCTTTATGTCAAGAATTTTGAACTGCATGATGGCTAAGGTTCCTTCCATGTCTGTGTTACTGATCTCAGCTTCACTATTTCCCAGGGATGTGGGTGGGCACCTGACACCCAGGGTTCCATTATATTCTGGGAGACACTTGAAGCAAATGTGAAGGACAAAAGTGCCAATAAAGTGAAACAAGTATATGTAGTGACAAAGCAATATTCAGTTTATGAAAAATAATGCAAAGGAATTTCATGAAACCCAAACAAATGTAGGCATTTGTTGATTCTCCTCAGTATAGCAAATGAAACAGGTGTCAACGTGGAGGGCAGAATCCATTGTTGTTTGTCAATTACCTCTTCTTCTACTCTTGACCAGGGTGTCATCTTTTTTACACAGTAAATGCCTATAGGGCACCTGCTATGTGGCAGGCACTGGGGATTATGTAATAAAACTGACATCCTTGTCCTCATGGAGTTTATATTCATTTTGGATGGAGCCACACTTTGTCCTTTTTTTTTTCAGATGCTTATTTATATTTTTAGTGCTCTTACTGGGTAAAATGTATCAAGTTGTGTAAAATTAGACAGGAATAAAGGTATTACACCAAAAACATCTTAAATTCCCTGCCTATTGAATGGCAGTGGAGAAACCCAGGAAGGGATGAGAGTTTGAAGTGCAGCTTTGAGGTATCCCCCATGTGAACTTGTGCAATGGTACAGCTCCATGTTTAACTTGATAGTTTTTATCTCCTAGAACAAATTAGCCTGGAAAAGTGGCTTTTGAAAAATGGTCTAACCCACCAATACCATTACTAGGTATATAGCCAAAAGAAAATAAATCATTCTACCAAAAAGACACATGTACGTGTATGTTCATCACAGCACTGTTCACAATAGTGAAGACATGGAATCAACCTAGGTGCCCATCAAGGGTGGATTAGATAAGGAAAATGTGGTACATATACACTGTGGAATACTACGCAGCCATAAAAAAGAATAAAATCCTGCTTTTTGCAGCAAACGTGGATGCAGTTAGAGGCCATTATCCTAAGTCAATTAACACAGGAACAGAAAACCAAATACCACATGTTCTCACTTATAAGTGGGAGCTAAACAATGGGTACTCATGGACATAAAGATAGCAACGATAGATACTGGGGACTACAAGAGGAGGGAGGGAAGGAGAGGGGAAGGGTTGGAAATCTAACTACTGTGTACCATGCTCAATACCTGGGTGATGGAATCACTCGTACCCCAGACCTCAGCATTATACAATATACCCAGGTAACAAACCTGCACATGTATCCCCTGAAACTAAAATAAAAGTTGAAACTATTAAAAAAAAAAGGACTGAGATATTTATAAGCCCAGAATGAAAAGCAAAACACCAACTCACTCAGCAAGTGGAGGCAGAGGTTCCTCTTGGTATTTCTCCTTCAAAAGCAACTGTATAACAGTTGTCTCCTCCATCTTCCCACCCCCAGGAATTCCCCAGAATCATTGCATCCCTGCCCTGTGCTGTCTTCCCATTATGACGTTTCTTTCTGCTATCGAAGAGAGCTGACTGCACCAGATTATGCAGAGAATAAATAGGCCCCCAGACTTCCCTGGAGTGGTCCACGGGGCAATGCTATTCAGAAACACTGGCTGATTGTAACAATTGTGGCCTCTTCTCCTACAACAGTGATGCTCTTAGCTGCTCATGTTTCTCAAGACAACAATGTTGACTTTGGAACCTGTGATCTCTCTGGTCACATACTACACTACAGACCAGCCACCTGAACTTGGAAGCACAGCTGAACTGGAAGAAAACTGCTGGAGACTTTGCTTATTTCATAGTATATATAATGAATAGGAAATATAAAGATATTCTTTAAGTTAAATTAGTTTTGTCCTCTATTTTCCTGAATATACTATCTTCTGAGCTTCTGGACTGGGCTGCCTTTCAGTCTCCATTAGCTTGTGGTTGCTTTCCTAGAGAAGCTGGGAGCCCTTTGGGCTTTGCCAGGGCAGGAGCTTCTCAGAGTGCTTTCAGAATGTGGTGCTTACCCAGTGCTAAGATCTAGAATATATTCACCCAGCACACTTCCACTTTCCTGTCCCCACAGCCTAAGGCAGGGGATGAGGGAGTTTGGAATGGAAGGTTGGGCCTCGGGAAGTTCTCTTCTTCTTAGCAAGTAAGGAGTGATGCAACCACTCAATCGTCTACAGGGTATGACTCAATGGAGGAAATTGTAACTCTTCCCTCCAGATGCTTCTCACCCCAGGCCCTTAGAGCTGCCTGCTATTACTCAGGGTGATAAGCAGCACCATGTTCCCAAATTCCACCAGGTTTCAAACATTCAATGATCTACAGTTTCTTATTATGAATACTGTTGAATTAAGATCTCTGAGATACAGAACACTACATAACACGGTTGCGGGTTAGAGGTGCCGAACATGTCCTGAAGAGGCTGCTATTTAATTATTTGTTTTCTTTTTTTTTTTTTTTTTTGAGAGGGAGTCTCACTCTGTCACTGGAGTGCAGTGGCATGATCTTGGCTCACTGCAACCTCCGCCTCCCGGGTTCAAGCCATTCTCCTGCCTTAGCCTCCCAAGTGGCTGGGATTACAGGTGCCTGCCACCATGCCCAGCTGATTTTTGTATTTTTAGTAGAGATGGGATTTCACCACGTTGGCCAGGCTGGTCTCGAACTCCTGACCTCAGGTGATCCACCCACCTCTGCCTCCCAAAGAGCTGGGATTACAGGCGTGAGCCACCGTGCCCGGCCAAGGCTGCTGTTTAATAGGTAATTTGAAAGAATCTCGTTTGAGCTGTAAGGCAAGCCTGGATGTTTGTTTACAAGAAAAATAAACATTGGTGTGTTTGGAGCGTAAGGCAAGTGTGTTTTTCTAACATTGTGCATCTGGTAATAGGAATCGCTTAAGCCAGTTTTCCAAACATCCCTAGTTATGGATTCACCTGGGTTAGTTGTTATTGATCTGGATTCCCAGGCCGCTCCTCAGATTCCGACTGAGTAGGTCTGAGGTGGGACCTGGGAGTATGCACTTTTTACAGGCTCCCTGTCTCCCTGCCACCCATCTAAGTGATTGTCATCATCAGGAAAGTGGACAAAAATGTTGATTGAAACTAGTGGTTCTCTAGGCCGGGCATGGTGGCTCACGCCTGTAATCTCAGCACTTTGGGAGGTGGATCACTTGTGGTCAGGAGTTTGAGACCACCCTGGCCAACATGGTGAAACCCAACCTCTACTAAAAGTACAAAAATTAGCCAGGGATGGTGGCGGGCATCTGTAATCCCAGCTACTGGAGAGGCCAATGCAGGAGAATCACTTGAACCTGGGAGGCGGAGGTTGCAGTGAGCCGAGATCGTGCCACTGCATTCAAGCCTGGCGACAGAGTGAGACTCCATCTCAGAAAAAAATGAATGAATAATAAATAAATAAATAAATAAACAAACAAACTAGTGGTTCCCAAACTATATCCTGCATCAGAATCACCTGGAGAGCTTGTTTTAAAAACATACCCCCAGAGTTTCTGTTTCGGTAGACCTTGGTGAGACCTGAAAATTTGCATTTCTAACAAGTACCCAGGTGATGTTGATGCTGCTGGACCAGGGACCCCATTTTAAGAAGCACTGGTTTAAACAGCCGGATTTCCCTGGTGGATCCTTTGCATTGGAAGCACTTTTACTGCTCCCTTTGGCCTGAGGGACTGTTTGTGGTAGGGAGGTTCAGAAATGGTACTATATTCTAAAGATGCACTTAGCAGCAATTTCTGGACTTCACAGCCCTCTTCCCACAGCTTCTTCCTCTGAAGACTGTGAACCAAGTAAAACGTGGCAGGTAGCTTCCTGGAGTTGGGCAGAAGCAGATGCCTAGCCATAGTGGTCTGAGGATTTGCTGCTTGTGTATTTCCTCCTTCCCACTGACCTCTGTGGGGGGTTTGTCTGTCTGCCTGTTACAAATATCACATTAGTGTCGTTTCTCATTGTCGGTGTTCTCAAGCATCTTATCTGCAATTCAAGAAAGATGTTTTAATAAAAGAGTTAGCTTTTAATAAGATAATCCTGACTTACTAAAACCACTGTGGCATAATCTCCTTTGCAATCACAACAATGAATACATTTTAAAATTTTAAATACTTAAAAACTCCCATTATATTCAGAGACACTTGCCAATTTGACAAGTAATGGTGCTATATCATTGTTGTTTGATGTGGAACCCTGACTATGAAGGAGGTCAAGGAGATTTTCAGGTACTAACTGACTGTAATTCTGTAACTGATTATATTCTTTGTCCATTTTTCTATTAGGTTGTTGATGTTTTTCTCATCGACGAGAGCTCTTTGGTAAGAAAATTAGCCCTTTTATGTCATGTATGTGACAAATATTTTTCTCAAGTTGTAATTTGTCTTTTAACTTTATTTAGATATTTATGCCGTGTCAACATTTTATAGTTTTAAGTAGCAAAATTTATTAAGTATTTTTCTTTTATGATTTAGATTTTATATTAATCTGAGAAAGTTCTTCCCCAATCCAATATTTCATTTTAAAAAGTTTTACTCATGTTTTCTTCTAGTACCTTTATGGTTTCATTTTTATATTTAAATTTTTCATTCATCCAGAATTGATTTTCCTGTAAGGAGTAAGATATGACTTCTTTTTTTTTTTTTTTTCTTTTTTTGGGACACTGTCTTGCTTTGTCATCCAGGCTGAAGTGCAGTGGCACGAACACAGCTCACTGCAGCCTTGACATCTGGGGCTCAAGCAATCCTCTCACCTCAGCCTCCCAAGAAGTTGGAAATACAGGCATGTACCACTGCACCCCACTAATTTTTGTATTTTTTGTAGAGACAGGTTTCATCATGTTGCTCAGGTGAGTCCTGAACTTCTGAGCTTGAGTGATCTGCCCACTTCAGCCTCCCAAAGTGCTGGAATTATAGGCGTCAGCCACCACACCCAGCCCAACTTCTTTTCTTCTAAATGACCAGCCAATTAACCCAACACCATCTATAGTGTAAACTATATTTTACTCCCATGAACTTAAAATAACATCTTTAACATGAATTTATTTCTGGGCTATTTCTGCTTAAGTACCAAACTTTTAAAATTCCTCTATCTTTATAATACATTTTTAATAATAAGAAATGCAAAGGTATTTTAACAAGATTTAGACCAGCCTGGCCAACATGGTGAAACCCCGTCTCTACTAAAAATACAAAAATTAGCCGGGCGTGGTGGTGGGTGCGTGTATTCCCAGCTACTCAGGAGGCTAAGGCAGTAGAATCGCTTGAACCCTGGAGGCAGAGGCTGTAGGGAGGAAGAGGTTACAGTGAGCCGAGATCACACCATTGCACTCCAGCCTGGGCAACAGAGCAAGTTTCCGTCGCAAAAACAAAACAAAAGATTTAGTTGATCACAAAGTGGAGGGGATTGGGGAAGACACTGGAGGCAAGGTAATAAGTGAGAAGGCAGTTGAGTCACCCAGGCATGGCAGGATAAATGCTTAGGGGAAAAAAGGACCTACCTTCAGCAGAATTCAGTGATCTGTTGGAGACTAGGGTCAAGAAGAACAAAGGATGGGCCAGATTCAAAGATTATCAGAGAAAAGGAACTAAGCCTTTATCTCTATTGCACTAAACTGAACTGAATCAGTCCAAAGATACAGGTTTCGGTACTGGGAGAAAGATGCTATCATCAAACAGTCATAGCTTTGTATATCTTCACTTAGGAATTTTGCCAAATTTCAGATCAAGTCATATTTATTGGATTTGGCTAGTACAACTTCTTGGAAATTACACACACTTTAAGCATTTATATTCCTGGTGAACAATTAGTTTTAATATACTTATTGGGCTGAGTTAATATGAAGTACTTACAGTTAATTCAAAGATCAGCTTTGTGGGGTGAGATTCATGTGATTATTCAGCCATACTGCCTGAGGAGCATACTCTGATACTTGTGGAGGGCATATCCTGATAAAGCAGCGATTTGAAGTATTGTGGGTTGCCTACTATTTATAGAACACTAGATATGAGGAGGCAGATATGAAGCCTTGACTCTTGTGGTCAGCCTGACTGGACAATAACACAGACAGCATCACTCTGTTGGTCTTGACTACTTAATTACACATATCTAGAAAAGTTTATTTTGAACAATTGCAAATAATGTTTACAATACAACAACTCTTTTTCTCTTTTTTTAGACTAAAAAATCATTTAGAAAAATAACACACATATAAACATACTCTCTCTGTATATAAGTTAAATGGTATAAACCATTATAAAGAAAAAGTGTAGGGTCCATACTCTCCCTGCCTGAGTCAGTTCTTTCTCTCCAGAGATCAATGCACACACGTTCACTTGTATAGCTTTTTTATTTTACAAAAACACAATCATACTCTACATATTCTACAACTTGCTTTTTTCACTCTCTCTCTATATACATAGATATTTTGTAATTTTTGTAGAGACAGGGTCTCACTACATTGCCCAGACTGGTCTGGAACTCCTGGGCTCAAGCCATCCTCCCTCCTCAGCCTCCCAAAGTGCTGGGATTACAGGCATGAGCCACCGCACCTGGCCTCAATCTATATTGCTGATGACTTAAATATCTGTGAAAGTCTTCTGAGGCATTAATATTACCTGCCAGAAATAAACTGATAATAAGTGAAGTTCCTTATATTGTTCCACAGCAAATTGGTAAAGCCTGTGATTAGTAGTTATTGAATGGATAACTACTTAAAAATTCATATAATGTAAAAAACATCCCCAAATTTTTTGAATCTATGCTAATGTAGTCATAGACTTTTAAGAAAAGCAGCAATTTAAAGTATTGTATTGTTACTTTAATCAAGCATCATTCAGTGTTTTATAACAGAAACATGGTGCAAAGATACAAGCACACATACATGTAAATATACACACATATATACATATAAATATCACATACAAAGATACAAATACACACACATATACATATACATGCATATGCATCACACATACACACACACACACACACACACACACACAAGCATCTGCATCCTGTCTGGCATAACTTTGCCCTTTTCTGCTCTGTTCACATCTTTTTGGCTACCGTACCTTTAGCTTGAATTCTAGCTTTTCTGTTGGTGAAGATGAAATGAAGTAACCTGAATCCTGAGTCAGTAGGGCCAAATTTGATAGGATGATTGGCTCCAGTACGGGCTCCTGATGAACAGGGCTGCCTGGGTCTTGGGCAGACCCCTGTATTTGAGGTCACACAGATATTTCCCGAACCATGTGCCCCAACCAAGGAAGACTGCTCTATGAGTTAACTGAAAGTGGACAATTAGGGAGCCTCATTTCCCAAAGTTATTAACCTCTCCCTTCTCTCTCTTTTTCACTGGAAACACTTTCCAAGGAAGCTTATAATAGGGTTTAGCTTTCTGGAAAATGAAACTTTTTTAAACCTTTCTTTCATGGAAACCCAAACTTTCTCAATGACTTTTACAAAAGGTTGTTTTTAGAGTTGCACTGGCTACACAGAAAAACTATTATTTTAATGTGCTACTTATTCTCAAGTATGTGTGTTTTGTGCATAAAATTGACTTATATACTAGCATATTATTCATATCATAATATGCTAGTATGTGAGATTTTTAAAAGCTTTTTGTCTTTGCAAAAATTTTCACTGCAAGATCCTTTAAAGCAATGGCTTTTCTACTGGTCTAAAGTACCAGTTTGCTGATCATTGCCTACCTGACAGGAGAGGAGAGAAAGAATTAATATAATGTCCATCCCTTTTCTTCATCCCCTGTAAGTTAATTAGTTTCTAAGTTTCTTGAATCTTCTTCCCAAATTTTTCTCTAATTCCCATTATGGCTTTAGTCTGGGTTCTTACACCCAAACTTAGAATTATAGCAATAACCTGCTAATTGCTCTCCTTAGAGTAGCTTATCGCTTTCACTTCAATCCAACCCGTGCATTAATTTCATACAGATCATCTTAAAGCACTGATATCATTATATCTCTTTCTTGTTCACACTCAAGGGCTGCCCAGTGTGGATGGCATTTAATCCCATCATAACATTCAAAGCCTTTTATCATCTACCTTTCTTATCAACTTCCGAGTTCTCTCCATGATATCACTTATAAAAACATTTTGCAAATGAGGTAGTAGGCAGAATAATGTTCTCCCTCCAAAAAAAGTCCACATACTAATCCTTGCAATGTTAAATATGGTACCTTATGTGGCAAAAAGAATGTTTCAGATGTGATTAAAGTTAAGAACCTTGGGATGGGAAGAGTCTCTGGAATTATCCTGGTAAGCCTCATGTAATCACATGAGTCCTTAAAAACAGAGAAGCTCTCCAGGTTGTAGAGAGAGGAGATGTGACTCTGAAAGAAAGGTCAGAGAGATGCAACGTTGCTAGCTTTGAAGATGAAGAAAGAGGCCACAAGCAAATAAATGGAAAAGGCAAGGAAATAAATTGTGCCCTAGAGTCTTCAGAAAGGAACACAGCCCTATCAACACCTTGACTGTAGTCCAGTGAGACTCGTGTTAGACTTCTAACCTACACAACTGTAAGAGAATACCTTTGTGTTGTTTTTTATTTTTTATTTTTTAATTAATTAATTATTTATTTGTTTTTATTATACTTCAAGTTTTAGGGTACATGTGCACAACGTGCAGTTTGTTACATATGTATACATGTGCCATGTTGTTGTGCTTTGTGTTGTTTTAAGCCATTAAATTTGTGGTAATTAGTTATAGCAGCAATAGAAAACTAACATATGGGTAAATCACTACATGTGTACATGCCCAGTGTTTCTATTTGCCAAACAATCCTCCCACCTCTAAGCCAGGCCCAGTAGTGGTTCCAGATATGTTCCCAGGCTGGCCTACTGCCCGAAATGCCCTCCTCATTCCCTTTCACCTACTTAAATATTCTCTGTCAGTCAAGTCCAGCTGAAGACCTATTTCTTCCAGATTACTCCCATCCCTTCCTTTGAGGGTATTGTCTGCACTCAATCACTGTTTTCCTACTTTGTCAATTGTTTAAAGTCTGTATGTCTTGCTTCCATAATTAGATTTCAGGCTATTGGAGGAACAGAGACCACATTTTACATTTTTTTGGGTACTTCGTAATAATTGGAAAAATTGCATACACACATATGATCCACCCTAAATAAGCAGTTTAATACTAGAACATTTTAAAATTTAAAAATTTAAAAATCAAATTATTGCCATTAGAAAAAGATCATTGAACTCATTGATGAAATTATAATGCAACTCAGTGAGGAAACAATCCTATTGTCAAATAACCTTCCCCAAGAAAACATCACTGCATAAAGAAAGTCATTTCTGTGCATATTTTAGTGGCAAGGTAAGCTGTAATAGAAATGAATGAGCTATCTCCAGTTGCAAAAGAGTTATATGTTACTACAGATAAACAGCAAGGTAACACTTTCTTACCAGCTCGGGAAAGAGATCAGCCTGCTTGCTAAGCAGAATGGACAGGTTTATTGTGAGGGCTTGAAAAGTAGGATAAACCCTGAGGGGTGCTGCACTCACAGTGCTTAGCTACTCCTTTGTTCACACCTTTATTACATTTAATTTTATTCCTTGGAATTGGAAAATTCAACCTTTGATAAGTTGCTACAATTGGCATCCTACTCGGTATTACATATCAGAAAATGATTTCAGTCCTTATGTTTTGCTGCAAAATAGGTATATATTTAGCACTGGAAAAATGATGAAAAGCATTCTTGAGCCTCTTAATCAAGGAAAGTAAGATGAACAATAATGTAAGCATGGAGTGAGACAAGGATGAGATTATTATTTGATGTTCTTATAATATTCTTAAGATTCTGATACATCCATCTGCTAATCCCTGTAGCTGCTTATTTGTAAGAGAACATTCATTATCAAGATCCTTTGGACTTTAATGATTTTGGTAATTATTGATTCCATTTGCATCCTCTTTTTAACCATGTGATTGCACTCCAGGACAGAGGAAAATTTGCAACAGGGTCTGAAATTGAGCAGAAAACGTTTATCTCTATATGAAACCGATAAGCAGGAGAGAGAATGCAGAGTGTGCTGCTAAGTAACAACTGGTCCATTGCTGGATATCTGCAGTGTAATTTGGTGATGAGATGCATGCCTCCTCCACAGTCATAGCCACTGTCTCCCATTTTCACTGCCTCTGTGTCTTAGTCCATTGGACACCTAAACAGCTCAGCCCAGATGGAGTCCCCAGAAAGAAAAAGTTTCATTTTCTGCTTCCCTAAAATGGGTGCCCAGGCTCTATTTCTCCTAAATTGTCTTCCACACATTTTTTCAGCTTGTCTGCTGGCCTTGCCTGGCTGCTTGCAATACGCTGGGAATTCTGCTGGGTATATTGGTTCCAATGACAAGAAATGTATTTCATCCATCAAATGACAACATGTACATATACTGCCTGATGAACACTCAATACCAGACATCAGCACGAACTCTTGTTTGTTTCAATTTGTTTACACTGAAGACTGTTCAAGAGTCTCAGCTTGTAGTTGGTAATTGATACAAGTAGAAGATGGGACTTAGCTCTGGCATCAGAGACCTTTGGCTTGGTTTGGGTGTGGCACTGAAGGCCGCCTCCAAGTGCCTCCTAACTGGTGACTGGGTCACCTTCTCATTCTGGTCCTCTGTTTTGTGATTGTCAGCATCTTGTCAGGAGTCACTGACTTCTTCCTCCTTCTTCCCACAGCACCTTGTTTGTGCTTTTCCTACAGCATTTTGCCTTTGGGTTAATTTTGATTGTTTAGACGTGTGCCTCTATGATAACAAAAATTAAGCTCCTTGACAGTAGAGAATCTGTTACTTGTATTTGAATCTCCCTCAGGACATAGCAAAGTTCTGTGCACCTACTAGACAGACAATAAATATTTGCTGAGGATTTTTGAGTGAATAATGGCAACTGAATTGTTAACTTTCAGATTCCTATAGTATCAACTCATGGGATCTTCTTTTTTAACATTCATATGGTTTGGCTGTGTCCCCACCCAAATCTCATGGTGAAGTGTAACTTCCAAAATTCCCATGTGTCGTGGGAGGAACCCAGTGGTAGGTAATTGAATCATGGGGAGGTGATTGAATCATGGGGCAGGTAATTGAATCATGGGGCAGGTAATTGAATCATGGGGAGGTAATTGAATCATGGGGCAGGTAATTGAATCATGGGCAGATCTTTCTCGTGCTGTTCTTGCAATAGTGAATACATCTCATGAGATCTGATGGTTTTAAAAAGAGGAGTTCCCCTGCACAATCGCTCTCTCTTTGCTTGCTGCCATCCACATAAGATGTGACTTGCCTGTAATCCCAGCACTTTGGGAGGCCGAGGCAGGCAGATCATGAGGTCAAGAGATAGAGACCATCCTGGCCAACATGGTGAAACCTCATCTCTACTAAAAATACAGAAATTAGCTGGGCGTGGTGGCACGTGCCTATAATCCCAGCTACTCAGGAGGCTGAGGCAGGAGAATTGCTTGAACCCAGGAGGCGGAGTTTGCAGCAAGCCGACTCCAGCCTAGCAACAGAGCAAGACTCCATCTCAAAAAAAAAAAAAAAAGATGTGACTTGCTTCTCCTTGCCTTCTGCCATGATTGCGAGGCCTCCCCAGCTATGCGGAACTGCAAGTCCATTAAGCCTCTTTTTCTTCCCAGTCTTGGGATCTCTTTACAGCAGTGTGAAAATGGACTAATACACACATGCATAACTTCCCAATATTTGTCTTTACAAAGCCAATCGAGGTCTTGTTTCTTGACTTCTACTATCTTGTTAGCTTGAGGCCACTCATCAAAGGAATGTACACTATCCTAAGTGGTTATAGCAACCCCTAATTTCATCATGATGTGGAAGAGTTACCTGGTACCTGGTTACATAGAATCTTTACTGTATCCCTAATAAAATTATATGGAATATAATTTTTAAAATTCTACTTATTCATCGACTCTAATTCTCTTAATAAGTAATATATATCTGAGAATATACTAGAAACTTAAATGATCAAGCACATTCTAAGACACCTAGTAGTTGAGTAGAATCCATTGTCTATAGAAGTTTCTTGGTATCTTCAAACTCCAGGTCAACTGTAAAGAAACACTTATGAAACTGCCATCATCACAGTGAATAAGACCAAAAATGAAGGTAAACTTGTAACACAGAAGTTTATTAATTAGAATGCTCAAAAATATTAATGAGTTCAGACTAGCCTTTCTTTCCTTTTTTTCTCTTTGAAAATGATAATCAGATAATTTGTGTAGCATTTTACATAGATAAACTAAAAACCAATTCTAAAAGCTATACCTGTGGTCATTGGCTGATGAAACCAAACTGCTGGTTTTCATCACTGCAGGCTAAGGTGAAGGTGCAATGTGCCCTTATCCACATTGGGCCACCATCAGTTACAATCGGTGTGCCCTTATCCGCACTGGGCCACCATCTTCCTACTTGTTACAGAAAAACCTGCTCTGTAAAGACAGTTAAGGGTAAGGAAATGAGAAATATGGCAACCACATGCTGAGGACATCTCAGTCTCTTCCTGTCCGTTAATCCAGTCAGAGTACAGTCGCACTAAAATGTATCCCAGGCATCCTGGATTATTTATGCCTATGATACCAAATTATCAGAAGTTCTATAAGACCATGTCACACTAAACCAAATAAAAGAAATAGCCAAGGGTAAAAGTAACTGAGAACATTTGGAAAATGAAATGAAGTGGATAATAAAACTGTAAAGATTGTATTTATGAATTTAATTCTATAGACATATAATATGTTAAAGAAAAAGTACTAGATCTCTGATTACTATGTGTTTCTGACATTTTATAGACCTTGAGATCAGATATGAGTACTCAATCGATTCAGCACTGCGTATCGCCACTGCAATTAAGACTAAATGAAGTGAAAACGCTTTTTAACAAGTATGTCATACAAAGTGCTATGATTCATCTACTTACAATGGAATTAGAATTCTGGAAATGTGTCGCCAGATTTTTTTTTGCCATTAGAGAGGATTAAATTGTACAAAATAAGTGCATTGTCTGTTATTTATGACTCAGATCTAAAATTTTTCTTGGTAAATGAATAAAACCTTTATATAACCATTAATCTGATCTCTGGTATTTCAATAGTAAAAAGGAAAGTGTTGACATTTTACAATTCATTGCTGAAAGAAACCTATAAAATGGAGTGCCATCATCTCATTGTTTCTTGATACAGACCGGTCACAATTTCTATACTAAGTTTTAAGTATGCTGCAGTTTTAACTTTCAAGCACCATCGTATAATTGAATTTATTTACATACTTTTCAGATCATATTGGAACCTGGACACATCCCATATATTTTATTTAAAGATTATGTTGAATAATATAATCTATGTTGATGGGAGGTTGGCTCTGGGTTAGAATCACACTGTCACTTACTAGCTGAGTGACCTTAGGCAGGTTACTTAACCTCTCACCAAGCCTCAATTTCCTCATGGGCAAAATAATATTGGTGTCAAAGCGTTTTCTTTTAACTTTTTATTTTGAAATAATTGTAGATTCATAAGAAGTTGCAAGAACAGTATAGTGAGGTACCAGGTATCCACCACCTAGCTTACCCCAATGGTGACATCTTCCATAACTACAGTTCACTATCAAAACCAGGAAATTGATTGGCACAATGCAATTAACTAGACTCAGTTCATACTCAAATTTCACCAGTTTTTGCACACACTCTTCTTTCGGGAGCAAGGGTAGGGTTTTACATAATTCTATGGCATTTCATCCCATGTATAGATTCATGTAACTACTATTACAATCAAGATAAAAATATGTGTCTTAAATACAATTAAGCATTGAAGTACTTAGCACAAGAGGTTGCACATAGAAGAAACTAGTGAAATGTTACCTACTAGTATTAATTAGATTAAATCAGATGATGTTGCTTATTCAATGCTTTCCAATTATATGAGTTACTTTGTTGGTTGACATAGACAGTATTTTAGAAGTTAGAAATAAGGCTTTTTGTATTAATCATGTTTAATTTTTTTTTTAAATTTTTTTATTTTATGAAGCTTTGTCATCTTGGGCCCTTGCCGACCTGAGGAGAAACTGTCCCTCACAGGGCGCAGCTGATTCCTATAGATGGCAAGCAACTTGCCTGTGAGAGCATACCTTTGATATGCAAACCAACCAATCTGGGCCCATACCCCACCCACCTCTTTATATCAGGCTTCTGCAGCCTGGGACACTATCCCCTTCTCCTCAGCCACCCCAGACCCAGGTACTGGCTAACCAGAGATCACCCTGTAGTTCAGAGCCCGCCGAGATTCTTCAATGTATCCAGTGCGTGCCCAGCCTGCTCAGCTGCTCACCCTTCCTCACCCATTCCTTCCATGGAAACACAATACAAGCTTTTCCCTCCTTCCTTCTCTCTCCTGATCAACTCTGGTGCTTCCCTGTGTGGCTCGCCCCCTATTCTTGGGAGCTGTGAATTTTATTTATTCTTTTTTTTTTTTTTTAAGACAGGGTCTCCCTCTGTCATTCAGGATGGAGTGCAGTGGCACGATAATATCTCACTGTAGTCTTGAATTCTTGGGCTCATGTGATCCTCCTGCCTCAGCCTTTCCAGTACCTGGAACTGCAGGCACCACTATGTCCAGCTAAATTTTAATTATTATTATTATTATTTATGTAGAGATGGTGTCTCACTAGTTGCCCAGGCTGGTCTCAAAGTCTTAGGCTCAAGTAATCATCCCATCTCAGCCTCCCAAGAGCTGGATTTACAAGTGTGAGCCACTGCACCCCACCACAAGCTGTATTTTCAATGGCAATAGTCTTCTGATCTATTTGTCTCATCCTAACTAAACCAAAACAAAATCCCTGGTACATTAAAAAATATCCTTCGAGCCCCAATTAACTCTATTTTGGAAGGATATAAACTAGAACATTCAAAGTGAGCCAAATCTGTCTAACATGGATGTGTGCCTTCCCTCAGACTGAGAGGTCCCAGTTTAGAGCAAAAAATTCACCAAAGAAATAGGTGAAAGAATTTGGCACATGGTAAGTACCCAGGAAATGTTCAGTTCCTGACTTACCATCTCCCTCTTTGACCTTAACTCACAAAGCAGATTTCCACAGCATCAGTGTCTACATGAGTAGGAGAGAACCTAATTCTTCTTAGCAAGTGTTCCTCATGAAACAAAAGAGCTTCATGCATGGCCCACTGATGCCTTTGCTTCTGCAAAGAAGACTTCACAGTCAACCTGTTTTCCAGGAAACTCATGCTGGACCTCTTCCTGTGGCAGTCCTCTGACTCAAGAGACTCAAGGTTCCTGGCCTCTGCTATGGGGCAACCCGCAGTCTGACTCACCTTGCAGCCTGCACCTTCCTGAGCCTCATCCTTATCATCCTATTAGACTTCCACTGCCTGCCAACCAGTTTGAGACTTCACTACATGGTGTTGCCAGATCTCACTCCTGCTCTTGAGTGATTCCATCTTGGAGCTTGGATCGGTCCTATCTTATTTCCCTTCTGAATGACCTCTCCATTTCAGCTTTGCTTTTTATGCTGATAACCATTCCTATTCTGGGTTCATAGATGGGCTTCAGGGGGTCAATGAAGCAATGGGAAAGGTTGTTGAGTTTTTGAAAATTCAACTTACTACGCAAATATGTAGAATGATCATTTTATCCTGCCTTTTTGTGCGTCTCCAAATATATTCTTTACCCTGGTTGCCCATTGGAATTGCCTGGGCAGCTTTTGAAATGTACTAGGCCATATCTCCAAAGTCCTGCTTCAATAGGTCAAGGTGAAACCACACATTGGTCATTTTAAAAGATTCTCAAGTGAATCCTGTAAGCATTTAAGGTGGAGCTTCATTTTCTTGGCTGGGTAGTGGGGGCGGGTGGGTAACCTCTTAGTCATGTCAAAAATCTCTGAGAGGGATCAAGCTGGAAGAATGGGAACATGTGCTTTTCCACAACCCTTTGGCCACCTCCAGGTCCTCAAATTATATGATCAAACCTGAGATATGCCCATTCAAGTGAGAATATTTGACTTCCTATAAATTGGTAGAGGCTTGCGTGCAGATTCAGTTTAGAATTCTGGGGCAGGACAAATTTGTAGGTATTGTTATGGGCCTCTGTCAAGAGACACATAATATCTGGTTTGCAGATATTGATGATTGATATTTAGGTCCATTAATTTATTAGGGGCTATGAAATGCTGATATTCTAATTCCACCATTCCTTCTTTACTTATCACTTGAAATCTTTCTATAAAGAGAAATTTCCCTTCATCTATCATTTGGTGAGCCAATGGCATGGTTCATATAGGAAGGGAGGATAAATTATACAAGTTACATGTTTTCAAATGAATTGGTTCACCGGTATCATCTGCTGTGATTAATTAAAGCTCCTTTGTCTGCTGTTTTGTAATTATTGTCTTTTGTCTGTGATATAATGCTGTAGCTAACATTATTCAATTTGACAAGTGAGCACAAGATGCAGACACAGCTTCACATACCACTTTTCTCTACATCAGTATGCGTTAATTCCTGAATTATCCAATATTACATTCACATTAGCCATCACTGAAAATGACACCTACAAGGCTGGGCATGATGGCTTACACCTGTAATCCCAGCACTTTTGGAGGCTGAGGTGGGAGGATCGCTTGAGCCCAGGAGTTTGAGACCAGATTGGACAATATAGCAAGACTCCATTTCTAAAAAAATAAAAAATAAAAAAATAAAGTTAGCCAGGCATGGTGGCATTCACCTGTGGTCCCAACTACTAGGTGGGCTGATGTGGGAAGATTGCTTGAGCCCAGAAGTTTGAGGCTGCAGTGAGCCATGATTGCACCACTGCACTCCAGTCTGGGCAACAAAGTAAGACCCCATCTCTAAAAAAAAAGAAAAAAGAGAATGGCACCTACAAAGTTAATGACACAGAAAGAGTTTAATAAGCATGTGCATACTTAAACCCCATAAAAACTTGAAGATACTTAGCACGTCTTTGTTCTGTGGTTTTTTTTTTTTTTTAAATAAGGGTCTTCAGAAGGCTATGGATTACTATTTAATTATATTTTAATCTTCCAGCTATTGTATCATCCTAGTTAGAACTGCTAAAGAGCTAAGGATTAACCTGGTTTTTGAAAGTCAGGGTGTAAGCCAGCCTACACGTCTCCCATAAACACGCTTGGTTCTTCAAGTTCCCAGCAAAAGCAACACAGCCATAACACAGGTGAGGTACATTGCTTATCAATATATACAGATTAATTGAAGTAAGAACTGTGCTGTTAAAGAGAAGTACCCAAACACATGTTCTTATAAGTTTATGCAAATAAATTCTCTAACAATTTTATATTGGAATAAAATATATATGGCAAAATATACAAACATTCATATTCCCACTGAATCTCTGTGGCTGTCTAGCCACTTGGCAGAAGATCAAAACTCTGCCAGTTTATGAAGCAGATTCTGCATTAAATTAAGGTACTGTCCTGGGCAATAGGGCAAGTGCCCATCTGTAGTAAAAATACAAAAATTAGCCAGGCACAGTGGTGCTTCCCTATGATCCCAGCTACTCAGGAGGCTGAGGTGGTAGGATTGCTTGAGCCTGGGAGGTCAAGGCTGCAGTGAACCGAATTCACACCACTGCACCCCAGCGTGGGTGACACAGCAAGACCCTGTCTCAAAAAATAATAATAATAAAATAAGGTATTGATGCTCTCTGTACATTTGGACCTAACAAAGACTCTCTCCTTGACCAAACTTTAGTCAATCTCTCCTGAGCCCTCTTCTCAACTAGGCCTCAACGTGCATAGCCCAGTTTTCACAAGAATCCCACAAAGTCAATTTAGAGAGAATCCCCCACCCTCAATATTTGATCGCTGTTGATGTCAATCAAATTCCTCATACCCTACCCTTGATATCTCATCAGCCTTTCCTGCCCTCAGCAAGAGCCTTGTTTGGCCACTCTAGCAAGAATGCCCCGTCTTTGATTTCTCTTCTTAGTAAATTTCCATCCACCATTACTCCCAACCTGCTCCTTGGCTGTAAATCTCCACTTGTTCTTGTCGTATTCAGTGTTGAACCCAGTCTCTCTCCCCTATTGCAATGGTCTTGACACTTTTACCTATTGCAATAGTTCTGATTAGGATCCTCCTTACCATGTTAATAAGGGTCAGAATGATTTTTTCTCTAACAAACCTGGGCCCAGCCTACTCTATCCAGCACTAATGTGCACCTCCCAGAAGTAAGGGAGTCTTCTTAGGATCCTCTTCTTTGATTACCTGAGATAGAAGGTGTGGGGGACCAAATTAAAGAGTACACCCGTTTCTCCCGACATTCTTTCCCATTCCTTAGATGAAGAACAAGAAGACATCACATTGCTAGATGCAGTAAAATGGGTACATAGGAAAACTTCACCAAAGGATTAAAAATAACATAATTACACTATCACAATAATCATTCCACTTACACAATAAAGTTAACTCAAGTGGGGATTCTTAGTTTCATGTTAATTTCCTCCCATAATGCCCCAAGATGGGGACATACTCTTCAGATAAATAGTCCTGCTCCTGGAGCACCCTGAGCATTCCTGGAGCTCCCTGCGCATTCCTGGCACTGGCATTTATCTCACTACATTCAAGTCACCTCTTGTCTGGGCTCCTCCAGGGTAGGGACACCTGGGGTGATGGTGGGAAGGTGGGGAGTTGCTCCTCATAGTTGAACACAGGCCTCTAATTCCATAATCATCTGAAGAACATCAGGCCCAGAATGTGGACCATTAGAAGCTCCAGGCAACATTTTGGCTCTTCAGATAGACAATACCGTGTTAGTCCTTAAACTTGTGCCTGAAACCTTTTGAAAATGTCAATGCTTTATTGCCACCTTCTGGTCAATTGTGTTTTGTGTTACTTCTTCAAGACGTCATTTGGTCTCAGTAAAAAGGATCTGAGAGAAATGAAGTCCCTGTCAGAGCAGAAATCCCACTTCTCCAGTGGTAGCCAACATGGACAGAATGTTATATATCCCTTGAGAAATTTCCCAAGGATGTGAATGCATGTATATGTCACACAAATGAATACTGTTCTGAATCTTGTAGGGTATAAAAGACAGGTCATTATAGCTTACATTTCTACAGAGCTTTGTTTTTAAAAAACAGTTTACAAAGCGCTTTCACATTTGGTCATTATAATAACTTGAGAGGCAAGTAGGATGTATTAATAGAATGATCTGTTGGCCATCCTATAAAAAGACAGGGAACTGTCAATGAACTCTAACTTTCCTTGCAGATTTGTGCTCCTATTAATCTTTTTAAGCTTTCTAGAATGGTTCTATATCTACTTTTTCATTAGCAAGCCCACTTTTGCACTTAAAATGTAATTTAGTTTACAAGAATAATGTACGCATCATATTAAACCATCTATTGTGTAGATAAAACTTTAATAATCAATTAATAACATGTATACATTAATGCCTCATGCTGATGCATAAACCTGAATTTATGGTTCATGATGATGACGATGATGAGACAGTAACATGTGAATTAAGAGCACTGCCTCTGGAAGCAGACTGTCTGAATTTGAATCCCAGCTCTGACTCTTTCTGGCTGTATTATCTTAAGCAAGTTACTTAATCTCTGGACTTCATTTTTGTTCTCTGTGAAATGGAGGTGATGATGATGATGATGGTGATGATGATGATGATACCTATCCCACAAGACTGTTATGATAATTAAATGAGTTAATATCAATACAGTGCTTAAAACAGTGCCTAGCACATAAATAATTATTTTTGAAAAGTAATTAAACCAGCTCCTGGCATGTAGCAAACACTATTTATAAAACAGAACAACAATAATTAATATTCATTGCAAACTTGCTATGTGCTAGGTTCTAAATTTAGAGCTTTCCACTCTATTATTTAATCTCCATCTGACATATGAGGAAACCTGAAACACAGAGCGCTTAAGTAACTTGCCTAAAGTCACACAGCTAATGTGGGTAACAGAACTGAGATTTAGTTAACGTGTCTCTGTCTAGAAGTTGTTACTTTACTACATAACACATGTCTGTGTTACAACTAAAGCATTTCACCCATTTATCAAGTTAATTCTATACTATTTGGAATCCTCTGTAACCCTAATGAGCTACATAAGCATCCAACTTTGTCTTTCTCTTCTAGGGTTTTGGTACACATTCAGATGAATCTTAATTTGTTCATGGCTATTTTATATGCAGACATATTCAATGCCAAATGAAATGCCATGACTATATTTAATAAGTGTATGATGATAATAAAGAAGTTGTTAGGCTTACATTCTGTCCTTGCTCATCAGGAGACTGTTCCAAGAAACTAATCTATAACTTTGGTAATTAAATATTTACTCATCATGATCTCAGATTGAATCCTCATGAACTAACACACGGCGAGAAGTACATATCAATAAACGATGGGATCATGACCAGGATCTTCCTTGAAACAGCAAGAAGGTAAATATGTAGTTGTGGCATTCCAATGTTTCCTTCGAATCATTTTAATTTCCTTTCTTATATTTTTAAATATTTTATATTATAAGAGAATTGTCAATAACTTGCTCCACCTCAGGGAAAAAAGGGAAGGGAGGAAAGGAGAAGACTCCTACAGAGTTAAATGCTTTCACATTTCTTGATTAATTCAGCACCCTACTCCACCCCCAAGTACAGGTGGGAGATGCTTCCTCACACCCACTCCACTGAGGGTCCAATCTAGGACTCCATCAGTCCTCTCCCTCTCCTTCGGTTCATGAGTGTCTTGGGGTATTATGTGCATTGGGTAGTGAAGCTGGCTCCCCAGCTTCACTGGGGATGAAGTGAGTGTTCCTATGAGTCAGTGGGGGAGGATGCTGGAGGAATGAAGTCCTCGTGGGCACCAAGGGAGGATGGTTACCAGAGTTCCCTGGTGCAGGCAGGGGTGACACTCCCATGAATGAAAGTAGAGCCAACTGCAGCTGATGGCCCAGCTCCCAAGCAGTTCCTGAGCACCAATAGCCCTCATGGTGGTCCCTTATCAGATCTGCCCACCCAGTTCTTCCTGGGCAATGCGCTCTCTCTCTTCTTGAACACCTTTTCCTAATGCCCAACCCAGCCCCAGACCCTGTTTCCTCTTTACTGTATCCTCTTGTTTCCTTTTGGTCTTGGAAAAAATTCTTACTTCCTTTAGCTCCTAACCTTCTCTAGGGTACTTCTTGCTTTTCCTCAAACTCTAGTCTTTTGTTCTTTTCTGATAGGCTGATGTTCATCAGACTCAGAACCCATTCCTTTCCTTTCAGACAGAATCTAAGGGAAAATGATACTATATTAATTATATGACTTATAATTGTTATATAACACACACATATGTATGTATACACACACACACACACACACACACACACACACACACACAGTGAGAGAGAGAGAGAGCCTTGCTTTGTCACCCAGGCTGGAGTGCAATGGGGTGATCATGGTTCACTGCAGCCTTGACCTCCCAGGCTCGGATGATCCTCCCAAGTAGCTGGGACCACAGGAGTGCAGCACCATACCTGGCTTATTTTTAAAATTTTTTAAATTATTATTTGTCTCCTTATGTTGCCCAGGCTGATTTCAAACTCCTGGGCTCAAGTGATCCTCCTACCTTGGCCTCCCAAACTGTTGGGATTACAGGCATGAGCCACCATGACTGGCCAACATATAATTATTGTCGTAATATTTTATAATATTTGGACATTATATTGTTAAATTATTATAATTGTTATAATATTGTTATTATTATAACAGTATTGTATAACACTTGTTATAATATTGTAACATGTCATCACCTTATAAACTGTTTTAATATTTATTATATTATTATAATATTGTTATAATGTTATAAACATTAAAATATAAATTTACTTTAAAATCATATACCTAGTTATTATTATATTAAAATGGTTTGAACATTCCTATCTTTCTACTCTAACTTGTGTGAATGTAACTGCTCCAGGGAGATCGTCTGAGTGTGGGGGAATTGTGGAAAGGTTCTGAGCACATTTTGTTTACCTAGTAAGGAGAGGGTGTTTATTTTGTCCTGAAATAGATATTTCAGGTATCTATTTTGATCCTCTGAAAGAAAATTTGCATTGCTTTTTTTTTAACGTCTAGTTAGTATAACCAAAGAAATTGTTGCAAGACTTCACTTACTCTATTTTCTCTAATAATCTGTAGCATGTTTGTCCTTTAAACATAACTCCCATGACATTCTTAGACTTGTGCTTCTATAGAATAAATTGCATTCAATGGATGATATAGTTCTAATGCTGGTAATCTTATTTTACAATTGCACTTTTTGTGATTTCTTAATTTGTCTGTCTCTCCCACTAGACTTTAAATGACAAGGACCTAAACCTATTTTCACTCAACCTTGTACCCCTCCCTCTTAGAGCCTTGCACCAGGCCTAGCACACAGTTGGTGTTCCACAAATATTTGTTGAACAAATAAACATTTCTCTATTTTGCCTTCAAACCTTCTTGAAGATTTTATCTACACTTTAGAGATAAGCATGAACAAGAATATTGGTAGAACCATGTTAAAGATGTAAGTTTCCTGTGCCACAACTCTCTAGGTCTTACCCAGATGACTTAAGGCTTCATCCCACATGACAGTTTCAGTGATTGGTTATAGCCACCTGGGGCAATTGTGTTGAGAAGGATTATGGAGCCAAGCCTGGGCTCAGAGGGAAAGAGCCAAGTACAGAATGGCTATATCCTTGCTGTGTATGTGCTAATCACACCTCACGTTGACATGATCACCCTGCTGAGAGAAGTGGGACCAAGGAATAATCACACATATCCAGTGTTTCACACAACTTTTTTTAGCTCATAAACTCTGTGAGTTCCACAGTCCTACACCACTTCAGACATCTGTCCATAAGTAACTCGGGTCTTCCTGTGCACTTAGTGGTCTTTCAACTTAATTCAGTAGCATACGCTCAACCCTTACTATCATGGGAATGTGTTGGTGGTGCTCAATACACAGGGATTCTGTTCAGTAATCATTTTAAAAATAAATTTTATTTCTAGGATAGTTTTAAGTTAAAAGCAAATTTTACTACTCATTTTGAAAAGTCTGACTCAAATGGTAATCTGCAAATGTAACCAATTGCAATTTGCATCAACCCATGTAGTATATATATATGTGCATGCACATACACACACAACCAGTTACCCTCTTCTTTCCACTATCATTACAACTTCTTCTGTATATCACTTCTTGGTTAATATTTGTCAAAGGGGAAGGAGAAAAGCCCAAAACTTCAAAACACACCAGGAGCATTTTTATGTCATACTGGTTGAAAAATATTCACAAACATTTCTTTCTTTTTTTTTTTTTTTTGAGATGGAGTCTAACCCTGTCACCAGGCTGTAGTGCAGTGGCGGGATCTCAGCTCACCGCAATCTCCGCCTCCCGGATTCAAGTGCTTCTCCTGCCTCAGCCTCCCGAGTAGCTGGGATTACAGACACGCACCACTACGCCCGGCTAATTTTTGTATTTTTAGTAGAGACGTGGTTTCACAATGTTGGCCAGGATCGTCTGATCTCCTGACCTCGTGATCTGCCCGCCTTGGCCTCCCAAAGTGCTGGGATAACAGGAGTGAGCCACTGTGCCCGGCCCTTGTTTGTTTGTTTGTTTGTTTGTTTGTTTTTGAGACGGAGTTTCGCTCTTGTTGCCCAGGCTGGAGTGCAATGGTGCGATCTTGGCTCATGGCAACTTCCACCTACCAGGTTCAAGCAATTCTCCTGCCTCTCAAGTAGCTGGGATTACAGGCACGCGGCACCACGCACGGCTAATTTTTGTATTTTTAGTAGCGACGGGGTTTCTCTATGCTGGTCAGGCTGGTCTGCAACTTCCGACCTCAGGTGATCTGCCAACCTCGGCCTCCCAAAGTGCTGAGATTACAGGCGTGAGCCACTGTGCCCAGTCTCACAAACATTTCTTTACCAAATTTCTGGTAAGTTTTAAGGTATTAATTGCTGGAGACTTGTCAATTAATACAACTGTCTTTTGTGGCTTTACAATAGGGATACTGAGACATTCATCAGTTTTAGGCGATTTTGTCATTGTGTAAACATTATAGCGTGTACTTACACAAAGACTTACACAAATCTAGGTGGTATAGCCTACTACTACACACCAAGGCTACATGGTATAATCTGTTGCTCCTAAGCTATAAGCCTGTACATCATGTGACTGTACTGAATACTGTGTAAACATAGAAAAGTTAATGCATTGTGCTATGACGTTACAGAGGCTACAACATCACTAGGTGATAGGAATTTTTCAGCTCCATTATAGTCTCATGGGATCACTGTCATATATATGGTCCATCATCAACTAAAATGTTATTTGGTGTATGACTGCACTTGACTTCTGGGGAAAATGTTGGAGGACATAAAACTTTCACTCTGAGCCAACTGATATATTTCTTAACTGAAAGGTTTCCTAGGTCATTCACACAGAGGAAGAACAAAAGATGGTCAAGAAGAACCCTGCATGTTCTCAAATCTTCCACAGCTAATGGAAGTAGCACCAGGAAGCCAGAGGTTCTTAAACTTACTCTTATTTTATCATAATGTCAGCAATTATTCCTTCAGTTGGAATTCTCTTAAAGTGTTCCTAGAGGACAGTACAGTAAATGCTTCACCTAAAAGTTAGGTTAGTAAAAATTACTAAGATGTTTAACAAAGTAGAGATGTTTAACAAAGTAGATAAACTACATTAAAAAAGACTATGTCATTTAGGCATTACATTAGGCTGAATGAAATAAAAACCCTGCTATGGTGACTTAATCAAGAAGAAGTTCAGAAACAGGTGGTTCACAGTGACATTAACATCCCAGGATCCTCCCATCCTTCTGGTTTGCTTTCTTTAGGGTGTGGTGTTCATCTCACAGTCAGGAAGTGGCTTCTCCACCTTGAGCATAATGTCCATCTTTCAGGTAGGGAGAAGAAGAAGAAAGAGAAGGGCAAAAACAAAAGACTGAATCTATCTTTTTTAAACAGGTGATACGGTTTGGCTCTGTGTCCCCACCCAAATCTTATCTTGTAGTTCCCATAATTCCCACGTGTTGTGGGAGGGACCTGGTGGGAGATTATTGAATCTGATCATTTTAAAAATGGGAGTTTTCCTGCACGGTTTCTCTCTTTTGCCTGCTGACCTCCATGTAAGATGTGACTTGCTCCTCCTTGCCTCCTCCCATGATTGTGAGGCTTTCCCAGCCACGTGGAACTGTAAGTCCAATTAAACCTCTTTCTATTGTAAATTGCCCAGTCTCTGCTATGTCTTTATCAGCAGTGAGAAAACGGACTAATACAACAGGAAACTACAGCTTTTCCAGAAACCTTGCCTGTAGTCTACTACTTATACCTCATTGGCCAAAACTTTGACATATGGTCACCTAGCTGCAAACAAGAGTGAGAAATGTAGACTTTAGCTAGGTGTATTGCTACCCAAAACGAAATTCAGGTTCTCTTGTCAGAAAGAGGAAAATATGGCTGTTGGGTTGACAACTAGCAGTGCCTACCACAAAAACACTTTTTAAAATTGCAGCCAGAAAGGGCTTAACTCCCAGGAACCTTGGAGACTGTGAGAAAATGAAATAATTTAATATTTTGAACATAATTATTTACAGCCCCAGGCTCATGTTCAGGTTCAGGCTGAGGGCAAAGATATGACCTTTGCTCCCACCAGCAGGCAATTAGACATAGTTGAGCAAGGGCTAGCTTGAGTGATTTTTAAAGAACTAGGCAGGCACCTTCCTGCTTATGCTGTAGGATACCTGAAAGGCACCAGCAAGCAACGAACAACCTCAGAAGAATTTAACAATGATTGCTGATTTTTGTATTTGGTATCCAATTTTAACACTAAAAAATTCCTGTTGGAATGGGCCAGTTGCATTCAAAAAAGCACAGTTCAAATAGCCAAAAAAACTTTTTAAAATAAAAAATCCAAACTGACTTGGCATTTCTTGAGAACTATTAAAAGGGCATCATTTCGCACTGCCCAGTAACCCTTCTTACATCCCTTATTCTCTCCTCTCCCATTCACTCACGCATTTTGTTGTATCTTACAAAAATATTAATCCATAATGAACTAGAATTTTTAAAAACATCCTCACCACAAAGAGTTTAAGTACTGCTCTAGTATGAACCATTGATTTTGCCTTCTAAAGACCTAGAATTGGTCCAGTGGGACAGACTGTCCTTTGAGAGTTCGAATTCTTATTATTAAGGGAGAGTAGAAGGGAGGAGGACTTGGGAAGATTCGTAACACAGCAATGTTTTAACTCATTATACCATCATAAAAGGAAGGTACAAAATGTAAGAATTTTAGCTGGGGGTGGAGAATAGTGTCTTACTTAGCTTCCTCGGGCTTCCTTTACCATCACTCCAGTGTTTTAATGTTATATCCCCCCATTTTTTTCTTGGGCCTCCAGGGGAGGAAACGGGTAATGGTCAATTGACCAAAAGTAACATGGGGCAATAAATCAGAACTATTGAAATGCTATGGTTCCCCCAGATATTCTCCTGTGGCATCAAAAAGTTGAATCAGGTAAGGAAAAGTTGGCTACCCACCATATCCAATATAAATTATGACAGGTGGATATTAATTAAATATAAATTGATGACACTCTAAAAGAAATTGGACATAAATCAGCTTTTATTGAATTGACAATATTCTTCTGTTGTGGAATATTATAATATCTCAGGCATTTGAACTCCAGCCTGATTCAATTCATAGGCTCCTGGAATGGCTCTAGATCAGATTGAGTATCAATTAGCTATTGCTGCATACTAAACACCCCAAACCTCAGTGGCTTTAAACAACCATCCTTCATTATTTCTCACAAGCCTAGGGGTGATGTGTGGGCTGGCTGATCACCACCACCAGGCTTGCTAATGTGTCTGAGGGTTTCCTGAAGTCTCTGCTCTAGCCTGGACTTAGCTGGAGCATCTAAGCTAGGAGAGGTCTGCTCCCTGTATTATTCATCTTTCTCCTGAGACCAGCACACATGCCTGGGTATGTTCTTCTTGTGGCAATGGCAGGAAATCCAGAGGGCAAGCAGAATCACTAAGGCCTTGGGACTTAGGCTTAGATGTGTCACTCTTCTGGCACATCACATCATTCTGCTGACCAAAGCAAATCACATGGCCAAACCAGCTCAAAGGTGAAGGGGAGATTCTTCCCTTTTAGTGAGGAAAACCACAAAATCACATGTCAAAGGATGAGGAAGAAGACCGATAAAGAACTGGGGCCATTCATGCAATTTCCAAAGTGTGATGGTTAATTTTATGTGTCAGCTTGATTGGGCCACAAGATGCTCATTTATCTCCTTCAATATTATTTCTGGTGTGTGTGTGAGGTTGTTTCCAGAAGACATTTGAATTGCCAAACTAGGTAAAGCAGATGGCCCTCCCCAATGTGGATGGGAATTCTCCAACCCACTGACGGCCTGAATAGAAGAAAAAGACAGAGTAGAGTTGAATTCTTGCTCTGCCTGACTGCTTGAGCTGGAACATTGATCTTCTCCTGCCCTTGGCACTCCTGGTTCTCAGACCTTCAGACTCGGATTGGAATCTATACCATTGGCTCCCTGGCTCTCATGCCTTCAAATGACACCACGGGCTTTCCTAGGTATCCAGCTTGCAGACAACAGATTGTGGGACTTCTCAGCCTCTATAATCACTGAGCCAATTCCTTATGATAAATCATATGACAGCCAGGCACGGTGGCTCACACCTACAATCTCAGCACTTTGGGAGGCCGAGGCAGGTGGATTACCTGAGGTCAGGAGTTTGAGACCAGCCTGACCAACATGGTGAAACCGTGTCTCTACTAAAAATACAAAATTAATTGGGTGTGGTGACAGGTGCCTGTAATCCCAGCTACTCGGGAGGCTGAGGTGGGAGAATTATTTGAACCCGGGAGGCCGAGGTTGCAGTGAGCCGAGATCACACCACTGCATTCCAGCCTGGGAGACAGAGCGAGACTCCATCTCAAAAAACAAAACAAAACAAAATAAATCATATGACACTGAAGTTACAGAAATCACTTTTCTAATTTGAATCATTTTTTTAAAACAGAGAGATTTCACATAAAAATCCTGATTGATTTTTTTTTTTCGAAAAATCAGAAGCTTTGCAACACAGGGTCCACATTCCCATATGTCTCCACAGTTCGCAGGAGCTGAGTAGCAGCTGCCCTGTCCATTCATTTGCTTTATCTCCCTAGCCCTTGGAGCCATTTGAGTTTGCTTTACACAGTAGTAGTTCTACAGCCAGATCTGTTTCTCAAGCTTCAGATAGGCTTCTGCAGTGCTCACTATTTACTGAACACCTCAAATTCAATATAATTAACAATATCGAAACTAAAGCATCCCTTCCTCCTCATGCAACATACTCTTCTCCAATAGTCCCTATCTTCCTCATCCAAGCTAGAAACCTATTCATCACTTTGACTTTTCTTTCCCTCTCTAATATACTACAGTATACAATTTTATTCACAATAAAACTACGGTGTGTCTAGGAAATAACCTAAGAAAGAATACCCAAGACCTTTCCCGAAACAAGTGTTAAAATTGTACTAAAGTCCAAGAAAAATATTAAGCAAAAATGTATGTGAATTGACTATCTAAATAAAGTTTTATGTTAATTCCCCTAAATAAATCTATACATTCAATGTAATCTTAATAAAAATCCCATTGGATTGTTTGAGGAACTCAACGAACTCATTCTAAAATTTATATGGAAAAATAGAGGTTTATGAATAAGCTGATTTTGAAAAAGAAAAACAAAATAGGGCCTTGCCCTACCAGTTAAGGCATACTAAAGAACCTAAGTGATAAAAACAGAGTGGCTCTGGCATGGGAGCAGACTAATAGACAAGTGGAAAAGAATGGCGAGCTCAGAACTAGGCCCATATATAAAGATGGGAACCTGATGGAAGATGATGGTGGTACTACAAAGCAATGCAAAGGGGATGGTCTTGAGAAAACTAGGTCATGTCTGAATACCCCCAGCTGGAATAGAGAACAAATGTGAAAGTTCAAATTATAAGATCAATAGAAGAAAATATGACTTGGGGTAAGGAAAGTCTTCATGAAACCCTACACTGTAAAGCCAAATAAAATTTTAAAAAGTAAAATAAAATAAAGACTGATTTCATGACATACAAATTAAGAACTCCTGGCTAACAAAGAACACTGGACAAAGCTAACAAATATATGACAAACTGGGAGAAGATATCTGTAATATCTAAAACTGATAAAGAAGGAATACCTTGTTTATATAAAGAACTGCAAAATAACAAGAAAGAAATGGGCAAAAAGATATGGATAGGCAATTCACAGAAAGGAAAGGACATATAGCCATTTCAACATATATACATTTCAACAAATGTATGAGATTCTCTAGTAATCAGAGGAGTATCAATTAAAACAGCAAGGAAATAGCTCATTATATTCATAATGGCAAAAAGTACAAAAAATGGTTCATATCATTTATTGGAGAGGATGTGGGAAAAAAACATTACAAAACAAAATCAAATCGTGAAGGGTGTCAAGTAGAATGCTTTTTTAGGGCAGCGCCTCTGCCCACTATGCTAAGTACCTCTTAGATCTGAAAACTAGGTGTGGCAAAGACTGCTATTTACATACTCAACATGAATTTTGCCCTTCTTCCTTACTTGTAGAACCCCTATATTATTAGGAGAATAATGCGTCTAGCTTAGAAAAACACACATATACACATAATTCCCAGCCCCACTTGCAGCAAGGGGTGGCTATTGATAGGTAGACAGGAACCATTGAGTGGGGCTTTGGGAAAGTCCTTTCATCCCTTGCCATCTTGCACCATGGATCGACCTGGAGGCTCTGGAAACATGCTCCGAGAATAGCAGAGCAGAAAGACATACCGAGCCTGGGTCCCTGAAGAACTGTGGAGTCACTGGCCATGGACTGCCCCTCTCTAGGCTTCTGTAATGTAACAGGATAACACCCTAATTTGTTTAATAAGCCACTATAGACCACCTCTGATACTAGCACCTTAATGCAATTCCTGATATTCAAGGCTTTTTCTAAAAAAATGTCATTCTTTTCTAATGGTCAGAGGTAGGATACAGACTGGTATTACAAGGTAAAGATAACTTAGCCTTGAACAGATTAAGACAAATAAGAGGAGCACTGCTTCAAGTAGCAGTCAATAAGCTTATTTATTTTTTCTCCAGTTAATTACTAAAAACTGAAATATCATCTTAAAGATACCTTTCAAATGGTATTTATGGAATTTCTTATCCCCTAAAGAAAATAGGTGGAGAAAGTAGAAAATAGCATCTTTTTAAAAGGACTTCAATATGTTCATTAATGGAGTCATAATGCATCAAGGGAAGTCAGAAATTTTTTGCAATACATCTTTTTTTTTGCATCACAGGGGACATACCATGTCTTCTCACTAAACTTCCTTTGATGGCTTAAGGTTACTCTTGACATGACAATAAGGTAGAATCTCTATGTTTCCAGATACAGTGCCTTGTGAAGAACTCTTCAGGCCTAAGGAGGAATGTGTACAGGCCCTAGAGAGGGCAGGTCTCTGCTGGAAAGCTCACTGTTTATGAATAATCTAGTGGGCAGTGCACAAGACAAAAATACATACAGAGCCATATTTTAAAATTTAGATTTTATTATTATTTATGTATGGTGAGGCCAACAGATCAGGAGATGGTCTGCTATCAAAAAGACAGTTTATTATTCACCCAGCCCAAGAGGAGGATGCACACCAAGCCACACAAGGCAATGTGGAGAAGCACCAAGGTCCAAAGGAGGCAGAAGGAGTGGGAGGAAACATGGCAAAAAACATTATGTGATTTTTGCAGGAAGGAATGGACAAATCAGGATAAGCAGGTTTAGTTTGCATAATTTCAGTGGGATCTGAGATGTAGGAGTTGTTCCTAGTTGTCTGGTACTTTGCCCTGGAGTGATTAGGGCAGGGGAATATTGGCATGGAGTGTAACAGCCTGATAAAGAAGGTAGATGATCAGTGTGTGGCATGCTGGGTGAGTTGTTTGCTATGTCTAGGAATTAGCTAACCCTTGGAGGGGTTATCTCCCTGGTCAGGGAGACCCCAGATGCCAGAGCATCAAGAATACAAAAAATAAGAAAATATAGTTAATGGAAGTGGCCACTGATCTAAGACACCAAACAGGATTCTCTTGTTCAGCTGTGTTCAGCATTTACGGATACTGCTCTGCGACAGGCACTGTGCTGGGCCCTGAGAGAGGAGCATCTGCATGACACAGCTGCTGACCTCCACAAATCTCAGGCCCAGGACTCTGAGCTCATGATCTAATTCTAAATGACTTTGGCAAAGGAAGGAAGTGTGTTCCAAAGAAGGCCACATCAGTTTAAATATTGGCAAACCAATGCCAGGGTCATGCAGACAAAAGACCAAATAAATGCACCAAACCAGAGCATTTTTCTCCCCTTTTCCACAGAATATTGTCTCTCTCTTATTTTCCCACCAGGGATGCTCCTTTTTGCGACTCAGACCTAATGTACTTGCTCTATTTTCCCGGGGGGTCTAAACTCAGGAACCAGAAGAATGACTAAATGAGAAATAAAAGTAAAATTCTGAGCCCCTGAACTGACTGAATAGACCCATTGTTCACTACATAGAAAGCCAGTCATTGAGACAAGGAGTATTGCCAGGGAAGAAGGTTCTATTTGGGTGCTGCAGCCAAGGAGAATAGGAAATCAGTCTCAAATCCATCTCCTCAACCAACTAAAATTAGAGGTTTATATGGCAAGGGAGAAATGTGACTACATGTGAGAAAACAGGAATTAGTGAGCGGTAAGGATGAGGACTTGTTCAACAGGCAGCAGGTGGCTGGTTAGGCAATCATGATGGGTGAGGGGTATGGTGCCTCATTGTCCAGATGCAGTGATCTGGTAAGTTTCAATTCCTTGATACTATCTGGGAGGCCTCATGGTTGGTTTCCCAAGAAAGGAACTCAGATAAGAAAGATGTAACTTTCTGAAGTTTTAAGACTGGGAGGGTAAATTTCCAGGTTTATTCAAAAGAAACCATAAACATCAGTTCTATAGGACAGTTGGGCTGATTTCACACCAACCAGCATTCCTTCCTGATAAGAGACCACCAACCACAGAGAAGTTCTGGCCAATCTACCAGGGACTCACAGCGAGGGTTTTCATGTCCTCTGCTTTGCCATTTGACATCAGAGGGCTGAAAACTTCACACTGGGATCATGCTAACACCACCATTTTTTGAATATGGGTCCCATAGAGAGGCAGGAAGCTTAATTGTGCATGTGCATATTTCTCCTTTCATAAATATTCATGAATCCTCCTACAGCTCATTGAATATATTTGGCCACCCTGCTCAGCATAAATTTCTGTTCCCTTTGTCCTTCCTTCCAAGTGTCTGTTCTCAGCTTCTGACCAGAGGCTATGCTTCCAAGCCTGTCAGAAAGGCCACCCTGCAGGCTGTAACCCTTCATGAGAAATAAAGCCCTTTTCTAAATTTATTAACCTCCTCATTCTTCAGTTGACATAAGTAGAGCATCATAGTCCCCACAAATCATTTCTGGGATACTCTGTTCTTATTTGTAAAACAAGGAGATAGGAAATGCATGCTATACTAAAAGTTTGTTCAAAGAACATCCGCACGTGCAAATGTCTGAGACCAGAGGCTGCAAGCCTCCCTGTCGCTCTTAGGGCTTCGGTAGCCACATTGCCACAGCTCTCCACGCCCTCAGGTAACGCCCCTCCGCAGGCCGAGACGTCGGCACGTACACTGTCAGGTCTTCCCGCTTTCCGTCGCTTCCTGTTCCGTCTTGGTCCCGCCTGCCGCTGGCGCCGTTGTTTCCGGCTCAACTGGGGAGCTGCTGGAGCTCTTCTGGCCTCTGGTTTTCCGACTGCTTATCCGACGCTCCTCCCTCTGTCTCTGTAGCTGGAGAAGGTAGTTTCCAGGAAAGTTTTCCGGTTTGCAGGCCGCGCACATCGGGCAGGGGCCATCCTCGGTCCCCTTGCTCGTTGCTCGCAGCCCCGTTCGGCTACAAGTGAGTTTCAGGGCGTCATGGCCAGGGGCCACCGCGGCCAGCCGGGTGTGAGGCTGCCTTTCGCTGCCCGCGCGCTCCAGTGGTCTCTGGGTCCGCCGGCGTCCGTTTCGGCCTGAACGCAGCCCCTCCGCGGCGACGAGCAGTCTCGCGCCGGAGCTCATGGCCTCGGAGGCGCCGTCCCCGCCGCGGTCGCCGCCGCCGCCCACCTCCCCCGAGCCTGAGCTGGCCCAGCTAAGGCGGAAGGTGGAGAAGTTGGAACGTGAACTGCGGAGCTGCAAGCGGCAGGTGCGGGAGATCGAGAAGCTGCTGCATCACACAGAACGGCTGTACCAGAACGCAGAAAGCAACAACCAGGAGCTCCGCACGCAGGTGCGCGGTCCTCCTCAGCCCCGCGCCCCATCCAGCCCAGGCGAGGCCTTCGAAGCCCGTGATAGCCTCGGAAGGGGTCCCTGGCAGGGGCTCAGAACTACTGTAGAGTACTTAAAGTAAATAAGTAGAAGCTCAGCGCAGTTACAATTCCAAGTACCTTAGGAGCAAACCTGAGTTCAGGTTACTTGATTTAAATCAATGTCTCGCGGCTGGCGTGAATTGAACTTAAGTACTGTGGCTACATTGTCTTCATTCTCACTTGACCTAACATCCCATTGGCAGTAGGCGCATTTACTGTAGATCACATTTGAGTTTATTAAAATGCTGGACTTGAGTCAGAATCCCATCTCTGCTATTCACTGGGTGTGTGAACTTATATACCGAGTCTCAGTTCCCCATTAAATGAGAATGATAGCTCACAGTAGTAAAGGTGAAGTAAAACAAACAATTTTACAAACTTTTGAATGCTATACCTGTTTAAGGTTGCTCTTCTGGGCGTTTATCATCTTCGGCTTTCTTGTGTAAGTAGGGACGATATATAACTGCTTTTGTTGGAGACGTTAAGCAGCTTATTTCGTTTCCAAGATGGTAGGGGCAAATGTTAATACTTAAACTGTCACATTAAAAACAACCTTGGCTGGACGCGGTAGCTCACGCCTGTAATCCCAGCACTTTGGGAGGCCGAGGCGGGCAGATCACCAGGTCAGGAGTTCGAGAGCAGTCTGGCCAGCATGGTGAAATACAAAATTTAGCCGGGCGTCTCTACTAAATACAAAAATTAGCCGGGCGTGGCGGCGGGCACCTGGAATCGCAGCTAGTCGGGAGGCTGAGGCAGGAGAATTGCTTGAACCTAGGTGGTGGAGGTTGCAGTGAGC
Organism: Homo sapiens; assembly: GCF_000001405.40. Taxonomy (NCBI): domain Eukaryota; kingdom Metazoa; phylum Chordata; class Mammalia; order Primates; family Hominidae; genus Homo; species Homo sapiens. The sequence continues at coordinate 77,031,852 of NC_000005.10, forward strand.
CGAGATCGTGCCACTGCACTCCAGCCAGGGCGACAGAGTGCAACTCTGTCTCAAAATAAAAACCAAAAAACCAAGAGCATAGTATTTTTTTCTACCTTGTTGGCAGGCCCTCTCTGCCAACAGATTATTTCCACATAGTAACTAGTTTCAATTTGACCGTTGTCTAGTCCTTCATAATTTATTGGTGGTTTCCTAAAACCAGTATATAGGCTGAACACTGAAACGTCATCAGACTTCTTTGTTTTGTTACCAAATGGACTATGAAAATAACTGTTGAGTTGCAATGACTTTGTATGACCATTACATGGAGTTCCTGACATGACATTATTGGAAAGTTTTTGTTTAGTCAATTTAAACACCTACGGTGTGTAATAACTATGCTAGGAAAATACAAATATGGTAAAAAAAAAAAAAAAAAAAAAACAGGGAGAGGTGGCTGGGCGCGGTGGCTCACGCCTGTAATCCTAGCACTTTGGGAGGCCGAGGCGGGCGAATCACGAGGTCAGAAGATCGAGACCATCCTGGCTAACACAGTAAAACCCTGTCTCTAGTAAAAATACAAAAAAAATTAGCCGAGCGTGGTGGCGGGCGCCTGTAGTCCCAGCTACAGGCTGAGGCAGGAGAATGGCGTGAACCCGGGAGGCGGAGCTTGCAGTGAGCCGAGATTGCGCCACTGCACTCCAGCCTGGGCGACAAAGCAAGACTCCGTCTCAAAAAAAAAAAAAAAAAAAAAAATGGGGAGACGGGAGCAAAATATAACAGCCTTTTTTACATGACAGCCTTTTGAAAAGCTCCTTTATAATTCTAAATTGTTGAAGTACTGCTTGCGTTAGAGATTCTAAAAGAAAACGTTTTTTGCTAATCTTCAGAGAGCCAGCATTTTGGTGTTACTGTTAATTTGATAAATCAGACTAAATGATGGGACTTTGTGAACAGATCCTTTATTTCTTACAGAAAAGAATGTTTTTATGCTAATATTTTGAGAGGTCAGCAATTCTCCCTAAAGAATTAGAAAATTTAAGAGCTATCAATTCCCATTCATGTTATCTAATATCATTCAATGTTCACGTGGATTTAGTTATTAAATGTTAATGCCTCTTATAAGCTTTAATACACTTTAAAAAAATAGTAGTTCTGTGACTAAACTGCAGCAGAAGCGAACAGAAGGTAATTGCCTGAGAGGATCATCTGTCCTCCACATGCCTCCATTTTAGTCCAATATTAAAAATTTAATCTCATAGAAAGTCTTGACTCTACTTTGAATAGTGATAACTCCTTACTCTCCTAGTCAGCCTCCCTTGGTTGGGGAGAGGGTGGATTCGATTAACTGTCATTCCAAATTACTGAATGTGTTTTATTTGGAGCAGTTAAAAAGTTTTGCTTGAGAATGATAACTGGAGAACCATAATATGTATAGGGTTTGTACAAGACCCCAAAATAGCCTTGTGCAAATTACTTTGTCTTGTCTGATATTTTATGTGTAAAATTGGGGTTAGGACAACGAATATTTCAGGTGGTTTTGTGAATTAATGAGATGTTATCTAAAGCATCAAGTATAGTGCCCAGCATGTAGTAGATACTAAGTAATCTAATTCATAGTGATAGGGACAGTAGCCAGAGCCAGGATTTAGGGCAAGGCAATCAGGCTCCTAGGGCGAGGAATTTAATGGGGCACTAATTCCCAGCGATGAACTCTGTACTTGCATGAATCAGAGGAGCGCCTCAGATTTTTCACGATCAGTGTCTTGCTTCCCTCACTGTAGTTCCTGCCCTAGTATTAGCAACAGATCAGTTTTATCACCTTTCTCTGTTTAAGCTTTATGTATCATTAAATAAATATTTAAAAGCTTGTTTTTTAGTTGGTTTCTTGTGTGTAGTAGACATTGTCTCACATTGAGGTCCTCTCAGGCTGAGGTGTATTGACTGAGGCAGCGTATTGACCGAGGCAGCATGTTACTTGCTTTTGGGCACTTCCACACACTTGTTTCTCTCTGTCCTATGTAGTAGCATCCTTTTAAGGGTATTTTAGTGTGTGAAGTACATGGAGGACAGATGCCCCTCTCAGGCCGTCACCTTCCCTGTTCTCTTCTGCTACAGTTACTTAATTATAGGACTACTGTTTAATGAAAAAATGTATTAAAGCTTGTAAGTGGCATTAACATATTCAGGTGGATAGTTAATTCCCAGTGGAGAATACCAAATGAGTATTAGATAATCCAGTAGGGATGAGAATTTGTAAATTTTGAATTTTTGAATTCTTTAGAACTGACTTTAAAATGTTAACATAAAAGCATTCTTATTTGTTAGAAATAAAGGACCTTGTTCACAAAGTCTCATTATTTAGTTCGATTTTTGGAGGAGATATTTGGACATTTAGTAAGAGAGATTAGGAATAAAAATGCCTTTTAAATGTATAAAGTAAAATAATAATTTTAGCTTTTCTGAAAGGGAAACTTGCTGCTCTTGACATTTCTCTAAAACAATTATTTGTAACGGTAGGAGACTGGTATATATATTATTAGATTGTTACATGATTTCTTTTTCCTAAAGCCTTGTTTTCTCTCAGGTGGAAGAACTCAGTAAAATACTCCAACGTGGGAGAAATGAAGATAATAAAAAGTCTGATGTAGAAGTACAAACAGAGAACCATGCTCCTTGGTCAATCTCAGGTATTTAGCTTATAGTGAGGATATGCTAACACTGTTACATTCAAATCATGCTAATGTTGCGTTTTCTTTTAATTTAAAATAAACAAAGATCAAGGTAAATGAGAATTGTTAATACTGTTGACGTCTCTCCATATGATAATGGTATTTTCGGATAATCAATTTGTTCTTCTGGAGGAAAAAGTAGAAATGTATTGTCATTCCTGTGATTTCTATAATGTTGCTAATGTTTTCAGTGGCACACTCACTGAGTAATTTTTGGCAGGCAGTTAGCCATCTACTTCCATATCTGCCTTCCTTGTGACCAGGGGCATTTGTTTTCTTGTTGATGTGTTCTAATTAGAATTATGTATAGTATCAGTCTCTCACCCTTGTGGGAATGGTGAGCCCACCACCATGGCCTTATGAATGGCATTATGTTATAAGGCAAAATAGCTGAGATACTGAGTTTTAATATATATGTGTCACAAGAAGAAATCATCTTTCCTATTAAGTTTTGCCTTGCTTCAGTCAGGACATAATTTTTGGCTAAATTGCTAAACATAGCAATAGTGCTAACTTTTCTTATCTGCATGATACGTTTTAAAAAGTCTGCATGGGGAGAGAAATTTGCCAAAAAATAAATCAATCCCTAATTCCTTGCCTTTATTTCATTATCAGTTGATAAGCAACAGTATTAAGGTATCCAGTTAGAAGTTAAGAGTTAAGTTTTTTAAATAGAACACAACCTATCTACAGATTTTTATTTTACTCTTGCTGTAGAAAATGTAACCAACTTACCTTTTTTTTTTCTTTTTAACTGACAGCTAGGGTCTTGAAGGAGACATTAGAATCAAAGATACACACTTCTGCAGATTTATCTGTGCCATCTGTTTTAATCTTTTAAAATTTGTACAGTTGTAAAAATCATGATTTATTTGAAGTATGTGCTTTTTGTGTTTAAATGCCAGTGTTTTGTAGTTAAGTCCTTTTTATATACATTATTCTAATATGATACGATTTCACTTCATTTTTTTGCTACAGATTATTTTTATCAGACGTACTACAATGACGTTAGTCTTCCAAATAAAGTGACTGAACTGTCAGATCAACAAGATCAAGCTATCGAAACTTCTATTTTGAATTCTAAAGACCATTTACAAGTAGAAAATGATGCTTACCCTGGTACCGATAGAACAGAAAATGTTAAATATAGACAAGTGGACCATTTTGCCTCAAATTCACAGGTAATAAAATGCTAAACATGAAACTGTTGATGCCCAAGAACCTGTCCTTCTTTGTTGTTATTATGTGGAAAGATAGACTTCTTTGGTCCGTCACAGCATATATAAGGGTTATAAACATTCTTATGTGTAATTATGCAAAGAATGTTGTAGTTTTTCCAAAACCAGAATTAGAACTTCTTCATATATGTAGTGGTTTTCCTACTACATTGTGTTCCAAAATTTTGTGATCTACATAAACTAAAACAAAATTTGTCCAGATATTTTGACTGAACAAAAGAACTGTGGACAACAATACCACATTTACACCTAAAAAAATTTTAATGTTCCTTTATGTCAGATACCCTGCCACTATTCAAATTTCCCTGAATCTATAAATTTGTTTTTATAGTTTGTTTGAATTAGGATCCCTATTGTGTTTGATATATCTCATTTAATCTACAGTTTTCTCCTTCATTTGTCTTTTTGAAATTTTTTTTCCAATTGAACATATAATCATTGAAGAACCTAGATCTTTGTCTTAGCCAATATTTCAGGGTCTGTATTTTGTGGATGGCTTCCCTGTGGCATCATACATTTATTCTCGAATAATTGTCACTCATTTTTAGTGCCTTCAAAACTGGGTCAAAGTTGAAGTTACTGACACACTAGTAAATGTTGTAATAAGTGGTTCAAGTCATAATTGATAGTCATGCTTTTCCTTTGTAGAAATTGAAGTCGTTACTTAAACATAGTCTCAGGTCTTGAGTTCAGCCAACTTTTTAATTGATATACAGAAGCTTTTGTCTTATTTGGCATGACTATATCTTTTATAGGAGCCAGCATCTGCATTAGCAACAGAAGATACCTCCTTAGAAGGCTCATCATTAGCTGAAAGTTTGAGAGCTGCAGCAGAAGCGGCTGTATCACAGACTGGATTTAGTTATGATGAAAATACTGGACTGTATTTTGACCACAGCACTGGTTTCTATTATGATTCTGTAAGTATCTCAGACCTTTTTGTTTTGTTTTGTTTTTGAGACAGTCTCCCTCTGTCACCCCGGCTGGAGTGCAGTGGAGTGATCTCAGCTCACTGCAACTTTCACCCCCCAGGTTCAAGTGATTCTTATGTCTCAGCATCCCAAGTAGCTGGGATTACAGGCATGCACCACCACACCCTGCTAATTTTTTGTATTTTTAGTAGAGGCAGGGTTTCGCCATGTCGGCCAGGCTGGTCTCGAATTACATCTCAGACCTTTTAATACTGTATGATACATACTCAGTGCCTGATATCAAATATTAAACCCTAAGCCGAAGTAAGAAAGCAAAAAGCTGCATTTAAAATTATATTTGACTCAAAACTATTTGACAGAAGAATTCTAAAATAGCTTATGATGCTACACTTCTAAGTTTTTAAAATAAGGTTAAGGTTAAAATAAATTTTATTGTGATTATTATAGACAATGTTTTGGAGAAGTCTTTATGTATAAAAATAACAGACAAAAATACTGGAGCTTTTGTTAATAAAAGCAGATAGTTAACTACATCGTAAATATTTTAGAACCTAAACCAGTATTTTTTTCATAGAATTAATAGAGAAGTGAGGTTAATTTTAGGCTTGGAATGAGAATTTTAAAAATTATATCAAATACTTTATGAATTCATTTTAGGCCACATAAGGAGACTTCTTTCTTGAATTCTTAGTAGTATGTTTATTATTAGCCAGTGTTTTATATCCTGTGCCTTTTAACTATTTCACTTTAAACATTCAGTCTGTTGGCTAGGCATGGTGGCTCACTCCTTGTAATCCTAGCACTTTAGGAGGCTGAGGCAGGTGGATTGCTTGAGTCGAGTGCAAGACCAGCCTGGGCAACACAGTGAGACTCTTTCTATAAAAAATTTTAAAAGTCAGCTGGATGTAGTGGCTCACCCTCTAGTCCCAGCTACTCAGGAGGCTGATGTGGGAGCGTCGCTTGAGCTGGGAAGATGGAGGCTGCAGTGAGCCATGATTGCACCACTGCCCTCCAGACTAGGTGACAGAGTGAGACCCTGTCTCAAAAAACAAGCAAACAAAAATCAATCTGTTAGCAATGAGAACTAGGGAATTAATATGGGATCTAAAATATAATGGACCACTGACTAGGATAGAACCAGAAAATAAAGTTCTTGATTTATAATACAGTGTTATAGCTGTTGAAGTCTAATAATTATATTTCGTTGAAGATTTGATGACAATGATAGAACTCAGTCACATACCTCAAACTCAAGAATCTAGTAATGTAATCTGGTTTTCTGAGGAATTATAGAATGTGGTACACAAAAGTGGAGTTGACGTTCATCATTCCTGTTACTGGAACTATTGTTATCTAGAGAACATAAGATAATACTAAATATCTCAATTAACATAAGAGGTGTCATTAGTTTGTCAATCTGCATATGGTAAACTGTAAGTCCTTTGTAAAGAGAGGGTTTTCTTTCATGGGGGTTGCTAATTGACAATGCTAATTAATAACCAGGAAATTAATGTTTAAACACTTATCCAAAGGGAGTAGTTATTTAGTTTCTAGGAAAACAATAGTTTCAAGTAGACATTAGTCTTTGTCAATCTTCTGCCTGTCTTTCTGTATCTTTTCTCTTGACATCAGTTGTTTTGTAAATGGTTAGTACGTTCTGCAGGTTATATTTCTGAGTAAATTAGGAACTTCATTGTGTTGCCATTTTCATTGTGCTAATATTTTAATAAATTTTTTTTATATTTTGAAAATGTCTATATTTTGGACTGATAAACAGATTTAAAAGGTTTGAATTATAAAAGTTCCATTATTACTAGAAATAAAGATTGGAAAGCCTCCACTCAGTTTCTTAGTTAAGAGAAAGATGGTGAGAAATCTAAATATTTTTTGTAAGAGATCTGCAAAATGCATGGATTAAAGACAATAAATTGCAAGTGTCAATAGTTAGAAAAATAAATTATTCTTTTTCAGGAAGTTTTAGTTGCTCAATCTCAGTACATTAAAGATGTTTCCGGGTCTGGTCTGCATGGATTTAGGATGTAAATAAAATATAGACTGTTCAATTAAATTTGGTTTTAGAGTACTGGCCAGTATATCATAAATATAGGTGATTACCTAATTTTATCTTTCTGGTTTTTAAATCTGTAATTTGCCAAATTCATTTATGCATGGTTGCTTGTAAGTCTTATTTACTATAGAACTGATTAATTAGTGGAGACAGTTTATTGATTGCATTTTATAGAATGTTATTTTTTGGTATGCATGAACTTTATTTTCAAAATTTTCTTCTCTAATTTTAAGTTATGAACATCAAAAGACAAATCTTTGTTTTATGACATTGAGAGGAGGGTTTAGGGGTTTATACTGCCACACCATTATTGTGCAGTCATTAAGAATCAGGAGTCTAGAATTGCGCTCATATGGTCAGCTTTTTCTTATGCTTGCTTTAGTTTTCATGCCTTTAAAAGTATTATCAATTTTTTTAATGTATTAAGTGGAACCATATGAAATTGCTGTTTCTTATAAGTTAAAAGTGGTCAAGTATTGACAATTTTATATGATTAAATTTAATATTTAGATTTACTTGTTTCTCACACTAGGAAAATTAGATCAGTTATTGAATGGTAAAGTATTTTGGAAGATTAAAGCATTTTTTATTGTTATCTTTAATTCATTGTCTTCTGAAAATACTATAGTTGTTCAAAGAAATATTTACCACATTTGAATGTATTTGGCATTTTCGTTAAGTTTATTTTATCTTACATGAATAGAATTTATTTTTTTCTTGACTTTCAAAGGAAAATCAACTCTATTATGATCCTTCCACTGGAATTTATTACTATTGTGATGTGGAAAGTGGTCGTTATCAGTTTCATTCTCGAGTAGATTTGCAACCTTATCCGACTTCTAGCACAAAACAAAGTAAAGATAAAAAATTGAAGAAGAAAAGAAAAGATCCAGATTCTTCTGCAACAAATGAGGAAAAGGTAATGTCTTTACAATTTTAAAAATTGACATAATGGTGATAACATGATAATTAAGACAAAATTTTTTATGAAACTGACAATCATTCAATAACTCTGCATTTCAAACATACCCATTAAGATAACCTAGGAAAGTTTAGATGGAGCAAACATGGACTTTTTCATAAACTCTGTCACTAGAAATAGAAAGCATTTCTTAAAATTTGAAGGAGATAGATTAAGGTCAGATAAAATATCTCGTATATAGTTTGGAAGAAGAATTCAGATCCTCAGTTGATAAGTTGATGTCAATGCACAGTTCATAATAAAAGATAAACACAGTTTATAGGTAGACATAGATACAGGTTCAACTTTCTTAGTTATGTGGAGCAATTTTTTACTTACTAGGACAATTTTTTTTTTTTTTTTTGAGACAGAGTTTCACTCTTGTTGCCCGGGCTGGAATGCAATGGCGTGATCTCAGCTCACCGCAACCTCCGCCTCCCAGGTTCAAGTGATTCTCCTGCCTCAGCCTCCCGAGTAGCTGGGATTACAGGCATGCACCAACACGTCTGGCTAATTTTTTTGTAATCTTAGTAGAGACGGGGCTTCTCCATGTGGTCAGGCTCGTCTCGAACTCCTGACCTCAGCTGATCCTCCTGCCTCTGCCTCCCAAAGTGCTGAGATTACAGGCATGAGCCACCGCACCCGGCCAGGAAAATATTAAAAAAAAAAAAAAAATCCATTGCTGACAACTGTGGAGTGAGATAACATATTTATTAGGATTAATAGTTTAAATGGCCTGCAAGACAATGGTTAAGAAAGCGATAGTTACATTTAATTTAAAAAAGTATTATGTAGGCTTTCAGATGGTACTTGTAAAGACTAAGGGGAACCCCAAAAATGCTTATGATGATGCAATGTTAAATTGAAAGAAGGAAAATATAAAAAGTTAACAGTGTTCTTTATTTCTACTCTCTAAACAGGTAAGTTTGGTGGTTTATAGGTTATAAAGGAGGCTTGTTTGTTTTATTGATATTTTATGAACTGTGGCAACTATTTGATATCTTACTCTTGAAATTTTATCTCATGGTTTCCTGTCCTGTCCTTTCCTGTCCTATCTCTGTCCTGTCTTGTCCTTCTGTCCTGTCCTGTTCTGTCCTTCTGTCCTGTCCTGTTCTTTTTTGAGACAGGGTCTTGCTCTGTCACCCAGGTTGAGTGCAGTGGTGCCATCATGGCTCACTGCATCCTCGACCTCCTGAGCTCAAGTGATCTGCCTACCTCAGCCTCCCAAAGTGCTGGGATTATAGGCGTGAGCCACTGTGCCAGCCAGTTTTTCTTTTCTTAACCAAAGAAAAATTACTTGATACTAAATTGTAAAGTTCACATAAGGAATTAGGATTCTGTTAGATTTTTTCTGTTCTCCTATTTGATTTGCTTCTGTTCTATTTTTTTGTGAACAATACTTAGGAATAGAAGAGTATGTGACTAAAATACTAAAAATCAGTTTTCTGTTTGCTTTCAAGATCTCTGTTTTAATGGCTTGTGCTTGTTACTAGTGGTTTGATTGTTTGAAAGGCTAGGTTGTAGGTCGGGTGTGATGGCTTATGCCTGTAATCCCAGCAATTTGGGAGGCCGAGGCAGGCGGGTTGCCTGAGGTCAGGAGTTCAAGACCAGCCTGGCCAACATGGTGAATCCCCGTCTCTACTAAAAATACAAAAATTAGCCAGGTGTGGTGGCAGATGCCTGTAATCCCAGCTGCTTGGGAGGCTGAGGCAGGAGAATCGCTTGAACCTGGGAGGCGGAGGTTGCAGTGAGCCAGGATCGCACCACCACACTGCAGCCTGGGCAACAGAGCGAGACTCCATCTCAAAAAAAAAAAAAAAAAAAAGAAGAAGGCTAGGTTGTGAAAGCACCTCTCCCTAACAATAGAAGAAGAATATGTAGGGCTCCTCAAATGGCCTTGCCTGAAAAACTAGAGAATAGACATGGAAAGCATTCTGTGATATTTTGGTCCAGCCTCGCTCCCATAACTACTCATCTTTGCCATTCTTCTTTGAAAATGTGCGAATTCCAAGACAAGAACTTTTTTTATTTATTTATTTATTTATTTATTTATTTTTAATTTATTTTTTTATTGATAATTCTTGGGTGTTTCTCACAGAGGGGGATTTGGCAGGGTCATGGGACAATAGTGGAGGGAAGGTCAGCAGATAAACAAGTGAACAAAGGTCTCTGGTTTTCCTAGGCAGAGGACCCTGCGGCCTTCCGCAGTGTTTGTGTCCCTGGGTACTTGAGATTAGGGAGTGGTGATGACTCTTAACGAGCATGCTGCCTTCAAGCATCTGTTTAACAAAGCACATCTTGCACCACCCTTAATCCTTTTAACCCTGAGTGGACACAGCACATGTTTCAGAGAGCACAGGGTTGGGGGTAAGGTCACAGATCAACAGGATCCCAAGGCAGAGGAATTTTTCTTAGTGCAGAACAAAATGAAGTCTCCCATGTCTACTTCTTTCTACACAGACACGGCAACCATCCGATTTCTCAATCTTTTCCCCACCTTTCCCGCCTTTCTATTCCACAAAGCCGCCATTGTCATCCTGGCCCGTTCTCAATGAGCTGTTGGGCACACCTCCCAGACGGGGTGGTGGCCGGGCAGAGGGGCTCCTCACTTCCCAGTAGGGGCGGCCGGGCAGAGGCGCCCCTCACCTCCCGGACAGGGCGGCTGGCTGGGCGGGGGGGCTGACCCCCCCCACCTCCCTCCCGGACGGGGCGGCTGGCCGGGCGGGGGGCTGACCCCCCCCACCTCCCTCCCGGACGGGGCGGCTGGCCGGGCAGAGGCGCCCCTCACCTCCCGGACGGGGCGGCTGGCCGGGCGGGGGGGCTGACCCCCCCCCACCTCCCTCCCGGACGTGGCGGCTGGCCGGGCGGGGGGCTGACCCCCCCACCTCCATCCCGGACGGGGCGGCTGGCTGGGCAGAGGGGCTCCTCACTTCCCAGTAGGGGCGGCCGGGCAGAGGCGCCCCTCACCTCCCGGACGGGGCGGCTGGCCGGGCAGGGGGGCTGACCCCCCCCACCTCCCTCCCGGACGGGGCGGCTGGCCGGGCGGGGGCTGACCCCCCCACCTCCCTCCCGGGCGGGGCGGCTGGCCGGGCGGGGGGCCGACACCCCCACCTCCCTCCCGGGCGGGGCGGCTGGCCGGGCGGGGGGCCGACACCCCCACCTCCCTCCCGGGCGGGGCGGCTGGCCGGGCGGGGGGCCGACCCCCCCACCTCCCTCCCGGACGGGGCGGCTGGCCGGGCGGGGGGCCGACCCCCCCACCTCCCTCCCGGACGGGGCGGCTGGCCGGGCAGAGGGGCTCCTCACTTCCCAGTAGGGGCGGCCGGGCAGAGGCGCCCCTCACCTCCCAGACGGGGCGGCTGGCCGGGCGGAGGGCTGACCCCCCCACCTCCCTCCCGGACAGGGCGGCTGGCCGGGCGGGGGGCTGACCCCCCCACCTCCCTCCCGGACGGGGCGGCTGGCTGGGCAGAGGGGCTCCTCACTTCCCAGTAGGGGCGGCCGGGCAGAGGCGCCCCTCACCTCCCAGACGGGGCGGCTGGCCGGGCGGAGGGCTGACCCCCCCACCTCCCTCCCGGACAGGGCGGCTGGCCGGGCGGGGGTCTGACCCCCCCACCTCCCTCCCGGACGGGGCGGCTGGCCGGGCAGAGGGGCTCCTCACTTCCCAGTAGGGGCGGCCGGGCAGAGGCGCCCCTCACCTCCCAGACGGGGCGGTTGGCCGGGCGGAGGGCTGACCCCCCCACCTCCCTCCCGGACGGGGCGGCTGGCCGGGCGGGGGGCTGACCCCCCCACCTCCCTCCCGGACGGCACGGCTGGCCAGGCGGGGGGCTGACCCCCCCCCCCCCGGATGGCACGGCTGGCCGGGCGGGGGGGCTGACCCCCCACCTCCCTCCCGGATGGGGCGGCTGGCCGGGCGGGGGGCTGATCCCCCCCACCTCCCTCCCGGACGGGGTGGCTGCCGGGCGGAGACGCTCCTCACTTCCCAGATGGGGTGGCTGCCGGGCGGAGAGGCTCCTCACTTCTCAGAGTGGGCAGCTGCCGGGCGGAGGGGCTCCTCACTTCTCAGACGGGGTGGTTGCCAGGCAGAGGGTCTCCTCACTTCTCAGACGGGGCGGCCGGGCAGAGACGCTCGTCACCTCCCAGACGGGGTCTCGGCCGGGCAGAGGCGCTCCTCACATCCCAGATGGGGCGGCGGGGCAGAGGCGCTCCCCACATCTCAGACAATGGGCGGCCGGGCAGAGACGCTCCTCACTTCCTAGATGTGATGGCGGCTGGGAAGAGACGCTCCTCACTTCCTAGATGGGATGGCGGCCGGGCGGAGACGCTCCTCACTTTCCAGACTGGGCAGCCAGGCAGAGGGGCTCCTCACATCCCAGACGATGGGCGGCCAGGCAGAGACACTCCTCACTTCCCAGACAGGGTGGCGGCCGGGCAGAGGCTGCAATCTCGGCACTTTGGGAGGCCAGGGCAGGCGGCTGGGAGGTGTAGGTTGTAGTGAGCCGAGATCACGCCACTGCACTCCAGCCTGGGCACCATTGAGCACTCGACAAGAACTTTTAAGAAAAATCCTGTTGGAATTTTGAGAATTTCCTGAGGATTCTAAAAGGTACCTGTGAGGCCAAGAGAGTATCTTCATCTGTTTTCTTTATTTTTAAAGATATTTTTGAGCCTCACTTTTTGTAGGTGAAGGTTATGTGGAAGGAAGACAGTAGGGGAGATAGGAGTAAATAATTTGAAATATACATATGTGCCTCAGTGCCCATAAATAAGCCCTCCTTTCTTTTCACTTAATGACTATCTAATGTTCTGTACTGGCAAATAGCTTTCCCTGCATATGTTGTTCAGTAAGTAATAAATATACAAGATTGGAAACTGCTTTTTTAAGAGTATATACAGATAGGGAACTTTTTTGCTATAATTTTATAATGTAAAAGCTCCTCATGGTTTTTCAGCTCCTTGCCCTTGTTCTTGTTCTGGGTGAATTTGTATTGCTAGAAGTGTGTATAATTTATCACACTGTGAATGTTTAGCCAGTCTCCAAGCTGAACTTACGCTGTTATCAAAGATAGGTATGTGAGGTGGATGGATCATGAGGTCAAGAGATCGAGACCAGTCTGGCCAACATGGTGAAACCCCATCTCTACTAAAAATAAAAAAATTACCTGGGTATGGTGGTGCGCATGCCTGTAGTCCCAGCTACTCGGGAGGCTGAGGCAGTAGAATCTCTTGAACCTGGGAGGTGGAGGTTGGAGCGAGCCGAGATCGCGCCACTGCACTCCAGCCTGGGCGACAGAGCGAGACTCCGTCTCAAAAAAAAAAAAAAAGAAAGAAAGGTGTGTGAGATGCTCTCATATTTTATAAAATAACAGAAGAGCATATGAATTCGCCTCATGTTGCTCTGAGGTAGAAAGAAAAGTGAGAGTGCGTTAGAAACCAAGGGAAAAAAATGGAAAATAATTATTTACTTTTTCTAAGGCTGAAATGATAGATTTGACCATTGTATAACACGGTGACTATTGTTAATAACAATGTGTTGTATTATTGCAAACTGCTGAGAGCAAATTTTAAGTTTCTTACCACAGAAAAATAAGTATTTGAGGTAATGTACATGTTAATTAGCTCAATTTAACCACTGTACATTGTGTACGTATTTCAAAACTTCATGTTGTACATGATAAAAATACATCATTTTTGTTAATTAAAAAATGTTCATTTATTATAAGGCATATCAACTATAAATGTACAATAAATAATAAAAGACTTATGCCAGGCAAGTTAAAATTTTGGAATAAGATAGTCACAGTTAATTTGTACTTTAAACTTTTATGTATTATCAAGCTGAATCTGAAGTACTAAATTTTAGCAAAACTACAATTTTGCTACATATTGAGTACATTTGGATCTTTAAATTCATGTCATAAGTAAAGCTAATTCTGTATTTTATTTGTGTTGACTAGCTAATTGATTACCAGTTTAAAAAGAAAATTTAGAATAGGTATTCTTTAGGCCTGCACTATCCAGTAAGGTAGCCAGCAGCTCCATGTGGCTGTTGAGCACTTGAAGTTTTGCTAATCCAAACTCAAATGTGCTGTTAAGTGTAAAATACACTCTGGATGTTGCAGACTATGTAAACTATCTCATTAATAATTTTACTTTTTAAATGTGGCTACTAGAAAATGTAAAAGTACAAATATGGTTTGTGTTACATTTTTATTGGACACCATTGGTCTAGGCTATCCCATAGTCCAGGCAGTATGTGATGAGGGCCTGAACTAGGAATGTTAAGACATTGAGAATAGAGAGACAGATTTGGATATATTTTGAGAAAAGTCTGTAGCACTTCGTAATTTTATATATGGTTAAGGGGATCTCAGAGATAACTATAGGATTTTTAATTTGGATAATAAGAAGATGGTAATATCATTAACCAAGAAAGGAAATGTGAGAAGGAGAGGGGGAACAGATTGTAACCATTGTTATTTTACTGACACATATCTTCACGAATTCGTTGAAACTTGATGTAATGTTATAAGATAGTGATGTTTAAGAGTATTCTCCCCTGTTCCCTCGTATCTACCCACCCTTCTCCAGGATTTGAACTCAGAGGATCAAAAAGCCTTCAGTGTTGAACATACAAGCTGCAATGAGGAAGAAAATTTCGCAAATATGAAAAAGAAGGCCAAAATAGGCATTCATCACAAAAATAGTCCCCCCAAAGTCACTGTTCCAACTAGTGGAAATACTATAGAGTCTCCTCTTCATGAAAACATCTCTAATTCAACATCATTTAAAGATGAGAAAATCATGGAGACTGATAGTGAACCAGAGGAAGGTGAAATTACAGACTCTCAGACTGAGGATAGTTATGACGAAGCCATTACCAGTGAAGGCAATGTAACTGCAGAAGATAGTGAGGATGAAGGTGAGTAAATAATCATTATTTAAGTAAATAGCCCAGTCTGGTAACTATAAAAGAGCAAAACCATTAAAAATGTTAGTGAGTTGTAGTATATCTGCCAGAAAGTAAACATTATTTTAATGATGTTATTGAAAATGTTGTGGGTTGCCACTTGGTTATTCTTAGAGAGTAGGATGTGAATAAATGACTAATACTTAGACCTTCAGAAGGTTTCATTGTATTGAATGGCATAGTCAGTAGAATACAAAGCCAGGTTACCTGGATTCTAATCTTAAAATATAGATTAAGGCTGTTTTAGTGGGTTAGATATTTGTAGTCTACTTTTGTAACTGAGAGAGAAAAACAAGTTGTCTTTAAAAAGTATACATTATGAATTCAGCTACATGGATATTATGGTAAATCTAATTTTTTTTTACTTGAATATATAAAGACATACTTTTAAAACACAGGATTTCATATTACAGTTGGCCTTCTGTATCCATGGGTTCTACTTTAGTGGATTCAAGCAACCTCAGATCAAAAATATTCAGGGAAAAAAATGGATAGCTACATCTGTACTGAACATGTACACACTTTTTTTCTTGTTATTGTCCCCTAAATATGGTGTACCTATTTATATAGCATTTACATTGTATTAGGTGTAAGTAATCTAGAGATGATTTAAGTTATACAGAAGGATGCACATAAGTTATATGCAAATACGATACAATTTATATAAGGACTTGAACATCCATAGATTTTGGCATATGAGGAGGGATCTTGGAACTAATCCCCCACAGATACCGAGGGCCAACTGTGTAGTATATGAGCTTACTTTGTTCTTTGGTTCTCAATGGCATTTCTCTTGCATTTTTTTTGAGACAGAGCCTTGCTCTATTGCCCAGGCTGGAGTGCAGTGGCGCAGTCTCGGCTTACTGTAACCTCCGCCTCCTGGGTTCAAGTGATTCTCTTGCCTCAGCCTCCCAAGTTGCTGGGACTACAGGCGCATGTCACCACGCACACCCAGCTAATTTTTGTATTTTTAGTAGAGACAGGGTTTGACCATGTTGGCCAGGGTGGTCTTGAACTCCTGACCTCAGGTGATCTGCCTGCGTCGGCCCCCCAAAGTGCTGGGATTATAGGTGTGGACCACTGTGCCTGGCCTTTTTTTTTTTTTTTTTAATGGACTCAATTTTTATAACTTAAAATAATATAAAAATATTTGGGATTTTTTCAGATTCTGAAACCTTAAAAAAGAAAGAGTTGATTATTTGATAACTGTGATAGATGCTAAATATGCAGCAACCTTTATGTGGATCACTTTAATAACAGTGTTAAGCCTTACCCATTGCTGCGTATTATACAGCAGAATTTAAGAAGTTTGTTTTAGTCAGAATTAAGATTTTTGACCAACACATTTTTATTTTATGGATGCCTCCTAGTTATCCCTATGAAGTTCTTTTTCATAGTAGTTAAATTAATATTTACTCACTTCTTTCCTTGGCAGATGAAGACAAAATTTGGCCCCCATGTATTAGAGTAATTGTCATTAGATCACCTGTGTTGCAGATAGGATCACTCTTTATCATTACTGCTGTAAACCCTGCTACAATTGGAAGGTAAAATGGTTAATATTATTATATCATTCTTTCAGTTATTTCAGAAAGGCTTTATTAAGAGCATGTATTTTTGTTTGTTTGTTTGTTTTTTGTTTTTGAGACAGAGTTGTGCTCTGTTGTCCAGGCTGGAGTGCAGTGGCACGATCTCGGCTCATTGCAACCTCCGCCTCCTGGGTTCAAGCAGTTCTCCTGCCTCAGCCTCCTGAGTAGCTGGGATTACAGGCGTGCACCACCACGCCCAGCTGATTTTTGTGTTTTTAGTAGAGACGGGGGTTTCACCATGTTGGCCAGACTGGTCTCGAACTCCTCAAGTGATCCACCCACCTCAGGCTCCCAAAGTGCTAGGATTACAGGCACATAAGCTGCCACGCCTGGCCATTATGTTAAGCATTATTCTATGTGCTGTGGATACAAAGAGGACTAATGCAAAATGTCTACCCAAAGGAAGCACAGTCTAGGGGGAAAGAAGACATGAGTAAATAATCACTGTGTGAAAGCACAGGAAATCTAGAGTAGCAGTAAGGAAACTGGATAATCCATAACCAGGAGATTTACTGTTGATAGACGTGTATTTTAACATTATCTGTTTTTTAAAATTCTTTCCATGTCACTTTATATAATATGCTTCAAAAATTATTAAAGACACTTTACTTAACTCTGCAGAGAAAAGGATATGGAACATACTCTCCGAATCCCTGAAGTTGGTGTCAGTAAGGTAAGCTCTTTGATTTATCAAATATAGTCCCCTAGATGTAATTTTTTATATTATTATTACAGTAGAAAGCTTAGGGATTTTTCTCATTTAATAGGAA
The DNA here is from genome assembly GCF_000001405.40 of Homo sapiens. Classification (NCBI taxonomy): domain Eukaryota; kingdom Metazoa; phylum Chordata; class Mammalia; order Primates; family Hominidae; genus Homo; species Homo sapiens. The sequence goes on from NC_000005.10 coordinate 77,049,085, forward strand.
GGTTAACATGCAGTGTAGTAATGGTAATAAAGGCAGTGCAGATCTGTTTATTCCAGTGCTTGAGAAAATAATTCTTTATCACAATTTGAATAAATAAAATTATGTTTATTTTTAAGAATCTGGACAAGAGTAGAAAGCATATGAAGTCTTAAAGTAGTACCCACTTAATGAATATTTATTGAGTGAAATAAATAGGCTACATTTTATGACCTTTAAAAAATGAATCTTACCTGGCTTCTGGCTACTTTAGTAGGTGGTTACTTTGAGCCGGAGGATTTCACAACCCAAGAATATATCCTATACCACTCAGGGTTCTTGTTTAAAACTTCTCCTAATTGAGCATCTAATGGTTTCAGGAAAAAGAACAATTGAGTTTTCAAAACAAATAGAACAGAATTGCAACTCAAGTTATAAGTAGAAAACAACTAAAGGTTTAGCTGCTGAGATTCTTTATATATTTTTACTTTTTTTTTTTTTTTTTTTGAGATAGGATTTCACTCTGTTACCCAGGCTGGAGTACAGTGATGTGATCACGACTCACTGCAGCCTCATCTTCCCGGGTTCAAGCAATCCTCCCGCCTCAGCCCCGAAGGTAGCTGGGACTACAGGCATACTCTACCATGCCCAGCTAATCTTTATGTATTTCATAGAGATGCAGTTTCACCTGGGTGTTCGCTAGGCTGGTCTCAAACTCCTGGGCTCAAGTGATCTTGCCTCTGCCTCCCAAAGTGTTGGGATTACAGGCGTGAGCCACCGCGTCTGGCTGAGGCTCTTTATATTTCTCTTTCCTGTACTATGTTTTCTGTGTTTTCTCTCTCCTCTCTTATGGTTGTTATCTTTTTTCCTGTTTTGCTTTTCTCTTTTTTTGACCTTCCATTGTTCCCATTTTGCTTTTATTTAACGGACTGTAATGTGGACCTAAAGTAGATTTTATGTGATGTTTGTCTTTTTGGAATATAATTTCTCATTTTTAATTTGAAAGTCCATTTACTTTCACTTTCTGGGGACTCATTCAGAAAGAGGAAAAAGTCCTCTTAATTTTAATTCTAAGCAGATTATGTTGCTTTTTTACTTTTTTACTATGACCTTGAGTCTCCTGCCTCCAAAAAAATAAAACAACACCTAATCTGTAACTTAAATAGCAAAGCGATCTGAGATCCTTCCCCACCTCCAGTCTAAACCATAGATAGTTCTATGGTGGCTTTTTCTTTTTCTTTGTTTCTTTTTTTTTTTTTTTTTTTTTTTTTTTTTATAGAGACAGGGTCTTAACTGTGTTGCCCAGGCTGGAATGCAGTGGCACGCACCACAGCCTCTGACACCTCCTGGGCTTAAGTGATCCTCCTGCCTCAGTTTCCTGAGTAGCTAGCACTATAGGCACACACCACCACACCAGGCTTCTGGTGGCATTTCTGTTTTTTCTTTCATTTAAACTAACATCCGCTAGTGGGGTGGATAATTTGTTGGTGAAGTCAGTTTGATAGCACATATAACATGTATCCAAATAGATGAAAAACTTTTAAAAAAGAAGCTTAATGTTAGGGGAAAAAACAAGTATTTGACCACTAGATAGAAGACTTTCTGAGTTTAAAAAATGGTAAAAATTACAAAGGACAAAATGATCTTGCTCTTTATATGTTAAGAAACCAATTTAGAAGGCAGACTCGGACAGGCACAACAAATATGACACAATATACATTATTTATTTTTGAAAAGTTCATGCAAATTTATGTTTTCAAACTCCACTGTGACACCAGTAGATAAATGAGCAAAAGATACATCAGGCAGTTCACAGTAAAGGAAATATCATGGTTAATATATGAAAAACCATTTAGTCTTTCTAGTAATCTAAGAAATACAGATGAAGCCAAGGTGTGAATTTTCATTCATCATTTATTAAATATCACTCCTTTTGGGAATGTAATTTAGAAAAGCTTTTTGGAATAGGGTTTGGCAGTACAGAAAGACTTATTCTAAACAATCCAGTTGGAAAAAAGTGTACAAAGGACATAAAAAGAAAATTTACAGAAGAGGAAACCCAAATGGCTAATAAATATTAAGAGTTTGGGGGGTTGGGCGCGGTGGCTTATGCTTGTAATCCCAGCACTTTGGGAGGCTAAGGTAGGCAGATCACGAGGTCAGAAGATCAAGACCATCCTGGCTAACACGGTGAAACCCCATCTCTACTAAAAATACAAAAAATTAGCCAGGTGTGGTGGCGGGTGCCTGTAGTCCCAGCTACTCGGGAGGCTGAGGCAGGAGAATGGCATGAACCTGGGAGGTGGAGCTTGCAGTGAGCCGAGATCATGCCACTGCACTCCGGCCTGGGCAACAGAGCGAGATTCCATCTCAAAAAAAAAAAAAAAGAGTTTTGGTAGTAATCCAGGAAATGCAAGTTAAAATCACAATGATAAGGCAATTTCACACCTCTTAGGCTAGCAAAAATTAAAAATTTTGGCAACATCAAGTTTTGGTTTAGTATACATAGAGCAGCAAGAATTCTCACAGACTGCTGGTGGGAATATGAATTGATACAACCACTTTGGAAAACAGTTATGTAGTAAAGTTGAAGATTTGCTTATGTTATGATTTAGCAATTCCATTCCTAAGTGTGTATTCCAGAGAAACATTTGCATTTTGTACACAAATAGATTGCAGGTACAAGAAGGTTTATAGTAATATTTTTAAAAATAGTAAAACCTTGGAAAAAAACCCTGAATGTCTGTTTTCAGAAGGATGGGTGGATAGATTGTGGTATATCCACACAATGGATTACCATTCAGCAAAATGAATGAACGACAACTCTATAACTGTGTATAACAACTGGATGAACCTCATGACTTAATGTTAAAGAAGCAAAATAAGAGGAATAGATAGAGTGTTATGGAACAAGGAGGGAAAGATTAGTCCTAACTATTGAACATCTTGGAAACTTCTCTGAGAAGTTGGCCTTGAGTGTTTCAAATCACATTTTGTATTAAGAATTTTTGGCCAGGTGTGGTGGCTCATGCTTGTAATCCCAGCACTTTGGGAGGCTGAGGCGGGAGGATCACTTGAGCTCAGGAGTTTGAGACCAGCCTGGGCAACATGGTGAAACCCTGTCTCTACAAAAATTACAAAAATTAACCAGGTATGGTGGCACATGCCTGTGGTCCCAGCTACTCAGGAAGCTGAGGTGGGAGGATCGCTTGAGCCCAGGAGGTCAAGGCTGCAGGAAGCGGTGATCACACCACTGCACTGTAGCCTGGGTGACAGAGCGAGACCCTGTCTCAAAAAAAAAAGTTTTTGATGATATGGACCAAAAAAAAAAAGTTTTTAATGATATGTACAAATACTTACATTAGGTCAAAATTTTTCAAATTATAATCTCTAGTACCAAAGGAGAAGAGGTAGGACATATTCTAAATTTTTCATGGTAATTAAAGGTAGATTTATAGATGACATTTTCTTCTATAGCCTCTGTTTCTACCAGAAGCATATAATAGTTTGTGTTTCTAAAAAAGTATTAAGTATAATAAAATTTAAATTATCAAAGGCTCAAGTTAACATCATCATATCATACAGAAATTGTCCATAGTTTTGAAAAGTATAATAATTAATAATTGCTTGATTTCACTTTCTAAGTTTCATGCAGAAATTTATTTTGACCATGACTTACAAAGTTATGTCCTTGTGGATCAAGGCAGTCAAAATGGCACAATTGTTAATGGAAAACAGATTCTTCAGGTGAGTGTATATGTGTTAATTTGTTACCTGCACATTATTTTTAAACTGATTTTTTTTTATTTCTGAAGGGCATAATCTTTATCATTTGGTTCAGAGTAGAGTTAAGCCCAAATGTGTTACTTCGGAAGGAATTTCCAGAAAGGCTGAAAAAAGTGTATAATCAGTGGGTACTTACTTGGCTGTTGAGTTTTGACTTCTAATTATGTATCTATGCCTTATTTTCAGTTATGACTCCATTGTAAAGCTATTCAGAGTAAGTGTGTAAATGTCTCAATAGCAACTTTGAAGGTCGTCCCTTTTTTTATTGTCTTAATGGAAATGTTACTAAATTGAAAACTGTATTAAAGGGAAAAGCTATGTCTATTCAGTTAACACTTAACATCCTCAGCATGTAGCAAAGTATTTGGCATAAATAAGAAAATATAGGGGCTGGGCGTGTTGGTTCTGACGCCTGTAATCCCAGCACTTTGGGAGCCCGAGGCCAGTGGATCATCTGAGGTTAGGAGTTCAAGACCAGCCTGGCCACCATGGTGAAACCTCATCTCTACTAAAAATACAAAAATTAGCTGGGCGTGGTGGTGTGTGCCTGTTATCCCAGCTACTTGGGATGCTGAGGCAGGAGAATCGTTTGCACCGGGGAGGTGGAGGTTGCAGTGAGCCGAGATCACGCCATTGCACTCCAGCTTGGGCTACAGAGTGAGACTGTCTCAAAAAAAGAAAAAATATAGGAAGGCGGGAGGCCTTATTCTTAGTCTGTAAGAGTAAAAATGGAAATAAAACTGAGTTATCAAGAGAGAAGAAAAGGGAGATGTGATGCATTTATCCCATTCTCTTAACATTTCATCTTTTTTTATTGTGATGATTATATGTTTTGGTAATAGATTGAAGTCTAGAATTGGATATTTCTGATTGGATAGGGAGACTGGTGGGTTTGACAAGTTGCTCAGTTCAGCTATCTTCATCTCCAATAGTAGTACTTTTTTTATGGGTCATTAAGTTGGGGAAGTGTGTGCATGTGTGTATGTGTATGTGTCTATTTCATTTATAGCTATTTTAAATATATTTTAAAAATTATAATCAGACATTACTTACAGTAGATGTAAGGTAACCATAAGTGATTGTTTTGATTTCTGTTTTGTAAAATGTTTCCCCTCTAGCCGAAAACTAAATGTGACCCTTACGTACTTGAGCATGGAGATGAAGTCAAAATTGGAGAAACTGTCTTATCCTTTCACATTCATCCTGGCAGTGATACCTGTGATGGCTGTGAACCAGGGCAGGTTAGAGCCCACCTTCGCCTTGATAAGAAAGATGAATCTTTTGGTATGTGAAACAGATTAAATGTGGCTGTGATAACATTTCTCTTTCATTACCTAAATGTTCTAAAAAACATCAGTCAGCTACTGGCTACATGTCTAATTGATACGATACTGCATTGAGAGATATTTTATACAAAGCTATCAGTCTTGTATCCAGTTGATCTAATAATAGATTGAGATATATTTCGTAAATATTACCAAATGAGACTAAGAAATAACATATATTTGGAAGTTGAGACCTAGGCTAATAGATTATAATTGTAGTTGATTTTTCTGTGTAATAATTTAGCTTCATGATATGTAGCATTGGTCTGCTTTTTGACCAGGAAAGAGATTGATAAGCTCTCTTTCTGCTAATCCAGTTTAGTAGGCTTTTGAGGCAGACTGTAGTGGTAGTCAAATGTACTTAAGAGCAGTTGTAATTGAAAATTGGTAAGAGAGTAGATTTTAAGTGTTTTTACCATACACAAAAAATGATAAGTACATGAAGTAGTAATGGGTATGTTAATGAGGTTGATTTAGCCAGTTAACAGTGTATACCTACATCAAAAATCATGTTGTATACCATATATACAATTTTTATCAATTAAAATAATTTAAAAAGTAATTATGACTTAAGTAATAATTTAATAAAGACTGGTTTCCTTTTGACAGGTATGTATTGATGTAAAAAAAGTCATCCACAGTTGAACTCTGTCATATAATATTAACGTAGGAAATAATAAGCCAAGGCATGAAGGGTTATTGATTGATACGTTTTCTGTCCTATTGATAGCTCGTGCTGTATATTGTCTATGTACCATTATTCTTTATTATAATAGCACTGTAGGATATTACTGTTTTGCTTTCAGCCCAGCCATCGAAAGCTCTTAAAATTTAAATAGATGCTTTGAACTAGTAAGAGGTCATCTTTTTTGACATAAATTTTCCCCCTAAATGCCAAGTTTGCATGTTCATTGTTTATTTTTTGTTTTCTGATACTAATTTGAAAATGAATATGTTGCATTACACAATAACATGAATTTTGGTTTCTCTGGCTTTTATTTTGCATATGGCTATGTTCCTTTGCAAAATTTACTTAATATTTCTGCATTTGAGATTCTATTACAATAATCATATTGAAAAATCGAGATGTTCATTGTTCATTTTGGTAGCTATAAGATTCCTATTATCTGTGGTTTTTGCTTTACTTCTCAATTAGGTTTAGTTACCAAAATGCTGAAAGGACATCATCACAACCCAATATCCTTTATATTAATGTTTATTTCAACTTCTGGTTAATTGGAATGGGTTATATTAGTTTTTTATTAATTAAATAACATTAGTTTTAATTTTGTACAAAATCAGATTTAGTGGCTTTTTTTTAACCAAACTTTTTTTCTTTCAGTTGGTCCAACACTAAGTAAGGAGGAAAAAGAGTTGGAAAGAAGAAAAGAATTAAAGAAAATACGAGTAAAATATGGTTTACAGGTGAGGATGTTGAATATTGTTTCATTTGTTAAGCTGTATATCTGGTTTTGAGTAAAAATGTCTTTAAATATGCTCAGTACATTTTATATATAAATAGTTGTGTAGTATGATTTCGTGATTTGTATTAGTTTACTGTTCTGGTATTCATAACCTAAAAACTATTGAAGTTGGAGTAGAAAAATGATAATAGCCTACATTTGAATATACATTTCTGGTTTTCAGAAAACTTGCATTAAGATGCCTTGACATAACTAGACATGATAGTGTCTGTAGTTTGTAGTCCCTGGTACTTGGGAGGCTGAGGCAAGAAGATCGCTTTAGATCAGGAGTTCAAGGCTGCAGTGAGCTGTGATCACACTTATGAATAGGCTCTGCACTCCAGCCTGGGCAATATAGCGAGATCTTATCTCTACAAAATGATGCCATTGATTGAACAACATAGTTGGAGAACTAATATGACCTGATGTAAAGACTTATTATAATTAAACTGCAGTGATTAAGGTAGTATCATATTGGCATAAAGATAAATGGATGGAACAAAATAATAGTCCAGAAGTAGATCCATGTATATGTGTGGACAATTAATTTTTGATAAAGGTGTGATGGCAGTTTGGTGGAGAAAGAGTGGTCTTTTTTTTTTTTTTTTTTTTGAGACAGAGTCTTACTCTGTCACCCAGGCTGGAGTGCAGTGGCACAATCTCAGCTCACTGCTACCTCTGTCTCCTGGGTTCAAATGATTGTCCTGCCTCAGCCTGACAAGCAGCTGTGATTGCAGGGGCCCGCCACCACGCCCCGCTAATTTTTGTATTTTTAGTAGAGACAAGGTTCACAGCGTTGGCCAGGCTGGTCTTGAACTCCTGACCTCAGGTGATCTGCCCACCTTCGCCTCCCAAAGTGCTGGGATTACAGGTGCGAGCCACTGTGCCCGGCCAAGAGTGGTCTTTTACAACAAATGGTGGTAGAATAATTGGATGGCCTTACCAAAAAAAAAAACACAGACAAAAAGAATGTTGATCCATACCTTGAACCATCTATAAAAATGATCCAAAAGTGGATCATAGATATAAAAGTAAAACCTAAAACTTTAAAACTTCTAGAAACTTTTTTTTTAAAGGCAAAGATTCTAACACCAAAAGCACAATCCTTAAGAACAAATTGATAATCTGTATTTCTTCAAAATTAAAAATTAATGTTTTTCTAAAGACACTATTAAGAGAATGAAAAGACAAGCCACAGCTGGAGAAAATATTTGCAAATCATGTATCTGGTCAAAGACTTCTATATCTAGAATATACAAAAAACTTTCAAAACTTAATAATAAGAAAACAACTCAGTTAAAAAATGGGCCAAAGATTTGAATAGATGCTTCACCAAAGAAGATATGCTGATGGCAAATAAACATCTGAAAAAATGTTCAGTATTATCAGTCTTTAAGGAAATGCAAATTAAAACCACAATGAGATACCACTACACATCTATTAGAATGCCTAAAATTTTCAAAACTGACTATAACAGGTATTGGAAGGGTTGTGGAGGAACTAGAAATCTCATACACTGCTGGTGGGAATGTAAAATGGTGCGGTTGCTTTGGTAGTTTCTTAAAAAGTTAAACATACACCTATTTTACAAGTTAGCCATTCTACTCTGAGATATTTACCCAAGGTAAATGCAACCATATGTGCATAAAAAGACCAGTAAACAAATGTTCATTGCATTTTTTTTTTGAATAACCAAAAACTGAGAAAAACTCAAATGTCTGTCATATATGGATAAGCAAACTATGGTGTTATCTGTATGGTGAAAATACTACTTAGCAATAAAAAAGCAGGAACTAGTAATATAGGCCACAACCTGGATGAATCTCAAAATAGTTATGTTGAGTGAAGCCAGATAAAACACGTGTATGTGCTTCCACTTGTGGAACAATTTCACTATTCACTGGTTTCCAACTTGTCTGAGGTCTGTGAGACGGAACACACTCTCATACAAGTTACATGAAGCAAACTTACTACTTACAAATAGTGAGCAAGAGATGACAGAAGCCTAGGATTTATTGGGAAACCAACCCCCAAAGCTCAGAAAGCTGCCTTCTGGGTGAATGGAGTCTCAACTGTGTGTGCCCTACTTGCACAGCAGTTGAGCAACCCTGGAAAGCATCGCACCTTGGGTTATGTACCTCAGGGTTATTTGACGCACTGGGCTAAAATGTTGAAGGACATCCTGTTTCCAGGTGGGGACTGGAACAGAGCCTGGACTGTTTTAGCCAATCCCTCCTTACCTCAGGATGTTGCATTCCCAGCACATTCTGGTTGGTGTTGAGAACTACAAACAAGAAAGTGGGAAGAACTGTTCTGCACCATTTATGTAAACTTCTAGGAAAGCAAACTAATGTATTGTGACAGAAGGAAGATGAGTGATTGCTTAGACACAAGGGAGGAATGCTACACAGGGAAGGTCTGGAGAGTTGGATTACAAAGAGAGACAAGGACACTTTTGGGAGAGATGGATATGTTTATTATCTTGCTTATGGTGATAGTTTCATAGGTCCATAAATCCCAAAAGCATCTCATTGTACACTAACTATGTATGATTTATTTATATTAATTATACCTCAATAAAGTTGTTTTTTAAAAAAGTTACCACTTAATCCTGTAAATAGACCAGGAAGGCAATTAATTAATATTTCTAGTTTACTTTTGAGAAACTAAAGCTTAGTAGCCCAGCTATTAAATTGTAGAGCTAGATATAGAATCTAGGTCTTAAGTATATTTGTGCTAAATTTTTATACTTCAAGAAGATGTGGAAAAAGAAGTTGCTGCCAAAATAACATATTTTTTCTGTCAAATTGTATCTTTCGTTGTTGTTGCTGTTTTACTTAGGTAGAGAAATCATAGAAAAAAGCAAGATAGGCCAATTTGGGGGGAAAATAGAAGACATTTAAGGAGAGAATAAAATTGTTTTGCCAAAAATTTTAGCTCAATTTCTTTATTGTCTTCTGGAGGAAAAACTTACTAGGATAGATAGTTCTATATTTTTCTTCTCTTTTTAAAAGCAAAATTAATTAAAAGCTTCTGTCGTACCTTCCTTGAGTTGCTCTCCAGTCCCTAGCATCTCTCTGGATGAGTATCATACTTTTTATATAAAGATCAGCAAGTTATAACAAAGGGAAAGGGAAGGCTTCTATGAATGCTGAATTGACTACCCCTTCTTTGTGCCACCACCACACCTTGTGTATACCTTTATTGAACCACTCGTACTGCAACAGGCCAAAGAAAGATTATGCATGTCTTCCCTCTGGCATTCCATTACCTAGCATGGAGCTTGACATACTCTTTTTCTAGGGAATGTTTGTTAAGTGACTAATAAGTCACTTAAATGGAGCTTTATTGAAGCAAAAAACTATTGTTGCCAGGGTAAATGGGTTTTTTAAAAGTCTCTACATTTCTCCCTTCCAAGAAACAGTGTCAAACTACTATAGGTCCCTTGGAACTTTCAGTTCCTTAGAGAAAAGGGGAGATAGATTTTTTTCCCCCCAAACCCCAGGGATTCTGTATTTTTCTTTGAATACTAGTAGTTCATATGACAAGATGAGAACACAGCATTAAGTCAGAATATACTGTTATTTTCACCATGTCATCTTCTTATGTATATGTATGTTGTGGCATAACTTGAAATATAAACATTTTAAAGGGAATAGACTAAAAGTAGCATATCTAATATGACAATTTCTTCATATCTTTTTTTTATAACTTTAATATAAATCAAGTAGAGATGGGGGTCTTGCTGTATTGCTCACACTGGTCTCAAACTCCTGACCTCTAGCTATCCTCTTGCCTCAGCTTCCCAAAATGCTAGGATTATAGGCATGAGCCACCTGTAATTTCTTCATATCATAGCTTGTTTTATTTCATTGTTTATAGAGGCCACATTGAATCATATTCGTTAAGTAAGGCACATGTACAGAAATTGTTTTATTTATCAGCTTTCTTTTCCTGAATGAATATTTTGTGTTTATTAAGAATACAGAATACGAAGATGAAAAGACATTGAAGAATCCAAAATATAAAGATAGAGCTGGAAAACGTAGGGAGCAGGTTGGAAGTGAAGGAACTTTCCAAAGAGATGATGCTCCTGCATCTGTTCATTCGTAAGTTTTGAATTACAGTGGCTCGAAACATCCTTTGTTCATAATAACATTCATAGGGTGGTCTGATGTTCAGGGCTATATATCCTGATAGGTGGCCTATTTATTTGTTTATTTATGAGATGGAGTCTTGCTCCGTCGCCCAGGCTGGAGTGCAGTGGTGTGGTCTCGGCTCACTGCAACCTCCATCTCCCGGGTTCAGGCGATTCTCCTGCCTCAGCCTCCTGAGTAGCTGGGATTACAGATGCGTGCCATCACGCCCAGCTAATTTTTGTGTTTTTAGTAGAGACGGGGTTTCACATGTTGTTGGCCAGGCTGGTCTTGAACTCCTGACCTCATGATCCGCCCACCTTGGCCTCCCAAAGTGTTGGGATTACCGGCGTGAGCTACCACGTCTGGCCAATAAGTGGCCTTAAAATTAACACTTTAACAACAAAATGGAGACACTAAGTCTATTTATACTTTCCACTAATCTTGGAATTCTATTATCCCCTAAAAAATTGCTGAGCAAATACATGAGCACCTGTACTTAAACACACATATATGTATGTTAACAGTCTAGCCACACAGTTGAGTGTATATACTTTTATATGCTAGATATCTAGAAGCCTAGATTGGTAAGAACTTGGTATGGACTGGTATTTTTTAATAATTCTTTTAATACTCAAATACTTTTGTTCTTAATGACCCTGAAATATAATTTTTCTTATTTATTTTTCTCTGATTCAGTTTTCTCTTGGCAAAGTAGTCTGGATAAAAATGAAAAAGGTGATTTTTGAGGTTTGTAATATGACCGTATTTCTGCATTTAATCAAATATTAGCTGCATTTTTTTCCTCAGAATATAAATTTTGAGTTTAGTTAAAATTTAAATTTTTCATGTAGAACTGATAACTAATTATAAAGTTTTGATTCAATATCATATTGCATTGACTCTAAGAGTTTTATGGTTACAAATGGCAACATTTTTTTCTTAATGGTGCATAAAATAATGGTGTACCTTAGAGTTGATGGAGTTTGATCCATTACCAACATTTTATTTGATGAAATATAGGATTACAAAGTAGGTACACTAAGCAACATGACACTTTTTTTAAGTTTAATGTTTAAAATATAATCTTGGAGAGTATAAAGAGTGCATTCAAATTAAATAAGACAAATTTAAAATAAAACACATTGGTTTGACATTGCTTGGTTATTAACTGAAGGGCTAACAGCATATTTTGTGGAACTGAAAAGATAGAACATAAAATACTCTTAAATTAGCAGAGTATAGAATCATAGGACAAAAATGCAAACTGATTAAGAAGTTTTATTTCAATTTGAACTTTTTAATATGTAACATGTACAGAAAATTACACAAATTATAAGTATATAGCTCAATGATACATCATAAGATTAACATATTGCAGAATACACATTTCTTGGACAAGAAATAGGAAATTATCAGTAACCCCAGAAGCTTATTCTCCCTGTGCCCCACCTAATCACTGTCCTGCTGTCCTCCCGAAAGGTAATCACCATCCTAACAGCAATAGATTAATTTCACTTATTTTAAAATTTTAATGAAATGGAACAATTCAGTATTTATTTTGTGTCTATATTTTTTGTGTTCCACATTATTTTGTTAGGTATGGTTTATTTTTATTGCTGAATAATATTCTACTGTATCACTATACCACAATTTATCCATTTTAATCATTGCCAGACATCTGGATCATTTCTGATTTGTTGCTATTAGATTTGCTGGAAGAACATTGTTGTATGTGTGTTTTGGTGCACATGCACATGCTTTTCTAAGTAGGATATGTACCAGTGGAATTTGTGTGTCTTCAACTTTGTTAGGTAATGCCAAGCGGTTTTCTAAAGTAGTTGTACCAATTACTTTTAATTCATGAATTTATTATAAATGTGACCTAAAAGATCTTTTATAAATCAACTATCATTTTAATATTCCTTAAAGTGAAATTACTGATAGCAACAAAGGTCGGAAGATGTTGGAGAAGATGGGTTGGAAGAAAGGAGAGGGCCTGGGGAAGGATGGTGGAGGAATGAAAACGCCGGTAAGACTTGGATTTTCTTTTATTCATTTATTCCTAGAGCAGACATTTACCGTGTACATTAATGTGCCAAACGTTGCCTTAAGTGCTAAGAATATAGTAGAAAGCAAAAGGAGACATGATTACTGCCTTTGTGGCATTCACAATTACCAAATATATACATGTGCTTTGTTTTGTGTTTTATATTTTTAGAAAGCCTCTTTTTGAGTTTTTTTCCCTACATTAAAGCTAGGGTGAGAAGTGCTGTTTCCTGAGCCAAAGGTTCTTCTGTGTTTTAGAGTCATTTTTAATAACTGTCAGAGCACTCAAGAACAATCACAGTGTTAGTTTACAAACAGGTGGATTGTGTATGAGCTGAAAAATCTGTTTGGTTCAAGAATCAGAGCATGTAACATGAAATATAGAGAATAATCTCTGGAAAATGACATAGTGGTTTAATTAATGGTCCCATGGTTCGTAGGAGGTTTAGGTTATCTTTCACACAAACCTTAATAAGTAACCTGACTGTAGAACTTTCTGGATAATGAACTTAGTACCTAAAGAAATAATAGATGGATCAGTGTGAGTATATACCAGCTTTCTCATTTTTTTTGAGGTACAGTGGAAAGAACAAGGATTTTGTAGTCAGACCTAGGTTAGAATATGTGCTCTATCATTTACTAGCTATGTGGCTTTGGGCAAGTTTGGACTTTAGTTTTCTTATGAAAAAATGGGGATAAGAACTCTTTTTCAGGGTTGTCTTGAAGATAAAGCCCCTAAGCATTGTACCTTACATTAGGCACTCAGTAAATGGTAGCTTTGAATGTTCTTAAAATATTGAGAAGTGCTCCCCTCCTGTTATGAAAACAATCAAATTCTTTTTATGGTTATTAATGTTTAACCTGCTTGTTCACTTACTTAGATAAGGATAGGACAGTGGGTTTAAACATATCCATTGCCTTTATTTCTGGTTAGGGTGGAATGACATACTCTGCAGCATCTAAATGAAATTTGGTGATTGCTAGTTAAGGAGCACTCTATTTTCTGTAAAGTAGGCTGTACTTATTGACAAGGCAAGACAACATAGAAAAATGAATGTAAGTTCCATGTATAAAGGTATATATATTCCTGTATGTATTTGATGCATCTGACAGGTTTTTCTTTTGCATCAATCTTTAATAAATCAAAAAATTGTAGAGTCCTAAGTTGGACACAGCAGATTTCAATGTGTTTAGACTCTAAAATAAGTCCTCTGCTCAACTTTTGGTAACAGATCCAGCTTCAGCTTCGGCGAACACATGCAGGCTTGGGGACAGGCAAACCATCCTCATTTGAAGATGTTCACCTTCTCCAAAACAAGAACAAAAAAAACTGGGACAAAGCACGAGAGCGGTTTACTGAAAACTTCCCAGAAACTAAGCCTCAAAAAGATGACCCAGGGACCATGCCTTGGGTAAAAGGGACTTTAGAGTGAAGGCTAATCATAGAAAAAAAACCTCTAGTTTTTTTAAAAATAGAATTTGGAAACTTATTTTTTCTCCCCAAAAGAATCAGCAGCACAGGGGAACTATGTCACAGTTTACCTCTTCCTGATTCAGAAATGTGTATGGTTTGCAGCTTTTAAAAACCATTTTTTTAAAACTAATAAATAGTGACTGAACCAATTTATGCAGTAAATAGACTAAAGTTCACAGGGCACGGATGAGTTTATCAAACTTCGTTATTTTATCTTGTCATTTACAACATCCATATAAGCAACTAGCCATATAAGCAAAATTCATAGAACTACTAATGACTTAAGTGTACATCTGTTCTTGTCTCCATATATTCATGTAAGATGCACAACAAAAGAAACATCAGAAGTTTATAAAAATAAATCTGACTATATGCATCCTCATTTATTCCCTTTAGAACCTAGGTAAAAAATGTTGCGAAAACATGGGTAGTGGCGCATACATTTTGTTATCCTTGAAATAGCCTAAGTAATGTTATTGAAGAACTAATGAACAGGTAACATATTGTAGAAAATTAGTCTTTCATTGTTTTCTTCTGTGAAGAATCTGTTGCTATGTACTGTATATTCAGCATTTATATTTGGTTTGTTTCATAGCTAATGAGGTATTTAGATATGAACAACTGAATACATATTGAAATAGTGTGCTGGCTTTTGTAGTTTTGATAAAGACCATTGCAGGCAATGGAATTGTGCCAGAGAAATCTGATTTCTAGTACAAAAGGAATACTTAGCCAGGGCCTCAAGCTCAAGATACTTATTGAAAACATCCTCAATTGCAATAAAAACATTATAACATGAAAAAGAGTGATTTTTTGAACCGGTGATTTAAATGTATTGATCTGCTTTGAATTTTCAAGCAGCCAGAATTTTCTAGTTTAAATTGGCAGAGTTATAACAAAGGAGAGCCTCAAATATTAGACAATTGCAGTGCGGCTTTCTGGGCACAGGTGTCACTGCTCTGCCACCTATCACTATTCTTTTTCTGTTCAGTTTTTCTCTCAGGTGTTTGCTGGGAAATTAACACTGGAACTGACCCTTTTCTGGCAGTGAATGTAAGCTCTAGCTCCCCCATCTACTATAAAGAAATGTCTTCGAGATGTAGAAATAAGGAATATTCTGAAAATAAAAATTATACAGTAGTAAAGATAATTCAGAAAGAAAAAGCTACCTGTTAGAATTTCCAGTCTAAATGGCACAGGGTAGTTACGGAGAAAAGGGGATGGAGAAGGAGAAACTATGACTAAAGATGAGAGGTATGAACGAGTTGTCAGGTTCCTATGGGCTTAAGCTAGGACAATCAGGCCCTAAACTCCAAATTTGGATAAAATATCTCTTTGCATTCTTCTTGGCCACCTGCATAGTCTGACACATACGTATGTACAGTTAGACTTGCAGGCTGCAGGAGTGCCCTGCATTGTTTTCTTTTAATTAGAAATAAAAAGTATTAGTCTAAATGTGGTTCTGGTGCTGGTGCCCTGTATATATGTAACAATATAGGACCCCTCCAAATAGGTTTTGCTTCTGGTGAATCTTGGTCATTGGGTTAGTATATGACTGTCTATAATATTTTCCATTTGTATTATTATATTGGGGAAAACATTTTTTATCATTTTCTATTAAGAAAATGGAAAACTTAAATATGGTGTTAAAAATGGAAATATATGTGATATTTGCATTATTAAACCCCTTTGCAGATCTAAAGTCTCAGGGTTCCACTATTAGTGGTTAAAGTACTGAATAATGTCTGGGTCTATTTCCATCTGTAAAATAAGAATATTTGTCTCACGTGTCTGTCATGAATAGCAAATGAGAAAATGTATATAAAAGCACTTTGTAAATTGTAAAAGTAGTACAGATGTGAGCTTCTATTTGTTTAGAAGCATAAATGTGAATTATATACAGTTTGAATTTTGCATAAATTTTTTGTGTCTAATTTTAAATATTTGTTTAATCACACTACACATTTTCTGAGTAGCGTTTAAGTATGTATTTTAAGTGGAGCTGCAAGTTCTGAATTTTAAGAAATCTAACATCTAATATTTTTGCCAGAACATAAGCTGGCAAAGTTGAGAACAGAAGAAACTTTCAACATTAGAGTAAAATAGAAATTTTTTCCAGTATTAAATAGAGGAAGCACCCTTATCCTCAAAAAGAGGAACTTTTTTCTGCTTTTGAAACAAGTGTTACTTCTGATGTGTCATTTTTATCCTGCATTTATAGAACGTAATGGTTTACGCAAATCAAAAACCTTCTGACTTTCCATAGAATATTTTTAATTTTTTATGATTTTTATTTATTTATTTTTTTGAGACAGAATCTTGCTCTGTTGCCCAGACTAGAATGCAGTGGTGCAATCTCAGCTCACTGCAACCTCAACCTCCTGGGTTCAAGCGATTTTCGTGCCTCAGCCTCCCAAGTAGCTGGATTACAGGTGCATGCCAACATGCCTGGCTAATGTTTGTATTTTTAGTAGAGATGGGGTTTCACCATGTTGGCCAGGCTGGACTCCAACTCCTGACCTCAGGTGATCTGCCTGCCTCAGCCTCCCAAAGTGCTGGGATTACAGGCGTGCGTGAGCCACCATGCCTGTCCAAAAGATTATTTCTTAATTTGACATATTTTTAAAGAGCAGGCAAAGAAGATAGAAATCTCAAACAAGGGAAAGCAAGAGACGTTGGAGATTGCATACGAAGGCCATTCTGTAAAGTTGCAGGACAGAGGGATGTCCTTGGCAGGGGGCAAGAAAGCACTTGTGGACCCAAAACTCAAAGGCAGTCTCAGGAACAGTTGAAAGTATTTTCCCCACCATCTTGTTGTAAGTGTGCTTCTTTTATTAGGGCATAACTTATATTTCTGCTCTGAATCTTTGATTCAAACATTTCATTTTACTTTTTCAGCCTTTAAAGTGGAAATGGATTTTGATTCTTTAAAATGAGGCAGTGGTTACTTATATTTCTGTGTGTTTCAGGGCCCAGGCTATCTCTTCTGCTTTTCTGTTTTACTAATCTTAGTGTTGGCTTATGGCCTTGTAGTTGCAAAATGGCTTTTGAAATTTCAGACATCATATTCATACCTAAAGCAAGAAGAAAGAAGAAAGAGCAGAGTGTAGTGTTAGTTCTCTTTTTTTAGGAAAACAACAGCTTACTCAGAAACTGACTTCTTAGGGTCATTAGCCAGAACCAGATAGCATGGCTACCCATAGAAGAGATGCTATAAAAGTGGGTAACAAGATGGTCACATTTGGCTTAAGCCAGTCATGAACCATCACCTGCAGCTGAGAATGTTGCCGTTGGAATGAAATAGGTTCAGTGAACCAAGCAGAAGGGGGCAGTGGATGTTGAATGGGCAGGTAGAGGTAACTGCCAGATAACGTACTTGTCCATCAGTGGGGACTACAGGGTTGCTTAAATTGTGATGCATCCCTACTATGTAATACTTTCTGGCCATTGAAATGAATAAGATAGAACTGTGTATACCCTAGTGTAGAAGAATATCTCACAAAGCAGATTGTAGCAAAGTATATATGGCATAATCCCATTTTTATTTTTAAATTACAAAGGTGTGTATTGAGTTGCTGATAACCCAGAGTGAGCAGACTTTCACATTTTATTATTTCTATATTTGAACTTTTAAAAAGTAAACAGGTGTGTGGTTAATGTGTATGTATATACACACTTGTGGTAAGAATTTACCCAGAAGTGGTTAAATTTGTGGTTAAGCCTTCATGGCTCAAACCCAGGCATTTTTCTCACATATATACCCAGTTTCACTTACCATCTATAAACTCATGACTTCTAGGCTGTCTTAGGTTATTGATTCTGAGCTTATGACTTACATATCCATCTCAGAGTCACTTTAAATGCAACTCCAAGACTAACTCCATAATCTTCTCCAAACCTAGTCTCTTCTAGTTTACTCTCTCCAGCTGGTAACACCATCCATCCAGTTGTGTGAGTCAGAAGCCTGAGTCAGCCTCTGTTTCACAACCACTAGCTTTTCTCCCCTTTGTCTGTTTCCAATATATTAAATCAGTTCACTGTTACCAGTCACCAAAATTATTCTGAGGGCTTCCTAACTGGTCTTCCTGCAGGCATTCTTTCCTCCATCTTCCACACTGCAGACAACTTCCATCTCATCGTCTCCTGTTTGGCTTCCCATTACTTTGAGGCCATAAAACAAACTCCAGGCCCATAAAACCCTAAGGGATCTGGCCACTGCCAGCTTTCCTGGTCTCATCTTTTGTCACTTTCCTACTTGTTCTCTGGGCCCTAGCATGCTGGCCCCTTTTTCAGTTTGTCAAACACAGCTGCCTTCTCTCATCACAGAGCCTCTTAACATTGTATTACATGTATGGAATGCTCTTCCTCCCCCATTTTACATAGTTAATTCTCACATAGTCTTCAGGTCTCTGCTGATTGAATCTTCAGGGATGCCTCCTTTGAAGCCCTGGACTAGATTAATTGCCTTTGATAAGTATTTTGAAAAACCATTTCTTTCATTTAGACCACTTAGCTTGGTTCACAGTTACATATTAGTGTGGTTAGTGTAATATTTCTCAGTTTCTCTAGATTGTTAAGTGCCATGTGAGCAGGACCTTGGGTATGCTTACTATTGCATCCGTAGAGCCTAGCACCACATCTGGTTTATACAACCATAGGCACTGAAGCACACAATGGGTAACTGCAAGTGGCTTGATGGAGTCTTATCAAGCTGTGACTGAAGAAACATGGGAACTGAGGCTACATAGAGGATCTACAACAATGGCTTTCAAACTATTTTGATGATGATCTACAATGTGAATACAATTTGTATTACAGTTCAGTACACGAGCATGTTCATAGCATATGTAACATAGATTTTGTATACCAGTACTTTGCCATAAGCTCATGTAATACACTCGTTTTCCACATCACTGATTGCATCCACTAAATTGCTTTCATAATGCACTAATGGGCTGTGTCCTACAATCAGATTTTCAAACCTTTTCAAAGAACCCATTGCATTGCCTTAGGAGCTGCAGCTGTGTGAGTCTATGTTTGTGTGATGAGGTGGGGAGAGTTTAGGATGCCAAACTGTGGTGACTCCAGTTCTCAGGCTCATTAACTACAATAGGTCTACATTCATCTGATTTGCAGTTCAAGCTTCCAGATAGGTTTGATTGCATAACAAAGAAGGGGTGAACAAAACCGAGCCTCTTACCTGTAGCCAAAACCGCATATTGTGTTGAGAAATTTACATAATTAAGAAATGAAGGATTTTATCTGTGAGACAATGAGGAATCCACTGAAGGATTTTAAGCAGGAAAGGAACCTCATTAGATTGCTTTATAGCAGAATAACTATGGTTGATTGAAAGGCAGAGTGGTGACTGGAAATCTTGAGTGTAGGTTGACCTCTTTGAGAGTTTGTTCAAATATTTATTGAGCATCCACCAAATGCTGTGCACATCTTGGAAGGCAGGAACCTTCTTTGTCTTATTCACTGCTCTGTCTTCAGCACCTAGCACAGGATTGGATGTTTGGGAGGTCCTCAATAAGCATTTGTTGGTGGAATGGATGGAATGCACATTTGTGTTGCATCTGGCACTGTGCTAGGCCCTTAACATACATTCTTTATTCTGGACACCATTTTATGAATTAGAAAACTGAGGCTTAAGAGGTTTTTATTTTGCTCAAAGTCAAAAAGCCGGTGTGACAGAAGTGGCAGGGCTGAGGTTTCTATCTTGATTCTTTCCATCCCACAGGGATGATTAAGAGCACAGGCTGAAGAGTCTGACTGAGCTGAGTTTAAATTAAAATTCTACCACTTCCAAGCTGAGTGACCTTTAAAAATTTATTTGAACCTCTCTACCCAAGTGTCTTCTATGGAGTTTGTAACTGCCCATCGGGTTCGCCTTGCCTGCTGCCCAGATAAAGCCGATTTATCAAGACAGGGGAATTGCAATAGAGAAAGAGTTTAATTCATGCAGAGCTGGCTAAGTGGGAGATGAGTTTTATTACTCAAATTGGTCTCCCTGAAAATGTGGAGACTGGGTTTTTTTTTTAAGGATAATTTGGCAGATGGGGGCTAGGATAGTGGGGAGTACTGATGGGTTTGGTCGGAGTTGAAATCATAGGGGGTCAAAGTGGGTTCTTCTTGCTGTCTTCTGTTCCTGGGTGAGCCAGGACTGGTTGAGCCAGATTATCAGTCTGGGTGGCTCCAGCTGGTGCATCAGAATGCAGGGTCTGAAAGATATCTCAACCACCAATCTTAGGTTTTACAATAGTGATTTTATCCCTAGGAGCAATTGGAGAGGTTCAAATCTTATGGCCTCTGGTTGCATAACTCCTAAACAATAATTTCTAATCTTGAGGCTAATTTGTTAGTCTTACAAAGGCAGTCTGGTCCCCAAGCAAGAAGGGGGTTTATTTCAAGAAAGGGTTGTTATCATCTTTGTTTTAAAGTTAAAATATAAACTAAGTTCCTCTAAAAGTTAGTTTGGTCTTTGCCGAGGAATGAACAAGGACAGCGTGGAGGATAGAAGCAAGACGGAGTCAGTTAGGTCAAATCTCTTTCACTGTCATAATTTTTGCAAAGGTGGTTTCAAGTTTTGGTGAAGATTAAATGAGATAAGGTTTGTGTGGCACTGAGCACACTGTCTGGTGCATAATAAGCCTCCAAATATTAGTGATTATTAGCATTGTTATTATCCATGCTAGCAATACCAAGGACATGGTTGTAGGAGTAGAATCCCAGAGTAGAGATGGTGGTTATGGAAGTCAGGTAGGATGAGGAATGAGGCTAGCAAGTAGTGGATGGGTCATCCTCATTCCACAAGGCAATAGGAGATAGATGTGGACAAGAAGACTGAGTCAGGAGCTGGCTTTCTAAGTGAATATTGGAGAATGAGGAGGAGATTGGTAGACAATAGTGAGAAAGGACAGAAGTTATTGTAGGTGACTCTCATCATCCTTAAAGGAGGAGGAATGGATTCTACATGACTTTGGAAATGGAGTCGTCTGGAGGAATGATAGGGAGATGTAGCCAGGCAACCCTGGCTCTCAGTACTCTATGGGAGCATGAGAGCTACAGGGAGAATTCCAAGAAGTAGATTTCCGGTCCCCATATGTAAAAATCTTTCAACAGCATACATTAATTCAGCAAATAGCCATGAAGCACGTAGCATAGGCCAGGCACTGTTCTAGGCACTAGGGATACAACAGTGAATAAAACAGTCAAGGCTCCCTGCCTTCATGGAGCTTACATTTATTTTTAGATAGGATTTGGCAGAATGTAAGGCCCAAGTAATACATGCAGGCCTTGATAGTTCCAGAGAGTATTAATCCAAAATAGTTTCTGTTCATTCCAAAGTCTTAAAGCCAACATTTTAAAGCAAAAATTTGGGTGGAGTGTGTGACGCGGGAAGGATTTGGGGCTTTTTTCTTAATGTTCTCAGACTGTTTCTAAACCAGATCTATTTAGGGGAATCTTATAAACTGTGCTTTCAAAATCTTTTTAGTCATGTGTTTGAGAGTTCTGGGTATGTAGACAACAGACCTCATTGAGGCTGCAGCCCCTTGTTCAATTATGTATCTCCTCTACCTGAGAATAATAACTGCCTGCCCAGACATCTGGGTTCTATGGTTCTAAATCTGAACACTAAGTACAGTCATGTATCACTTAACGATGGGGATATGTTCTGAGAAATGCCTTGGTGGTTATTTCGTCACTGTACAAACATCGTAGAGGTACTCACACAAACCAAGATGGTACAGCCTACTGTACACCTAGGCTGTGTGGTATACTGATTGCTCCTAGGCTACAAACCTGTACAGCATTCTGTGGTCTGAATACTGTAGGCAATTCTAACACAGTTAAGTATTCGTATATCAAAACATACCTAAACATAGAAAAGGTACAGTAAAAATACAGTATGGTAATCTTACAGGACCACCATTGTATGTGTGGTATGTCATAGACTGAAATGTTATGTGGTGCGTGACTCTACCAAAAAAAAATGAAACTGCATTATGCAGTTCATAACTATACAAAAAAAGATGCAACAGGAATCAGGTCACTGGAAACTGGAAGTGATGGAAAACATGTAAATCAAAAAGTCTTTGGAGGGTGAAGAGCAAACAGATCAGAAAGTTAATGTGAATAGAGGCAAAGAATATCTGCCTGCTATGTAAGAATGTCTTTTTTTTTTTTTTTTTTTTTTTTTTTTTTTTTTTTTTTGAGACAAGGTCTTCCTCTGTTGCCCAGGCTAGAATGCAGTGGCATGGTCATAGCTCACTGCAGCCTCCACCTCCCAGGCTCAAGCAATCCTTCCACCTCAGCCTCCTGAATAGCTGGGATGACAAGAGTGTACTAGCACACCTAGCTAAAAATTTTAATTTTTTGTAGATACAGGGTCTCCCTCTGTTGCCTAGGCTGGTCTTCAACTCCTAGGCTCAAGCGATCCTCCCGCCTTGGCCCTTCCAGTGTGCTGGGATTACAGGCATGAACTACCATGCCCAGCCAAGAATGGCTTTTGGAAATTCTTCCTTTAAAAAACTCACTCTTCATCTATGTTAAAATTCTATGGTATTTCATTGCCCAGCATGTAGAATACAGGGAGAAGCTGGTGGAATATTATCAAATGTATTTAAACATGTGACAACGTTTTACTTAGCTTCCAATTACTAGTAGACTTCAGAGGGCAGAAGGTTGCCAGCTTATTCATCTGGTCATTACTTATCTTGACCAAAAGCCCACGAGAATATATACTGAAAGAATAAAGCTTTCATTACCATTTAATGTTTTTCCTTAAAGCCTCATTTTAATACTGTGAAACCAGATTTCAGAGAATGTCATAATTAAGATTTTTATAAAAAGAAACCTTTAATACTATTTAAACATATAATGACTCCCAGTGCTACCTGAATTCATTCACATCATAAACCAACTAAAATGGGCTTTAATCTGTATGGTGACCATGCTGCCTTTACTTAACCTTAATATACCACTATCAAGACCAATTTATGAGCCACACTAAAATAATTATCATTGTTTTATTATAATCTCACCTTATTAACCAGAAATGTTAATCTGGTTAATCATCTACCATATTCACCAGACTGAATAATTGGCAGTTCTTTTAAAAAATCAAATTTATCCTGGAAAGAGGAGTATTTGCCAACTCAAGGATGTTTTAAAGAATGTGCTAGGGACTCATGGCCACTCTAAAAGAGGAGTTCCAGAAATGTTGAAGCATTTTGGGAATAACTGTATAGTCTTCCAGGTCTTCTACTTTGAAGAGAGATGACTTAGATGGATAGATTTTTATATACCTTTGGGATTCCTCAGATTACTTTGTAGTCACAAGTCAGATTGAGTTTTGACTGGAGCAGGTCATTTGGCAACTATTTGATAGAAAAATATTTAATAGTATTTATCAGAAAGAGAATGTCTTGGCAGATCTCTGAGGCTTGTGTGTAGGTGTTCTCAGGAATCCTCCCAGGGAACCTGCTCTTGTGGGTTCCTTGGGAATGATTTCAGGTGAGCAGCAGGAGCCCTTAAGGCCAAAGAGACTGAAATGCATTAAGTAGGCTGGAGTCAGATGACGCGCCACAGTCACCATCTCCTGACAGTGGACAAGTCACTCTCTAGAACCTATTTTCCTAATCTATCAAATGATGGAGTTGGACTGAACAAGGGCTGCATTTCTTTCTGGGATTTTCTGGAAATGGGGATTATATCCATGCTTTCGTTGGAGATTTTATTTTAACTAAGGATGCTGAATGCTGAAGGAGAGGAATGTTGTCTACAAACAAAATTTTTTTATCATAAAAGTAATTCATACTTTGTGTAAAAAATTACAACAATGCAGAAGTGTATAAAGCAGAAAGTAAAAACCTCTTCCCTTAACTCAGCACTCAGGTTAATTGTTCTCTGTCTCCTGAACAGGACATTCAGGCTCGCACTAGCCATCTTTGAGGGAGTAGTTAAGATTCTAAATCCTTTCCTATGTTTTAATGGTTCTTACAATTGGTGAGATAGAAGAGTAACATTTGTGGAAGTCTTTTTTTTTCCTTCTAAAAAGGAAATTCAGATCATCTAGCCCAATTTATAAATCCATATGAAGAAGTTAAGTTCCAATACTTGAAAATAACTTAGAGTAATATAAAAATTGCAAAAGACAAAAGAAAATATATTAAAATGTTAATTAATAGCAGTTTTACAGAGGTGACAGGATTTTGGGGTGTTGTTTTTTTCTGTTCTTCTTCCTTGACTGAGGCAATACATTTTGTGTTACTTGTATAATAAAAAAGTAGATTTACATACCAGAATGGTTGATTGGCTTCAAACCAAACAGTCCAATAACTGACGCATTAAATCTTTATTGACTAAACAGCTTAAAAAATTACTACTATTTCCTTTTATTTGTTGTTGTGAATTTTACTCAGAATTAAAGATAAATGATTAGTAATTACAGGAAAACTAACTTGTAAAAATCTTAAAGACATTGAATGGGTTAATGTACTGAGCAGCTACGGAATGCAAGGCACTGTAGGAGTAGGGTGAGTATACTCCCCACAAGGGCTCAGGGTCAGGCAGGGGAGGTGAGATAAAAACCCACAGCCATACACTAGCTGGCCTGTCCTGAGGGTTGTGAGGCACAAAATGCTAGGAGACTAGAGAAGTAAGAAATGTCTTGACATGAGGAGAAATCAAGGAAAGCATGGTTTTAGAACATGTGTGGGATGTTTTTTGTATCGAGACTGAAGAGGCTTTTTAAAGTGGAGGGAAGGCAAACTGAGGCATAGAGATGCCAATACCAGGTCTTGTCAGGAAGAACAGAGTCCAATTTGGCTGCAGGATAGGGCATATGTAGGGGAGGGGATAAGACTGGCATGGGGGCAGAGGGGGACTTGAATGTCAGGTGACAGAGTCAAAGCTTGCACTCAAGTAGGTGATTGATAGGTGATCTTGGGGGCTTTTGAGCAGGAAGAGTGATAAATCAACATTGGCTTAGGACAATCCCTTTGGCTTTGGCGAAATTGTGACTCAGGTAAGGGACAGTTGGGGGAGACAAGGATGGGAAGATGCATGATAAATGGGCCCTGAGCTTGGCAGGCAACAGGAAGGCAGTGCAATGTTTTGTAGAAATAGACTTAGCAGAGCAGGCGCCCAGCATTCAGCGAGACCACAGATTCTTAGCCACTGTATGACTTGAAGGTGATACTAACTCCCCTGAACCTGTCTCATCTACAAAATGGGCATAGTAGCACCTATGTCATAGGGTTGCTTTATGGCAGGTAATTATTCTTGTAAAGCATTTAGCACAGCTCTGATGACACATGGGGAATGCTCAGTAAATATTAATGTCACTAATTCCAGTCAATTCCATTAACTGGAATTAATTAGTTGGAGTTAGGAAGGAAACAGGTGTCAGCTGGGTCGACTGAAGGAAGCAGAGATCTCAGGAAGCAGTACATGGTGGTACAGTGGGAGCATGGCATCTGTGGGGGAGACTGTCTGCAGTGGGATCCCACCTCTATTGCTGGCCAGCTGTGATCTTGTACAGGATACTTAACCCCTTTCTAGCTCAGTTTCTTTAGCTGTAAAGCCAGCGCAATGTTACCATGGAGCTGGTATGTGAAAGCAATGCATGTTAAGTGTGTAGTATGTGCCTGATACATTGTTAGTGCCCAGTAAATGTTAGTTATCAGGTGAGGGGTGGGATGTGGGGTTGAGTAGATTTGCCTCGTCCACTCATAGAGGCAGGATGTGCAAGGAGGGGTGGAGACATGCAGCAAGGGATTGGGCATGAAGGTTTTCTCCAGGCCCGGGGAGAACACTCGGCCTGGAGATATTCAGGAGTCCCTGGCCCAGAGGAGATTACAACTCTGCAGGGATATGAGCCACGAGTGGAGTGTAGACATAGGCCTAAGGAAGCAATCAGACACTTCCAGAATAGAGGACATTTGCTAAGACAGCTGGCCTGGATGCTTCAAAAAGTATCATGGGAAAATATGTTGGGGTTGTTGTAGACTGAAAGTGACTAGAGTTGAAACCAAAAGAATGTATGAACCTTGATGGGACCTGGTTGTTGTCGTTGTTTTTAAAGACAAACATTCTGGAGACAATTGTTGAATACTGATTAAGGGCTCTGTATTAGAGGCTATAAAGAAGTTACTGTTTATATTTTTAGGCATGATCATCTTAATGTAATCATGTAGAACGGTGTCTTTGTGCTCAGGAAATCTATGTGGTAATACTCAGGGGTCGAAATGTCATTCTATGTACACATGCATGGGGTGGAGAGAATAGTAAATCTGGCAAAATGTTAACAACTATTCAATCCAAGTGGAGAGTATGTATCTGAGTATTCATTGTGCTAGCCTTTCAACTTTTTCTGGATGTGTGGAATTTTTCAATATAAAAAAATAAGAAAAAAAAGAGGCCTATGGAAAAACTGGGAACCAGTATGCAACAGGAAAAGGAATTCTTTGAAGGAAAAACAGGATCCACCTACCAAGAGAGCAATTTCAAGGGAGAGATTAAGCAAAATGAAGGCTGCAAATAGATCATCATATTTGGTCACTGGGAGATTGTGGCAGCTTGGAAATAGTCTGGTGAAGCATAGAAAACTGACATGCACCCTAGAACTTAAAGTATTATATATACATATATATATATATATATATATGTATATGTATATATGTATATATATATGTATATATGTATATATATATGTATATATGTATATATATATGTATATATGTATATATATATATAATATATACACACATAAAGAAAAAAAGAAAAGAAAACTGACCCAGAGTGAGGGAGTAAAAACTGGGGAGGAAGGATAGGCAGCCAGGACTTGTTGGCCCTTCTGGGTTAAGTCTTTCTTTTCAGTAAGAAAGGGAGACTGCACATTGCTGAGGAAGAAGAGCCTGGGGGAAAGGGAGGGACTGAGACAGCGAAAGGGGGAATACTACAGGAGGAAAGACCCAGTAAACGTGGGAGAGGAATGGGATGGAAAATGACAGGTAGATGTGGCCTTAAGCGGAGGGATGCTTTCCCCTTCAGCCCAGAGGTGAGCACTATGACGACATGTGGGGAAGAAGCCCTCTTCCTAGTGACAAGGGGATGAGGTGATGTCTTGCTAAGGTGGCAGATGTGAGGCCTGAAAGTGGACATATGTGCCACACTTGTCATTAGGTCTGAAGCAAGGGAAGGATGGCCGAGGGGAGACAGAGTGCACCTGGTATTGGTTGAATAATATGGGCAGTAAAAAAGCGGGCTCTGGGACTGCCCCGATGAGGGCTAGAGATGATGCGGGTCTACAGCAGTCATGGAAACTAGAGGGGACGTCCCTCACCCACCCTTCAGAACTTGGTGTTGGGCAGATTATGCATTAGGAACTCTTTTTTTTTTTTTTTTGGGTAAAAAGCTTTCTCATTTCCACGCACCCTCCACCTTGGGCTGCTGGGTGTATAGGCACATGGTGTGATAAGTCTTTGGTATGGAATGAAGCTCTATCCTTTCAAAGTCACCAGGTTCGGGTTCCCAGCCCTAAGTGGCCATGGCACTGGGTGGTCTGGGTTCACGGGGCTCCTGGAGCTCTCGGGTGTCCCGTGTGCCACCCCAATTCCTTGCGTGCATGCCCACGAAAGGCCGCCCAGGCACCCCCGGTGACCCCATGGAAGTGAGTTTTGGTTCTGCTCTGGCTTCGAAGTGCTTCTCAAGCTGAAGCCTTAGGGTGTGGAAGATCCTACAGTTAGCTGGAGCTTCCGAGTGAGTAGCGGCTGCGGGCCTGGCTTCGGTTACGGCTTCGGTCCCAGCGGGGTCTGAAGGCATTGGCATTGGACGGAGAAGCGCTGTCCTGGGGTGGGGAAGTGGCCACACCCCTACAGGAGGACCTTTGTGATGACGCAGCCGTCCCTGTCACCCTCGGGGTCGTCCTTGAGCGGCGGCGGCGCAGCGGGGGCCCAGCCCAGGGCGCCCTCACGGCGGCTCACATCCCGCAGCCGCGCCTGCAGCGCCTCCCGCTCGGCCTGCAGTTCCCGGCGCGCCTGGGCCGCGGCGCGCTCTTCCTCCTGCAGCGCCCTCCGCCTCCGCTCCAGGGCGCGCTCGCCCTGCTCCACGGCCAGCTCGCGCCGCTCCAGCTCCCGCTCCCGCCGGCTGCCGCGCACGGCCAGCGCGCCCATCTGTTCCAGCAGGCGCGCCCAGTCGCCCTCGGGGGCCGCAGCGGGGCCGGGCGGCGGCGGGCAGGGCGCGGCAGGTGGGGAGCTCCCGGCGCCGCTGCTCTCCAGCTCCCGCCGGTGCGCGCTCCTCAGGTGCCTCCACAACGCCGAGGTCCCCGCGTGGAAGCCCGGGCCGCGGCCCACCTGCTCCCCGCACAGACGGCAGGTGGCCCAGTGGCCCGACGGATGCCCGGGGCGCCCCGGCGCCAGGTGGAAGTAGCCCCAGGCCTCGGAGTATGGCGCCCCCAGGCGGCCGGGAGGCGTCGGCGTCGGCGCCGGCCCCAGTCCCGGACACTGACCGCCCCGCGCCGCCGCGTCGTCCAGCCCGCGGGCCTGGTCCATGGTGCAGGCCGGCTCGCCACTCCTCATTCTGCGGCGCCCGCACGCTGGGGAGCAGGGGAAGAATAATAATGAGTGTTAGGATCACGCACACAGCTCCTAGACTACAGTTAGCCTAAGAAACCATGCCGCCCTCCATTTTCTTACCGATGAAAAGCCTATAGTGTGTGTAGATAGTCTAAGTTTCTTTCTAATTAATCTTCAGTATTAAGTGTTGATTCCTCAGAAAAAACTGTTAAAAATATCTAGCCCTTCCTATACTAGGAATCCTCTTTGAAATCAAGTGGGTCCCCAGTCAACAAGTATTTATTCTAATAGCGGGAGGCTAAGCTGCTTGAACAGAAAGAACTAGCTAACTCCGTGCTGTGTCTGTATTAGCTTTAACTAGTCTCTGCTTTCTTAATAACAACAACGACAACAATAAAAAAGGTACTGTCTTCAGAATAACAGCTAGGCTCCCTTATGCAGTCTTCTCTGGGTGCTGCACAGCACACTTGAGCAATGACCAGAAAAGACAGCTTTGGGAATGAAAATTTTGTTTCTTAAACTTCAGGAGTGGAAGAGCCAGTGGTGAACAGCCTTTTAAAAAGCTTTCAAAGACTGTATGTTTTTCAAGATAAAAATATGTTTTTGTGATTATAAAAACAATCTACTTATGAGAAAATCGGCAGTACTGAAAGCAATGCTTTTAAGATATGCACATTTAGGAAATAGCAATATCCAAAGCAGCATTCTAAATTTTTACCTTTAAATTAGACAGTGGGTAATTTCCCAAGGATTCTGGGGTCCCTGTCATTGCCTCAGGGTTTCCAACCATCTCAGGTGGGTAGAAACAATGCATGCAACACGATTCCTGAGTTCTGAAGAACCATCAGCAGTGCTAGGAGTAAATTCAGAGGACAGGCAGGCCAGTGAAAGAAATGCATTCAAACCACCTTAAAGACAGATACTAGAAATACTGAGCAGCGCCATGCCCTGGTTCACTTTTTCTAACC
Source organism: Homo sapiens (assembly GCF_000001405.40). NCBI lineage: Eukaryota > Metazoa > Chordata > Mammalia > Primates > Hominidae > Homo > Homo sapiens. Next base: position 77,078,844 of record NC_000005.10, read on the forward strand.
CTTTCATAGATACCCAAGGCATAAAACAAATAAAATTAGTTTTCTTTATTGTTTGTGCTAACTAAAAGATCCCCTCTACATATTTGCAAGATACAAAGTTTGCTCAATACTTTTAATTAAGGAAGAAAAAGAAATAAAATAACGTCTTGCTTTGTTCAACACAAAATCTGTTAAAAGGATCCAAACATAATGCAATGTCATTGCACAGTCTTTTTTATTAGGAAACTAATTCACTACTGCAATAACCTATTAAAGAAAAGGGAATACAGAAAAAGGTGAAGTTTATTAGTTAGGAAATAAGTTCACAAAGGACCAAATGTGTGATTCTAGATAAATTTGCTTTGAAAGTTGAAAAACAATGAGAAGAAAACACATGACAGACTTCTTGAGCTCTTCTGAGAACTTAGGGAGAAAATCAAGGGCAAGGTGAGACCCAGGCACAGTGAGATCAATGCTGCTCATACTGTCAGATTTTGAACCAGCAGCCATGGAGATGACAAAGTTCCAGAATCTTTCTTGTTAAACACAACTGGGAAAAACTGAAGACAAAGATGAGAATAGGAAAAATAAGCTGCTATAGTTACAGTAGCATTTAGTGTAAACTATGAATTCAGTTGCTAATAGTCTTGTTGCAGATGCACTGTACTTTTCTAAACCTAAGTATTCTTTTTCCCACCAAGCAAGTCCACTCCGGATCAGGTATGACATTTAACATATCATTTTTTTAAAAAGATAACAAATATACCAGAATCATCAAAAAAGACAAGTACCATGCGTCTTCTAACAAAGAAATGGCTATTTACATGTCTTCTGATACACAGGCATTGATTTAAATATGGTCACTCATGATAAAGACCAATTAGCATAGAAAATCTTTAGAAATTAAAGGCTACATTTTCCCCCAAGAGATGTATTACATTGCTAAAGTCTCAAAAGTGGGGGAAAGTAGGATGAGGAGTTACAGACCACCTTCAAGAATAGTGTTTTTATGGCCAGTAAATATTATGGTTATATAACATTATGGTTGCTAAACAGAGTAAGATTTAAGTGTTATAAACATTTTTAATTATCTAACTTTACCTAAAATTTTTCCTATACTTTTTTCTTTTTTAAAATTTCTATTTCCTTCTATATTGAATCTGATCTTTCCTGAGGTCCTTTTTTATTACTGGACAAACACAAAAGTGCAGAGACTATTATAATGAATCTTTACGACTAATTTACTTTATAAATTAAAAGGGATGTAAACGTTTCCTATAACATCAAGAGTATTGCTTTGCATTCTGATATGCTTTCTTGAGCCAAAGCTTGGAAACTGCACATAAACCCGCAGATTCTCTTACTTGTGCCAAAGTCTGAGAGTCATCCTTACTGATGTGCCCCTGATAGTGCCAGAGGTGACTGATTACTGTCATGCTTTTTACCTCTCTGGGTTTCCTTAAAAACTGGAATGCCCAGAGGGAGTGTCGCACAGGTGAATGCCATCTGTTAGGAGTTAAAGTGGGCACAAGGATGAGAAGCACTGACTTCGATGTCTTAATCCTTTTGACCTAGTGGAAGCCTCACCTGAGCCAGGGACAGGCTGCATCACAAATGTCGGCCAGCACAGCGCTGCCCCTCCAAGGGTGGCAAGGGGACATCCTCTGCCTGGGCAGCCCTTCGATTTTGGAGGTCTTAACCGGTGGAAGGCAGCACGGGGCAAAACTGCCTCACCTTCTCAGTCCTCCACATCATGCGGCTATATTCTAGCTCAATACAATCCTCAGTCTCAGTATCTGCTGAGTGACCAGCAGTCTATGGCCACAGGCCGTAACAGCCTGGTTAGCTGAGCAAACTATCACAAGGACAGAAAACCAAACACCGCATGTTCTCATTCATAGGTGGGAATTGAGCAATGAGAACACGTGGACACAGGGTGGGGAACATCACACACAGGGGCCTGTCGTGGGGTGGCGTGGGAGGGATAGCATTAGGAGATATACCTAATGTAAATGACGAGTTAACGGGTGCAGCACACCAACATGGCACATGTATACATATGTAACAAACCTGCACGTTGTGCACATGTACCCTAGAACTTAAAGTATAAACAAAAAACAAAAAACTCGAGTGCATTTCAGCTGCCCCTGCAATGTGGAGGGGGAGAAACCTCTTCAGACACTTCAGCCACAACCGTAACACACAAAGAGCTCTTCAAACACAATAAAAAGACAAAAAGACCGACAGAAAAACAGACGAGAAATATGAGTAGGCAAATGACCTAACAGCTCCACTGGCCAGGAAATTTATGAAAAGGTGCACAACATCACTTATATTCAGGGAAATGCTATTAAAGTAGCAATAAGGTATCGTTTTACATCCATCACACCAAGAAACATTAAGAGGTCTAACAGCCAAAGTTACAAGGGAGGTAGAGAAAAGGCACACTCCTCAATTACTAGTGAAGATGGGATGGATTTTAGGAAAGCATTCTGGCCATTTCTTTTCTTTCTTTCTTTTTTTTTTTTTTTTAATTTTTTTTAAGACAGGGTCTTGCTCTGTCACCCAGGCTGGAGTGCAGTGGCACAATCATGGCTCACTGCAACCTCTGCTTCCCAGGCTCAAGAAGTGATCCTCCCACCTCAGCCTCCAAAGTAGCTGGGACTACAGGTGCATGCCACCATGCTTGGCTAATTTTTGTATTTTTTGTAGAGACAGGGTCTCTGTTGCCCAGGCTGGTCTTCCTTGAACACCTGGGCTCAAGTGATACACCTGCCTCGGCCTCCCAAAGTGCTGGGATTACAGTCGTGAGCATACCCAATGAGAATGCATGTCATTAATTCTGTGGTTAGCTAATAAGAAGAAAATGAAAAGTAAGAGATCCCTCAATTTTTCCTTGAACATTTTTTAAAACTAACACAAAGGTGCCAATGAATTTGAGTATTTTGCTTACATCCATCCACTCCATCCAACTCTCATTCAAATGCTCATTGTGCACCTGCTAAGGTCAGGTGCGTGCTTTCTGCCAAGCATTCCAAGAGGAATGTCACATAGTCTCTGCCCTCAGGAAGCGTACCATCTGGTGGGGAAAGAGATGCTTCCAACAATTCTGATACCTGTGTGATAGGGCCAGCTGCAATTTCTATATTAATTAAAAATAGAGGCTGGGCTCGGTGGCTCACGCCTGTAATCCCAACACTTTGGGAGTTCCAAGCAGGTGGATCACCTGAGGTCAGGAGTTCGAGACCAGCTTGGCCAACATGGTGAAACCCTGTCTCTACTAAAAATACAAAAATTAGCTGGGCATGGTGGCGGGTGCCTATAATCCCAGCTACTTGGGAGGCTGAGGCAGGAGAATGGCTTGATCCTGGGAGGTGGAGATTGCAGTGAGCCGAGATAGCACCATTGCATTCCAGCCTGGGTGACAACAGCGAAATGCTGTATTGAAAAAAAAAAAAAAAAGATAACCTGAGATTCTACTCCTGGGGATCTCTTCTATAGAACTATCAGCACCAATAAACACAGTCTTGTATCAGGATGTTCACGTAGAATGACATCAGAATCTACATCAGAATCATGTAGAATGACAAGAAACTGGAAGCAAGGGAATGCCTACCACCAGGAAAATGGCTGAGTATATAACATATGTTCATACCAGGGAATATTATACAGCCATTAAAGAGGAAAAGGATGAAGTTCTGTTCAATGTCTTACAAGGATATCTGGAGGAACTGTTCAGGGAGAAAAGAGAGATGCAGAAGAGTGTATAATATGATCCCACTATTATTAAGTAATATACATATCTGTAGAGGCAATATATAGCTATAGATGAAGAAAAATAAGGAGATACTATGGTTGAGGCAATGGTAACTGATGTGAAAGGAGGGAGAAGGGGAAGAGGTAAACACAAAAGTAAAAGCAATGAGGTACTAAGAAAGCATGCATGTGATCACGTGTATACATTTAGGGAAAGTGTGTATATCACAGGATCTCTACATAAATAAAAAATAATTTTATAAAACAACCCTTGGGCCTGGGTGTGGTGGCTCACACCTGTAATCCCAGCCCTTTGGGAGGCCAAGGCAGGTAGATCACCTGAGGTCAGGAGTTCAAGACCAGCCTGGCCAACATGGTGAAACCCCGTCTCTACTAAAAATACAAAAAATTAGCTAGGCGTGGTGGTGGGTGCCTGTAGTCCCAGCTACTCGGGAGGCTGAGGCAGGAGAATCGCTTGAACCTGGGAGGCGGAGGTTGCAGTGAGCCGAGATTGCACGATTGTACTCCAGCCTGGGTAGTAAGAGCGAAACTCCATCTCAGAAAAACAAAAAACAAAAACAAAAAAGCAAAACAACCCTTGGCTCCTCAAGCATGTGAGCTCAGGCAGGGCCAGCCCAGCCTTAACTGTGGAGGCTGGTGGGACAGTCCCATGGGGAAGCCCACTGCTGCGCCGCTTGGAGGAGGAAACCCAGCATGTGAGGCTGCTCATTGTCACGTGGTTTGCTGTGCTCTGCAGAAGGAGATTCTGTGTTCACACCCAGGATGTCATGGAAGAGGAGCTCATCCCATTCATCTCCCTGGCACAGGGTAGACACTTGGGGGATGCTGCATTAAGTGAAGTGAACCTGACTCTGTTTCTTTAGCCCCAGCCCACCCGAGTCTCAATCTTCCCATCTGTCAAGAGAAATAATAAGATTATTTGCCTCTAAACAGGTGGCTGAGATCATAGATAGTGCAAATGATGTCACTGTTGGACTCTCCGGTGTTATATAAATTTAAGACATGAACAATAAAGAAACTACCGATATTTACTGCTCAGACATGCCCACGTTAAGATTTTAATGGCTAAAAGGCAGTTGTTTTTCCATCTGACATTATGTTATTCAACAGAGTAAGTAGTCTAAGTTGGAGGAATCCCCTTGGGAATTGACTACAAAGAGCAAATAAAAAAGAGTAACAGATCCAAGACCCTTACCCCTTAAATTTATTTTCACTTCCTAAATTGAACTTCATGCAAAATAGGTTATTTATCACTAGGGTAAAATAAGATAATGGGGAGGTTTAATTAGCCAAAGCCCTGTGATAACGCGTTTCTTCCTTACCAAATACCCAATGAGAATGCATATCATTAATTCTGTGGTTAGCTAATAAGAAAATGAAAAAAGCTCCCTTAATTTTTCCTTGAAAAAATTTTTAAACTAACACAAAGATGCCAATGAATGAGTATTTTGCTTACATCCATTCACTCCATCCAACTCTCATTCAAATGCTCATTGTGCACCTGCTAAGGTCAGGTGCGTGCTTTCTGCCAAGCATTCCAAGAGGAACGTCACATAGTCTTTGCCCTCAGGAAGCGTACGGTCTGGTTGGGAAAGAGATGCTTCCAACAATAATTCTGATACCTGTGTGATATGGTTTGGCTGTGTCCCCACCCAAATCTCATCCTGAATCCTACTCCCATAATTCCCACGTGTTGTGGGATGGAACTGGTGAGAGATAATTGAATCACGAGCGCGGTTTCTCCCATACTGTTCTTGTGCTAGTGAATAAATCTCACGAGATCTGATGGTTTTATAAACGAGAAGCCCTTTTCGCTTGACCCTCATTATAGCTCATGCCGCAGCCAGGTAAGAAGTGCCTTTCGCCTTCCGCCTTCCGCCATGACTGTTAGGCCTCCCTAGCCACGTGGAACTTTAAGTCCATTAAACGTCTTTCTTTTATAAATTGCCCAGTCTTGGGTATGTCTTTATCAGCAGCGCGAAAACAGATTACTAACACACTGTGGTAAAGGTGAAATCAGTGCTCACTCCTTCGGGTGAATTCCGTCACATAATCTCCACTGGGGAAGGGGTGGGCATGGGCAGCTCCTGGGAGCTGATGTCTTAGGGGCCCTAACACAAAAGTTCATGCAGTTCAGCATCCCTTCCCCTCCCATGCCCCACAGGGCACAAACGCATTGTTGTCCATCACCAAAACACATTACCCTTAGTACTCGACTCTAATGAAGTTCCAGTTCCTCAGTTGTATAACGAGGCTTCCAAGCTCCTATTTTAAAAGAAAGTTTCTTGAAGCTAAATAAAAGCACTGCTAACATGAAATTAACAGTGGAAATTTTTGAGTGTAATTTCAGGGTGAAAAAAACTGAAAAGACAAATGTAGATTTTAGATATTTCAAGGAAGGAGAGAGAGTAGTGTTGCTGGTACCATGCCTCTGCACTTGCTATAGCTGAGTTTCATTTGAGTATCCATTATTTGGAAGGAGTTCTTAAATCTAAGCCTGTGGAAGACAATAAATTCACATTAATTATCTCTCCATTTGACTCAATTTCTGAAGAAGTTCTATCCTTCTGATGAACTATCAGATTAAATCCCAGATTCCTCAGTATGATGTCCCTGAATACCAATATAAAGAATAAAGGAAGAGATCAAAACCTGGATGAATAATCTGTATAAACATGGGCATATACACAAGGTATGACTATAATATTGAGACTCATCCTATAAAGCACCTACAAAAGTTGATTGTATTATTTTATACTTATGCTTGTGCACATAAAAAATATTTGGCAGGCTAAAGGCCAAAGAACCAGGCACTGTTCTCAAAAGGACATAGCAGATTAACTACACCTCTATTTGTCCTTCTATACTCAAGGCTACTTACTGTAGTTGGGTTGACCAGGCAGAGTTTAAATCAATATATGTTGGTTGAGCCTGGATCTTAGATGAGAAATTCACACTAACGTGAAATTCACACAGACATATGTGGAAACACTAAAAACATTTTCTTTTACTTCATCCACCAGTGACTTTAATGAAAGCAGAGCATAATAATTAATACAAGTAATTAGAGTTGACAACTGAAGTGTCAAGAAAACCACAGTTCATCTGTTATCCGTCCATCTCTGTTGAAATATTAGTTTACTGCCATATATTAATCTATTTATAAAGAGATCCAGACAATTAGAAAAATTAGTCTGGAATCACCAGGCTGAAGGCTTAGCTGAAGTTAAAAGACAAGTAAAAATGCCTCCAAACTGTAAAACCTGAGTTGGGGAATAAATGGTAAAATGTGTAAAAATTTAGAAAAAGGTTATATGTGGACTGTAAAAAATACACTGGACTCACAGGTAATTAAGGGGTGAATCAGAGTTGTTTCCTAAATGGCATAAGCCAAACTCTTAGATATTTCTACCATTAGCTAAAAGGCAGAGAAGCACTCTCTCTCTCTATTAATGCACTTTTAAAAATGAAAATTGTGAAGTGTTCTGCCCTTAAAGTGGACCTTTATTTCAGGTCTGCATTACTTTGCTTAATAGATATGGTCCTAAAGATTAAGGTGGTGATCCATTTTATCTTGTAAAAATGCATAATTTAATCTGAGTTATAGGAATTTAAAGCTGCCCTACTTTGAAGGCCTTTGTGACTCAAAGATTTTTTTAATTTAATTTTTAAATTGAGAATTACCTGGCTTGGGCTTTTGGTCTTTTTATAATACGTATTGCTGTCTACTTTTTTTTTTATTCTTGGCTGCCTCAAGCTATTCTTGCCTCCAAAAGGTGTCAGCATATGAATAAAAACAGCAGAAAATAATTACCCTAATTAGGTCAATGTATTAAGCTGTTTCTACAACTGTTTCTCTTAAACACCTTATCTTTGTAGTCTTGGCTCATTAGAAATTCGACTAGTGGTAAGTATTTATTTTTTTCCTTCAAGGGGGTTTTTGCTTTGCTAAGCCTCGGGCATTTGGTTCGTGCAAGAAATCACAGAAACTGCTCCAGCGGACTCCGAAAGGAGCGGAAAATTCTTTTGTTTGGGGGCCATGAGGGGTGGGGGAGGGGTGGGGATTCTGGTGTAAGCTTTTGGCTTGCATTCGCTTTCTCCCTCCGAAAGTGGGCGACATCAAGCAAGTCCCAGTTACAGAAAGAACCCACTGCAGGGCGTCCAGTCACTTGCCCAGTGAAAAGACTGTAATCAGACAACTTTAATAAAGGGAGAGCAGGAGAGTGGTGACGAATTTCCACATTCCGAACAAGCTTGTCGAAAGAGGAGTGCAGGGAAGGAGCAAGAATGAGGCACTGGAAGACGGTGAGCGGGGCCTTGCCACAGAATCCCGGGCCCACCTGCTTTCTCACAGTCGCGACAGCCGGCCCGGAGAAGGGCAGCCCAGCGAAGGGCACGCCCCGCGCGGGTGCCAGGGAGGCCGGCAGGGGCGTCCGCGGTCGCTGCTCACCTGCGCTCCCCGCTGCCCGGCCCAGCCCGCCTCGCCACCGAGTCTGGAAGCCCACACTCACCCCTTTACCCGGGAAACGCGGCCGGAGCCGGCGGCGGGTCGGGAGTCCGAGATGGTAGATCCCCCTCCAGGCGCCTCGCTGACATTTTGTCCCGGACGGAAAACCTCCGCGCGTGCCCCTTAAAGACACAGCGCTGCATTCACACGTCTGCGGGGAAAGGGGGGCCGTCACGTGTGGCCTTCGCCCGAAAGCGGTAGGGGAGTCGCTCTGAAACCGCCAAGGATCGCGAGCGACAGATTTGTGTTGGCCAGGGTTTTAAGATGACGCAATAGCTGAGTGTGGTTGAAATGTAACTATTGTTTTACAACTTTGCATTAACCTTCCAAGACCTGAATTCCCGGGCCTGAGTCTCAGAGCGCGGTTTGCATCTTTGCAGGCTGTAGGCGCATGATGTCACAAGTTATTGGAAGAAATCCCTCCAACCTAGGTTGGGACAGATGAAGGCGGCGCTTATTGGTGTTCACCAAAACACCAGCATGGTGTACCAGCTTTGGCTAGATGATGCTCAGGTAACGAACAACCCCTGCAACTCAGTGGCTTAAAGGTCCATTTCTCAAGCGAATTACTGTGGCTGCAGGGAGCTTTGGCAGTACTCCACCAGTTTTCTTCACTCCAGGCTGAAAGGTCAACTTTTCTGGGCCATGCTCCCTGCTGGGCTGGTAAACCAACTTTGAGGGAGAAGGGGGAAGTCCAGATATGTAGTGTTTGCTATTTCTATGATGTAAATGCTCCCACAATGGCCGATTTCAAGCTACAAACAGTCCAACAAGTGGCTTGCCAAGTTCCTGGAAATTTAACAATTAGCTCCTGTACATGACTGGCACAAGCTGCTTTCCAAACTCACATTCCGCATGCCTCAGTTCTGCTCACTTTCTATTGGTCAAAACTTGCTGTCAGTGGGTGGGGAAGTGTACCCCTCTCTTAAGGAAGCCTTGCAAGTCTTGTGACAATGAAACAGGAGAGTTCCCTGATTTCCTCCCGGCCCCCGCCCTCCCACAGCCCTTTGCAGGACGTGCAACAGGGTTGTGGCTCGTGTGTTCGGTCTCTGCCTGCTGAAACCCCTTATGGGAGGTGGAGCATGCAGACGGACGGGTGCAGGAGCCAGGGTGCAAAAGCTGGGGCGCTGGGCTTCCAGCCCCACGGCAGTGTCCAGGGGCAGGATCCCGTGATTCCCGGAGCCCAAATGGGCGTGTGTTACAGTGTGCTCTTTTAGCCTTACCATCAGCTGACGGCTTAAGTGTTAACCAGCTCAATAGACCCTCTGCCTTTTTGCAAGCGCAGAGGGTCAGTGTGACAGTTTCTGTATCTCAGCTCTTGTCTCACCTCCCAGAAGAATCAGGTCACACATGGACTTGAAGGATGGTGAGTGCCGGGGTGGGGGCGGGGGTAGAGGAGTTGGGGGAAGGTTGGGGGTGTTTATTAGGTGGTAGGGGTGGCACTCAGTAGGATGGATGGGGAGCTGGAAAGGGGGTGGAGTAGGGAGATGATCTTCCCCTGGAGTTTAACCGTCCAGCGGTGGATTCTCTAACTGTCCCCAGCTGAACTCCACCCAATATTCCTTCTCTTTTCTCTTTATCTGCGGCTCTTCTGCTCTTCTGCTCTTCTGTTCATCTGCTCATCTTTTGCTGCTGGAGCCTGGTGTCTGGAGTTTATACGGGTACAGGATAGGGGGTCATGGAGGGCCAAAAGGTAACTTTTGGGCACAAGAACGGGAATGCCTCTCTTCATTTAGGGCCATGGGTTTCCAGGCTTGAGGGTGGGGCCTTTGCCAGGGAACGGCCTTATTCTACCCAGTAGTTCCCTGTCTACTGTCCCTATCAACAATAAGTGAGCTGAATAATATCCTTAAAAGAAGAACAAGAAATAACTGGGTACAATAATACAATCCACCATTCCAATAATGGTTTTGGAGGAAGAAACTGGTTGGGTATCTTCAAAGGCAGAGGTCCCCAACCCCGGGCCATGAACCAGTACCCTTTGTACCCTGTTAGGAACCTGGTGGCACAGCAGGAGTTGAGTAAGGGGCAAGCAAATGAGGGAAGCTTCATCTGTATTTACATCCGCTCCCCATGACTAGCATTGCCGCCTGAGCTCCACCTCCTGTCACATCAGCTGGGGCATTAGATTCTCATAGGAGCACAATTGTGAACTGTGCACATTCAAGGGATCTAGGTTGTGTGCCCCTTGTGAGAATCTAATGCCTGATGATCTGTCACTATCTCCTGTCACCCCCAGACGGGCCTGTCTAATTGCAGGAAAACAAACTCAGGGCTCCCACTGATTCTACATTACGGTGAGTTGTATAACTATTTCATTATATATTACAATGTAATAATAATAGAAATAAAGTGCACAATAAATATGATGCGCTTGAATCATCCCAAACCTATTCCCCACCCCTGTCCATGGAAAAATTGTCTTCCACGAAACCAGTCCCTGGTGCCAAAAAGGTTGGGGATTGCTGTTCAAAGGGATAATTTTGCAATGTGAAGGCCAACTATTAGGTTACTACTTTTCTTCTGGCCCAAAGGACACTTACAGCTACGGACATCTGATAAAAAGAAAAGTAATGAGTACACTGTTGGTGGGAATGTATAGCCATACACCCATTATGGAAAACAGTATGGCGGCTTCTCAGAAAACTAAAGATAGAACTATCATATGATCCATCAATTCCACCACTGGTTATTTATCCAAAGGAAAGGAAATCAGTGTATCAAAGGGATTCTTGTACTCCCGTTTATAGCCACACTATTCACAATAGCCAAGATACAAAATCAACCAAAGTCTATCAACAGATCAGTAAAGAAAATATGATATATATACACAATGGAACACTATTCAGCCATAAAAAAGAATGAAATCCTGTCATTTGCAGCAACATGCAGGGAACTAGAGGCCATCTTGTTAAGTGAAATAAATCAGACACAGAAAGGCAAAAATCACATGTTCACACTCATATGTGGGAGCTAAAGAAGTTGATCTCATGGAGGTAGAGAGCAGAAGGGTGTAGAGGTGGGGGAGTGAAGACAGGTTGGTGAATGGGTACAAGCAAACAGATAAGATGGAATAAGTTCTAGTTTTTGATAACACGGAAGGGTGACTGTATTTCCAAAGAGAAGATTTTTTTCTTTTTTTCTTTTTTTTGAGACGGAGTCTTGCTCTGTCGCCCAGGCTGGAGTGCAGTGGCACGATCTCGGCTCACTGCAAGCTCCGCCTCCCGGGAGCTTGTGTGGAGCTAGTGTTTTTATTCATGCCATTCTCCTGCCTCAGCCTTCTGAGTAGCTGGGACTAAGGGAACTACAGGCGCCCGCCACCACACCCATTAATTTTTTTGTATTTTTAGTAGAGACGGGGTTTCACTGTGTTAGCCAGTATGGTCTCGATCTCCTGACCTTGTGATACACCCGCCTCAACCTCCCAAAGTGCTGGGATTACAGGCGTGAGCCACCGCACCCAGCCGAAGAGAAGATTTTTTTTCTATGAGTTTGACTTTAATTTCTAAGATTCCACATATATATGAGATCATGCAGTATTTGTCTTTCTGTGTCTGGCTTATTTCACTTAGCATACTCTTCTCTAAGACATCCATGTTGTTGCAAATGGTAAGAGTTCCTTTTTCTTTAAGGCTGAATAATATCCGTGTGTGTGTGTGTGTGTATGTGTGAATACACACCACAGTTTCTTTTTTTATTCATCAGTTGATGGACACTTAGATTGTTACCATATCTTTTGGCTTCTGTAAATAATGCTGCAATTAACATGGGACTGCAGATACTTCTTGGAGATAGTATTTTTATTTCTTTTGGAAATATACCCAATAGTAGTATTAGTGGATCATATGGTAGTTCTATTTTTAATTTTTTGAGGAACCTCTCTATACTATTTTCAATAATGGCTGCACCAATTGACATTTCCACCAATAGGGTACAAGCATCCCCATTTCTCTAATCTTCACCAATACTTGCTGTCTTTTGACTTTTTGATAATAGTCATCCTAACAGGTGTGAGGTGATGTCATTTTGACTTGCAATTTCTCTGCTAATTAGTGATGTCGAGTAGAAGAGAAGATTTAAAATGTTCCCAATACAAAGAAATGATAAATGTTCAAGGTGATGGGTATCCTGATAACCCTGACGATCATTACACATTGTATGCATGCATCAAAATATCCCATGCACCCCATAAATACATACAAATATTTCGTATCAATAAAAAAATGAAAAAGAAAAGTAACTAGTATAAATGGCCAGGTGCAGTGGCTCACGCCTGTAATCCCAGCATTTTGGGAGGCCCAGGCGAGTGGATCACCTGAGGTCAGGAGTTCAAGACCAGCCTGACCAACATGGTGAAACCCCATCTCTACTAGAAAAATACAAAAATTAGCCGGGTGTGGTGGTGGGTCCCTATAAGCCCAGCTACCTGGGAGCCTGAGGCGGGAGAATTGCTTGAACCCGGAGGCGGAGGTTGCAGCGAGCCGAGATCGTGCAACTGCACTCCAGACTGGGCGACAGAGTGAGACTCTGTCTGAAAAATAATAATAAAATAAAATAAATAAATAAAAAAGAAAAGTAACTAGTATAAACAAATCAGGTTAAAGTCATCTCTAATTCATGTTTCAATATTTGAACAATTTTTTACAGTTTATTGTATCTGGTAATTCTTTTAAGAAGAAGCTTTATTGCTTTGAGTGTCTAAAAGAATCCATTTAACTTTAAACTGACCACGTAATGAGATACATGATATTTTCATTAGTTCATAGAGGAGTTTTTAGTAAGTGCTGGTTATGGGCAAAGCACCATCTTAAGCCTAAGCAGGAGTCTGGAGACTATTCCTGCCCTCAAGAGGATTACACTCCAGTATGACAGTAAGACATATGCAACTCTAAGAAGAAAGTGAAAAATTATATAAGAGGAAATATTCAAGTGCCATAATAAATTGAGAATGGCTACATATTTTTGAAAGTGGCAGCATTTAATCAAGGCTTGAAAAAGAGTAGGATTTGGATTCCTGGCATTATATGTTTATTATCTTAACAAGATGTATTTTTTATTTATTTTTAAAGTCAGATAAAAGGAGCTTAGCTTTTTTGTGAGTCAGTGCTTAAATTTTCTTAAATTTTGTGAGTCAATGCTTAAATTTAATAATTTTCTAAATTCTTAAATTTTCGTGTAATCAGAAATCTCTTTCTTGTGTTAAATTTAAAATCAAACTACAAAATATGTCTCAAATATCTAATAACTTTTCTTCTTTGCCCTACATCCTTTGTTCAAGTTTCAGCAAAAAAAAACAACCTTCAGTTCTTGCTTTCTTGGTAGTGGCAGTTCCCCTAACTTTCATCACGCGTGTAACCATAAATAAATAACATTTAATTTTCACAGGAGGATCTCATTTCTGTACCCTGCCCTGGAAGTTGGCAAAAAGTAAGGACCTGCATTTCATTGGAAATACAGAATATTTACTCTCCCTATTCTCTTCAGAAATTACAGCCTTGAAATCTGCTATCAGAAACCCACTTTGAGGCTGGGCCCAGTGCAGCGGCTCACACCTGTAATCCCAGCACTTTGGGAGGCCAAAGCAGGCGGATTACTTGAGCCCAGGAGTTCGAGACCAGCCTGGACGACATGGTGAAATCACCTCTTAAAAAAAAAATACAAAAATCACCCCAGCATGGTAGCACACATCTGTGGTCCCAGCTACTCAGGAGGCTGAGGTGGGAGCATTGTTTGAGCTCAGGAGATGAAGGCTGCAGTGAGACCTGATCACATACACCAATACACTCCAGCCTGGGTGATGGAGTGAGATCCTGTCTCAAAACCAAACCCAGTTTGAGAAAAATATTTATCAAGATTGTCTCAAAGACATGCAATTATGGAGCTGTGTCCTTTGGACCACACTGTTCTGGTGCATCCCAGATGTGCTTTTGATCTGTAGGTTTCTTTCTTGGGCTGTTTTTATCTTGTTTTTGGTATAAGAGTAATGCTAGCCTCATAAAGTGAGTTGGCAAGTGCTTTTTTCTATTTTTGAAAGAGTTTGTGAAGAATTGCTATTAATTTTTCTTTAAATGTTTGGTAGATTCAACAATGAAGCCATCTGGACCCAGGCTTTGATTTATGCATAGGTGGTTGATTACTAATTCAATGTCTTCATTTATTATATGTCTGTTCAGATTGTCTGTTTCTTCTTGAGTCAGTTTTGGTAGTTTGTATTTTTTCCAGGAATTTGTTGGTTTCATCAACATGATCTAAGGTGTTGGTATATACTTTTTCATAGTATAGTATTTTTTATACTTTTTTTTATTTCTATAAGGTTGATGGTAATGTCCCCTCTTTCCTTTCTGGTTCTTGGATGTGCTTTTACTAAACTTTGTTTATTCTGCTCTTCTGCACAGCTGATCTGAGCACAGTGGTTTTGGCACCCAATGAGTAGAAACTTTGCTCAACTAAAATTTTTCAGTGAGAATCGTGTGAGCTGACCCAGTTGAGATGTCTTTGGTGTTGGGCATTGTTTGTGCTATTCATCGTTGTTCCTTTTCAGTTAGGGCTCAAACAAGATGAATCCCTGTGGTAATGCCAACTACCTTCAGCAAGGCACCTTGTAGGAAACAGATGCATAAACTTCATTATCAGATTTAGTGTCATGATGTCATCTGCTACAGCTATCTACTGCATCCCACAGTGTTTTCTCTGTAGGATCTAGAGGAGACCTTTCTCTGATCTCTCGGTGTCATGAAAAGCTCTGCATGCCCTGAACAAATGGGACCTTTTAATCCCACTGTGGATTATGTCTCCTGCTTTGGCCGCCGGGAGGGCTGAGTCCAATGTTGAATATCTACTCTATCAGTTTCCTAGAGCTGCCACAACAAAGTATCACAAACAGATTGGCTTAAAACAACAGGTGTTTATTCTTCCATAGTCCTGGAGGTTTGGTTAGAAGTCAAAATTAAGGTGTCAGCTGGGCTATGTTACCTTCGGAACCTGTAGGGAAGAATATGAGGGGACTTCAAAAAGGTTGTGGAAAAATGGAATTAAAAGATAAAAATGAGAAATATACATTTTATTTCTCAACATAAACTCCATTAAGTTCAAGACACTTTTCTAAGTGATGACACCAGCCATCTAGTCCATTCCCAGCATCCTGGGAATTTAGCCATGTCAATGCAGTCTTTCTTACATCATTAACTGAAGAAAAATGGGTACACTTTACATACTTTTTTTGAGAGGGAGTCTCACTCTGCCACTCAGGCTGGGGTGCAGTTGTGTAATCATGGCTCACTACAGCCTCGACCTCCTGGGTTCAAGCAATCCTCCCACTTCAGCCTCCCAAGTAGCAGAGACAGGCAGGCACCACCATGCCTGGTTAATTTTGTATTTTGTGTAGAGACAGAGTCTCACCATGTTGCCCAGGCTGGTCTTGAACTCCTGGGCTCAAGTGATCCTCTCATTTTGGCTTCTCAAAGTCTTGGGATTATAAGCATGAGCCACTATGCCTGCCATTTTTTTTAAATATTAGTGTCTTAGTCCATTTTGCATTGCTATCTGAAAGGAGGTTTATTTGACTCTCAGTTCTGCAGGCTGTACAAGTAGCATGGTGTCAGCATCTGCTTCTGGTGAGGACCTCAGGAAGCTTCCACTTATGATAAAAGGGGAAGGGGAGCAGACATCATAGCAAGAGGAGAGGAAAGAGAGAGTAGAGGGAGGCACCAGACTCTTTTTAACAACCAGATCTGGAGGGAAGTAAGAGTGAGAACTCATACCCCCCAGGTAGGGCTTTAATCTATTTTTGAGGGATCTGCCCCCATGACTCACATACCTCCCATTATGCCCCACCTGCAACATTGGGAATCAAACTTCAGCGTGAGACTTGGAGGGGACAGATATTCAAACTATATCAATTAGAAAAAAAAGAAGTCAGACAGAGCCACGTCAGCTCTGTAAGGTAGATGCCTAAAGATTTTCTATGAAACTCTCAAAAAATTGCCCTTGTTTGATGAGAGGAATGAGCAGGAGCATTATTGTGGTAGAGAAATACTCTCTCTGGTGAAGCTTTCCCAGATGTTTTTTTTTGCTAAAGCTTTGGTTAACTTTCTCAAGACACTCTCATAATAAGCAGATGTCATCGTTGTTTGGCCCCTCAGAAAGTCAACAGGTGAAATGCCTTGAGCATCCCCAAAAATTGTTGCCAGGAACTTTGGTCTTGACTGGTCTGCTTTTGCTTTGCCTGTGTAACTTTCTTCTCTTGTTAGCCATTGTTCCGATTGTGCTTTGTCCTCAGGATCATCCTGGTAAAGCCATGTTTCATCTCCTGTTCCAATTCTTCAAAGAAATGATCCCATTGTTTATTCTGCTCTTCTGCACAGCTGATCTGAGCACAGTGGTTTCGGCACCCATTGAGTAGAAACTTTGCTCAACTAAAATTTTTCAGTGAGAATCGTGTGAGCTGACCCAGTTGAGATGTCTTTGGTGTTGGGCATTGTTTGTGCTATTCATCATTGTTCCTTTTCAGTTAGGGCTCAAACAAGATGAATTTTTTGCTTGCAAATCGACATAGATGGCCTACCGTGATGGGCTTCATCTTCAACATTGTCTCATCCCTTCTTACACTTATCCATTTGTAAACATCTAATTTCTTTGGGGCATTGTCCCCATAAACTTTCTGTAAAGTATCGATGATTTTACCATTCTTCTCCCCAAGCTTCACCACAAATTTGAGGTTGATTCTTGCTTTAGCCGACTTCATATTGCTCTGATATGGACTCTTTTCAAACTGAAGTCTTATCCTTCTTCATGCCTCAAACTAGACCCTATTCAGACATGTTATACAAGTTAGTACCAGCTTATTGGTGTGGAAAAGCATTGAAATCCTTGCATAATTTTTTCATGATACACATTTTTTTTTGAGATGGAGTCTCACTGTGTTGCGCAGGCTGGAGTGTGGTGGTGTGATCTCTGCTCACTGCAGCCTCAGCCTCCAGGTTCCAGCAATTCTCCCACCTCAGACTCCCCAGTAGCTGGGACTACAGGCGCACGCTACCACACCCAGCGAATTTTTGTATTTTTATTAGAGACAGGGTTTTGCTTTGTTGGCAGGCTGGTCTTGAACTTCTGACCTCAAGTGATCTGCCTGCCTCAGCCTCCCAAAGTGTTGGGATTACAGGCATGAGCCACCGCGCTGAGCATGATACACATTATTGATGAACTTTTTTGAAGTACCCTTTGTACTTCCTTACCATTCCCTAGCTTCTGGTGGTGGTTGGCTGTCTTAGTCCATTTCATGCCTACTATAACAGAACACCTGAGACTGGGTAATTTATAATGAACGGGCATTTATTAGCTCATAGTTCTGGAGGCTGGTAAGTTCCCTATCAAGATGCCAGCAATGGGTGAGAGCATTCTGGTTTCATCATCACATGGCAGAAGGCAAGGGGTAGGAGGAGAAACTCCCTTCATCAAGCCCTTTATAATTACATTAATCTATTAATGAGGGTAGGGCTCTCATGACTGAAACATTTCCCACTGGGCTCTTCCTCTCAGCACATTGGGGATTATGTTTCAACATGAGTTTTGGAGGGGACAAAAACATTTAAACCATAGCGCCAGCAGTACCTCGTGTTCCTCGGTTTGCAGTTGCATCCCTCCAATCGCTGCCTCTGTCACCACATGGCATTGTTCCTGGGTGTCTATGTCCAAATTTCCCCCTTCTTATAAGGATACCGGTTATATTGGATTAGGACCCACCCTAATGGGTGTCTTAACATGATTACATCTGCAAACACCTTATTTCCAGGTAAGGTCACACTCACAAGTACCCAGAGTTAGGACTTCAACAGATCTTTTGCAGGGACACAGTTCAACTCAAAGCACCTACAAGTGTCACATGGTCAACTTCTCTGTGTGCTAATATTACCCTTCTTATTTCATCTTTTATTTTTCTCTATTTTCCTTTTGTCCCTATTACCTAGATTACTTAGTTTTTCCTTAATTATATACATCTTTGGCTGGATTTGAAAGGAAGAAGACAGAAAGGAAGGGAAGGAAGAAGAGAAGGAGGGAGGAAAAGAGAGAAGGCGAAGGAGGAAGAAAAGCCTGTCCCCTAAAATTAGACATGAAACCAGGGGAACAGAGTTGCTGGAATGGGGAGCCACGGTGGGAGAGACTGACTGGGAAAGTGTTTTTGCTGTGTGCTTCATCAGAACCTCAGAATTACTTTTTTTGAGGGGATGGATGCAGTGGCTAGCAGCTGCTTGAAGCTTAGCTGATCTAGGAAAAGTTGGAAGATAGTTTGATGAATTAAGAATTAGGAGAGTAAAGGTATTGTCCAGCTACTTTTATATGATTATTAGTAGACACAATATGGATTGAAGTTTTGTGGTAATAGGAAGCTTATACAGTGTTGAAGACTCATGTATCCTAGCTGTTGTGGACACAGACCCATAAATCATTGATTTACTGCATGCAATTTATTCTGGAGGACAGTATCTCATGTTTGCAGGGTATCATCCTCCAAATATCACTTTAGCTGAAACTTTAATAGGCTATTCCAATTGTCTATCAGACTAGCTGTTTGTGGAGATTTTATATATCTATATATATATATCTATATATATATATATATATATATATACATACATATGACCAGCTAAAGCTACTGTATAAACCAACATTTCCCTTTCCACCTGTTCCTCATCTTAACCCATCACAGGTAAGAGTCTTAATCCTAATACTACAGCACACCAAGGGTTACCATCAACCCACTTACCACTAGAAATGAGGTCCTTGTTACTATTTGGTGGGTGAATGATCCCGTACCGGAATTCTATCCTGAGGTTTGTAGGTTCAGACCTACAAGTAGCTACAGGTAGCTTCTATTTTCTAGGGCCACTCTCTACATGCTTTCTTAGTTTGGATTTCCCTAAATGCAATGGCTAAGACAAGGCCTAGGATGCAGATAATTTGAGGGCCGACTGCAGGAAGCAGGTCTAAGGGAGCAAGGAGAGTAATGGAAGAAACGTATGTCAAAATAAAGAGGCTTTGCTTTTCTAACTATAAATGATTGTGTGTCTTTCAAATAATGTCTTCATTTTATACTGATGATGATTGTAACAAAACCCATTCCCACATGGTGAATTGTTTTTAATGTTCACCTTTAGGCTTTTTCAGACCCACCTTCCTCTTTTTTTTTTTAAAAAAAAAAAAGAAAGTCTTGTTCTGTCACCCAGACTGGGATGCAGTGTCATAATCATGGCTCACTTCAGCCTCAAACTCCTGCGTGCCAGTGATTCTCCCACCTCAGCCTCCCAAGCAGCTGGGACTTCAGGCACATGCCACTATACCCACCTAATTTATCTATCTTTTGTTTTTTTGAAGGTAGAGACAGGGTCTCACTATGTTTCCCAGGCTGGTCTCAAACTCCTGGTGTCAAGTGATCCTTCCACCTCAGCCTCCCAAAATGCTGGGATTAAAGGTGTGAACCACTGTGCTGGGCCACTTCTACCCCATTGTTTAACTTAACATTGTCTTAATCTGTTTTGTGCTGCTATAACAGAACACCAGAGACTGGGTAATTAATAAAAAGAAGAAATTGATCTGGCCTACAGTTCTGGAGCCTTGGAAGTCCGAGATCAAGGAGCTGCATCTGGTGAGAGCCTTTTTGCATTATCCCATGGCAGAGGCAGAAGGGCAAGAAAGAATGAGAGAGGGAGAGGGAGAGGGGGAGAGAGAGACAGAAAGAGAGAGAGTGAGAAAGAGAGAGAGATACAGTGAGGGAGAGTGCACTAAATTTGCTTTTAGGGCAAACCCACTCCCACAATTAATCCATTCAAGAAGAGTCTGCAGTCACCTCTTAAAGGTCTCACCTGTCAACACTGTTGCACTGGGGAATTAAGTTTCTAACACATAAATTTTGGGGACACATTCAAACCATAGCCATCATCTTCTGCCATTTATTATTAGAAAAACATTAATGTATACTTTATGTTTATTTTGTTGGTTGGCTTTTGGCTTGGATACTTATGAAATTTTTAAAACTTATCTTTGAGACTGGAAATTTTTACTGTAATTATATATGTGAAGTCTCTTTTTGCTTGAAACATAGTGCGCTAAGCTTGGAGTTTATCCTGAGGTAGTTTTAGGCAAGAGAGTTACATGGTGAGAACTATGTTTTAAATATACCACCTCAGGCAAGTATGAGGGATGTGTTTGGAAAAAGTACAGACTAGAGCTGAGTAGACCAGTTGGACTGTTGGAATACTGTAGGCCAGAACTGAGATATTTTTAAGATTCAGCCTGTTCAATATGTAGCAGGAAGTAATAAACAAGAGAATAGATGGGAGATGGAGTTGGTAAGAAGTAACTCCAATGTGGTCTGCGGTTCCCATGTCTCACTGCTGTGTGTTACTGGCCTCAGTGTACTTGAGGAACCTGAGCTGCTGTGCAGAGGACAGCATTGCTGGGGCATGCGACTCTAGGGAGTAGTGCTCCCCAGGGTGACCTTTTCTTTTCTTTTTTTTTTTTTCTTTGTGAGACGGAGTCTTACTCTGTCACCCAGGCTGGAGTGCAGTGGTGCGATCTCAACTCACTGCAACCTCCGCCTCCCAGGTTCAAGCGATTCCTGTCTCAGCCTCCCGAGTAGCTGGGACTATAGGTGCACGTCACCACACCCAGCTAATTTTTGTATTTTTAGTAGAAACAGGGTTTCACCATATTGGTCAGGCTGGTCTTGAACTCCTGACCTCTGGTGATCCACCTGCCTCAGCCTCCCAAAGTGCGGGGATTACAGGCGTGAACCACAACGCCCGGCCCGGGGTGACCTTTTCTATGTCACTGGAATGAGAGGAAAATACTGGTTGCAGAAAGAAATGGCTCTTTTCCTATGGAAATCATCAGCAAGGCATTTGATACTGATTTCTATTTCTCAGAACTGTTAGGAAGAACTGGTACAGAGATTTATCCCAGAATTTCAACTCCTTTTCAGGATTCATTACTCTACCACCCTGTATTGTTTTGTTGTGGTTTATGTACATCTATTCACCATAAACTACTACTACTACTGCCTAAGAATGGAGGAGGCTGGCAGGGGATCCAGGCAGGACTCACTCACTGCCATCTCACGTTTTTCCTCTCCTAGGGTTCTAGGATGCCTCATAAAGGCCCGTAGTGTACTTTCTGTCTACTTCACTTAGCTCCGCATTTGCAATTTCTGTTAACATGCATACAGTTGAATGGATGGCCAGGATCAAAGCTATCTGCTGTGAGACACAATGAGAAATGCTTTTGTGTAAAGGTAGGAGTACTTTTATTTACTGCTACATCATACAGGGAAGGTGGGGAGGAAATAAAAAGAAAGAAAGGAAAGAAAAGGCAAACCAATATGACCAACAGTGGTACAGGCCTTCTTGTTCTTACCTCTCTATCAGGGTCCCTAAATGAGGCTTATACTTGGAAAAGCAAAAGACAGATCCGGTGGGAGGGGATATGGAAAAGACCTGGGAGGCAACCCTTGTACAGAGAGCCTTGTCTCCAGGGAGCACTGCTCCACTGGTGCACTTGTTCAAAGAGCTGGCAGGCTGGGGGCCGGGCTCCCTCCTGCTTGTTTAAAGGGTGGTATGACTGGTTAGAGTGGACATCTGGAGGCTTATCCCACCGTGATTTCAGGGGTCTCACTCTCCAAGTATAGTCAGGGTTGATGTGACCTGACCCTGGTGTTCAGACATCCACACAAGTTTCAGAAGTGTTTACAAACTTTTTGCCAAAGGAAAAATAAACTTGCACAGGAGAGCTGGTTTAGCTGTTTTCTGAGACAATTATAAAAAACAGTAGTAAGCCCCAACTCCCAATCATCTAAAAATTTTTTTTCCTTTTTTTTTTTTTTTTTTTTTTGAGATAAGGTCTCACTCTGTTGCTCAGGCTGGAGTGCCATGGCATAATCATAGCCCATTGCAGCCTCATCCTCCTGGGCTCAAGTGATCTTCCTGCCTCAGCCTCCCTAGCAGGTGGGACCACAGGCACGCATCACCACGCCTGCCTGTTTTTTTTTTTTTTTGGTAGAGGTGGGGTCATGCCATGTTGCCCAGGCTGGTCTTGAACTCCTGGGCTCAAGCTATCCTCCTGCCTCAGTCTCCCAAAGTGATGGGATTACAGGAGTGAGCCGCTGCACCAGGTCAATTTTTTTCTTTTGCATTTCTTTTGCAATAGGAGAAAAGCAAACCATTATCTGAGTATGTGTGGCTTGGAGGCACAAGCAGATCTAGGGTATATCGCTCTGTCCTCAGAGAAACTATCAGCATGCTGTTGCTTTTGGTGTTGGCTGGCACTACTCAGGATGATCCAGCTTGCCTGCTTGGATTTATGATTCAGTTCATCCAAAATCCTCCTCTCTGCCCAACCAAACCTCCTACTCATTCACTGAGTCATCACCCTTATGAAAACTACTTAGATTGCACTATGTTAGAAGGATCTCTCCCTCACCTAAGTTTCTCTTGTCCTCCAAGCTAGTATCGTGCATCTGACACGTTGTTTCTTAGAAGCTAGCCTGCTTTCACAGCTCAACTAGAATGATCTCGGTGGCAGGAATGAGAGCTCATACATTTCGCCCATAAAGCCTAGCACAATGCTGGGCAAAGTATTCAGTGAATACTTGGAGTGATTGAAAACTTGCCACTAAAAACATATACTGTGTAGGTACTTACATGAGGTGCTTAGGGTAGTCAAATTTATAGAAATAAAAAGCAGAATGGTAGCTGCCAGAGGCTGCGGGGTGGGGGAGAGATGGGGAGTCATTGTTTAAGAGGTACAGACTTTCTGTTTGTGAAGATGAAAATGTTCTGGAGATGCATGGTGGTGATGGTTGCACAACAATATGAACGTACTTAATGCCACCAAATTGTCCACCTAAAAAGGTAAATTTTATTTTATGTGTATTTTGCCACAATAAAGTTTAAATTTTTAAAAAGCCTATACTGTAGAAATTTGAGGCTCTTCCCTAAGTCCACCCTCAGCTGCCCTCCCTGGTGCCCATGTGCAGAATCCATATCGTGTGCGAGTGAAATGTCCAGTTGGATGGCCGTGCTGGCCAGGCCCCAGATACTGGGCTCAGCTTCCCACTTGGCAGCTCCATTTTTGTTTTGAAAATGGGGTCATTTGCACCAGGCTTTTAGTTTAGATTTTTTTTTGTAGTTCCTGTCTGCACAAGAATTGTTAGGAAAGAGTCCAGATCTAGAGCAAGCAAGGTTATAGTTTCCCTAGGGTAATGGAGAAAAGCTTAGTGATGGTGAGATTTCTTGACATCTCACAGCCTCCAATTTAGTTTGGTTTTGTTTTTCATCTGTAAAATGAAGATTTCAATAGTCCCTACCTCCTTAGGTTGTTGTGGGGATTAAATGAAGTGAGTTGCATCAAATACCTTGCAGAGTACCTGAGGCAGGGCAGGAGCTAGGAAGCGTTGTTCATTATTTATCAATGGCAGCTGAGAATTCTTGGATTCTGTGACTCCAGCTTGGGTTCCAGAAGGACAGAAGCAGCCCACAGGGCTCCTGACACAGTGCCTTGTCTATGACGTGTGATCCTATGTGTAACAAAACCCTTGGGAGGCACCAGGTTGGTGGCTGGGGAAACAATCTGGTCTGGAGAGTCAGGGGTTTTTTGGTCAGACTTTCCCCACTCAGCCAGAAACCCAGCTGCCAGCCACGCCTAGGCTCCTGTGTTCCCTGCGGTGCTCTCTTTCTTTAGTTCACATTAGAAAAATCTTGAGAAAGGACTTGAAGAGACCCGCTTGGCTGGCTTTCTCACCTGCGTGGCCAAGATGCCAGCACTCACTTGACCACGTGGTCAGAGTAGGTCGGGCAGCTTTCCATGTGAAGAGGAGTGGTGGGCAAGGAAAAATGAAGCATCCACCCCTCACTGAACTGCATGCCCTGGCCAAGCCAGAGAAAAGGCAGCCATGGCCCCACCGCCATCTTGCTCTTCAGTGACGAATGCCCTATGCACCATGATATCTGTTTGCAAACAAAAGATGCCTTATGTTCCTTCTTTTGAAAGGGAGTCAAGCACATTGATCTTAAGGCTTTCCAAGTTAGCATCTAAAATTATTTGACCTTGGTTTAATAGGGAGAAATTGATCAGGTTGTGGAAATGAAAAATGAAAACGCTTAATGGAAAATACTTGAAATAAATTCAAGGCCATATTAACATTTAATTTACACTTCCTCCCAGAAGCTATTTTTACTTTCCTATTTACTAGTATGATATGCAGTAGTTATTTTTCTCCGTGACTCAACACGATGGGATATTTTTTTCCTTTCTGCAAATACCTCTCAATTCGGATATGACACAGAGTTCCCATTTTCCCCATAAATTACATATTTATAGCACACGGGAATAGCAGGAATGCTGTATGTCTCTTAAAAGTACTTCTGTATTTGAATTATAGAGAAAATGACTTGATGGGAGTCTGAACTTTGGGCACTCTTGATGTAGCTGGAGCAGAGAGGGGAACAGAACTCTGTGTTCCAGGCCCAGGCACTGTCTGTTCTGAACATGAGCCTGCCACTGCCAACTGTGTGCATGTGGGGAAGGGTGATGAGGGAAGGATGGGCATGAGCAACCAGGATCAAAGGTCATGTGGTGGTGAGAACATAGCTTGGACATCCTGCATCTTGGATTCTGTTCTGCTGTGTACTAGCTCTGAAAGCTTGAGACAGCTTCTTAGCCTTTCTGGTCCTTTTGCTTTTTCCTCTGTAAGCTGGCATAACAGAAGGAGTTACACTTAGAGTTATGATAAAGATTTGAATAAGGTAATGCATGGAAAGCTTCCACACTAGTGTTTTCATTGAGAGAGTCATCAATAAAAAAAATAAATGCTTGTCATTCTAGAGAGTTCTAAAGCAAGACAAGTGTCTTCTGTTCCTTGCACCCTTCTTCCCCTTCCCTTTGGAAGCCTGGTGGCTGAGGACAGCTAAGTTCTTTACTTGGGAGGAAGTACCCTTCCTTCCCCACAGAAAGCTAAGTGGGATCCAAGAGTCAAGGGAGCATAGAGCAGGCCCCTTTAGCCTACCTGTATCCCAGGCTTCCCGTAGAGGTTTATGTGGGGCCTATCGCTCTTCCACACAGTAAGGAACCACGTGAAGGCTTGGGAGCTGAAGTACATGTTTGCCGGGAGGGAGCTCAGTATAGTAGATGTTCCCTTTATAACCCTGCACCCAGTGTGACAATGGGCAGTGCTATGGTTTGAATGTTTGCGTCTATTCAAAATTCATACTGAAACTAAATCCTCAATGCAATAATAGTATTAAGAGGTGGGACTTTTAGGAGGTGATTAAGTCATAAGGCTCCTTCCTCGTGAATGGGATTAAGGCCTTTATAAAAGAGGCTTCTCGGGGTCTTCATCTTTTTTTCCCCTTCTGCCTTCTGCCATGTGAGGACTCAATGATCACCCGCTCCAGAGGATGCAGCAAAAAGGTGCCATCTTGGAAGCAGAGACCAGCTCTCACCAGACGCTGAATCTGCTGGCTCCCTGATCTTGGACTTCCCAGGGTCCAGAACTCTGAGAAATAAATTTCTATTGTTTATAATGTACTCAGTCTGTGGTATTTTGTTATAGCAGCAGGAATGGACTGAGAGAAAAGCAGCTAGTTGAGGATTTGAGAATTTGGGTGTTTTTTTGGTTTTTGGTTTTGGTTTGAGTGAATCTTTTTGCAAAACATTTTAGACATTTTATGTACAATAAAATGCTTCCATTTTAAATATGCATTTGAGTAGGCTTTAGAAATGTATACAACCATGTAAACACCTTAATCAAGACACAGAATGTTTTCATAACCCTCAAAAGTTCCCTTGTATCCAGTTGCAGTAAATCTCCCCTTCTCCCCACCCCCAGGTGACTCCTAATCTGCTTTCTATCAGTTTAGAAAAGTTTGCATTTTCTAGAATTTTGTATAGAGGGAATGAGTCAGACTTTCATGTATCATAATGCTTTTGAGATTCACCCATATTGTTGCATGTATCAGTGGATTCTTCCTTTTCCTTGCTAAGTTTCATTCTGTTATATAGATATACTGCAATTTATTGATCAATTCTCTGTTAATGGACATTTGGATTGTTTCTAGTTTTGGTGTATTTTGTATAAACCGACAGTTCCTGACTTATGATGGTTCAACTTTAACATAATGCGAAAACAATACACATTCAGTAGAATTCATACTTCAAGTACCCATACAACCATTCTGTTTTTCACTTTCAGTACATTGCTTAATAAATTATGTGAGATATTCAACACTTTATTATAAAATAGGCTTGTGTTAGATGATTTTGCCTCGCCATAAGCTAATTTAAATGTTCTGAGCACATTTAATGTAGGTTAAGGTAAGCTATGATGTCTGGTAGGTTAGGTATAGTAAATGCACTTTTGATTTATGATATTTTCAACTTACGATGGCTTTATTGGGACATAACTCCATTGTAAGTAAGCCAAGGAGCATCTGTATATTAAAAAGCTGCTATGAACATCTGTATACAAGTCTTTTTGTAAATGCATGTTCTGATTTCTTTCAGATAAATACCTGGAGTGGGATTGCTAGATCACATGGTAAATATGTATTTAAATTTATGAGAAACTGCCAAAGTATTTTCCAAAGTAATAGTAACATTTTACACTCCTACCAGGACTGTCTGAGAGTTCCAGGTGCTCCACATCCTTACTGACACTTAGTATTGCCTGTCTCTTTAATTTTGGTTGTTCTAGTGGGTGTGAAATGGTATCTTGGTTTAGTTTTAATGTGCATTTTCCTAATGCCTAATGGAATTTTCCTTCACCTAATGGCTAATGAGGTTGGGGTCTTTCCATGTGCTTATTAGTCATTCATATACCTCCTTTAGCAAAGGGTCTTTTCAATTATCTTGCTTATATTTAATTGGTCTGCCTTCACAGTTGAGTTGTATTAGTTCTTTATATATTCAACGTACAAGTCCTTTGTTAGATATATGTTTGCAAATATTTTTTTCCCATTCTGTGGTTTCTCTTTCATCTTCCTAATGGTGTTTTTCAATGAGCAAAAATTAATTTTATAAAAGCTTAGTTTACCAATTATGTTTTTAATAGTTTGTTGGTCTTATGCTCTATTCAATAAATATTTGCCTACACTAAAGTTGCCAAGATTTTCTCCTAGGTTTTCTTCTAGGAGTTTTATAGTTTTTACTTTTACATGTTGTCTATTATATAATTTGAGTTAATTGTTGAGTATGGTGTGAGGCAAGGGCCAATACTTATATCTTTTGCAATGAATGTCCTAGCACCATTTGCCGAAGCACCCCTTTTCCCCCATTGAAATGGCTTGGCACAAAAATCACTTGACCATACATGTTTGGGTCTATTTCTGGACTGTCTCTGCCACATTGATCGCATATCTATGTTTTTGCCATTATCAGATCTTGATTGCTATAGTTTTATAGAAAGTATTAAAATTGCTTTGGTTATCTAAATCATTTTAATTTCTATATAGAGTTTAGAATCAGCTTGTCAAGTTTTTTAAAAAAATCTGCTGGATTTTTGACAGGGATTATGTTCAATCTGTGAGCCAATTTGGGGAGAATCTCCATCTTAACAATACTGAATCTTCAGATCCATGAATATGATTTGTACCTCCATTTATTTAGGTCTTATTTAATTTTTAGCAATGTTTTATAGTTTTCAGTGTACAGATCTTACATAAACTTTGTTACATTTACCCCAAACTATGTCATATTTTTTGACGGCATTGTAAATGAAATTGTATTTTTTATTTTATTTTATTATTTATTTATTTATTTTAATTATTATACTTTAAGTTCTAGGGTACATGTGCACAACGTGCAGGTTTGTTACATATGTATACATGTGCCATGTTGGTGTGCTGCACCCATTAACTCGTCATTTACATTAGGTATATCTCCTAATGCTATCCCACCCCTCTCCCCCTACCCTACGACAGGCCCCAGTGTGTGATATTCCCCTTCCTGTGTCCAAGTGTTCTCATTGTTCAGTTCCTACCTATGAGTAAGAACATGCAGTGTTTGGTTTTCTGTCCTTGCGATAGTTTGCTGAGAATGATGGTTTCCAGCTTCATCCATGTCCCTACAAAGGACACGAACTCATCCTTTTTTATGGCTGCATAGTATTCCTTGGTGTGTATGTGCCACATTTTCTTAATCCAGTCTATCTTATTTTATTTTTCAAATGTCCATTGCTGGTATATAGTAATATAATTGAGTTTATACATTCACCTTGTATCGTATGACCTTGCTAAATTCAACTTTTTCATTCTAGTAGCTTTTTCTCCTCCATAGATTCCTTAGGATTTTCTAACATAAAAATGTTATGTGTGAAAAAGATAGTTTTATTATTTTTTTTGTCCAATATCTGTGTCTTTTCTTTATTTTTCATGCCTTTTTTGCAATGGTTAGAACTTCTAGTGCAATATCGAATAGAACTGATGAGAGAGGGTATCCTTGCCTGTTCACCATCTTAGGGAGAGGTATTCAGTCTTTCCCTATTAAGTATGATAGTTAGCTATAGGCTCTTTGTAGATGTCCTAAAACATAGTCTGCTTTTAATTATTATCATGGTCTGGCAATTCTAAACAAAGCCAATGATAAAATACTTATCACTCCTAAAATATCTTTTGCTGGTCTGAGTTCCAAATAATTGCTGAAATTACTTCTGAGTTTGATTAATATATATCTAACCTTCAAATTTACATATTTGTATCAATTATCCTTTAGTAGTTGTATTCTATATGGAAGTTAATTAAGAGAATTCCCAGTTATACAGGGAATTCGTATTCCCCTCCCCCTCCCACCACTACCCCACACACTGACCCAGCAGCATGCTTTCTTTGGAGAAGAATTTGTAACAGATCGCAGTCATTCCAGCTTCCTTCAGGGGTAGTTTGTGCCTCCAACTCCTGGGATGCATATATTCCTGCATTTACACTGCAGAGTCCAAAGAAACAGTTATAGCACTGGGATTGCAAAGATGAAGAAACAGAACCTCACTTGCTTCAATTCTATCATCTATATGATTCCTTGGAGTTTTTGGTTTTGTGTTTAGAATTTAAAACAGTGAAACTGTGAGGTATAATATTTTTATTTGGTAAGGGCAAATTTTTATTCTTATGTGAAATATTTTGAGTGATATTCTTAAAATTGACATTCATTTTAAATTCTATTCTTGTTATTTATTATTTAATTGTAACACTATTCATTTCTTTGACAGGCCATTATATAGGTCTAAGGTTTTTTCCCTTTAAAAATATATTAATGCAGGCCAGGCACATGGCTCATGCCCTTAATCCCAGCTCTTTGGAAGGCCGAAGCAGGCAGATCACTTAAGGCCAGGATTTGAGACAAGCCTGGGCAGCATGGCGAAACCCCGTCTCTATTAAAAATACAAAAATTAGCCGGGCATGGTGGCGCACGCCTCTAGTCCCAGCTATTTAGGAGGCCTAAGCATGAGAATCACTTAAACTCTGGAGGTGGAGGTTGCAGTGAGCCGAGATTGCGCCACTGCATTTCAGCCTGGGTGACAAAGCGAGACTCTGTCTCAAAATATACATATATATAAATGCAATGAAAAAAATATCAATAGTTATTTTTGCATATTTGTGCTATAATATGTTATTTTTATTTTTTACTTTTTGTAAAGTAAAAAATATTTATCTGCACCACATTCAACAAAAGATAATTTTTGTTGTCAGCATTGCTTTTTTGGTTATTGTTATGATTCATTTCAGTTCATGATTATTTGTGACAATAATTTTAGTATAGAGAAGACACATTTGCTCCAGGGGTTGGTATGTTGCTTCTGCCATTGGTAAGATGGAGTCTGTGCAGGTCCAGCCCCAGGCAATTGTCAGCCCATTGACCATCCTACAAGTCAGATAGAGTGGGGTTTGGTTGGTTGCCTCTGATTATTTGTCTTCTAGGGACTATTTTGAGTTTTGTTCTGAGGCAAAGGCACAGATAAAACAGACAGATTAATGATGCATAGCCATGAAATGATTTTGCAAAGTTCTATCAGAAAACCCTGCACTGAGAGTCAGGACTCTGCCCTGTCACCACATTATCTGCTTTCTCCCCCTTGGGGTTGAATGAGACAATCTTTATTTCTTCTGGTCCTGAAATTCAATGAGTCTGTTATCCCACTATGAAATATAAAGGGTTATTATTACTCTTGTTTTTGTTGTTTGTATTAATGAACAAAGAAGAGGCTCTGGAAACTTTGACCAGTGGGGCAGAAGGACAGCAAGACAGTTAAATATTTAAAAATGTTCTAAAGTAAAATTCGAGAGTCTTGTCCTCAGCTGTTTGAATTGGGCTTACTGTCACTGGCTGTGACCTTATACCTCATTCCCAAGGCTATGGGATCTTTACTAAGTTAAATTGCAGAGGGCAGACTGCAGTGGTGGCTAACCAATGCTATATCTGCCCTTCAGCTCAAGCCCATCTCTACCTGGGAATTTTCGGTGTGCTCAGACAGCAGAGACAGAGACCCATGCCCAATGTTGTCCTGTTGCTGGCAAAGCCAGGTACAACACCAGAGGTGAGAGCTCTGTGTTCATGGATCAACTGCATTAGAATCATGGAATGCTTCCAGAGCTAGTGAATCTAAAGGCAGGGCCCAGGAATCTGCCATAAACATGTTTATATGACGATTAGTATCATGCATTCTGAAGTCTGAGCACCATTCGTATAGAAGAATGGCCAAGAGAGTGAGGATTTTAAAATGATTCAAAGCTGATACAATAGAAATGAATCACTAAAACATATTTTACTGCCTTTGTATTTCAGTTTTTTTTTTTTTTTTTTTTTTTTTTTTGAGATGGAGTCTCACTCTGTCATCCAGGCTGGAGTGCAGTGGAGTGATCTTGACTCATTGCAACCTCTGCCTCCTGGGTTCAAGTGATCCTCCTGCCTCAGCCTCCCAAATAGCTGGGATTACAAGCATGCACCACCATGCCCCAGTAAGTTTTGTTTTTGTTTTTGTTTTAAGTAGATATGGGGTTTTACCATGTTGACCGGGCTGGTCTTGAACTCCTGACCTCAAGTAATCTGCCTCCCCAAATTGCTGGGATTACAGGTGTGAGCCACCGTGTCCGGCCTCACAATATCTTTAATTATTAAATGGCCAGCGCTTTTTTTTTCTCCAAACTTGTCATTCTGCAAAATCAGGAGATGTCACTTTAAGTTGCATCAAGTACTGTGAGATAGATATGACTGATATGACAAATTATAAGGTGACATTCATCACATGGAATCCATGGCCTGAATGAAAGGTTAGGAAAACTATGGGTTTCTAATGAGAAAGTCAAGTTTAATTAATTATCCTCTGAATAGATTTGCACTGGAGGTTTGGCACCTGAAGCTTAATAGCTAATTACAAGGGCTGCCAGTGAATAGTGGGTAATCTGCATCCCCAATTTCATGTTGGAGATGTCATAATTGCTGTATATCACAGGACAGCAAGGCAGAGCAAATAGATACAAGCTGCAGCTTTCTAAAGGAATTCCATGATGCTGCTCTGAGAGTTGGAGAAAAGGTCCCAGTTGTCAACCACAGACTGCGATGAAGTCAGCAGTTTCAAGTAATGCAGTGTGTACCCAATTGCCTTTGAATCATGGAACCAGAGAGACTACCGCATGGCCTCTAGCTGATCCCCTTCCACTAGGCCATTGATGCATCCAGTTATTTCAGACTATACCATTTTCCCCTATCCTTCCAAACCTATCTGCTATTCAGCCAGTTTCCTTTAGTAGTTAGATATCAGGCAGGGTTCCTGCAATTCACCATATCGAAAGAATTTGGCAAAATTCAACACCCCTTCATGATAAAATGTTATAATCAATCTTGAATAGAAGAGGACTCAACTTGAGAAAGGGCATCTACAAAATATTTACAGGTAACATTGTACTTAATGCTACGAAACAATGTTTTCCCCTAATGTCAAAAAATCACTTTGGTTGCAGAATGAAGAATGGCTTGTGGAGAGATGGGTAAAAGTCAATGATATAATTGCATCTAGGAAGTTATGGCAATAGTTCAGGTGAAGATGACAGCTTAGACTTGGATGGCAGCAATAGAAATGAGAGGTATTTGGGAAGATGGGGCTCATTCACAGATTGGGGATTATTCACAAATTGAGGGAGAGATCCAAACATAACTGCTAGGTATTAGCTTACTCGGCTGGATGGATGGTGCTGCCATTCATTGGGCAGAAAAATCAGGATGATTTTCTCTATACCATGGCCCCCAAAAGTCAATTAGAAAAGTCTGATATCTGTGGAAGATATCCATATTCAAAATGGAGGTGAGGTATTTTCAAGTACATGAAATTGTGTTTACATACACAGGGCTCCCTGACTGCAGAAAGCAATTGAGGGAAAAAGCAGGTCTTATGAAATAAATTACTGGGAAGACATGCCAATACTGAAATACTGGAGAAGAGGGGAGAATTGTATATTTCAAGGTGCTTTACAACAAGCTCTTTAACATATTATCTGATTTAAGTATGACCACATCCATGTGAGGTAGAATTTTTCTGATACCTGTTTTTAGATGATGATTGGAGTCCCAATTTATTAAGTGATTTGTCCAAAACTATTCAATGGTGAAAGGCTTTTAAGTGTAAATCTCCTGATTGCAGTGTCCCTAATCTTTTCAATGCTACAGTAAAAGTTAATTTCAGCTAAGAAGAGAGTCATTGGAAGGAATTCAGGTCTGCAGACTGGGTCCTCTCTAATAGGCTATTTCTCTTTTCTCCCACCCAGCTAAATCCTACTCATCCTTCGAGACTCTGTTCAGATTGTTCATCTCCTGTAAATCTTTTGCACCCATTCCTACTTACTGATTACTTCCATTTAAAAAAAAATTAAATTATATGTTGTTTAATGTAATATGTTAAAATAGTATAATTTCAACATGCTATCAATATAAAAATGATACTTCACATTTTTCTGTACCAAATATTTGAAACCCAGCACGTATTTTATATTTACAATGAATCATAATTGGAAGTAGGCTCATTTCCAGTGCTTAGTGGCTAGTGGCTACTGTACTGGACAGCACAGGTTTACAATCTAACCTTCAGTGTGATACTCACCTTAAAATGTACAAAAAGAGGTACATAATAGTTGATCCAAAATTAAATAATGCTGTGTTAAAATGGGAAGTGAAAGACAAAATATCGTAGCATTTGGACATTATCTGATTACCAAGAGACATTTTACTGTGATTGAAGAGTGGCTAAGCAAATCTTTTTGACATCATTTTTACAAACACATTGCAGACTGGTTTTCTCTTTCCATTATCTCGTTGAAAGTCTGTCTGGGCACCTAGTTATTTTGTTCTATTTCTCCACTTAACAGTTGTTGTTCATTCTGACCTATCTCAAAATAATAAGAGCTATTTGTGACAAACCTACAGCCAATATGATACTGAACGGGCAAAAACTGGAAGCATTCTCTTTGAAAACAAGACAAGGATGCCCTCTCTCACTACTTCTATTCAACATAGTCTTGGAAGTTCTGGCTAAGGCAATCAGGCAAGAGAAAGAAATAAAGTGTATTCAATTGGAAAAGAGGAAGTCAAATTGTCCCTGTTTGCAGATGACATGATTGTATATTTAGAAAGCCCCATCATCTCAGCCCAAAATCTCCTTAAGCTGATAAGCAACTTCAGCAAAGTCTCAGGATACAAAATCAATATGCAAAAATCACAAGCATTCCTATACACCAATAATAGACAAACAGAGAGCCAAATCATGACTGCCCTCCCATTCACGATTGCTTCAAAAGAATAAAATACCTAGGAATCCAACTTAAAAAGGATGTGACGGACTTCTTCAAGGAGAACTACAAACCACTGCTCAATGAAATAAAAGAGGACACAAACAAATGGAAGAATATTCAATGCTCATGGATAGGAAGAATCAATATCATGAAAATGGCCATACTGCCCAAGGTAATTTATAGATTCAATGCTAGCTATCCCCATCAAACCACCACTGACTTTCTTCACAGAATTGGAAAAAACTACTTTAAAGTTCATATGGAACCAAAAAAGAGCCTGCATTGCCAAGACAATCCTAAGCAAAAAGAACAAACCTGGAGGCATCATGCTACCTGACTATACTACAAGGCTACAGTAACCAAAAGAGCATGGTACTTGGACCAAAACAGATATATAGACCAATGGAACAGAACAGAGGCCTCAGAAATAACACCACACATCTACAACCATCTGACCTTTGACAAACCTGACAAAAACAAGCAATGGGGAAAGGATTCCCTGTTTAATAAATGGTGCTGGGAAAACTGGCTAGCCTTATGTAGAAAGGTGAAACTGGATCCCTTCCTTACACTGTATACAAAAGTTAACTCAAGATGGATTAACGACTTAATGTAAGACCTAAAACCATAAAAACCCTAGAAGAAAACCTAGGCAATACCATTTAGGACGTAGGCATGGGCAAAGACTTCATGACTACAACACCAAAAGCAATGGCAACAAAAGCCAAAATAGACAAATGGAATCTAATTAAACTAAAGAGCTTCTGCACAGCAAAAGAAACTATCATTAGAGTGAACAAGCAACCTACAGAATGGGAAACAATTTTTGCAATCTACCCATCTGCCAAAGGGCTAGTATCCAGAATCTACAAAGAACTTAAACAAATTTATAAGAGAAAAACAAAGAAACCCATCAAAAAATGGGCAAAGGATATGAACAGACACTTCTCAAAAGAAGACATTTATGCAGCCAACAGACACATGAAAAAACGCTCATCATCATGGTCATCAGATAAATGCAAATCAAAACCATAGTGAGATACCATCACACCAGTTAGAATGGCGGCCATTAAAAAGTCAGGAAACAACAGATGCTGGAGAGGATGTGGAGAAATAGGAATGCTTTTACACTGTTGGTGGGAGTGTAAATTAGTTCAACCATTGTGGAAGACAGTGTGGTGATTCCTTAAGGATCTAGAACTAGAAATACCATTTGACCCAGCAATTCCATTACTGGGTATATACCCAAAGGATTATAAATCATGCTACTATGAAGACACATGCACACATATGTTTATTGTGGCACTATTCACAATAGCAAAGACTTGGAACCAACCCTGATGTCCATCAATGATAGATTGGATTAAGAAAATGTGGCACATATACACCATGGAATACTATGCAGCCATAAAAAAGGATGAGTTCATGTCCTTTGCAGGGACATGGATGAAGCTGGAAACCATCATTCTCAGCAAACTATCACAAGGACAGAAAACCAAACACCGCATGTTCTCACTCATAGGTGGGAGTTGAACAATGAGAACACATGGACACAGGGCAGGGAACATCACACACCAGGGCCTGTTGAGGGGTTGGGGGGCTGGGGGAGGGATAGCATTAGGAGAAATACCTAATGTAAATTATGAGTTGATGGGTGCAGCATATCAACATGGCACATGTATACCTATGTAACAAACCTGCACGTTGTGCACATGTACGCTAGAACCGAAAGTATATTAAAAAAAAAGATTTAAACATTTTAAAATCTATAATAGACGAGAGGAAAGTTAAAAAAATAAAATCCAATTGAAATTAAATTCTAGAAGATTAATGTTGCCAGTTATATTTTGATGACAACAATAAACATAATGCAATTTTGTTAACTTATTGCTTTAAAATGCAAGTTGATAACCAACAATGGTACCATTTTAGCACAGGTAACTAACTACTTGTGTTTGAGTTTCCCAAGAGATAACCTGAATTGCAATAATGAAGAGGCACATAACTCATTAATGTTTTTTAGTCTCTTAAATAACATTAAAATTGTCTCAGAGTCTCTAGTATATTTAACAATTATATAAAGAAAAAAAAAGAGTTGTTCATCCTGCCATTCAGTAAATACCTGCTGACACCTTATTGGCCAAATGTGCCAGATGCAGGGATGTGAAATATACCCCATGTCTGCTTTCACAAAGCTTCCAAAGTAGTGATAAAGAGAAAGAGAGTGAAAGACATGGGAAAACATATCTTTGTGTTTTATTTGATGATTATCATTCTGTGTCTATTATTTGTTTGAATATTAGTTTACCCCCATTTCTTTAACTGGAGTGAGAGGAATGGACTATATCTTCTTATTCTTTTTATCTTCTTGGGACCTAGGAGAATGCCTTAATAAATACGTGTGGAATCCACTGCAATGGATGAATAAATGTGTGTTATTTTCTAGAACAGAGGTCCCTACAAAGCATACTAGGAATATAAAGAAACATTTCATCTTTCTGATGGAGAATAGAAAGGAATATAAGGCAGAGGGGACATATGGTCCAGGCCTTGAAGGACTTGACACAATTGAAGAAGCTGATAAGAAGGAAGTTTGAGGGAAAGAATGAATAGGAGTTTTCAGATGAGAAAGTCTGGGAGTAGAAGTACATCACTTATGGTGGGTACTTTCTGAACGTTTGCTTAATAAATACACAAATAGGTAAAAGAAAGAACCTGAAGGACCTGAGGATGATCTACTTTGTGGAATTAGAAATGGAGGGAGTGAAGGGGTGGTGGCACAGCAGAAGGAACATGGGAAAAAGTGACAGCCACGAGTCGGCCGTTGCCATTGTTAACATTTGAAAGCAAAACAAGACAACAGCAACGACCCTCTTGACGCTGGAGGTACAGTATTGTGTCCTGTTCTCTTAGCTTTGGGATAATGCCTATTGTATCCATCTGAGAACTTAATGATTCCATAATCTCTCATTAACGTGAACAATTTCATTCAAGAAGGTTTATGGGCAGAGTGAAAAATAAGAAACCTAGCAGAGTGACATGCTTTTATTTTACTGTAATGCATATAAAGGAAGACAAATATGCCAATAATACCCTTCTAATTCGATAGAACGGTCTCACAAGAACTTGTGCTATTTAGAAAAAGAGATACAGCAATGACGAACTTGTTCCCTGGGCAAATTACCAAGTAAGACAATCAAAGACACAGATTTTCATAGGTTTTGTTTCCAGGAAGATAGCAGTTTCCAAAGTCTTCAGAGTCTGAGAAGACCGAGTTCTTCTATATATATATATATATATATTTTTTTTTTTTTTTTTTTTTTTTTGAGACAGAGTCTCACTCTTTCACCCAGGCTGGAGTGCAGTGGCACAATCTCGGCTCACCGCAACCTCCACCTCCCGGGTTCAAACAATTCTCCTGCCTCAGCCTCCCGAGTAGCTGGAATTACCAGCATGTGCCACCACACCCGGCTAACTCTTGTATTTTTACAGAAATACAAAAGAGATGGAGTTTCACCATGTCGTCCAGTCTGGTCTTGAACTCCTGACCTCAAGTGATGCGCCCGCCTTGACCTCCCAAAGTGCTGGGATTACAGGCGTAAGCCACCACGCCCAGCCTCTCAAATTATATTTCTAAGGACACAGTTTTAATAGAGACAACAAACTTAAAACTGTTAGAAATTTTCACCTGCCTCTATATTGTACAGTAAAGTAAAATTGATATTCCTTAAAAGTTCCAAGTTGAGAGCAAATGTAAGCCTGTACAGCCCAATTTTTCCATAAACAGAAACTAAGAAAGTAATAGGATTTTACTAAATACTAGTGAAAAAAAGAACATAGTATTAATCTTCCACATAAACAAGGTCACATGCAAACATGAGCAAACCCCCAAAGTTGTACTGTTTGTGTTTCTTTATGGAACTCTTCTCTAGGTAACATATCTGACACTCCAACCCTCTTCAATTCCCCCATCACAATCCTGAGAAAAGCATTTCTTCTCTCACCACCACTGCCAGAGTAAGTGCCCTTTCCCCCCAGGCTCTCAGCCAGTCCAGCTTTACTTCTACACCCGGTTTCCACCTGGCTCATTTCTGCCTCTGGCCTTTTGTTCAGCTTTCCCTGCTTGGGGCACACACCCCATTCTCTTTAGTTCTTCCACGATTCTGAACTCTTATAGAAATCACCCTTCATCTAGATTGTTTGCCTCTGAACCCTCTAGGCCTTGCTAAGGGGCGGGTAGAGGTTGGAATGAGAGCAGAGGGGGCAAAAAGTTCTGGTAGTCTGTTTTTCAGGACAAGCGCTCTGTCTCTGGAAATGGTAACAAGAGCCACATTAAACAGAAAGGCTTCCTTTCATGGATGTTTCTGTTATATATATGCATTTTTTTTCAATCGGAGAGAAGAAGTGTACTTCCCCTGGCATTCAGTCATGTTCAGGATGAGGAAGTCAGACAAACAGGGAACCTAGGTTTTATGTGAACTTGCTGATTGAGACTGACAATGCCTGGTACTTGGATAGGACTCCATCTTTACCTTTACCATGAAGACAGGGTCTCACTGTCACCCCAACCACTTGCCTGATAGTATGGTTCCTGGGTGCTGGGGGACAGGGTAAGGAGTGGAGAGGTGTTTAGGGGGAGGAATACGGTTAGGAATCTTTTGTGTGTTGGCAGGAAACCTGGGTCCACCAGTTCCGGAGATCCTTGTTTACTATATACCAGACAGCGAGGCTGGTGATGATCTGGAAGATGTTTATTCAGAAGCCAGCAGCCAAAAGGGGTGGACAGAGCCAGAGGCAGGAAGTAAGAAAAGGTGACCTGAGAGCAGGAAGAGCAATGGAGTCATATAAATCACATACTGTCTTGTACTGCGATTGAAATATGCATCCATTCGTTTATACATTCATTTTTTTTCAACCAATAGTTACTGAATGCCTGTGTATTCACATTATTGAATGTGAATTCAATGCATCTTTTTAAGGTGGTAGTTCTTTTTGTTTTTTGTTTTTTTGGTGGTGGTGGTTGTTTTTTGAGACGGAGTTTCGCTCTGTCCCTTAGGCTGGAGTGCAGTGGTGCAATCTCGGCTCACTGAAAGCTCCGCCTCCCAGGTTCAAGCAATTCTTCTGCCACAGCCTCCTGAGTAGCTGGGACTACAGGCATGCACTACCACACCCGGCTAATTTTTTAAAAATTTGTTTTATTTTTAGTACAGATGGGGTTTCACCATGTTGGCCAGGCTGGTCTCAAACTGCTGATCTAAAGTGATCCTCCTGCCTCAGCCTCCCAAAGTGCTGGGATTACCGGTGTGAGCCACCACGCCTAGCCTAAGGTTTTGGTTTTGTATCTAAGTTTAGAAGCATCTAAATTTTAAGTTTTATTGTTGTTGTTGTTGTTGCAGGAAAACACAGATCCTGGTGCCGAACATGAGGACAGGGCAGGCCGAAGGAGAAAGTGGAAGGAGGGGAGCTTCTCTCTCAGCCTCATCCTTCTGGGCCTGGATGCTGGAGAGTCATGAGGTGCTTCAGAGTACTCTGGGTGAGGAGGGAAAGATGGTGCCCACCACATGGAGGCCAGCCTAGGTCTTGTATGAAACCTGTGAGGTATGAAGGAGTAATTTTTCTTTCTAAGCCATTTCTCTGCTTATTTCTCAGATCAGTGCCCTTTATGTTTGAACTTGGTGTGAATGACCATCTTAGTGATTCTTACTGCAATGACAATAGGGAGTTAAATGACATAAGTTTCTTTTTCATGGGAAAGGATATAAAAATGTATCTGCATGTGGTCAGTGTAGAATATTCCCAGCCAGAGGTGCAGTTTTCTGGATCCCTCCCACAGACATTGTGTGGAAGCACACCTATTAACCGATAAGGGGCGAAATTTCACCAGAATAGAGAAGCATCCTCTTTGCCCTTTTCACAGGGGTGGGGATGAGGTTAGGGGTGGGGTTATACCTTCTTTGCTCACCCAGCTGCTTCTATATATCTTAGCCTGGATATGCCTAAACTTAAGCCAAAACAAAAACTCATAGACAGGTAGTTTATTTGCAAAATGATACTAGGGATCAGGAGTAAGGAATGAGAGTAAAGCAGGGGAGGAAGAAAAGCCACTGCAAGCATGCACTGTCAACAGAGGAAGGACCAACAAGCACATGAAAGGTCTCAGTGTTACTAGTCACCAGAATTCAAATGAAAACCACCACGAGATACCTACTAGATGCCTATTAGAATGGCTACATTAAAAAGACTGCAGCAACAAATGTTGGTGAGGGTGTGGAACAGTCAGAGCTCTCATCAATTGTTGGTAGGGGTGTAAATTGGTACAACTTTGGAAAGGTCTGGCACTTTCTTAAAAAACTAAACACACACTTTCTATGACCCAGCAATTTCATTCCTAGATATTTGCCCAGCAGAAATGAAAATATCTGTATATAAACAGACTTGTTTAAGAATGTTCATGGCCTGGCGTGGTGGCTCACGCCTGTAATCCCAGCACTTTGGGAGGCTGAGGCGGGCGGATCACGAGGTCAGGAGATCGAGACCATCCTGGCTAACATGGTGAAACCCCGTCTCTACTAAAAATACAAAAAATTAGCTGGGCGTGGTGCAGGCGCCTGTAGTCTCAGCTACTTGGGAGGCTGAGGCAGGAGAATGGCATGAACCCAGGAGGTGGAGCTTGCAGTGAGCAGAGATCGCGCCACTGCACTCCAGCCTGGGTGACAGAGCAAGACTCTGTCTCAAAAAAAAAAAAAAAAAAAAAGAGTGTTCACAGCAAGCAGCATTATGTGTTATAGTCAGAAACTGGAAACAGGCCAGGCACGGTGGCTCATGCCTGTAATCCTAGCACTTTGAGAACCTCAGATAGGAAGATCGCTTGAGGCCAGGAGTTCGAGACCAGCCTGGGGAACATAGCAAGACCCTGTTTTCACAAAAAATAAAGACATTAGCCAGGCATGGTGGCACACATCTGTAGTCCTAGCTACTTAGGAGGCTGAGGTGGGAGGATCACTTGAGCCCAGGAGTTCAAGGCTGCAGTGACCTATAATCACCCACCCTGGGTGATACAGTAAGACCTTGTTTCTAAACAAAACAAAACAAAACAAAAACTGGAAACAGCCCATTAACAGAAGAATGGATAAAAAAACTGTGGTATGTTCATGCAATGGAATATTGCCCAGCCATAAAAAGGAATAGAGTATTGATATAATAATATGGGTAAATATTAAAGCATGCTGGGTGAAAAAAGCCTTACGCAAAATAATATGGTATTTTCCTATTTAAAGTTCTAGAATAGGCAGAACTAATCTGCAATGAAGAAAAATCAAAATAGTGATCTGTGCAGATGTGGGCGTACAAGTAGGAGTTGACAGAGAGCAGGCATGAGGGAATGTTCCTCTACATCTTCAAAGGAGTTTGGGTTACACATGTCAATGTACTTTTCAAAACTTACTGAATGGTACACTTACAAGTGTTCATTTTATTGAATATAAATTTTGCCTTAAAAGAAAGACATCATAAATGAATACTGAAGTTTAGTTAATGATATGCATGCTGAAGTGTTAAGGGTGAATTATACTGTTATCTGAAAAGTACTTTGAAATGCATTAAAAATAAAATAGATTAGTAGATGGATAGAATAATAGATAAATGGATATACGTATGATAAAAGAAATAGAATAAGATATTAGTTGTACAATCTAGATAGGGATATATGGGTTTTGACTGTAGCATTCTTTCAACTTCTCTGTATGCTTGAACATTTTTATAATAAAAAGTGAGGTAAAAACAAAAACACATGATCACATTGGCTACAACTGAGCAACTGTTGTACAAGCCTGTCAGGACCGTTGAGGAGTTTTCTGAAATCTACTTCAGAACCTAACACCTGGGTGGTGGAAGGGAAAACATTTATCTGTTGGCTTCTTTCTCCTTGTGTCAGTGCTTAAAGCCCTCTTGCAGGTGCCCTGCACCTTAGAGAATTCCCAGGGTAGGGAGCTAGAGTACACAGCATGCATGGGCTGATGTGGCATGCTTCAGATTGCACCTGTGTGTAGCTGGTCAAAGCCTATGCAGAACCAAGAGTCAAACAAGAGGATGGAAAGTGCTCCAGAAGTATTGTGTTAGTTACTCATTGCTGCTTAACAGATTACCCTCCAAACTTAGTGTCTTACAACAAACGAACAGCTATTCTCCACAATTCCTGTGGGTCAGGAATTCAGGAGTCACTTAGCTGGCTGGTTCTAGCTCAGGGTCTGCCATGACATTATATTCAATATTTCAAGCCAAGGCTGCATTCATCGGAAAACTTGATTGGGGCTGAAAGATCCACTTGCAAGGTGGTGCATTACATGGCCCTTGGCAGGAGGCTCCAGTGTCCCTGCCACATGGGCCTCACAGTAGGTCTGCTGAGTGTCCTTGTAACATGGCACATGGCATCCCCCAGAGTGAGTGATTATGGGGGGAGGAAAAAGTCACAATGTCTTTTATGACCTGGTTTTGGAAATCACCCGCTGTCACTTCCACCACCTTTTATTATTTAGAAGTGAATCACTAGGTACATTTCACACTCAAGGAGAAGGGAATTAGGCTTCCTTTTTTTTTTTTTTTTGAGACAGAGTCTCGCTCTGTTGCCCAGGCTGGAGTGCAGTGGCACAATCTTGGCTCACTGCAACCTCCGCCTCCCGGGTTCAAGCAATTCTTCTGCCTCAGCCTCCCGAGTAGCTGGGACTACAGGCGTGCGCCACCACGCCCAGCTAATTTTTGTATTTTTAGTAGAGACGGGGTTTCACCATATTGGCCAGGCTGGTCTTGAACTCCTGACCTCGTGATCCACCCGCCTCGGCCTCCCAGAATGCTAG
This sequence comes from Homo sapiens, assembly GCF_000001405.40. Classification (NCBI taxonomy): domain Eukaryota; kingdom Metazoa; phylum Chordata; class Mammalia; order Primates; family Hominidae; genus Homo; species Homo sapiens. The sequence continues at coordinate 77,121,776 of NC_000005.10, forward strand.
GATTACAGGTGTGAGCTACCGCTTCCAGCCTAGCTTCACTTTTTGAAGGAAGGAACATCAAAGAAGTTGAGAACATGTTTGGAAACCACAACAGATTTCCATTACGTTTCACCTTTGCACTTCTTAGGACTTTTGTGCTCTGCATTAAGTCCAGTCTGCCCAGAGTCTTCTTCTAGAGAGTGGCTAGCTCCAAATCCTACAAACACTAAATACAGGAAGGTGAATAGAACAAGTTACATTCCCTGCTGATGCAACAGGTTCCAAATCCATAAATAGTACTTGTCATCTCCATTTTCCACCATTTGCTCTAGATTTCCCTTAACCTTAGCCAATTATTTGGCTGATGTAGGTTGCTTTCCTGATGGCTGACTCAAAACTTTACCTCTGAGGGGTCTGAGCCTTTAGTTGACCTTGTAAAGTCATGATCACTGCGATTGCCCATCCACCATCACCAGTCATGGAATCATCAATAGATGTCCCTGTGAATCTTCTATGTCCTAGACACAGTCCTTCCTGCACACATAATGTAACAGCAGCCTTAGCTCTTCATGGTAATCAGAGTCGATTACTCTTTTCAGCATAGGAACACCTCTTTTTTCTTGCTGGTCTACTGCCATGAGGAACCCAAAATTCAAAAACAATAATCACACTTTAAGGTGAATGGAAGCGCTATCATTTCTGCTAGTGCGTACATTCACCCACCTGAAAGTGGGACAATTAATTCAGCAGAACCTAGGCTCATTTGATGGGAAATGCACAACACTTTTAAGTGGATCATGAGAAGTGATGGTGAGGGGGGCAATCCTACTTCTACCTCATGTTTCCTGGACCAATGTTGCTAGACACTGGGAACATAACACCATGTATCAGCTATTGTTTTAGCACATATATACAATATTTTGGAGGACAGTGTCATTACCAACAGGTCGTTCTACCTGAGCCTGAGCTGACACTAAAAATCCTTTTCAAAAACTTCTGCTTTCAATCATGAAGGAGTAAGCCAGCCTGCAATTACATTTTGAAAGTAAGCAACTAGAAAACTAAACAAAATGTAGGAAAAAAACTATTTTAAGACATTGGGTAAGAGTCCAACGAGATTGTGATCCCCATGAAAAGGAAACGAAAGGGGCAAAATACACCCTGGTGTAGGCTTTCTGCCTGCAGGTAGCTCCAAGATTGTGATTCAGGGAGATGAAATTATACAAAGTGTTGTCATTGAATTGAACAGAGATTATAGTTCAAGAAGACCAAGGTAGCTATGATTTATAAGGCAGAGCACCTGTCTAAGTCCATTTTCTGTTGTTATAACCAAATACCTGAGACTACTTAGTTTATCATGAAGAGAAATCTATTTCTCACAGTTCTGAAGGCTGAAAGTCCAAGGTTGAGGGGGTGCATCTGGAGGGCCTTCCTATTGGTAGGCAATCTCTGCAGAGTCCCGAGGTGGTGTAGGGCATAGAGAAGGAGCTAAGCATGCTAGCTTAGCTCCTCACGAAGCCACTCATGTCCCACACTCGTGACTTTATCTCATTCTAATGACATCCAAAGGTGCCGCCTCTCAAATACTATAGTTGAATTCCTCCCCCACCGCCCCCCGCTTAATATTGTTACAGTGGGGATTAAGTTTCAACATGAGTTTCAGAGGGGACAAACACTCAAACCATAGCATTACTTGAGAGGAGAGCTCTCAAGAAATCTTTGGCTGGGTGCAGTGGCTCACACCTGTAATCCCAGCACTTTGGGAGGCTGAGGTGGGTAGATCGCTTGAGCCCAGGAATTTGAGACCAGCCTGGGTAACATGGCGACATCCTGTCTCTACAAAAAATACAAAAAATTAGCTGGGTGTGGTGGTGCACACCTGTGGTCCCAGCTACTTGGGAGGTTGAGGGGGAGGATCCCCTGAGCCTGGGGAGGCAGAGGTTGCAGTGAACCATGATGGTGCCACTGCACTCCAGCCTGGGCAACGGTGAGACTCTTGATTCTTTGCCTGAACACCAAACTAGTCAGGAATAGGATGAAATCCCATAGGACTGGACAAGAACAACTTTCAAGGAAAGAATAGTTCTGTGTAAGCTGTGAGACAAATAACCAATAACCAGAGTTCACACAGAGCTGGGAATCATTTGAGTTCCCTCTAGTCAGAGTAAACAGACCTTGGTGAATACACACGACATTCAGTAAAAATCCTGGAAAGGCAACAGTTTGAAGTGGGGCTAAATTATTTCTCAAATAAATGCTACTCTAGAACACGCTAAAAGAGCCTAGAACATACCTCAAAAGGATCAAACTAATCTGCAAGTAAAAGTCCAACAGAAAAGATTCAACACTCTTCAAAGAAATACAGAATTTCAGCACCCAACAATGTAAACTTTACAATATCTAGAATCTAATCTGAAATTAATAGACATATGAAGAAAAAGAAAATATGAAGAACAGTCAAGAGAAAAATTGGTCACAAGACTCAGACCCAGAAACAACAGAGACTATGGAATTATCAGACAAGAAGGTTAATATAGCTATTGGAAATATGTTGGCTAGGCCTGGTGGTTCACACCTGTAATACCAGCTCTCTGGGAGGCTGAGGCGGGTGGATTGCTTGAGCCCAGGAGCTCAAGACCATCCTGGGCAATGTGAAAATCCATCTCTACACAAAATACAAAAAATTATTCATGTGTGGTGGTGCACACCTGTATCCCAGCTACTTGGGAGGCTATGATGGGAGGATCGCCTGAGCTGAGGAGGTTGAGGCTGTAGTGAGCTGAGATTGTGCCACTCACTCCAGCCTGGGTGACAGAGTGAGACACTGTCTCAAAAAAAAAAAAAGAAAGAAAGAAAGAAATATGTTTCTTATATAAAGAGATGAAAGGACGTGAAAGTTATAAGAAATAGAAGATTTATAAAGGACTAAACTCAAGCTTTTAGTGATAAAAATACAACATCCAAAATTGAAAATACACTGGATAGATATAATAGCAGATTAGACACTGCAGAAGAAAAGAACAGTGAACATAATGACACAGGAAAAGAAGCTACCCAAAGTGAAGCACAGAGAAAAGATGGAGAAACAGCACATCAGTGAGCTGGAGAACAATATCATGTGTGCATCTGAAGTAAAAGAAGGAAAGGAAAAAGGAGGGAGAAAAATGTTTGAAGAATTAATAGTAAAAGAAATTTCTAAATTCTTCACACCTGTTAGGATTTTCACGTTGTTTTGTTTCACTTTTGAGGAAAAAGAGACAGGGTCTTGCTCTGTCACCCAAGCTGGAATGCAGTGGCACTCATAGCTCACTGCAGCCTCAAACTCCTGGGCTGGCTTCAGTGATTCTTCCACCTCAGCCTCTGGGGTAGCTGGGACTACAGGCATGCACCGCCATGCCAGCTAAATTCTTTTATTTTAATTTTTTTTTGTAGGGATACATTCTTTCTATGTTGTCCAGGCTGGTCTCAAACTCCTGGCCTCAAATGATTCCCCCGCCTTGGCCTCCCAAAGTGCTTGGATTACCACGCCCCACTGTTTTCTTTAAAAAGGAAAATAACAGTTGTTGGCAAGAATGTAGAGAAATTGGAACTCTTGTGCATTGCTGGTGGGAATATAAAATTGTGCAGCTGCAATGGAAAGCAGTTTGGTGGTTCTTCAAAAAGTTAAACAGAGAATTACCATATGATTTAGCAATTCCACTCCTAAGTATATGCCCCCAAAGAATTAAAAGCAGAGACTCAAATAGATACTTGTACACCAACGTCCACGGAAGTGTTAATTTGCAAAAGCCAAAAGGCATAAACAATTCAAATGTCAAAACAGACGAATGGATGTATACACATACAATGGAATATTATTCATCTTTTTAAAGACAAGAAATTTGGGTATCTCCTACATCATCCTTTCAAGGATGAACCTTGAAAACATTATGCTAACTAAACTAACCACAAAAGGAAAAATATTGTATGATTCCATTAATATGAAGTACTTACAACAAACAAATTCATGGAGACAGAAAGTAAAATAGAGGTTTCCAGGGTCTGGGGGAATAGTAGATTGGGAAGTTATTGTTTAATGAGAACAGAGTTTCAGTTTAGGGTGATAAAAAAAATTCTGGAGATGGATGGTGGGAATGGTTGCATGACAGTGAGAATATACTTAGTGCCACTCAACTGTACACTTAAAATGGCAAATTTTATGTTCTGTATATTTTACCACAATAAAATTAAATCTCTTAAAAGTTAGTTACAGCCGGGCTCAGTGGCTCACGCCTGTAATCCTAGCACTTTGGGAGGCTGAGGTGGGCGGATCACGAGGTCAGGAGATCGAGACCATCCTGGCTAACACGGTGAAACCCCGTCTCTACTAAAACTACAAAAAATTAGCCAGGTGTGGTGGTGGGCACCTTTAGTCCCAGCTACTCAGGAGGCTGAGGCAGAAGAATAGCTTGAACTGGGAGGTGGAGGCTGCAGTGAACTGAGTTTGTGCCACTACATTCCAGCCTGGGCGACAGAGCAAGGCTCTTTCTCAAAAAAAAAAAAAAGTTAGTTACTACTGTTCAAGAATAAATTGTGCCTTATTTGCCAATATACGTCATTTGAGGAGGATGACAAAAATTGAAGAGCTTGATGGAATTCAGTTTTGAAAAGTGAGATCTATCTGTGTTTCCTACAAACTTTATTTTTTTTGAGACAGGGTCTCTTTCTGTCACCCAGGCTGGAGTGCAGTGGCACAATCACAGCTCATTGCAGCCTTAGTCTCCTGGGCTCAGGTGATTCTCCCACCTCAGCCTCCCGAGTAGCTGGGACTACAGGTGTGTGCCACCATGCCTGGCTCTTTTAAAATTTGTTGTCAGGGTCTCTCCATGTTACCTAGGTGGTATTGAACTCCTGAGCTCGAGCAATCCTATCTGCCTTGGCCTCCAAAAATGTTGGGATTACAGGCGTGAGCCACAGCACCCGGCCCTACAAACTTTTAAGAAGATAAATGCTTGTAGAAATTTAATTACATTTTGCTTCTATGAATTCCTGATGAAAACTTTCTGAAATCTGTCATAAATACATAATCAAAAGAAAAAATAAATATCTTTAATATTTTCACATCCCTGAGCTTTCTGACTCCTTCCTTAGTGCTATGGCAAGCTCCAGTCCAGGCAAGTTGCAGCTTCTGGACTTTATTTATTATAGGCCACTATTTTGTCCAAGCCTCAAGAAATCACTCTTGCAGTGTATTGCTACAGGTATCCTTGCCAGGACACTGAGTTTTCTGATCAAGGAAGGGTGCTCCCAGGTCAATAAATTCACCATTATCCAGCTTTCTATTCCACTCACCCACCCTAGTGCAACATCCTCAAGATCCACTTTCACAAGCTTATCCAGGTTCCTGCCTGTATACATTACCCAGGTGAATGGTTTGGCTCTGTGTCCCCACCCAAATCTCATCTCGAATTGTAATCCCCATGTGCTGAGGGTGGGGCCTGTAATCCCCATGTGTTGAGGGAGGGAGGTGACTGGATTATGGGGGAGGTTTCCCCCATGCTGTTCTCGTGATAATGAGTGGGTTCTCACGAGATCTGATGATTTTATAAGCATCCAGCATTTCCCCTGCTTACACTTCTCACTCCCGCCACCCTGTGAAGGTCTTTGCTTCCTCTTTGCCTTCCACCATGATTGTAAGTTTCCTGAGGCCTCTGCAGCTATGCAGAACTGTGAGTCAGTTAAACCTCTTTCTTTTATAAATTACCCAGTCTTAGGTATTTCTTTATAGCAGTGTGAGAACAGTCTAATACCCCAGGTCCTTCAGTTTCTTTAGTAAACTATTTCCTACTGCAGCAGGGATACATTTCCCCACCTGCTTGAGCCAAAACCTGACTCCAGTTATCATGGAGTCAGTTAATTGGAGATGGAAGGAGACCTTGAGGAAGACAGACATCACTTTGCAAAGCAAGATTCAGGTGAGGTATTTTCAGGGTCTCCTGGCAAGATGAGGCTGATGTCCCCAGCAAGGAGAAGAAGGCTGACTTTGCTCTCCTAGAGGATGAAAATTAATCTAGTGACTCAATATTCTCAGACTTGTCTATCCTATCCCAGCTCTTAAGATTTTAAGCTTTTCCTATCAGGGTTCTAACTTTGAAATAGGAGATCTGTGAAGGCTTGGCGTTCTGTCTCCTCTATGACTTTGTCAACTGTTGTCTTAATCTTCAAGACAGTATTCCCTGTGCCTGCAGGAGATCAAATTCTTTTAACCATTGCTCTATTTCACCGTGGGCTTGAGTTGATAGTTGTCTAACATGACCCTGTCATTTTCTTATTTTGAGACTTTCAAAGCAGTTAACAAAAGCCAGTGAATTCCCCATTCCTTTACAATTATAATTGCCTCCATATTGTCCAAGGACCATAGTTACCACTTGACCCAGAGCCTCTCCCTTCCACCTGTACCTCATCCCAATCCACCACAGGTGAGAACCTTAATTGTGTTGCTGCTGGATCTGCACTTACCACTCAAGCTGTGATGGGAATGATGAGAAAAACGTTCTTCTCTTACAGTGACCGTCCTGGCTACCTGCAAAGTATGCTTAGAATTCTAGATTCCTTTGAAGTCTGGGTAAAGATCTCCCAAGGGCTGGCTGATGGGGACATGGGGATTCTTAATCCTGTTCACCTACAACGTGCCATCCAAAGGGAACCTCAGAAGTAGTAATTGCCCACCTTTATGGGTTGTGCATGCATGACTGCCAAGCAGCTTTCCACAGGCATCACAGACTCTGGTGTCAGACAAGCCTTGGAGCAAAAGCTACAGATCCAGTGTCTGGGCTGAGGCAAGGTCAGGTTATGCCTGTGTGGAACTGCTTGCCTTCACCAGTGACTGGGGTAAGTGGCCAGGCCAAAAGGATGTGAAATGGTGCTCAAGAGTTCTGGTCCCCTGGAGGCCCTGACTGGAGCCAAGTGTCAGCACACGAAACATCATCAGCTCATTCTGGAGCATTTACTTTAACTCAAGTATTAATAAATAAATTGGAAGTCAATTCACAGATGCATCGGACCAGAACTAGGTCAAAGTCTATTTGCCTAATCAATGCCCTGGCTACCCTTTTGTCTGTGTGGTTGTACGGGGTTTGGTTTGAGTCTGAGGACCATGATCACAAGTCCATTTCTCAGTGGACTAAACAAGAAACCTGGCTAAAGATTCCCAGACTTATTAACGTCCTTCCCTTTACCCAGATATTAGCTTGATGACAATTTCATTCATCAACCTAGGTTTGAACATAGTTTTCAGTGTCCAAATTCTTTCTGGATAGTTTATTTCTCTGTTCAGTTATTAGGTCTGTAATCTTTTGTATGATCTGTGTCCACATAAAAAATTACCAACGTTTTCCCAACTAGTTTAGTAGTGAAAGTACCATCTAATTTAAAAAAAAATCTTCAGTGTGGGGGAAAAGGAGGACAGATGTGATTATTAGACTGTCATCATGGGTCTCTAGTTGTTTTAAAAAGTTATAGCTACCTGAGGATTTTTTCAAAAGATTTTATTATGAAAAATTTTAAACATCCACAAAGTATAAATAATAAAATAATAAATCCCCGTGTCCCCATCAGCCAGCCCTTGGGAGATCTTTACCGAGACTCCAAAGGGATCTAGAATTCTAAGCATACTTTGCAGGTAGCCAGGATGGTCACTGTAAGAGAATGGTTTTTCTCGTCATTCCTGTCACATATTGAATGAGTGATCACATTTCTACCTTAGAAATGGATTACTTCCCCTCTGGTGGGTTTGTTTGCTCAGGTTCCCTTTAACCAGAGGGTATCAGGGCCGGGGCCAGGCATGAGGCAAGATCTAGCTGTGCCCACCGGAGGGAGCAGTGTCCTCCTGTTTCACAGTAATTTGCTGTGGATTGGCCCTGATACTTGTCAAGAGTTTTATTTAGCTCTGTTCTTCTCTTTCTGTTGGAATATCATTCATTTTTCTTGGACTGTGGGATGCGGTCCATGACCTTCACACTAGCTCTGGCATTACTGTCTGTAGTGTTTCGCAGTAAAAGAATTGGCATAACGTCACCCACCCTACCTCTACACTGTTTGACGTGCACATTTCCATCAGTCTAGGCTGCTCACTGTTTTCCATCTCGGTTCTGGGAAGCCAGAAAAAAATTGGTTTGAAATTGAATTTTTAAAGTATGTTTTTCTAATGAAACTCCTAGATGGCCTTGATTGTGTTTCCAGATCTCCTCTCATCTCGATTCTGTTTTCACACAGAGATGCAGTTGTTTTTCACAGTCTGGAGCATAGAGAAAATGTGGACTGCACTCTATGCTGATCAGAACCTATATAGACCTCTGGATTTTATTTTGGGCACTGCATTTGAAAGGATATAATGGCAAACTGGAGTGGGGCGGGGGTGAGGGAGGGGAACTAACAGATAGGTCTGAGCAATATCTGATGAACAATTAACCATGTAGAAAAGAAGACCCAGGGGAGGCAGAGTAGCTATCTGCAAAAGTTGTGTTGAAATATAGCTGTGATTGGTGTGGGGAAGTTAGAGAAAGCAAATTTCAGCTTATTATAAGGTTAGATTAGAAACATCCAATAGTTAAACTAGACTGACTCATAAAGACGTTAGTTCTCCTTCCTGGGAGTCAGATAAATGCCAGGTAACATCTCTCAGGAATATACTTCGGGGCGGGGAGGGGAGTTCCTCATAATAGAAAACCCATCTAGAACACTTATTTTCTTCCAAGTACTCTTCTAAGCACCTTTCCCTTATTATTTATTTAACCCTCATGACAACCTTATGAAATAGGCACTTCAGATCCACAGCTTTTATCTGAAAACCTTAGGACCAAAATTCTTAATTTTTTGGATTTTAGAAAGGTATATGACACATACACCTTATGGTAGAAAACACCCCCATGGGGCTGTTCTCCATAATCAAATACATTGATATTTATACAGTGAGGCATGTGAATTTTTGCATTAAATGGAATACTTTTACATGAGTTGGGTTACGTTTTGTTGCCAAATGAGTTCAGATCATCTCTTCCCACCAAAAAATTTTGAAATAATTTTAGGTTTTTGCATTCTGAATTGTAGAAAAGAGATTATGGACACATATTGCTATTCCCAGTTTACTCATGAAGAAACTGAGGCAGAGAGATTAAGTAGCTTGCTCAAAGTCATATGACTTCCACCCAGGCAGAAATCAGGTTTGAGCCCTGCTCTTAAGCACTGTGTGGACTGCCTCTCCCTGTGCTCTTCTGCCTCCTCTCTTTGAGGGGTTGGGCTTAGTTACCTGCAATGTCTCTAACCTTGTGCCTTCGATTCCCTGACCTCTGACTTCAGCCAGCCTCACTGGTTCCAGAGCGATACTCAGAGCTGTTCTCAGATACCAGACTGGAATAAACGAGAGACATCTGGAGAAAGGAGACCTCTTCCTATCCCAACAGGACTGTGTTTCACAGGAGGCATTTTAGTGTTGTTGTTCCCCAATGGCTAGGCAGAGGCAGACAAAGAGAACATTGTGTATCATCATAATTTGTCTTCAATGACCTTTCTTTTTGTGTCATTCACCACCACCTGTTCCTCAAAACACCACCATGTGAACCCCAAGCCCAATGGCTCAGGCTTGCCCTCTTTCCACCCACGTTCCAGGATGGATTTTTCCAGGAACAGGACTAATGACTCTTAACTTTTCTTCTACCATCTAGAGATGGATTATAAGGTAGCAACCCAAGAAAGTGGGTTTGGACATTCAAATACTTGAGTTTAAGTCCAGATGTGCAAACTTGGGCAAAGCCATTTAACCTCATTCATCAACTTGTCAAATAGGAAAGATAATACTTACCCGGGATGAATTCCAGTTTTGGTGAGCTTGACATTTTCACTATTTGCTGGAGCCTTCTTTAAGCAAAAGAATAAAAATTTATGATATGAATTGGGTACAAAATTGTGCGTTTATTTAGAAACAATTCTCTTGTTCACATAAGGGGAAATATGATGCATTAGGAGTTGAAGTGATCTTAACAAAAGGCTTTTTTTGGGTATAATTTACAAAATTATACAACCATGTAAACTTATTGATAGGGCCCCTTTCCAGAGTTAGAAAGGGGTCCATTCAACAAACAGTCCTGCAACTTAGAATTCATTAACAGCAAGGTAAATTTGCTTCTGTATCAAACTCACAGAGTTGTAAGAATTGAATCACAAGATTAAATATATGCAAATGTGTTTTGTAATCATCAAACACGGTGCATAATTATTTTGATGCCTACAACTAAGCAAAAATATTTGTACCTAGAACAAAGCAAAAATATTTATTCAATAAATGATAAAATAGATGAAATTTGCTCTCACCAAAGTAGTATACAAGCTAATTGTATTACATTTCCCTAGGCCTGAAAAAATTTATCAGAGTAATATATGTACATATTTTTACACAACAGTCCAATATTGATAAAAGATTTGCAACCAAATAGAACAAGCCCATGTCCCACCCCTCATATTTTCTAATTCCACTTTCCAGACTCAATACATTTCCTCCATATTGCTAACTAATATGTGCTATATTGTTTTTCCTGATTTATCAACCTTGAATATTGTCTGGTGACTCTCTATTATGGCATTATTCACTTTCTTCTTCCCATTCTCTCAATATAGTTATAGGACAGTTCTTCTTATAATATGAAATATTGTTTATGGCTGAACAAAATAGTGGGCTATGATTTTACGTCCTTCTACATACCTCTAAATAATTGTGTTATTTTTCATTTGCTTAGTTTTCCATTTTACCTATACTTGGGTTTTCCCACTGTCTACAATAGCATTTTATGTATCTTTCCACTCAGTCAAATTCCCCACGCTGCAGAGAGCCATGGAGCCCTCCATCCCTCTGCTCCAGACTAGTCTTGCTGTCTTCTGTGCAACAATATGGAACTTCATGTGCTATCATGCTGGAAATTTCCATCATCTCTCTCCTAAACTGGATTTCCTATGTTTTCTATCTTCCTCTGTTTTGGTTGCGTCTTTTTGGTGGTTCTTATTCTCTAGTAGCTTCTAAGGAAAGGTCTATGGGAGGTACATTAACTGAGACTCTACATGTGCATATCTCAAAATATCTTTATTCTAGCCTTATAATTAACTGATAGTTTAGACGGATATGGAATTCTAGGTTTAAAACAATTTCACTCAGAATTTGGAAGGCATTTCATTGTCTTCTAGCTTCTGATATTGCTCTAGAGAAGTTCTGCCATTCTCATTCACAATCCTTTGTATCTGATGACTTTTCCTCTTTGGAGATGACCTATGATTCCACAATAACATGTGGTAGGTTAGATTATTATTCAAAATATTCACTTTTCTCCCTCACCCTGACTTACTTTGGCTAGTGGGATATTAGCAAGTATGTTGCAAGTAGGGGCTTGAAAAACACTTGTGTGGTTGGGCTTGTTTTCTTAGGCTTATGCCATCAGAAGCACAGAACAAACAGGCTGATGACTAGCCCACTGGTTCTAGAAGGAGGATGAGTAACACATGGAGCAAAGCCAAACCCTCCTGGCCAAGCTCAGCCTGAATCAGCAGAGCTGCACAGTGGAGCCCAGCTTGGATCTGCCAACACTCAGCTGATTCATAGATCAATGACAATAAACGACTGTTATTTTAAGCCACTGAATTTTTGGATGTTTGTCATATAACATTTTGTGGCAATAGCTTTTGGTATCAGAAATTAGTATCTAATTGGTATTAGAAATTGATATTTGTAGTGAGGTATAGGCACAAGAAAACAAAAAAATAAGTGGCATTGGTTTGGAGGCTGGATGATGGGCACAAGAAAACTGTTATAGGAGGCTGGAAAGAAAATGGTAATCTGTGTTTTGCAGGGATGAGACATTTTCTAAAACTGTCACCTTTGGTAACTTGGAAGTTAGCATATGTACCTAAAAATATTTGGATTTGTGCTGAGAAGTCTTCATGCACAATGATAAAAGTGTGAGCTAGTTGTATTTAGCTGCATATAATAGGTACTAGAGATGAGTTCAGAAAAGAACCAGCCAGGTTTCAAGGAACATGTAGGTGGAATGCAGGGAGCCCAAGAATTCTGGGACTTGCTGAGTTGGAAAATAAACTTTTGCATCTCCAATATAGTTGGCAAGTCAGCTATATTGGGCCTTCTGTCCTGGAAGGTTCCACAGTTCATCCTCACAGGGTTAGATACCTCTCCTGGCTTTAGATTTGCCTTTCCTTGCCACAGAGCTTCAGCAAGCCCCACTACCTGGGGCCGATCTGTAGTCATGGAAGCACACACAGCATAATATTGACCAGAGGATCACTTCATCGCAAAGGAGGCTTGGGAATAGGACAATGACCATGGGATCCACTGGTCATATCAGATACTGTATCACCTAGATGGAGCCAGCCTCATAAAGCATTGGAATGGTTACTAAAGGCACAGCTGGAGCTCCAGCTGGAGGCAATGCTCTGAAAGAACAGGGTACCATCCTGCAGGATGCACTGTATACATTAAACTGGGGTTCTCCATGTGGTGCTATGTCCTCAACAGGAAGAATACATGGGTCTGAGAACCAAGAAGTGGAAGCAGGAGTGGACCCACTTATCATTTCCAATGACCTCCTGGGGAACTTTGTGCTTCTTGTCTCTACAACTCTGGGCTCTATGAGATTAGAGGTTTTGGTCCTCAAATGAGGTGCAGCTTGGCAGGAGACACAGCAAGTGTCCCATTGAACTATATACTATGGCTGCCACCAGGGCATTTTGGACTCTTTCTATGAAGAGACCAGCAGGTGAAAAGAAGAAATCATTGACTTCCATCAGCAGAAAGAGGTGAGGCTGCCTGTACACAATGGGACAGGGAGGAAGGAATGTGTATGGATCCCAGGTGATCCCTGTGGTCAAGTTTTTCTGTAGTCTTGCCCAATCTGTGATGTGACTGCCAACAGCTAAGACCTTCTGGAATAAAGATAATGAAGATAATAAAGAGGGGGAGGGGAATTTAGATTGGATAGTGCAGGTAGGAGAAGATGACTATGGGTTGCGATCTCAAGACAACTGGCGGCACTAGGGGCTATAGTTCCTCCCATTAACTTCTCTCTTCTAAGTATTTCCTCAAGAAGAGGGCCCACAGGAGCCATGGGGAACTGGATCTATGGAGGAAAAGAAATGGACTGTGGCAGTCCTGGAGGTACACTGCTTAGATGTCCCTTTAAGATAGTCGGCCATGGAAAGCATAGCTGAGTGACAGCTACGTAGAGGCCATACTTCCCTTCGACTGCTCCCAGCTGATCACTGAATAAGATGAGGACAGTAGAGCCACTTGTGCCTACCTGATGTGAGGCTACTCTAATGAACAGCCTTTGCCTCAGACACTAACACTCCTTTGTTCTGGCTGGACACAGTGTCACAGTTTCTCAGAACTGTGCTGCAGCCTGAAGCTTTTCCTAGGCAGGACTTTCTTTCCTCTCTTCTTTCCCAGGTAGCAGACCTGCATTATATTCTTCTGCTCTGCATTCCTTTATCCTTCACAGGCATTTCTCCCAATAAATCTCTTGACTACCTAATCTCATCTTGACATCTAAGAGGATCCAAAATGACATAAATGCCACAGCATTTCTAATTGAAATAATAATATGACTTAGTATGGTTTGAATTCATTGTGCTGGACACTTGGGAGACCCTTTCAGTTGAGGGACTCAAGACTTTCAGCCAGAGGAATTTTTTTTTTTTTTTTTTTTTTTGAGACGGAGTCTCGCTGTGGCCCAGGCTGGAGTGCAGTGGCACGATCTCGGCTCATTGCAGCCTCCGCCTCCAGAGTTCAAGCAGTTCTCCTGCCTCAGTCTCCTGAGTAGCTGGGATTACAGGCACGCGCCACCATGCCCAGCTAATTTTTGTATTTTTAGTAGAGATGGGATTTCACCATGTTGGTTGGGCTGGTCTCGAGCTCCTGACCTCGTGATCCACCCGCCTCGGCCTCCCAAAGTGTTGGGATTACAGGCATGAGCCACCGTGCCTGGCTGGAATTTTTTTTTTTTTAATAGAGACAGGATCTTGCTATATTGAAAAGGCTGGTCTTGAACTTCTGGCCTGCAACGGTCCCTCACCCACACCTCAGCTGCTCAAAGTGCTGGGATAACAGGCATGAGCATTGGCAAATTTGAGGTGCCTGGCCTCAAAATTCTCTTTCTGGAACTCCTATTAGTTGGATGTTGACCCCCAGGATCAAGCTTCTAATTTTCCTATCTTTTTTCCTCTATTGCCCACATCTTTGTCTTTCAGTTCTGTTTTCTAAAAGACTTCCTCAACTTTATCATTCAACTTTTCTAGCAACTTTTAAAACTTCAGCTTTCTTACTCTTAATTTCCAAGAGCTCTTTCTTATTTTCCAGTTACTTGTTTTCTATATTATTCTGTTTTCCTTTCATGAATGCACTTTCTCTTCTTATCTAAGGATGTTATTTCTAGTTTTGTCTTTGAAGTGTTTATTTATTCCCTACCTTGTCTCTACTTCCTCTAAGTAGCCTTTTCTGTTTTGTTTTTGTTTTGTTTTGTTTGGTTTGACTTTTGTGTCTGTCTTTCATGTAAGGAAACTTTTTCAAATGTCTACTGATTTTTGACTATCTGTTCTTATTTGAGAGTGAAGCACTAGCCAGCTAAATGACAAGTCTGTGGGCTTGGGAGGGTTTTAAAAGCACTTATCTAAACATCTAGTAATACAGGTCCAAGGACATTTATGAAGAAAAGGAGACTGAATATTTAAAATAGGTACCATCCTTGGAAATTTTGAGTCTGGGGGTGACCTCTCCTCAGCCTCCTCTTGTCCTGAAAACTGTCACCCTCCTTGGTTCCACTGCAGTGTGTATGGCAGTAAGGTGGCTTTGTCAATGGGAGAAACTCAGATGTCAATATCTGTTAGAATTCTCTCTGGAGAATTGATGTCTGGAGAGAAGAATCTTCCGGTCTCCCTCTTGAAGGGTATAAGCCTAGCTGCTGGCATTTTTGCAGCTGAGATGAGGAGAACATTTGCATCATTCAATATTTTTACTCTGGATTCTAACCCCCATCATATACTAGAAACTTCTGGTTCAGTTTTTCCTCCAAAAATATTTGTAAGGAAGGGTTTTCATCACTTTTTTTGGGCTATGGGTGAGGACTATATGTTTATTAAATAGATTTTGAACAAATCTCTCTATTTTTATCAGTTGCCTCACCCCAACTAGTGCTCAAAGCCTGGGCACTAGTTTGAGAGTTCGTACAGGACAAAATCAGTTTGCTTCTTGGTGATTTCATTCTCTGCAGGTTCTTACATTTCACCTTTCTCTATTCCGCTAAGGCCAGAGTCCTCTAGTTGCTTTTTGTCATCATGTATTGTGATGTGCGCTTCTGTTTCTCATCTTTTTGCTGACAGGGGAAAGGAGAGATAAGGTCTTTTCTCCATCATCTTAAGCTGAAAGTCTTCCAGGTTATTTTCATGTTAAAAGAGAGCATGCCTAATTCATAGCTAGCTTGTGCAGAACACCCCAGGAGAGACTGGCCTAGCAGGGCTGGGAGGACCCACAGGGGTGAACAAATGCAGCTGGATTGAAAGACAAGAGCAGAAAGCATGATTGAGCTGGGAAAGAGCTCTTTTCCAAATGGCCTATTCAAAAATGGGATGGGAACTGCAAGTGGGTTGAGGTGCACTCAGTCAACTAGAGAAGAAGAAACAGATATGAGATGCTCTGGCCAAGGCAGAGTCAAGGTGGACGCAGTTTATTTGAACTCCTGTCCAAGCTATTCTAGTGGCCATGTCAGATCCGCCTTGATGCCATCTGTTCTCAGTGTCTTCACGCAAAGTAAGAAGCACAAGCAGTGGAATTCCAGTGTCAGCAAGTGGCCCTCTGTGTACCCTGCAGAAAAAGGCTCCCTACGGAAACATAAAGTCACACCTTTGCTCCAGCTAAGAGCTCCACTTTGCCCTCATATTTTGTGGATCTTGTCCAACTTGAGCATTTTTCACCTGAAGGATTAAAATAGGGTGTGGTTTATGTGGGGGTAAAATGGCTACAGATTGATCATCATTAAAGCCAAGGAGAGACTTTTTTTCATTAAAGCAAAGGGGAGACTTCAAAGTCTGAGAAAGGCAAGGAGGACACCAAATCTACAGACTAACCATAGCAAAAGCACAGACATGCTGCCCACCCAGAAGCACTGGAAATAAGCATGGTTGCCAAGGTAGCTGGAAAGACCCTTTCTATTAGGTTGGTACAAAAGTAATTGCGGTTTTTGCTATTAAAAGTAATACTTAAAAAAAGTAATAACTTCCCTACTCCCCTTGGACTTCCCATGATAATAGTGACACAATTTTTAAAACTATTTATCTGAACATCTAGTAATACAAGTCCAAGGGCATTTATGAGGAGAAGGAGACAAGTGAATATTTGAAATAGATATTGTCCTTGGAAATTTGGAGTCCGGGGGGTGGCTTCTCTTCAGCCCCCTCCCATCCTGAAGCCACATGGATGGTTTCTTGTCCCCACCCTTCCCTACACCTTCCCTCTGGCCCTGCTTTTAGGTCTTAAATGGATTAAATTTTTGGGACAGGTGACACTTTTCCCTCTTGTCCCTCAGGGTGGTTTTTCTGTTGTTTTTGTTTTTGCTTTCTCCCATAGCTTGTATATTTCAAGTATAAAAATTATGTGAGGATGATCCGCCTGGAAGCCCTTTCCAGAGCTGAGTATTTCCAGAACAGAAGTAAGCAGGCTTCTTTCATTCTAAAGTCTACTGTGATTTTTAACAGGGTTTCCTTATTTCCTATCAGTTTGTTTATCAAAGACTCCAGCATGGAGTTTATTTAGGAAAAACAAATGACTTTTTAGGTTCCACTACTTGGCTGAGAGGAATTCATGTTTTAGGAAGCCCCAGATGGGAAAGCCTTGTTGTTTTCTTCTTTGAAATGATCTGCATTTTCAATTTTTTTCTACTTGCTTTTATTTCCCACAATCCAGACTCGCCTTTTCTACTTTGCCTATCCAACGATCTAAAACACTATGTAAAGATACAGATAAGTCTTGTTGATTCTTTTAAACATTAGCCATAATCCAAAAAAGAAAAAAGTCTTAGGACTATAGTCCTAACAGCACAAATTTTAACCCTGACCAAAGCAATTTCTATTTTAATTTAGGTTATTTGAGCTGAATTTGCAGGGCGAAGTGGTCATGGGTAAAACTAACCATTAGTTACCTCAAGCTTGCAACAATGGCAAAGAAATGTCAAGCCATTAATTAAAATGACTCCCACGGCCCCTCCTGGAATCAAGTCGTTCCCAGTTAGTCAACATCTGTCACAATCTGTGTAAAAGGGCAGAACACGCTATACCCCAGCACATTAAGTTAGAACACAGAGGTCTTGGGTCACTGCCAGAGTAACTTGTCTGTGGCATGATGGTTGCTAAGCGAAACAGAGCATTCTCTGCAGGGAGCCCCCCTGGACTGAGGCTCCTTCTCTTCCCCTTTATTTCTTGCTAGGCCAGCAGGAGCCAGGCCGTGGCCTGCTGACTGCATCTGCCAGATGACTACCAATGTGTGAGTAAACCCATTCTCAAGCCCAAGAGAACCTCTCAGCTGAACCAGGCCCAAGTTGCTCACCCACTGAACTGCCAGTTAAATAAATGGTGGTTGTTTTAATCCACTAAATGCTGGGATGGTTTGTTATACAGCAGTAGGTATCAATACAGTGTACTTGTCAATCTAGGAATTCCTGTCTTGTCAAATCTGAGAAAATTCTCGGTCACTGTCACTTCAAATATTACTTCTTTCCCATTTTCTATTCACTCATTCCAAAACTCCTAGTGGATGTCTTTTCTGTCATTTCTGGTTCTGTCTTTTGTGATCTTAAACTTTCATTCATTGTTTTTCCATTTTTACTTCCGTGTTACATTTTGAGTCATTTCCTTAGTTCCAGTTTGCTTATTTTCTATTCAACCATTAAATATTTCTATTTAGTTTTAAGTTTCAGTGGCTATAAGTTTCATTTATAAAAGAACTATTTGGTTATTTTCTAAATCTGCATTTTGTTTTCACATGTTTTTCTGTTTTTTAATTTGTATTTTCCTTTGCCCTTGTAAATCATTTAAAATGTACTTATTTTATAATCATCTGTGGCTTGATCTGTTTCTTTACTTCTTGGGCATTACTTTTTCTGTTAATTTCATGATCTGACCCTCAAGGTGGTTTCCTCCTATGGTTTGTAATTTTTATTATGAGCTTATTTTCAGCAGGGATTTCTCCCCTCTGGTGAAGATCTGTATGCCTTGGGTAATGTGATTGTCACTTCACTATGCCTGCAAGTTTGCTTCTGATGGCATCCTACCGATATCACCAACTCTCAACCAGCTCTAATGTTTCTTGGTATTTCTGCCCACAGTGAAAATTCAGAGCTCACTTCAATGCATGGCATGGGCTTGGCTTCAAGTTTTTCTGTATGACCTTTTTTTAAATTTATTTTTATTTTTTTAAACCTATAGCCCAAGGACACGGGAGCTTTTTTTCCTGATTTGTTTTTGCCAACACTGTAGCCCTCAGGAACTCAGATTTTGCAAAGTGCTCAATTCCAGTTGCCTTCCTTACTCACACCAGAGACAATATTTTATTGGCCTGCAAGGGTGTTAAAATCCCAAGGGTGTTAAAATCCCCAGATCTCCAGGGCCTATCATTGGTCCAAACCCTGCAGAGGCTACAGTGACATTAGCCCCTACTTACTGCCCAGCCTCTGAGCTCCCTCTTTGTTTCTAGAATCTGGGGATTTCCCTTTCTCTCTGTCTAGAGATTGTTGTGCTGGACCCCTATTGACTCCAATAGGAATGGCACCAGGTTCAAGAGGCCAAAGAAGAGACCTGGAGCCAGCAAATGAGACATAAGATTTGATTTGGGGGAACTTATGTACAGGGATGGACTAGTGGCAGTGGGCTGGATAAGAGAACCACAACTGCTTTCCAAAAGCCTGCAGTTTATACAGCACCTTCACTCAGCACCCTCTCTCCAGCAACATCCACATGGCAACCCCCATTTCCTAGGCTAAGTTATTGCTGTCAGATGTGTTTGCCATACAGGCTGCTGTACAGAGTATGCTTAAGTTATTGCTGTCAGGTACATCCACCGTATATATACATACACATGTACGTATATATACACATACATGTATGTGTGTGTGTACATATTTGTACTCATATACATGTGTATATATAGATATATAAAAAAATTTTCTCTGTGTTTCCCTGTAACAGTAACTGAAGAGGGAATTCTTCTATATAATCTCAGTCCACTATATTGCTAGAAGTTCTCTTCTCTATACTTTTGAGATATGAATTTTACCTTTCAATATTCTAAAATTATAACAAAGCTATAAATTTTGGGAATTGGTATATGTTTGTTTTTAGAAAAATTGTTAGAAACATAATAGCAATGGGATGCTTTAACATGCTACCTTGAACCTTTACCAAATCAAGAGAGTAAAAATTAAGCACAAAAGAGGGATCTAATACTATAAACAAGGTAGATTTAATACATATGTATCAAACATAGTAACCTAGAAGCAATGAATATACATTTTCTGGTGCTCATTTAACATTAACGACCTTCAAGAAGGCTTTAAACAGCAACAGATAGAGTTGAGTTGCTTTGGCCTATTGCTAAAGGCATCTAACCCACCTGCTTTGTGGGAGGTCATCTGCTTTGAATCTCAACTGTATCCAAGTCAGATTTAAACTCTATGGGGCATTGGAATTGTCCTCTGAATCATCTCCAACTCTGCAGGATACATAATAGCACCACTTTGTTGTTCTGGAATTTAAAGACAGGGTCTTATTCAACTTTGGCTATTTTTGTGCAGTCCATGGATCCTTGAAACAGGACATTCTACTTTACCAATATCTGACTCATAGAAGACCTATCTATATACCTACCAGGTGGCTACTACCCAGTAACTCCTACCGCCAATACCATGACATTTGTTTTGAAAACCTTAGCTTATTGCAATATTGCTTATAATTATGAAACCTTAGAAACAACTGAAATGCCTATCAAAGAGAGAATTTATAAATAAAATGTAACATATTCACGTTCTATTTTGATATGAATTACCATAATATTCTATTAGGATATGAATTGTTATAATGGCCATTAGAAGGAATGGATTGTTCCCATATATAACATAATATATCCATGTATAAAGTATCTATATAATACCAACACGTAACATAATGTAAAGAAAAGAGATTCATGGAATAAAATGTGCATGTCATTGATATAAATTTTAAAAACACAGAAATAATACATTATATTAAGACTATATATGTATGTAAAATTATTACCAGTGGACTGATTTGGATATACACTAAATTCATGCTACTTGCTTCTGGAGGTTGCAGTAAAGAACTGGAACTGTGTCTGGGGATGTCACTTTTATCTGTTTTATTTAGTTCATTTTTTATAAACAATCCTTGAGGCAAATATGAGCTGTTAATAAATGCCAATTAGTCTTTTTGCATATTGGTTGCATTTCTCTTTTTTACAACTTTATTGAGTATAATTGATGTACACTAAACTGCACTTATTTAAAGTACACAATGTGATAAGTTTTGACAAGTGTACGTACCCATGGAATCTTTACCACAATCAACATTTGTTTCCTCCCACAGTTTTCTCAGGCCCTTTTGTAATCCATTTTTTGCTTAAACAATTTGTTTTCTATCACTATAGATTAGTTTTATATAAATGGCATCCTACAGTATGTACTCTTCTGGTGGCAGGGGGTTGTCTATCTGCCTTAATTCAGTAATTTCTCAAGATAAAAACAATTTTAAAAATCTTGGAACTGCTGAAAACAATCTGGGGCATATAATCTGTGATTCAGAAAGGGGGAAAGGAGGGAATCTGTGGAAAGCAGGTACCATTTGGGATAGATTCCCAAGCAGGAAGAATAAGCACACTTATTATAATGGCTTCCACATTCCCCAAATTATTCCCTTCATGTAATCTTTTTTTTTTTTTAATTTTGTGGCAGTGCCTGAAACTGCACAGATGAGAGTCTTTTGGATAAGTAAGCTACTCATTTAAAAACAGACGCTTTGCTCAGAATTTACTCAATGGCAGCTGGTTCAAGGAAAGCTTGTCATCCTAACCCTCTCCCAAACTTAGCTTCATTAAGGAAATGTGTGTTTGGATCATAAGAGAGAGGAGCTAAGATGTATTGAGGCATGGAGAGTTGGGGACTGTGGGAAGATCTGAGTGAGGCAGCACCCTAGGAGACTTCGGGGAACCCTAGGATATCGGGAACCAGAACCCAAGGAGGTGGGGAGGGCCAGAAAAGAATGTGAGAAGACACCCAAAGTTAATAGCCATCCCTTTCCTAATGTTCCCTATGTGCGGCTCCCTGATGAGAAACTGGAGGAAGAGATTCCCATCATCTTGCGTCTTCTATTCTCAACATCGGAGAACTCCTGTTCTTGAAATTCAACCTGATATCATTATTGCTCTGTGGATTAAACTGGCTCTTGTTTGCTAGGCTCAGAGTCCAAATACAAGATATAACATTGTTTTTATGGAAAAATGTGCCCAAATACCAAATAATTGATCTACAAAGAAAGTTTTGAAATGTAACCTGTTATACGCCAGGGATTTCTTACATGTGTAGATCTTTGTAACAATGAGCTATGTTATAATGGAAATATTTTCACAGATATAATTCTTAATCTATAGCCAATATCAGTCATTAAAACATACTGTTCAGTCTTGGGGCCCATAAGTGGAAGATGTTATGGAGAAATTGGAAAGGAGCCAGGGGAGACAAAGTAACTGATGAAAGGTTTTGAAAAATAGCCCTTTAGGGAAATGTCTACATTCATTCAGAGGAGAGAGGTGTATCAGTCTTCAAACTATAAAACGATGTTACATTATTGACATCAAGTCTTTTTTCTTCTTGTCCACAGAGGGCAATATTAGAGGAAATGAGTTTAAACAGCAGCAGAGGGGATTTAGGCTAGTCAGATGTCCCCAGCTTGAAGATGAGAGGTGCATTCTCAAGCTCCCAAGCCTCAATCTCATAAGGGAGTGGTCCTTCTTGAGGGATTTTTTTTTTTTTTTTTTTTTTTTAGCGCTCTGATCAGTGGCAGTCCAAGTTCACACAGCCCTGGTCTGCTTGAAGTTGTTTGCATACATCAGTATTTGGGAAACTAAGTTCGGTCCAAGAACAGAAAATGTTTCCTGGCTACATGGAGGGTAAAGCAAACGTGAAGTTGCCTCATACGAGAAGAATCCAGACATGAGAAATCTCAGCCTTTGGTCCATTATTTTGTAAATCTGCTCAAAAGAGCATGGATTCACAAGAGAAGTGTCCAGGAGGAGGGTAGTGTCAGCCCCACTGCTCTGTGGGGCAGTAGGACCACATCTCAGGCACTGGGTCCAGGTCTTGGCAGTCAGGATGTCTCCAGGGGCTGTTGAGAAATTGGAGTGCCTCCAGAGGGGAGCAATGGGGACAGAAGAATCTGGAAACTGGGTCAAAGAAGGAGCAGTTGAATGAACAACGTGTGTTGGCCTGAAGAAGATAAGTTGCAGCGGGGACAAGAAGCTGTTTTCAAAGTTTTCAAAGATTTGAAGTGCTGTCAGGTGGAAGAGCAGTGAAAATTGCGTGGCTCCAAACGGTAAATACAGGACCAATGAGTACGAGTCATAGGGACGGTGTCCGCTGAAAAGAAGGAAGCATTTTATAATCATTAAAGATGTTCAAAGTAGGTGGTGATACTTGGTTATATAGGAAATGTTTGTATGAAGACTAGATATATATAAAAATGTTGGAGGAAGAATTTTTGAGCTTTTTTTTTTTGTCTCACCAAGCAAATGAAACTTTTTGGAGAGAGATGACCTAGCAAAAGATTTTTTCTCTTGGTGATCAGGAAAGGCAGTCTTTGCAGACCGAACCACTAGAGGGAGTCAGGGCAGCAGCGTTGCAAGGCCGCCGTCCATTCTCTTCACCGAAGCAGCAACTGATAGCCAGGCCTGGCTCTCAGGTTCTAAGTTCCCCTGATTTCAATATCACCCCCATGAATCTTTCTGGAATGTTTACATCTGATTAAATTCTTCAATGTCTGAGAGGCCTCTGTGTGTAGAGAGGCACAATCACTGCTATTTGTAGTCTGCTTACATCTTTATTAATTATTTAATAAACAGTATTCTCCTAAAAATTCAAATACTCCCTAAACGACTAAAAATGAAAACTTATGCATTTAACAAATGTGACATTTTCCAAATATCTAAATATTAGTTTATAAACTAATTGATTATCCTAAATATATGTAATATATAGTGTATAATATATATATACTTCTAAAATCACAAATATCCTATATCTAAGTCTTTTAAATGCTACAAATGCCTTAAAAGCAGAAACACACAAATGAATCATCACAATGATACATATACAAAGTGATGAAATATAGCTAAAAAGATTTCCAAGCAAAGTGTTGAAGGTACCACCTGGTTTCTTCTTGGTGCTTATAGTAAAATGCAAGAGGAGAGTGATAAATCGAGGGAAGAACTGTTAAACAAAAAGGAATCAAAGATGATTCTGAAAATTCTCAGTCTCTCCAGATGGCAAAAGATGTTAAAATTAAGAAATCACTTTTGAGCTTGTGGCATAGAGATAAGTCCTGGCCTAGAGAAAAAGCTAAGTAGTGATTGTACAAGCTTTTGTTAAAATCTCAGGAAGATTAAGGGATCAGAGTAGTATTCAGTCATACAAAGGGCCCTCTCCAGAGATTAATGGTGTATCTCACAGAACCTCTCAAATAATAGGACCTTTTGGAAGCTTAATTGAGTTATCTTTCAACCATCTCAGCAGGAACTCAAGGTAGAAGGGGGCCTAGCTCAAAAAGAACCTTGGATGTGGCCTTTATGTAAAGGGAAATTTACTGGAGACCCACAAAGTATTTAAGAAAAGTATTTCAGCAAAAACACTGCCAACTTAAACTGAAAGGGACGGAAAGAGTACAAAATGAAAGGAGGCTGTTAGATCTCCAAAATTCTACTGGCAGGAAGCAGAATGATAAAACTACTCAGCTGCAAACATGTGCTACTTTTCATGAAAAAAGGAAAGATGACTCAGAGGGTGGAACCAAGAGCTATGGTGAATTATTCCCAGCCCTTGAAATCTAATCAAAGAATTCTGACTGAAGTTTGCTAGGCTGGGTTTTAAAACTGCTTTGGACTGTAACTCCTTTTTATCTTCCATTGCCCACCTCTCCTTCTCTTTTTAACTAGAAATGTCTATAACTATTTTACTATATTCATTCCTTCATTGTGCATTAGGAGCAAGACGATTTGTCTTTAGTTTTATAGATTGAGAGGAACTACGCTCAAGGAGCCTCATGCATACCTGGACCTGATTTAAATGATGAGATGCTGGACTTCAAGCAGATGCTGTAATGATATGAGGTTCTCAGGGACCTTGGGAAATAGTAAATGTATTTTGTGTGTGAGAGGGACACAAATCATTGGAGGCCAAAAGGGTGAACTGAGGACAGATGCTAGGGTAGCTCCCACAATCCCCACCTCCTGGTTTCACCCTTGTGGGATCTCGCCATGAGTGTGGATGGAACCTGTGATTTGCTTCTAACTAGTAGAATTTGGCAAAAAATGATGAGATATATGTGATTATGTTTACATGATTATATTATATAAGATTCTGAGTACATTGAGCTGCATAGAGAGAGCACGGGGGCAAGTGAGAGCCAGGTGGGTACTGGAAAGCTCTGTGCCTCACTGAGGAAAAATAACTAAACATGGGCAAAAGAGATCCATGGAACCTGAGAGGCAAGGTGTTATTATATGCATTCTTTGGCAAACTTGTCAGGAGGCGCATAAGAAGAAGCACCCAGATGGTTCAGTCAACTTCTCAGTTTTCTAGGAAGTGCTCAGAGAGGTGCAAGACCATGTCTGCTAAAGAGAAAGGGAAATTTGAAGACATGGCAAAGGCGAACAAGGCTCGTTATGAAAGACAGATGAAAACCTATATCCCTCCTAAAGATCCCCTTTAGGACGAAAAAGTAGTTCAAGGATCCCAATGCACCCAAGAGGCATTCTTTGGCTGTTTTCTTGTTCTGTTCTGAGTATTGCCCGAAAATCAAAGGAGAACATCCTGGCCTATCCATTGGTGAGTTGTAAAGAAATTGGAAGAGATGTGGAAGGGCACTGCCTCAGATGATAAGCAGCCTTATGAAAAGAAGGCTGTGAAGCTGAAGGAAAAATATGAAAAGGATATTGCCTCATACTGAGCTAAAGGAAAGCCTGATGCAGCAAAAAAGGGAGTTGTCACGGCTAAAAAAAGCAAAAAAAGGAAGAAGAGGAAGATGAAGATGATGATGATGATGATAATGAGTAAGTTGGTTCTAGCACAGTTTTTTTTCTTGTCTAGAAAGCATTTAAACCCCCTGTTTACAACTCCTTTTAAAGAAAGACATTGAGATGTAAGGCTGTGTAACATTTGTTTTTAAACTGCACAGTGTCTTTTTTGTATAGTTAACACACTACTGAATGTGGCTTTAGATAGCCCTGTCCTGGTGTATTTTCAATGGGCACTAACCTTGCCTGATACAGTATGGGGGTTGTAAACTGGCAAGGAAATTTAAAGCAGGTTCTTCTTAGTGCACAGCACAAATTAGTTATACATGGGGATGGTAGATTTTTTATTTTCACTTGTCTCTGATGCAGCTTATATGAAATAATTGTTGTTTTGTTAACTGAATACCACTCTGTAATTGCAAAAAAAAAAGTGGCAGCTGTTTTGTTGACATTCTGAATTCTGAATGCTTCTAAGTAAATACAATTTTTTTATTAGTAAAAAAATGTTCTAATCCATCTTTCCAGGAGATTCTCTCTCCCTTGCTGTCTTTGAAAAAGCAAGTTGCCATGTGAAGAGGGCCATATAGCATAGGAGCTGAAGGCAGCCTCCAACTGACGGCAAGAAAATGAGGTCCTCAGTCTGACAACCTGCAAGAAACTGAATGTTCTAAAAGCCACATGAGCTTGGGAGCAGATCTGACCCCAGCCAAATCTCTGAAGTCCGCAGGCAGGAAATGAAGATCAGAAAAAGGCTATTGTCTCATGAATATGAGCCAGACTCCACAGAAGCTGGAGTCCTTCATTATGGAGCTAAACACATACACCTGGCTTAGGAGTCAGAAAAACTGAAAGAGAATTCAGGGAAGTAGAGAAATTGCAAGCCCAGATGCTGCTTCATACCAAAGAAGCAAGTCAGCAGGTCAGCAACAATGTGTATCAGTTCCAAAATGACTTACACAGGTACCAAGACAAGACATTATATACACTTATATAGTCAAATACTTTAAAACTGTTAACAAACTTGCTACAATTGTCTCATTTGTCTTTTAACCTTAATATCACAGATCAAGTTTGTAATCTCAAAAGTTCACCCTGGCTGCTGTGTGGAGTATTCTCTTATCTGCTCATATTACACTGTGCTTATTCATTCATCAGTTAATGGAAATTTGGGTTGTTTCCTGATTTTGACTGTAATGAATAATGTTGCTGTAAACATTCATGTACAGTTTTGTGTGGACATGCTTTTCTTTCTCTTGGGTAGGTTCCTATGAGTGGAATCACTAGATTGTATGGTAAATGTATGTTTAACTTTTAAAGAAACTGTCAAACTGTTTTCTAACATGAACGGGCCATTTTACGTTCTTATCAACAATATATGATGGTTTCAATTTTCCCACATCCTCACCAACATTTGGTATTGTCTCTCTTTTACATCATAACTATTTTAGTGGGGATGTAGTGATATCTTATCGTGGTTTTAATTTGTGTCTCCCTAATGACTAATGATATTGTGCATCTTTGCATATGCTTGTTAGCCATTTATG
Organism: Homo sapiens; assembly: GCF_000001405.40. Lineage (NCBI taxonomy): Eukaryota > Metazoa > Chordata > Mammalia > Primates > Hominidae > Homo > Homo sapiens. The sequence continues at coordinate 77,148,671 of NC_000005.10, forward strand.
TACATTCTTTAGTGAAATGGCTATTCAAATCTTCTGCCCATTTAAAAATCGAGTTGTTTTTCTTATTATTCAGTTGTAAGAGTTTTTTCTTTATTCTGTGCAAAAGTCCTTTATCAAGTCTAGGATTTTTGAATATTTTCTCAACCTAGAGCTTGTTTTTCAACATTTTTTTCTTAATGATCTTTTGAAGTGCAAAAGTTTGATTTTGATGAAGTCTAATGTATCACTTCTTCCTTTAACTGTCATGATTTTTGTGTCGTATCTAAGAACTCTTTACCCAACTCAAAGTTACCAAGGTATTTTCTTCCAGAAGTTTTGCAGTTTTAACTCTTCTATATAGGCCTGTGATCCATTTTTAATTCATTTTTTGCATATGATGTGAGAGAAGGGCCTAAGTTCATATTCGTACATGTGGATGTACAATGGTTCCAGGATCACTTGCTGAGAAAAGACTATCCTTTCCCCATTGATTTTTTTGGCACCTGTGTCAAAAATCAATTGACCATAAATGCAAGCGTTTATATCTGAACTCTCAGTTCTTCTCCATTCATCTCTAAGGATATGTCTATGCTTACATCAATATCACAGTGTATTCATGTGGCTTTGTAGTAAATTTTGAAATTGGGTGATAGAAGTCTTTCAATTTTGTTCTTAGTTTTCAGAATAGTTTTGGCTGTACTTTGCATTTTGATACAAATTTTAGGATGTATGTGTGAAGTTTTACAAAAATGCTTGCTGGAGTTTTGATAGGAATTGTGTTGAACCTATAGATCTATTTGAGGGGGGAATTGCCATCTTGACAAGCTTGAGTCTTCCAATCCATGGACAGGGAATGTCTCCATTTATTTAAATCTTCATTAATTTTTCTTAGTAACGTTTCACAATTTTTAGCGTACAAGTCTTAAACTTTTATTACATTTATTTCTGTTTATTCTTTTTGAGGCTTTGTGAATAGAATTTTTTTAATTTTATTTTTTGGGCTTGACATTGCTGATATATACAAATACAATAGATTTTTAAAATACTGATCTTAGATCCTGCAGCTTTGCTAAATTCTTCGATTAGTTCTAGATATTTTGTGTATAGATTCCTTGGTGTTTTCTATACGCAAGATTATGCCATCTGCAAATAGAAGCAGTTTTAATTCTTCCTTTACTCTCAGTCTGCTTTTAATGAGCTATTATGTCTTCTGTTCTGTATTGGTCAAACCCTCACCTGGATCACAGTATTTATTACTGACCATCACAGTTTCCTTGAGGAAATGAAAAAAATTAAAAAGATAAAGTAACTATTACCATAATCCCTACATTCGGACACAATATTTATGAGCATGTGGGGTAAATTCTTCCAGACACTCTTGCTAGAGGACGTGTAGCAGAGCTTATGATGCACTGAGCCACATCCTCCAGCCACCAGATTCCAGTGTAGCTGTGGTGAACTTTGCCTTGCACTTTACCAGTGTCCATATAAGCTCATATCACAGTGTCTTTCTGTTTTGCTTTCTGGAGGTCAGGGAAGCCTGCTGAGCTATATGTAGACCCAACCCATATTTTCAAGGTAATACTCCTTAGTTGATAGAAGCCCTCAGTCGATGGGAACAGGATTTCATGGATTAATGCCCCAGCTCCCCCATCCTGCAGGACATAGAATGTGTGACTATCCAAGATGCTTGCAACATGGTTTCTCAGAGTTCCCAATGGAATTGAATCCCAGCTGCATACAACTGTAACCCACTCATTTATTAACTTTTCTCCCTTCCTCTTTCCCTTCACTTCTGTTTCCTAAGACTACTTCCCTCTAAATGATCTGCACCCAAGTCCTTGTCTCAAGGTCTTCTAGAGAAACCCAAACTAAGGCAGTTTGTCAAGGGACAAACTAGGGTACATCTTTGAAACAGTCATTAGGAGAGTGAGAGGTCCTGCAACGATGTAATATAAAAGCAGTGAAAATAGCTGAGAAAATTAGAAAAAGAGAAAACTTACAGGAATAATCATAGTCATCTTTAAATACCTGCAAAGTAATCAGATATAAGAGGACCAAAGGAGACACTGGTTTTAACTGAGCACCTTCCAGGTTATATACTAGCTACTATGAAGTGTATTTATTCCATCCTTACAGCAACCCAGAGGCAATGAGAACTACCCTTATTTTTCAAATAAGAAAACTGAGACACAGATGATTAAGGAATTTGCCAAGGTCCAAAGCTAACAGGTATTGGAACTAGGATTCAAATCCAAGCCTGTCTGCCCCCTAACCTGTGTCTTGCTGCTGTGTGTTTTGCTTTGAAGGGCAAAACAGAGACCAGCAGGTAGACATTCTAAATCCATAGAATTGTGTTTATATGAATGCAGTGTGTGGCAGAGATTGTCTAGATGTTCATCAATGCTGTTTTCTCTGTTCTGTTTCTGGACATACAGGAACACTTCATGTCCTAGCCTCCTTTATAAGTAGATTGGGGCCATGTAACAGGGTTCTGGCAAATGGGAATGTGCAGATGTGATATGTGATGCTCCTGATTCATTCATTCTGTCTCTTTCTCTCTCTCCCTCTCAGCTAGCTGAAAGCAGAGAACCCAGCAGAGGATTCTGGGAAGGTCCTGGGGGATGGCAGAGCCAGCAGAGAGAGGGTATGGATCCACCAGGCATAGGATGGAACAGAGCACTATTGACCACAGTGAACTGGGGCATGGGCAATCAATAAACACATATTAGATTAAGCTATTGAGACTCAGGGATTTTTATACAACTGACATTCCCTAAGAAGCCATGATCTTCCTGTCTCAGGAGGTGCATAAGCAGTGGTTGAATGTTCAACAGTCAAGAATGTTATAAAAAGAGGTTCTTGGGAGAGTGGACCTGATGGCCAGCAAAAATCATAGCTCACATTTATTGAGTTATTATGGCTCAGGCATGTGCACATATTCTTTTATTTAAATCTACAATATGCTTTATCATGCTCATTTTATACATGAGGAACACAAGGCATGGAGAGGTTAGATAACATGCCTAAGATCATGAAGCAAGCAAGGGGGAGAAAAGATACCCTTCTCACTCCTTCCAGACAGCTCACTTCACCACCACTCCCCACTGTCTCTAAAGCAAAAGTTATTTGAAGGCTTAGGGACTGGTTTGGTATTATCCATGCAGGGCGGTTTGTTTTGTTTTTCTTTTAAAATTTCAGCCTATGCTTAAAAGATTTCATGTAAAAATTCTGTTTTCTAGTTTCTCTTGAAAATTAAGAAGATCTGGTAAAACTGGGCTTGAAGACCATTATGGTAACAGGCTGCTGAAGCTGAGGAGAGGGCCCCTTCAGATGGGCATAAGCACTGCTCCCCCTCCCCAACCCCCCTTTTAGGTTACTATCAGACTCTGGAAGCTTCTGAATGTGTGAACCCTGAAAGAGTCCATCTAAAGCTAAGTTCTCCCCAGGGGTAGAGCCCAATGCTGGGCATACAGTAGGGACTCAATGGATATTTATCAAATGAATGAATACAGGTGGAATTCAGATCCGTTTGGCCTCTCTTTTCTGTGACTGGGGACCACTGAACCTGAGTCACTAAGTGATAACTCACAACACAAATTTTCTTCTTGTTCCAAGCAGCCAGGACCCAGGTTCTAGGTATCTAAAAATGCTGTGCCTGACTTGAGTTCGCAATGACATTTTTTATCAACTGAAAATGTTTACTTCTGTGCAACCAGCCAAAGCTGGGGGTAAGCAGCCCAGTGGGGTGCGCTGATTCTATCTTAGATTACGCTGTGCACAATGGACTCTTTGTAAAGTCCTTATGGCGGGGAGTGGCCAGGCAGGCATCTCCTGCACCCAGCTCTGGAGACTCACTTGCCACAAAGCTGAAGAAGGACGGGGCAGTTTTAATATACCTGGCTTAGAAAAGCCACAGACTGTTGGACTTACATGTGGGTGTGTAAGCCCCACACAGAAGCAGCTTTTTCTCCAGCATTGTTAACAAAGCTCATTTAGAGGAATGCAAGTCTGGGGCACGGCCTGGATGGGCAGCATGACGCACACACCACATAAGCTCCAGACGCTCACTGATCCCCTTCACAGAGGCTGAGCCTGCCCACCCAACCCTGCCCTCGCCCTCACCCTCACCTCCGCAGCCGGACCTGGGATAGCACTGCTTTTCTTGAGAGGACTGAGTCTTAGCATTGAGGATGGGAAGGGGAGTGTAAGGGCTCTTCCAGGAGAGAATCTCCTGCTTATTTGCATGGAGGAAGAAGGGAGCCTTTCCCAGTGCCTACACGTCTGAGTCCCAATTGTGAGAGAAAATGAATTGCTTAAAGTTGCAGTTCTCAACCAGAGGTGATTCCCCTCCCAGGGGATATTTGCAACACTTGGAGGGATTTTTCATGGTAATGACTTGGGAGGGGAATAAGGGAGGTGGTGCTATGGGCATCTGGTGAGTGGAGGCCAGGGATGCTGCTGAGCATCCTACAAAGCATAGGACAGCCCCTCATGGCAAAGCATTACTCACCCCAAATGTCAGTGTGCCAAGGTGGAGAAACCCTGACTTAAAGGAGGGCTTTTATTACCTTTTAAGCTTAAGAATTATAAAAGGCAATTTATTGTTTTATAATTTAAAAAAAGGGTTATTTTAAATATGGACAAATATGCTGAACTTCCCAAGTATCACCTTCTTTCATTATTTGTGATAACAGTCTTGGCATATAGCAAGTGCTCAATACCTATTTGTGCAATGAATGAATGTCATACTGTAATAGTGTCTTTTACTTAATTTGTTATAACATGGTCACTTCCTTCATTGAAGCAGTACACAGGTTCTAGGGGGAGGGCTGGGGATAGATATTGGACAGTTTATTTACTTACTTATTTACTTTTCTGCTTCTGGCTTTAGCACGTGGGCCCCTGACTCCAGCTTTACTCTTTTTTTTTTTTTTTTTTTTGAGACGGAGTCTCACTCTGTCACCCAGGCTGGAGTGCAGTGGTATGATCTCAGCTCACTGCAACCTCCGCCTCCCAGATTCAAGTGATTCTCCTGCCTCAGCCTCCGGAGTAGCTGGGATTACAGGTGCCTGCCACCATGCCTGGCTAATTTTTATATTTTTAGTAGAGACGGGGTTTCACCATGTTGGCCAGGCTGGTCTTGAACTCCTGACCTCAAGTGATCCACCTGCCTCAGCCTCCCAAAGTGTTGGGATTACAGGCATGAGCCACCATGCCCGGCCCAGCTGTACTTTTAAAAAAATGTTGTCCGATTTGCTAATAAGCTTGGCCTCTCTCTTTTCTCAATCCTTTTGCTATTGTTTGGGTGGATTTGACTTGATAAATTTCCAACCCATCTGTATAAGAACCACATTTGATATTGATATGGATTGTAGCCATAAAGCTTTTTTTGCTAAGGAAGAAACATTTCATAATTGAAAAACTGAATTGTTACATATATCCCTTGAGTTACAAAACCCTAAAGAATTTCATATTGTTCAAAATGGGAGGCCAAGTGAAATTCTGACTCATTTCTGGTACTTCTTGCCTCTCACCCAAATTGCTGATGGTCCTGTAGCCACATTGACTGCTTTTCTCATATGGCTGATGGTTTCTTTATGGGATTATCACTATCTGAAATGCTATCAGATATTATTAGCTCATTTTCCTGTCTTTCCTTTTCTAGATGTGAGTTCTCTAAGGGCAAATACCTTGTTCTTGCTCATTCACTGCTTTATCCTCATTGCCTAGCATGGCGCTTGGCACAGGGAAGACATTTAATAAATATTTGTTGCATGAATGAATGGCAGGGCAGAGAGGCCAGAGACTGAGTGACCTACCTAAGATCATGCAGAGGCCCGTCAGGAGAATCGGTCATGAAACTGGGAACCAGGTTAAGGTCCTCTGCATTTGGCCTGCCCACATCCCCTGCATATATACTGTGGGGTGGGGATACTAGGCATGCCATCCTTGTACCACAGGAGTTGCCCAGTGAGACTCAGGACTACTAGGATGCAGTATAGCATCATCATCTCCCAGATGGGAGGGCCCACCTTAGAGGTGACCTTGTGACGTGACACATAGGTCAACTAACCCGGTTTTCCTGGGACTGAGGAATTTCCTGGGGTGCAGTACTTTCCATCTGAAAAGGGGAAAGTCCCAGTTAAACTGGGATGAACTGGTCACCCTATGCGACAGAAACATTCAGTAAAAATCTATGGTGCCCTGCAGTGGATTCTTCCTTTGGGAAACTCTGTTAAGTTGTCAAAGAATCATGGACTCTCAGCGGTGGCAGGGAGAGACCTTAGTGATCATTGAGTCTGGATGTTGCAGACTTAAGTGTCTGCGCAAGTGTGAGAAATGGGGACTATGGCAAATTGGGGCATATTTGCCTCTTGTAAAAGGAGGTGGCCTTGGCTCAATGTTGCCCGTGGGAATAACAGCCCATGTGGCCAGATGGGCCTGTTTTCAAGAAAAGCTTGAAATCTCCCTCCCTCTCTCTCCCTCCTCTCTCTCTCTCTTTTTCTCTCTTCTCTCTATGTCTGTGCCCACACATGTTCACCCATGAGTATGTGTGGAGAGAGAGAAAAATGAGAAGGGAGAAATAGAGGGAAATCTGATTTTTAACACTGCAACTACTTTTTAAAATGTAAACACTATGCAATGCAACACAATGTAGCCGCAGGCAGGTCCGCCCCATAGGCCACCAACTGACAGCTGCTGTCGTCTGACATTTCATATAGGCAGATACTAAAACAGAGAGCAGTAAATGCTGAGCTAGGAGTGTAGGATCCAGGCCTCTTGACCAGAGAGCTTTGTTAAAAGACTCATTTCTATAAAGATCAGTTACTACACCCAATTTTCACAATATCCCTTTGAGCAAATTACTTAATCTCTCTGTGTCTGTTTCCTTATGTGCAAAGAATAATAGTGTGTATTTCCTGAGCTTGTGGTAAAGATGAAAGGTATGAATTCGTGTGAAGCGGTTAGAACCATGGAGTAAGCGTGTGTTGGCTGTCATCATCACTGAGGTAGGTGCTGTCATCACCCTCATTTTACATGTAGAGAAACTGATTTCTCAGAGGTTGCCTAACTTGCCGATGATGGTATAGCAATAAATCAGAACGAAGAGTTGAACCCTGGCTGTTTGACTCTGGTATCAGGGGTATTTTTCTCTGTACCTTCTTGCTATACCACTAGGCTGGTGTTATAAATTCAAGATAAGAAAAACAAAAGCCAGGTATTTTTCCCCTGGTAATTATTGTATAGATATATTATCAAGGCCAGAAGTTAAGTCCTGTGTTATTTCTCTCTGCTGTCAGCTAAGTATCATCTGTAATGACGGAAGGGAAAATGTTACATAGATAATAAAAAATGGTGGATAATAAAAATAATTGCTGCTTGGGCATTCATTATGCAATTTGGGGGGCAGCTAATTTATCTTCCTAATTATATTTTGCTTAAGCTGATTTTAAAATTAGTTTGTTTACCCTGAGCACGCACTGATTAACAGCAGAGAGAGGTGGCCCAGAAACATCTTGGGTGGTAGAGGGAAGATATTTTGAGATTCAGGGGAATTTCTGTGGATAATGTTCATGTAGCTATGGGAAGGTAGAAGGCTGATAGGTTGTTGGTGCTCTGAGTGTAATTAACTATTGTGATTTGTTGTTGGGAGAATTTAAATATAAGGCCCTAGATTGCAGACTCAGAGAGGGGAATGAACCCCAAGCTCCTTCTTGTTTATTCTTCAGTGCTGAGGAGAGTTCAGACTGTCAATGTAGGTAGATTGAAAAAGGAGATGGAGAAGGAGAGCTAGCTGGAGGTGACCCCAGGAATTTCCTTTCAATCGATACCCAAGGACGATTAAGTGCCTATTACGTACTGCTGTCTATTACATACTGTGAATTATGCCCAGAGCTGAGGATGCCAAGATGAATAAGGCCATTGTCTTACCCTGTGGAACTCCACAATCTAGTAAGGAACAGGCTTATAAACAGAGAGATCACAGCCCAGTAGAATCAGTGTTATCAAGAAAACAGGATCACAGTGAGAGCAGAGAAGAGAGAAGAGAGGGTGGCTATCACCATAGGGGAGGCAGGAAAGGAAGGAGCTCCACCCCTCACTCTTCCTCTGTTCACCCACTTTCTGGGTAGTTGGGGGAGGCAGGAATGGGGTGGGGAGGTAAGGGATGGGGTGTAGAAACCCCTTCAGGTTCAGTGTCAGCTGGCTGCTGGCTGTTTCAGCCAGTGGGAGGTGCTGGGACAGGCTGGAGGATGGGAGAAGAGGAAAGTCAGGGTAGCTCTCCCCTTTCTCTGCCTGGAGTGGCATCTTCAAAATCTTAAAAGCATATGGTCTCTCCCATGAGTCCATTTCCCACTAGACAGGTCCACTGGGGTCCAGCTTCAGCAGGGTGATCATGGCTTCTGAGCTCTGGTGACTTTCTTTAATCGCCCCTCCAGCCTCTGGGTGGTAACAGTTTTTTACTGGTGCTAAAAAACTGTCTCACTGTCTCCTGGTTGGTGACTCCATGTTTTCATCCTCTGGAAAATCAATCCCATGCATTAAATTCACTCTATTTAAATATAGTGGGTGGCTCTGATGGGTATGAAAGGCTTCCCAGGGTAACTCATACTTGAACTGTTTTTTAAAGAATAAAAAGATATTTGCTAGGTTGAGACACAGGAAGACTGTGTCTGAAACATACTTGGAGGTGTGAAACACCGGAGTGTGGGGACCCAGAAGGGACAGACATCCCAGCAGGTGAGAGCCACTAAAACATTAGAAAGGAAATACATTGTTCAGGTATTTTAGAAAACTCATTTGGCCAGCTCTGCTCTGTATAGATTAGCAAAGAAAACATGAGGGTGGCTGTGAAGACTAGTTAAGAGACAATCACAACGATTCAGGCTATAAGTCATGAGGCGAACTATATATGCACATAGAGGCGTGATGGATAAATGTGGATAGAGGACACACTCTAGCTATTATTCTCTTAACTATATCCAAGGAGAAAATATCTTATTTTCCTGGCATACAATAGGTGCTTAATAAATGCTTGCTGAATGAATTAGTAATATTCTACTAGCTTAATTTGTGTTATGAAACCTCAGTTCCCCACATGTCTTTCCCTTAACCAAAACTCTGACCTGTCCCATGGAGTCTGTTGCCTAAGGTCACCAGGTTTCTGCCTCCCTGTTTAGGACAGCATGGGGTCCTCCCACGGGTGCTCTGGCTTCCCAGCCCTGCTCTAGAGCATCCCTCTCTCTAGTTACTGACTGCCCCTCCTCCATCAGAGCCATTCAATCAGACGGTATTTACAGACACTTACATACTAATAGCTGGCACTGTGTGGGACACTTGCCACTCATTTATCTCGATCCTTGCAACCACCCAGTGAAGGGGCTACCTTTATCCTCATTTTAGAGACAAAGAAGACAGATAGAGGCAGATAACTTGTCCTGGGTCATGCAGCTAGTAAGTGGCAGAGCTGGAACTCATACCCAGGTGTATGACTCTCAAGCCCAGGTTCTGAGCCACTAGGCTAGATTGCCTGGTACTGGGTGCTGTATGTAGCTGGAGATATAAAGAAATGGAAGACAACGTGTGGGGAGAGAAAGTGTGAATGCACAAAGAATTAACTCTGATGCTAAAAATATGTAGTGATTCAAGTCAACAAATGAAAAGCTGCCACAAAGCAGAATGTCGACTGCCAGTATAAATAGGGATAAGGGGAAAGAGAGATCATCCTAGGCTGGGGTAATCAAGGGAGGCTTAAGGAAGTAGGTAGTATTTAACCTGTGGCTTTCCTGCTAGTTAAGGAGACATGCTGAATTCTTCTAAAACAATGCAAGAGCAACTGGGAGGTCACTAGCAGGCCAGTGCAAATTGCAGCAGGAAATTAAAGAAGGGAGAGATTTGTATAAACTGGAGAAGGACATCTGGTTGATTCTGGAGCTCTGAGTGCCTGTGGATGGAGCCTGGGTGGGTGGCCTGTGGGTGGAATACCTTCTACCAACTTTGCACAACCACCTGTAGCCGACTCTTTTCACACATGCACGTTCCTAGGTTGAAATAGGCTCCTTCCAGGACTCCAGGTTTTCCTCTGGGTGTGGCCTGTCCTCAGTCTTTCTTCTCACACATCACCTGTGATCCCGCGGCAGGGAAGACAGATCCCACTACACCTGAGAAAGAGGGACCATCTCTTCCAGTTCTTGGGGATAATAGAATGACAAGCAACACATGAGACTCAACATCAAGTGTACTTACTTGATGGTATACTCCTTAGGTAACACAGGGAAATGGCCCGGTGACTCCAGGAGGGAGTCAGGGAGCCTGAGCATGCAGGTGAGAGAATGCCTCCTTGCCCTCTGTGGTAACATCTCTATCTTTTAAGCATATCCATCATTCCTTCCCTTGTGGGGACTCCTGCCCTACTCTATGTGGTCTCAATGGGACTTGATTGACTATGTCGCCCTCTACCATAGGGGCAAGGATATATAACCCAGCTGGCCAATCAGACTACTCCATCCTCCTGGCCATAGCGATTGAGCCAAGCCTGGTGAATAGGTAGTGTGATGGTTAATACTGAGTGTCAACTTAATTGGATTGAAGGATACAAGTATTGATTCTGGGTGTGTCTGTGAGGGTGTTGCCAAAAGAGATTATAATTTGAGTCGGTGGGCTGCGGGAGGCAGATCCACCCTTAATCTGGTGGGCACAATCTAATCAGCTGCCAGCAGATATAAAGCAGGCAGAAAAAACGTGAAAAGGAGAGACAGGCCTAGTTTTCCAGCCTACATCTTTCTCCTGTGCTGGATGCTTCCTGCCTTTGAACCTTAGACTCCAAGTTCTTCAGTTTTGGGACTCGGACTGGCTCTCCCTACTCATTAGCTTACAGACAACCTACTGTGGGACCTTGTGATCATGTAAGTTAATATGTAATCAACTCCCGTTCATATATGTATTTGGGTTGGGGATTGGTGCGTTTGCATATATCATATTAGTTCTGTCCCTCTAGGAGAACCTTGATTACTACAGGTAGCCCCTGCTCTCCAGCAGTGCTAGTCTTGAGCTGCAGGAGAGCACCACTTAACAATGGCAGGGCCCCATGTGAGCCCACACTGGCTAATGTGCTGCAGTTGTTCAGGATTTAGCCTGGAGCCTGCCTAGGATATGAAGGGTTGGTCTCCTCTGGTCTTTTGAAGGGTGCATATCCAGAGACTCTCAGTTGATTCTTGGTTGCTTTGGAGATTTGGGGTCTTTCAGTGCTAGACTGGTTTACCCTGATTAAGATTAAATTTTACTTCCCAGGACAGAAGCACATAATGGTTACATTTAAAGTTAAGGTTATATTTTGCTTTCTGGAACACAGACACATAACAGAGGCATAAACCTATGGATCTTTGCACCAGAGGTGATTTGAAGAGGGAATGCAGGCATGCCCACCCCTAGCCCCTTCATCTAGGCATCCTGTTAAAGCAAAAGGAGTTTGCATATATACTGACAAGTTTTCTTCCAAGAATATTGTACCAATTTACATTCCTACTAAAGAGCTGAAAGTGCCTTTTTCTCTCTGCCTTCCCAAAGCACCAAGCCCAGGTGTTTAAGTTTAAAAAAATAATCAATTTTATAAATAATAAATTATAGTAATCTCTCAGCATGCATTGGGGATTGGTTCCAGGATGCCCGCTATACCAAAATCTGCACGTACTCGAGTCCCACAGTCGACCCTGCAGAATCCACAGACAGGAAAATTTGGCTGTTAGGTTTCGCATCCCATGAATACTGTATTTTCAATCTATGGTTGGAAAAAATCCACGTGTAAGTGGAACTGCACAGTCCAAACCCATGCTGTTCAAGGGTTAACTGTAGATTGTCGTATACTAATTTGTATTTCCTTGATTTCTAAAGAGTTGGAGTCTTTTTCATATTTATTGTCTGTTTATATGTCTTCTTTTATGAATTACTCCTTTGGGTGTTTTACAATTATTTAACGGTATGTATATCTTTTTCTTTTTGATTTAGTTTAGTTTAGTTTTGAGACAGTGTCTTGCTCTGTTGCCCAGGCTGTGTGCAGTGGTGTGATTATGGCTCACTGCAGCCTCAACCTCCTAGGCTCAAGTGATCCTCCCACCTCAGCCTCCCAAGTAGCTGGAACTACAGAAGTGGGCCACCATGCCTGGATATTTTTCTTATTTTTTAATAGAGACTGGGGTCTCCCTATGTTGCCCAGGCTGGTCTCAAACTTCTAGTCTCAAGTGATCCTATCACCTCAGCCTCCCAAAGTGCTAGGATTACAGGCATGAGCCACCATGCCTGGCCTTTTATTCTTTTTTAAGAGTTCTTTGCATATTACAAACTTATCTGCCTTCTGTGTTGCAAATCTTCTCAGTTTGTCATTTTCTTTGGATGTTTATTATGAATTTTTTCAATGTAATTGCAGTGTAATTTATATAATTTACATACAATAAAATGCATCCATTTAAAGTATATAATTCAGTGAGTTTTGATAAATGTGTAACAACATAACCATGACCATAAGGAAGATATAGAATATTTCTGTCACCTCCAAAAGTTCTCTTGTGCCATTTTATATGGATCTAATTTCCATAATTTTAGGTTACTTTTTTCCTATTCTTGGATTTCATATAAATGAAATAATATAATACATACTTTTCCACAAAGCATGATTTTGAGGCTCACCCATGCTGTCGTATTAGTAGTTTGTTCCTTTTTATCGTTGTATAGTTTTCCATTGTATGATTATCATTTTGATTATACATTTGATTATCCATTTGATTTGATTAATTTGATTATCCATTCACCTATTGATGAACAGGAGGTTTGATTTGATTTGATTATCCATTCACCTATTGATGAACAGGAGGTTTTTCAGTTTTGGTCTCATGAGTAAGGCTGATATGGACTTCTGAGTACAAATCCTTTTGTGGACATACATTTTCATTTCTCTTGGGTGAATATCTAGAAGCAGAATTGTTAGGTCATACATAAATATGTATGTATACATATACACATAAGCATATACATAATTTTATAAGACACTGGCAAACTCTTAAAAGAAATAGTATCATTTTGTGCTCCCACCAACATTGATGAGCATTTCAGTTGCTCCAAAGGTCTATCAACATTTAGTACTATAGTATGTTTAATATTCGCCATTCTAGCAGACTTTTTTTTGGTATTTTCTTGTCAGTTTAATTAGCCTTCCCTGATGACTAATGTTGTTAAACATCTTTTTATGTGCTTATTGGGTATTTATAGATCTTCTTTTGTTAGGTATCCTTTCAAATGTTTTGATCTTGTTTAATTTTTTTTCTTTTTTTTTTAGTTTCAAGATATTTTTATGTGAGGAAAATATAATCATGTATGTAGTACATTTCCTAAAAATAAATAAATAAACTCTCCTGGAACTAATAAGTAAATTTAGCAAGGTTGGAGGATACAAGGCCAATGTATGAGAATCAATTGTTTTTCTATGTATCGCCACAAAAAATTGGAAAATAAAAATTTTTAAATGATTATTTATATCTTTAAAAATCTAAACTACTTAGGGATAAATTAAAATAAAATATATCTAAGGCTTATACACTGAAAATTTATAAAATACTACTGAGAGAAATTAAAATATATACATCAATGGAGGAATAAATCATGTCCGTGTATTGAATTTAATATTGATGAGATATCAGTTTCCCCTAAGTTCATCTGTAGATTTGACCAATCCCAATCGAAACCTCTACAGGCTGTTTTGTAGAAATTGACAAGCTGACTTTAAAATTTATGTTGAAGTAAAAAGCACCTAGAATTGCTAGAAAAAATAAATTGAAAGGGAAGAACAGAGTTGGAACACTCATACTGATTTCAAGACTTAGAATAAAGCTACAGTAATTAAATAAATGTGGTACTAGGGAAAAAATAGACATATAGATAAATGGAACAAAATAGACCTGCACATATACAACCAGTTGATTTTTGACCAAATAATCTTGATGTTATGTTTGGGTTAATGAGAGTATTCTTCATTTTAATATTGAAATCATGTTAACTTAGTGAGAGAATGCAGAAATAGTGGTATTAAAGCTAATGGCAAGCTAGCCCATTACAATCTAATAATCCGTGGCCCTGATTTACCAATGGGCAGAGAGAAAATGAACCACTTTTGCAAATCACAGAGATCTAATTTGTAAATTGCCTTTCTCAGGGTACAAGTCTGTAGGTGGCCCCCAAATAATTATTAACTATTCACAATAGTTCTTAGTAGTAATTGACTTATTTGAACAAACAATTGGTTCCCATATTTGCTTTAACCAGACTTAAGGACTAAACATACTTGACTTCAAATATAGAAGACAGGTTAAAAGGGAGCACTTATCTTACTCTTGGGAAAGCGACATTAAAATGATTTATGTCTTATTTCTCAAAGTAGCCATTTGCCATTGATTTTACCCATGAGGCGGGCATATAAACACCAAAAGAAAGAACAAACAGTACCTTCTGAATTCAGTTTCGTGATAGAAATGAGGGTCAGAAATAAAATTATGAAAACCTTTGGGGAACACAGCAATACAAGATGAGAGGGAGTTGGAGAAATGGCTTGCATGGTAATCCCTGCCCTCTCCGAGTAATGTCTCCCTCCACATTTCTTTTGTCTTTCAGAAGATTTTGCTTTCATTTATTTAAGGGTAGGGTTCTTACATGTGGTGTTCACATATATCAGTTGAAGTAATAGACAAGAACACTTTGCAAAGGTTGACATGCTTTATAAATTTAAGGTGTTATTATTGCACTTCTGAAAGTATAATGAAGACTAAAAAAAGGTGGTTATCTACTGAAAATCCTTTGGTGATAGTAGGACTTTAAAAAAATCTTCATTTCCCGTCAAATAACCACTATGAACAGTTTGGTACAAATTTTTCCCATCACAGCTTATAAAACAAAAACCCTCATTACAGGGATATAATAAGGAGTTTCTTTTCCCCAGTTCTTTGGGTCTGGCCCAAGGACTGGGTCGGCAGCTGTTTTGCAAAAGCTGGCCACTCTCCTTCCCCCTTTTCATAGTCTCTGCCCAATTGGCCAGCAAATTAATAAGGCTTCATGTCATCCAGTGTTTTAGTTAGAAATTAACAAAGTAAAGTCTCATAAAAAATGTTTAGGAGTTGATGGTATGTAGAGTCACAGTTTAAGAACTCCATATTCTTTACAAGCAGAGTTTCTTCACTATTTCTAGCTTTCCCCACTGATCAGTTAAACGTGGCCTTGTGACCCCATGGCCTTGTTGTCTTCTTCTTTGTACTCTGCTGTCCCTGTTAAGGACACTGAAGGCCAACCTCTAATCTTACTTCCTGGTAAATAAATGGTGCACATGACCAGGATGAAATTCTAAATAGCTCAATGCTATGGAATCAAGTGCCAAGCTAACGTGAGAGTCCTTGGAAGAAGAAGAGGGAGTGAAGAGCACAGGGGTTGACTTGGTTGACTTGAGGTTAAAATAATTGGCATCACATGCTTCCTGCCCTTGTAAGGCATGGCGTATTTAAAAACCAATTGGCATTGTGGAACCTATCCTAGCTCTTTTACAAACTAGCCAAGTGGGCAATGGTAGATTAGGTAGCTTCTGAATTGGGGGCTCCTTTCATTCATCATGGGGATAGTAATGTGTGTGTTGTACCTATCTCTTGGTGTTATTCTAAAAATTGTATGCGATAATAAATGTGATGGGGTTTTATAAAATATAAAACACTAAGAATTCTTTTAAGGATGATACCTTTTGACCCAGTCACTCTGCAGAAGAAAGAAAAGCCAAGTGTTTTCAAAAGCAGAGGTCAAAGCTATAGGTTTACTTCTACTTGCTCAGTCCTTTACTCAACTCATTCAGCATATGTCTGTCAAGATCTACAGAACCACTCTTCTCTCACCTTATGGGACCAAATGGTGAAAAGAGAAGGTAGGCACACTAGCTTCATATCCAAAACAACCCATATGCCCTGCTTCAGAACCCACCCCCAACTCTGGAAGACTCTCAGATTTCCCAGACTTGCATTGGAGTTAACAGGATTCACCTGGAACAGAAGGTGTTGTCTATGGAAGCATTTGTATATATGTGTGTTGGGGGGAACATGTATCTTTGTGGTGGGGAAGGGACACAGCAGGAGTGACTTGTGGGGGTCAGAAATTACCC
Organism: Homo sapiens; assembly: GCF_000001405.40. Classification (NCBI taxonomy): domain Eukaryota; kingdom Metazoa; phylum Chordata; class Mammalia; order Primates; family Hominidae; genus Homo; species Homo sapiens. The sequence goes on from NC_000005.10 coordinate 77,164,830, forward strand.
AGGCAAAGCAGCTCTGGGAAGGCACAGGCAGAGCTTTGGGGAAGTTCTGCATTTCTGTCTCCACATTCATGAAGTTCAATATTGGCACTCATAACTGACTACAAGCCAGGCTCCTGGGCCCACAACAGGTCAAAATAGTGGTATACTGATACATGCTTAACTGGCTTGGTAGGAGAAAGGGTAGTAAATAAAGCCCTGATTTACAGTGTTAGCCAAATTCTCTGGTGTAAATGCTCCCACCATGTCTGAGTTCAAGCTACCAGCGTGATGTCACTGAACATGGAGCTGGAAAGAGATGTGCAGTCACACATCATACACAACAGTCTCACCATACAAATCTCAGAGACAAATCTCTTCAAGTGCACTGATAAGAGAAAGCGTAATAAAATAATTAGGAAGTGATGGGGTTTAAGTATTGATTACTCTTGTTTTCAATATAATTTATTTAATTACTTGCCTGTATAATTTAATTTTTAAAAATGACAGTGTCTAACAACCATCTTGAAAAATTCCTGAAATTTTCACACTCAGCTCTCATGAACCAGTACAGGCCTGCTTCAGCATAGCACTGGGTCCAAAGGAAAAGAAGAAAATGCTGAGTGTGTGGGTGGAACATCTAACCTCTTCGGACGTACAAGGCTCCTGCCTATGTCATCCTTTCCCCTGGCATGGTAAGTGCCCTAAAATAGGTCTAAGACAGACAATAGGGCTTCTCTAACCAACAACTGCAACAACAACAAAAACAAAAACAAAAACAAAAAACAGAAAAACCTTCTCCCTACTGGCATAAAAATTCCATTGTACCTCATGGGCTAAACCATATCCATGTAGCAGATAGATATGGGAAGGATTATAGGAAGGGAGAGTTTTGAGGTCTAAGAAAGATAAGAACTTAGCTAGGCATGGTGGATCATGCCTGTAATCCCAGCACTTTGGGAGGCCAAGCTGGGCGGATCACTTGAGGCCAGGAGTTCAAGACCAGCCTGGCCAACATGGCAAAATCCCATCTCTACTAAAAATACAAAACTTAGCCAGGTGTGGTGGTGCATGCCTGTAATCCCAGCTACCTGGGAGGCTGAGGCAGAAGAATCACGAACCCAGGAAGCAGAGGTTGCAGTGAGCTGAGATCGTGAGTGAGACTGCCTCAAAAAAAAAAAAAAAAGAAAAAGAAAAAAAAAAGGAAAGATAAGAGCTTGGATTATATCAGAACAGACAAAACATTATCATAGAAGGTTCTGGAAGCCAGCTGTGGCATTTGGATGCTCAGTGCTTAGGTTGAGGAGAAGCAGAAGAAATGATGGAAGGAAACTCTCTGCACTTCACAATTCTGCCCTGGGCCTGTCCTGGCATAGTTCTTGAAGAACAACATTTCTTCATGAGATTCTTTCGGTAAAGATAAAAAAAAAAAAAAAAAAAACCAACAAAAAAAACCCCACAACCTTCTGTGGTCAAAGAAACACATCTTCTAAAATAGGTCTCCCAGAATTCAGGCCACCGGCTTGTCTTCGGTACCATAATGGGATACAAAATGAGAAGGGCCTGAGGTCTAGGCATTACTAAATCCTGCCCCAGTGAGTACACACAGAGAGGAAAATGACCAAATGCCATTTCAATCCATTATCAACCCAATATACTTCTCCTTGAGTGGAAGCAGAGTTAGAAATCTCATTCTAAAAATAACATTGTGATCTGTGGCCTGGAATAATGACGCCTATCTAAGGCCAGGTTAAAGCATGTGCACGTGTGCAAGTGTGTGTAGGGTAGGGTGAGAGAATGAACACTCCCTTGTGTGTATATGCAACAGTCATTTTCTTTTCTATTTTTATATATTTTTCTAGGCAGCAGATGCAACTCTGGAGTGGGGGAAGAGGGCGGGAAGAGAGCCTGTGCTGCTGAGCACCTACCAGGACTTGTCAGGGCCCAGGCACCCTATGAAACACCTTATGTTGGTTATCCCACACCAAGCTCGCAAACCTCTGAGGTAGGCAACTTTGTCACAGAGAGAGGCTGAGTAACAAGCCCAAAGTCAAACAGCCAAGAAGAGACAGAACTGTATTAAACTTATCTACTGGACCCCAAAGACCACTCTTTTCCCTACGGTACAGTACATCCTTCCCTATCCGGACCGGAGTTGGCCACAGAAGTTGGATCATCTCCATTCCTGTATACCCGGCACCACATTGGTCCCTAGCACAAAGTAGGGTTGACAAATATTTGTTGAATGTAGTGATTTCAAAACAAAGATTTAACATCTGAAAGTTTGCCTGGCAGCATGTGAATTGGGAAGAGACTCCACAACTCTCCTAGATCCTGTGACATGGCTCTAAGTGCCAAGACATTAAACCAGGTCATAGCAGGCACTAATTCCTGTATTGCATTAACAGTTATTGGTGTATTCATAAGTGTGGCCCTGCTTGTCAACACTCCTCACCATTCTTTGAAGTCAGATGCCCCTTAATGATAAGGATGTGTTGGGTTGTACACCAGACCATGTCTGTTTTTGGCTTTGGGCCACAGGGGTGCTTAACACTTTGAGAAAAACCCAATAGAGGAATAGCTAGATTTACAAAGAAAGAACCTGTTGGGGAGTGTTTGCATTACAAAATTATTTACCACAGGGTTTGTTTAAATAGTTCCAAATTTAGATTGTGTATAGAATATGAATCAAGACACCCTGGCCGATGTGCACAGCACTTTCCAGGGCACGTCGATGCGGAGGGTGCAGTGGAGTCCTTCCACACCTGCCCCTTCCTGTGCAAGGGGGCACGCGGCTGCTCCCTCCTGCATCCACCTTTCTCCTATCCAGGAAGAGAGATGTCCCCTCAATGTATGCTCAGGAAGTCTGGTGAAAAGACAAGCTGGCTGCTCCTGAGCAGGAAAATTTGAGTGGAAAAATAGACTTGGAGAAATTGAAGGGATGAGTAGAACGGATTGTGACATCTGCTAGGAATGTCACCTCAAACCCAGAAAACACCCAGCCCAGGGAGTGAGGCCCACCCTGCGGGACCGTGTGCCCAGGACTCCTGGGGAGTCTTGAGGGAGAAACACAGCCCCCACAGCACAGAGCCCCCACCCATTTACACTAGCTGGCTTTCACCACACAAGGGGGTAACATGAGCCAAATGTTTGATGATGAGGAAGTGAAGTGGAATGTGAGAATCCTCACTGCTGACGTCAAGCTAGCCTTTCATTTTATTTATACCCATGACACTGTGACACAGGATCTAATTTTCCATTGTATTTTTTCCTCTGTTGGGAACCAAGTGATGACAAGTAAATTTGTGCCTGAGCCTGGAAAATATTTTAAATTTGAAGACAGGGACGATACGAGAGTCTAAGTCTATCTCCATCCTGCCCCTCTCCCCTTGAATTACTAAATTAACTATGGAACAGGGCAAAGGAGTAACACTCTGACAGGGCATGGCAGCCTGAGAAGTCAGAGCTGGAAGCATCCAGTTGCCTGCTCTTCACTTGTGTCAGGCTGTTCCTTCCTGGCACGGGGGCTGGAGGGAGGCCAGGGAGCAGCGAGGCTGCACGGCAGCCCTGGCACAGAGCCTCGGCTGCCGTCTGGGGATGAAACTGGGCTCTGGCACCAGGAGCGTGGTTCCAGCTCCCTGACCCAGAACTGCCTGTGCAGGGGCTGCTCTGCCACTTGTGCCCTGGTGGGACCCCACTCCTCCTGCCCCTCTGAGGCAGGGCAGATTCAGGAGCAGAGCTGGATCTGGATGGAATGGCAAGTCAGGGATGCTGGGGCGAAGGCAAGTCATATCCCTTCTGCAGAAGCAGCCTTTAGGGATGTGCCTGTGATGGGGAAGAGAATGGCATGTGTGTTCAGCAAGTGACAGAGTGGGCTTTACCGCAGCTCCTTCCTCTGCTGCCAGACCAGTGGCCTCAGCTCCATCAACAGCCTCCCTCCATTACTCCCCATGGCTTCAGGTCCAGACACAGCATTTCTAACATGGGTCCCTCCTCCCACTCTGAAATGGAAGCTCCACCTCGTCCCTGCAGACCTGCCATGTTTTCAGTAGGGCCTCTTTTCACCAGCTTTGCAATCATGTTTTTCAGCCTCTAACTCCAGAGAAATCTTGACTTCCTTGTACTCAGTTCAGAAGACGTTTGTTATTCAGGATTCTGATGCAGAGGTCTGATAAGAGAGGCCTCAGGCCTTCTGAGTTAGTAAAACCAACAGAGTCTGGGGATTCAAAAAATCCAAGAAGCACAAGGACAGCCACACCCTGAGAGTTGGCGCAGTGCCAGCTCCTGTCACTTGAACTCTTCCAGGATATTTAGACATGGGTGTCAGTGAGTTTTCACTACATTTACCTTGGTGGTTGTGTTTGATTTTGTTTGCTTGCTTTTGGAAACAAAGTGTTTCCCGTAGCACCAACACAGTCAGACCTGTGTTTTATTGATAAGATGAGAGAGCATAATAGCAGGGGCGCAGTTCAGCTTTGGGAGGTGGGGGCTGGGAAACCCCTCTGTAGAGCTACAGTTCACATAAAGCCTAGAACGGTGCTTCTCACGTTTTAACGTACATCACAATCACCTGGAGGGATTGTTAAAACACAGGTTTCAAGGGCTGACCCCCAACGTCTGAGGTGGACCCCAAGAATTTGTGTCTCCAAGTTCCAAGTGACACTGAGGCTGCTATTTGGAGACCACACTTTGAGAACTACTGGCCTAAATGGCAAGTAGGAAGTAGCCAGGGAAAGAGAGTAGGAGAGGAGGTCAGAGCAGGCAGCAGCAGCATGTGCAAATACCCGAGTTGAAAAGGAGTTTGGTGGCTGCAGGGAATGGAAAGATCAGCATGTCTGGAAGGCAGTGGATTGGCAGCTGTGTGGCTTGAGGTAATCTAAGAGATACACCTGACCCTCATCCCCATCCTGAAACTCACTCCAACGAAGCTACCTCCAGTTTGTCTTAGACACACCTCCAGTGTGTCTAAGAAGAATGGTTCCACTGAGCCCTGGAGGTGTGCTACTGCAGCTTGGGATAATCAAACTGTGCCGACCCTGTGGATAGTGTGAGTGCTGAAAGTGATTAGGTATGCAAAGGGCTGAGTGCAGAGTAAATGCTCAGTGCACTGTAGTTTTCTCTCCTCCCTGACTTGAAACACGGCTCTATCTCAAGTTCCCTATTTTAGCTATACGAAGACATGTTCCTGAATTGGTGCTGAGGTGCTATCCTGCACCTGCAAGCAAAAAGGATTAATGTGGAGGTTACCCCTGAGACCTGAACTAGGGTCCTGTTGAGTAGATGGCTATAGCTAAGAAATCTGGATGCCGCTTCCTAAGAGCAGTTTTGGGCATGTATGTGTTTTCCTCCATCATACCCAACTGATAAATGTCTCAGGTTTTTAAACCAAAGGAAGCATAGGTTAGGTTTTTGGAGCCAGAGTGCACAATTGGCCTTAGATCAATTCCTTTCAGACTGCATTTATTGAGCGCTTACTCTGTGCCAGGTACAATATTAAGTCTGGGAAGACAAAAGTGAACAAGACTGGGTCCCTTCTCTTAAGGAGCTCATGGTCTCACTGGGAGCTGGACACGTAATTAACCACAGAGCAGTGGGATAAAAGCCACAACAAAAGTCTACACAGAGGGCAAGGAAAACTCGGGAGAGGGAGCAGTTCTGCCTGGGGATGTCAGAGAAGGTCACAGATAGAAAGTGACATCTGAGCCAAGCCTGGAAAGGAAACTTCTAGAGAATAAGCAGGACTGAGGATAAAGGAACACATCTCCTTTAAGAACTTTCTTGTTATTGTTTTAAGCTCTGAACTAAATCATCGTTATGAGTTTCTAGGAGATACATGGCCACATGGTGTTAAATTTGATTTAAAATATTGCATAAGCCGATATATATAGAAACACATATGGAAACAATCTGAAAATATTTCTCCTCAAATATAGTGCCATTTGCTTTTACGAATTTGCTATTTCTAGATAAATATGTGAAATATGGTTTGGTCTTCTGAGACTCAGAAGAAATTATATCACTGTCCCAAGAAAAAAATAACTTTGGTTGCTAATTCATTCATTCATTTAGTCAGTCAACAAACATTTAGTTAGGAATTTCAATTTTTGAAGCACTACAATAGTCCATCAGGGTAAACAAAAAGATGTAAGACATTGTCTTGAGCTCAGGACTCTTCAAAACTTGGGAGTGAGAAAAATACCTGAACACAAATAATTCTAACACGAATCAGGAGTATATGATATGGATGAGTACAAAGAAAATGCTCCAAGTATCTAGAGGAAAACAAGCTATTTTCTGATGGAAATAATTGGAGAAAGCTTGATCATTTACGAAGGCGAATTCATTTGCATAGGCCTTGTAGTGTGGAAAGGGATTGGACTTAACAGAAACAAGCATTGGGGAGGTATTCCAGGCAGATGGAAGTTTGTGAACAAAACAGGTGGGAAACCTGAGGTCACTTGGAAATGGCACTTTGTCCTATTTAGGGGTATGACTTGGGGAAAGAACTGAAATAGATGGATGTCAGTCTCACAGCATAGTTTGAACTTCATTCCACTGGCTGTGGCTTCTCGGAATTTGAAATGCCAAGCATTTGTCACTTGGTTCCTTGTACATTTGTTTCAGTTGGCACCTCAGGCTTGACCTTAATCCTGGCATAATTCTGTCCGGCCCATAGAAAAATTTTTAAAATATCAATCTGTGTATGCTGGGAGTAGTAAAATCACAATGCAGCTCTAAAGCCACAGATTGAAAGTTGACCCTTTTCTTCGGGAATTTATGATTCCACATCTGGAGGTTGCAAGAGATGGGTTTTGTGTCCAAGTCCCTTCAGGAAACAGGTGAGGGCTTATTTACACAGGTGTGGGCAGGGTTAAAAAATGGTGCAGTGTCTGTGGGCTGGTGAGAGCCAGGAAGCTGTTTCCACTCCCTAGGCAGGTGGTAATGGGGCAGGGGATGAAGCCAACAATGGAACTTGGAAAGACTTCTGGGTTGCCGCGGAGGGATGGAGGTCCAGCCCTGTGCTCGTGCCTTTCATTGGCTGAACCTGACTGACTGGAAGCCAGAGGGCCAGGGACCCATTGATGAATTCCCCACAGGTCAGACTCCTAGGGCACAGGATGAGGGGAGGAAGGATGGAGATGATCTGGAGGGGCAGACAGAGCCTATCCAGCACAATCCTTTCTAGCTTTAATATTTCTGTGATGCCAAAACAACCCAAACTACAGTCAGCCTTCATTTGACAAGTATATTCTAAACACCCAACTTTTTCTCAGCAATTTATTTATTAAAAAAAGAAAGGGAGTCGATTGGATGGATAGATGAATGCGTGGATGGGGAAGAAGCCTCTGACTGGGAAAATTCATAAAATAATAACTCAACTAGATTGCAAGCTTGGCAAACTCAGGGACTGGGCTGGGTTTGTTCATTGTTGACTCCTCAGTGGCCAGCACTGTGCCTGAACTTTAGTAGGCCCACAATAAACATTTGTCTGAATAACCTGACTGATGAAACATCAAGAGCACCAAACAACATAAAATATGCAATTGGGAGTCTTGGGACAGGATAAGTCAAAGTTGGGGTAAGGAGCTAACATGCTTGCACCTAGGAGAAGCAGACAATGACGGTGTTTGTTAATTCTGCTTCTAGTAACTTTTATGCCAAAGCTTCTAAGCACTTCTCAGGGAACAAAGAACATCTGATGGTGATGGAGAGATAAAGGACAGTCTGTCCCTCAATCATAACTAGTCACTTAAAAGAGCAACATTAGAACACTTATATCCCAACCTCAATTAATTCATCCATTTATTTATCCAGTGAAAATTTATTGAGTGCTGATTTTGTATTTGGAAATTCAGAAATAAGACAGAAACAGCCTCAGCCTTCAAGGAGCTTAGTCTGGTTGGAACTAAAGATAAGACATTAGGAAATACCAGTACCAGTGCTGACTAGGGGGAGCACAGGCTGCTGAGGGAGCAACAGGAAACCTGGGACAGGCAGTGGGTGTCGGAGTAGGTAAGTTGAGCATGGAAGGACTTTTCCACTTGTTTACTTGTTTCTGGCTTCCATCCCTCCACCAGCCATTCACCCCTCCACCATCATCACCCAAACAGTATGTAAGCAAATGGTTTGTAATGCATATTTCTTTGATTTGGATGCATGTTACACCAGAGTGCCATAACCCAGCCAATAAACACATATATAGGGTAGAGTCTCATCAGCTAATCAGTGAATGCATGTAGAGGTGGTACCATCAGCCAATCAGTGAACACACTTGGAGGGTATGCTCCTTCCTCCAGAGTTTTTGGCAGAGAAAGAGAACAAGAGGTCAGAAGAGCACAAAGTGGGTGTCTGGGTTGGAAGGAGGAGATGACAGGTACAGGAATAGAGGCTGGAGATCTTGTAGACAAATCTGACTGCTGAATATTTTGGAGGATTAGTACTATTTATCTTCAACTCTTTGCAAACAAATGGAAAGTATGTGAGGAGGTTTATGTGTGCTTGTTTGGCTTTTTTGGCCTCTAGCAACTGTTGGGTACAAGATCTCAGAAAGTTACTGATCTGCATGGTCTATATTAACACTGATTCATCTGACTTAAGAAGGTGGTTGTTGGCTGATTTTTAAATATTGGCAATTTTGTTACAAAATTGCTTCATTCTCAGAGGTTTTGTTAATCAGGATATTCATGTATTTAACTTGAGGATTATGACTGGTAATGGGAGGAAAAAGCAATTTGGGGAGAAGAAACAGAAGGGAAGATAAAGAATAGCAAGTGAGTCAAAATGGAAGGGCGAATATTTCCTAATTTATCTATATTGCCCTCTTTTTTTAATGTGAAGCCTACTAGAGTTGTGAGAATTTGCTGAAAATACATTTTAATTGTTAGTTACATTTGGGAAATTGAAGTGCTTTTTAATTTACTCCCTTTCTCCCCCCATCTCATTTTTCAAAGGAAAGAAAAATGCTTCTAGCTCTAGAAAGTGTAGCGGAGTTAAGTGTATGTGTGTCTGGGGCGGGGGTGGTGGTGCGTGGCATGCGTTTTATTTTCTATGAGAACATTACTTCTGTTAGGGAATAACTCTCCATTTGCAGTCTTTAAGGCATTTTGACTTTTGATGAATTTCTTTACTATTAGCACACTCTGTCCTTGGCCTGGAAGAAGTTATGCTGGGACCAACCACTGGCCTGAGAGCTGATTCTCTTACCTTCTGGCCATCTGCTTAAGTCTCCTTTGTCCTACTCTCTGTTCAGCCCTTGAAGGTCAGTAGTCTGTTTTGAAGCTTGGTCTGCAGGTCTCCTTCTCAGAGCTTCCTCTCTTACCTATATATTGATGCTGCATGAATTTTTAGCTGTCACCCAAATACTTCCCTTCACATGTAGACCTGTGTTTCTTCTTACCTATTAGGTATCCTTCCTGGGTGTCAACACACTCAAAACTTCTCCCTCTCAGTGTTTGTTCTTGCCCACCCTGTCTCTGTTTTTATGGGAGGTACCAGCATCCCCACTCACAGCCACTGAGTCAGTCACCCACTCACATCCATGTATATGATCCCTTACCAAGTCCTAGTGTATTCCTGAATGCCTTTCCTATTCTTTCCTTTTTTTTCCATCCCCAAAGCCACTGCTCTCATCAGCTCTTTCTGGGTTATTATTGTTATTAATTATCTCTCTCTCCTCCACTGGTCTTCACTATATGCTTCCCTCAACCACCAGCTTTTTATTTATACTGTACACATCTCCATGACTATTCCTTGTGTCAAATCTTTCAGGAGCTCTCCGTTTTCTAGCTCTTCGTGTCAGTGAACAAGTCGTTGAAACAGCTTCATTCTCTCTGAGCAGGTTTTCCTCCTATCGCATGGGCCTCAGCTCCCTGGGCTCTGCTGGTATCTCCTCCGCTGCGTGACCTTGAAGAGTTGGCAGACCCAGAGTATGGTTCTCCACCCTCTTCTCCTTTCTGATGGCACCCTCCTCCCCACCACCTTAGGTGACCTCATCCAACCCCACAGCTCACAGTAGCATCTATACACTAATGACTCTCAAATTTATGGCTCTAGCCCTGACCTGTCTACTGAGCTCACACATAGATCCAGCTGCCTCTTTGACATCTTCACTCTAATAGAGATTCTTATTTCACAAGGCCCAAGCAGAACTCTTGATTTCCCACCCATTCTCTTCCTGATCCTGTCCCATGTCTCAGAGAATGGTACTACTGCCCACCCATTAGCTCAGGTCAAAAACCTAAGGGTTATCTTGTTTTTTTCCTTCTCCTTACTCCGCTCCCCACATCCAACCCATCACAGGTCCTGTCAACCTTGCATTCAAAATTCATGCATCCTGAACCTGACCCTCTCTATCCATCTCCCCTGCCTTCTGCCTAGTAACCCCCATCTCTTATGTGGATGGCTCTGACATCCTCCTGCCCTAGCAGTTTCCACCCTTCATCCCTAGAATTGATTCTCCACACAGGGACCAGAGGGATTTTCAGAAAGCAAATTATATTGTGTTTCTTCTCTGCTTAAAATTCTCCCAAGGCCTCCTCCCTGGCCTGGACTGTTGTCACTTCCTTGAACTCACCAAGCTTTTTCCTGCCTTAAGGATTTTGCATTTGCAATTCCCTTCCCTGGAATCCTATTCTCCCCAGATCTTTGCATTCCCAGCTCCCTTGGGATGATTCATGTGCCAGTTTAAACATCCCCTCCCAGGGAAGCCTTCTCAGACTTCCCAAACTAAAGTGGACTCTGCCTCAGCTTCTCTCTATTACAGTAAGTTGTTTTATTATCTTCAGATCATGATACAATGATCATTTTCTTTTCTTGTTAATTGTCTCTCTTCCTCCACTAGAATGTAAGCATCATGACAAGTATGGATTCATCTTACAAATTTATCTTACAGATCTATCCTCAGCACCTAAAATAATTCTTGGCATATAGTAGTTGCTCAAAAATATTTGTTGAGTGAATGAATGAATATATAATTGCATAAATTTGCCTCTGTGATAAAATACCTCACCACCGATTTATATATATGCATGTATATAAATGTGTGTATATCTATATATATAGATACGCACATACATATATATGTTAGCTTGTTAGCATCATCAACATCTTCAATCTTTGAAGAAGAAAGACTGGAAACCTGTTCAAGGGAACCTAAATGGTGCATCCCATTTGTTTTAACCTCATCAGTGAAACCAGAATGGGGTTATCAGTAGATAACTGCTGCTCTTCCAGCCCTGAGTGGTCGGGCTTCTATTTGTGTCCTCTTAGAAAACTATTTTCTTCTTTTCCCATATCTTTGCTTGTTGAGTTATACATCGGAAGCAGGTAGATTCCACTGCACGTCCAGGGTGACCAGAAACCGACTAGCCACCAGCCACGCGAAAGCCACCTCACTCCCACTCGTATTCCAAACAACTAGACACGCAGCACCGTAGGCAAAGCTGTGAATGGGGTGAAGTTGGTTTTGTTGCCCTTTTCCATCACCCTAGCGCTGTCTACCCTTCCCAGGGAAGCAGTGTAGGAAGAAGAGAGTGATCAACAGAGTCTTATGAAGGTTTTAGAGGCACAAAGAGTTACTGCAAAATAGAAACATTTACAGTTTTTAAACTTAAGGATAGAGCAATGCCGAAGCAATTTAAAAAAACATTTTAAGGACATTTCAAGCCCTGTCAAATGTGGGTGGAGGAGATATTCATGGGCATGAGCAGGAGGAGGGTGGATTCTTTGGCACATCTCAGTTGGATGATGTCATATTGACTACTACCTACTCGCCCAGGTTAGTCCAGAGGGAGAGGACACGGGCCCACACTGAGCCTGTTTCCCTACTGGCGGTAAGGATGCAAAGGGACAGACAGAGAGCAGTGATGCAATAATGGAAGTGGTGGCTGGTTGATATGGAGAGCAAGGGAGAAGAAGGAAAGCCAGATGGCCATGGTTTGAATTTGGAGAGTTGTTAGTAGCATGAACCACTAGGAATCAGATTTGGAAGGGAGATGATGCTTTATGGTTCAGAAGCTTTCGTTGCGTGATATTGATGGAACTCATGCTTGGAGTTGTCCAGGAGGCCATGGGGAGCATGAGAGCAGAGCTTCACTATGCGATTTTAGATACCCCAGCCCCACCTCCAGCTAGACTTGGAATTCTGTGCCTTTGGTTTCTTTTCTCTTTTCCTTCTTTCCTTCCTTCCCTTTGCTTCAGTTCCCTTTCCTTCTCTTTCTTCCTCCTGTCCCTTCTCTTTCTTTCTTCTTCCTTTTTCTCTCTCCCTTCTTCTTTTTTCCTCTTTTAAAATCTTCTACCACTCCACAGTCTCTTCAAGGTGCATGGTAGGTGATAAATATCCAGTGGGTTGAGTGTTGGGCTCTGTTTCGCTGTATGATGGCAGAAGTGGAGGAAAAAAAACCATGTTTAAACATGAGGCATCCAAAGACACTTAAAACCTAACAAATACAGTATCCCCCCCTTATCCGCAAGGGATATGTTCCAGGATTCCCAGTGGCTGCCTGGAACCACAGATAGTAATGAACCCTGTGTACACTATGTTTTTTCCTATACATACGTACCTATGATAAAGTTTAATTTGTAAATTAGGCACAGTAAGAGACTGATGATAATAAGTAATAACAAAATAAAACAATCATAACAATAGACTGTAATAAAAGTTATGTGAATGTGGTCTCTAGCTCTCAAAATATCTTAGCGTACTGTAGGTCTTAGCGACCTCAACATACAATTATTTTTCTTTCCTTATTAAGTCAAGAACTTTTATCTTTTCACTTAAAGGAAGCGCATTACAGCTTCTCTTTGGTATATAGAATGGCCAGCATCACTGCTCTTGCACTTTGGGGCCATTATTAAATAAAATAAGGGTGCCTTGAACACCAGCACTGGAATACCACAACAGTAAAACTGACAGCCAAGGTGTCTACTCAGTGACTCACGGGGGATGTGGTGGAGGTAGTGGATATAGCATGGAGACACTAGACAAAGGGACGATTCACGTTCTGGGCAGGACGGAAGCAGGACACCTCTAGATGTTATCAGAATGGCATGCAATTTACAACTTATCAATGGTTTGTTCTGGAATTTTTCAATTTAATATTTTTGGACCACTGTTGACTGTGGGTCACTGAATTGCAGAAACTTAAACTGTGGATAAGTGGGGACTACTGTATGTGCAAACCATCAGAACTCAGGCTAGTGGTTTTAAGATACTGTCAATTTTTATGCAATATCTCAGGAAAAAATAGACAACCTCCCAGTTGCCACAGACATGTACTGTAAGCAGACGTCCTCCTAGTACTTCTTAACTGGCTCTTCTGGAAAATTCTCACTCTCTCAGAAGTGAATAGTATGGCTTTTCTTTTTCTTTTATAGATAGAAGAGGAATTCAGAGGATTTGGTGCCTTTATCCTTCCTCATCATCTCTTTGTTGTTTTTTTCTTTTTGTTTTCCATTTAACTTATTTATTTTTCTTTCAGAAAACATTTATTTTTAACCTGGGTCAATGTACCCTGAGTTTTTCAAACTGTCCTTTAATCTGTTGGGTTGTTTTTGCATCAGACTTTATTAAAGTTATTCTTTTGCCTTGCTTTACCTTCCACAAATCTCAGCCTGCACTTAATGCTTTACTTTCTGATTTCGTTGCTGTTCTGCTTTTCCTTGTCTACCCAGGCCTAAAAAGACTATGAGTGTGAAATAATGATAGATCATGCTGTTAATTTAAATCACCTTGGCCCTTCTACCTAACCCCCTTTGCCTCACTTTTCCTTCTGTGGAAGGACAAAGTATATTCGTTTGCTATTGCTACATAACAAAGTACAAATTCAGTGGTTTACAATAACACATATTTATTATTTCACAGTTTCTGTGGGTCAGAGCCTGGGCATGGCTTTACTAGATCCTCTGTTTTAAGATTACTCTGAAAGCGGCAATCAATATCTCAGCTGGGGCTGCAGTTGCATCTCAAGGCTCAGTTAGGGAAGGGTTCACTTTCAGGCTCTCCTGATTTTTGGCAGAATTTACCTCCTTTCAGTTTGTTGGACCGAGGGCCCTTGAACAAAGGCACCCTCAGTTCCCTGCCGGGTGGGCCTCCCCAGTATGGCTGCATGTTTTATCAAAGCCAGCAAGAGAAAGCCTCTACTAGCAAAACTGTATAACTTAATCTATGAAGTGTCATTTGGTCACCTTTGCCATGTTCCATAGGTGGGCAGCAAGTCAAGTCACAAGTTCCATCCACACTCAAGGGGAGGGGACAACACAAGGGCATGGACACCAGGCAATGGGGATCATTGGGAGTCATCTTGAAGTTTGTCCACACATGGAGGAATGCTTTTGTGAAAAAATGCTTGGGCTCCTAGAAAAACGTGGCGAAGGCCATATTCATACTGCATTCATGCCTTTTTGTAGGCCTTTATGACTAATGTCAAAAATAATAATTTTTCCTCGTTTTATTTCTAAAAATGACTTATTTTTCTTTTCTGCCATTAGAAATCTCATCAGCCTTTCTGGATGAGAAAGTCAGCAGGAACAGATTGTTGTTGGTCTTGGTTTTGGCTGGACTGACTCAGCACTGTGGGCAGCTGAGAAGGAAAAGGCCTTGCAAATGCTCTCTAGACCTTAGTTCAAAATCCCTCCACCCCAGAGGAGCCAGGTATGGGCCAGGCATGGTAATAGCTGCAAGCAAGATGCCAGGACCATTTAAGGCTGAGGCATTTAATTAGGTACAATGTATTACTTCCTGAAAGTGTATGAAAGCTTCATAGTGTCTGCTTAGACATTTAGTGATAGCAGCTACCTACCCAGATTGGAGGGGATTTGGGTGGGGGGCGGCTCTAGAAGCTTAGCTGCACCTTTGGTTTGATCCGTGTTTGACTCATGTTTGTAAATTGTCCCTACAATTAAGGCTGAGGGATAACTTCAGCCCCTAATAGATTTTTCTCAAGGTTTTTTCTCCTTATGTTGCTGAGGCTGGTCTCGAATTCCTGGCCTCGAGAGATCCTCCCGCCTTGGCCTCTCAAAGTGTCAGGATTACAGGCCTGAGCCACCGCGCCCAGGAGATGTTATTTTCACATTCATTCTTCTACTTGGAGGAAAACCTGTCTTTATTACATATGATGTGTTATATATGTATAGGGACCAATATCTCTAACTTGAAAATCTCTTTAAAATTATAGTGTATATGATTGTGAGTTGAGGGCTGCAGGCAAATCTGATCTTTCAGCGTTTTCCTGGGGGCAAAGGCCCAACGAGAGGAAAGTGGAGACCTGTAAAGGGGGTGTTGGGAATCCGAATCCTGAGTCCCAAGAAAGGCTCCAGGTTTGGCAGCTCCAGCGAGGCTGGACTTCCCTCGAGGGGCCAGGAAGGTGTTGCCCAGAGCGGAGCAGCTCAGCGGGCTCAAAGTCTTGGCTCCACACCCCGGGAGGGGCGCTAGGACCCAGGCACCCGCCGGCCCGGGGACGCGTCTGGAAAGTGAAGGCGCGGAGGCTCAGGCTCGCTGCCAGAGTCCCACGGAGCAACCAGAGCCTTCACGTGGGCACGAGGCCCGGGGAGTGGGGTGCAGGGTGCGCCAGGCCGGTGCCCTCTGTGCGGGGCTAAGGCGCCAGGCACGGGCACCACCAGGGCGCCCAGGAGCCGCCCGCCGCCGGCATGGACCAGCTGTACTGCCCACCGAGCGCGTGCCAGGTGAGCCCCCAGCGCGGGGGACCGCGCAGCCCTCGGCCGCCCCCTCACACCTGGGTACCCGGCCGCTGGCACAAGCCCAGAGCCGGCTTCAGGGCCCCCTTTCAGACACCCAGGTGCTAGGGTGGCTTTTTTTCTTTTCTTTTCGCCCTTAGTCCCTGCGTGTCCTAGTGCCAACTACCTCCTTCCTTTCCAGGCGGGAAGCACCTCGAGCGTCTAGTGTAACCGTCAGGTTTATTATTCCCAATAATAATTGACCACAGACAGCCGCCGTTCGCGTCCACCTGGCGCTTCTCAGCAGGAGCTGGACCTGTTTCTCCGTCGGGCCGGCTCCTCGGGCTGCTGTTGCGCCTGGTGTTTTCCACGCTTCCCCGGCGCGGGACGGTGGGGCCCCTGCATTCCTCCTCGTGCTTCCAGTGGCTGCAAAGCTGCCTCCCCTTCTGAGTAGTGAGTCGCCGGCAGCCCCAGCGTGGGGTGTGTACACGTGTGTGTGTGTGTGTGTGTGTGTGTGTGTGTGTTTGCGCGCGCACCTCAGTGCCTAGCTCCAGCGCTCGGGACTCTGCAATGGGGCACCCACCCCTACCCCTACCCCTACCCCAACCCCCACCCCCACCACCATCCCCACCCTCACCCTTGCACTAAGTTCTAGGGACAACGCTAGCTGGGTGAATAGACGGAGCGTGGACTAAACCACCCGCCTCATCCCCTGTGGGAAGGGATGTTTGGAGGTGGAGCAAAGCAAAGGAAGAGCTGGAACGTGTGTACAAAGAAGGGTCCCACGCTGCGGGGTCGCAGGAAAGTGCCCGGGAGAACAGTCTGTGGTAGGGAGGGACGCTTAGTGCAAGGGGGAAGCTGCGCAGGCGGCGCTGCCACTCTGAACTTGGGGGCGTTCCGCTAGGCGTTCAGAGTGTCCTCTGAAACGCACCTAGTTACCAGGATCAAAGTAGCTGTGCTCCTAAGGACTGTTGGGAGAGGTGAGGCTTGCAGCAGCCTTTACAAAAGCTTGGCTAGAAGCCTTGAACCGTCCACAGGCTCCTCTATACCCTCAAGACTAGCTGTGCCCATCCATTCTGCTTCTGGCTCAATCTGACACCAGTTTACCCGTCCCCAGGTTGCCAGCTCCAGAAAAACACTGCTGGCGGCGAGGTGTGAGTTACTAGGACTGTAAGACCTCCGCAGTTGAGTGGTGGTTATTTGCCCAGGCTGCCTTCCATGGACGGTCGGTCGGGAGGTCAGGGTGGCTGGGGGCATGCTGGCTCTGATAGTTACAAGTGCTTCTGTCTGAACCTGAAGTTGGACGTGCAGTGCTAACCTAGAAGAGAGAGTTCCTCTAAACTGTGTGTTGGGAGACAATCAACGAAAACATTTACACAAGGTCCCCAGGGGAGGCGAGGGCCAGAGGACCCGCCCTCTCGGATTTTATAACCCAGCAGTTCGCATTGCCAGTTCTACTTGACTGCCCTCTTGACCTTGAATAAGTTATTTTAACTTTGTAGAGGTTCGGTTTTCCAAGAAGCAAAAACAGAAGAATGACAATTCATCAGCAGTGGCAAGAGCATGGATTGGAGGCCAGGGAGTTGGATTCCAAGCTCAGTGGTACCACTGACCAGTTGTGAAACTCAGGGCAAGAGGTACAACCTGTCCTGGCCTCAGCTGCCAGGAAGGCTCAGAGCCTTTAATTCTGGATTCCACTCTGGCAGTAATCTGCCAGACTTAGCCTGTGAATGCTCACTAGTTCTTTGCAGTCTTGCTACAGATTGTACTTGGTTCCAAAGAGCGTTTATGGACGGAAGAGATACTAGATCAGTGGGTGAATTGAATTTTAATTCCAATCTGTTCATAGGGCTACACAAATCATTCAGGCTTAAAGATAGGTGGAAGTAAGCCTGACTGGTTTAGTTAATGCTTAGAATGCACTGGGAAGGATCTCACATAGAAAGTCCTGGTAAAGTTTGAGCTTGGTTATATAATCCTGGAAGACATCCTTTCTGTGCATTTGAAAGATTCCAGCCACAACCTCCCTGTTACAGGCATGAGTAGAGGGGAAGCCCCACACTAACCCCTCAGTGGAAGACAGCCCAGTCTTGCAGAGCTCATGGAGGCCGCTTACATCATATCTGATAAACAATTGACTTACCTGGGAATGACTCAGTTAATGTCAACTTCTCAGAAAAGCAGCTTATCAGTTTGGTAATGAAATAGTTAAATTGTCTTTAAAAGCTGTATTAAATATTGGATGCCTAATTGCCAGAGCTTATTGAGATAAGCACTGCTTTTTTTTTTTTTTACTTTATATACACATCTTATTTTTATTTATGGAGAATCAGTTAATAAACACATTTTAAATTCAATATATTATGTATTTGCTTTTTTGATAACACTGCTCTTTAGCTTTTTAATTTAGCTTTAGGAAGGGAAATAAGCAGGATGACAATTTTTTTTACTAGATAATTATTATAAGAGATTAAAAAGCCACAAAGAACCTTGTTTCTTCAGGTTTTCAGAGATGAATATCAACATAATGGTGAAAATTTTTTAAGTACTTAGGCGCTAGGCATTGGACTAAGCTCTTTATGTAAACACTATCATGTAATCCTATCAACACCTTCTGAAGATGTGCTATTATTATTATTATTATTATTATTAATTATTTTGAGACAGAGTCTTGCTCTGTTGTCCAGGCTGTAGTACAGTGGTTTGATCTCGGCTCACTGCAACCTCTGCCTCCCAAGTTCAAGTGGTTCTCCTGCCTTAGCCTCCCGAGTAGTTGGGGCTACAGGTGCGCACCACCAGGCTTGGCTAATTTTTGTATTTTCAGTAGAGACAGGGTTTCACCATGTTGGTCAGGCTGGTCTCGAACTCCTGACCTCATGATCCACCCGCCTCGGCCTCCCAAAGTGCTGGGATTACAGGCATGAGCCACTGTGCCTGGGCGCTACTATTTCTTTAAATTTTACAAATGGGAGAGCTGAGACTTCTCATCTTAGATGACACAGCTAGTAGGTGGTGGAGCTGAACCAGCCAGCTGGGTGTATTTACAATGATCCAAGCGACATGCAAGAAGGAAGAAAAGGGGAGGGCAAAAAGTGCCTACTACGTGTCAGATGCTTTATACACCTCAGTGCATAGAGATTTAAAAATCTTTTATGAGTGATAATTTTCTTTTCTTTTTCTACTTGGACTTTCTTGCTTTCATCAACATGATCTGGGTGTCTTTTCATGTCAGCAAAGAGATTGACTCCTTTATTTTTAACTCTGTAAGCTTGAGAGCAGATGGGTAAACCGTAATTTATTTAACCAATCCCTGTGAATGGGCATTTGGATTATTTCTCAGTTTTCACAGTCACATACAGTACTTGTGAAAGATCACACAGTGGATCCATTTATTTATATATTTCTGCATACCTGTTTAGATATTTCTGGTGAATCTGTTCCTAGGGGTGGAATTATTATGTGAAAGATCATGGTTACTATTTAAATACATACTTTTTTTTTTTAAAAAAAAACAGAATCTCCCTCTGTTGTCCAGGCTGGAGGGGAGTAGTGCATTATTGGCTCACTGCAGGCTTGACCTCCCCATCCAAGCAGTCCTCCTGCCTTAGCATCCGGATTAGCTGGGACTATAGGCGTGCGCCACCATGCCCAGCTAATTTTTTAATTATTGTAGAGACAGAGTCTCACTGTGTTGCCCCAGCTGGTCTCAAACTCCTAAGTTCAAGTGATCCTCCCACTTCAGCCTCCCAAAGTACTGGGATTACAGGTGTGAGCCACCGTGCTGGCCAGATATATACTTTTAAATACATACTGCTAACTTGCCTTCCCTAAATGAAATGTAATTTCTGATTTGGGGTCCAATTCTTCCACTAACATGTTTTTGGAGTTTTGATAAATCATTTAATCTGAGAGGGTCTCAGAAGTATTGTCTATAAACTATGGATGGTAGGACTTGTTGGTTGCCAAGGTCTTTTCCAACCGTAAGGGTCTGCAAATATGTGCAGTTAGAGGTCACACAAATGAAACTGTCCATATTTGACCATTTTTTGCCTACAAAAACAACAACTTAGTATGATTTTATCTAATATCACATGAATTCCTAAAATATCTGTTTTTGGTACCCTGGCTTTTCTGAGGTAGCTTTATGTGTGAGAAGTGGCTAGGCTATGCTGCAGCCACAAATCAACCCTGAAACCTCAGTAGCTTAAAAAATAGAAAGAGGCTGGGCATGATGGCTCACACCTATAATCCCAGCACTTTAGGGGGCTGAGGCAGGAGGATTGCTTGAGGCCAGAAGTTTAAGACCAGCTTAGGCAACATAGTGAGACCCTTCTTTAAATTTTTCAAAATAAAAATAAAAATAAAATAATAAAATAAAAATGAAAAATAAAATATAAAGATTTATTTGTCACTCACATTTTATGTCCAAAGCAGGTTAGCAGAGTGCCCTGCTCCACAGAGGCACTCAGGGCACCAGGCTATCAGAGCTCTGCCATCTTGTAACTGCACTATCTAGAACATGCAGTCTTGATGGTCCTATGGCAGGGGAGGAAACAGAGACAGTGGAGAATCAACACCTGCTTGTAAATGCCTTGGCTCAGAAATGAAGCATATTTCTTGTATTTACAGTCTTTTGGTAAGAACTAGTCACACAGACCTCAACCTGATGCGTGGAGACAAGGAAATGCTTTTCAGTGTGTCCAGAAAGAGAAAATGGTAAATACATAGCACTCTGTATTAGTTTGCTAGAGCTGCCATAATAAAGTACTAAAGACTGATAGCTCACACAACCGAGATTGACTTCTTTATAGTTCTGGAGGCTAAAAGCCTCAGAACTATAAGGTATCAGCAGCATTGGTTAATTCTGAGGACCTCTCTTCTTGGCTTGTAGACGGTCATCTTTTCCCTCTGTCTTCATATGGTCTTCCCTCTGTGTGTCTATGCCCTAATCTCTTCTTACAAAGACACCAGTCATATTGGATTAGGAGCCATGTTAATGACCTCATTTAAAATTAATTCCTCTTTAAAGACTCTATCTCCAAATACAGTTACATTCTGAGGTACTGGGAGTTAGGACTTCAACCTAAGAATTGTGTTGAACACAATTCAGCCCATAACACATTGTCTCTGTCAGACAGCACATCCTGAGATGTAGTCATGCTGTTTTCATTGGAGGGGGCCTGTAGGTTACTGAGCCATGTTATGGAGTCATCTTCCTCTTCACCTCACATCCATCTCCTCCTGTCCCCCCACCCCCTGCCATTTCCTAACCCAAAACTGTTATTTTTCTGAATTCCCTGGGTAATATTTAAAGCGGCCCAATGTTACTACTTACATCAAGCAAATTTTATTGATGGCATTGACTGTAATGTGAAGCCGAGTGGCTGTGGGTTAGAGATGGGAAACCTAGGGGTTAGGAGCACCAACTCTGAAGCAGACTGCCTGGGTGCTAATCCCAGCTCCATTGCTTGCCAGTAGTATTCCTCATCTGTCAAATGGGAATAGTAATACTTCCCTTGCAGGGTTATTGTCCTGATTAAATGAGATAATCTATGTAAAGTGGTTGGTACAGACTAGGTGTCAAAAATGGTGGCTATTATTATTTGCAGCTTCAGAAGCTCATGGAGCCCTTCACACCCAGTGTCCTGCATTCCAGCCTGTGTCCCAGCATCACAGACAACCCAGAGGCTCTGCCACACAAGCTCCCAGGGCTTCCCTGGTGTGCCCAGGAAGCATGTATTTGTTAGTATGGCAGTAATTGCATTACCACTTTAAAGCTCCAACAGCCTACGCATATTAAAGTCATAGGTTCCTAATTAGATCGTACAGCCAAAAGGAACAGAAGAGACTATCCCCTTAAATAGCCCCTTAAAATTATTATCCTTGTTACAGTTAAGACAATGAGAATTGGCAGTTAAATTGATTTGGAAAAGCAGCATTTCAGTTTTTCTAAGAGGCACCCTCTTCCTCTCCCATTTTAATGACCCTGGAATCAGGATGTGTTAATACCTGAGAGTTAGGCCTGCAACCTTTTCCCGTTGACCTGCCTGGGAAGATGACTGCAGACTTACCTTCTCATGCCATCTTTTTCTTGGAAACACAGCAGTTGGATTGCTGTGTACCTGAGGTGAATTATCTGTCTTGATTATTGCAAAACTATTGATTCCTGAGACTGCATTAGGATTGGAAGAGCTATGAGTTGCCCAGTGGCCTTGGGCCTCCATGATTGGAGCAAGAAAGAATCCAGAAGGAAACCAAAGCAGTGGTTTCTCCTGGGTAGGGTGAACCACACCCTTCATCTTTGGCAACTATGTGCACCATAGTGCGCAGAGGGGAGGCCAAGAGTCTGCAACTGTGGGTAGTTGCTGGGCCTTCCTACGAGATAGCAGATACTATGCAAGCTGTGTTTCCCATTCTGTTTCCTACTAGAAAGCTAAATAAAGGCAGTGATAGATTAAAACCTATTGTGTCTTGTGAATTGATTACAAGTCTGAATCTGTGATCACTGCTGCTGGTGGGACAGCTTCTTATAAATTGCTGTCAGCCAGGCAGTGGTTGTAATGGATTTGTCTATGAATATGTACACAGTGTACACAGTTTCAGCTTTTTATGTTTTCAACATTTGTTGAAGTAGGTGCATGGTTGATAATACATGTGTTTAGTTTACTTGCTGGCTAAGATGACTTCACAAAGGTTACACTATGATTTGGCCTTGACACAAAAGTTATTGTTTACACAGGGAGTCAAGGAAATAGAGCATGGGGATAAATTTGATATTGATGAGGCAAATATTTGGCATTGGAGGGATGATGCAATTTCAGTTTTCTTTGCTTGTTTGTTTTGCAAAGTAGCAGCCAAGTGCTTTTAAGGAAGAAAAGATACCCACAAGTACCTACAGCTAGATTTATGTTTCAATATTGAGAGATGTGCAAAGGGGTTACCTCTTACATGTCAAGTAACTAAACTGAAGCCAGGAGATATAGCCTAATCTATAGATGAAAAAAAAAATCAAAGCAGTGAGCGGCCAGTGGGAGCAATTTTCATATCTTGTAGGACTGTCATTGTTTGATGGGCAGCATTCTTTTCTTAGTGATACATAAAGTGATGGCATTCCCTACAATTAGTGGTATTTTAGATTTGATGAAATATGGCAAAAATGGCAAAGAGGGGACTAGAATCCAGAGCTTCTATCTCTCAAGCAGTCTACTTTCTCCTACCCATACCAAGGTGTGCATTCCCTGACCCTGGTGTTGTCTGACTCCAGCCTTGGTTTTCATCTTCGAAAGAATTTTTAAACTTTTCCCTAGAAGATTAAGACAATTACACTGAGGCATAAACAAATGAAAAAGCAACCATCTAGCATACGTGGCCAGCCAATATTCTCCATTGTAAATATTACTCCTTTTGAGTGAAACTTATGAAGGGTGTTACTAAGGTCAGGACATTACTAAGAAAGTAAGTGGCTTAATAAATGTATTTATCACCAGCTCTTTATCATTGTATACATGTTTAAGAGGCCATGGCTGATTAAAGAGTAGGAGAACATGACTTCTCTAGGGTTTTAGCATCTATTTTCTAGTTCCAGTTAGTATTAAAAAATAAATTCAAGACCATCTTTGTTGGAATAGCATGCAATTGAAATAGGAAAATTAACTTGCTCAGAGAGCTTTTAATTAAATCTTTGTTTGAAAACTTCACAAAAGACCCTCTTAGTAACCTAAGAGTACTTTAGAAAGTTGAGGAGTTCTAGATCCTGTCCTGGCTTTCGATGGAATGATATTAGGAAGGTTGAGATGAATAATATTGATAAAGGGCTTACTATGAACATCTTTGTCAAACAGCCATTGAACAGCATTCCTGTTTAAAGTGCATCGTTTTGCAGTACTCATTTTCACATCTTGAAGAGGAAACACCCAGTTTTATTCCAGAGTAGCATTTTCAGGGGGACAATGGCTACTGAAGTATTTTCACAATCTGTCTTTTCTTGGGTAAGTTTTTCTGTTTAAGGAAGGGCATTTTGGATCTTTAAATACGGCATGCACTGGGGGTTCTCAATGTGCTGTCACTCATATCATGAGAATAACTTCTGTCGGAAAGACCACAGCTCACCCACTGATCTCTGCAACTGCAGAAAAGATCTCACGGCTGCAAGGATTGCACAAGAGGAAAATAAGTAGGAAGGAAGGAGTGGGAGGAAATAGTGAAGGGAGTAGAAGGAAGGATAAAGCAGTGTATTTCAACCCTGTGCATCACAACACACAGAGGACAATGTAATATTGTCTAGGACATTTGAGTCAGTGGACAAGGCTCTGTGTCTGCTCCAAATGCTGAATGGGTGACCTGAAGGCTTAGAGAATCAATATCTTGCTTCCGTACCAGTTCAGCTGGTACCCTGATGAGTAAGTCTGAGGGTAAAGCATAGCCCTCAGTGGGGGAAGGGAGAAGAGGCTGGGGACCACCACATTATCTGCTCCTGCCTGTCTCAAACACCTAGATGGCCTCTTGCTTTGGCCCAGGTGTAGTTGGTCTTCTCTTTCTCCCCTAAGCCCTTCCCTCTGCCTTTCTAGGGATTTGCCCAGTCTGCAGGGTTTTTCTCTGCACTACAGCAAGCACTGCTGTCATTCACACCCCCTCTTCCCCAGGCTTGAAATCTGGAAGGCAATGAGAGCTGTGAGCAGCAGGGGAGGACACAGGCGGCCTAGGACACTTGCTTCCCCACTCTGACTTGTCATCCTTAAAGGACATATTTCTATTATTCATGCAACACATAATTAGTGAGCATCTAATATATGCCAGACAAAGATCTTCTCTTGAGGCTTACCTTCAAGTGTTGGGATAAAGTCAAGAAGGAAAGGAGAGGAGGAGAAGGAGAGGAAAGGGAAGAAGAGGGAGAGGAGAAAGGATGCAAGTGTCAGATGTGGTGAGCACCAGAAAGAAAGATAAAGCAGGAAAGAGCAATAATAACTGTCCAGGATGGGGTGGGGAACATTGCCATAGTAAATAGCATGGTCAGAGAATGCCTCCCTGATAATGTAATATCTGAGCTGAAGCCTGAAGGAAGTGGGGAGTGATATTTGTGAAATTTTTTGGATATTTGTGAAAGAATATTTCAAGTGGGAGGGATAGTGGGTGCAAAGGCCCTGAAGGAGCATGTCGGCATGCCCATGGTGCAGCAAGGAGGCTGCTGGAGCAGGAGGAAGTGAGCAGGAGGGGCAGCAGGAGCTGAGGGCAGAGAGGTTGTGGAGAGCCAGGCTGCTCAGGGACTGTGGTCGGCTATAAAGACCAGGTCAGATGGGAAGTGGGGGGTCTGACAGTTTGTAGGAGGCTCACCCTGGCTGCTTATGGAGAATAGCCTGAGGGAAGCCAGGTGAAGCTAGGAGACCATCAGTCATCCAGGCAAGAGGTTTTGGCAGCTTAGACCAGAATGGTAGCAGTGAAGATGGCAAAAAATGGTCAGATTCTGAATCAGTTTTGTAAGTGGACCTAACAGGATTTGCAGGCAGATGGAATATGGAGGGAGAAAAGATCTAGGGTGACATTAGAATATCTCTAAGGCCCCTTCTAGCACTAACACGGTGTGAGTTGTTACCATCAGCCCATTGGTCGGGCTTGCCACCTGGTGCCTGTCCTTTGCCCATGTTCTTATTAATTCTTCTCCATGAGTTGAGTCAGCTGACCTGGTTGTTATCAAGGGTGATTGTGGTCTGGCTTTGTTCTTGAGTGCCAAAATGCCCTTTGGTTTCCCTGGAGGGGCAAACCTTCCAGGGAGTTCTAAGGCCAGTCCTTGACTGCAACAGTTTAACATGCCATGGTCAAAATAAAGGCTGCTTTCCCTCTGGAAGCCTTTCTTCATAACCAAACTTGGAGTGCCACTAAGATAGCTCTAAAGGAGAGGGGTAGATCTAGTTTGTTAGCTGAAAAATGTTACTCTTAATAAATGAATCATAATTAGTGGAAAGATGAGAACCAATGCAGTCATCTGTTGCAGAATTTATTTGATAAATGGGATAATAGAAGAGAAAAGGACGTCTACAGTCTATAGTTTAGCGGCCAGTACTAAGTGAGGCTCAATGAGAAGCCAAGAGAAAGCAATTGCTTCACTGAAATCTGATCTGACACACAGATGAGTGTGATGGAGGTGCTCCTGTCTCTTCCTTTCACTTGGCCCTGGTAAGGTCTGACTGGTGTCAATCATGGCTTTTTTAGACCTAAAAGTTGTGTTCTCCTCATCACTTTGGCTCTAGCATATGAACTGGTTGTGTGAACTGTTGGCCGAGGCCTTCCCTTGCAGAATTAAAACAACCTCTGTCTCTCAGTATATGCTCTAGGAAAGTTTTAATTGGCTGAAGACAAAGTAGGCCCAAGAATAATATGATTCGTAAGGGATGGTGAATTTATTATCTTATGCTTGGTGGTCCAGTATATCAGTCGGCTTCAGCTACCATAACAAAATACCACACACTGGGTGGCTTAAACAACAGATACTCATTTCCTCACAGTTCAGAAGGTTAGAAGTCCAAGATCAAGGTGCTGTCAGGGTTGGTTTCTGGTGATGCCCTTCTTCCCAGCTGGCACACAGCCATTTTCTTGCTGTGTCCTCACATGGCTTTTTCTCTGTGCATGTATGGAGAGAGCTCTATGGTGTCTCTTCCTCTTCCCACAAGGATACTGTCCTATTGGATTAGGGTCCCACCTTTATCCTCATTTAACCTTAATTACCTCCCTCAAGGCCCTATCTTCAAATATAGTCATATTGACAGTTAGGACTTCAACTTAGGAATTTTGGGGGACAGACTTCAGTCCATAACATGAGGTAAATGTAAGTTTTTTTAAAAATGAATTTTATTGACGTATAATATTTATGTACAATAAAACATATCTTTTTTTTTTTTTGAGACGGAGTCTCACTCTGTTGCCCAGGCTGGAGTGCAGTGGCGCGATCTTGGCTCACTGCAAGCTCCGCCTCCCGGGTTCATGCCATTCTCCTGCCTCAGCCTCCCGAGTAGCTGGGACTACAGGTGCCCGCCACCACACCTGGCTAATTTTTTTGTATTTTTAGTAGAGACGGGGTTTCACCGTGTTAGCCAGGATGGTCTCAATCTCCTGACCTCGTGATCCACCCGTCTCGGCCTCCCAAAGTGTTGGGATTACAGGCGTGAGCCACTGTGCCCGGCCAAAACATATACCTTTTAAAGCAGCGGTCCCCAACCTTTTTGGCACCAGGGACCAATTTTGTGGAAGACAATATTTCCACAGATCGAAGGTGGGGATTGTTTCGGGTTGATTCAAGCACATTACATTTATTGTGCACTTTATTTCTATTATAATTACATTGTAATATATAATGAAATAATTATACAACTCACCATAATGTAGAATCAGTGGGAGCCCTGAGCTTGTTTTCCTGCAATTAGATGGTCCTGTCTGGGGGTGATGGGAGACAGTGACAGATCATCAGGCATTAGATTCTCATAAGGAGTGTGCAACCTAGATCCGTTGCATACGCAGTTCACAGTAGGGTTCGCACTTCTATGAGAACCTAATGCTGCCACTGATCTGACAGGAGACGGAGTTCAAGTGGTAATGTGAGTGAGGGGCAGTGGCTATAAATAGAGATGAAGCTTTGCTTGCTTGGCCTACCGCTCACCTCCTGCTATGTGGCCCAGTTCCCAACAGGCCACGGACTGGTATGGGTCCATGGCCCAGGGGTTGGGGACTCCTATTTTAAAGTGTACAGTTTGATGAGTTTTGACAAAGTAAGTCATCTTGTAATGTGTCCACATAATCACCACCACAGTCTAGATATAGACCAGTTCTATCAGCCTGAGTCACGTGTTCCTTCCCAGCCAATTCCCAACCCCCACCAGAGACCCCAAGTAACCAGTGTCTTCCTTCCATTCCACTAGACTAGAGTTGTCTGTTTTAGAGTTTCATGTCAATAAGATCATACACATAACTTTTTGTGTCTGTCTTGTTTCACCCAGTATAAGGATTTTGATTCATACATGCTGTTGTGTATATCAGTAGTTTGTCACTTTTCATCTTTGAGTAGAAGTCTATTTTATGGGTGTACCACAATTTGTGTATTTACTCACCTACTAATGAACATTTGGGTTGTTTCCAGTTTGGGGCTATTATTTTAAAAGCTACTATGAACGTCCATAGATAAGCCTTTGGCCATTTTCCATTATGTTCTTATTTCTCTTGGGTAAGTGCCTAGAAATGAAATTCCACCTTTCCATGGTAAGTGTATGTTTTTAATAAGAAAATATTAGAGACTGCTGTCCTTAAAAGAGATTGTAGTAATTTACATTCCCATCAGTAATGTACGAGAATTCCAGTTGTTCTATATCTTGCTAACACTTGGTATTGTCAGTCTTTTTCATTTTAGCCATTTTAGTGGCTGTATGCTGGTATCTCATTGTGGTTTTATTTGCACTTCACTGATGACTAATTGATGCTGAGTCTTTTTTATATGATTACTGACCATTTTTATTTCTTGTATTATGAAGTATCTGCTCTAAATATTTTGCCCAATTTTTAAAATTGGGTTGTTTGACTTCTGATTATTGACTTGTAAGACTTTTAAAAATATATTCCAGATACAAGTCATTGGATGTATATTTCTCCCAGTCTGTGGCTTGCCTTTTTATTTTCTTGAAGATATCTTTAAAAGAGCAGACTTTTACATTTTCAATGAATTGCAATTTATCATGTTTTTCTTTTCTAGTTCATGCCTTTTACATTCTTTTAAAGAAATCTTTGCCTACCTCAATTTCACAAAGATTTTTTCCTATGTTTACTTCTAGAAGCTTCCTTCTTAAATTCTACGATCCATTTCAAGTTAATATTCATGTATGGTGTAAAGTAAGGGTGGAAGGATTTTGTTTTTTTGCTTGTTTTGTTTATGCATTTGGATACTCAGTCATTCCACCACCATTTGTTGAAAAGACTATACTTTCCAAATTAAGTTACTTTGGTAGTTTTACTGAAAATTAATTGACCCTATATGCGTGGGTCTGTATCTGGACACTATTTTATTCCATTGATCTATTTGTTTGTCCTTATGCCAATACCGCTCTGTATTGTTTACTGTGGCTTTGTACTAAATTTTAAAATCAGGCACTGTTTGTCTTCTTTGTTCTTTTTCAAAATTCATTTGATTATTCTAGGTCAATTGCATTTCTACATAATTTTTCTAATCATTTTGTCAATTTTTACAGATATAAACCTGTTGGGTTTTGATTGAGATTGTATTGAATCTATAGATCAATTTAGGGGGAACTGACATCTCAGCAATAAGGAGCTTTCTGATACAAGAACATTGTATATCTCTATTTAATTAGACTTTTAAATTTCTCTATCAGTGTTTTATAGCTTTCAGTGTGAAGGTCTACAGAAAAATTTTATGCTTTTTAATATTATTGTAAGTAGTATTTTGTATTTCAATTTCCAATGGTTCATTGCTGGTATATAGAATACAATTGACTTTTGTTTATTGACCTTGTATCCTGTGATTTTATTATACTCACTTATTAGTTCTAGCAGCTGTTTTCATAGCCTTTAGCATTTTCTATGTGTACAATTATGTTGTCTGTGAATAAACAGAATTCTACTTCCTCTTTCCCAGATTGTATCTTTTACTTCTTTTTCTTGCTTTATTTTATTGGCTAGAGCCCCCAGTGTAGCTTTGGTGATAGTGCACACCTGTGTCTTGTTCCTGATCTTAGGGAAAAGGCATTCAATCTTTTAAGTATGAGGCTTACTGTAGGGTTTTTGCATAGGCTTTTTATCAGGTTAAAAAAAGTTTCCTTTCTTGACTTACTTATTGAGAATTCTTATTGTAAATAAGAAGTGAATTGTCAAAAGATTTTATTACACCTATCGAAATGATGTTTGTTTTTTCCTTTGTTCTTTTACAATGGTGAATCACATTGACTTTTTTATTGTGGTAAAATACCCATAACATGAAATTCAGATTTGTAACAATTTTAAAGTGTACAATTAAGTAGTATTAAGTATGTGCACAATGTTGTGCAACCATCACCCCTATCAAGTTCCGGAATTTTTTTAATCACTCCAAAAAGAAACCCCATGACCATTCGGCAGTCACTTTACATTCCCCAGCCCCTTTACATTCCCCAGCCCCTGGCAAGCACCTGCTCTCTGTCTCTGGATTTGCCTATTCTAGATATTTCATATAAATGGAATCATAATAGTGGCCTTTGTGTCTGGCTTCGTTCACTTAGCATTTTTTAAAGGTTCATTCATGTGATAGTGTGTATTGGTGCTTCATTTTTTTAAATGGCTGAATAATATTCCATTGTATGGATATACCACATTTTGTGTATTCAGTCATCTGTTGATGAACATTTGAACTACTTCTACCTTTTGACTATTGTAAATAGTGCTGCTATTAAACATTTAAGTACAAGTTATTGTTTGAATACCTGTTGTCAGTTCTTTGGGGTATAAGCCTGGGAGTGGAATTGCTGAGTCATATGGTAACTCTCTTTACCTTTTAGGAACTGCCAAACTGTTCTCCACACTGGCATTATGTTTTAGTTTGTGCTGCTATAACAGAATACCTGAGGCTGGGTAATTTAAGAGAATAGAAATTTATTTTCTCTCAGTTCAGGAGGCTGGGAACTCCAAGATCAAGGTGCCTGCATCCATTGAGGGCCTTCTTACTATATACTCCAGAGAAGAGGAAACACATGCCCTCACATGGCAGAAGGCAGAAGGGCAAGAGTACAAGAGAGATCGAACTTAGCCTCAAGTCGTTTATATAATGGCATGAATCCATTCATGAGGGCAAATACCTGCCATTAGGCCCCCCGCCAATACAGTTGCATTAAGCATCAATTTTCCAACACATGAATTTTGGGGGGATGCGTTCAAGCCATAGCATTCTACCATTTTACTTTCCCAACAGCAATGTTTAAGGGTTGCAGTTTCCCCATATCATTGCCAACACTTTTTTTTTTCAATTATAGCCATCCTAGCAGATTTGAAGGGACATTTCACTGTAGTTTTGACTTTATTTACATTCATTTTACAGTTGACCCTTGAACACTGTGGGGGTAAGGGATGCTGACCCCCTGCACAGTAAAAAAAGAAATCAATATATAACTTTGAACTTCCTAAAAACTTGAGACCAATAGCCTATTGTTGACCAGAAGCCTTCCCAATAACAAAAAGTCAATTAACACATATTTTGCATGTTATATATATTATATACTATAGTCTTATGATAAAGTATAGAGAAAAGAAGATGTTATTAAGAAAATCATAAGGGAGGGAAAATATATTTACTATTCATTATGTGAAAGTGGATCATCATAAAGGTCTTCATTCCTGTCGTCTTCATGTTGAGTAAACAGAGGACAAGGAAGAGGAGAGGTGATCTTGTTATCTTAGGGGTGGCAGAGGCAGAAGAAAATCTGCGTGTAAGTGGACCCACAAAGTTGAAACCCGTTGTTCAAAGGTCAACTGTAGTTTTCAATTCATTGGAGTTTTGAATTGTATTTCTCTAGTGACAAATGATGTTGAGCGTCTTTTCATGTGCTCTTTGGCCACTTGTATATCTTCTTTGTACAAATGTCTATTCAAGTTCTTTGTCTCTTTTTGAATTGGATTGTTCAGTTTTTTGTAGTTGAGTTATAAGAGTTTTCTTTTTAGTATACACTAGATACTTGACCCATACCGAATATATGATTTGCAAATATTTTCTCCCATTCTTTGCATTGTGTTGTTACTCTCTTGATAGTGTCATTTGATGTACAAAAACTTTTTAATTTTGATGAAGTCCAGTTTAGTTTTTCTTTTGTGGCTTGTGCTTTTGGTATCATATTTAAGAAACTATTGTCAAATCCAAGGTCATGAAAATTTGTTCCTGTGTTTTCTTCTGAGAGTTTTATAGTTTTAGCTTTTAAGTTTAGTTTTAACATGTTTTATGGTTAGTTTGTACATGGGATGAGGTAAAAATAAAATTTCATTCTTTTGCACATTGATTGATTTTTGAATGTGAAACTAACTTTGTGTTTTTGGGATAAAAACCGCTTGGTCATGGTGTACTACCTTTTTATTCTATTTCTGGAGGTTTGGTTTGCTCAATTGTGTTAAAGATTTTTGTGTCTATGTTTAGGGGTATTTTTATCTGCACTTTTCCTTTTTTGCAAAATCTTTTTTTCCTTGTCTTTGGTATTTGGATAATGATGGCCTTATAACATGAGCTGTGAAGGGCTTCCTACGCTCAATTTTATGGAAATGTTTGTGTAGGGTTAGTATTATTTCTTCTTTATATATTTTGTAGACTTCACCTGAGAATGTTTCTAGGATTGGAGTTTTCTTTGTGAGCAGGCTGTTAAACACAAATTCAACTTCTTTAGTAGAGGGAAATCTAGATTTTAAAATATTTCTTCTTGAGTATTTCTTTGGATATTTTTGGATATTTCTAGGGAAATGTCTATCTAAACTGTGAATCTGTTGACATAAATTTGTTTCTAATATTCCCTTATTATTCCTATTAATAGTTTAGGGTCTTGATAACACTAATTGATGTATTTTTATCTTTGTTTATTGAGCAGTCTTGCTAGAGGTTTATCTATTGTACTGACCTTTAAAAAAAACTTTTTTTTTTTTTTTTTTTTTGAGATTGAGTCTCACTCTGTTGCCCAGGCTGGAGGGCAGTGGCATGATCTCGGCTCACTTCAACTTTCATCTCCTGGTTCAAGTTATTCTCCTGCCTCACCCTCCCAAGTAGCTGGGATTACAGGCATCCACCACCATGCCTGGCTAATTTAAATTTTTTTTTTTTAGTAGAGTCGGGGTTTCACCATGTTGGACAGGCTGGTCTTGAACTCCTGACCTCAAGTGATCCACCCACCTTGGCCTCCTAAAGTGCTGGGAGTACAGGTGTGAGCCACCACATCTTGCCCAGCTTTTTTGTTTATTGCATTTGTCTATTGTTTACCTATTTACTATGTATTAATTTCTGTTTCTATACTTACCATATCCTTCTTTCTTTTTAGTTTAGATTTAATTTGTTTTTTTTTTCCCCTAGTTTCTTAAGGTAGAATCTTAGATTATTGGATTTGGACCCATTTTCTGTTCTAACATAAGCTTTTATCCCCTTTATCATTTTTATCGTGTCTCTTTGATTCTTCTCTCTTTTCTTCTTTATTAGTCTGGCTAGCGGTCTATCAATTTAGTTAATCTTTTCAAAATCCAGCTCCTGGTTAATTAATTAGCATGTCTTTGAGTTCACTGATCTTTTCTTCTGTTGTGTCTAATCTGCTTTTAGTTCCATCCAGTGACCATTTCATTTCAGAACTTGTATTTTTCATTTCTAGAAGTTCTATTTGATTCTTTTTTAATATTTTCCATTTCTCTTCTCACAATGCTTGTTTTTTTTCAATACTTGGACAATAATTATAACAGTTGTTTTGATGTTCTTGTCTGCGAATTTCTGTCATTTCTGTTTCTATTGATTTTCCTTTTGATTATTAGTCACATTTTCCTGCTTCTTGGGATATCTAGTGATTTTGATTATATGCTAGACATTGTGAATGTCTAAGTTTTGTTGTCTTTCTTTAATGAGTGTTGGATTTTGTTTTGGTACACAAGTTAATTTTGGTTCCATTTAATCCTTTCAAGGTTTGTTTTTGAGCTTTTAAAGGTAGGTCTGCAGTATTTTCTCTAGGGATTCTTTAATATTTTTATTAAGGTATGACCCAACTGGATTCTCTACTGAATGCCCTGAGTGACCAAGAAAGACAATCCTTTTTGGCTGGTAGAACTTGGATAGCTCCTAGTTCTGTGTGAGCTCTGTAAACTGTTTGCTTACAGCTTTTCAGTCACTCTGTTTCTGGTCTAAGGAATTTCACCCTACTCATACATATTTTAGTACCTACTAAACTCTCAAGTGCCCCTCTATGTTTCTTTCATAAGTATTTCCTTCTTTCTGAAATACTGCCCCATAAATCCCAGCTACAAAAGCCTGTCTGAGCCATGATTTTGGTCTTCTCACATCGGTGAAACCACTGTGCTCTGCCTTGAACTCCTTTCCTTCTATGAGACATTGAATTTGCCTCCACGGTGAAAGCTGGGGTAGTCATATTGTATATTCCATCTGTTTCCCTTCTCTTATGAATTATAGTCCTGAGCCACCTATTTTTCAATGTCTGATAATAGTTATTTCACACATTTTATCTGATTTTCTAGTTGTTAATGGAAGGAGGGTAAATTTGGTCCCTGATTATTCATCAGAAGTCCATGTTGCAAATTTTTATTCATGATCCTATCCAAAAGGTTGCCATTTCTGAAAATGCTGTTCTATTTGAAGATGTCTTCTGGGACATTTTTTTTTCTCCATTCTTCTTCTACAACTTAAAACTATGGATATTCCAAATAAATTTGTGAGAACTATACTGCATTGTTTCTGGTTTTTGTTGCAGAATTGTCTGTTTTCCCATAGTGATCCCTATGTCTTATTCGTCTTTTCCCACACACCCACTTCAAATAGGGCTAATGTGACTTTTTGATACAGGATTTAGGCTACGAAATGGCTCTCAGACCTTTCCAGGGGAGTTTCTAAGTCCCTTATAGCTGGAGTTCTAAGAACAGCCACTCAAGGCTTGCTTCCACCATTTCTTAAAAGTGAGAATTACTTGCAGATGTGGCATCTCTAACATCATTGCTTTATACTCACTCGAACATACAGTGGGAAACAGAGGCTATTAAAAATGTAATCAGTGTGAAAATTCATGCCATCTGAATCGTACGAGTATGTAAGGGATTTGAGTTCCTTACAGAATTTTCTGTAATTTAGTACTTCAAGTGACTTATAAATGTATATACTTCTCTCTCACAAAAGTGTTAGGAGAAGGAAAATCTTAAATACTAGCTTGATTTCTTAATTTAATAACAAAAAACAATTCTCATAACATGTATCACCTAACATGTCACTTTCACTTTAAAAGTCTAAAGAGTTGAGGTTTATTTCTTTTCTTTTAAAGTTGATGTTTATGTTGGTGATTTCGAAAAGATCAGATCCCCCGTTATGAAGGATCTTA
Source organism: Homo sapiens (assembly GCF_000001405.40). Lineage (NCBI taxonomy): Eukaryota > Metazoa > Chordata > Mammalia > Primates > Hominidae > Homo > Homo sapiens. The sequence continues at coordinate 77,199,554 of NC_000005.10, forward strand.
ACCTTGTCTTTTAGATCTCCATGAGAAATGCAGTACATGTAGCATTAGCCATATTTCTTTTTTAGAGGCCTATGTAGGATATTTATAACCTGTAAAAGTTTGATGACTTCATGCTCAGGAGAAAGCAAGTAATTACCTAGCCAAGCCAGGTGGGTGTTCAGGTTAGTGGTAAACAGAAAGGAGATGTTGAAAGATTTCATATCTAAAGGGTAAAAACACAAGAGAAGTATATAGAGATAAACATGTAAAGTATAAGACTGTTACATAGTAAGCTACCTCCGAAGTGGCAGCCATTGTTATTATTTTTCTGCCAGTATTTTGAAAATAATTGTATCTGTTTTGTGTACTTAAACTGGATTGAATTTACACTATCTCCCCCTGCCCTGTCCTCCAGACCTCTGCTTCCTAGAACTTTATTTATTGTTCTTAAAACATAATGGGACTTTTGTCTTCTCAGGTTTAAACTCTATATAGTAAAAAAAAAAAAGAAAAAGAAAAGCAAGTACTGTACTGGAAATTTATATCATTAAAGTCACATTAGCCCTATTTGAAGTGGGTGTGTGGGAAAAGACGAATAAGACATAGGGATCACTATGGGAAAACAGACAATTCTGCAACAAAAACCAGAAACAATGCAGTATAGTTCTCACAAATTTATTTGGAATATCCATAGTTTTAAGTTGTAGAAGAAGAATGGAGAAAAAAAAATGTCCCAGAAGACATCTTCAAATAGAACAGCATTTTCAGAAATGGCAACCTTTTGGATAGGATCACGAATAAAAATTTGCAAATAAAAATTTGCTGGTGTGTATTTAAACATTAAGTTTACTTCTACAAATAAGCCTCTCCTTCCCCTAGCCCCACTCCCACATCTCAGAAAAGGTAAAGGGGACTATTGAAAACCTGTCCTTAGAAGTCCTTGGTTTTGTGAGGCTTGCAGACATCCTAAAATTCACAACCTTATATTTTGTTTCAGAAAATGAAACATCACAGGTGAAGGGCTTTTTTTTAAAAAATTTTGTTTTGTTTTGTTCTGTTCTTTGTCATTGTTTTTGTTTTGCAATATCTTACTACGTGTACAGAAGTAGTTTTCAAAGTGTGATCCCTGAGTAAGTAGCATTAACATCACCTGGGAATTATGTAGAAGTGCAAATTCTCAGGCCTCGCAGTCTGTGTTTAGGCAGTTTTGGTATATGCTAAAGTTTGATAGCCACTAGTGTCAAGTACCCTGGAAAGCTCTCTCACATCTTACTGAATCTATTTCTGTCTATGATATTATAAGCCTCAAATATGAGGTATGAAGAAGTAATCAGTCATGCCCCCAGTGACTGTTGCCTTGGAGATGTTTAATGGTGTGACATGGGAAGTGCCATGCTGCAGAGCAAATGTCAAACCCCAAGAAGGGAGAGACTTTCTGCCACAAGCTTCCAGAGCACCTCCTTTCACAGCCCTAGCAGCCACAGTGTAAGAAGATTAAGAAACCAGAACTGCAGAAGGTACTAAAGAAGCAGGGCCTTCAGGCAGAGCTGCAGCCTCGAGGCACCTTAAGCTAGTTAAGAAATAAGATCCCAGGGCTCAAAAGCAGTTCTTGAAGCAAGAGTATCAAAAGGCTGACTTTAGCAATCCAGACATGGAGCAAAAAACTAGCATCACTGCGTAGGCCTGACTGTGGGGAAGCCCAAGGAAGTCTTGGCAGAAACTGTTTACTTAGCCACCCTGGAAAAGGGCGATGGTGCGTTTGTCAGTAAAGAGGACCTGAAGGCTGACATATCTATCTGTCCTCCTCATAAAGGCTCATTATTGGTTCAGCAAATATTGAACATGTACCATTTCTCGTTCCAAGTACTAGAGATCCAGCAGCAAACACAAAAGAGGTTGCTGGCCTCATGTCTCTCACATTCTAATCATGTTCTGGGGAGAGTTCAGTGTCAGCACTGGCTTTGGGTGGACACTTTCTGGTTTCTAGACTCAAGATTCTGGGTCCCAGAAAGTGCAAATCCAGATGAAGAATTCCCTTGATAGACAAAGCTTATTTCTCCTGGAAGTGCTCCCCAATCTCATTTGCATTTTGTCCTAGACATCTAACCTGGAAATTTTGCCATCAGTTTTGATATCACTGGCTCCCTGGCTCCTTATCTAATCAGGCACCAGATCCTAAGGATTCGTTTTCAGTAAGGTCCATGGAATTCCCCTCCCCACCCTTTTTTTCTGTTTTTACAAATTCCATCTACTCAATGTCTCTGTATTTGCTAGGGCCGCCATAATAAAATAGCACAGACTAGGTGACTTAAACAACAGAAACTTATTTTCTCACAATTCTGGAGCCTAGAAGTCTCAGGTAAAGGTGCCAGCAGGGTAGGTGTCTGGTGAGGCCTCCCTCCTCAACTTGCAGGTGGTGCATTCTCTCTGTGTGGTCTTTTCTCTGTGTGCATGCAGGAGAGAGTGGGCAATCTCTGCTGTCTCTTCTTCTTATAGGGACACCAGTCTTATTGGATTAGGGCCCCACCCTTATGACCTCGTAACCTTAGTGACCTCCTAAAAGGCCCTGTCTCCAAATATAGCCACACTGGGGGTTAGGCTTCAAAATACAAATTTTGGGAGGCCACAATTCAGTACAGAACAATCCCTATTATCCCATTCCTGGGTTATTATAGATCCTTACTGATCTTCATTCCTGACTTGCTTCACCAGTCCTTCTTGAATATGCAACTGGATTCATTTCAGTAAAATAGTACAGTTGACTCTTGAACACCATGAGTTTGAACTGTGTGGGTTCACTTTCATGTGGATTTTCTTCTGCCTCTGCAATCCCTGAAACAGCAAGATCAACCCCTCCTCCTCTTCCTCCTCAGCTTACTTAACATGAAGATGAAAAGAATGAAGACCTTAATGATGATCCATTTTCACTTAATGAATAGTAAATATATTTTCTTTTTCTCATGTTTTTCTTAATAACATTTTCTTTTCTCTAGCTTACTTTATTGTAAGACTATAGTATATACTACATATAACATGTAAAATATGTGTTAATTGACTGTTTATGTTATCTGTAAGGCTTCTGGTCAATAGTAGGTTATTAGTAATTTTTTTTTTTTTTGAGACAGAGTCTCGCTCTCTTGCCCAGGCTGGAGTGCAGTGGTGTGATCTAGGCTCACTGTAACCTCTGCCTCCCAGGTTCAAGCGATTCTCCTGTGTAGCTGGGACTACAGGGGTGTGCCACCATGCCTGGCTAATTTTTATTTTTAGTAGAGATGGGGTTTCACCATGTGAAAGTGGCCTCAAGTGATCCGCCCACCTTGGGCTTCCAAAGTGCTGGGATTACAGGTTAGAGCCAATGTGCCTGGCCTGTAGTTAAAGTTTTTGAGGAGTCAAAAGTAACATGTGGATTTTCGACTGTGTAGCAGTTGGTGCCCCTAACACTGTGTTGTTCAAGGGTCAGCTGTATTTTAAAGTTACAGTCTTATTGAAAACATCAGTGATTTCTAATGACTAGAATTTAGCCAAACTGCTTAGTCTGGCATTTGGCTCCCTGGTCATAGTCTCCCTTGTCAGCCAAAATCATGTTATTCTCTTCTTCCATACCACAAACCTTTTTGAGTCATCTGCCTCTTTGTTCTTCAAGCATTTAGCAAGTGTTCCCACCTCTAGGCCTTAAGCACATTATTCTCTCTGGAATGTCCTCTTTCCCACTTATTCAAATACTGCCCTTTCTTCCAAGAGCTATACTCTGTCTCCTCAGTGGCATCTCCCGGATAATTTCCACCCACAGTGATCTTTCTCTCTGGGCTTGGATTAATTTTTCAAAGCAAATGTTAACGCAATTCTCTTGTGTGTATGTCTGTGTTCCTAACTGAATTGTCTGAGGGCAAAGACTAAGTCTTTTACTTCTTCGTATCCCTCACAGCACCTGGCACAGTGGTGGTGCTCAAACCATGTTCTCATGGCATCATGGCTGGCTGGCTGGGTGGATGGATGGATGGAAAAAGAATGATATTCCCTTTGATAAAGTTTTCTGGGAATCTTAGCTTAAATTCACGTCCTCTGAGAAAACTTTCATTGTCCTACCCCAGTCTCACTCTATCACATCAACATATTTTAAATCCCTATATAACCTTCATCACTACCAGAGACTTTGTTTGTCCTTCCAACTCCCCCTAATATCCCAAACTCCATAGAAATAGGGACTGTTTCTGTCTTGTTTCTCAGTGCTTAGTTAGCATGTGATACACGGTAGCCACTCAGTAAGCATTTACTGAATGAATGGATGAATTTAGCATCATATTAGTGTAATGACATCTTCTGGAATGGATGATATGCCTAGCAAGGTGTGCATGCAGGCAGGAGAGGGCCTGCTTAGAAACCTGAACTTTAAAAAATTGCCCATGAGACATTTAGGAAAGCTCACACTCATTTAGAAACAGATGTGCCTTGTGCCTTGCTTTATAGATTGTAAATGTTAAAAAAAAATTGGTATGAATTAATAATTTGTACCCTTAGTTTTTTTTTTTTTTTTTTTTGTACCTTGACTAAGAATACCTAAAAACCTCAAAGTGCTATGTGAGAGTATTCATGGAGGCTGGGCGCAGTGGCTCATGCCTGTAATCCCAGCACTTTAGGAGGCTGAGGCAGGCAGAGCACCTGAGGTCAGGAGTTCAAGAACAGCCTGGTCAACATGGTTAAACCCATCTCTACTAAAAATATAAAAAAATTAGCCAGGTGTGGTGGCATGCACCTGTATTCCCAGCTATTTGGGAGGCTGAGGCGGGAGAATCACTTGAACCTGGGAGGCGGAGGTTGCAGTGAGCCGAGATCGCACCACTGTACTCAAGCCTGGGTGACAGAATGAGACTCTGTCTCAAAAAAAAAAAAAAAAGTATTCATGTTAATCATTTGGCAAACAACAATATTTTTTGCAAGACAATGGATTTGTTTTCTAAATCTAGATTTTCACACAGAATGTTTCCTTAAGGGCGGTAGAACCTACAGTGACTTCCATTAAATAGAGAAGTTGTTTCAGAGTCTTCCACCTTCATTTCTTTTTTCTTCTTCCAGTGTTATCATCCCTGCCTAAGGAGACACTGTCTAGTTACCCTGTCTGCTCACTGCCTTCTGGTGCCACCAAGTTTAGTTCTGCCTCTGTGCCTTTGTTCATGCTGTTCCTGTGATTGAAAAGTTCTTGTTGAGGCCCAACTGAGATGCCGCCTTCTTCCCTTCCCAATGACCATAACTACTATAAAAGAATTGACAATACCACTCATCTTTGTTCTGGCCCCTTGACACTCATGGATTGTACTATATTTTCATGTGTAAGTCCTGTCTGCCTGATTGCTCTGTAAGTTCCTTTGGAGTAGGACTGCACCTTGTGTTTCATTTCTATATCCTTTTATGTCTGATGCTTTTGTGAAATATATTTGTAAGACTTTAGGAAATGAATGTTCCATCTCTCCTAGCCTGATTATTGGGGTCCAAAGTTCTGGAGGTGAGTAGCATTCTGGAGTCTCTCTGCAGGGCTAATCCAGCCCCTCCCTGTGGGGTGCTTGTTAACAGGAAGGACAGATCACTTTTGTACTATGCAGACTCAGGACCCAGCACTCGGTGGCCTCCAAGTTTCATGATGTTGACCTAAGGAAGTCAGATGTTGGCTGACTCTCCTCCTACACATTCTCTGTTTGCATTTTCTACAACTGGCAAGAGAAAACCGTTCTATGGGCCAAATCCTCTCCTTAGTTTCACTTGGCCTATGGCAAAAGGTCCAAGAAGTGATGCACCTATAGTTTAAAATACAACTTATTTTTACTGTCTTGAAAGAGCTGTCTCCGTAAACTCACTTGGTAGGACTATTTCACCATGAAAGTGGCTTCCCATGGCTTTCTTTGTCTCTCTTTCTTTTTTCCTCTCTGGGTGTCTGGTTCTGTGAGGTTTCCTTTACAAATGTGTAGGCATTCGTTTCTCTGTCTCCACCTATCTCTGATTCTCTCCCTTTTAAATTTATTTTCCATCTTTTACCTTCTGTCCAAAGGAAAAAAAAATCAATGGAAATCCATAAAAGGAAATAGAGTTACCTAAATACTTTTTGTGGAGAGAATTAGGAAATATTACACTTACTCATTTACATGGTTTTTATGCACTGAAACTGTTTTTCAGAAAAATAAATTTGTCGTTTCTTGTCTACACCACTTTATACTCACTTATGAACCTCAAGATATGTTCATACATTGTCTATATTTGTAATCAATCTATGTACGTATCTATTTTTAACCTAACATTGTTTTGTTAGGTTTTATATTACTATAAATAGTAATATTTATATGTGATTTGTTGAGCCATTCCCTAAGTGTTTGATGGTTGAATTATCTCTAGTTTCATTATTGTAGACAACATTGCTACCAACAACTTTGTACAAATTATTATATTTTATTATTCTGGCTTTTTCTGATGTACATTACCAAAAGACTACCATGATGTAATCAAAGGCATTCACTGACTTTAAAAACTAAAAACACAGAGCATAAAACTCTATTAAAAACAAACAAATAAAATAACCCCTTCCATTTTGGGTAATAACAGTTAAGAGAAAGGCAAAAGACAAAGAAATGGGAGAAAATTATTCATTCATAAATTCAACAAATATTTGAGCACCTACCATGTCCTAGGCACTGTTCCAAAAGTATGGGATCCATCAGTGAATAAGAAGCCCCCAAACCCCTGCCTTTGTAGAGCCAATATTCTAGTGGGAGAAGGCAGACAATAAACATAATAGTAAGTGAGTTAATTATATAATAAGTTGAAAGGTGATATGTGCTATGAAATAAGAAAAATAGCAGGCTAAGGGGAATCAGGAGTGGTAGAGGAACAATAGAGCTATGTGGGTTGCAATTTCAAACACGGGTTGGGAATAGGCATCACTGAGTAGGAAACGTTTGAGCAGAGACTTGAAGGAGGTGAGGAAGTTAGCCTTGCAAGTACTGATGAAGCTGCACAACAGGCAGAGGGAACAGCTACTGGCTAACAATGTTGGATATCCTGGAGAGACAATGAGGAGGCTGGTGCGGCTGGAGCAGTGAGGGTGGGCTCAGCAAGGTCGCCAGGATCCACGTCGGGTAGGGTCTTCGAGGCACTTATAAGGACTTAAACTTCAAGGAGGCTGTGGAAAGGTTATACTAGATTCACTTTCTTTGAAAGGACAGATGCTGGACCTGTCCTTAACCCCTGAAGAAAGTCTCTGGGATGGAACCAGGGAACTGTTGTATTTCAGGGTGGTTCTGTTGTGCACGTGGATTCAGGACTACTCTTTCTGTTCAAAAGTCCCACAATTCTAAATATAAAATAATTTAATAAAATGAAGCAAAAATTTCACAGCATTCTCGAATGTTGGTGATTTAGAGACTCTGGAGATCATCTAGGAAATTGAAGCCCAAAGGTTAAGTGACTTGCTCAAGGTTACACAGCCACAAGAGGCAGAACTCGGTTTCAGATTCACTCGTCTAACCCTGAATTCAATGTACCTTCCACTGTACTGGACTGCCTAATAAACGGTATCATTTCACTTATCAGTTGGTTAGATTTCCAATAGCTCCACCATTAGGAACACAGTTTGAATCCAGAAGCTCTGTAAGGTTGATTGGTTGATTAAATATTTGGTTATCTAAAAATCAATCAGATAGCTGCTATTGTTTTAACCTTTACAGCTAAGAATCATTCAAAATGTATTAATCACATTTTCTGCTTCTCTAGAGGAATTCTGAAGAGTCATGCCATCTTAGAATTGGAAGGGACCTTATTTGTTCAGGATCTTGCAGTGCCTGTGGGCCATAATTTTACAGTTAGCTCTTATTTAATACTATTATAAAACACACAAGCCATTCAGGTGACCCTGGACATATTGGAGGTTTTGTTTTACAATATGTTTCTGATTTAGTTTACTTTCTTTTGATTTGCTTCTTGGATATTTTCTGTTGCTAAATTTTTCTCCACTTAATTATTTTTTTAATAATGTTGGTCTTTCTGGCCTTATTCTGTAACTTAGGCCTAATTTTTATCAACAGTGTCTGAGCTTGTAGTCTTTGCTGTCACCTGGGATGCATTGAAGTGGTCAGTGGCAATTGGTTCAGAAATCTCTTCTGTGGGTCAGAACTCAGGCTTCAGAACTAAGCTGTGGAAATGATTTCAGTTAAACCATTTCCCCTCCACTTGCACACTTCTGCAAGTTTCAGCAGCCAGATCTGTTCCAGCAATGGGGGCAGGTTGCACATTCCCACTGAGAACACTTGGTGGAGATTATAAGGACACATTATTTTTTTCTTTCACTAAGCCAGAATTGGCAGTTGAAGATGTGTTTGAGCTACTGTCTGCTCTGGGAATGGGAAGAAAACTGTATACCTAGTGCATTTCCCCTTCTATCTTCTATTCCAACAAAGAAGTTGCAGTCAATGAAAGTCACTGGTCCTAATATGAACTGTTCAGTTAACCCACTAAAGCAGCCTAGTCCTATTCACTAGCTACCTTGAGGTCACCTACTCTTTCAAGGCTTAATTATTCTTATTTTTTAATGTAGAAAGTTCAACCTAAATTTGTTTCTGGGTGACTTCTAGCTTCATGATTCAGCTCCTAATGTTCTCCACCAGAAGATTGGTTGTAATTTCTGTTTCATCACAGTCTTCTTGCCTTTCAAAGCCTCAGTGAGTGACTGGTGCTTTTTTCTGGGTGGTTTCATTGCATTCCTAGAGAAAACTCTGAAAAAGTAGACATGTGTCATGAGAATATGCATGGCTGTAAATTTCAGTATGTGAAGGCTGTCATTGATAGCTCCATGAAAGGTAATGACTGAAATGCTATATGCATTATCACAGGTAAGCTTTAGGAATCATTAAACCCTGACTTGAACGTTACATCAGGGACTAGTATAGAGACTAGTGTTTTTGCAATTTAACTCTGATGTTGTTTTCCCAGGTCCTAAATTGTCCTTTGGAAGTAGAGCAGATGGTTGCTATGAGGCTTAGTTTTAAATGAATGACTGTCCCCATATCTCAGTCTCAGCCATTTAATGTGGTGTTCTTACAGGCATGGATGGGACAAGGAAACATGGATCTCAGCAGCCTGGAAGGGAACTGTGGGTGGAGGCTATGATGCCAGGAAAGGACTTACTCCTCCAGCTACTGGGAGTGCTGCCAGCAGAAAGCCCTTGGCTCAGCTGACATCTCCTAGGGGCAGTGCCTCAGCTGAAGAGAGCCACCTTGCCCAAGGTCGCTGAGGTGGCCTGCATGTAAAGACTGGTCCATGCTGGGGTATAAAGGCCCACCAGAACAACTCAGAACCCAGCCCCAACTCAGAACAACTCTGAAGCATCATCCCACCTTCAGAATCCTCCCTGCAGGGATGCCTGAGGCTTGGTCAATTTCTCCCTCTGCTCAAGCTTGCCTCCCTCCATTCCCTCCCTTTATTTCCTCCCACAAATGTTGACTACAAGAGCACTTCCTAAAAAGCCTCCCTCTGCCTGCTAAACACCATCTCAGAATCTGCTTCTAGGAGGACCCAACCTGTGCAGAAATTTTATGAGCAATTTGCCTGTCCATTAAAAAATACAGCATAGACTTTTTCCAGGTTAGCTGGAGATGGAGTTTTTTTGTATCAAAAAAAGAGAGCTAAACTGAGAAGAGAAGCAAAGGTAGAAGAATAAGGTTAGACTCTCCCTGTATAACTGAATTTGGGATTGGGAATGATATCTTGCTTCTCTATGAAATTTAGAAACTGTCTTTTGAAGTCTTCATCCAGTCACATCCAAGAGTGGTCCAGGAAGAAAAAGGAAAATAAGAATGAAAAAAAAACAAAAAACAAACCTTAAAATTGGATACTTCTTTGTGCCTTGCATTAAGCCTCTATGTTACTGCCCTTGTCCGTATAAGCAACTCTAGATAAAATCCTTTCTTAGACCATCTAATTTATCTCCCCGTGCCATTGTGAAAATCGGGCAGGAATTACTGCGGGAACCAGTGACTGAATGGGCAGTGGTGTCTCGCAGCTGTAACTCAGAGTTTACAAGGGAAGGATGAACAGCAGCCATCCTTCTAAAGGCATTCTTCCTCTCCTCCAGCACAGCTCAGTCTGTGCATGCCTCACCAAGGAGAATGAGGGAAGGCCTTGTTGACTGCCCAGCCCAGAGTGTGAGGAACAGCAGTTGACATGGGCGGCTGGACGGGATAGAAACCAGCATGAACATTTAGTGACACCTAAGGAAGAGGTGAAAATGGGGGAGAAAGCCAAGAACCATCAGACAGCTTCTTTCTGTTCTTGCCTTGGATCTTAGGGGAACGTATGTGTTCAAGGGTGCCTTCCTCCGCAGGGCCTCCCATCCCTTGGCACAAACTTCCAAACGATGAGTAGACATGGAATGGGCTTCTTCTGAAGACTGGGTCACCATCCAACTCAGCCTTCGGAGTAGGCGGTGGGGCTGGGGGAAGAGGACGGAACCATGAGGTCTCTCCATCACTTCCCGGGTGTGTTGAGAGGCAAGCAAATGCGGTGGGTGGGCCTGGGCTGTAGGGCCCCTGCCATTTCGGGAGGGGCCTCCTGGTGTTTAGCTCTGGGATGTGTGAAAATGTGTTGGTGAAAAGCGAGAGGCTTACACAGCCCTTCAGGGGAAGAGGGGCTGGGGCGCTGGGGGCGGCGTCGGGATGAGTGCAGAAGAGACGAGGCCTCTGGACAGCGGAGGAGGAGGGGAGGGCGCCGAGGCGCGGTGCCAGCTGCCGCGCACAGGGGCCCCGCGGCGGAGCCGAGCCGCGGGCACGCTCTGCCCTGTCGGGAGAGCTCCGGGAGCGGCGGGAGGGGCGGAGGGGCGCAGTGGGGCCCGGGCGGCTGCGGCCGCGGAGCCGGGGCACCTGAGGAGGAAGGAGGGTGGGAGCGAGGGAGGGAGGGGACGGGCGCAGACCGAAAGTGGGGAAAGAAGGTGCAGGCAGGCGGGCAGGCGGGCGGGCGCCCTGGCCCAGGGCCGCGGGTGCGGGAGCCCGGCGAGGTCGAGCTGGGCGGCGGCGGGGGCCGCGCCGAGGGAGGAGGGGAAGGCGGAGGCGCGGGGAGCGTGTTTGGGGCGCCGCGGCGGGGAGGGTGGCGGCCGCTGGTGCGCGCGGGGCGCTGTGTATGCGCGCTCCCCCGCTCGGGGAGGAAGATGGCCCAAAAGGGAAAGTTGGGGTGACGCGCGCGGTCCCCGGAGGCTCGGCGGGGGGCACCGCGGCCAGCCCGACGGAGCGGCGGACACACAGGCCGGGGGGCGCGCAGTCCGGGCGCCGCCGCGGCCGCCCCCTCACTGCAGGTGGCAGCGGGTGCGCTGGGTCCCGGCGGCCGCGGGCGCGGGCGGGCGCGCGGGGGAGCCCGGCCGAGGGATGGGCTGCGCCCCCAGCATCCATGTCTCGCAGAGCGGCGTGATCTACTGCCGGGACTCGGACGAGTCCAGCTCGCCCCGCCAGACCACCAGCGTGTCGCAGGGCCCGGCGGCACCCCTGCCCGGCCTCTTCGTCCAGACCGACGCCGCCGACGCCATCCCCCCGAGCCGCGCGTCGGGACCCCCCAGCGTAGCCCGCGTCCGCAGGGCCCGCACCGAGCTGGGCAGCGGTAGCAGCGCGGGTTCCGCAGCCCCCGCCGCGACCACCAGCAGGGGCCGGAGGCGCCACTGCTGCAGCAGCGCCGAGGCCGAGACTCAGACCTGCTACACCAGCGTGAAGGTAAATGCCCCGCGCTGGCACACGCCGTGGGGGCCGTCCGCCCCGTCGGCGGGGCTCGCACGGGTAGGGGGCTCCGGCGGAGTTGGGTGACCGTGAGGCGGTTGGTTTGGAGAGGTTGTCACTAAGGAGGAGTTTACTTTTCATTTGTGGAGATGATGGGAGCCCAGGAAATGTGGTCAGAAAAAGGCCCCTGGAGGGGTCCTGGAAGCGTCCTTAGCTGGTCCTGGGGGACTGGGCGGGGAAGGGAGCGCAGAAGGAAGCAGGTGGGCTGGCCTGTTCCTCCTTGAGGGCAGGAAGGCTGTGGCTTGGTTTATGCAGGAAGAGGGGTGGGGACCATTGAGAGCATTCGGTGGCCAGTCCTGTTGAATGAAATCTGAGCACTGAGCTGGATTTGCGTGCCTTGTAGGTGACTGGTGCAGTTGCAGCACCAGGATAGATAGTGCCCCATATTCCGATTTTTACCTGGGATTACCAGCCAGGCTGGAGTCTCAGCACAGGAACCGAGCGTAGGGATTTGTGAATGAATGAGTGTTCGTGTTTTAAGAGATGTGGGAACGGAGCAGAGTGGAACCTGTTGTTTGTCACTGTAACGTTTCTCTGGGTTGGCTGCATCCTAGACAGAATTGAGAGAACCGGGCCATGAGTTCGGAGTGTCAGCAGAGCCACCGTGAGGGGACGTGGTTTCCAGTGCAGTACAGCTGTCTGAGGATGATTCTGCACATACAACTGATCTTCCCAGAGAGTGGGATTTTGAGGAAGTGGAAAAAATTGTTTAGATGGTTAAAGCAGTCGCTAAATATTTATTTCTTAAAGACAGAAGAAAAATAATTATTTAAATAGTGTCCTCCCGTATGTTCTCAAAGTACCGTTAAATCCAAGAGGCTTTTCATTGTGTAAATCTGGGCACTGGGTCTTTTTTCCTTTCAGCAAACAAGATAACAATGGCATATCCTATTGTACAGAGAGAAAAAAATACTCCTAATGTCAGATAGAATCACAGCCTTTACCTGGTCAATAGGTTACCAAGAACCATTCCATGGATTATTTGTCAAAGACACATTTGTATTTTTAATAGTTAAAAACTTGGTCTTCATTGGATGAAGGCAGCCCACAGTGGAGGAGTGAGGAGAAGGATAACATGTTTTGGCTTCAATCTGGAAGTCCAAAAGTTTTTTAATGAACCTATTTTTTTTTTAACAGCATCTGATTGTTTAACATGAAGCTTGACTGATGTTTGCTTGTGGTTGCAGTGTTTCTCTGGCAGTAATCATAATCACCATTATAGTAAAAACATCGTTTATTGAGCACCTACTATGTGCCAGGAGTAAGCTTTCTCTCCTAACTATTGAATGTTAACAGTGTGATCTTAGCATAGCATGTCTGAAGACTAGAGTCTAGGATTTATGACAGTACAAACCTACCAGTTGCCCATTCGTTACAGAGGCATGTGCTGAACGCTATACTTTGCTTTTGTCAAGCTCTCTCTCTCTCCCCCTCCCTGTTCACACAAAGTTAGCTTTAGGAGCAATTTTCAGGGATGAAAATGTTAAATTTGGTGAAAATATTAAGTTGGGATATTATCAGTAAAGACCATCCTTTTGCCTGACGGTTGAAGACCTGAAGCAGTAGTTCAAAATTGTGACAGCTCATGAACTTTGTGATACTTTTTTTGGTTGCTCCAGAGAAATTGTGAATTTTTGTTTTCTAGAATATCTATAATCTCAGTTTAGTACTTGGCAACTCTAGCTACTCCATGTTTGTTCAGTAGAAGAAAGAATACTGAATGAACCCATTCTGTACATTTTTAATACTTCCCTCAAGAGGCTGCTTAGAGACCAAATGAAGTAAAAACTGAAGGGACAATGAGCCCCAATTATTAGCAGCTTGTATAAACTTGTATTAATCTCATTGCTACTTGGCTTAAGTATTAAAAGGCTTGACCTGGGTAGGAGTTTAACTCATTTTGCTTTATCAAGAAGATTCCCAAATAAGAGCTTAATTCACTCTAACCCATTACTGGGAATGTTGGAAATGAAACCCCTGGTTCATTGACTTAACACTACTTTGCATTGTGTGGATCTCAGAAAGTATATATTTGAAGTGAAATTTGAGACCAGAGTTATTTATGCAAATCTTACAGAATTATTATCACAGAACTGCCCTAATATATTTAATAGTATCCTTTTAGGCCTGTGACTCGGTGTTGTATTGTCTTTTCTCAATCGTAAAGTTCACATGTTCTGTGCCCTTTTGTTGCTGAGATAATTTTATAAAAACTTTACATTCATTTTTTTGTAGACTAAGCATTCTTTTTTTGCCGTAAGAGTTTGAGATAGTTGCTAGGCACGTGGTGGTGCCCCACCCCTTTCCAAAGCACACAGGTGGAAAAATAAAATCTTTACCATTTGGTCCTGTTTACAGTGGTGGAAGGTTGTAATAGTTTCCACCCCCTCCCCCTGGCCATTTTACATCAATTATGAAGTGTATCCTCATTATCTACTTGGCCTCTGGTATTCCCCAGAGTGCAAAAATGTGTGCTTGATCTCTCTCTCTCTCTTTTCTAGCAATAATTCATCTCATTAAGCTTTTAGAATGATGAGGCATTATGATGTCAAACATGATGTCAACAGGAACCTTCCTGAATACCTAATTTGCAAAAAAAAAAGGGTTATAAGCATTAATAATTCATATGCAGTACAATGATATCACATGGGTTTCCATTTCTGGTAAGAAGTTAGATTTGTCTCCCAATTGCTGTGAAAATGCAACTTCCTAGCAATTTCTTTCCTTTTTGCTTGCCTTTTCAAAAATAGTACTCCAACAGGAGAATCCTGCAGGATGTTCACTCTTGATATTGTGCCAGTTTTGTAATTCTTGTTCAGAAATCCTCAGAGGAGATGGTTGAACCTCTCTCTGGGAAGAACCAGGGATTCTTACAAGTTTTCTCATACCAGCTGTTCCTACTTGGGAGCATCTGGGACTAGACAGCCAGTTGTAGAGAAGAATCGTTATTGACAATATCGTCAACTTGCTATGACCTCTGTGTAGGTTCACTCTTTTGTGGATCAGACACAGGATGTTGTTAGTTTCCAGATGGCAGCATCACCAGCTCCCCGTTTTCCCTCCATTCATACAGAATGTGCTCATTTGTTCATTCAGTATTTGTGGCCAGACTGTGTTGTAGGTGCTAGCGATTCAGGAAATATCCATGAAATTTGGTAAGCAAAGCCTAATGAGGAGGATAAATCTCCTGTAAAATGGTGTGCCTAAGCCAGTTATTAGTGACTGCTATGTTTTCTGTTCCATAGCACTCCAGAATTTGTGAGGATAATCCTGAGTTGACTATATATAAAAGGAAAATAAATAGATATTCCACTGACCTTATGGTAAATAATAATGAGATTTTATTTGGGGGAGGAGTAGAGCTATTTTGGAAAAAAGTCATTTTTGTTTTCTAAGTCAGTGTTTTGGAGTCAAACTTTACGCAAGAATCACCTAGAGAGCTTGTTAAAATATAGATTGCTGGACTCCACTCCCAGAGATTCTGATTTAGTAGGTCTTGGGTGGGGCCTGAGAATTTGAATTTCTAACAAGCTTCCAGGAGATGCTAGTGTTGCTGATCTGGGGACCCCATTTTGAGAACCACTGCTTTTTACAGTGGTGAATTAAATTATCTGTCTGTTGACCAGGCGAATGAGGTGGGGCCACCTCTAGCAGAGTGCATAGTACCACACTGTCTTTATCTGGGGTACTGGTCATAGCACTGCTTTCATCTTAGTTCACTTCTGTATGGGAAACCTGCTATCCCTGTACAGGAAGTCAAAACGCTGAGCCTCCGAGATTGGCTAAAAAGTCTGTAAGTGAGGAGTGTTGGATCATGTAACCAACTCTGGTTTCTTGAGGTTAAGTTTTCCCCAGGATCCTTTTGGGTTTGTACAGGTCCTAATGTCTTGCTTTGCCACCACAACAGAAGTCTAAAGCAAGGCTGGATGTTACATGATACAGGCACATATTCTCTTCTCAGCTCTTGGAATTCTTGCTAGGCCTTTCACCATCATTTTTCATTTTAAAATGAAGTATAAAGTTTAATAAGCTCAAATGAGTCCTGCAAGCTGATTTCATAAAATCCAAGTTTGCCTTCTGCCATTGTATATATGATTACAATTTAGTCCCTTCTTTTCCCAGCACATTAATTAGAATGAATGAGCACATTTTCCTTATTTTCATGACTTTCTTCAGTAGTTCCATGAATTTTTAAGGACTATCAGGTAATTCTTCCTTTTGAAGGAAAGTAAGTCCTCAAGCCAGGATGTAACATAGTATAAGCTGCCAGCTGTTCAGAGATGATATAGTTTCTACTGAAATCCTGTTTTGGTGACCACCAGGTATGGCCTGGGCGCCAGCAGGACAGAATATGCTGGTGAGGGCAGGGCAGATTCTGTGGCACTAAACTGGTCATGGGTAAAGGCCAGTAATCAAAATAATAATCAAAATAGGAAGGAGGGAGTGAGCCCCGTGGAACCAGGTGGGAAGACAGAGTCCAGAGTTTGTTCAACCAGCAAAGTTGGAGGGGGCCAGGGAGCAGGTGGGAATGTTGGGGCCAGGCAGGCAAGGGAAATCTAGAAATTAGTGGTTCAGCAAAGGTGACAGCTGTTGAACCAGGTTGAGACTTCTGATTGGGGAATAAAAGCTGCTTACTTTCTATTCTATTCAGGAGGCTGTGGTGACCAATCGGAGGGCTGTAGGTAACTTTGTGAACCCAGCACCAAATGACACAAGACCAACCAACCAGTTCTTCCTTGCACCCTGATCAGACAGAGTCTGGGCAGGAAACAGACTGCACATCCAAAAGGGTTAACTCAGAATAATCAAATGAAGGGACTACTGCAAATGTTTTGGCAGGATGAAGGAAAGACAACAAATGATGCTGAAGCACCCTAGGCTAGAAAAAGAGGGAGCTGTTACTACCCCAGAAGAGTCAAGGGGAGGGGATGTGTATTAGTCTGTTTCACGCTGCTGATAAAGACATACCAGAGACTGGTTAATTTAGAAAGAAAAAGAGATTTAATGGACTCACATTTCCATGTGGCTGGGGAGGCCTCACAATCATGGCCAAAGGCGAAAGGCATGTCTTACATGGTGGCAGACGAGAGAATGAGAACCAAGCAAAAGAGGTTACCCTTATAAAACCATCAGATCTCGTGAGACTTATTCACTATCATGAGAACAGTAAGGGGGGAACTGCCCCATGATTCAATTACCTCTCACCAGGTCCCTCCCACAACACATGGGAATTATGGAAGCTACAATTCAAGATGAGATTTGGGTAGGGACACAGCCAAACCATATCAGGGTGGTTATGGGAAGCTGAGAAACCAGGGTAGTTATGGGAATCTGAGAAACCAAACCTGTAAGTCAGGGAAACCCTCAGAAGCTGTAGCCTTCAGGAGTGGACAGGGAGGGAGCCAAAGCAGTAAGTCCCTTCATGACATTGTCCTCCCTTTCATCAAGCTCCTGCTGGTTTCCACATCTGGAAACCAGAGGGAAAAGGAATCTGTTGATTGGGGTTTTCCAGGGTGCTGAGCAGGGTGGAGAGTGGGTCTGGAGGGGCAAATGAAAAATATCCTGAGCATATCCCAAAGGCTCTTCGTAACAGGCAATAAGAGATGTTCAGTGTCACTGGAGCTACCTCGGTATAGATAAACTAAAATTGTGATGGGCAGTTTGATGATTGTCTAAAATAATGGCATTTTAAAATGGCCACTTAATTCACTGTTTACAGTTCCTGTTTGATGACTAATGATATTAAAATATGTCCAGTTATCTTGGTTGGAGACCTCGAACTTATTGCTGTAAACATATCCTTCTCTTCAGTTCATTCTGTCCCCTGACTGCTGATACACTTTTTTTATCACTTCCTCTGTCCCCTGCCTGCTGTCCTTCTCCCTATCCTGAACTCAAAGCCCAAGGGTGGAATGGGGGAGAAAGACCTGAGCCTCATAAGAGACTCAGGACCCTGTCTTATCAGTTTATTCCATTTTTTTTCTCAGTTTTTACTTTCCCACTTTCTATAACCTTCTCTCCACAGACTCAAAAAGTGAAAAAAAAAAGGATTTTGCTATGTGCTTGTAAGGTTATATTTTCAATAAAGAATGTGTACATTTAGAACATATTTAAAAATATTAAAATGTGTCCAGGAATTTATTTTTAAAGATAGGTGTTACCTTTACCCTACAGTGGAAGTCTTGGTAGTTATGTTTTAGTAGAAAACACCAATTTTTTTTTTTTTTGAGATGAGGTCTCACTCTGTCACCAGGCTGGAGTGCAATGGTGTGATCTCAGCTAACTGCAACCTCCGCCTCCCAGGCTGAAGCTATCCTCCTGCCTCAGCCTCCCGAGTAGCTGGGACTGCAGGTGGTGCCACCACCCTCGGCTAATTTTTTGGTATTTTCTGTAGAGATGGGGTCTCGCCACGTTACCCAGGCTGGTCTCAAACTCCTGAGCTCAAGTTATCCACCTGCCTTGGCCCCCAAAGTGCTGGGATTACAGGCGTGAACCACCATGCTTGGCCCAAAACACTACTTTTCAACAAGTTGTAGTATATATTAGTTTAAAATTAGTTGTTCATGGCTCCTTCCCTAGTCTCTTTTTTTCTTCCATCAGCAGATAATAGTCAACTCTTATTTAGGATTTTTCTGTTTTACTCTTTACCATTGATTTCTTTCATCCCCTCCTTTCCCCCTCCTTAGGGAGAATGCACAGAAAAGTAGTTCCTGAAGTAGGATTAGCCTACCCTGCTGCAAATTTGCTTTAAGAAGCTTGTGATTGCTGTAATAAAAATCAAGGAACTATTTTGCTTTTGGATAATCCATCAATGAAAATAAGAATATTTCATGGTTGTCTCTTGTTTCCAAGGCGATTTAAGTTTTAGTGCATGGTTTGTACACTTTGCAACAAGGTAAACAGGATAGCTATAATAATATTAGTTGTTATTTAAGTTCTTGCTATTTGCTGAGCACTTTATTTACATTGTTTCACCAAATCTGCATGATTTTCCCTGTTCTGCTATGAGCTACACGTTATTATTTTCACTTTAGAAAAGAGGAAAATGGGGCTGCAAGAGGTGGGATAAATTTCCCAAGGCGAGGACTGAAGTTTGAAGGCAAGAGGGTCCGAATGGTCTCTCACCCCATGAGCCCATCCCTTAAGTGTGTTGCACACTCAGGCCTGTGGCCACACAGCCTGAAGCCCTAAGTGTGGCTGGTCCTGGAACTGCAGTTATTTAGAGCAGAAGGATGATAAACAGGCAGAGGGAAGGGGAGCAGGGAGCCTCGTGAGTGAGATTTTTCCTTTCACATATCCACTGTCACCCCTTCTATTAACTTGAACTAGAGTGTTTTGAAGTTGGAGAAGAATTAAAAAATGCACACAAAATGTGACAAGCTCTGGTACAACATGTTGTCATTATTTTCACTGAACACAGTGCCTGACACTTTGTAAGTGCTGTACAAATAGTAGCTGCTCTTATTTTTATGGTTGCTATTATTACTCTTTGGGTAATCAAAATGAGATTTTGGTTATTTAGATTTAGATATTTTTGAAACATGTAATTTTTTTAATGGAAAATATATCCGACACTTTCAAGTACATTGATTTGGCCAATAGATGACTAACTGGATTTATAGACAGATAGGTTATCCCAAAGCCTTGCAAACTGCTGCCACAGACATGGGTTTTGTCTGCTTCACTTGGATTTCCAGAGATGACATAGTAGAATCTTGCCAGTCCAAGGCCCAAGCTGGGGTTTGGGTTCCATGACTGTTGAGCCTGCACTCAGCAGAATTTACAGGTCAAGGCCTTGGTGTTATCCTGAGGTGGTTCCCTGTGGAATTCTTTGGTATAAACTTGTAGCCTGAAGCCTCAGTCTCTAATTGCTCTTAGAAGCATTTTGCATGAGCTCGGTTGGTTTTCATATTGCTGCGTTTTGGGTGCTGTCAGACACAGTATATTGTTGGGAAAATGATACACTGTACATCTAAAACCTGTTTTCTCTCAAATAGGAAGATGTAATGATTAGCTCCAGGGACCCAGTTGCCTGTGTGAGTCATAAAACTGAGATAAGACCCTAAATTTTGGAAATTTTTATAGGAAGATGCATGAGAGATTTTAAAGCAACCTATCACCCAGGGTACCATATGAAGAAAAAGATGCCGTTCTGACGTCAGAACCACAAATAGCATTAAAGCTCCGGAACTGGAAGGTGATGACAAGGGTTCAGGATAGCCAGAGCTTTTGTCCACTCCAGGGTTCCTGCTGAGGGAGCTTCAAACGAGAGCAATGACCAAATGGAGAGACAAATACATTTATGAAGGCCAGTGATGACCCAACAATCCACACCTCAGCCACTAGTGGTCCTGGGGCCTTGTGGGACATACTCATTTTCAGCTTAAAAAATGGATTGACAGTCTTGGCCGAGAAATGGGGTCTCTGCAAGGAAACAAAAGCCACCAATAGTGTTTGGAGCTGAGCCTTAGTTGGAACTAGAAGTCTCTTTCCCCCACAGTCGAGAGTGTGATGCTCAAAAGAAGGATGGCCAAATAAAGACTGAAGGGAGCAAGGATCAGCTTAGTCTGTGCCTGTGCAAGCATTGGGTGGATACAACCTTTCATCCCAGATCCATCTGTCATGTGCAGCCTCAGACACACACATGCATGCACGTGCACACACCTGCTCTAGGAAGTGTTGCTGGGACAGAACACCTAGGCGGGTAAGTTTTCAGGAGACTTCCTGCTCTCCCCCTCCCACATCTATAATGCTGGGTCTGTGAAGCCAGTTTCAGGACCCCTCCTCACCCAGTAGACTCTTGCAGGTCCTCCTGTCCTTGTGGTTGCTGCCCTGCCCTTCTTCTCAGTCACATGTGGAGCCCAGGGTGAGGTCTCTGACACCCAGGCTGTTCTCTGCAGTGATCTGGCCCATTAGGACTGTCAAACCCTGGGACTGGCTGACTGACTGTGGAGCCTTCATCCCTTGGGAGGAACAGGTGAGGGCAAGGGAGTGTGATCCACTTAGCCTGATCTCCCTACGGGCAGTGGTAGAGGGGAGTTTTGCAGACTTTGTTGAGATTTTCAAGAAGGGACAAGGAGGTGGGGCAAAAGGTTGGAATCTCTTATTATATCAAAGGTGAGAACTTTGAATCCTAAAACACAACCAGGAAATGCTTTGGATGAACGTGAAAGGCAGTGTTCACTTTTATATGCAGACTATATGACAAACATTAGTTTGTAAGGCACCTAGTTGTTATTGGGGAAAGACTTTCATATAGAAACATGTTATATGTGGCATTTAGGTTTCTAGGTTAGCACAAAAAAGTTTTAGCCCATTATGTAGCTGGAATATATTTACACTGTTGAAACAATATTGCTGTGAAAGAAACATAAAATTGAATTAGAACTCCCATTTCTTTTGTATGGGTGTCCTTTGGGAGAAGCGGGTTTAATTAGAGGCTGATGAAGCAGATGAGGGAGAATTCGTGAAGTTCCTTTAGGGAGTAGTTATCTTTAGTGATCCATTGTGTGCTGGGGAGCTGAGGGGCTCAGGTGGTGTTATTAACCTCACATTGCTAGGGAGGAAGTGGAGGCACAGGCGGCTCAAGTAGCTTGACCAAGGTCACACAGCTAGGGACTCAGAGCTACATCTGCTCAACCGTCCTGTTTTCACTGTCCTATTTTATCTCCAGGTAAAAAGGGGTGTGTCGAGCTTCTTTGTGGCACTTATTTTCTGTTTCATCTACAGATAGCTCAGTTGGTATCTTTTAACTAGAACTGTTTTTAAAAATAAATCATAAAACCATTATATACCAAAAATATGACAACTTAATATCAATCACACTTTTCTAATTGTCTTACTACTTATTCTTTTACTGTTTGTTGGTATCCAAACAGTAACTCCACTCATTGCAGTAGGTTGCTATGCCTCTTAAGTCTCTTTTAATCTGTAGCTTCCCCTTCCAGTCTCTCTTTTCTATATACTTGCAGTTTGTTTGTTGAGGAACCTGGGTTGTTTGTCCTGTAGATTTTCCCCCAATCTAAAGTTTACTTATTGCATTCCCATGATGCATCTAACATGTTTCCCTGCCTTCTGTGTTTGCTAGAAACCGTAGTTTGATTTAGAGGTTTGATTGGATTATACTAAGTTTTGTAGGGTGGAGGTTGTCTCTTTTCTGTGATGCTAACAGAAAATCGGAGTATGCGAAGTTTTGTAGGATGTTTGGTTGTCTCTTTTCTGTGATGCTAACTCTTATTAACGATCATTGCTTATATCCATTAGTCATTAGAGGTTGTAAAATGGTGATATGCTATCATTTTGTCTTCATGTATTCATTGGAATGCCTCAAGAAACTTTTTTCAAGAGTTGACTCCCTAGCATTCTCCTAAGGTGACAGGAGTTCTTTGCCTGTTAATTTGCTTAGTATCATTATGAATCGTTATGGGTTTATGTGTATTTGATGTGTTGATGCATTGCAGTTATTAAACCTATTTGTGCTTAGACTGCCCAGTTTTGACTGAAGGGAGCTTATTCAAGTTGGTGAGGCACTTTTCTTGAAGAAACAGTTCTAGCTAAGTTGAGTGTGTCCTTATTCGAAACTCATTGTTTGTAGATGGGGACTCCACTGACCACCCTGGGGGTGGAGGCACATCCTGGTGTCCACCTAGCCCTCTCTAGTCATGCCAAGGCCCCAAACATCATGGAGCTTTTGAAAGGAGGCATTTCACAAGGCCCCCTTGCAGCTCCTTTGCTATAATTTTTGTGGCTGCAAAAGGGTAACCTGGTGTGAAGGAAAGGTGCTCACTGACTCCAGCTTGAATTCCAGCTCTGCCCTGTACAAACTTTGTGACTTTGGAGAAGCTGCATGATTTCTCCTTGCACGGTAGGGATAATGCATCTCTAAAAGGATTGGTACAACCTAGAGGTACAGTCCCTGTAAACCCGCTAGGTTCTCAAGTACGTGTGTGTGTATTTTCTGCCTTATACTAAGGCGCTACTCTAGGTTTGGAGTGATAAAAAAAATGAATATGATGGCCGGGCATGGTGGCTCATGCCTGTAAACCCAGCACTTTGGGAGGCTGAGGCGGGTGGATCACGAGGTCAGGAGTTCGAGACTATCCTGACCAACATGGTGAAACCCCATCTCTCCTAAAAATACAAAAATTAGCTGGGCGTGGTGGCTTGCACCTGTAATCCCAGTTACTCAGGAGGCTGAGACAGGAGGATTACTTGAATCTGGGAGGCAGCCTGGGTGACAGAGTGGAGACTCCATCTCAAAAAACAGAATATGACATAGTTCCACGTTTCGGGAGCTTCCATTGTTTGTGCCCTATATTGTCGTCTTCTGTGGGAAGGCAATGTGTTGACTGAGTGCCGGCTGGCTGGCAGGAGTTACGGATTGGGAATTGGGTTCTTCCAGGTGAGACACTCCTACTGGGAGAGCATGAAGAACTGTGAGCCTGAGGGGTAAGTCAGCTGAAGACTGTAAGGAAAAGCCAAGGAGCAGACAACTGTACGGCCACAGGCAGGGGCCAGAGGCAGAATTAAGGTCAGGCTTTCTAAGCCTGGAGCTCAAAGCTGCCAGACATAAATAGGATCCAAGAGAACTGATTAAGAAGGACTCTAAAGTCTGGTGGAGTTGATGGCTGAGAATACTCTTGGGTGTTATGGTTCAGAGACTGCCAGATAAGGCTTGCTTTGGGTTGAAGCTCTAAAGCAGCATTACCCAATAGAAATAAAATGTGACCCAGATGTAACCTGCACATGTAATTGTAAAATTTTTTATGAATCACATTTTTAAAAGTCAAAATAAGCAGGTAAATTAATTTTAGTACATGTTCACTTAACCAGTATATTAAAAATATTATTTTGACATGTACTCAATATAAAATTTGTTAATGAGATAGTTTACATTCTTTCTTTTTTTATTTTATTATTATTATACTTTAAGTTTTAGGGTACATGTGCACAATGTGCAGGTTAGTTACATACGTATACATGTGCCATGCTGGTGTGCTGCACCCATTAACTCGTCATTTAGCATTAGGTATATCTCCTAATGCTATCCCTCCCCCCTCCCCCCACCCATTCTTTCTTTTTTTTTGGAACTAAGTTCTTAAAGTCTGGAATGTATTTTACAATTACACTGCATCTCAGTAGGGACTACCCACATCTCAAGTGCATAATGACCACACAAGTAGCTACCATGTTGGAAAAACGGAGGAAGAAAGTGAAATTTACATCAAGGTTCTAAGTCAAGCATTTACAATTTGACATTGTAACTTGACAAGCATAGCACAGTAGTGGTGTTGGTTTTTTGTCTCTTAGTTTGTAGCTCCATTTTTGCTTCCCCATTTTCTCCTTTGTATTATATGAGGCTAGAAGTCTGCAAGCTGCATCTTCCACATTACTTTTCCAGATGGTTTCCTCTTAGATTCCACAGGTAGGAGATACTGGCAGGAAATTGGAATGTGAGAGAAAGGAACAGGCGATAGCAGTGGCCCCTGCTAAGTGGCAGTGGTGCTGCCTGAGTGGTGATGATGCCAGCCCCCTCCGCTGATCAGCATGAGTGTGGGCTGGCGGGTGTCAGCCCAGGGTGTTAACAGTTTATTGTCTCTGGATGTTACTGCTTTATCTTTTTAGTTTCTCCAGCTCTACCTCCATCTTCCCTTTGTTCATCCATACCTTCTAACACCTTTGTAAACAGTTCACTACAGCGGTATCTCTTCTTAATATATATAAAATGGTTCTTGCTTTTCTCACTGGACACTTGGGATCTGATGTCAGAGAACTATGCTGTACTGTGGTCTTGTATGTACCATCTGTTGGTTCTATGGCTTAGCTTCTTTAATTTTCAACTTCTTCTGTCTAAGGATAGAAAAATAAGGATAGTGAAAGTTCTGACCTCATAGAGTTACTGCAAGGATGATATAATCAATATATGTACCATTGCTAGCTTTGAATGTAACACCCAGTAAATATTGCTTATTATTGATAATAATATACAAGCCGATTTTTGAAGGCTCATAATTTAACATTTTTTATTATGGAAAAGTTCAAATGTATACAAATGTAGTGAGAATAGGATAGTGAAACCTCACGTGTACATCCCCCAGTTTCAACAGTAACAAATTAAGACTATTCTTTTATTTATACCTCCTACTTTCCCCCATACTTTGGGATTCTTTTAAAGCAAATCTAAAACATCCTCTTATTTCAGCTGTAACTATTTCAGTATGTAACTCTGAAAGAGAAGGACTGTTTAGAAAACACAACCACAATACTATTAGCAAATCCCTAAATTAAAATAATTTGTTAATATTATCAAATACAAGACAGTGTTGAAGTTTCCCTATCTCATAAACATTTTCATTTAAAGATTTTTTTAATCATCTTTCAAATAAGATCTAGCTATTGCAATCAATTGATATGTTTCTTAAGGATCTTGTCATCTGTGAGTTCCCTTTCCTCTCTTTCTTTTTCTCTTACAATTTGTTTGTTGAAGAAACTGGGTCATTTGTCCAGCAGAGTTTCCCACAGTCTGGACTTTGCTGATTACATTCCTGTGGTATCATTAACCACATTCTTCTGGCCTTGTATTCCCTGTATGTTGGTAGTTAGATCTAGAGGCTTGATAGGATTCAGGTTTATTTACTTTTTTTTTTGGGGAAGACTACTTTATAGGTAGTGTCATGGACCTCCATCAGGAGGCACATGATGTCTGGTTGTGTCTCTTGGAGACGTTAGCAGCCACTGATGATTGTTGCCTAGATCAATTAATTCCTTAGGGGTTGCAAAAGCCTACCATTCTTTCTACAGTGCTTCTGGAATGCATCTATAAAGATAAACTTCCCTCCATCCAATAGTTGGTTATCCTGAGGTACAGTTCATATGAGAAAGGCAGGGCAAATGCTTGATTCTACTCTTCCATTTGCCAGTTTTCAAAATAATGAGTTGATTTCCTAGCATCCTCCAAAGGTAACCAGTGATGATTTTTGAATTCCTATAAAATTATCAGTTTATAAATATTAGATGTGTCATAGTCCATTGCAGTTATTGTCCTTACTGATGCTCAGTTGTCCTGACTTTGTCTACTCAGAGTAGCCACGTTGGCTCCTGTGTCCTTTTCATAGTCTGCTAGTAATGTTTGACAGATTTCCTGCCTTTTTGGACTGACTAGATGTTCCAGGTTTGTTGCGTCCATTCCCTGTCTCTGATCTAGAATTAGTCTTTTCTCCCAGGAACCTAATTATTTTTATTGAAAAATGGTATTTAGAGGTATGATCTCGGGTGTTCATTGCTAATGGACTGGTCATTGCTTCTGGACTTTTTAAGTGGACATAGCCAGGAAATAGATACTTTTGAAAGATAAAAATGTACCGTGAGTGTATACTTATTCATCCAGTTTAAATTTAGGACTACAAGCCTTTTCTTCAACCTCGTCAGTCTTACGTTTCTATTTCCTCTTTCCCATGACATAAATCCTGGTTCTTAACATCATCATGATAATTCCTCATTTGTTAGATCCCACATGCGCGTGCACACACACACACACACACACACACACACACACCCCACGCACACATCTCAGAATACCAGTGATCAA
Organism: Homo sapiens; assembly: GCF_000001405.40. Taxonomy (NCBI): domain Eukaryota; kingdom Metazoa; phylum Chordata; class Mammalia; order Primates; family Hominidae; genus Homo; species Homo sapiens. The sequence continues at coordinate 77,225,915 of NC_000005.10, forward strand.
CACGACTTCATGATCAATATGAACACTGAAAACAGTTTGATTTTTTTCCAGTGATTTTTGATATTAGGGTCTGTCCCACTAGGGGTGAGCAGGCAAATTACTGTGTTTATAATTGTTTAAATCAGTTCTTTTTTATGTGGCTATTCTACTAACAATGGACCAGTTAGTGATTAGCACAATACAGTTAGGATTATTTATTTCATTTTCCTTTTGATTTGGTCTTCTTTAATGTTTAGTTTAGTGTTATAAGAATGTAAATTATTTATATGCATCAACGTAAAATATGGTATATTCAGAGACATTTAGATTTTATCTCTGTCTCTTACATTCTATGCCCTCTGCCTTATTGGTAATTACATTTTAAAATGTTATGCATTTCATACCATTGTTTAAAATACACATTAACATATGTTCTGCAGAACTCAACTTTTCTGCATTTTCCTTTTTTCACTTAACAGATATCCTGGAGATCATTCCATCGTAGTTCATAAAGATATTCCTCATTCCTACTCATAGCTGCATAGTATACCATCATGTGGCTGTACTTTGTTTTATTCAGCCAGTCCCCTATTGATGTTTTTTGGGGGGATTATTTCCAGTAATTTTTGCTATTGTAATGGTGATACAGGGAATGGCCCTATGCCTATATATTTTCATATCATACAGTCTAATTTTTTAGTACAATAGTGACATAATGTTTTCCAGAAAGAATATATTTATCTATCCAGAGCATTAACTTCTGCCTATCATACAAAGACTTTCCTTGGACTCTTTAGTTGTTTAGTAATTGTAAAATAGTAATATAGTTTTAGCTGAAGCTCAAGCTTAAGATCTCTAGATCTTAATCTCAGAGGATTTTCTTTGAGTAAAATGTACTTTTTTCTGCTTTCAACCCAGCTATAGTTTCATTTTCATGGAGGTGTGAGATCTCTGAGACAAATTGTTTAGAGGAGGTTTGTCTTGCATCTGTTGGACATTGTAATTCTCCTCCCTTATGATGGCAGCAAAGTGATTTGAGAAGAATAGTGGCTGCCTTTTCATCTTCACTTCTGCCTTTCCACTTACATTAAAGTCCTATGCGTTTACACTGGCATTAACCCAGTCAGCACCCACAAAATGCCACAGGGGGCTCTGTATCACTGATTGTTGTAAAGAACTTTCTTGAGCCTTCATTAGAGCTTAGAGCATAATTGTACCTTATTTTGGTATTAATCACCAAGACCTAAAATCAAGTTTTTTTCCACCTTAGAAATGGAATGCATAGATGTATATTCTTTTGTATGTTTCAGAAATTGGATTTTATCTTTGTGATAGAATCACATATCTGATCCATAATGATCCTGTAGTGCTTTCTTATGTTCAATATAATTTTTAAACTGACCTTGTTTTTTTCCTTATATAAATGTATCAACTTTATCAACTAGCAATGCTCAAGGAGTTTTCTTGGCTCACAAGTTGTACATGAATGGGTGAGATCATACCTCTAAATACCATTTTTCAATAAAAATAATTAGGTTCCTGGGAGAAAAGACTAATTCATGAAGTTTGGGTGGGGCAGGAGAAGAAAGACTGGCAGAAGCAAAGGCACCCATGAGAGAGAGAGAGCAAAGATGAATTAGATTCATAGCAAAATTTTGGAGGTACAGATGGGAAATGAAAGATGGAGAAAATGATATAAAGAGTGGAGGTGTGCCTGTGCATGTCCATAAGAGATAATCTTGGAGGTGGAGTATCTTAACTATGCTGTGAGCCACGCAGAATGGAAGACAGAGTTGGTTACCTGCCTCAGTTTAGGAAGGGGAAGCAAGGTTGGGGTCAAATATGCAGAAACTTTGGGGCAGACTGGTTCAGTTCAACAAACATATACTGAGGGCTTAACTGGGCATCAAGCACCTGCATTAGATTTAAGAATACAAAGTTGAGTAGGATGGTTGCTTCCCTAGGTGAGTTTATACTTAGTTGGAGGAGTTGAAAGGGATAACACACAAGCAGATATTTACTTCTTTATAACACATTACCATAGACTTAGGGGCTTAAGACACCCACATTTATTATTAGTTGCTCTGGGTCAGGAGTACAGGCACAGCTCATCTGGGTCCTGTACTTCAGGGTGTCTTACAAGGCTGCAATCAAGATGTTGGCTAGGGCAGGGTCTTATCTGAAAGCTTGACTGGAGAAAATCTTCCAAGCTTATCTACATGGTTGTTAGTAGGATTCACTTTTTAGATGGCTGTTAGGCTGAGAGCTTTAGCTCCTTGTTGACTGTTGGCTGGACACCACCCTCAGTTCCTTGCCACACCGTCCTGCCCCATATAGCAGCATATTTCATCAAAGCCAGCAAGAGAGACAGTCTCTTTTATCAGTAAGATGGTAGTCATATTATGGATGTGGAAGAGAGGATTACACAAGGGCATGAGTACGAATAGGTGGGAATCATTGGGGGCTGTGTTGGAACCTGCCTGTCCTACAAGTGTCTGCTACAGTTCTGTAATGCCTGAGAGAGGAAGTGTTCCATGGAAGCATGAAGGAAGAGCATGGAACCTACCTGGCAGGGAAGTGGCTTCTCCAATAATGCAGTGTCTGGATGTCTGAGTGTAACCCTGAAAGACAAATAGGGATTAACTTGGTGTGTAGCTGGGAGAGGAGGAAGGGAGAGATTCCAAGCAGAGAGACTAACATGAGCAAACATTGAGGGGGTAAAATACCTGAGGACCACCATCCAAGTAGTTTTCTGTGTAAACCATGTGTGGAAGACATATAGAAGGTATCAGAAATGGAGAAAATGAAAGATGAGGGTCAGATTTTGGAGTTCCTCGTTTGTCAGGCTGAAGAATGAAGACTTTATCAAGGTGATCACAGGGAGGATTTTAAACAGGGGAATGACACAGTCCAAGTTGTGGTTTCATTAGTATGGAAGATCAATTTTAGCAGCATTTATAATGATTTAGGTGATAGATGAAGAGGGTCTGGATTAAAGTAGTGCAATAGGAGGGCATACATTTTAATTTTACAATTAGGAAGTTATTTGATATTTGGGCAAGGCAGATGTGGGAGATAGAACGGTCTGGAATGATGTCCAGGTTTTGGCAGAACATTCTTGTTAGGAAGCAGGGGAAAGAGAAGTTGACAGAGGGAAAGGAAAGGATGGAAGGGAGAGGTCTGTAAGAGTTTATGTAAGTTTGTAAATTAAGTGGCTGATGATAGGAGAGCCCAACTCAAAATACTCTTTAAAGAGCTTATGTTCTCAATTTAATCAATGTAACTGTGTAAATTTTCTTTCTAGTTAAGCCATATGTTCCTCTGGTAGGAGAGAGAATCAAATACGGAATTCATTTTTCTTGCAAACAGTTGGATAAAAGAAAAATTAGTGTCAAAATTTTAGTAAACCTAGACCAAAGGTGGGACACGCATTCACTAGTTCTATCCAGTGCTTGCAATATTGTACTCTGGCACGCAGATACTGCTATAGAATACCATTCACAAGCTATAAAGTGTCATGTAACTGACTTTTTCTTGAAAATGGAGATATAATTAGAAAAACATAAAATTAACCATTTTGAAGTGCACAGTTCTTTGCTTTCAGTATATTTACTATGTTGTAAAACCATTACTGCTAATTCTAGATAATTTCTAACACCTCCAAAAGAAACCCTGAATTTATTAGCAGTCAGTTCCAATCCCCACCCCTCCGCACTCCTACCCCTGGCAACCATTAATGTGTTTTCAGGCACTATAGATTTGCCTATTGTGGACATTTCCTATAGATGGACTCATACAATATGTAGGGTTTGTGTCTGGCTTCTTTCAGTTAGCATGATGTTTCATGGTTCATTCTCATTGAAGTATATATCAGTACTGCGTTCCTCTTGACTGTCAAATAATATTTCATTGTATGGATATACTACATTTTGTTTATCCATTCATCTATTGACGGACATTGGGTTGTTTTGACTTTTTAGCTCTTAGGAATAATGCTGCTATGAACATTCTTGCACAGGTTTTGGTGTGGACATGTGGTTTTATTTCTATTGGGTATATACTAGGAGTAGAACTGCTGCATTGTATGGTAACTATGTGTTTAACTGAGGAACCACTAAACTGTTCTCCGAAGTGGCCGTACCAGTTTCTCTTCCCGCCAGCATGTATGAGGGTCTCTATTTCTCCATGTTTTCACCAACACTTGTTATTGCCTGTCTTTTTTATTATAACCATTCTTGTGGTTGTGAAGTGGTATCTCACGTGGTTTGATTTGCATTTCCCTGATGACTCATTCAAGGTTGTTTTTAAGAATTAAATAAGCTCCCATAGGTGAAATCTCAACATGAACTTGGGTTTCAGTTCTCTGCTAGATCCAGGGGCCTTCAGAAAAACTATATTGGTATTCCTTGTCAATTTAATTTACACTGCACCTTTTTAGCTCAGGAAGCCAAAGTACAGGCACCACTTCTCACACTGGCTTTACAGGGATGGATGCTAGAATCCCCTGTGGGGCCCTATCCCAGAGCTCTGGAAGCACAATCTCAAGGGGTCTGCCCAGCCTGTGCATTTTAAATTTATTCTATTTTATTTTGAGATGGAATCTCTCTCTCTTGCCTAGGCTAGAGTATAGTGGTATGATCTTGGCTCTCTGCAAACTCAGCCTCCGAGGTTCAAGCGATTCTCCTGCCTCAGCCTCCCGAGTATCTAGGATTACAGGCGCCCACCATCAGGCCTCACTGATTTTTGTATTTTTTGTATTTTGGCCAGGCTGGTCTCGAACTTCTGACCTCAAGTGATCCACCCGCCATCTCAAAGTGCTGGGATTACAGGCATGAGCCACCAGACCCGGCCATTCTGTGCATTTCTAAAAGGCTGCACATTCAATGTCAATGCAAAGTCAAGAGTTGAGAATCACTGCCTGACTCCAGTCTGGGAGAAGAAATTGGTGGGACCTGGAGGAAAAGCAAGAGACTTAGTCTCAAGAATCTTCAGGCAGCACCATTTTTTGCCACCACAGGAGGTGCTGGTGAACACATGTTGTTCAGACCTCTCAATAAGAACTGAGAGAGTTGCTTGCCATTTCTGTAAGTGCAGAAACTAAGATTTCGATTTGGTTCAGAAGTTTAGCATTAACCCCAAATCATTGGAAGCACTAGAATTAAATGTGGGCCAGGTTTCTGGTTTGGGTGCATGGAGTCATGCAGTGTGTGTTGGTACTTGATATTTGTTTTGGTAGTTTGGAAGAAATGGCGGTTAAAATAATTTCCAAATGGTGACTGAAACAAAATTCACATGTAGTTGTTTTGGAATGCGTTTTTTACCTGCTTGTATGAAGCCAGATACAGCAGACAGTGTGGAAATTGGAAAGACACAAAGTCAGGCTACAAAGACCCAGCTTAAAAGGAAGTAGGGGAAAGTGTGTGGGAACTTCCCCTTTCTACTTTTCAGTTCTTTTTGCTTTTTACTTGGATTAAACAGTCTTGCTTTTTAGATTGACTTAAAGTTCTTAAGGAAAAACTGTTTCTCTTTAAGCTGTTTTTCTTTGGTTACAGTGGAAGTCATTGGGTTTAGGTTTAAAGGGAGGGAATTTCAAATCACCTTCGTTTCTGTCTTTTGTGTGATAATCAGAGAAAGTAGGAACGATGATAATGGTAACAATGTCAAAAGGAAGCTGTGTGACAAGAGGTTTTGCTACGTGTTAATTCAGAATTGATTGCAGTTGTCAAAGTTGCATCAGTCCCGGTCCCACGGGAAACAGCTCACCCCCAGATGGTTCTGATGAAGAGACTTCAGTGTAGGTTCTGCTTACAGAGGTGTGAGCATAGATAAGGAAAGACAAGGGACAATGAGATGCCTAGACTAGCAACTGTATTTAGCCCTTACCGGCCCTAGGACTGTAGACTGAGGGGCCCCTGGCATAAGCGGTACTCATGAAGGCACATGCTATTGCCAGGACAGGGCACTGAAGCAGCGAAGGAGTGGGAAAGAAGTGACTTGACCTCTCTCAGCTCTCATCCTGCAGTGCCCTGCCAGTGCCTCCCACTGGTCACATCCAACATGAAGCCAGCCACAAGGGAGGCTTGTGCAGGCTGCACAGATCAGCCTTTCAAGACACAGAGCAGGGCAGACAGTGGATGTGGATGGGCATAGTGGTTTTTACAATTGGAGACTAACTTGCACAGTAATCAACTGTTTTACAGTGATCACATTGTATATTTTGTTAATTTTAGAATGTATTATTTTGGAGAACTTTGAGAAATTTTGCAAGCATAGAAAAACATCCATTTTTCATATTTAAAAAACGTTCCTCAGTATTTCACATTTACTTATGCAAAAGCTTCTTGTCTTTTAGGTTGTAAACTTTGTTATGAAGTCTCTTAAACTTTGTACATTCTCCTTATTTTCCCAATATATTAGTGCATATCATTGTATTGCGATAAGCCTGAAACAGAGAGGGCCACACTGTCTTTCAGATTGGCAGAGGGTGCTTTAAAAATTCCTCTTTTCTAGATAGGGGCATAGATATTTGTGAATTATTCAAAGGTGATCACTTGCCTTTAAATCAAGTTAATCAAAGTGGAATTTAGTTTAATGTCTTTCGTAGCTCATAGCTTAGGGGGAAGATGCTGTGTGTTTGAGACATTCACATAGCTGCATATATCATCTCCTTGCAGACATAGCTGGGAATTATTTTGCTGCACACATTAGTGAAATATACCAACTTGAAATGTTTGTGCTAACCGAGTGACCTGTTTTCTGTGTCATCATGTGTGTAATTCTCTTATGTCTGAGTAAAAGGCTGAGATGAAGGTCTGTGTCTCTGGATACCCGTGGGGTTGCTAGGAAATGATTTTCGAAGTGCTCTGTGGTGATGCAGCAGGTTGAACTTTTTTTGTGAAGTGTTGTCATGGAAACCAAGTGCATCATTGCCTTGTCTGACTAATTTATCTTTTAATGATAAAAATTTGTAATCCAGGGTTAACAAATATAAATAATACAAATGCAATAAAAAACCAATAACTGTAAAGGGAATACTGCTGTAAGTAGCGAATCCTTTGAATTGGAAGATGTCACAGGAGTATTGTGTGATTCATGTTGGTAAGGGCTTGGCAGTGTGGGGAGCTAATCAGTTTGTTTTCCTTCTTGTCATTGGAGTAGGGAAACCATGATTTCACTCTGTGGCTTAGTGCTGTGGGCTTTTATTACTGACCTCGGCTCCTGAGCTTATAAGTAAAGAGGAAGGCGCTGCACACCCTGTGAGGCTCAGCAAGCTTGCCAGGGTTTTGTTTTCTGGGTGGTTGCTTAGTTGTACTTCTCCTTTATGACCTCTCACTCTGCTCTCTCCACCTAAGAGAAGGCTGGGTGACACAATGCAAGCCCTACCATTGATGAAGGCCAGTCATATGGAAATGGTGCCACAGGCTTGCTTTCTGGGCTAAGCAGTCCTACATCCCCCTTCCCCAGGAGCAGGTCCTGGAGCACAGAATCTGCCTTGACTTCCTTTTCGTGGTTAAAGGGCCCTCAAGGAGAGAAAACCTGCTCTTTTGTTTATTGAGGACAAAGTCTTATAGCATTGTAAGATATCAATGGATGCTGCTTATATCTGGATGAGTAGCTTACTATGGTAAGCTTTCCAATGAAAGGATAGGAGAACTGATCTGAAAGAAGACTTGATTCTATATTTAGTAGTTTATCTGCCTCCATAAGGATTTAGCTACTGGCGTTTCAGTCTACCTGACAGCCCCCAACCCCCTGAAGCTCTGTGTGTGTGTGTGTGTGTGTGTGTGTGTGTGTGTGTGTGTGTGTGCAGTAGACTTTTGTTGCATTAGGTTAAATATGCTCTTCAGTTTTAGACCATTCCAAAATATCTTTTATTAATATTTCCACCTTTAGGGTATGTTTGAGTTTTTTTTTTTTTTAATTTAAGGGGAAAAAGTTTGACTCTAGGCATGAGTCCTAAGATAAATAATGGAAGCGAGTCAATTTAAATCAGTATTTCACTGACTGGTGTTTACGGCCCAAATCTGTTTTCATGCTTTCATTTAGCATATATTTCCTGAGCACCTGCTTTGTGCTGGGTACTTCTGATGCACCTATTATGGATAAAAGAAGGCGCCTAGAGGTAACTTTAAGGGGCTGAGAGCAAAGGCCAGCCAGAGCTTGCAACCTGTCCAGAGCAGTTTCAGACCAGGAGGATTCCATCTGGCAGCCATACTGAAATCTCACTGGTGATGTCCCTGCATTTCTGTGACTTATTTCCTATTCCTTTGGTCATTTTCCCAGTTCCAGAATCTTGACCGCACCTCCTAATGACGATGTGGTACACGTACCCAGCATTTTGCATGATTTCCTAGTATTGACCTTCTGTAGGGAATGTCACCTTTGTTGGTAAAATGGCCCCCAGAACCTAGACCTGGAAGGACTGGGCAGCTCTTGACTCCATCTATGGCATTTTATCTTCTGCTTTGATCTCCCTACTCACCCTCACCCAACTCCACATGGGCTTCAGGGTGAGAGAAGGGGCCCTCCTCCCCTCGTTAATATCCTAGCCAACTCATACACATGAGGTTGTATTTAGTTCCCAGAGCAGAGGTGAGTCAAGACTCGCATGTTCAAGAGGACTTTACCGAACCTCAGAGATGACAGAATAGAACAGGCCGAGGGAGCACTCTGAAACTAGACCCTCTGGTTTGCCCTTGGGTGCTGCAGTACTTGTCTAGTCTACCAGAGACTCCAGTCTGGCCTTCCCTACATAGTACCTTTCCATAGAAGTTTGACCTTTATCCTCTCTCCTCCAGATTCTTCCCCAAGATTCCTAGACCCCTGACGTCCAGACCAGGTGATTCTAAATCCCTCCCAGGGTAAATGTTATCTTTGGAAGTAAGTGATTGAGAGCTTTTGCTTAGAATTCCAGCTGCCACCACTCTCTAAATGAATATTATTTGGCCTGTTTTCTCGTTCATTTAATGGGATAAGAGTAATTCCTATTTTATCTGGGACCAGTGAGGATTAAATGAGAGCATGCACGCAAAGTGCTCAATGTAATGCCTGACACTTCGTAAATGCCTTGTCATCATCATATTGTTGGAAAGACCACTCTTCCAGTGGTCTCTCACCCCCAACCCATTAGGGCTATTCTTAGCCCTCCTGGTCTAAGTACAATTATCATGGCCGTCATCTCACAGAGCAGCCCCACAGAGGCCTACAATCTGTTGTTTGTCCTTGCACCACAGCTGCCCTGGGCCCCTCTTGTATCACAGAATAATCCCATAGCCCTACCCTACCTTCCTTCTGGTATTTACCTGTTGGTTGTGATTTGTGTGTGCGTGCACGTGCTTGAGGAAACCCCAAGTTGGGAAACATGAAAATGGGAGCATAGACTAACTAATTGACCATATTTATTCACCTTTAGTATATTATTCAATTGATGAAATACTCAGAATGGCCTTTGCTGTAAAACGTCCAGCATTTTGCCTCCATTTGCTGTGTATATTTCAGCACTGGGCCTACCAGTGTATGAACAGGATTCTCTGGGACATGCTCATGTTTCTCCCTGTTAGAGTCTCATTCTTGCAGATCAAGGATTAGGAGACTAAACGGGGCATTCATTCATTCATTTAGCTATACAACAAGTAAATGTTGAGTGCCTACTGTGACCTTGAATCAGGGAATACAAACAAGGTCCTTACACTCATAGTGCTTATGTTGTAATTTATTCACCATTTTCATTCATTCATCCATTCATTCATTCAATGCATCTTGAAATTCTGTGTTCATCTTTTTGTCAATAAGGAATATTTTCTTCATATCCTTCTCTTTTTTTCACTTACACCTTCATTCGTCTATTTGTTTGGCAGATATTGATTGAAGTGGGGGCCTAATATGTGTCAGTCAATGTTTGAGACACTGAGTTACAGCAGAAAAAAAAACAAAACTAAAAATTCTTGTTTTCTGAGTACTTACATTTTAACTGGGGGAGATCACCAAGAAAAAAAATTTAACAACCTTATTTGGTTGGTACTATAATTATCCCCATTTAAAAGATGAGGAAACTGGAGCCGAGATAGATTAGGTAATTTATTTAAGGTCACACCACCAGGAAGTGGCAAAGTCACGATTGACACCCAGGCTGGCTGACTGGACTCTTAACTGCTGTGCTGTGTTGCCAGAGAGGATATTCTGGAAAGATAACTTTTGAGATAAGACTTGAAGGAAGCAAGGGAGTGAGCCATGTGGCTATCTGGAGGAGGAATACCCCAGACAGTGGGAGGTCCCGAGTCAGGAATATGCTTGGCATTTTGAGAGAAGCACAAGCAGGCCAGTGTTTTTGGGATGGAATAAGTGAGAGGGAAGAGAGGTGAGAGGACAAGGTTCTAGCTACCTGTAGACACAAATGTGGGAGTCATCAGTGCATAGATGACACTTAAAGCTATGAAACTGGATGGGATCATCAAGTGAGTGAGTATGGATAGAAGAAGAGATCTAAGAACTAGATTAAGACCTGGGGCACCCAGAAGTTAGAGGCTGGGTTGATGAGGAGAAATTCAGTTTCTAAGAATGAGTAGCCACTGAATAGGAGGAAGAAGTGTAGTGACTTTCACTTGAATGCCAAGTGGAAAAAGTGTTTTGAAGAGGAGGAAGTGATTAACTGTGTCACATGCTGCTGATAGTTCAAAAAAGATGAGGACCAATATTGGACCACTGGATTTAGCAACATGGAGGTCATCAGTGAACTTGACCAGGACAGTTTCAGTGTGGTGATGGAGGCAAAATCTTGCCTAGAGTGGTTCAAAGAGAGAATGGGGGAGAGTAAATTTAGATAACTATTTTGAGGAGTTTTTCCACAAAGGAAGGGAAAAAAATGAAATGATATTGGCTGGGAAAGTGTTCTATAATGTCAATTTAGTTCAGTTGGATGATGGTATTGTTTGGTTTTTCTATATTCATGCTTATTTTCTGTCTAATAGTTCTATTAATTACTGAAAGAGACCTCCAACTGTAATTGTGAATTTGTCTATTTTTGCCTTTAGTTTTGTCAGTTTTTGCTTTATGTATTTTGAAGCTCCGTTGTTTGCTAATTGTATATTTAGTATTTTCATGTATGCTTGGTGAATTGACTTTTTTATGATTATGTAATTTCCCTTTTTATCCCTAGTAATTTTCTTTAATCTAAAGTTTACTTAGACAGATATTCCCTTTGTTTGATTAGTATTCACCTGGTTTATTCTTTTCCATTTGATTCTACCTGTATAATTATGTTTGAAGTGAGTTTCTTATAGATAGCATGTAGTTGGGTCATGTGTTTTTAATTCATTCTAACAATTTCTGTCTTTTAATTGATTTATTTAGACCATTTACATTTAATGTCCATACTTTTATTATTTGCTTTATGTTTGCTTCCCCTGTTTTTCATTCCTCTGTTCCATCTTTTCTGCTTTTTCTGGTTTATTCAAACATTTTTTAGTATTCAATTTTAATTTATCTATTGTGTTTTTTACTACATCTCTTTGTGTAGATTTTTTAGTGGTTGCTCTAGGGATTATCACACACACACTTAACTTTTCATAGTGAACTTAGAAACGATATTCTATGTCTTCAAATTATATAAAGAAATCTTCATGTGTGTCTTTTTTATCCAATCTTCTTCATAGTTATTTTATATACTAGTTATATGTACATTGAAAACTCCATTAGGCCATGTCATAAATTTTTCTTTCAACTGTCAAACATACTTTAAAGAATTCAAGAGAAGAATAATCTACTATAGTTACCCAAATATTTACAATCTATTGCTTTTCCTTCATTCGTGATGTTCCAAGTTTTCTCCTAGTATCAATTTCCTTTAATCTGAAAGCTTTTCTTTAGAATTCTTTTAGAGCAGGTCTGTTGACAACTGATTTTTAAGTCTTTTCTGCATTTGAGAATGTCTTTATTTTACCTTAATTCCCTATGAATATTTTCATAAAATATAGAATCCTGAGTGAACAGGTTCCCCCCACCCCAGGACTTTGAAGATGATATTTCACTACCTTCTGTCTCCCATGGTTTCTGGTGAGAAACCTTTAGTCATTTGAATTATGGTCCCCCTGTAAATAGTGTACCATTTTCTTTGGATGCTTTCAAGAATTTTTCATTATCTTTAGTTTTCAGTAGTTTGATTATGTTTCTGGACATGGATTTCTTGGAGTTTATCGTGTTTTGAGTTTGCTAAGTTTCTTAAATATATAGGTTTATGACTTTTGCCACAGTTGGAAATATTCCAACCATTATTTCTTCAAATATTTCTTTGTCTTCTCTTTCTGAAATTCCATGACATGATTTTAAGACCTTTTGTTATTGTTCAGGTTCCTAAGACTCTGTTTTTTTAGTTCAGTCTTTTCTCTTTTGTTCAGATTGGATAATTTGTATTGAATCATGTGCAAAGTTCACTGATTCTTTTCTTCAATCATTCTAACATTGAGCCTATCCAGTTGGTTTTTTATTTTGGTTATTCTATCCTTTAGTCATCAGATTTTCATTTGATTCTTTTTTATATCTTCTATTCTTTGCTGAGACTTTAAATCTTTCCAGTTGGTTCAAGTGTTAACTCTTGCTTATTGGAATTTTTTATAATAATTGCTTAGTCTTTGTCAGATAATTCCAGCATCTTTGTCATTTTTGTGTTGACATCTATATTACTGAGGGCTCTTCATAGAAACAGAACCAATAGGATACACATAGATATACAGAAAGTGGTTTATTACAAGGAATTGGCTCATGTAGTTATGGAGGCAGAGAATTCTCATGATCTGACATCTGCAACCTGGAGGCCTGAGAAATCTGGCAGTGCAGTTCTAGTTCAAATCTGAAGGTCTGAGAACCAGCAGAGTCAATGTGTAAATTCTAGTACGAGTCCAAAGGCCAGAGAACCAGGAGCACTGATGGCCAAGGGCAAGAGAAGATGAATGTGCCAGCTCAAGAAGAGAGAATGAATTTGCCCTTCTTCTGCCCTTTTGTTCTTTTCAGGCCTTCAACAGATTGTATGATGTCCACCCACTTGGTGAAGGTGAATGTCTTTACTCAGTCTACTAATTCAAATGCTAATCTTTCCCAGAAACATCCTTACAGATACACTCAGATATGTTTTAAAAGCTATCTAGGCATCCCTTAGCCCAGTCAAATTGACACATAAAATTAATCATCACAACATCTGTCAATTATCTTGTCCCATGCAAGTTGTAATTTTCCTGGTTCTTATGTCCAGGAATTTTAGATTGATTATAAGACTTTGTATCTTGATTAAATCTTATGGTGAATCTTGATATTTCCGTTTTAGCAGGGAATCAACCCTGTTGGGTTCAGACCACAATTTCTAGTCAGCCTTCTTTTGTGGTTATATCAATTACATTTTTAAAGCCTTTTCAATGCTCTTTGAATATGTCCCATGTGTATGCCACCCAGTGGCCAGTCTGTGACCTGAAAAGTGATCTGTCTCATAATTTAGTTCTCTGTAATGTGCTTTTTAGTGTTAGATCCATATATATGCAGCTTGGAGGTGATGCTAGCAGTACATAAACAACCTATGGCTTCGATTTTCCAAGCACTTCCTTGTTTGCAATCTCTTGGTATTTTCAAGTTCCCTGGGGCTACTGATATCTGGCCACCTTTCTTTTCTCTAATTCTTTGTACAATAAACAACACCAATCTTTTCTCTCCTTTACTGGATAATTTTAGTGTGGAAAATAACATCTAACCTTTCTGAAATCGAAATCCACACTTTTGATGAACATGATCCAATTCCAATCTCTTATGCTTATGTAACTTTAAAACTTTCCACACATCTTTCTAACAAACATGGGCTCCTCTAGCTTTAGCTGTATTGTAAGATCTTAGATGAGGTTAAACACCTTCCTGTTCAGAGCTTTCATTCTTGTAATAACCCAGGCTTGTCTCTCCAGAATGCTCTTCTACTTGGGTGGCTTTTAAAGCATGTTTGTTTATAGCTGCTCCTGGTCCATTATCCCCTGGGAACACAATGTTTTATAGGGGGTCCTTGAGCAGAAAAACACAGCAGCAACCCTAACCCTTCGACGTCAGTCTCTCCAAGTGCATCTAAGTTTAAGTGTTTTGCTTCCTTCATCAGTACTTTTTCTGTGATCCTTCCTTTTCAACAAGCTCTCCAGTAACAGCACAAGACAAAAGTTAAAATGAAGCTTTTTTTTTTTGTATTTCGTTTTAGTCATTCAATTGAGAGTTTTTTGAAAGGGCAATTTAAATTTGTTTTGTTTTGTTTTGTTTTGAGATGGAGTCTCGCTCTATTGCCCAGGCTGGAGTGCGGTGGCGCGATCCCGGCTCACTGCAAGCTCCGCCTCCCGGGTTCACGCCATTCTCCTGCCTCAGCCTTCCGAGTAGCTGGGACTACAGACGCCCGCCACCGCGCCCGGCTACTTTTTTGTATTTTTAGTAGAGACGGGGTTTCACCGTGTTAGCCAGGATGGTCTTGATCTCCTGACCTCGTGATCCGCCCGCCTCGGCCTCCCAAAGTGCTGGGATTACAGGCGTGAGCCACCGCGCCCGGCCAAGGGCAATTTAAATTTTAATTAAAACTCCGAGGTCACAGGAGGTCTCGTAGACAGGATTCTACTCATGTAGAAAGAAAGTAGAAACCATAAGATAACCTAGTGTACATCTGCCTTGTCACCAGTCAGATAATCCTATGCCAACATCTTCTCCATCACTAGGGCTAGCTATTAATATCTTTTCAGTAAAATATGCTATTTAAAGTGTTATACCCACACTAATTATTCAAACACATTCAAATTGAAATTAACTAAGCTGACAATTATTCAGTACCCATTTTATGCAATAAGTGTTGTGAAAGGAAATAAAGAAAGAAAAATACATAACTCTTACCTCCAAGAAGCTTTCTGATTTGCATTTCCATAAAATAAAATTATTTTGTCTTTCAAATACAGGTTTCCAAATACAGAGGGATAAAATGTTGAATTAACCTTTTGAATAATACGTAGTTGCAACTAAGCAGCGTTTTCCTAAATAAGCATGTTTACAAAACTTCCTAGGAAGTGACCAGATTGCTATTCATTTTAGTAACACATAGTGAATTTTTTTAGTGCAAAAATGAGGGATAAAGGAGAAAAAGTGAGACAGTTGCAAACAGGAGTTGCAATCAACAAGGGAGACAGCAGCCAAATGAAAAGAGTTCTTTTTCTAGAGCACTCACTAGTATAGCATTTTTGGAAGAGTGGCTTTTGAATAAAACATCCGGAAAACTGGTTGATACACTTACTGTCAGTTCAGCACGCACACCTCATTGCTTTTCTTCGGCAAGTATTGGGAGTAACTCATCATTATAGTCAAATATGTATTCAAATGCTTTGACTACTGGAGATATCATAGTTCAAAGTGTATTGCTCTTGAATCTGAAGAAAGAACCTTAATTGATGTTTAATGTGAACTCAGATATTGAGAGAAGAATGATAAGACGTCACATATTTCAACAGATTTAAAGTAATTTGAGGAGGTAAACAGGCATAATCATTTTACTTATGGCACAAAAACAATCATAGTAAGAATAGTTACTAATATTTATTGAGCACCACATGAAGAGCATGATGTGCATTACCTCACTGAATCATGCAGCAATCCTGTCCTATAAGCACTATGATCCTTATCTCCATTTTACCAACATGAAGGATTAGAGGTTAGAGAGGTTCAGTAGCTTGACCAAGGTCACACTGTTACTAAGTGATGAGGCCAAGTCTGGGTGCCAAGGCCAGTTCCCAGCCACCATTCCTCCCTCTCTCATGAGATCATGTGTTCTTCAAGCAAAGTTCACGTTGGCCATCAGATTATTTCTCTGGGAAAATATTAAAGCTGCATTGATTTGCTAAAGAAACCACAAGTGTCTGGCTAACTTGCATTTCAAATTTTGCTTTAAAGTTTTAAAGTTATCATTTTAAGAACAGCTGCTGTAGCTGCTATAATGCCTCTGGAAAAGATAGCAGAAAAAATCCACTGCCTTGCCCACCACTACTACAAACAACAGCAAAACTTTCTCATGGTTCAAATCCTTCCTTAACTTGTCCCAACACCAAATTCACGCAAGGTGTATGCCGATGAGCCTCCTGTAAAATATCCAGAGCTTCTAATTTGGGGTAAGATGAATTAAGCACTCCATTCTCTCTCTCCAACTTAATGCAATTATAAAACCTGGCGAGAATGCATGGAGCAATTATTTAAGAACCTTGAAAAGTAAATAGTAACAGGTAGATTGGGAGGGCAGCCAGAAATGGAAGAACTACCAAACTGGTGGTGTGTTTACAATTTTCCCCTCACTGGTATCCCTCAGCCTGTATCCAGTGCTCTCCAAGAGACCTCCCTGAGTCCTTAGTTCTGGCAGAAGGCACAGGAAAAGAAAGGTGGCCAAATATCAGTAGCAAACGTGCTTAAAGAGAAGTTAACAGTTATTAGCTCAACATATTTCATCTACATCAGCATGTTTTAAAGTATGTTTCAAAGGACAATAGTTGTGCAGAATGTTAGGCTCAAATGAACAAAAAAGCAAAATAGTGGAGATCCAGTGCTGTTTGGGATTAGGCTCTTTGTAAACCACTAAAAGAAGCTAGATATATTTCTAATTTGGTAAAATAATAGGTATGATTTGGAGATCCAGTTTATTATGGCTAAAATTTATTAGTGAGACTTTAAGACATCAGCTCCTTCTGTTAGAAGTTTTATATCAAAATGTCAGTCAAATTTCTTTTTCTTTTTTTAATTTATTTATGTATTTATTTTTTGAGGCGGAGTCTCCCTCTGTCGCCCAGGCTGGAGTGCAGTGGCACAGTCTTGGCTCACTGAAAGCTCCATCTCCCGGGTTCACGCCATTCTCCTGCCTCAGCCTGTAGCTGCGACTACAGGCACCCACGACCTCGCCTGGCTAATTTTTTGTATTTTTAGTAGAGACAGGGTTTCACCATATTAGCCAGGATGGTCTTGATCTCCTGACCTTGTGATCCGCCTGTCTCGGCCTCCCTAAGAGCTGGGATTACAGGTGTGAGCCACTGCGCCCGGCCAAATTTCTTTTTCTTATTAGATTTAACATTCTAAGAAATACCAAAGATAAAAAGTATAATACCAATCAATTATACTTTTTAATATCAACTATACCATGTTTATTCTATTTTTTAAAAGTGGTCTCTTTTAATCAAGGCTTTGCAATGATGTTGATGGGAAAAGTTTATGGTGAATTTTATAAATATAATTCAGTAGCTTGAGCCTAACTTTTTTGGAGTGCAAGAGGAGTGTCTAAGAAGATATCTTCTATGGTATGTCCATAGATAAAAATGTAATACCTTTAGACAGAGCCAACTATACTACCAGAAAATATAATCTGTATGTTAAGTAAGCCATTTAGGAGTTAGCATTGCATTTTTTTGTTTTGAAAAAACACCCCAGCTTTATTGGAGTATGCTTTATATACCATAAACTTTATCAAATTAAAGTGTATAGTTTCATGAATTTTAATAAATCTATATAGTTATGGCAACATCACTACAATCTAGTTTTAGAACATTTCATTACCCCTAAAAGATCCCTAGCACCTGTTTACAGTTGAGCCTGCTCCCACTCCCAGACCCAGACAACCACAGATCCTCTTTCTGTTGGTTTTAACTTTTCTGGAAATTTTATATAAATGGAATCATACAATATGTAGTCTTTTTTGCCTGAGTTCTTTCAGTTAACATGCTTTCAAGGCTCATTCATGTTGTAGCATGTGTGAGTAGTTGGTTCCATTTTATTGCTAAGTGGTGTTCTACTATATGGATAGGACACATTTTGTTTGTTCATTCATCAGTTGGTGGACATTTTGGTGATTTTTAAATTTTTGCTATTATAAGTAATGCTGCTGTGGACATTTGCATACAAGTTTTTGTGTGGATGTGTGTTTTTGTTATTTCTCATGAGGAGATACATCAGAGTGAAGTCAGGGTTGTATAGTGACTCCTTAAGTCATTGCCAAAATGTTTTCCAAAGTACTTGTAACATGCTGCATTTCCACCGCCACCGCTGCATCCTTTTCTGCTTGATTAAATGGTTAATGTTTGGTCTGAACTTAAGAGCAGGAAGCAGGGTATGTGGGAGAGTTGAAGAAGACACTCCACCACCACCACCACCACTGCAACAAGAAGGGCACTGGGGAGTCAGATTGGATGACACAAGCCAAGCCATGATAGGACTGCAGGAAACCCAGGCTTGAAGATCG
Source organism: Homo sapiens (assembly GCF_000001405.40). Classification (NCBI taxonomy): domain Eukaryota; kingdom Metazoa; phylum Chordata; class Mammalia; order Primates; family Hominidae; genus Homo; species Homo sapiens. Next base: position 77,244,156 of record NC_000005.10, read on the forward strand.
TAGCAGACATACAAACTAATCAGATGGGTTTTAGAAAGACTTAGCTTGGGGGTGGGGTAAACCGGTGGCAGCAGACCTCTGAAATGGCACAGTAGGACTCCAGCTGTAGGCTCAGCTCTAGAGAGGAAGACTGAAAACAGAAAGAGCAACAGGGCCCTCAGCCACTTGCCTTGGGTTCATGGCAGGGCTGCAGCCTTGGGGTACTCCCAATGTGGCCAAAGTCACAGGGTCACGTATAGAGATGGGACCAGGTCAGGAAGGAAAGAGAAATGATCTGGGTCTAGGAAACCATACAGGCTCCAGGGGCAGCCTTAGGGCAACTTGCAGTGAAGATGCCATAGAGGCAAGCTTCTTAACAGAAATACATCTGTTGGGAGTGGCCCAGCAGGCCTCAGTATATTGTATAGAAAGCAGAGACTTTGAAATAATAATAATAATAACCAACCTGTATATAGTTCTCACTTTATACTAAGTACTTTTTTAAGTGCTCTCTCTCTCTCTATATATAAATTTTTTAAATTCTCACTGCAACCCCACAGGATAGATACTGTTATCTCATTTGATTAAGCAAGACACTAAGCATCAAGAGATGGAGTGACCTGCCCAAGGTCACGCAGCTATTAAGTAGGTAAACTAGGATTCCAACCAAGACTGGCTGGCTCCAGGGGCCATCCTCTTGACCACTAAGCTAGTCACCCCTCAATGTAATGCTTATCACCTCTGCCTGAATGGACTCAAAAACTTGTCATCCAGGGCAGGGGGTGCTGAGAATCTCAGCATAGGAGAGGCAAGACCCTAGCTGAAAGTTTAATACAAAAATATCACGCAGACATAGGCCACAGATTCCAGTGAATGTGTAATCATAGGCAAGGGGAAAATACTGTATCTTAAGGGAAACCTTAAGTGAAATATTCCTTACATTGTTTTTTTAAAAACAGCCAAAAATCTCCCTCTAGCTCTGCAGTTAATATTTGAGCTATGTCTAAGATAGGTCCAAAAGTAATGAACTAGAACATTGTCATACAGGCTTTGCATGATTTTAGCTACTCTCCATTGGTTTGAATAAAATACTCTCCTACTCTCCAAATTAGCGAAATGTTATACAAGCTAACAATGGTTTAAAAAATGAAGAGTGTCTTGAGTAAAATAAAATAACTTTGTTTTTTAGGGGGAGCATTAAAATAAAAAGAAGAGTACATTGAAACCAAATTATCAATGCTTTGTAACTTTTCTGTGACTTTATATGCAAGATAATTAGATTTTTTAAAAGAGACATATGGGTAGTATCATTATCATTAACAATGACTATTTTCTGAGAATTGACAGTCTCTCTGATCGTACAGAAGACAAGGCCCAGACCTTCAGGAACTTAGAGTTCAGAGAATGAAGTGAGATGATTATTATTGGGCCTCCTCTGCCTGCCTCATTTCCTCTTTCTCTTTGGTCTTTATTTCATGGAGCAGCTTGTGTGTGTGTGCACATGTGTGCATGTTCACTAAGGGCTATGCACTTATTTGACCCTCACAGCAGCCCCGTGAGATAGATATATTATTATCCTCATTTTAAAGAAAAGGAAACTGAGGTTTAGTATTTACATATGATAACTTATCTGAGATCATTCTGATCAGAATCTGTGTTCTTACTACTATGTATTTTGTACCCCTCCTCTCTCCTATAACCTCCTCCCCCCCCCGCCCCCCCCCCCCAACTTTTTGAGATAGGGTCTTGTTCTGTTGCCCAGGCTGGAGTGCAGTAGCACAGTCACAGCTCACTGTAGCCTTACCTCCTGAGCTCAAGCAATCCTCTTGCCTCAGCCTTCCAAGCAGCTGGGACCACAGGTACGCACTACCACGCCCAGCTAACTTTTTACATTTTTTGTAGAGATGGGTTCTTATTATGTTGCCCAGGCTGGTCTTGAATTCCTGAGCTCAAGCAGTCCTCCTGCCTCAGCCTCCAGAAGTGCTGGGACTACAGGCATGAGCCATCATGCCCTGCCCTATTGTCTTTTATTTTTCCTCCTCAATTGGTCATAATATTAAAAAAAAATGCATTTTAGGTCATTTGATGGATTTATTGCATTCATGCTATTATTTGACTTCATTGATCTACAAATGATTGTGCCATTCTGGCTTGTGGGCGTGGGGGGTTCCCTCAGAGGGCAGGTCCCAGGACAGTTAGGTTGTTCGTGGGGACTCCTCCGCCATCTGAGGTCAGGAAGAGAAAACAAGGGCAGAGCCTGACTTATGTACAATTTATTGCAGGGTTCTGAAACTCCCGCCTGAGGTACCGGTCTGGCTCACTACCTATTTTTGTATGGCTCATGACTTAAGAAAGGGATTTACATTTTTAAATGCCTGAAAGAAAGTTAGAAGAAAAAAACATTTTATGACAGGTGAAAATTATCTGAAATTCCAATTTCGGTGAACTTAAATAATGTTTTATTGAAGCATAGCTGTGTTCATTTATTTACTTATTGTCTATGATAGCAGTCACACTTGCAGAGTCGAATAGTTGTGACAGAGACCAAATGGCCTGCAAACCCAAAAATATTTACTGTCTGGGGCCCTTTACAGAAAAAGTTTGCCAATCCCTGGTCTACTGGAGCAGGTTGGAGAAGCTGTGAGCTCGTTGAGGAAAGTGACTAAGCTTTACAAAGGAAAAGAGCCAGCAGGCAACATGGTGTTCTTGTTGGGTAAGAGTTCTTCAGACTCTGGCTTTGATCTTGACTCCACCTGTGTGACCTTAACTCCACCTGTGTGACCTTGAGCAAGTTACTTTGCCTGTCTATGCTCATATTTCATATTTATAAAGTAGTGATAATCGTAGTTCCTACCTCATAGGTTGTTATAAGGATTATATTTATATGCTAATCTTGTCAACAGTGCTTTAATATAAATGTAGCACACAAATAAGTTAATTAAGGTTCATTGTTGTGCTATGGGCGTTTCCTCTAGGCTTCATACAACAGGGCCCTACTGGCCCCTAAACCTCAGCCACTCTGGATGGCACCCCACCCTTAGAAATATGAGACCTTCTGGTTGGCTCCTGAGATCCTTCTGTCTCCAGCACAGGCTCTGGTGGCTCACAGGTGTACTTTTCTCCTTATTGTTCTGGGCCAGTAGCTCCCAATGCCAGCCCTTTCAGAGGCTCCTGCCCTCTGTTCCGCAGCAGGAGGTGTGATGCGGTCCTGGCACTGCAGTCACGCAGGGTGCCTCGGGGTCCCAAATGAGGGCCATGTCATTCTCACACGAGCCTCCCTCTGTGTCATATCACAATGAGTGCATCCCTGATGGCCCTGTGGGGCCACAACCATGAACATTAGTCCAGAGCAGGGGTCGAGCCATGCCCTGCGGTGACCCTGTGTGACCTGCTGAGGGCCTGGCTGCTCTGCATGTTCATCAATATCACTTTTATGCAGCAGGTACCACATGCCAGGCCTCGGGCTGGGGCTCTGCACACATCACCCTTCATCCTCATGAGATCCCTGCAGAGCAGCACAATACCCATCTTACAGTGGGGAGGTCACCACAGCAGTCAGCAAAGTCTCCCTCCTGTATCTAGGGCTAAATGTGTTCCTTCCCCCTCCCTGAGGGCCAGTGTTCTGTAGAGATTTGGTTTCCCTCAAGAGAGGTGGAAATCATGTCCTAGTATGATAACTATGAATCCTTTCTGCCTCTTACCCTTGGCTGCCTCATCCCCTCACCCTTAGGCCACATTGGTTTCTCCTAAGCACCATGTGTAGTAGGTATTCAGTAAATGTTTGCTGTCCAGGGGATCCATGCAGGAAGGTCTGAGGTTACAAGCAGGTAAACAGAAAAGCCCACAGCACTTCACCCGCATGGTGGTGTTTGGATCTATTATAACAGCACGTCTAAGCCAGGCCTGTTCATCCCCCATGGGACAGCTGAGAAAACAAAGGTAGGTGCAGAGAAGTGAAGTGATTATTCCAAAGTTACAGTCACAAACCCAGCTCTGACTCTGAAACAGAAAAGTGTTCTAGGCAGAAATGACAACTGAGGGCTAATGAGCATTAACTGGACTGCAAGCTCGATGAGGGCAGGGGCTATTGCATGTTTATTCACTGTTGGAACCCAAGGGCCAAGAATGCTGGCTGGCTCATGGGAAGTACCCAACTAATATGGGTGGAAGTCATAGCAAATATTGTTGCCAAGGTGCGGATGAATCAGGAGCTTCCTATTTGGATGGGAAGCAAAGGAGAGAGTATAACTGCACTGAGAGGGATACCTTCTATCCTCAAGAATTAAGAAACCCCCAATTAAATTAGTTTTTGTTGTTGTTGTTGTTGTCTAATGAGCTTCAGTTTCTTCTGTATCCACAACACGGATCATTGGCCTTGGTGACAAAAACTTCCTTGCCCCAGTATACCTTATCACTACAGGGAAAAAGTCCGTGTGTACCTACCGTGAAGAAACAAGGTTGTTACCTGACACACTAACAACACATCAGATGCACTTGCAGAATCCGGCTTGTCTCTGGGGAAAGAAACAATCTACTTATGCCAGAAAACCTCTGGAAATTTACACATCGTATGTGGTGCTATGGACTGAATTGTGTCCCTCCAAATTCATGTGTTGAAGCCCTAACTCTCCATGTGACTGTATTTTGGAGATTGGGTCTTTAAGGTGGTGATTAAGGCTAGATGAGGTCACAAGGCTGGGGACCTGATCCAACAGGATTAGTATCCCTATAAGAAGAGACACCAGAAAGCTACTCCCCACTCCCTGCCATGTGAGGACACAGCAAGAAGACAGCCATCTGTAAGCCAGCAAGAGAGCCCTCACCAGGAACCAACCCTGCCAGACCTTGACCTTGGACTTGCTAGCCTTTGGAACTTTGAGAAGATAAATTTCTGTTGTTTAAGGCACCCAGTCTATGGTATTTTGTTATGGCCACTCAAGTGTACTAATACATGTAGTTTCCCAGGATTAATCCATTTATATAACCAATATCTGGCTGGAGAGACCTTTAAATCTTCAACAACAGAAGCAGAATTCTTCAAATGATGCCACTAGTAGTTAATGAATTCTATCCAAATAAGTAGCAGGTATAATGATCCATATTTTTACAATACGAAAAGCAGCATTTAACTATTTTCTGTTTACAAAAGTCACACCACAAACACTGTCCACTTTAATTCTCAGAGTAGTGCTATGATATTGTGAGAGGCAAGAAAATTCAAGCTCAAGAGAGGTTGAATGAGTTATCTAAAGCCACATAGCTTCTAAGTGGCAAAGCTGAATTCTAGCCTCAGTGTTTGACTTTTGGACAAGACTGTGTAGACTCAGGGAAATAGTTTAGATTCTCTGACCTTTCATGGCTGTATCTACCAAGTGGCAAAAAAGAGCTCAAAATAAGGCACTGTAACCCAAGGAGAAATCAGGAAAATTTAGAACGAAGGTTTTGTCTTTGTCCTTAATTTACCTGACAGCATTTTCTGAAGTAATGGATGTCTCAAAAATGTGTGGGATGCAATATGCCACATTTGCAGCAATTGCTAGGCAGAATAAGGAGAATTGGGGAAGGTGTTAGCGGCATCCTGCCTTATCAGCTGTCAAGGCCATTTGCTCTTGTTTACCTGAAGCATGCCACTTAAGAAGCACTTCATTTTCCACTGATAAAAATTAGAGGATTTAAATTTTGGGGGCAAGGATTCCAGAATGAAAAAAACCATTTGGCTGAAGTGTGTGCATTTGATCTCTTGGAAAAAACAGAGATTTGTGAAAACAAAAACCATTACAAGTCGATGCAAGCCTCGTACAAGAAGATGTATGCAGAGGTTTCTTCAGTTGGTCAGGCTTATGCACACGTCCCTGTTATACAATCACTGAATTACTGCTTTGCTTAATTGCTTCCATTTTAAAGAGAAAAACAACGTAATAAGACTAAGATCTAAAAGGAAAAACATGCAATGCTTCTTTCTCATCAAACTGGGAGAGGAATAAGAAATTAACATTTATTGCATGCTTACTCCATGTCAGGCTCTGTGCCAGGCTCTTGGGATGGGTATGTTGCATTTTCATCTTCACAGCAACTCTGTGAGGTAGAGAGTATCATTTACATTTTTACGAATTAAGAAATAGAGTTGTTAACTTCTTCAAGCTTTTTCTCTTTGGAACTTGGGGATTGAAACAAGATCAGATGACTCAGAAATCCTTGCCGTCGCTGCTAATGGAATCCAGTTACTCCCTTCCCATTCTCCCTCTATGATGATTCCAGGAAGGGATGAGGCCCTCTTGACCCTGGGGTATATGAGGACAAGGGACCTGGGACAGGGACACTTTTCGTAAGTGCCACACTTCAAGGTAAAAATGCCCATCTTTGCTACTTAAAGAGCAAGTTCCTCTTGAGGTTCTGGGGTGCCTTCCCTTCTTCCTCATTAACTTATTTCTCCCACAGTGAAAGCAGAGAAGGTCTCTTTTCCATGTGACGATGACTTTTGTATTTTTGCCTGCCCAGTGATAGTTCCCTTTGCAGGGTCCACAATCAGGGTGAGGTGTGGGGAGGTCTCAGTCTCTCTATAGCTTTGGATGATCTGAAATTGTCTGGGAGTCACTTTCCAGCCTGGGTCATTGGTGGCCTCAGGATTCACTGACAAGTCCAGAAGAACAAGACATGTTTCCTGGGCCGCCAAGGTCCCTCTTCTCAGATGTGAGGAGGGGATGCAAAAGGCTACTCCAGGAGACATAGCATGATTCTGCAAGTGCATTTTGGCTGAACATCATGAGATGTATTTTTCTTTGTAGATCAGGTTATAAAAGCACATAGTATAGATACTGGACTAAATAACCATCTGTAGTAGTGTAATTCAGCCACATTATAGGTTCTTAAAGACAGTTTCGATAGCTAGGGAGGCTGTTTAACAATAGTAGCTAGGAGCATAGACTTTGAAGTCAGACTGTCTGGCTTTGTATCTCAACCCTACCACTTAGCTGTGTAACCTTGGGCAAGTGTTCTTGGACCTTTATGTGCTTCAGTCTCTATCTGTAAAATGAAAATGGTAATACTGACCTTACAGCGTTGTCAGGAGTATTGCTGCTAAGAAGTGGCAATTCTGAGGATGATCCATTTGAAGGTCATCTGTATTTTTTTCTCTGGCTGTTTTTAGGATTTTCTTTGTCTTTGGTTCCCTGCAGTTTCACTGTGATGTGTGTAGGTGTGACTTTCTTCTTATATAAGTGCCACACTCCTAAGTAAAAATGCCCATCTTTGCCGCTTAAAGAGCAAGTCCTCTTGAAGTTCTGGGGCATGCCCCCCTTCTTTATTAATTTATTTCTGCTTGAGTTAAAGCAGAGAAGGTCTCTTTCCCATGTGAGAAAGACTTTTGCATTTTGCCTGCCCAATTGCTTGGGAATTGTTGGTTCTCCTGAGTCCATGGATTGATGTCTCTGATTGGCTGTAAATTATTTTCAGTTATGACTTCTTCCCATGATACTTCTTCCCCATTTTCTCCCCCTTCTCCCTCTTGAACTCCAAGTAAATAAATGTTAGACTCTCCCACTGTATCCACCGCATCGCTCTCTCTCTTCCTTTTTTTGTGTCTGTGTCGTATTCCAGATAGTTTTCTGATATTTTGTGGTTTAATTCTCTGTTCAGTTGTATCTTAGCAGCTGTTAAATTCTTCCACTGATTTATTAATTTTGATTATTACTTTTTTCAGTTCTAGAATTTTAATTTGTTTCTTTTTCAAATCTGCCAAATCCTCTTCTCATAGTTTCCAATTTCTTTCTAAAATTTAAGCCTTTGTTTTTAATGCCTTTGAGTGCTATACATATGGTTGTATTACAGTCTGTAGCTGGTAATTTCAGTATTCGAAGGCAGCCTCTATTTCTGTTGTTTCTACTGGCTCTCGCCTGTGTGGTTACATGTGCTCATGAATCTGGTTATCCTTCACAGCTTTGGCTTCTGCTGAGTGTGGGGTGTTGTCTGGTGACTGACTTATTCTGAGTGCAAGGCTTGAGGTGTCCTAGATGACTCGTTGCTGCAAGGCAGGCTGACAGTCCACCCCAGAGCTGGTTCACTTGGGATTCACCCTTTCCCAGAGTTGTAGCCTTTGGGGCACAGATGAATCTGGGTGGTTCACTACATTCTCCACTTTTGGTGTCCCTGGCTTTTCCTTTAGCCTCCTTTTACCCTTGAATCTGTTAAAATAAGAAGCTCAGTTTTACAACTTTTTCTACCAAATTAGCAAATACTCATGGGTACTCAATTTACCCAAGTAGGTTCTCAGTTTCTAGAATTTGGTCTTCCAGTGCTTACTACATTGATAACTCTTTGAGGCCTTTTAAGAGGATGTTTTAAACTATTCAGTGTTTTGAGTTGTCCTTATTGGGCACGTTGGTCCTAATTTCTTAGTGTGCCATTACTAGAAGTGGAAGTTCCCCATTCTGACTTTGATACAAGAAGATTGGTTGCCCTATTATGTCTGTTGCTGTTTGTTTGAGGAAGATACTTTTGTGACACCTTTTTCTGCCCATTTCCCTTTTTGATACTCCTTTTTCCTATATAAGAACTATATTTATTTGATTTGGAAAGGGGTAAATATAATCATCTTATCATTCCTCCTGGCAGAGGTAGCCGTTGAGGAGTAAGGCTTTTTTGATGAGTAGAACACTGGTGATTTGACAGAAAAGAATAATACTTCTGGCCAATATTTTCCATTAATTTTTCTGTTACCATCTTAAAAGCATCAGAGTTTAAGGAGATAATTTTCTATTTCGACCCTTCCATTGAGGTCACTTTTTTTACGAAGTCTAATCTCTGCAATTATGACATCACATTTTATTGTAGAGCAAAGCATTGTACTTTCAGAGGGCAAATATCATTTAAGTGATAGAACTGATTTTTCCCCCAAAATAAACACAGCTCAAGAAAAAGCAGCAAGAAAATTAATTGGTATACTAGGAGCAGGAACTGATCTCCTGGTTTGCTAGGTAAACATCTGTTTTTAGGGTAATATCAGGTGTTCCTCTGAGGGAAATTTGTACTTTAATACATGAATATATTGGTTCAAAGTAATTATGAAGAAAACAGTGTTCCATGTGTGTTGCGATCTTATTGTAAATGAGTATAAATTTTAAAGGGTAAAGGATCGTAGTAATCAAGTCACACTTGAAAATTCTTCACCTGGAGACACCTAATGATTAATGTAAATGAGGTTGGAGAGGAAAGACTATGAGAGGTGCTATTTGCTGCTGTTGTATTTTCCTTAGCAGTTTTCCCCTTTCACATCTTTGGATTCCAAATTCCTGTCTCCAAAGCATCAAGCTTTCTAATGATTGGCAAAAACCACTCAAAATATTAACATTTGTATTCTGCTTCTTAGAAGAAACCTTTGAAATATGAGAGAAAAAGAAATTGAAGATGACTGCGCCTATAGATTTATTTTATTCATTTGAAATTTTACCAGCATAAAGTCAACTTATAGTGAACATAATTCTCTTTCAAAAAGTCTTCATTTGACGTTACCCTCCAAAGATTGCTTAGATTAATGGGACGAAAGTTTTGGGTAAAAGCTTGGGATACCTGAAATTTGCAGCTGTATACCCCTGGCTCTTGATGTGAGACTTGACATTGAACCTTACAAAGAGGGCAACCTTAGGTGATATCATTGGTCACAAATGCATTACAGAAAATGTTTTCTCTTAGTTAAATTGATATATCTAGCTCCTAAGTTGATTGATTCAATACAATTGAAGACTGAACTATAATGGATTTTGAGTATTCTATATTTTATTTAGTATTTATATATATAAATATGTAACTATATTTTATTGAGTATTTATAGTTATTACTGATATGAAGTATGCTTTCACATTCTTTTCATTAATATGGCCTAAAAGATTACTAAAAAGTAATGCATTGGGACTTTGTGTGGAACTAATAAGTAGATAATCTCTATGATTGTATCCTTGCTTGAAAAATTTTACGATGTTCTGTTCAGATCTATTTGTTATCCATTGTGGATCACAGATACAAAAAGAATCTGGTTGCTAAGCAACTAGATTATATATGATGGAACTCCTTGAAAGAACTTAAGTGTTAACTCTTTAGAAATTGAGAGGTGTCTGAGACATCGTGAATCCCTTACTTTTAAAAGTAGATATGCATTATGCTCGGAAAAGAACTACAGTGAAAAACTGCCTCAAAAGTAGACAAAAATGATCTCAGAACTATTTGAATAACTGCTTTCCAATTTAGAAAATTCAGTCATTAAAAAAAAATTGAAATAATTGCACTGAAAATGATAGGTTAGTGCTTTCTTTTAAGATTCCCATCTCTAATGGGTTTATTAGCCACCTCTTTTCTCTAGTCATTGTGTCGTTACCAAGCTCCCAAAACCAAGTATGTAATGACGCACTTAGTTTCCTTCTGCCTTTCTCACAAAGGGGCTGATCTTTCAGGCTTTGTTTGTTTTGTCTTTTTTTTTCATTTTTTTCCTATCAAGTTTCGATTTTGTGAAATACAGTTGAACAATGGTTGGAACATTAACTTGAAATGAAAAGAATCATAATTGGAGTTAATTTTTTAAATCAGTTTATCAGTTCTCCAACAATAACTGATTTCTTTTGTGCCTGCTGTTTTCTGTTCTTCTTGAAATGTCTTATGTTTTCCTGGATGGACCAGTAATAGCAGATGCTTCTGTATAGGTAGAGGTGAGAGCTCACTATATTTCTTCATTTGTGTATGCTCTCTGTAGCCTTAGGGGAGTACGGTTGTTTTAAATAAATGGAACCTTTTGGGGAGACAGGGAGGGTGGATGTGTCTTCTGATTTTATGAGTCTCTTTTGTTTCTAGAGAATCTTTCGTTTCTGTTGCTTGCTTTTTCTTTTCCTCCTTTCACCATCAAGCATCCAGGGGAGGTGACCCTCCAAGTTACCTCCCTCCCTCCGAAGTGGTGCCCTCCCAAGACTTTGGTCCTGGCAACTTTTCAGCCCCTTCTTTCATTTCCTCTGTAGCCAAGGATCAGACTTGTTCTCAGTATTTCCACACTTAGGGTGGTACACTCTTTTTGGGGGTGATTTTCATCTGTTCCCCAACCAGGCTCTGCTGCCTGACTCTCTTTTCTGGAAAGGTTTCTGCTGCTTTCAGACGTTCATTTTTCTCCCTATGCATTAATTGAAGTTTAGAGTATATTTCGTGTCCTGGCTATGCTACAGGCAGGGCTGGCTTCATAGGCATGCCACCAACGCGGCTGCACAGGGCCCTATTCTCAGAAGGGCCTCTCACCTGGGGTTTAATGCTTGGCAGTCACTGTCTTAAAATCCTTAATAATTTAGTATTTGAATTTGTGTTTTGTAAGTGAAGTCTGATGGGACAATGGAGCATGTGCCAGGACCTTGAAGCCTTGGCTCACACATGAGCCTGCCTCCCCTTCCCCAGCAACACTTACTCCTCACCTCCCCAGCCCCGAACTCCCCTGGCTGAATTCTCAGCCACCTGCCTCCGTGTCTGCCTTGCAGCCACTGAGGTCCTCTGGCTGAGGCAGCAACCTGGCTGCATTGCAGGCGGAGGTCAGTGCTCTGTCCTAGCCTTCCACACCCACCAGGGACCTGGAGGCATGTGTGGGAAGGTTGAGGTTCCTGGTTGACAGTGTCATGGTACATTCAGCCAGCAACTCAGTGGGGCCTCTCGTCTACTACAGATCCGGGTACGGGGTGTGTCCTGGCACAGAGGTTTCGATTCCTTGGAAGCTGCCAGTTCACTGTGGTTTGGGTGGACTCTGGGAAGGGGAAATTGATTTCTCTGCCCTGGGCTGGAGCCCTCATTTTCATCTTGGAGTAAGCCCTGCCAACTGTGTAGTGTGCCCTGGCTGTAGAAGTGAGTTTTGGGTGGTTTTATTTGCTCTCGTGGTTGATTTATATGGTTTTGGAGAGATTCGAATTTAGGCAGTTGTCATTATCTCATGGGAAACTGGAAGTTCCTTATTTCTTTTAATTTGCTTTTATCAAACTTTTTTCCAAACTGTAAAAGCAATTTGTATTTTTTTGCAACAAAACAAACAATATGCGGGTATACAAAGAAAAAGTCAACATTCTATTTCCACTCCCTCTCAAAGTGACCAGTGTTTACATTGGGTACGTATATGAGGTCTTCCCACACTTTTATTCACAATCATATCATACACACACGCATGCTCACACACATTTATATGTGCAAATCTACATATACACAAGCCATGTGGGGGATTTGAGGGTGTGGTAAAAATGCTTATATCTTGATAACCTGAAAGTCCCTCTACTTCAGTGCATCTGAATCCAGCTCATTCTTTTTAAGAAAACATAATATTCTATATCCATAGATTTGCCATTATTCAGTCACGCATCTTGTAATGATGAACATTTAGGTTGTTTCCAGTTTTTTAGTGCTATGATCATGCCACTGTGCTACAGCCTAGGTGACAGAGGGAGACCTTGGCTCTAAAAAAATGAGGAAGAGAAACTAAATAAATAACTTCTATGGTGTGTCCTGGGCTCTGTACAGATTTATTCTATTCTGTACCTTATTTCTGTATTCAGACATCAACATCACTGGTGTTTAGAATGATAATAATGAGGTACTGCAAAGTTATTTATAATATACTAAACTTGTAAGGCATGAAGAGCCAACTATTACATTTTAGGAAAAAATCTCAAACCAAAAAAGAGTTGAAGCATATAGATTTTCTGAATAATCTTCATTTGACTAAAAATTTACTTTACCAGAATGCTTTTTCTTGATTATTTTGTTTAACTGGTATTTTGCTTAGCTCTGTTATTCAATTTATTTAAGAATAATTTATTAAATCCCTACTAGGTTCCAGGCATTTTTCCAGGTGCTAGGGTAATAGCAGTGAATTGAATGGTAGTGATCGTACATAGAATATGATGTCAATCACAAAAAAGTAGATATATCTAATAAACTAACATAGAAGATAAGATATATTAGACATTTCAGAAATACTTAGTACATCCAAAAGAAAACAGAAAAAGGGGAATGGGGGGAACTAAGAACAGAGAAGAGAAGTACAAAACAAAAAGCAAGATGATAGATTTAAACCCAACCACATCAATAGTTGTATTAAATGTAAGTAGTCCAAGTATCTGAATTAAAAGGCAGAGATTATCAGATGGGATAAAAGAAAAGTCAAGAGCCAACTATATGCTGTCAACAAGACATCCACTTTTAATATAAAGACACAGAAAGCTTAAAAGTATAGAAAAGGATGCACCAGCCTAGTACTAACCAAAAGAAAACAGAAGTGGCTATTTTCATTAATATTAAACAAAATGAATTTTAGAACTAAGAATATTACCAGTGATAAGTATTATCATTTTATAATTTAAAAAGAGGCCAGTGAGTCAAGAGGACATAATAATACTAAAATATTATGCATCTAATAATAGGGCTTCAAAATATGTAAACACTGATAGAACTGGAAGGAGAAATAAATAAATAAACCAACATTTATAGCCAGAGTTCTCAACACCCTTTTCTTTTTTAAAAAATTTAATTTAATTTAATTTTAAGTTCTGGGATACGTGTGCAGGATATGCAGGTTTGTTACATATGTAAACATGTGCCATGGTGGTTTGCTGCACCTATCAACCCATCCCCTAGTTATTAAGCCCGGCATGCATTAGCTATTTATCCTGATGCTCTCCCTCCCCCATCCCCAACCCTGACAGGCCCCAGTGTGTATTGTTCCCCTCCCTGTGTCCATGTGCTCTCACTGTTCGGCTACATGCAACACTCTTTTCTTAATAGCAATTTGGGGAAAAATATTCAGGGCAAAAGAAAAGTGCAAGGATCCTGAGGTCAGAAAGAGCTTGAGTGTTTAGAGGAACCCAGAGCAGCCGGGTGCAGTGGCTCACACCTGTAATCCCAGCACTTTGGGAGGCTGAGGCCGGCAGATCACCTGAGGTCAGGAGTTCAAGACCAGCCTGGCCAACATGGTGACACCCCGTCTCCACTAAAAGTACAAAAATTAGCTGGGCATGGTGGCAGGTACCTGTAATCCCAGCTACTCAGGAGGCTGAGGCAGGAGAATTGCTTGAACTGGGGAGGCGGAGGTTGTAGTGAGCCGAGATTGCATCACTGCACATCAGCCTGGGTGACAAAAGCGAGACTCCATCTCAAAAAAAAAAAAAAAAAAAAAGGAACCCAGAGCAGACCAGTGTGTTTAGAGCAGAGTGAACTGATGGAGCATGGTCCATTGTAGACCAGGGAGATAGGCAGGGGCAGGGGCTAGATTGCATAAGACCTTGTGAACCATTGTAAGGAGTTTGCAAAAGCACTAAACATGTTTGCTTCATACTGTGGCTTTGATTTAATATTTAATCATTAGCTGTATCTTAGAATTTCTCCACAGCCTAAAACTGAAAACAGTAGGTGACAAAGAACCCCACACTTTAAAAAACAGGCTGGACCTGATAGGATACCATCAGGAAACAGATATGTATTCCTCCCATCCCTTCTTTCAAACCTGTTCTGTCAGATCTGCATCTCTGAATTGTATCTCAGGGATCTATCACAGCTTTTGAGTCTTATTTTCAGTTATTAAAAAGTTCAGTCTGATCTTAATCAAAACTCCCATCTCCCATTATTCAGTTCAGTGCTCCTACGCTTCCTTCAGCTCAGCACTGCCCTTGTCTTGGAAATTGCAACAGGGAAGAGCTAGCTGTGTGGTCTTTGTCTCAGCTCCCTGGCTTTTCCTCCTCCTGTACAGACTGTTGGTTCCTCAGGGTCTGGGCAGGGGCAGTGAGAGGCAAAAAGGGAGAAATTGGTTTTCTGAGGGTCTTCTAACTCTCTCTCTTTAGGTACTGAATACCTTCTCTCATGGAATACTTTGGTGGTTATTTTTCTGTTCCCTGCCTCCAACACACACACACACACAGACACACACACACACACACACCCCCGCCCCCCCCCCACACACACACACGAATGTTTCTGCCTCTTGACAGGGGACTGTGCTCTCCAGCTGACCTGTTTGCATACCCTCCTCTCCTGGTTCCTGCTTTTTGGGTACAGCTCCAGCCTCTTCCTGCTAAAATCCCCTCACTCCGGTGGCAGTCAGCCCTCCTGGGTAGGGTCCCTTCCAGGTAGTTCAAGTCTGCTCCTGTCTTCTAAAGACATTGTCCACTTGGCCCATAGAACAGGTTACAAACCTTTGCCCCACAAGAGATTGGAATGTAAGCTTCTCTCGCTATCTTCTTGCCCTCTCCCTTCAAGGGCAGCTCCAGGCAGCTCCCATCTCTGTGGTACATGCCCCAACTCTCCTAAAAACCCTTCTGCACCTTCTCTGGTGGCAACTTGTGGAGGCCTAGGAGTTTCTTTCCACAACCCAGCAAGAGTTCTGCCTGGGAGGCCAGCCTCTCCTCCAGCAAGCACATTGCTCCCTTGGGTAAGTTCCCTTGCTACTGCCCTCACTTGGAAGGGGAATTTCCTCCCCACTTCTCTACTCTAAGAAGGAGGGGGAACTCTGCAGCAATCCCTACTAAGCCAACAACTCTTTCAAAAGTCCCCTTCACCCAGCAAGTCCCCAGCTTTCTCTTAAAGACACTGAAGATGGGAGGTGAGCTCAGGGTGGTGGGGGTATGTTTCCCACATCCTGGCAAGTTCTTTCTAGATGAGTCTCTATAGTGTGGGATCTTTATTTCAGCTTTCAGCCATTTAATATCCTGTTTCCTGTGGAAAAAAGTTTGACTATAGAAATAAAGCTATCAGCCGGGCGTGTTGGCTCACCTCTGTAATCCCAGCAGTTTGGGAGGCCGAGGTGGGTGGATCATCTGAGGTCAGGAGATCGAGACCAGCCTGGCCAACATGGTGAAACCCCATCTCTACTAAAAATACAAAAAGATTAGGTGGCCATGGTGGCCCATGCCTATAATCCCAGCTACTTGGGAGGCTGAGGCAGGAGAATCGCTTGAACTCGGGAGTTGCAGTGAGCAAACATCACGCCATTGTGCTCCAGCCTGGGCAACAAGAGCAAAACTCCATCACAAAAAAAAAAAAAAAAGAAAAAAAAGAAAAAAAAAAGAAAGAAAGCTATCACACTTAATTGTACTGATGAAATAAAAAACACCAGCTAATTTGGTCATTCAGGATTCTTTTGAAAAGCTCTCATATGGCAGTAGAAATTTAAGACTGCACCATTAAACATATTTTTCAGAAATCAGTTCATCAGTTTACCATTTGGTTGGGAAAGGAGGAGGCCTTTTCCTGTAAGGAGCATTTTAAAAGTGACATTTAAAAATTAGCTACCACGTATGCAAATACTTCTGAAAACTTTTATGTCAAATTTAATGATTTGATCAATTAGGAAATAGCAAATATATCCATAGACATCAGTTGCATAGACTTGAATTTCACAATTAAAAAGTGAGTATATCCTTGGGTATTTTACTGATAATTTTCACTGTGGCTCATTTTTTTTTTTTTTTTTTTTTTGGAGACAGAGTCTCACTCTGTTGCCCAGGCTGGAGTGCAATGGTGCAATCTCAGCTCATTGCAACCTCTGCCTCCCGGGTTCAGTCAATTCTCACGCCTCAGCCACCTGAGTAGCTGGGATTGCAGGCATGTACCACCACACCCAGCTAATTTTTGTATTTTTATTAATAGTAGAGATGGAGTTTCACCATGTTGGCCAGGCTGGTCTTGAACTCCTAGCCTCAAGTGATCCACCTGTCTCAGCCACCCAAAGTGCTAGGATTACCACACCTGGCCACTGTGGCTCACTTCTTAATTGTTGGGCCATTTTCCCCAAGTACCCTGTTTCTTTATCAGAAAAGTGATGAAAATATAGAATTATGATGACTGTTCTAATACCGGCTGAAGATGGAAGAACAAATTGGGAACGATTGATCAAGACCACACTTCAGATCTGTGAGACTGTGCATAAAGTCTGCCTGAAAGCTGGTTGCATTCTGTTGCTTTTAAATGTCTGGAAATAAAAATGGTCTGGTATCTTTAAAAAGTTTAGAAAAAGTCCAGTGGCTTAGAAAAATGCCAGAAGCCATTCTGTCAGAATTCTCTAGAGGAGGTAGTAAAACCAGCCTGCAGTTTTTTATTAAAGGAACTCACCATATGATATATACAGATGTGATGGTGAGGAATGTCACCTCCACAGAGACAGGAGAAGACAGTCACAAGGAGCAGCTCTAATCCCTTAGGATCTGCATGAAGCCCAGGGTTTTTGAGAGGTGGAAGTTAAAGGGTTAAGTATTTCTGTTTAATGTAGACCAAGGTTAACCAAGATGAAATTAAACATTGCTTGACAGCAGTTGAAGATTGGCAAGACTATGGCAACTACACTTCTCTACATTTTACTCTCAATTATGCCATTTTGTTTCTAATTAATCACTAGCATTTTAACAAAATGATGTAATTGATAGCTAGCAACCAGACTGTCAGTCTTCTCCCCACATCAGAAGGTATCTATCCATCTATTCAGCTATTGCCAGACACACCTTGTGCCTCATGGCAGCTACCTAGATTGCCGGCCAGAGGGCCTGCTCTCCACACTAGACCTGTGAAGTACTAGAAGGTTCCTAAGAGGATTCCAGTAATGACCCTTCTAAGGCTGTCAGTGGAAGGAGGATTGTCCTGATGTGCTTCTAAATCCCAATGGTTGCCGGGCCTTACTCCTGACTTTTAGAAGGCTACCCCAGCTGTGCCTGCAGCAGCAAAGGGATTTTCCATGTGTGGATTCAGAGAAGTGCCTTGCGTTCACAGGGAAACTGTTTTTATTCTTGTGTAACATTTGAGGCCATCCCTCTGTAGGTTGCTGACAGCCTCCTGTTTTCCATTTTTCCTCTCTGCAGCTTTCTCCAGGGTAAAATAAATTGGGCTTCAATTTTTGTACATAATTTTTTTAATGAGGATACTAAGACTTAAAAATAGTAGCAGGAAACATAAGCCTTTATTCACTTTACAAAGCATAAATAGTAACAGTATACTTCATATGTACAGTGTGACCAGTTAAAATGGAAAGATCCTGCGTATGGGAACAGGGGTGGCACTAGTGAGTGTGCCTGGTAAAAAAAAAACAGGGCAAAAAGGCAGAAAATGGAGAGAAGCAGGGGACAGACTGAATGATTAGCTCACAGAGAAAAAGGAAGAGAGAAGAGCCTCTTTATGCTTCTTCTGACATGTCCTCTAGTACTAAAGTGGTCATGGGTTAGCTTTATCCACAGTCTCCCTGTGTGGCTATCAAGCATAATCAGTATTGTTTTTCAAGAATAGAACCAAGAAAGGAAAACAAATGTCCCTCTCGCTTTGTACCCCTACTGAAATATTGAAGAACTAATTTGCTGGAGACAAAATGCTGGTGTAGAAAGTGACAGGCCTGATTACATACTGCTGTCACAAAAATTGATTTCCATACTTTATAGTTGTACCTTATTATCAGGTGCATATATTGCATGTCTGCATTTAACATTTGTGCACAAAATAAACTTCTTTGATTGCATTTGACTTGGCACCTTGATTATCTTTCTTGTTGCATACCGGAATTGGTTGTGCCTCTGATTTTCTACTTCTGTCTTTAGTGCACTTGTAATATGCCAGTGTCTGGAAACCATTATGACAGGTCCTACCAAGGATGCCAGCTGGACTTGAAGGAGACACTTGTTTTCTCTCCTAAAGTCTATTCTGTGAACCACATGACCTGAAGATCTGCTTTGTTTAGGACTGGGAGCCTGCTCTTTCCACTTAAGCACTCTCAACTGGTTTCACAAGGCTGAGTACGCATCAGATTTTCACTTCACTTGACCTGTGACATAATATCCTCAACTGAGGACTCCTTCCTTTTTTCTGATGTAATAGTAATTTTTAAAATGCTTTCCTGGAAACTGATTGAAATGGGCATTGTTGCCACTTCATAGAAATACACTGAATGTTGACTCTAAGGCTTACATATGCTTTGGAGACAGTGTTATAAGGTTTCACCAAAATAGAAGGAAGATGGAAAAAGAAAAATGATCAGTGGATCATACAGAGGCCACCAAGGAGAGTATTTGAGAGATCAGGGCAACTAGAATAACAGAGATGACAGTTTAGGGCAGAATACATTTTTGTAAGAGAATAGGAAATGTTTTGTCTTTAATGAATTAAGATCAATGCGAACTTTTATTCCAATGCTGATCTTGCAGCAGGTTAAATAACATATCCTGATGTTGCAGGGCACTTTCTCAGAATGCAGTTAAGTAAATAAAGCCTTGTTTCTTGGATCATATCGAAGTAAATAAATGTTTTTATTCTTTAGTACTAAGAGCTTTATGTTGAATACCATGTTTCTGATATGCCGTTATAGAATCTGATAAGTACTTTTTCACAGAGAATGAAGTTGATTTTTCTCTACTGAAAAATGAAATTACAGGAACCCATCCTCCTGTTTCCTTCCCCTACCCATCAAAATAGGAGGATTTGAAAACATGGTAATTATCTCATGTGATTTGGTTTATTAAGGTTAAAGACGTCTTATCAGGTTATTGCTAAAGGTTTCCAAGACCCCTTGCCCAACTGATGTCGGAGGACCTGGTATTTGGTGCTATGTGGAGTAACTATACAGCTAATTTCCTAATGGAGGTTATTGTTATTAATTCAATTTATTTTTATAGCAAGTTTATTGAGAAATAATTTACCACCATACAGTTCACCCCTTTAAAGCATACAACTTTTAGTATACTCTTAGAAGTTGTGCAACCATCACCATAATCAATTTTAGAACATTCTTACCATTCCCAAGAGAAAGCCTCTACATTAGCAGTCACTACCCATTTTCTCTCATTAGCAGCCCCAGCCCCAGAAAAACACAAACCTACTTTCTATCTCTATAATTTGCCTATTCTGGACATTTCATATGAAATGAACTCATGCAGTACGTGCGTCTTTTGTGTCTGGCTTCTTTCATTTAGCGTAGTGTTTTAAAGGTTCATCCATGTTGTAGCAGGTATCAGTAATTCATCCTTCTTATTTCTGAATTATTTTCCATTTAATGGACATACCTCATTTTATTTATCCACATTTGGGATATTTTCAAGTTTCAACTATTATGAATAATGTTAATATGAACAATCATGTACAACTTATGTGGACAGATGTTTTCATTTCTTTCAGGTATGTACCTAGGGGTGAAATTGCTGGGTCATATGGTAACTCTGTGTTTAGCTGTTTGAGGAACTGCCTGTTTTGCAAAACAGTTGTACCATTTTATATTCCCATCAACAATATATGAGAGTTCCAGTATCTTCACATTTTTGCCAACACTTGTTATTATCTGCCTTTTTTATAATAGTGGGGACAATTTTCAGAATGAAAGTGAGCCCTTATTAATTATCCCAGGCATGGCATGAACCAGTAATCAAATATCCTGAGCTAGTCAGGATATTTGATTCTTCTAGAACTTTTGGGAATGAGGCCTACTCAGTAGCAAAAAGTAGGGGGTGATTTGGGGGCAGTGGAGCTAAGTGCCAGTAAGTAGTGGTTGTTGGATATAGTCAACAAAGAGGACATATCCAATTTTATTATAATATCCTGTGGGTAGATATTACTGTTTCAAAGGATCAAGCACATATTTATCTGGAAAGGAATCAAGTCTTTAAAATCATTTTTACAGGAGCAATTATGTTATTATTCTTAATAGTAAGATGCAATAGGAGATCAGCTTTGTTCAATAGGTAAAATAACTACCCAGGTGAACCATAGCCATTTTGTCCAAAATTGATTCCCAGAGGCAAATTTGTAGCAGGTAATTTAACTACTCTTACTTTATTCCCAGGGACATTCTTTTTACATTGAAGTGCATCTCTTTCCTAGGCCTCAACTGAGCTGCTTGTGCAGGGTACTAGATGTTCAGGTTTTACAAATATTTGCCATCTTATTCTGTCTTTTTACACTGTTATTGACACACTGATGGTGTCCTTGTAAGATGTTTTGAGTGGGAGTCTCTAGCCCTCCACCCTAGCACTGTGGCAGGTAACTCATCTGGCTAGCAGTAGCTCATGGTACTCTTATGGGATGGTTGGGGCGATGCTATACTGTAAATATCAGCTAACCCAGAAACCAAGACATCACAGACAATCAGTGGTGGTGTTGGCACAATAAATACCTGCTGGACTTTAATACTCATAAAATGTATCCTTTCTAGATCTGGTGTGTTGGCTTTTCTTTATTGATGGAAATTATACATCAAAATGTTTCCCTTTCTTATTTGCTGTCAGAAAGCTTAGAGCTGATTTTTTATTGTTCAGCCACAATCGCTAGTTCATCAGTGTCTTTAGTATAACAATTTCTGTGCTCTTTCCAATGTTTGTTTAAATTGTTTTTTTTAACTGTCCTAATCTTATGAGTTTTCTTTAACATTGTTAGCCACCTTTGAATTATTTTTAAAGGTTGGAGTATAAATAATTTTTAAAACTCCCATCCATAAAAGATAACTATCTTTTCTCTCCAGAACTATAAGTCTCTTGGAAATTTGATTTGATTTAGGTAATTGGCCCTACTACATAGTACCTTCCCTCTCTGGGCTCTTGACCATCTGGGGTTATCCTATGTTTGTCATGCTAGGGAAGCGTAAGAATGTTCTTTGGGTATTCTTTCAGAATTAAATAAGAAAAGGCAAAATGTTTGATAAACAGACATTTATTTCAATATTAAATATCCTTCATATAAAATGGGCTGAAGTCTAAATTGCACGTTCTTCAAGTTGTCCTTGATCAAGATGTGTAGATGCAGAATAGTTCCTTCATTTCCACATCTTTTCTAGTGAGCAGGTGAGAGTACTTTCTCTGAAACTGAAGAGAGAAGTGTCCTGATCCTAAAACCTTTCAGAGAGCTGCCTGACTGCGCTGCTCAGGAAAAAAGGGGTGCTCACCCTAGCATGATAGGGATGGCCAAGTGCCTTGGGGCACCCAGCTGTTCAGCGGCATTGTGGTGAAAGGGAAGTACAGTCGATCCTCATTTTTTGCACATTCTGTATTTGAGAATTTACCTACTTGCTAATGTTTGTTTATGTCTAATCCCAACATCAATACTTGCAGGACTTTTGTGGTCATTTGTGGATATGTGAAAGTGGTAAAAAAAATTTGAATCCTCCTATGTGAATGTTCCCAGCTGAGATCGAACAAGGGGATGTTCTGCCTTCCTATTTTAGCTCTAATACTATAAATGTGTCCTTTTCTCACACATGGCTCAGAAATGTGCCAAGTTTTTCACATTTTTTGTGCTCTTCATTGGTGATTTCATGGCTTAAAATGGCCCCCCAGCCATAGTGCTGAAGCGCTGTCTATTCCTAGGGGAAAGAAGGCTGTGATGTGCCTTTTGAAGAAAGCACATGTGTTAGACGAGCTTCATTCAGGCATGAGTCATGGTGCTGTTGTCCATGAGTCCCATGGTGGTTAATCAGCACTATATATATTTAATGTGGCATCTTTAAACAGAAACCAACATAGAGCACAGTTAAGTATTGATCAGTTGAAGAGAATACCTCCTGTGACCAGAGGCTCACAGGAATCTAACCCTGTATTTCTCCTAGGAGCAATGATTCAATATTTATGAATTCAGTGTTTGGGGTGACTTGATAAAACATAACTACCTTGCATAAAGAGAATCAACTGTATGTCTTTTTCTGCTCTTATAATTCTTCATGTTGGTGGGCCCCTGCCTTCAGCCCCAAAGAATGCAGCATGGGGCTTATTATTTCTTGAATCTGTTTTTTTTTTTCTGGAGAATTTCATTCAACAAATTATGAATATTATTAGGTGTTGAACTGAGCTTTTGAAAACTTGTCAGATTCATCTTCAAGATTTTTGTTCCAAACATCCAAATTTATATACTCATTGTGAGTTTTTGGATGTTAACAATAGAATTTGATTCATTCTATATCCTTTGAGCCCACATGATGCATTTCCCTGTGTTAAGGCTTATTTGTTGCTCAGTTGAGTGACTCATTCACCACTTCTTACTTCCTGGAGGTTTAGTACCACTCTTAAAAATAGCAAGAGGCCAGGCATGGTGGCTCACGCCTGTAATCCCAGCACTTTGGGAGGCCAAGGTGGGTGGATCAAGAGGTCAGGAGATCAAGACCATCCTGGCTAAGGCGGGGAAACCCCATCTCTACTAAAAATAAAAAAAAATTAGCCATGTATGGTGGCGGGCACCTGTAATACCAGCTACTAAGGAGGCTGAGGCAGGAGAATTGCTTGAACCTGGGAGGCGGAGGTCGCAGTAAGCCAAGATGGTGCCACTGCACTCCAGCCTGGGTGACAGAGCGAGACTCCATCTCAAAAAAAAAAAAAAAAGGGTGGAAAACATTGCATTGCACAATGGGTTGAAGTGAGAGGTCTGCCTTATTTTGGGGTTTGTAGCTCCCTCCCTGTGCTGGAAGGGGGCTGTTGTGAGTGCCCCACCCTTGCAGATGTCAGCAGGAACCAGTTTCTCTTCCAGAGCTGAAGCTCCAGCGTGCTGCCTGGCTTGAAGCTGCTGCCCTCTGTCCCAACTCTCACCAGCTCTCTTGGGTTGTTCCCTGCTCTTGATCCTAATCAGTGCGTGTTTCTCACAAGCCTCTTCAGTCATCATGTTGACCCAATCCCCAGACAATGGGTAGTAATTAAGTCAACTTTCATAAGGTTATGGTATGCGAAGTGATTACAAGAGATTGCTTACAAGAGCAGTTAGAATAAAGAGTTCAGGTGAGGGCAGTGTCTTTAGTGAGCCAATAAGTTGTCTATAAGTTGATTGGGAAATTGTTTAGTCTGAGATTACAATAAGATGTTTTCTGAAGCACATACCAATGAACAGATTCCTTGAAGAGATTTCCTTACAGAACAGTTTGCATTTTCATGTTGAAAATTAGCTTAGTGATTATCTTCATTTAACAGGTTAAAAAAAAAAAAGAAAACCAAACCTGATGAAAGGGTGACTTGGTATCAGGAATGGGGAGGTGATTTGGTGAAGGGATAGTGACTACCACTGACCACTAAAATAGCTTCATTTGTTTTTGTATTCTCAGTGTCTCATTTCCTCCCATGTTCCTCTTTTTTATTTTATCATTATTTTGTTTTAAATTTTTAATTTTTGTGGGTATATGGTAGGTATATATATATTTATGGAGTACATGAGATATTTTGATACAGGCGTACAATGCATAATAATCACATCGGGGTAAATGGGGGTATCCATCACTTCCTTTATGTCACAAACAACCCAATTATGTTCTTTTAGTTATTTTTAAATGTAAATACACTGTTGTTGACTATAATCACCCTGTTGTGCTATCAAATACTGGAGCTTATTCATTTTATTTTACTATATTTTTGTACTAATTAACCATCCCCAGTTCCTGCCCCACCCCCCCACTACTCTTCCAAGCTTCTGATAACCATCATCCTACTCTCTGTCTCTATGAATTCAATTGATTTAATTTTTAGCTCCCACAAATAAGTGAGAACATGTGATGTTTGTCTTTCAGTGCTTGGCTTATTTCACTTAACATAATGACTTCCAGTTCCATCCATGTTGTTGCAAATGACAGGCTCTCATTCCTTTTTACAGATGAATAGTACTTCATTATGTACTTCAGTAGTATTCCTAACTATCCATCAACAGATGATTGGATAAAGAAAATGTGGTAACTCTCTTCTAACTATCTCCTAACTATCCATCAACAGATGATTGGATAAAGAAATGTGGTAACATTTTCTTTATCCAATCATCTGTTGATGGATAGTTAGGTCATTTCCAAATCTTAGCTCTTGTGAATAGTGCTATAATAAACATGGCAGTGCAGCTATCTTTTCAATATACTGATTTCCTTTCTTTTGGGTATATACCCAGCAGTGGGATTGCTGGATCATATGGTAGCTCTATTTTTAGTTTTTTGAGAAACCTCCAAACTGTCCTTCATAGTGGTTGTACTGTAATAATTTACATTCCCACCAACAGTGTACGAGGGTTCCCTTTCCGCCACATCCTCGCCAGCATTTGTTGTTGCCTGTCTTTTGGATTAAAGCCATTTTAACTGGGGTGAGATGATATCTCATTGTAGTTTTCATTTGCATTTCTCTGGTGATCAATGATGTTGAGCATCTTTTTATATACCTGTTTGCCATTTGTATTTCTTTTTTGAGAACTGTCTATTCAGGTCTTTTGCCCATTTTAAATGGGATTATTAGATTTTTCCTATAGAGTTGTTTGAGCTCCTTATATATTTTGGTTATTACGCTCTTGTCAGATGGTTAGTTTGCAAATATTTTCTCCCATTCCGTGGGTTGTCTCTTCACTTTGTTGATTGTTTCCTTTGCTGTGCAGAAGCTTTTTAACTTGATATGATCCCATTTATCCATTCTTGCTTTGTTGCCTGTGCTTGTGGGGTATTACTCAAGAAATCTTTGCCCAGTCCAATGTTCTGGAGAGTTTCCCCAGTGTTTTCTTTTAACGGTTTCATAGTTTGAGGTCTTAGATTTAAGCCTTTAATCCATTTTGATTTGATTTTTGTATATGGTGAGAGATAGGGTTCTAGTTCCATTCTTCTGTATATGGATATCCAGTTTTCCTAGCACCCATTAAAGAGATTGTCCTTTCTTCAATATATATTCTTGGCACCTTTGTTGAAAATGAGTTTACTGTAGATGTATGGATTTATTTTTGGGTTCTCTATTCTGTTCCATTGCTCTATGTGTCCGTTTTTATGCCAGTACCATGCTGTTTTGGTTACTATAGCTCTGGAGTATGATCTGAAGTCAGGTAATGGGATTCCTCCAGTTTTGTTCTTTTTGTTCAGGATAACTTTGGCTATTCTGGGTCTTTTGTGATTCCACTTAAATTTTAGGATTTTTTTCTCTATTTCTGTGAAGAATGTTGTTGG
The DNA here is from genome assembly GCF_000001405.40 of Homo sapiens. NCBI lineage: Eukaryota > Metazoa > Chordata > Mammalia > Primates > Hominidae > Homo > Homo sapiens. The sequence continues at coordinate 77,270,020 of NC_000005.10, forward strand.
TATTTTGCTAGGGATTGCATTGAATCTGTAGATTGCTTTGGGTAGTATGGACGTCTTAACAGTATTAATTCTTATAATCCATGGACATGGAATATCTTTTCAATTCTTAGTATCCTCTTCAATTTCTTTCATCAGTGTTTTACAGTTTTAATTGTAGAGATCTTTCACTTATTTTGTTAATTCCTATGTATTTTATTTGTAGCTATTTTAAATGGGATTACTTTTTGATTTTTACACTGTCCACTGTTTGCATACAGAAATGCTACTGATTTTTGTACGTTGATTTTGTATCCTGTAACTTTACTGAATATGTTTATCCATTCTAATAGTTTTTTGGTGAAATCTTTAGGTTTTTCCAAGTATAAGACCATATCATCTGCAAACAAGAATAATTTGACTACTTCCTTTTCAATTTGGATGCCTTTTATTTCTTTCTCTTGTCTGGTTGCTCTAGCTGGTAATTCCCCATATTCCCTCTTACCGTTCACTTCTGCCTCTGCTTTGTGCCCTTAGCACTGGAGCTACATCTTAAGAGGTGGGGTGACATGTTGATGGTATTTGGCTGAGGGACCCTGAAGCTTCTGGATCTTGCTTGTAATTGTCCACTCTGTTCAACAAGATACCTAGGGGGCATGTGTGCACAGAAGATAGTGATTTTTCCGGGCTCTTGTTATTAAACCTTGGCCCCACACTCTTAATATGGAACACTGCTTTGGCAGAAGGAAGAGCTAACCAGAGATACCACTTCCTTCTGGGAAGAAGCAGCAGGGCTGGGAGAATCCTAGCCCAGACTTTCTCTGGAAGCTGCTCCAGCTCCTGACCAGGCTTATCTTACCAGCCGGGTGGGAGTTAGGAGGACTCCGGAGTCACACAGAAAGCCAAAAATCTCCTGAAAACAATACCCTTTCCAGTGTAGATCCTAGGCTCACCCCTCATTGTTCACTCAGGAATTAAGGCAGCTCTGGGGGTAACCCCATTTATGGAATCCATGCAATGATGGCATTGTGGGGGACACTGGCTAAGCTCCCAAGGGGATGTGCTATAACTGCATCGCAGTGGCTAGGCCCCACCCTTCTCATGCCTCTTCCCAGGTCACTATGGTGATGAGTCACTAATATCAAGAAGTAAAGAAGAATGGCAGTTTATAAAAGACCATAAGATCTCCCTATTCCAGGATCAATGGTACATATGGTTCCTTTTCTTTCTTCTTTGTCTTACTTGTCCTTTAAAACCTCCATTTGAGAGCTGCCTCTTCCAGAAAGCCTTCCTTGACCACCTCCAGCTGAAGTCTGGTTTGGAGCTATCTTCTCTGAGCTACTACTTGCCACCCTGGAAGGCTGTGGCTGGTACGTGATCTTGAGAAAGTAGTTCCCTAGCTTTGTGGGAGTGGAATCTAGATGACAAATGGTTAAGGAGTTGGGGATAGGGGTGTAGATGGGACAGCCAAGGCTGATACCTTTCAAATTTCAGGTTGAACTGTGGAATGAAGAAGGTAGTGACTGAAGGTCACTGGGGAAGTTTATTTATTTGTTTTTTGATGTGAAGAACTTTTTTTTAAGGCAGAGAAGAGGAGTATTGGAAACATTAGTAAAATAGGGAATAATCAACAGGTCATGGCCCAGGAGGAGGCCAGAAGAAGTGGAATCAATAACAGATGGAAGGAAGTGAAAGGGAAGACACAGAGGGAGCTCTGGCTGGACATCCCCAAAGTTGTTCAACAATGGGAGCCACTGTTTCTTGAAAGTTGACTAGATGCTGGATAGTCCTTATACATTCTCATCTGATTTCCACAGCAGCCACTTCACATTCTACGGATGAGAAAACCGAGGCTTATAACAGGTTCTTCAGGTGGTACATGTTGGGGAGGGATGTGAATGTAGTCAGTGCAACTTGCAGAATCTGCTCTACCAGAGTCTTACTTCTCAAAGTGTGGTCCTCGGAACAGTACCACCTGGGAGCCCATTAGAAATGTCAACTCTCAGCCACATCCTCAGACCAACTGAAACAGACCTGCGATGTTTACATATGTTTAGGTCTGGAAACCCTGGTCTAAACTTCTGCCCCTTGTTCTCCTTGAAGTGTTAGATGTTGGCTTGGCTCCCTGCTTAGGGTAAGGTTATTGGAGCATGCCGAGGGCAGAGGCTTGAGGGTAGAGGGGAACAGCAAATCATGGGAATGTGATGGAATGTATTAAGAGAGAGCTTCTAGAAGGTTATGATATCTATTAGTTCACAGGTTATGGCTAAACTGGTAATGACTTCATTTAAGTTGATATCATTGTACTTTGCAGAGAGAACAGCCAAGTAACCTTGGTTGACTCTGGTTGTTCTAATATTCTTAGCTATCCATTCTCTTGGGAGGGTCAAACCACAGCTGGCTGATCTGTTATCAAAGGATTTGTGGTGCCTCGAACATGTCCTGTTATTTCACAATCAGTGCCCTTTGTACATATGGTTCCTTTTATTTCTTCTTTGTCTGACTTGTCCTTTAAAACCTCCATTTGAGAGCTGCCTCTTCCAGAAAGCCTTCCTTGACCACCTCCAGCTGCAGTCTGGTTTGGAGCTATCTTCTCTGAGCTACTGCTTGCCACCCTGGAAGGCTGTGGCTGGTATGTGATCTTTAAAGGACTTAGCATGGTACCTGGCACATAGTAAGTGCTCAATAAGCACTAGCTTCTATTATTAGCCCAGAAGTAGGAATAAAAACAGTTAAGAGTAGAACACATGGTTCAGAGGGCAGCATAGTATAAAGGGGGCAAAAATAACCGAAGGTCCTAGCAAGAGCCATATGGAAGTGGTCAACTAGGAGGTTTCTGTGCTGGGAAGGGAGGGTGAGAAGGCAAGAGAGAGGCAGTAGAAAGTTCATTATTTTTTAATGTATTTTTATTGTGTATATTTAAGGAGAGAAAGTGATGTTTTGATATACCTATGCATAGAATGATTTTGAATGGGCCTAATTGCTACGACGTCAGTTACAAGACGGAGGAGAAAGAAGACAAGACATGAATTTAAAGAAACTTGCTTATCCAAATCATTCTTCTTTTAAGAAAGCTTTGTATTCATTATAGCTGATTATAAGAGTTAGGACAAATTTATGATGTGGCAGACTTGTGTTTTAGCTTATTAGTGTGTCTCTGTGCTGCACTGAAGCCCTTGTCATCACTGCAGTGTACGTAGCTCCCATTTATGTACTTTCTATAGAATCTGAAGCCTAATTTTAACATTGTATCGTTTTTTATAGTTATTGACACTTTGCTTCTATCCTATCAATTCTATCTGTAATTTATTTCAAATCAATTTCTTGAACAGGCAGGTAATAGCCTATTATATTATTTTTCCTATGGGAAAATATGATCGTTTATTAATTTGGTTTTTTAAAATTTACTAAACATCTATTACCCAGAAAGCACTATAGAAAATGCTTTTGAGAGATGCAGTTATGAACTAGCAATCGCCCTTGTCCTTCAGGAAGCTGACAGGCTAGGAGGGGAGATATGATAGGTAGAGATGACTTTAAACACAACAATGTGAGATGCTGTAAGAGAGGCAGGGTAGTACACTTACTGAGGAAGAATAACTTGCTTTTGCCTGGGGACAGGAGTACAGGATAAAAGCTTTGAGGCAAAGGCAGTGGTTCAACTTGACCTTGAGATTTTGTCTGGGTTTGACAGGAAGAAATAGGGCAAAAGCCATTTGAGGTGGACAAAATAGTATATAAAAAATAAAGTTTGATTTTTATTAACACAATGGTGAAAAGAGAGAACTTCCAGGTAGTTCCATCTGTTTTTTTTTTATTTATTTTTTATTTTTTATTTTTTTTTGAGATGGAGTTTCATTCTTGTTGCCCAGGCTGGAGTGCAATGGCATGATCTTTGCTCACTGCAACCTCCGCCTCTTGAGTTCAAGCAATTCTCCTGCCTCAGCCTCCCGAGTAGCTAGGATTACAGACATGCGCCACTATGCCCGGCTAATTTTGTATTTTTAGTAGAGACAAAGTTTCTCCATGTTGGTCAGGCTGGTCTCGAACTCCCGACCTCAGGTGATCTGCCTGCCTCGGCCTCCCAACGTGATGGGATTACAGGCGTGAACCATCTTGCCCAGCTAGTTCTATCTTTAGACTAAAATTTAAGTATCTATAAAAAGGAGGAACTGCTGTTTAATGAATGCAAATGTTTAGGTACATATATATTATCTCAATTAATCCTCAAAAAATCCCTATGAGGTAGGGAGGTATTATTATTTGCATTATAGAGGTAAATAAGCTGAGGTTCAGGAAGTTAATCATTTTGCTCAAGGCCACACAGGTCATCTGCGGCAGGGCTGGAAATCCAACACAGATCTATCTGATTCCAAAGCTTTCCACTGCTTCCTGCTGCCTTCCTGCGGACCCATTCATAAGACTGACATATTCATTCATTCCACTGACATATTCATTCATTCCACAAGTAGTTATTGAGCATCTGACATGTCCCAGGTGCTATGCTAGCTCCTGGACATGCAGTGATGGCCAACCTGGCCTAGCTACATGTGGGGGACAAATGGAGGCACAAATAGTACCTTGGTATTCTGAGACCTACAGATTTCCAATTAAGTATAAATTTAGAAGATTAATGTGCTTTATTGATCTCATCAAATAGCCTATTGATAACCCTCCTCAAATAACTAGTAAAGGCACAGTGTTCACTGAGGAAAAACAGATGGGAAAATACAGGATATTTCAATGTCATAGTTGGAAAATTTACAACTTAACTATTTTATTAAAATGTCAGTACTTTGGAATTTTAGCAGTTGTAGACCTGAGAGCCCGAGAGGAGACTGCACCCATGCCATGCAAATTGTCATAAAAGTTTTAGATAAAAGTTCATATATACGTTTCAGAGAGAGAAAAAGAGAAAGAGAAAGAGATTTTGTTGACAGCCAGATGAAATTAAGTGGTCAGAAATTTAATCCACTGGCCCACTAAAAGAAATATTTTCAAGATACTGAGAAATGCAAAAAAAATGTAAAAACCAAGCATAATATCACCACTTTACACCACATAGTATCACACACACACACTAGTTGAGTACAGTGGTGCCCACCTGTAGTCCCAGCTACTTGGGAGGCTGAAGCAGGAGGATCACCTGAGTTCAGGATTTGTGACCAGCCTGGACAAAATAGTGAGACCCCATCTTTTTTTAAAAAAGAAAAAATATATATACTGTATATGTAAAGTCCTTCCCCTTGATCACTACTCCTCCAGCCCCACCCTAGAGGTAACCACTGTTAACAATGTGGAGTTTACCCTTTCTGAATTTGTTACTCATAGTGACAAATCTGTTTAGGTTTGCCCATACAATCTTTCTTTTCTTTCCTTCCCAAAAAGAGGACCACTTAAAAAATTCTTATTTTTCTGCCATTATCCCTTTGGTCTCATTAATTAATTTATTTTTGTCTTTTAAGAGAACAGTTTTAAATTGCTTCTTGTGAGGGTGCAACACACCAGTAGGATTATCAGCAAAGTGTAGACAAGGCTATGAATGTGGATCTGATGCTTGGGAGAAGAGAATTATCTTGTGACTCAACTAAAATACAACCAAAGACTCAAGAAGTTATGGATTTGCTCTTAATTGCTTTAATTGCTGCACAATTCTCCTTAGTTACTCTGTGAACTTGTAAGAATCCACCCACAGTAAAAGTCGAATTTGACAAGTTGTGAGAAATTGTTATGAGGATTACAGTTCTTTGTGTCCCACGTGCAAAGTGCTTCCAAGATATTTCTTTAAATGTTGAATTTCATTTAAATATCTCAAATGAAGAAAAAGATATCTAACCGCATGAGGTTGGAAAGCTTAAAAGTAATTGTTATCCTATCCTACAGACACACCAAAGGGTACTTAAAGATGATATGAAGTGGGATATAAATATCTATACTGTTGTGCTCTGAACTAAAGCAAGTAGTATATATTTGTTATCCTTTATACTGAATTAATTATGTAAAAAATAAAGTTCAAAATATGAGTGTAGTTCCTGTGTGACGAATTGCCTGAATTACTCAAGTGATTGTCTCAAACCTCTATGTCATTTGTTTGTAGAGTTCTTTAGAAGAACTTAGTACAATTATCTGAAAGTGTCTCTAAGGTATGACACTTCTGTGTGCATTATTGTACTCAGCATTTAAAACATGGCATTGCACTGATGTCCTTCCTGTTTCTTAAAATAAGCCAAGTCTTTTCTGGCCTCAGGGCCTTTGCGCCTGCTGTTCCCTCTGCTGGGTTGCTGACGCTCTTCTCTGTATGAGGAGGCAGAATCACTCCTCATCCTTCAGGGCTTGGCTCAGCTCAAAGGCCTCTACCTCAGAGACCCTCCCAGGATCACCTCATCCAGAGTGTCTTCTCCCTCCAATCACTTCCTATTATCTGATTTATTTTCTTCATGCCACTTGTCATAATCTGTCATTCTCATGTTTGTTTGCTTACTTTTTGAGTTAGGCCTCTGCCTTGGCACCCAGTGGAGTCTTCAATAAATACCTGGTGAATGAATAAAGAGCTTTATTAGTTATTCTTTTCCTCATTCGTTCATGCCTTCATTTATCTGTTCAGCATCAGACACAATATTGAGTGTCTAATGTGTCTAACTCACAGTGCTGGACTCAGTAGTAGTGATTGCAGTGGAATTTTCAGGTAATTAATGCTTAGCCCTTCAGATACCAACATTTACTTAAAAGTAAATATTGGCTATAAATAAGTAAAGGATAAAATTGTAAAATACTGGATGAGAGTATTCCTTAAATACATTACAGCACATCTCAGATAGAAGCTCTAGTATTGATATGGTGTGGTCCTCACTGTGAAGTGTCCTTACAGTGAATTTTTAAAATTTACATTTTGGTTTTTCTGTGAGCCCAGAGGGATGCCACTTCCTTTACCGTAACTCTGACTAGTTGCTCCAACAATGGCCCCTTCCTGCCTCTAGACACAGGGGTGCTGGTCACTGATCTCCTGGGTCAAAAGCAGGATAAGACAGTTGCTTTCACGGTGGTTGTTCTCACCATGAACCTTGACATTCCAGTTTTCCCACAGCATGTGAAGGCCTTAAGTTGTTCAGATATAACCTTGATTCTCCAAGGGGTGCTGTGGTAGAACGCAGAAGGAGATTTTTGGAAAATTGCATCTATAGAGTTAAATACTATGAATGTTTCTTATCTTGTCATAAAATCACCTGCATACATTCTTTTTATAAAGCCATCTTTGTAAGATGAGATTTATATTAATGTAATATGTTAGTGCTCAGATGGCCTTTAGCAAAGGATTTTAGGAAACACCTATTATCTATGACTGGGGTTGTCAGAATGCAAAAATTCAAATCATCTTCCACATAGGAAACTCTTTTCTGGGTTCTGTGTTTGTGCTTATTATTTCGGTGTTTCCCTTTTAACTGTTTTCAGAAGGCATCTTCTGACAGTGGCAACATCAAACTGCAAAATATCATAGGCTTATTTGGTGGGGATTTTACTTCTGGATTTGTTCCTCTTGACATGAAAAACATATATTCTCTGCTTCACATCAAAAATGTAGGCTTACTTTTAAGTAGCTATATTTTTAAAATCTGTGTCCTGTTTTTGATCTAGTTTTTATTATATCTTGCATTTTACCTGCCATTTCTCTTCTTTCTCTTTTGTTCATTTTACAGGAAATGGGAGATCAGAGATGCTCAGATTTTTTCAGCGTAGTTTCCCCTAACATCACAGCTCTCTCCTGTCTCTTTTATTCACAGTGAGACACTAAAGACTTCCCAGTGAGCAAATTTTTCACATAGGTGAAACTTACTCCATTAACCGCTAAAACTTTGAAGAATGATTATTTTAATCACTCTGGAAATACATTTCACAGTTCCTTCATTTGCAAAGTAAACTATGCATAAGATGTACATAGAATGTATGCCTATCTTTCACAGAGTCAGAGCCAGCCTAGTGAGCTTTCACTTTTGTCCATGGTTTGGAGGCTGTTGAGCTAATCAGAGCTGTTTTCCTGGGCACCAAATGCTCTTATGTCTTGCCTCTGCCTACCACTCTCAGCTGCCATTTCCTGGGACCATCGCTGGGTCTTTATAATTCTCATGTTTTCCTTATTGTAATGACAGCTGGCCGAGTTCACGTTCAAGTTTACCTCCACCTCTTCTATAGGTAAACGTCTCCCAGCTTCAGTACTCTAGAGCCACTGTCTTGCAGTTCCATGCTCCTGTTAGGTTCTGGTAGGTAGGAACCTGACTTCTGGCTAAAGGGAATAGGGGATGTAATACTAAGTTGTCATTACAAATCCCTTAGGCCTTACTGATAGCCTTGCTCAGGATATCCATTTTAGTTTTTCAACTACTGTGTTCTCATGAGATGGAAATCATAAAGCCAAGTGTCTTTGAAGAATTGTACTTGAGATTCAGAACAAGACTCCATGTTATTTTTTAAAGAGAGATACTTCTTTTCTTTTTTTTGAGACGGAGTCTCACTCTGTCGCCCTGGCTGGAGTGCAGTGGCGCGATCTTGTCTCATTGCAAGCTCTGCCTCCCGGGTTCATGCCATTCTCCTGTCTCAGCCTCCCGAGTAGCTGGGACTACAGGCACCTGCCACCACGCCCGGCTAATTTTTTGTGTTTTTAGTAGAGACGGGGTTTCACTGTGTTAGCCAGGATGGTCTCGATCTCCTGACCTCGTGATTCCCAAAGTGCTGGGATTACAGGCATGACCCACCGCGCCAGGCCCAAAGAGAGATACCTTTTTTCAAGTTTTTGAGTGGCTAGTTTTGCATATTAATGCTAACACTGAAAATAGTACAACATCAATTTTTTACGCTTTTTATCTTTTTCTTGACAAATACTAGTTTAAGTTGCTATTTCAAACTAGTTCATTCAGGGTATGAAATATACAATGGGGAAACTTTGAGACTCATGTTACTTCCTGTTGTTAGAGTGCTTGATTTAGTGCTTTAATTACTATACACTACTGAAACAAAGTGAATATACACCACCTTAGGAAATCACTTGTTATTTTCTTGAACTGTTTTGTTTCATCTACAATTACATCTTTATATCACATTTCACAAAATACTGGTGATTATGTGGTGTTCTAATGAGTGTGTATAGATAATAAAACTAAGAAAATGGAGTTTAGATTTAGTGGGGCTACCACCTAAAAATTAAACTTGCTTAGTTCCAAATTTCCAATTCTTTGATGATTTGTATTGTAAACAGGATAGTTTTTTTATTACATTTACAGAACATGGGCATGACTTGAACAAAAGTTGCTATTCTTAAGTAAATTACTTTTATTTTATGCTGTATCTTGCCTTCTTGATGTTCTAGATGGTATGTCCTTTTAGTCCCACTAGAGTCTATAATGCTACTGTAGTTCCCAGCTTCCAGTTGTCATCTGTGTGGTGATGCCATAAGCATTGGAAAGTGCACTGTCCTTATAGCCAGAAAGCACTGGTTCCTTCACCCTTTAGCTGTGGCTCTCCTCCCCGTCAATCCTCTTTTTTTAAAAGCCAACGCTTATTGAGGACTTCAGGTTATATGCTGTGTGTCACGTGTTTTCTAGATGTTCCTTCTTTTAATTATCACAAGAAGCCTATGATGCAGGTATTAGTATCCACATTTTACAAATATGCAGACTCAGGCCCAGAGAGGTTGAATAACTCCAAGGTTATCCAGCTGGTTAGTGACAAAGGTGGGGTCTGAATACAGGTCTTACTTCCAAAGTCTGCACTTGAATTACCTCCTGTACCACCTGTGCTACCTCTGTGCCTCTCTGAACCAACTTTGGGTTTTCTGGAAGTGAGAGTGACAATCTCAGTCTCATGGGGTTGTCCAGGGGCACAAGTGAGGCGAGGGAGGCAGAGCATCCTTGTCTTATGCTGCACTTGAGCAATATAGGTAGTCCAGCCTAGACAGTCATCTTCTTTTCATTGCATGCCTTTCCCTATTTCTGGATTATAGATAGCAGTGTCTCCCACCTGGGCCAGCTTTATCCTGACGCCCAGCATACACCCCACCTCTGGGTTGGTGTGCATTGAGGAAGTGCAAATAAAGTGGAATATGCCTCATTAAGCAGGAAAGTAGTCATGAGGAAAGGCATGCACTTGAGAGCCGTACCTGGGCTCTTTATCTTCTGACAGATAGGATCATTCCCAAGGTCATGAGAGTGCAGGGGATTGGGTGCCAACCAGGACACTGAAGAGCTCCCGGAGCCTGTGCATGGTGTCTAGCCCTTCTGTCTTCAGGCAGTCACGTGCAAGCCCTCCCCTGGAAGGATTGTCAGACCACACCTGTGCCACTGCTGCTGTCTCCTCCCTGTCCTCCTGCAGGAGGGTGTGTGTGTGTGTTTTAAATTTCCAATTTACTATGGACCAAGACCCTTGAAAAATACAATGAAAACAAATTTCTGGAAAAATAGTTTTTAAAAAGGCATTCAAAATGTAAGCATAGTATTTTATTAGAAGATTCAACAGCAAGAAAATAACATTGCAAAAATGACCTGGCAATGCCAAATTGCTGGAAGTTTCTAAGCACTTATTGTCAGTTTTTTTCCTAATCTCTTTACTGTTGGGTAGCAGTTCACAGACTGGCCAGGCGCGGTGGCTCACGCCTGTAATCCCAGCACTTTGGGAGTCCAAGGCGGGTGGATCACAAGGTCAGGAATTTGAGACCAGCCTGACCAACATGGTGAAACCCCGTCTCTACTGAAAATACAAAAAAAATTAGCTGGGTGTGGTGGCACATGCCTGTAATCCCAGCTACTCAGGAGGCTGAGGCAGGAGAATCGCTTGAACCGGGGAGGTGGAGGTTGCAGTGAGCTAAGATCGCGCCACTGCACTCCAGCCTGGGTGACAGAGAGAGACTCTGTCTCAAAAACAAACAAACAAACAAAGAAACAAAAAACAGTTCACAGACCACCACCAGTGCACAGACTGCCGGCCCAGAGCCTACCCTGACTGAGGTGGGCACTTCATATGTGAATGCAGGTCCACCTGCCGAGGGGCTGGAGGTGTGCTTGCTGCTGTAAACTTGCTCTGTGGAATGCATGCGCAAGCCCCAGGCCACAGTGCCCGTGGAAGCGCCACTTCCCTGCTGCCCTTCATGACACCACTGCCCTTGTGACTTGGCCTCTACCTCAGCTCCAGTTTCATTCTGTTTGCCTGGTGCTGGAGCTCATTCCTGAACCTAACTGGTTTAGTGGCTGTGGTACTGAGAGGGTCTTCCAGCGTCCCTCCCCGAGGCCTAGATTCTGTTGTCTGGATGCCTAGCTGTTGGCCAGGATTCTAATCCAATGTTTTAGTTTCCTCTTGTTGCTGCAACAAATTGCCGCAAATTTAATGACTTAAAACAACAAAACATTATTCTCTTGTAGCTCTGGAGGCCAGAAATTCAAAATGAATCTTATGGGATAAAACCAAGGTGTTGGCAGGGCTGACTCCTTCTGGAGGCTCTAGGGCAGAAATCACTCTTGCCTCTTCCCAGCTTCTGGTGGCTGCCAGCATTCTGTAGCCTACGGCCACCTTATCCCAGTCTCTGCCTCCATGGTCACATTGCCTTTTCCTCTTCTGTTGCCAAATCTCCATTCGCCTCCCTCTTATGAGAACACTTTTGATTAGAGGTAGGCCCCCCACCCCAGTAATCCAAAATGATCTTTCCACCTTAAGGTTCTTAACACAATCACACTTGCAAAGTCCTTTTTGCCCTGCAAGGTGGCATTCATAAGTTCCAGGGATCAGGACCTGGATCTCTTTGGAGGGTATTATTCAGCCTACCACGACAATGCTTGGGAATTTGTGTCATTATCACTTCACCCCCTGTAAATTTTGCTTCTACTGTGCGCTACTCCAACCCCTACCCCACCTCAACTGGACTACCTGGTATATGGGATCATTTGTGGGAGCGATCTGAGGTTTTCAGAGTCTGGGGGTGTTGGTGGCAGCTAATACTTAGTAATGTGTGTTTCAGATTCTCTGCTAAGGACTTTATATACTATCCCATTTAACAGTCACGTCAACCCAAGAGGTACTGTGGCCTGGGGAAGCCACATGCAATCCTGTTCAGCCTGACTTCAGAGCCAGAGTCCTTACCTGCTAACTGCCCCGTGGACAGAGGCAGACCCTGTGATTTGGGCTTAATTTAAGCACGTCTCTTCCCCACAGGGAGCAGCCACATGGCAGTCCTAGTGCTCCAGCCTGGCCCTGTGGTCCCAGCTTCTTTTCTTTCCCAGATAGCCTGCAGGATGCACCTTCCCAAGAGTGGACAGCCAGGATGAGCTTATTCAGCTCTCTCCCAGCAGGATAAGTGCAGCTCAGGAACCCAAGCAGAGGACTGTGTGAATAACCCTGAGTTTCCAGGCAATCTGGCTCTCAGCCCCCACACTGCGCTGCCCCTTGGACAGTCAGGGAGTTGGCAGTCAGCAGACGCTGGCTGAGTTTGGATTTGTTTGCTGATCCTGTCATGATATGTCATTAAACATTCCTGGCTGGAAGTCAGACATGAGAGTGCTGGAGGGTGTTCTCACACCCCTGTGCTGTGGGGAGGCCTTCCCTTCTTTCTGGCTGCCCTGGTACCCTCTAGAGCCTCCTATCTGCTGCTCGGAGGCAGTGCCTGCAGCGGCTGGACTCCTGCAGCAGCTGGAGGTGGAGGAAAGATTCTTAGGCCGTGAGTCCTCTTCTTCCGACAGCGAATTTGAGCCCTGGTGGAGCAATGTCCGGCACGCTCAGGAAAGTGTGAAATCTAGAACTCTCTGTAGTGGCCTGAGGCAATAGTCAGACATGGCTGGTAGAGCTGTGCTGCCTCAGAAGTCATCCTGGATAAGCTGCTCTGGATCCCCATCGTGGAAGCATAAAATGTCAAGCAGAAGGATGTTATGAGAATTGGAACCTAAGCCCTGTGCTGACCTCGGGGAGCACTCCCTGGGGCTACCTTTGCTGGGAGGTGCCTGGCCCAGACCTGTCCAACCTGGGCCTGCAGCCAGGAACATTCTCCCAGAGTAGCAATCTTATTAAATTCCCTGTAATATACATGTTTTAATAATAAAAGTATGGATATATTATTGATGAGGATACAAATAGCTTTACGTCTTTTACATTATGTAAGTAAGCACTGAAGTTATTTCTTTTTTAAAAAAATAGACTTAATTTTTTTACAGCATTTTTAGATTCACAGCAGAATTTTGCAGAAAGTAGAGTTCTCATATATTCGAAACCCTGCACCACCCCCCACTCCCTGGAGCCATATGCACAGCCTCTTCCACTGTCAACATCCCCCACCAGAGTGGTACATTTGTTACAATTGATGAGCCAACACTGACAACAACATAATCATCCAGAGTCCATAGTTTACATTAGGGTTCACTCTTGATGTTGTACCTTCTGGGGAGTTTGACAGGTATACACCACTGTAGTATCATCCAGAAAAGTTTCACTGCCCTAAAAATCCTCTGTGCCCCACCTATTCATCTCTCCCTTCCCACTAATTCCTGACAACCACTGATCTTTTTAATATCTCTACAGTTTTGCCTTTTCCAGAATGTTATATGGTTGGAATCATACAGTATATGGCCTTTTCGGATTGACTTGACTCCTTTCACTTAGTAATATGCGTTTAAGGTTCCTCCATGTCTTTTCATGGGTTGACAAACTATTTCTTTTTAGTGCTGAGTAATATTCCATCATTAGAATGTACCACAGTTTATTTATCCAGCCACCTACTGAAAGACAGCTTAGTTTCTCCAAGTTTGGGCAATTATGAATAAAGCTGCTGTAAACATCTGTGTGCACGTTTTGTGTAGACATAAATTTTCAGGTTATCTGAGTAAATATCAAGGAATGCAATTTGCTGGATTATATGGAAAGAGTATGTTTAGTTTTGTAGGAAACCAAGTCTTCCAAAGTGACTCTACCATTTTGCATTTTCACTGACAATGAATTAGAGTTCCTGATGCTCCATGTCCTTCCCAGCATTTAGTGGTGTCAGTGCTTGCAATTTTTCCATTATAATAGGTGTATACTGGTATTTCATTGTTGTTTTAATTTGCATTTCCCTAATGATATGATGCAGAGCATCTTTTCACATGCTTATTTGACATCTGTGTATCTTCTTTGGTGAGGTGTCTTTTCAGATTTTACCCATTTATTAATAGGTTGTTCATTTTCTTATGGTTGAGTTTTAAGAGTTCTTTGTGAATTTTGGTTAACAGTCATTTATCAAAATAATTTTCCAAATATTTTCTTCCTGTCTGTGATGTCTTCCCATTCTCTTGACAGTATCTTTTGCAGAGCAGAAATTTTTAACTTTGAATTAAGTCTAACTTATCAATTACTTCTTTCATGGTCATGCCTTTGGTGTCATACCTAAAAAGTCATTGCCAAACTCAAGATTGTTTAGATTTCCCCTATGCTATCTTCTAGGAGTTTTATAGTTTTGCATATTACATTTAGGTTAGATTTCCTTTTTATAAACTTTTTGATTGAAGAATAATATGCAAACAAAAGTTTAAAAGTCATAAGTATACAAGTTGATGAATTATCACAAAGTGAACACATTCATAACTATCACACAGGTTAAGCAATAGAACCAGTACTTCAGAAGCCTCTCTTGTCCCCTTTCTCAATCATAGCTCCCTCCCTTTCTATTCACACTTTTAAAACCATAGGGTAATGTTGCCTGTTTTTGAACGTTAAGTAAAATGAAGTAATATAGCATATACTATTTTATGTCTGGCTTCTTTTGCTTAATGTTACATTTCAGAAATAATCCATCTTATTGGGTGTTGCAGTGTTTAATACATTTTCATTGCCATGTAGTCTTCCATTATGTGATTACATCACAATTCAATGTTAATGGACATTTGAGATGTTTCCATTTGGAGCTGTCATGAATAATGCTGCTGTAAACATTCTTGGACATATCTTTTGGTGCTCACTGGGCACATTCCTATTGGGTATTTACCTAAGATAGATAGTGAGTGTCACTATATTTCCAGTTTGTGCCCCACTGTCCCAGCTTATGCCTAGACGTCCAGAGTAATAATTTTCCTCCCTTTCATTTTCAGAAGTGTCCCAGTTTGGCTAATAAATGAATTATGTCTTTTGATGAATAGAAATGTAATGTAGTCCAAGAAATCTTTTCCTACCCCGAAGTCATGAAGACAGATGCCTGTATAATCTTTTAGAAGTCTTATTGTTTTAGTTTTTACAGTATTTTATGTTCACCTAGATAAAATAACCTTTTATATTTACCACTTGTATGCTCTTTATTCACTCCTCAACAGTCAGGTTTCCTTCTGGTATCATTTCCTTTAATCTGAAATAATTATTGTCATATTTCTTATAACGAAGATCTGTGGGCAATGAACTGTCCTTAGTTTTACTTTGTCCAGAAATGTCTTAACTTGAAAGCTGTTGTTCCTGTTTTCTGTTTCCGTAGTTTCTCATGAAAATTTACCAGTCATCTGAATCATTGTCCCACTGTGTGTATTGTGTAGTTTTTCTCGGGCCGCTTTTGTCTTTGGCTTTCAGCAGATTAATTACAATGTGCCTAAACATAGTTTTCTTTGTATTTTTCCTGTCTGTCATTTGTTGACTCCTTAAATCTGTAAATATATGCCATTCAGCAAATTTGGAAAATTTCCCATCTATTTTTTTCCCAAATGCTTTTATCTCCTCTCACTTTTCTCCACCTGGGACTTCAATTACTAATGTTAGGCATTTTGATACTGCCCACAGATCCCTAGGTCTCTGTTTATTTTTTTCAATCTTTTTCTCTGTTCTTCAGATTGGACAATTTGTATTGATGTATTCATGTTCAGAGACTTTTTCCTCCCTAATCTCTAGTCTGTTATTAATCCCATACAGTGAATATTTATTTCCAATATTGTATTTTTTCAGTTCTAAAATTCTCATTTGTTCTTACGTTTTCTATTTTTGGCTGAGAGTTCTTCTTTATTTGTTATGAGTTTTTTCTTTATTTTTCTGCACTGAGGTTAATCATAATAGTGATATTAAAGTCTTTGGGAATTCCAACATCTGGGTCATCTCAGGGTTGCCATTATGTTTCTTAGGTGATGTGATTTGGGATTGTATCATGGGCATTGTGAATGATATGTTGTGGAGGCTCTTTATTGTTTCATTTTAGCAGGCGATTAGCTTGATTACACTCACAGTGTAAACATGATGTCACCTGAGGTGGGTGGCAGCTCAAATCTCAGTTCAGAGATTTTTAAATTTTT
The DNA here is from genome assembly GCF_000001405.40 of Homo sapiens. Lineage (NCBI taxonomy): Eukaryota > Metazoa > Chordata > Mammalia > Primates > Hominidae > Homo > Homo sapiens. Next base: position 77,286,258 of record NC_000005.10, read on the forward strand.
AGTTGGACTCCTTAAAATCTTCCCTGTGCATGAACAGTTCCAGGATCAGCCAGAGATGTGAGCAGAGTTTGTACACAAAATTTAGGTTCCCTCCTCATTCTCTAGTAACTCTGGTTGCCCCAGGCTCCATCTTCTGGTTCCTTAGGCAAGATTGATGGTAGGTTCTCCATCACAGTTGGACCGTCCCATGCCGTGGTGTGACTGTGGCCTGCCCTCATGGCAAAACTGAAAAACTAGGTAACTCACCAGATGCTAGATTCCTTCTCCAGATCTTTCTCCAAATCTGCCTGCTTTTGTTCACGCTCCAGAGCCCTTAGGTTGTCATTTTTTGTGTGTTTTGTTAAAGTGTGTTGTTGTTATCAGTGAGAGGGTTGGTGGTTATAGGAATTTACTCGTTCTTACTGGAAGAGGACCCCAGTTCATTGACATTAAATATAATTAGTCATGTATTTGCATTTAATGCTGCTATCTTACTATTTATATTATACCCACCTATTCTATTCAGAATGTTTTTCTTATCTTGATTTCTATCCATTTAAATATTTTCCATTTCCTCCCCTTTTAGCTTATTAGTTAACTCCCTGTTTATACCCTTTTTGTAATTAGTAGAAATTACAAAATTACTTTTACCTTGTTAACCCAATGTTAATATCTCTACCCTTCTTTAACACAGTAGAAGGAATGTAGAATACTTAAATTCCAGTTATTTCCCTCCGGATTCCATGCTCCTGTTGTCGTGCATTTTAATTCTATGTATTTTTAAATCCCAGAAGAAATTACTGTCATTTTCTACACTCAATATTCATTTAGATTTACACACAAATTTACCTTTTCTAAATGACATTATTTTCTCCATCTGTGAGCTTCCATCTGAGATCATTTGCCTTCTTTCTAAAGACCACCCTTTATTATTATTTTTTTTAGTGCAATAGTTCTAGTAACAAATTCTCTGTTTTTGTTTGTCTGGAAATTCTTTTATTATTATTATTATTATTGAAGTATATTTTTACTAAGTATAGAGTTCCAGGTTGCCACGTATTTTATTTCAGCATTTTGAAGATATCATTTCATTGTGTCCCACCTCCCATTATTTCTGTTTTTCCTTGGCTATTTTTAAACGTTTTTCACCTATATTTTGCTTTTACCAGTTCTTCTTTAATGCACTTAGGTATTTTTTTTTCTTCATATTTTTTTTTCTCTTTAGGGCCTACAGTGCTTCTTGACTTTGCAGCTTGATTTGTTTCTTCAATATTGGAATATTCTCCACCATTTTCTCTTCAAATATTGTTCCTGACGCGTTCTCTCTAATCCTACTGAGAGTGAAATTACATGTATGTGACACCTTTTCTCTGTGTCCTGGATGCCTCTCACATTCTTCTTATATTTGCCATCCTTTTGTCTCCCTGCACCTTAGTCTGGATCTTTTTCTTTTTTTCTGACATATATTCCAGTTCCCCAGTTCTCTGTTCACTGTGTCTAATATCCATATAAACCCATCCATCTGGTAACTGATTTTAACAATGGTAGTTTTATGACTAAAATTTCCACTTGATTTTTAAAATGTTTTCTAGTTCTTTGTCAAAATGTTGTTTCTTGTCTTTTAATTCTTTGAACATATTTTCAAGTCTGTGTGTGTAACCCTAGTATCTGGATCTTCCACGTGTCTGTTTAATGTTTTTTCCCTCTCTTGGCTTTTGGTCAACCTTTTTTTCCCTTATAACTGCTTATTTCTTCTGAGCATTGGATTTTAAATTTAGAGATAATTTGATGCTCTGAATGATGGCATATTCCCGCAGACAGAATTTAGTTTTCCTTCTAGTTGGCAGCTGGGAAGGGGACAGGCGATAATAACTCAGTGACTGAGATGAGTCAAAGAACCATTTCGTCCTATGTGAAGGCTGGCCTATCTCCAGGTCAATTCTGTTCCTAGATTGCAGCTCATTGGGGTCCCCATTGAAAACCTAACATGTTTGCCAAGGTCCTCACTCTCTGATGGGCCCTGAACTCCAGTTTTATCCTTCCATTTCTGTGTGGTGGATGGAAGCTCTGCTCAGCTTCTCGGCTTCTGGAATTGTCAGTGGCCTTCAGGGGATATGGACACCAAAAGCCACATTTTCCTTCTTGCCTTCCTTTCTCTCGCAGATCTTGGTCTGACAAAGTCTCACTGCACTGGTATCTATCTGATACTTTCAAATAGATTTTTAAAACTTCTTTCCAATTTCTCTAGTTATTCTTATTGGAGAGTCGGCCCAAGAAAAGTAAGGTTCAGAGAGAATAAATAAATTGTCCAGGGTCATACAGACCCTGAAAGTAGAATCTCTATGAAATCTATTTAAATAGGTGGCACAAGACCAGAGAAATCTGAGACTTACAGCAGCCTGCATGCCCAGCCTTCACCATCCTTTGTCATTTGGGTATTAAGTTTGACAGTTGCTATGTTTAACTCTCTTGTTTTACAAAACTGATATCCATAGAGATGGTGTGATTTGTCCATGACCACACAGCGAGGTAATATGTGAGTTGGGGTAAAATCTAGGTCTGTGCTCCTCGGTTTTTTCCTGTTAAATCTTGCTGCCCCCATCTTTTTTTTTTTTTTTTTTTTTATTGTTACTTAGGTACCCAGACCTACATCCCAGCTTTAGTAAGACATCTCAGTGCTCAGTGGTCCAAGAAGATTCTTCTCATTTGTAGAAAATTGTCCTTGATTTATGCAGCCACAACCACATATGAGTGTCACCTGTTACCTTCTTTTTTCCCCTCTTTCTTCGCTTCTCTTTTTATCTCTGAATTTTTACATTGCCACTGACATCTTGCCTGTGGCTAATAGACACGTCCACACTGAGAGACATGCTCTAGTAGAGTGGGTTCAGGACTGCATAATTAGTTTGTCCTCTTTTATGCCTGGGAATATTATATCAGATTCTCTAAAAGGTTTTGAAACGTAAGGTGAAAAGGGAAATGATAAAATAAGGCATTTGAGATTTTTAAACTCATGATCAGCTGCTTCCCTTGAAAATAATTCATAATCTCTTCCAGAATTGCTTGTAAAGGCTTTTAACTTTTGTGGTTTATCTGCTGTTCTCTTAAGCACATGGTATATATTTATAGGTTCTTACCTTAAATTTTAGGCAGAATCATGAATTAGATACTGGGAATAAAGCTGACCAGAAGTAAATCATTTCCCACATCTTATCTTTGTAAGGCCTGAAAATGTGATATTCCACGCTGTTTTTGAAGAGAAAGCATTTTGGTGGTTACCAGGAGGAAAGAATGGGGCAGGTTGGAAGTGTCACTGGTCTGGCAGCCTGGAGACCTCAATTTTATCCCATTGTGACCTCTCACTTATGTGCGACCTTGGACACATCACATACAATTTAGGCCTTATTTGGCAATATGTAAAATGAAAAGGTTGGACAAGATACCCCTTGGGAGCCTTACAATTCTCAAATTTTTGGAAAACTATCCTTTACTGTGAGGCCAGTGTCTGGAACAGCATTTTGTAATATGAATGAGGACTTAAAGCAATTTTTTATTTCCTGTGATCTTGTGGGAAGAGGGTGGGTAAAGTTAGATAATCTAGAAGTTGACATTTGTGTTTTCATGTAAGCAAGTCAAATGTTCTGGACTACATTTTGTTTCAAGCTAAAGAGCTTATGCTGTGATGACCCAGCTTATTAAGTTAGATAACAAATGTAAGGCACCTATTTCATTTCCTTATCACTGTGGGGCTCAGTAAGGAGTTTCCAAAAGAATGAATGAGAGATTATCATCATAATATCTATCACTTATCAACTGCCTGCTGTGCCAAGATACATCCGTGAGTAATACAGATTTGGCATCTGTCCTCTCCAAGGGGTAAGTATTATTACCCCTAGTTCCACGTGTGGAAAATGAATTCCAATCTGGTCTTACATTAAAAACCATTGATGTGGCGCCTGCCTCGCGCACTGTGTGTGCACGCTGCAAAGACCAGCAAGCTCCTTGGACCTTGGAGCAGGCCTGCTGCCTTCATGTCCACTCTCCTCATCAATCAGCCCCAGTATGCATGGCTGAAAGAGGTGGGGCTCCGAGAGGAAAATGAGGGCGTGTATAATGGAAGCTGGGGAGGCCGGGGAGAGGTTATTATGACCTGTTGCTCTGCTAACAACTAGCCAATAGCAAGAGTCCGACAGGCCAGTGTGGCAGACTATGAAGAAACTGTAAAGAAAGCAACAGAAGCATGGAAAATCTGGGCAGATATTCCTGCTCCAAAACGAGGAGAAATAGTAAGACAGATTGACGATGCCTTGTGGGAGAAGATCCAAGTACTAGGAAGCTTGGTGTCTTTGGAGATGGGGAAAATCTTAGTGGAAGGTGTGGGTGAAGTTCAGGAGTATGTGGATATCTGTGACTATGCTGTTGGTTTATCAAGGATGATTGGAGGACCTATCTTGCCTTCTGAAAGACCTGGCCATGCACTGATTGAGCAGTGGAATCCTGTAGGCCTGGTTGGAATCATCACGGCATTCAATTTCCCTGTGGCAGTGTATGGTTGGAACAACGCCATTGTCATGATCTGTGGAAATGTCTGCCTCTGGAAAGGAGCTCCAACCACTTCCCTCATTAGTGTGGCTGTCACAAAGATAATAGCCAAGGTTCTGGAGGACAACAAGCTGCTTGGTGCAATTTGTTCCTTGACTTGTGGTGGAGCAGATACCGGCACAGCAATGGCCAAAGATGAACGAGTGAACCTGCTGTCCTTCACCGGGAGCACTCAGGTGGGAAAACAGATGGCCCTGATGGTGCAGGAGAGGTTTGGGAGAAGTTTGTTGGAACTTGGAGGAAACAGTACCATTATTGCCTTTGAAGATGCAGACCTCAGCTTAGTTGTTCCATCAGCTCTCTTCACTGCTGTGGGAATAGCTGGCCAGAGGTGTACCACTGCGAGGCGACTGTTTGTACATGAAAGCATCCATCATGAGGTTGTAAACAGACTTAAAAAGGCCTACGCACAGATCCGAGTTGGGAACCCATGGGACCCTAATGTTCTCTATGGGCCACTCCACACCAAGCAGGCAGTGAGCATGTTTCTTGGAGCAGCGGAAGAAGCAAAGAAAGAAGGTAGCACAGTGGTCTATGGGGGCAAGGTTATGGATCGCCCTGGAAATTATGTAGAACCGACAATTGTGACAGGTCTTGCCCACGATGCATCCATTGCACACACAGAGACTTTTGCTCCGATTCTGTATGTCTTTAAATTCAAGAATGAAGAAGAGGTCTTTGCATGGAATACTGAAGTAAAACAGAGACTTTCAAGTAGCAACTTTACCAAAGATCTGGGCAGAATCTTTCGCTGGCTTGGACCTAAAGGATCAGACTGTGGCACTGTAAATGTCAACATTCCAACAAGTGGGGCTGAGATTGGAGGTGCCTTTGGAGGAGAAAAGCACACTGGTGGTGGCAGGGAATCTGGCAGTGATGCCTGGAAACAGTACATGAGAAGGTCTACTTGTACTATCAACTACAGTAAAGACTTTCCTCTGGCCCAAGGAATCAAGTTTCAGTAAAGGTGTTTTAGATGAACATCCCTTAATTTGAGGTGTTCGGCAGCTGTTTTTGAAGAAGACAAAGAAAATTAAAGTTTTCCTTGAATAAATGCATTATTATGACTGTGACAGTGACTAATCCCCCTATGACCCCAAAGCCCTGATTAAATCAAAAGACTCCTTTTTTAAAAATCAAAATAAAATTGTTACAACATTAAAAAAAAAAAAAACCATTTACCACTTAGCAACATTGGCAGCTTTAGTTCTCCAGCAGCCTACATACATTTTGTGCTAAGGAGCAAAGTAATCTTCCATTTACCAAGAGCTTTTTTTGCTTTTTAATGATGTATTAAATTAAACACCCACTCACCAAATATCTGTGAGTGTTGGTTGCGCAGATGGATTTGAGTGTTTGGTGCTGGGGTGCATCTTGTCACAGCTGATCACTTACTGGTTCTCTGACTGTGGCTGGGTGGAGTTGGCATCTGTCTCCTAGGTTCCTCCTGCCCCCAACAGTTTGTGGTTATGGTGATAAAATTATTGTGTGACAAATATCATGGCAGACATATAAACAGAGGAAAGGGGACAGCAATTGAAAGAGTATCAAACACACTTTAAGGTTCTAACTGTTTCAGTTACCAAGGCTCAGGAAGGCGTATGTTGTGTGTTAAGGGATCCAGAGTCACTCAGACAGTGTTCCTCTCCCTCTAGCAGGGTATGAAACTACTAATGGCCCCAGACCCTCATCATCACTGTGAAATTCACTGTAAAATCTTTGGAATTTTGATGAGTCAAAAGTGGAATCTGGTTATTTTGATTTGCATTTTTGGATTGCCAGAGAGGCTGAGCATTGCTGCCTGGTTTTACAGCCCATTTGTGTATTTGTTTTGAGCATTGCTTGTCCTTTTCTTGACCCTTTTTAATTGGGATGTTCGCCTGTTTTATTATTGTCTTAGTAGAGATTCAAAAAACTCTAATAAGGATGCCAATCCCTTTACTATCATATATTACTAATATTTTTTCTCAGTTTTGTATTTAAATATTTATTATGCTTTTTAATATGTTTTTCTTACTAAAAACCTAACAATCTTTTCTTGGTTTATGTCTTTGATGTTATTTTTAACAAAAGGCTTCCGGGCCCTTGAATGCTGGAAATGTTCACTTAAATTGTTTTTCAATATTCTCATGGGATTTTTTTTCTCATTTAAAATTTTAATCTATCTGGAAGTAATTTGGGTATATGTCATGATGCATAGAGCTGACTTAATTTTTCTCCATATAGTTAACCAGTTATCTCAATATTATTATTGAATTATCCATTACTTTCTCACTGATATAAAATGACATTTTTATTACATAATAAATCACATATATCGCTTTATATATATGTATAGATATGTGTAAAATTGGGTCAGTTCTAGATTTTATCTTTTTGTTGATCTCTCTGCTGGAAGCATACTATTTTGATAGTTGTATCTTTGAAGTATTATTGTCACAACTGGCAGAGCAAAATACTTGTAACTCTTCACAGTTTTATTAGCCAGTGGCTGGAATTTATTCCTCTATATGGATTTGAGAATCATTTCACAAGTTTAAAAAGTTGTGCCAGTGTATTTATAGCAATTAGTATATAGGTTAATTTGAGAGAGACTTAGCATTTTTTTAGTACTGGTTTTCCACCCAGGAAAACAGCATCTCATTCCATTTATTTCAGTCATATTTTCTGACACTCAGATAGTCTGAGTGTGCGATATGATGTGTTAAGGCACAGGTTCTGGAGTCAGAGAGTCTCAGTTCAAATCCAAGTCTAGCCATTTATTAGCTTGTATATCAGTGAAAGGTTTTCCCCAGTGAGTGGGACATAGTGTTGCTCAGTAAACATTTGTTGAAGAAATGTTTGAATGAAATAATTTATTCCTAAATTTTTTGTTTTTGCAGTTGTGAATGAGTTTTAGTCTGCATGCTTGCCAGCAATTAACATTGTCAGTTTTTTAGATTTTAGCCCTTCTACTAGGTGTGTTTTAATTAGTAATTCCCTGGTGACAAATGATGGCAAGCATCTTCTTTGGTGAGGTGTCTGTTCAGATCTTTTGTCCATTTGTTAATTGGGTGTTTGTTTTCTTAATGTTGAGTTTTCAATGTTCTTTGTGTATGTTGGATATAAGTCCGGTATCACATTTATGTTTGAAAATATTCTCTCCTCATATGTGGTTTGTGTTTTTATTCTTCCCACAGCTTATTTTGAAAGCAGAAGTTTTTAATGTTAATATAATCCAATTTACTATTTTTTTCTTTCATGGATCCTGCTCTGTAGTATAATTTTAAGCCCCTTATATCAACTCATAAAAACAGACAGGGCAATAATGTAAATTGACAGAGCACACAGTCCATAAGCAGCATCTTTCATAAAACTAAGGATTAGAGTATATGTCTATAAACTAAAAAATATGAGCAGTTAGGGCCAAACCACTGACCGTAACAAGGAAGTCTGCAGGAGGAAGCAGCTGGCAGACAAACAGACTTCTGGGGATCCCAGGGCTGGGGACCCAGAAACTTCTCTCAACACTTGTCCCAAGAAGGGGACAGTCCCCCAGGAGTGGAGGGCTTGCTGTTGATGTGAACACATTCGCTTAAAGTGGAGGGGGCTTCCCAGGCTCCAGTTGGCAAACAGTAAGGACAAATGAGAAAAGTATGCCCACAAAGCAGAAGAGAAACTGCAACCTAATATTTCAAATGAGCTAAAAGAAATTAAGAAAATGATTAAAAGTTACAAAAGAACAGGACGAATGCAAATTAAAAAAAACACAGGTTACATCATTAGACAACAGAAAAATATGAAAGGGAATTGATTACTCAGAAAAGAAATAGAAATAAAAGCAAAAAAAAATCTAGGAAAGGAAGGTCGAACTGGAAGAAATATAAGAGTGAATAAACAGTGCAGAAAGCACTGTATAGAAATTGGAAAGGAAGAAGAAAAACACAGAAATAAAGAAGACAAGAAACTATTTGAGAAGTGATAGAATGCAAGACAGGCAAAGGAGCTCCACAAATATATGATGATTCATTATATAATATATATATGATATATATAATATATATTATATCTATCTAGATAGGTCCACATATATAATACATATACATATATAACTCCTCTATATAATAGGAGCCTCTGAAGAGAAAAAACCAAACCCCGTTGTGTACTGGGAAAATCAATCCAAAAGGACAACATCAATGCATATTCTAGTAACATAATTGCACTATAAAGGAAAAAAGTCTTTTGGGGCATCTAGGCAAAAAGACCAAGTCGTTTATAAGGAAAAGAAATCAGATTGGCATCAGAACCTGAGAGCAATGCTTTAAGCCAGGAAATACTGGAGAAGATATGTTAAAGATAATCTAGAAAAGAAAAAGTGAGCCAATTATTCTACATTCAGCCAAACTGGACCCTCAAATATAAGAACCACAGACAAAACTGTGCGAACATGCCAGACCTCGGGGAATGAATTTCCCATTAACCCTTCTTGAGGAACCTTCTGACAATTACTGTGACTGGAGAAACTTTAGCATAAGGACTGGTGGTTGACACGTGAGACTTTGGGGTACGTTAGCTTCTGGTGAGACCCCTGGCTTTCTCAGAATTCCATAAGTGTTCTTGATCCAAAGACAGCTGTAAAAAGTGGTTCTATGATCCCTTGGTTGGAATACCATTTCTCCTCTGCTCAGGTGTTGGCTTTGACTCCAGTCATTTGGCTTGTGATTATTTCATATCCCTCCTTTTAAGAAGCCACACACCAATGCACCTGTAGCTTGTGTGGCCAATTGCCCACCCAAAGGATACATATCATCAGATCTCTCTAATATCAACAAGGGGAAGTCATTTGTTTCCATTGAGATTCTTTCTGTTTAAACACAGGAGAGCTCATTCAACCTTATTTAATAAGGAGAAAAAAGCCAATTAATTGGCTCACCTAACTGAAAAATCCAGAGTTAGATATGGCTTTGGGCAAGTCTTGATCTGGTAATTTGGAAGTGTTACAAAGGATCTTGTTTCTTTCCATTTCTCCACTCTGCTTTCCATGGTGTTGCTTTCGTTCTCACATGGTGTCAAGATGTTACGAGAAACAACCTCACTACACATTTCTTTTTGATAAACAGTGAGAATATTTATTAAAAGTAGAATAGCTTTTTCCCAGCATTGCTAGCAAAATCCTGGGATAAACTGAGTGGACTAGCCCAAGTCAAATGACTACCCCTAACCAATTGCTGTAGCAGTCCAAGTCACGTGACTACTCCTAACCAATTGCTATAGCCAGGAAAATGAAATGCTTAGTTATGGTTACCTGTCCTCCTCTTCTTCCTCCTCCTCCTCTTCTTCATCATCTTCTTCTTTTTTCTTCTTTTTTTCTTCTTTCTCTCCCTCCTTTTCCTCCTCATCTTCCTTCTCTTCGTTTTCCTCTTCTTCTTTCTCTCCTTCTCCTTCTTCTTCTTTCTTCTTTCTTCTTCTTGTTTCACTCTGTCACCCAGGCTGGAGTGCAGTGGTATAAACATGGCTCACTGCAGCCTCAACTTCCTGGGCTCAAGCAATTCTCCCACCTCAGCCTCCTGAGTAGCTGGGACTACAGATATACACCACCGTGCCTGGCTAATCTTTTTTACTTTTGGTAGAAATAGTGTCTCACCATGTTACCTAGGCTGGTCTTGAACTCTTGGCTCCCCAAAAGCTGGGATTATAAGTGTGAGCCACCGCTCCCAGCCCACATGTCTTTAGAACCAAACAGAGATTTCCAAACAGAAGTCAGTGACTCCTGGAAGGAGAAAGGAAGGAATGGACTGGGGAGGCTATCTAAAAAAGAATTTTTAAACGTGTTGAATTTTATCAAAGTGCTATCTTGACATTTCTTGAGATGATCATATATTGACTCTTATTGATTGTGGTGAGTTATGTAAATAGATACTCTAAGTTAGGGAAGGCAACCTACTTAGCTGTGCTCTGTGGGAGTAACTGAGGTTCTGGGAGAATCTGCTTGTTTCCCCTTTTCTTCTCTTTTTCCTTCTTCCAGCTCTTATGTGTACTTCTCTGCCTCTCCTCAACCCTCTGATACTGGTGTTCTCCAGAGTTCTGTCTTTGGTCTTCTGCTGTGAGTGATGGCAAGGTTTTAACTGCCTTTCCTGTATGCTGGTGTCACTCTCCCTGAGCTTCATACTTACATATCCCAGAGCCTGACTTTGCATTTTGAAAGGACTAGAGACATCTCAAACTCAGTACAAAGGCAGGGGCCTTTGTACTGTGTCATCTCATGGAGAAGGTAGAAAGGGCAAGTGAGTGTGGGAGACAGAACAAAGAAAGCAAGCGGAATTCATCCTTTTATCAAGAGCCCTCTCCTGTGATAACTAACCCACTCTCAAGATAACAGCATTAATCCATTCCTGAGGGCAGAGCCCCATGACCTAATCACGTCTTAAAGATCCCACCTCTTAATATAGTCAAAATGGCGACTAAATTTCAACATGAATTTTGGAGGGGAAATTCAAATCATAGCACCCCTCACCACTACTCCTAGTGTAGACACTCATCATCTTTTGTCAACACCAGTAGTTCCCAAACTTTAGCAAGCATCACATTCATCTGGAAGGCCAGTCATTACACACTGGGCCCACCCCTAGAGTTTCTGATTCAATAGATCTCGGATGGGGCCTGAATGTTTCCCCTTCTAATAAGTTCCATGTGATGCTGATGCTGCTGGTTCAGGGACCACACCTTGAGAACCACGGGGATCATTGCAGGAACTCCTTTCTGATCTCTGTTCCTCCCTTAGTCTATGCACATTTCAACCAGAGTGATCCAGCCAACTACAATCCAGCTATGCTACACCTTTGTCCACCTAGCAAAGCCCAGGCTTCTCACCACAGCAGCCTTCTGTGACCTGGCTCCTTCCTCCCTCTCTAGCCACATGGTCTGTTCCACATTGCCTGGGACTGTTCACACAAACTCTGTTCTTTGCCATCCTTGTGCCATTCCATCTGCCAAAAATGCTCCTTCCATCGGTCTTCACTTGGCTCATTCTCACTGATCCTTCAACATTGATCTCCAGTGTGGTTTCCTGGAAATTTGCCTGAATCCCCAGATTGAGCTAAGTTGCCCTTAGGTTTCTCTGGCTTCATGGTCATCTCACTCCCACTCTGCTCCCCACTCCTGTCTTCAGACTGTGGGCTTTTTGAAGGCGTGAACACTCAGTCTTGCTTATCTTTTTTGGCTTATTTTCTGTGTAGTATCTGGCACATAATAGATGCTTGATGAAAGTTTGTGGATCTAAACTAAATATTGGTGCTACTCTTGAGTATAACTATCTCCCCTCAGGGGCCCTGCCACCCATATGCTAGTACCTGCCTCCCATCATAAGGAAACAGTGCCTTTTAGGCATTGCTGAAAAGTATAGGGTCTGGACCTCCTGATACTGGGACTTGTTACCCTTTAGACATCATTTCAATCTTCATATATCTTCCTCCTGTGGTTAGACTTAAATTGAGGGCTGTGGGCTCAGCCACAGAACATCATGGCCTCTGTTACCCTAAGTTTCTTCCTGTTCTTGAAATTGTGACGGTTTGGAAAGAGATGGGGAGAATATTGTTACCCACGTGACAGGCTGCAGCAACCTTGACCACTAAGGTCAAATAAGCAGCATTGATGAATTTTAGCATGTGGGCACCCCTGGAGGGGGCGAGGCAAGTCTTTCTGTTACAAAGATGCAGATTTCAGTGCAACTGAAGGCAGAACTTTCTAATGAGAGTATAAAGTTGTCCACTGGTTGTTTAGAAAGAGGCTGGACTTACACCAGTAGAACTCCAAGTCCACATAGACCCGCCATTTGGTTCACCAGACACCATTCCCAGGGCTGTATTTTAGCCATCTGACTGTCCAGGGATCCCCGGGAATCCTTATGTGTGATGATGGGGCTTTAGAGACTTTGAACTAAAATGCCAAGGCCTCAGCTCCGTGAATTGGTCTTCTTCCTTTAGATTGGTGCTTCTCAAACCTCTTCAAATCTGAGGGTGAAGAAAGTGGATGCCTACCTCCACCAGGTAAAGTGATCTGCTGCAAGCATTAGATTTTTGTGAAATTTCATTCTTTAGCTTAAAAATTCATGTGAACTTTGCATTATACTCTGGTTTTCTCAACTAAGATAAAAATATTTTGAAGGACTTTGTAGTTAAATCACTAAACTTGTTTCATCTTGACATAAAAATGGATGCTCCACTAGGATGCACTTGTAGCTTTGTATGTCTCCTGGCCCTATCTCTGCACCATCACCATTTCTAAAGCATTGCCTGTCTTACACAAAGGCCCCAAGGCCCGTAAGAAATAGTAATGATTTTAAACAGGATTCCAGGAGAGTGGAGCCCATGAATCTGCATTGTTGCTTACAGAATTACAGCAAGATTGGGAACATGAGAGTTGTTTTTTTGTTTGTTTGTTTGTTTGTTTGTTTTATTTTATTATTATTATTATACTTTAAGTTTTAGGGTACATGTGCACAATGTGCAGGTTTGTTACATACGTATACATGTGCCATGTTGGTGTGCTGCACCCATTAACTCGTCATTTAGCATTAGGTATATCTCCTAATGCTATCCCTCCCCCCTCCCCCCACCCCACAACAGTCCCCGGAGTGTGATGTTCCCCTTCCTGTGTCCATGTGTTCTTGTTGTTCAGTTCCCACCTATGAGTGAGAACATGCGGTATTTGGTTTTTTGTCCTTGCGATAGTTTGCTGAGAATGATGGTTTCCAGTTTCATCCATGTCCCTACAAAGGACATGAACTCTTCATTTTTTATGGCTGCATAGTATTCCATGGTGTATATATGCCACATTTTCTTAATCCAGTCTATCGTTGTTGGACATTTGGGTTGGTTCCAAGTCTTTGCTATTGTGAATAGTGCCACAATAAACATACGTGTGCATGTGTCTTTACAGCAGCATGATTTACAATCCTTTGGGTATATACCCAGTAATGGGGTGGCTGGGTCAAATGGTATTTCTAGTTCTAGATCCCTGAGGAATCGCCACACTGACTTCCACAATGGTTGAACTAGTTTACAGTCCCACCAACAGTGTAAAAGTGGAACATGAGAGTTGTAACTGAAAAGCTTGTGAGGCAGTCTTCTAAGATCAGGGGCTCCCATGTATGCAGTGGAGTAGGCCAGAATTGCTCCCAGTGCCTGATCAAAGACACATGAAGCCATGTTCTGTGATGCTAGACCGTGGTCAGAGAACCCTGGTGCTGGGCATAGAGTACCCAGTGTTCTGCAGTGTAGGCATTTTAATGCCTTGAGCACTGAAGGTGAGAACCTGAGGCTCATCAAAATGAGCAAGTAGGCAGAGCTTTAGAGTTTTAGAGCAAGAATACAAGGGAGCCCCTTGTTCTCATTCCTCTCTTAGACGAGAATACGTTACTCAGCCTGTTCTGTAGCCAAGAGAAGAGGATGATGTCAGTGGATCCAAGATAGCCTGTGAGTTTGAACCGTTTTTTAAAAGAAATATACTTTGATTGAACACAAAATGGTCTTTTAGGACTTACTTAACCCTTTGCTGTGCTTTGGGCATTTTCTGTTTTCTATTCCACCAATGGACACAGAACTGTACCCCTTTCATACTCTCTAGGGTTTGGGGAGATGGGAGGGGGAATTACCATGGGAGCCCATCTTCAGCTTAGTCACCTGCCTGTAAACAGACTGCTTCCTTTCATTGCTGCTGCGGTGCTTACCTCTCTAAATCTTCAAAAATAATACAAGGAAGAAATATAGTTCCTTGGGTGTTGCCTCGTTGGCTTTTGATGTAAAACATAGTGGCCCCAGAGGGTCAAGGTGCAGTGGGGATTGTCTTCCATGTGTGTTAGCAAAGAGGAGGGGCCAAGGGCTGGGCCTAAGGCCTTGGGGACCTTCCCAGGAGAAGCTTTGCCGGTCTCAGGCTTCTGGTGTCTTTGCTAAGCTTCTGAAAATGTTGAGGTTTTAATTGTGTAGTGTTTCACTCAGGTTGTATGTCATTAGGATGTTAATGGTGCTTTTTATCAATAACTGCTTGGAAATCATGATTGTTCTTGCCACATAAGTGAAATTCCTTTTCAAAAAAGTGGGCATTTGCATTTTGTGGCTGACTTTGCATGGGCTACTTACTTTTAAATGGGATTCATTTCAGTGAGATTGGTTTTTAAATGGGAATTAGTGCCCGACAAGGATTCATTACCCCTGGGGCCATCTAATCTTTGGACTTGGTGACTGAAGGTCATGGTTCATCCCAGCATGAGTGGTCCTGACACACCAGAGTCGGGAAAGTGAGTGTGGTTGGATTCTTGATGGGGTACCAGCTGTGGCTAAAAATCCAGGTGCTTCAGGGTCACAGGTCCCTAATGGGAGATTCCCATGGAGACAAGCAGGGAAGACATTTCACTCTTGGTCCTCTAAGGCAGTTCTAGCTTATCAATGATAAAATTGAGGACAGAGGCAGCATGTATAATTGAAATCCACAGGAAATCTCTAAAACTCATTTTTAGCAGGTGGTTTCTGTTTCTTTGCCCATCAAATCTATTTACCAGAACTGCTGACCATGTAGCAAAATTTACTGATTTGAATATCATCCCTCCCCACTTTCTCCCAACTTCATGTAATGTTCAGGAGAAGGGAAGGCATCAGAGGCATGCAGGAGGATGGAGGTGGATCAGAAATGAGTGCTTGGGTTTTTCCACAGTCTGGATAATTGCCTCCTGAATAATCAGAGCTAGACTGTTCTTTGCTTGTTCTCTATTACACAATGTAATTTTACATGCTTGAAGTCATCCGGCAGTGTCTATTATCAGTGGTATCTCTAATAAAAGGAAGGAAGTCAGTTGAGGGATGTCACGTTTTGACCATTGCCTTTAAATTCCTGTGTTCTCCCAGTCAGACCCTGCATGATCTTTGGGATCTTGGAATGGAGCTGTGTTTACACACACTCAGCCTAGTCATTTGTGGCTGAATTATTACATTATGAAAGCTTGATGCCTTGATTCCTGCACTGCATGTACGACAGAAAGAATTTTGACATAATCATAGCATCGAACTGCAGTTTGGGGTTTTTTTTGTTTTGTTTTGTTTTGTTTTCCTCCTCTGAAGTTAAATCTCTCTAAGGCTTCCTTGTGCTGGCCTCCTTTGGGTACTTGTCATTTTGTGGATTATATTCTAGACCATTTTTTTCTTTCCATTTTAATGCATAATCGACATCAGGCTGAGTTTTTTTCTCATGACTGTAGATGACATGACTATGTTGTATAAATAATTTCTCTTTAATCTGATATTTGTCAGGGGGAAATGGCTTCTCCATTATACTGTGCCAGCCAAGTTTTCTGTGTTTAGATCTGATGGCATCTGCATGACTTCTGTGTTTATTTTTCTCATTACGACTTCAGAGTTAGCAAGACGATGGCCTCTTTATCTTTTCTCACTGCCATATTTTCCAGGCACAGTGGGATGTAGCATCCCCCCTCCACTGGCACAGCAAAGCTCTCTGAGTCTAGTAGTAGCACTTCTTAAGAAAGACCAGTGACAGTGGGGAAGGAAGGAGAGGGCATGGGTAGGGGGCAGTGTAAGATGCTGTGCTGGAAAGCACATCACTGTGTCTAGTGCATGGGGGGAGGTTGACGGTACTGCCTCCTTCTTTGCAGCCTGACCTCACTGTCTGGGTGGCCCACTGCAGCGGGAGCGGGTGCCTTGTGCCAAACGTTGTGCACACCGACTTCCCTACCTGCTTCCTCTTTCCATGCTCATTGTTTCTCAGCCAGATCTTTCACATCTTATTTATAAGTCATTTAAAAACCCTCACCTCATTTAAAGTCTCTTTGTACACCATCTTAAGGCCTTTCTGGAACAGTCTGAGATATAAGTAAATACACAAATAAGAGCATGGCCTTCCCAGTGAGGCAGACCTGGGCTTAAATCTCAGCTTCATCCTCTCGGGTAAGTGGCTTAACCTTTCTGCAGCATAACCTCTTAAGCCATAGAAAGGGGCCCAGGATGCCCTGTGGGATTGCTGTGACCTTTACGTGAGATGATGTACGTGGGGAATTCATCAGCCCCTTTTGTCTTATTGAGGCACAGTGCAGTTACTCATCTTGAGCAAGGTCCCCTGAGTCCCAGCCCAATTTTCTAGAATTTTATTTTACCAAGTTTCAGAGAAACCCCATCTATATTCTGAGGAATTTTAAATACAACACCTTATTCTACCAAATAAAGACTTTACTGGAAAAATAAAAAGCATGTGTAGAATATTTATGTAGTGGCTAATGCTCCATTAATGTTAACACCAAAATAGGAAATAGACTTTCCCAATAAAATTAAACCTAATTTCCATTTATTTGGAAATATCTACATATACAAGAAGATAGAAAGTTTAATTCAGTAAACACCCATGTACTCACTATTTACTGCTTAAAAAAATAGGTCATACGCTGAGTGTGGTGCCTCATGCCTGTAATCCCAGCACTTCGGGAGGCCAAGGTGGATGGATTGCCTGAGCTCAGGAATTCAAGACCAGCCTGGGCAACACGGTGAAACCCCGTCTCTACTAAAATACAAAAAATTAGCAGGGCGTAGAGAATTTTTGTGTTCCCTACTAAAATACAAAAAATTAGCCTGTAATCCCAGCTACTTGGGAGGCTGAGACAAAAGAATCACTTGAACCTGGGAGGTGGAGGTTGCAGTGAGCCGAGATCACTCCACTGCATTCTAGCCTGGGCAACAGAGCAAGACTCCATCTCAAAATAAATAAATAAATAAATAAATAAATAAATAGGTCATTCACAATATAGTTGAAGCCCCGGCACTTCTCTCCCTGAATTCATCGTCCCCTCCACCAGCAGGACCACTTGCCTCAATTGGGAGTTTGTCAGCATTTCTTTGTACTGTTATAATATATTCCTAAAGTCTATTCAGTATTGTTTTAAGTATTTGTAAACTTCAAGTGGTATCCTAAGGTATGCATCATTCTAAAACTTGCAATTTTTTGTTTTGTTGTTTAACTCAATGTTTGTAAGATTCATAAGTTTTAAATGAGTAACTCTAGTTGTTTCATTTTTACTGTTGTATAATATTCTATTGTATGGCTAGTCCTTGATACATATATCAGTTTCTTCTGGTGATATTAATAGACTATGGATTCAGTTTTCTAAATTTTTGTTACAAACAATACTGCTCTGAATATTCTTGTAAATGCCTCCTATACACCCTAGAGATACACTCATATAGGAGGCTGAATTGTCAGATATATACTTCTTCGTCTTCACTAGATATCCCCAAACTGTTTTTCAAAGTTGCTAAACCAGTTTACATGCCCACCAACAATGTATAAGAGTTTCTGAGGGGCCACTTTCTTGCCTATGCTAGATAATGTTTGACTCTTAATTCTGCCATTCTGTTGATAAAAATAGTTGGATGTAAGATAGTATCTCATTGTAATTTAAAATTTTTATCTTCCTGATTACTAATGATGATGAGCATCTCTTCATACTTATATTTCCTCTCCTGTAAATTTCTTTTTCAAATCATTTCCCCGGCTTTGTTTTTGGCTGTCTTCTTACTGATGTTTAAAAAAATTTTGTTTTATGTTCTGGTTACTAGTATTTTTGGGTTTTTATGTTTTAGATTTCATCTCTCCAGCTCTGGGCCTTTTTCTCTTTTATTACAGTGCTCTTTGCTTTTTTTTGTTTTGTTTTTGGTGAATAGAAGCTATAATTTTAAAGTCAAAGTGATTAATCTTTTATTTCATGGTTGTATATTTTGATGAGTAGACATTTGTATGTTTATGTGATAAAACATCATGCTGCCAAATTAATGTACTATTCTAAATAGTAGGGCATAAAACATAAAAGTAATGAAATATGTCACTGGCTGTGAGTATCTTGTAACCATGAGTAATCGTCCATCTATATTATATAACAGAAAAACTATGAAAGAGATTTTTGATTGATTTTGATTGTAACGTAGGGATATTGTTTGGGGGGGATAATTCACCAAATATAAAAGACTTTATCTTCCTCATGCCAACATTATAATCTTGTGTTTTTCGTGGAGCTATCTGGAAAAAACCAGTGGAGGTATCTGGAAATGAACACAGATAGCTGTCAATGTCTGGGTCCAGGCATGATAGCTGAGTCTTGGGTGGGTGTTGTTACCTTCCACGAGGTAAGTGTTCCACCGGTGTTTGTTGAGTAAATGGATATGTAATAGAGTCTGCAGGAGGGGCCATTAAAGAAGCAGGAATTGAAGTTAGCAACAGACAAGTCTGCTCAAAAGAATAGACTAGTGGTTCTCAACCCTGGCTAAACCCAAGGAGATAAAAAGTTGAAGACACTTGGGCCCCATTCTTAGAGATTTTAGAGATTCCAGTTATCTTGGTGTCAAATAGGACCCAGGCATTGATATATTTTTAAAGTTCCCCAGGTACTTCTAATATGAAGCCCAGGTTGAGAACTTCTAGACCAGAGGATTGGAAGCAGGAAGGAGAAGGGAAGCTCATGGGCTGCCCAGTGAGCTCTTGGGCCCTGAAAGGTCCAGGGTATCAGAGTTGCCAGGAGGTGCTGGAGGGCAGCCAGACCACAGCCAGGTAAGGCTGGAGGCTGGAGTGAGGGCAGCGCCAGCCAGCAGGGCCCACAACTGAGAGGGGACAGAAGGAAGAGAGTGTTCTGGGTGTGCTAAGCACAGTTGGCAGGGGAGAGAGGGTGGGATGGGACAGAGTTTCCCAGCATAGAGCAGGGAGGCCCAGCCTCACAGTGGGATCACCTAGAGGCTGCAGGGCCAGTCCCTTTCTGACTGGAAGCCAGAGGACAGACAGGGGCCCATTAAAAAGGCAAAAGGCAGACACAACCTTTGTTTACCCAGAGCTCAGACGAATAAAGAACTAAGTTTGGCCTGAGAATGGAGGGTGGACAGGGCACATATTGAGATCATTAAATGCTATTTTTAAATCAGAGCCAACAGGGCAGCAGACAGAGTTGATGAAGAGCATTTAAAAGTGCCTATTTCTGTGCCCACAGCTGGTGTCTTTTCAGTGTGAAATGATCTTCACCGTGGACCCGTCACAAAGTGCAAGTCAAGCTTGCCTTAAGCTGTGTGTGTGCGAACACTCAGTACTGTAGATGGTGGGAAGGAAGGGATTCTAAAGGAGAAGTCATTGAAGTGGGGAAGATTCAGACTCTGAGTTTTGGAACTCAGACATTCCACCCCCACCTGGACACACACGCACATGCACACGCATGCATACCCTTTTTCTTCTTGGTGCTGGGCCAGCCCTGTTAACAGACTACCAGGCACAAGCAGGGATCGCCAGGCACTGCATCATCTGTTTTGCAGAGTCTGAATGGAGTCCAGAAGCCATACCAGAAAGATGAGTGCTGCAGAATTAATGCTTCCAATTTTGGAGCATAATGGAAGAGCAGTGCACTGGGAGTTAGGAAGAATGAAGTCTCAATCTTCACTCTGTTACTTAAAAGCTGTCTGTTCTTTTCAGTTTAATTCAATTCCACAAAGCATTTACTGAGCATCTTGTAGATGCTGGGGATAAAATTGTGAAAAAGACAGAGACTATGTCCTCAAGAAACTCACAGTCTTGCCAAGGAGTGAGATATTTAAATGAGTAACAAAATCAGTGCTATGAATACAGGAGTACTGAGGAGAGAAATCACTGGTTCTTCTTTGGGTGAAGTTGGACTTGAACCATTGTCAGAGGGCAAGGGCGTTGGAGCAGGCCCTTGAAGGATGCGTTAGCTGCTGAGGCAGGAAAGGGCTTTCCAGGTCAACTGCTTTCCTTCCTGAATCCTTAGCTTCCCTCTTGTCTGAGGAAGGCTCTAAAACTCGATGCCAAGTTACTTAACAAAATTCCTGAAGCTGAAACTATTAAGAGCTGCAGCAATCACCTCTAGAGAATGTGGTGGCGTGACAGGTGAATTAACCAACCTGAACTACCTTGATTTCTCTCGTGAGTTTGCCTCTTCCATCTGCCTACCCTGCACCAGCTGGGTTGTATCGTGGAGTTCCCTTTCTATTGAAGTGAAGCCAAGCTGAGTTTTTTTCTTGATCATTGCAGTGTATTTTCCCACTTGCTTTCATTGCTGTAGTTCCTACTCATAGTGGTGTTTTTGTTTAGTTTTTGCTAAATCTCTGTTCTTGGTTGTTCAGAAAGTGGGCAAGCCAATGTTTGATTTTCCCAAGTCACAGATCTTATTACGTTAATCCTTTGCTCAAACACCTGCAATGTGATTGGTGCTTAGAGATTAAAAAAGAGAGCTCCTTCCTGTGTCCTCTGAGGATCTGACCCCAGCCTTCCCAGTCGACCCTTTCTCACACTGCAATCCAGCTCTCTGGACACTTGTTTTCTCCCCACCAGCACCTTCGCTTTCCTGCCTCCATGCCTGTGCCTGTGCTGTTCCCTATGCCTAGAATCTCCTTCCCCAACCCAGTATCTTCGTCCCCCTATTCTTCACCACCTGCCTGCCTTCATGAAGCCTTCCTTGATCTCCCCACCTCCCAAACCAGAAGTATTACCTCCTCTTTCTCAACTTCAAAGTGGGAGAGAAAATGTCTCTCAACCAGAATTCTATATTCAGCCAAACTTCAAGCAAAAGTGAGTGATAGACGTTTACAGATCAACAAAGACTGAGTGACTTTGCCATAGACCTTCTCTGAATGAAATGATGTATTCCTAATTTTGCAGTCATGGACCCATGTTGCCAGCTTGAGATCAACAATGGTATTTATACCACGGAAGTCAACAAATGCTACAAAATAGTACTTGTGTTTTTTTTTTCATGTGAAAGTGGATTGGTGACCCTGCTTCCATGTATATATGTGTGTATGTTACCATTCACACATGTACACACAAATATTTGACACACTACGAATGTTATACAGCACAGTTAAAACTACGCTGTAGTTCAGCAGTCCTTCCTCATTAGGCTACTGTGGAAACACATGTGGCTAGGAAGTGTGTCTCTCTTCACACTCTGGTCCCACCCTCCCCTCTTCTCAGGTGTTGGAATTATGTTACCTATGCCCCCACCCCTGCATTTGTTTCTCTGACCCTGGCAAACTTGGCCACTTCCTGGAATCAGAGCTAATACACTAATTGAAGAGTCTGTGCATCTGCAGTTGCTCAAAGTTCATTCTTTGAAGTAGAGAATCTTGGCCTGGCTACACAGATGTCAGTAAATTATCTCCTGTTTCTGTTCATAGTTGCTGTTTTATAAATTGGTGAAATGCAGGCAGTTAGACGCCTGTGTCAGAAGCAGAACTCTGCAAACTGCCGTCTGTGAATACACCTGCTACAGGTTTTTTCCTGCTGGTCACTACCTAGTGCCAGCCCTCAGAGTCAGCAAGAACAAGTTCCAGTGTTCTTTTGGGACAGTTGACCTCTTTTGGACACAGAAGCCAAGGCCAGATGACTTGGAGCACAGACCAAGAAGGAAAAGGCAGGCCAAGAGACACAAAGCAAAGTGTGGGTCAGGACTAGAGGAGCTGGTAAACTGAGGCACCCACGCCGGTAGTGCAGGTAGAGTGACAACACGTGGGAGGGAGCACAGTGAAGTGAGGCTGGGAGGAGAGAGGCAAAGGATGCAAAGGATGGTAGAGATACGAGAGGCAGGGGTTTGGAGAATGTCCCTTAGCAGCAACTTTACAGCCCCACTTCCGGGCTCTGCTGTCCTCCCACGAGCTCACAGCATGCCTTCCTGCTGGGTAGGTCAGACAGGAGTTAGAATACTGGATGGCAGGCAGAGAACTGTTGTGGCTATGAGAGAAAGTCGTAGGGTCTTTCCTGCCTTTAGGAAGAAAAATGATATATCTTCTAGCTTGAAAGTTGCTTTTAAAACTCCATGCTGTGACACAGTGGCCATTGCCTGTCTGCCCCTAGGATTACAGGTGTGAATGCGCCTGGCACAATGCCTGGGTCAGAGGGACTTAAGGAATGTTCACAGTCATCAGATATTCTCCTGGTAGAGTCAAAAGTCGCCTGCCCTTCCCCGCCAGCCCACCATGTAAGGTTAGCTGTATCAACACTTCATGCACATATTGATTATTTGGAAAAGTATACAGGCAACTGGGCACAATGGCTCATGCCTGTAATCCCAGCACTTTAGGAGGCCGAGGCGGGCAGATCACCCGAGGTCAGGAGTTTGAAACCACCCTGGCCAACATGGCGAAACCCCATCTCTACTAAAAATACAAAAATTAGCTGTAAGTGGTGGTGGGTGCCTGTAATCCCAGCCACTTGGGAGGCTGAGGCAGGAAAATCACTTGAACCCAGGAGATGGAGGTTGTAGTGAGCCAAGAAGGCACCACTGCACTCCAGCCTGGGCGACAGAGTGAAACTCTGTCAGAAAGAAAGAAAGAAAGAAAAAGAAAGAAAGGAAGGAAGGGAGGGAGGGAGGGGAGGGAGGGGTGGGGAGGGGAAGGAGAGGAAAGAGAGAGAAAGAAAGAGAGAAAGAAAAGTATACAGGCAAGGTATTGGTTAGGGGTGAATTATTATTTTTTGGACAGCCTGTGCCCTTCTTGCAGGAATCCTTCCCTATCTCTTGGCCTTCCAATGCGAGTCACTTTTTATTTTATTCCTTTTAAGCTTCTATTTATGATTTCATTCATTGCTTTATTTTCTGCCACTGAGTGACTCTTTTAGGAGCCTAATTTTGCTGGAGAAATCATTCACAGGTGGTCTTGTTGGAGGGGGCTTTTGTGTGTGGTGGAGGCAGTGAACTCAAGAGAGATCACAGGGCAAGCGAAAAGGTACCCTGGCTTATCAAATTTATCTTAGTATATACTAAATTGGTTTCACTTTTTTTTTTTCAGAGTCTCACTCTGCTGCCCAGGCTGAAGTGTAGTGGTGTGATCTTGGCTCACTGCAGCCTCCACCTCCCGAGTTCAAGCCATTCTCCTGCCTCAGCCTCCCAAGTATCTGGGATTACAGGCGCCCAACACCATGCCTGGCTAATTTTTGTATTTTGAGTAGAAATGGGGTTTCACCATGTTGGCCAGGCTGGTCTCAAACTCCTGGCCTCAAGTGATCCACCTGCCTCGGCCTCCGAAAATGCTGGGATTACAGGCATGAGCCACCATGCCCAACTGGTTTCCCTTTTTAATCATTAATCTTTTTTTTTTTTTTTTTTTTTTTGAGATGGAGTTTTGCTCTTGTTGCCCAGGCTGGAGCGCAATGGCACGGTTTCGGCTTACTGCAACCTCTGCCTCCCAGGTTCAAGCGATTCTCCTGCCTCAGCCTCCCAAGCAGCTGGGATTACAGGCGCCCGCCACCATGCCCAGCTAATTTTTTGTATTTTTAGTAGAGATGGGGTTTCACCATGTTGGCTAGGCTGGTTTTGAACTCCTGACTTCAGGTGATCTGCCCACCTCGGCCTCCCAAAGTGCTGGGATTACAGGCGAGAGCCACCGCATCTGGCCCAATCATTAACTTTTTAATCAGCGTTCTGGCAGTTGCACTGCTTTGGAAAGAGGGTGTCTATTTCAATAACAAAAACTGGCTTGGGAGTGGAGCTGGGTGAAGGGCTGGCAGCCCAGTGACGCAGCAGGTTCTGGTGCTGGTCCTCTCCCAGTAGAGTTGCTCTTGGGGCTGTGCCCCTAGGCTACTGGTGTCAGCACCCACACCTTGCAGGATACTGACTTACTTAGACAAAAGAAGAGTAAGAGAAGTCCACACTCAACATGAGCCTGTCACTTTGACCTGAACACAGCAGTGAAACACTGAAGGAACTTGTTCACAGGCTCAGGGACTCAAAGCCTCCAGTTGGTTTTCATTGTGCCAGGCCTGCTGAGTGGACCCATGGTTGAGGAGGCTGCCTCCCCAAGAGGAGCAGAACAGGCATCCTTGCCCTCCTGAGAACCCCCCACAGAGGGCCAGGAACCTCAGATGAGCAGTCATTAGAGGGCTCTTTGAGTTTTCTGCTGGCTGGTTTGGTGAGAGGCCCAAGCGCCCTGCATGAGTTCTTTACACTGCTGTGTTGGGGTGGGGTAGGAGAATCAGGCCTACAGAGGAGAAGAAGACTGGTGCTTTGGAGAGTGTTCATAGCACCAGCACTAAGAGTTAAGCTTGGGGAAAGGAGAAGAAAGGAGAAAGGGAAATTATTATGGTCTTGCAAAGTATAATGTAAAGAAAGTTTGCTTTTCTTGTTTGTTTTTTGTAACTGAAAAGGCTCCCATGGCCCTTGGGTCACTGCAAGTGTCTCTGGTTGTGTAAATGCTGCTGCGTGCTGAAGGCGCTCCTTCAGACTGACAAGGGGCCAGTACAGAGTGTGGAATGCAGGATAAGCTTCCAATAGTGACAAATGACCACAGTCTCTTAGAGAAAAACAAAATTGGATCCATGGAGGTGAGGTCAAGACCGTCAACCAAATTAGTCTAGAGAATAGTCACTTTTAGAAATCTCAGTAAAGTAATTAAAAATAAAGACAAATATTTGCTTTATGCTTGCTACCATCTAACTGCTTGCCAAAGGCAGCCAGATGGTGTTGGCCAGTGAACACTGAAGAGCCCTATGCTCACTCCTGGAGTTGTGGGGCAGAGACAAGCCTCTCGTGGTCATCATGGTGTGGTGTTGCTCAGTTTATTTGTGGAACTACAACTAAGATGAATAATTTATCCATGGTAAATGTGAGTAAGACTAAGCTGTTTGACCCTCATAGTAAAACATGAAGATAAGAAAACCAAGATCTAAATATAGGAAAGGCTCTTAAACCATACATGTGATTTAGCCTCAAGATTTGAGAGAAATGTTTATTCTCTTTTGAAATTTCAGAATAATAATGGCCTCAGCATGATGCCCAGCACATAGTAGGTGCTCAATAAATAATTATTGAATTGAATTCTTTTCTTCCATAAAATAGTACATGCTTATTATAAAAATCCAGACACTTCTAGTAAAAATGACTCAAAGTCCAACCACTTAGCATTTGGGGATGTATCCTTAAAGACATTTCCAATGCATATAAATGGATACTTTTTTTTTAATACAAAAACAGGACTGTGCTATACATATACATCATGCTTGGTAACCCATCTCCAGTTCAGTAAGCTGGATTCTTCAATTTAGTGCACACGGTGGCATAATGCAATGCGTTGCGTAAGGAAGGATGTATCCATTTGTGTAGTTTAAGACTTGACGCTTCTCTTGTGCTGTCCTTTATTTAGCAGGTGTCTTCTGCGGAGGTGCGCATCGGGCCCATGAGACTGACGCAGGACCCTATTCAGGTACGCCTCCTTTACTCAGCCCTGTGACTCAGATTATTTTCTTTTTTTTTTCTTTTTTTTTTTTTTTTGAGATGGAGCCTCCTTCTGTTGCCCAGGCTGGAGTGTAGAGGCTCAGTCTCGGCTCACTGCAACCTCTGCCTCCTGGGTTCAAGCGATTCTCCCACCTCAGCTACCCAAGTAGCTGGGATTACAGGTGTGCGCCACCATGCCTGGCTAATTTTTGTATTTTTAATAGTGATGGGGTTTCACCATGTTGGCCAGACTGGTCTCAAACTCCTGACCTCAGGTGACCTGCCTGCCTCGGCCTCCCAGAGTGCTGGGATTACAGGCGTGAACCACTGTGCCCGGCCTGGCTCAAATTGTTTTCTTGAAGACCTAAACATTTCCCCATTTTGAGTATAAATATGATGGACAGATTGCATGGTGGATTGTGAGAAAGAACAGCTCTTCCACCCCAAAACTAGTCTGCTCCACATCCTACTGTAGCCAGAAAGGGAAGAAGCAATGAAATGGTGAAGGGCTGGGCTTTGCCATGAGTCACAACTGGGTGGGAATCTTGGCTCTGCCTTTAATCAGCTGTGTGACCTTGCATATATTGCTTCACTCCTCTGACCCAGTGTCCTGTCTGCAAAATGGAGATGATTATGCCTCGGGAAATTGTAAGTTAAATGAGATAGCATAGGATGCCTAGAACTTTCTCTGGCAGTTACCATTAATGATAGCAGTTGCTGTTGTGTGGGAATAGAAGATGATAAAATGCTCCCCTACATCTTCTATGTGACTTAAGCCAAGCAGCCTACTGGGCTCTGTAACACAGCAGGAACTTGTGTCCAAGGATACAAGGCCCAACCACCTGTAGGACTGACTTCACTCTAATAATGGCAGCAACTATGTCCTCCTTGCAGCCCTTCCAGGTTCCCGTGCCCCCTTAAGAGAAACATGTATGAAGAGGGAGTTTGTACCCTTTTAAATAATTTCTAAATCCTTATCTGCATATAAGCCATCCTGTTAGGCCTAAATAAGTTAACTTCTTCCTTGTAAAAACTGTAGCTTATTAGCACCTGGAATCTTGCCCTGTACTTGGGACAAGTAAAGATGCAGAAAAGATGTAAACAAGTCAACCAACATATAGATGAAAGTGAAAAACCAAGCAAGGAAATGTGCTATTTGATTTATGAGCAAATGGAAAAAGAAAATAGTGTTTTATAGTTGCTTGGAAAAAGAAATGCAAATCTAGGAAAGGAAAAAAAAAAAGGAAGAGATTAGCTTGGGAAAATTTGATGAAAACAAATTTAGGAACAGAGAGAGAGAGAAAAATAAACACCAGCCACAACTATTTGTATAGAATACAAACAAATGGAAAATTTCAGTAATCATTCTGAGCCATGCCCTTTGTACTCCAATTTTGAATAAAGGCAATAACAAATAAAGGCATTGATATCAAGGACTTATTCCCAAAGCAATTTCCAGAATACTTTTTGGGATTAGTGTGGTTTTAGATCAATTTCATTTACCTTCATTTTTGTCCTATGCTACACTGGCAATTAATGCTCATAAGGATGTCTCATTCTTTTAAAAATGTAAGTTGTCAAATGTTAAAATATTTCAAATATTCATAAAGGTGCATGTGTGTACCAACACCCACTTCTATCAAATATTAATGATATGTCTTATTTGTTTCAGAGTTTTCTCAGAAACAAAAGATTGTGGATACTGTTTAAGCCCTTTATTTATCCCTTTGCTACCCCTTTCTTTCCTCTCTGAAAGCAACCACTATGATACATATTTGTATACTCACTCTTCGTATGTATGTGTCCATTCATAATATGTACACTTGTTTTGAATACTTTTTAGCTCTCTTTGAAAGGTGTTGTGCTATACACATCGTTCTTCATTCATCAGTTGGTGTCATATCTAAGAATTCATTGCCTAATCTAAGGTTGTAAACATTTACTTCTTTGTTTTCTTCTAAGAGTTTTATAGTTTTAGATCTTACATTTAGCTCTATGATCCATTTTGGGTTAATTTTTGTTTATGGTGTGAGGTAGGGGCTTTATTTTTATCTAGTTGTCTTAGCAGCATTTGTTAAAAAATACTCTTCTCCATTGAATTGTCTTGGCATCTTTGTCGAAAATCAGTCATAAATGTGAGGATTTACTTTTGGACTCTCAGTTCTATTCCATTGATTTATATGTCTGTCCTTATCCAGTACCACACTGTCTCGATTAGTGTAATTTTGTAGTAAGTTTTGAAGTTGTGAAGTGTAAGTCCTCCAACTTAGTCTCATTTTTCAAGATTATTTTGGCTTTCTGTGTCCCTTGCATCTTTGTATGAATTTTAGGACCATTTTGTCAATTTCTGTGGGGGCTTCGGGGAGCTAGCTGGGATTTTGATAGGGATTGCAATGAATCTATAGACCAATTTCAGGAGTATTACTATGTTAACAATTTTGTTTTCCAGTCTATGACCATGAAATATCTTTCTATTTTGCAGGATCTTGTATCCTGCAAGCTTGCTGAACTCATGTATTAGTTTTTTGTGAATATAGAAATTCCTATAATCCTAAGCATTATGTATTATAGGATTAAATTCCTTAGGATTTTCTATGTACAAGATCATGGCCCAGTCTAGATGCTTTTTTTTCTTCTCTTGCCGAATTGCCCTAGCTAAAACCTCCAGAACAATGGTGTGTTTAGCTTTTTAAGATACTTCTAGACCTTTCCTCAAAGTACAATTTTACACTCTTACCAGCAATATGAGATTTCTGGTTACTCTAAATCCTTGATAATATTTGATGTTGTGAGTCTTTTAAATTTTAGCTATTCTGGTGGATGAGTAGTATTATCATGATTTAAATTTGCATTTCTCCATGACTAATGATGAGCACTTTTTTATTTGTTTATTGGCCATTCCTCTATTTTCTTTTGTGAAGCGTTTGGTCAAGTCTTCTCCTCATTTTTTAATTGGGTTAATTTTTAAAAGTTATTGAGTTGTATGAGTTCTTTATATATTCTTGTTATGACTCCTTTGTCAGATTCTGAGAACATTTTCTCTCAATCCGTGGCTCTTTTATTCATTTTCATAACTCTGGCTTTTGAACAATAATTTTTCATTTTGAAGAAATCTTTCACTTTTTAAAAATGGTTATTGCTTTCTGTGCTTTAAAAATCTTTACTCCCAGGTCAAGAAGATAATTTGTTGTTTTCTTCTAGAGACTTTATTGTTTTAACTTTTAATTTTAGATCTGTAATCTACCTCAAGTTAGTTTTTGTGTGCAGTGTGATATGGGTGTCAAGGCTGATCCCCCCACCCCACCATATTAATGTCTGATTGTTTCCAGCTCCACTTATTACAAAGACTATTCTTCCCCATTGAATTGCTTTGAGGCCTTTGCTACTGATTTTTTTTATATTTGTTGCAGCTTGTTTGGTGGCCAGGTATGTAGTCAGTTTTTAGATTAATACTCCACAAAAAGTGATAAAAAGATGTATTCTCTATTTGTTGGACAGAGGGTCCTATTTACATGAATTACTTCAATTTCATTAATCGTGCTATTCAAACCATCTCTATTAATTTTTGACTTAAATTTTGTGACTATGTGATCTATCAGTTTCTAATTACAGTGGATTTGTTGAAATCATCAATATGTGTTAATACTTGCTGGTATTTTGAGTCTGTGTTGTTAGGTGTATCCAAGTTCTTGATTATTGTATATTCTTGATGACTGTCCCTTTTATCATTACGTAGTGTCCTACTTTAACCTTTTCCCTTATATTCTGTTTTATTTGTTGGTAATATTGCCAGGCCAGCTGCCTTTCTTTAACATTTTCCTAGTTATCTTTTTCTGTTTTTTTCTTTCAGAAACAAAAGATTGCAGATACTTTATAACTTTATTTTGAGTAGCCTCTTTTAAGCAGCATATTGGGGTTTTTTTTTCAATAAAAATATGGGAAATAAAATCTGTTTCTATAATCTTTGTCTTTTAATAGGTGAGTTAAATCTGATTACATTGAGTGTGAATACTGATATAGTTTTATTTTGTATTTTCTATTTATTAATCTTTTCCTTTTTTATTGTTTCTTGTTTCTGCTTATTATCAAGTTGGGAATGTTTTTGAAGTTACATTTTCTTTTCTCTAATATAGGTATACTTCTGTTCTTTTAGTGGTTACCCTGAAATTATTATTACTATTATTATTGAGACAAAGTCTTGTTCTGTCACCCAGGCTGGAGTGCAGTGGCACGATCTCGGCTCACTGCAAACTCTGCCTCCTGGGTTCAAGCGATTCTTCTGCCTCAGCCTCCCAAGTACCTGGGACTACAGGTGCATGCCACCCAGCCTGGCTAATTTTTGTATTTTCAGTAGAGATGGGGTTTCACCATATTGGCCAGGCTGGTCTCGAACTTCTGACCTCGTGATTTGCCTACCTTGGCCTCCCAAAGTGCTGGGATTACAGGGGTGAGCCACCGTGCCCGGCCTGAAATTATTTTTAATATGCTTGCTTAGCAGTCAAATTTTATAACAAAATCTCACCATACTATCTTTCTGTCTTCTCAAACATGATACAGTCCTTTGCAGAATTTAAGTACCTCCTGACAGCCCCACTCTCCCACAACTGAAAAACACTTGTCTATAAATTTGAATGTATTATATGTGGCATATTAAAACATACAAAAATATTTTTGATATGTGCTCATAACCTATGAAACATAATAACAAATTGAATATCATAAACTCATAAGCCTGCCACCCAGTGCAAGACCTGGAACATTACCAGTGCTACGGTATACCCCATTGATTTCCCTCATGTGAGTTTGGCTCCAAATAACAGCAGATGCAAGTGGTAAAGAGTACCTCTTTGAGTGAAGGACACAATAATTAAGGGTTTCTTTTAAAAAAGATAATAAGCTCAACTTAGAACCAAGGATGGCTTCACATGGTCTCATTCAAACATAGAGTTTGACTCAATGATTCATGCAATAAGAATCTACTGAGTACCTCCTATGTTCAGGGCTCTATGCTAAGTGTTGCAGGGGAGAGAGAGAAGGCACCATGTTCCCTGACCACAGAGAGAGGTCTGGAAGGTCAGTTTTATTGTCTATAACACACTAACTTTCAGTGTATTGACATCTAGTGTTTTTATGCTTCTTCTACTAACATTGCAATTGACTTAGAAAAATGAAGCTATGTCCTAATGTTTTTATTTTACTTTTTTTTCTCCTTGAAGAAAACTATTCTGTTGCTTCACTGCAATGCCAAAAATATTAATTAGCTACATCAGCCAGAGCCCTTAGGGCTTGGGAGGAAATGGCTTGATAAGAATATTTCAGGATAGAGTTGCTTTTGAGGGTGCATTTCTGAGCTCATCAGGGGAAATTTACTCCCATGTCAGGAAATGTACTCCCATAGGGCTCCACACACCCCACACAGAGCTGGCAGGAGCACAGTTAGGAGTGGAATGGATTGGAAGTGCAGAGTGGTGCTGTGGAGCACGTCTCTCCTGGGTGAGTTGATGTGACCCACAGGGAAAGTCATATTTTCCAATCTTGGCTAGAAAATAAAAAGCAGAGGAAGTGTTATGAGGCAGAGATTCAAATCAACATGATACTGTCTGAAAAATCAAGTGGCCTTTTCTTCATCCATACCTGGAACACGTTTACTTCCCCAGTGTGCAGAATGTATGTGTTTCTGCTTAGAGAGTCCCGTCCCCATTCCCGTCATGCTGGGCTTTCCAACTGGACATGGAAATGGATCCCCACAGCTGTGACCTAAGCTTTTTCTTAGCAAGGTCACACATCTCCTTTCAAAGCCTGGCCAAGATGGTGAAACCCCGTCTTTACTAAAAATACAAAAATTAGTCGGGTGTGGTGGCGGGCATCTGTAATCCCAGCTACTCTGGAGGCTGAGGCAGAGAATTGCTTGAACCTGGGAGGTGGAGGTTGCAGTGAGCCAAGATCGCACCATTGCACTCCAGCCTGGGCAACAGAGTGAGACTCCATCTCAAAAAAAAAAAAAAAAAAAAAACACAACAACAACAACAAAAACCACCTTATTCTTCCATGTTGTAGGGCATGGGTTTTCTGGAACCATTATATTTTGGGGATTTTATATAGTGGAGATCACATGGCCTCATAGGGAGCTGACCTTCACACATTAAGTGAAATGACTGAGGGATGGAGATGTTCAGACTCAGTAACTTGCTGTGGTCAGCATTTCTTTTGCTGTCTGTCCTTACTGCTGCTACCAGGTTGTGTCTTCTACCTCGTCCAGCCAGTTTCAAAGAACCATAGAGTTGTTAAGAATTTTCATCTAATATTATAGGTAAAAATATTTATGGTGCTGAGAGATAGTAAGTTACTTAACATAGTGATTACAAAGGCCCTGGGGTCAGGCCAGCCTCGGTTCACATCTTGCTGGCAGTGCAGCTATGGACAAGTTTTTTAACCATCTAAGCCTCAGTTTCCATGTCTATAAAATAGGGATAATGCCCAACTCCAAAGAGTTTCTCTAACGGGTTATTGAGTGAGACAGTATGTTTCTAGTGCATTCAGTATAGTGGCTGCCCCTTAAAAAACTCCCATTAAACTATAGCTGTAATCAGCATCACTTTCCTAGGGACATTTAAGGAAAGTTCTCAGACCATTTTTTTTCAGCTCAAATGACCACTCCCCTGATCAAATTGGCCACTTGTTTAGTATTATGCAGACAGAGCTTATGTGATCTATATATGTGGTCTGCTTTAGAAGCTCCATTACCAGGTGTTTGCTTAAAGCCAAACCAAATATTCCAAAAACTGGATGTTTAATGGTAGACATTGACAATCCATTTGAAGACACATAGATACACCCTCATTTAGAAATAACGCTAGTAATAATGAACACCTATATTGCCTTATTCAAGATGAGGAAAAGTTAGTTTTTGTTTTCATCTTTTTTTATAATTAGCCATCACCAGATAAAGTAGTTTCATTCTAATTTAGCTGTCAAAGACAGATTATTGCTATCCTCAAAAAGATATGTTTCAGCTTTCTTTGAGGTCTTTGTAGTTACCTTTGAAAAGCAGGTATCTCTTGCTTTGTACAGGTCCAATGTGCACAGATTTCATGGTTTACTTAGATAACACCAGACCCCCAACAACATGTTTCAAATTGCGGTTACATCAGTGTTTTAACTGTGAATAAATGCATAAAGCATAAACTTTGCAGCTGGCTCTTCAGTCCACAAATCACTATGTAAATAACAAATGTGCAGCATCATCAGTAACTTATCGCTTTTTTTAACCATAACTTTTTTTAGCCAAAGACTGGTTGGTTTCTGCCTATCTGTTATTCAGCCTAAGTACAGACAGCAAAGCATGTAGTTGTGTTGCCTCCTATCTCTCCGTGATAAACCCAAATGACATTATGCAAAAATAGATCATTGAAAGAGGGAATGAGCTAACAAAGATGAAAGTGCAATGAAGAGATGCAAAATGATAATGCTGTGAGTGAAATTTGAATTGAATGTAAATGGACTTAGAGGAGAAATAGTTGACTGTGGAATGCCGACACTGCTGTCTTTGAGAGATTCTAGACATGTAGCTGGTAGAAGTTAGTGAATGCAAGTTCATCAACATAAATGAGGACAGCGGTGTGGCAAAAAGGATGAAGATGTCATAGAGGAAGTGAAGCCAGCAAAAAACTTCACATTAATGAAAGGAGCTCTGGGGATATTGCATGATACTGAAAGCACAGAGGATAAAATGTCAGCAGCTGATCCAAAGTTAGGAGTATGACAATTTGCCAAGGCATAGGAAAGATGCTCACTTCGTATCGTAACTTATACAACTAGAAGAAGGTGGCAAGCACTGTCCAAACTACTCTTGATAAATTTTTTTAAATACATAAAACATCTTAATTTTCAATGTTTCTAATATTTTAAGTTACAGTATATTAAATAAATTTTAGCTTTATATTTTTTCATTTCCCTATATATTTATAACCAAGAATAAGAAAATTTTCAGTATGTTGACACAAATTTTTAAAGGTCACAAAACAATCATAATTTTTACCATTATTTATTAAGATAGCTTTACATGGTCATTTTTTCATTTTTATTTTTATAGAATATAAAAATGCAGATTTCTTGCATGCATATATTGTGTACTGGCTTTCAGTGTACCCATCACCCGAAAAGTGAAAAATGTACCCACTACGTAAGTTTTCAACCCTCGTGCATGGTCATTATTACAGTCTGATTCTACTATGCAAAGTGAGGATTGCCGATAGCTATGTTCTGACTACGGACAGAACACAAGTTGGCTGAGCTCTGCTCCAGAAAGAGGTTTCCTCGTTGTTCCAGGCTTCAGCCCAGATCAGTTCTGCATCTTCTCCTCTTTTGCTGTGTTTACAAGGGTACAGTGAGATCGATGTGACAAAACTACTTCCTTCTGCTTGTTCTCCTGTGCTTGGATTCTTGTCCATGCTTTGTTTATCTGTGGTCACCACTTATTGGTGCATTTATTATAATTATCTGCTTCCTTGACTGGAGCCCAGGGGAAGAGACTGGCCTATGGCTATTTCTGTCATCTTTTTATTCCCAGTTCTTAACATCTTGCATAACAAGTCATCGATAAATATTCTTTGAACGAATGTTGAGGATATTATTTTGAGCAAGCACAAGGTCAGTTAGCTGTTACTCTTTACAGATCAAGTTCAGTTATAACACCATTAGTAATGATTTTTCAAAAATATATTTTGCAGAATCATTTATATGAGTTAATCATTTATTGACCTCAGTTAATAGTCAATAAATCTTAAAAAATGGCCATGTCAAAGAAATCAGAAATACTGATACACAGAATATTAAAGCTGAAGAGGGAATGCATTACTTAAGTTTTGTTTTGTTTTTATTTTTTAGTTGCAAGTAATAACTGCCTTATACCAAAAAAGTACATAAGTAAATAAGAAATGTATTAGAAGGATAGTGCAATTTTTTTTTTCAGACTCCAAGAAAGAGTTGAAAAGGGTGGGTGGCTTGCGAAGGGTGTCCATGGGCCATCTCTGAGCCGTTTGACATCAGCAGTTTAACATTCTTCCATCAGTATCTCTATTTTTTTTTTTTTTTTTTTTTTTTGAGATGGAGTTTCTCTCTTGTTGCCCAGGCTGGAGTGCAATGGCACGATCTCAGCTCACTGCAACATCTCTGCCTCTCGGGTTCAAGCAATTCTCCTGCTTCAGCCTCCTGAGTAGCTGGGATTACAGGCATGCACCACCACGCCTGGCTAATTTTGTATTTTTGGTAGAGACAGGGTTTCTCCATGTTGGTCAGGCTGGTCTCAAACTCCCGACCTCAGGTGATCCACCCACCTTGGCCTCCCAAAGTGCTGGGATTACAAGCGTAAGCCACCATGCCCAGCCAATATCTCTATTCTTAATGGGCCACAGGTCCCAGTTCCTAGCCTTTATGTCTCTCTGTTCAAATTCCAAATTCCCAGAAACAGAATATCATTAGCCTAGCTATAGCCTGGGAGATGGGAACAAAGAGTCCAATTTGGGCTACTTGGATCTACTTCTTTCCTGGAGAAGGTATTATTTTTAAGAGCTAGGCAGATATTTTTAAAAGGTGATTACTATAGTGTTTTACTCTGAAGTATATATTCTTTATTCCCATAAATTTTCACTTTGCTTAGGAATTGAATAATTGAAAAGCAGTCTTTCTAAATTTTTTATAAATAGGAAAAAATTTAAATATTAGCCAAAGAAATTCTCTCCTGAGTGCCTTACCATACCTAAATAATAAGATCTGTTGGCCTTGCAACAGATACAGATTTTATTATTCAGGTATGGTAAGGCCAACAGATCTAGGAACAATTGGCATTGAAAAAATCATTACAGTTCCCAGAGCAGGAGGCACAGCATGCCACCCAGGGCCACACTGGGAAGCACCGCAGTCAGTCAGGAGGCACAGGGAGCGGGAGGAGATCCCGGGCAAGAGCCTCCACTGTGGTTTCCATGGGAAGGCTTGGGTGAGGCAGGGTGAGCAGGGTTAGGCTAGGCTAGTCGGATTAATTTCAGAAAGGTCTGGGACATATTGGTGGTTCTAGTTGTCTGGTACCTGGCCCTAGGGTGATTAGGGTTGGGGAATTGTGGCCTGGAGTGTAAGAGCCAAAGGTGGTGGTGGTTGGGGAATGGGCTCTGGATTGGTTGATTTGCATATGAAGGGCATGCTCACAGGAGAATTGTGTGCTATCTCTAGGAATTAGCAACCCTGAGAAGGGCAGTCCTTCCAGGGTCAGCAAAGCCCCAGAAGTCAAAGCATCAGAAACACAGAAAATAAAAATATACAATTAATACAGCTGTCCACCTTCAATCAGTTTTGTGAGTTTCCATGTGAAATCCAGTTTTGTAACACCTTCAAATGTCCTAGAAGGCCTTATCATGGTCTAGCCCTCTGCCGTGAACCTGACCTGCTCCCACCCTTTTGCCCTCACACCCTCCCTTCAGTCACCCAGGCTCCCTTGCAGTCCTTAGAACACACCAGGGGCTCATAGAACTCTGCCTGGAATGCTTTTCCTTCCAACATAAACTGGGCTTGCTTTTCTCTTGCCTTCAGGCATTTGCTCACACGTCACTTTCTCAGCAGGACCTATTCTAACTGCCTACTTCCTTCTGCTGCCGGCACCCACTCCTGACCCCCTTACTCTGCTCTGCCGGGTTTCACATAGCACCTGTCATTTATTACCATTCTGTATAATGTGCTTACTTAATATTCTATTTATTGTGTGTGCCTCTACCACTACAATGCAAAGAGTCTTTATTTTGTTCATCAACATACCATAAGCAGTTAATAGCAGTGTTTCTGAAAATTAGTGATAGCTGTTGTAATGCCCAACAAGAGAATTGTTATATTCTTACTGTATTAGTCAAAGATTGAGGCATAATGGTGTCAAGGAAATATAAATTGCTGAGATTCTTGTTTAGAAACCCATAATTCAGCCAGACAGGTGAGAGACAAGAAATGTTTCACCTTTTTTGACTTCTAGGTTTGGCATATTGAGTTTCTTGTGTTAATACCACAGCTACACCAAGTAAAAGGTTATTGACTTTTTGCACCAACCAGTTTATTCTACCTGATTTTTCTCATTCAGGCTTCCTTGTTAACAGTTTGATTTGAAGGCTTTCATTATCAAAATCCACAAGGTTGTGTCCTTCATTTTTCTTGGGAGAGCCACCTCCTGTTTCTTCCTGGAAGGAACTCTGTGGCTGGAAATGTTAGGAGCTTCCTGGGCTGAAGAAGTTCAGACCCTAGCCAGTCCAGGGTGCTCCTAACAAATGGCATATATAATATATCCAGATATTTATTGATATTAAGGAATTATTGGGGAGGTTTAGATATGAAATGATATTGTGGTTTGTTCTTTTTAAAAAATCTTTATCTTTCACAGATGCATATGGATGAGATAAAATAGCTGTATTTGCCACCATCTATTATAAGAGCTAGGAAAATGGGTAGGGATAGAGATGAACTCACATTGGCTAGGAGTTGGTTATTGCTGAAGCCGGGTAAGGAGTACGTGAGTTTCATTATATTATTGTTTCTACTTTTCTATATACTTCCAATTTTCAATTAATAAAAGTATTTTTCAGCTGGGCATGTGGCTCATGCTTGTGATCCCAGCACTTTGGGAGGCCGAGGTGGGCGGATCATGAGGTCAGGAGTTCGAGACCAGCCTGGCCAACATGGCGAAACCCCATTTCTACTAAAAAAATACAAAAATTAGCCAGGCATGGTGGCGGGCGCCTGTAATCCCAGCTACTCGGGAGGCTGAGGCAGGAGAATCACTTGAACCTGGGAGGTGGAGGTTGCAGTGAGCCGAGATTGTGCCATTGTGCTCTAGCCTTGGTGACAAGAGCAAGACTCCATCTCAAAAACAAACAAACAACAAAAAAAAGTATTTTTCAAATGTAATAGTAATGATTGGACAATTTGGCTTGTTTCTGATTTTAAGTGAAACACGTTTGGTGTTTCACCATGATGAATATATTGACTATTGACTCAAAAGCTCTTCATGTTGAGAAACTACCCTTCTATTGTTAATTATTTAAACCAGACGTGGGTGCAGAAGAATATTGAGTGCCTTAACGATATCTTGAGATTACTATAGGTTTTTCTTATTAGATCTATTGCTGGGAGGTGGTTTTACATGTTATTCATAGTAAAGCCCTCTTGCATTTCTCAGAAGACCCCACAGGTAGTTATTTTTTCATTTCTCAGATATTTGCTGAACATCTAGGAAGTGCCAGCCTGGTGCTGGGCATGGGGGGTACAAGCAGGGAACAAGCCAGGCCGAGCCCTCACTCTCCTGAAGCTTACTTCTCCAGTGAGGGAGATGGACCATAAATACATAAATGAGCTCAGGTGGTGGTAGGGTAGTCTGTGTCTTTCTGGCTGGCAGAGAATCTGTGTTCCTGGACCCAAGGGATGTTGAGGGGGAAACTGTGTAAAGTATTGCTACCTTCTTTTCTGTGGGTGGAATTGCTTCTCAATGAGGCAGTTCATCAATAGAAGCACTTTTCCCTCGACTTAGCTCCATCAGCTTTACATTTCATGATCATTCTTTCCAGATTCTGGCAAAGATTGGATGTTAAAATTCATTTTTGAGGTTGTTTTGAGTTCCCTTACTTCCTTATGTCTATAGGTATTTTAGTGCTAAGTTCAAAGAGGTGGCCTCCAGGGACTTAAAGGCAAATACCACTTGCAACTGGAATCAAATATATGTATTGTAAATGTAAACCATAATCTAACCTGTGTTAACTATCTCGTTAATAATTTTACTTATTTAAAAACAAAGCTAATTAGGAAATTAGAAATACTTGTAATTGCAGTGAGTAACAATCACCACCAGAGTGAATGGGCACCTTCTCTGTTCTTATTCAGTTCTCAGAACTAACTTATGTGGCACTGTTCTTTCACTCTTAGAGCCCAGAAACTGTAGGCCAAAGAGGTGAAATACCTTGTTCAAAGACCACTGTAACCAACTGGAGGAGCTGGGATTTGAACCCTGGTAGCTTCCCTCTAGAGGCCCCATTTTTAACCAGTATACCATAGGCCTGGTCTTTTGGTTGTTTTGGGGGGATTGTTTTGGCTTTGTTTTAGACAGGGTCTCACTCTGTTGCCCAGCTGGAGTGCAGTGGTGCAATCATGGTTCACTGCAGCTTCTACCTCCCAGGCTCAAGTGATCTTTTCATCTCAGCCTCCTGAGTAGTGGAGACCACAGGCATGTGCTACTGTGCCTGGCTAATTTTTTTGTATTTTTTGTAGAGGCAGAGTTTTGCCATGTTGCCCTGGCTGGTCTTGAACACCTGGGCTTAAGTAGTCCACTGCCTCAGCCTCCCAAAGAGCTGGGATTACAGGCATGAGCCACTGCGCCTGGCCACTAGGCTTGTTTTTAATAGTCTCTATGGATGATGATTTATTTCAAGATGCCCTTTTTGTTGTGTTTCAGGTTTTGCTGATCTTTGCAAAGGAAGATAGTCAGAGCGATGGCTTCTGGTGGGCCTGCGACAGAGCTGGTTATAGATGCAATATTGCTCGGACTCCAGAGTCAGCCCTTGAATGCTTTCTTGATAAGCATCATGAAATTATTGTAATTGATCATAGACAAACTCAGAACTTCGATGCAGAAGCAGTGTGCAGGTACCTTCTCTAATTTAATATGCTTAGTAAATGTTCACTTTACATCTTAAAACGAATTTCATTTATAGATATCTTTAGTTTATTTCAAATATTTTTAAAATATGCGTTGATGTTTTTAAGCAGTGTATACAGATGTCTGTGGTGAAAGCTATAGCTCCTTCCTGTAGATTTCTCTCTCCTCTTCTACTTTTCCACATTTGAGTTGTACTAAATTTAGAGGTGTGAGCTGGGCTCCCCTGATAACTTCAGGGTATTCCCCCCACCCTGTGTATTGCTCATAAAAAAC
Organism: Homo sapiens; assembly: GCF_000001405.40. Taxonomy (NCBI): domain Eukaryota; kingdom Metazoa; phylum Chordata; class Mammalia; order Primates; family Hominidae; genus Homo; species Homo sapiens. Next base: position 77,326,016 of record NC_000005.10, read on the forward strand.
ATTAAAATTCACACAGTTCGCATTACACAGATACGGTTTGGATTTAAACTAGCTATTTTAATCTTCATTATTCTCTCCCAAAATGAACATCGGAAATGTGTGAAATATAAATTTTTTCCTGCCTGACACAGATGGGTAGATCCCATAGCAGGCTTCCCAGTCATGGAGTGAATGCAGCCACTTTTGCAGCAACAGAAAATCTTCCAGGGACCAAAACCCCCTGCTTGTTTATAGAAATGCTTGCACTCTGGGGAGGAAACACAGGCCTGTTCATAAATAAATGCTCAGTCATAAGAGTTAGCTCTGGATGAACTGATTCATTTAGCAGAAGTGGAATGCTTTGAAGCTAGATGGAAGAGGTCACTAATTAAATGCTAGACCAAGACAGAGTCCAGTTGCATGGGGAGCTGGAATTTTCTTGAATGTTAGTAAGTGAAATAAAAGGTGAGAAAATGGCTTTTTAGACTTTGGTACCCTGACAAGAAATTAGTGGATTAAGAGAAGTTTCTTATCGCAGGCATCATCTTGCTATTCTTTGATGATTTTCAGTTTCCCAAAGAAGAATTTTTCTTAAGCATCTGTTTTAGATATGTTTTAATGGCTTCAAATAATCTCATCTTTCTGCATAAACATATTTTTCTATTTAATAGTGTATATAAATATACATATAGTATATCATAAAATATCTGGATGCTATTTTTAGTATTAGGAAATATTTTTGATGATTTTATAATAGAATTGGGTCTTGTAAAACTAAGTATTTCTGATTTTTCTTGGCCTTCACTTACTTTTCCTATGTAGTTTTGTAGTAGAAATATCACACTTCTTTGTTCCTATATATAATCACTTAAGATAAGCTTTACTTAAAAAGAAAAAACCAACAGGAAGAAATCTTTTAATTCAGGCAAAGGCCCAGTTTAGCAGATAAGCTTTACATTTTTCTTTGAATATAAATAAATAAGAGTTTTATTTCCTACCAAATATATTTCTGTGTTAGCTGCACAGAAAACCAATAGCGGTCTATGCAGTTTAGAAGTCAGATGTACATATCTGGCAGTGTGTTTCCTGACCATTATTGGTCTTGTTGAGGGTGGCCAGATTCCAAATGCTTGACTCCCAGCACACATTCCCTGGGGAGATGGGTGGGTGACACGCTCCTGGCAGATGTGCATTCTTTGTTGTCACCTGTGGTGCTAGATCCCTCACCCTTGAGCTAGGACTGGACCTTAGCCTAACATGCGTCCTTGAGCCTCAGCCCCACCTTCTCCTTAGTCCTCTCATCCAGGAAGAGGCCTAGGTCTCTCTTACCATACCGGTTCCTTTGGAGAGATGAGAGAAAAGAGACAGCAGCAGGAAGCAACCCAAAAGATGGAAGCCAGTCCCAAAAGAAACCAAGAGAGTGTGTGCTCCAGCCCAGTTATGCTCATTACATGTTTCAGCCTCTTGCCTAAAACCCACGCCTTAGGATATAGCCCAGCAGTGTGTCCATGATGCCTGCTGGGGTGGGAAAGACTGAATGAAGTTGAGAAGTACTTAGTGTTTCCCTAGAGATAAGAACATGCCTCTAAAACACTATGTATTTTTTCATTAGGTGCTAACTGGTATTTCCACTGAGTATCCACCCAGTAGGCTCCTGAGTATAAAATAAGTATAGCTTCACCTTAGCAGGACCTGCCCTGTGGGGTGGCTGACTGGGAAGTAGCCTGTGCTGGCATTGGAGGGATATTGACTTATGCCTCCTGCCCCATTGTGAGTTAATAGCATTTTCTCCAAAAGATCTCTTTCAAATACCATTTATCAACAGAGGAAACTTCACTTCCTGGGAATATGGCAGCCGATCATTTCCGGGAGCCTTCCCCCCACACAGTGTGAGGGCTCAAGGAACAGGACATGGAGAAGGTACATTTTTTGAGAAAGGTCATAAAATGTTGGAGTTGAAGAGGATGAAGCAATACGAGCTGGCTGTCCCTTGGGGAGTGGTAGTTCAAATACATTAAAGTAGAGAGGAGCAGAAATGCCCACAGCCAGAGAGAAAAACAAATGCATGTTGTTTCACAAATTACTCAGGAGTAATTCTGTTCTTGGAGATCATGGTTCCCTTCCAAGATATCTCAGAATAAGCAGAGGCCAGACCAAGAGAATAGGTCAAAGCAAGCTGCTGATTCACACCTAGATTCAAGTGTGTGGGCCTTTATTAAAAGTTTGTCCAATTTACAACCCCCTGACCAGAACAGTGCAGAATCTGGGCTGTAGCATGGCACAGCTAAGAAGTTTCATGGACCTCAAAATTCTATGTCCTGATTATTTTGGTCCTGTTTAATTCCTAGGGAATAAACTAACTATATCCAGGTGGTCCTAGTACAACAAACATTATATGGTGACAGGTACTATATTGCAACATTTCTCAGCCCCAGCTGATGATCAAGTTGTTTAAAGTATTTAAGCACAAACTACAGCAGGACTGAAAAATTGAGGTGGCTCTTTGTACCACCTTTAATTGGCTTTAACTGGCATTTGTACATCCAGCTGCCAGCAAGTGCTTTAATTTTTATCATAAGCTCAACTTTCTGAACTACCTGCTATTTTAAAAGAAAAAAGATCAAACCCAGTGAGCTCCCCCAGGTACATACTGATAAGAAGAGGATTGTAGGACTGCCAATTTATTTTTGTTTTGAAGAGTGGAGTTTCAATTTTAAAAAATGGAATTTAAGTGGAATTTGCCAGTTTTTTAAGTGGAAAATTGGCAGGTCTGACCTATTGGATAATTGCCTGGGAGTTAAGAGAAAAAAAATTTTTTAACGAAATGAAGAGATTGTCCTAATCCACAAGGGCATCTTTCTTTGTTGTCTTCTCTGTGTTTTGAGACGTTTTCTTTAGAGAAAGATTTGATGTTGTATCATTTTCAGTGTGAAGAAGTTCCACATTCATTTAATGTAACAAAGCCCAGATCACCTTGTTTGACTTGGAGCCTTCTCATTGCAGGTCGATCCGGGCCACAAATCCCTCCGAGCACACGGTGATCCTCGCAGTGGTTTCGCGAGTGTAAGTGCACCTCCCATTCCCAGATGGAAGGAGTACTGTTCATTCTGAAATATTTGTCAGATGTAATCTGGTTTTTGAGCTATCTAAGCAATGGGTGTGTCTTGGGTCCTAGAACACCAGCCTTAGATCTTGATCTTGCTTTGGGGGTTTTGTTTGTTTCACAAGTTCCTGGAAATATTTAGGTTTTTCTCTGTATCTTGTGTAATTGCCTTTAGCACCTAGTCATACACCTCAGGGAGAAAGTTTACTCATTATATGCCAAAAATGAATGGAAAATTTGAGGAGGAGGTGGTCTGGAGAAAACATTGTTCCAGTTTATCTCTTTTTTTTCCTTTGAAGAAAAGAGATGGGGATATGCTTGTTTTTCATTTAAGAAGAAACACATTTTTTTTCATATTCAAGCATGAGAACAAAGGGGCACTAAATCCACAAGACAAGGGTTGTGAAATTGATGTTGGGACTGATATGTGGCTAGAGGCAGGACAGTAGAGTTTATCCAATGCTGGAAGGCAAAGAAAAGGGATTGCGCTGTAGGTGCAATGAAACTGTAGGATGAGCGCTTGCTCTGCTGGGTTTATCGTCTGAAGTGGCCAGCACTTAAAATAAAAGAGCCAGCAGGAAGAAAAGTTGTCTGTGCAAGCTGCAGTGGTAGAAATCTTGGCAGGTAACAAAATTTGTTGTAGTCTTTTAATGGCTGTATTTAGCTTTGCAGAGAATAAGACCTTATTTAGGACCTAGGACCTATTGGATTTGGCTGCATTATGGCATTTGGCACAAATTCTGCGACAAAGGCCAGGAAAGTCTGGCCCAGGGGACTTGAAATGCCTCATTCCAAAGCCATGTGGATACAACAGGAAATCATGGCTGCAAAGTCTTACCCTCACTGAAGACTCCTACTTACCTGCTACTCCTTGAGTGTCTCCCTAGGGGCTATGTCTTCTCACTTTGTTTGATACCCACCATGGGATGTGGTCCAGAGAAAGCAGAGACATTGTCCTCACTGGTTCATTACACCTCTCCATCCTGGTGGGAGATTAAGATTCCACAGGGAATGAATGAGGGGAACTGAGACATAAGATCAGCATCCTTCAGCCCTCTTTTTTACATTTATCTTCTGGACACTCTGAGATCTGAATGAGGTCATAGAGTCTTGGACATCAATACCAGAAATGTTCAAGGCCACACAGCATTTTTCCCAAGCCTGGCTATTACACGGGTCCAAGAACAAAATACTCTTGTTTTTCTGACTCATATGGCAAAAAGGTTTGCTAGTCCTTGACAAATAATGGTTGACTATGGCTTATTTGTTATGATGTCACCGATTTTTCCTGGTTTAATTATACAATAGTTCATATAGAGAGAGTAGTAATAAAATGAATGTGTGTGTCTATGTCACCCACTTAAGAAATAAAACATTATTAATACCCTTGGAACCCTTTTTGTGGCCTTCCTAACAGTCAGAGAAGATAGAATTTGGAGTTCCAGAAGAAAAAGAAAGTGGGTAAAATAGCTTTTCCCTTAGGGCAGGAATCAGCTGTGGGTAATGCCACAAGTCAGCACTGGGACTTCTGTTCCTGTTTTCTATCTGCGTTTCCACCCAATCCCTTTTATTCCATTTTTCTTCCCTGGTTCTTAGGATATGTCCCCCATGTTACTTGCTGGCTGTCTCAGACACTGTTTCTCTATCTTGGTGATAGAGAGCCCAGTGATGGCATGTCTTCATGACAAGCCAATCCACATCCCACCTTGTACTCAAACTAAAGTCCTGAGACTCAGCAGTAAGCTCACTATAGCAAACCCTCTTGTGAAATGAGTAGCAATTATCCATTTTTGTTTTCTCTCCTTCCCTTCTAACTGTGTGTTCCTGCTGATACTTCTCTCCCATTTGGATTGGGGGTCTTGCAGCCTGGAATGCTGGCTGTCTTCCTCATGTTGAGAGCTGGACCAGCTCGGTTTTGGTGTGGGAGTCATACTTCCAGATGGTTTGGGAACAATTGTCTCCGAATGAACAGTGCACGTAACATGTCCCTTTATGGGACTGCTCCCATACATGTGGCTCAACCCCAAAGGGCAGCTGAGTTGGAAAGGGCCATTCATGTGTACTGAGGGTGATACCTCCAGGTACACTGCTGGAGCTTTCTCTGCTGTTTTTGTTCTTTTTGCATCTGGAAGGTAGATGTGGGGTCTGTATCCTTGAAGGCAGGTGTGCCCCGTGGGCACGTGCTCGTCAGGAAGCCACTCTTGGAGCTAACGCTGTGTGGCCTCATTGCTCTCTCTCCGTGTTTCAGTGTGAGGAATCCTGGTTTGTATCTGCTGAGTGACCACATTTTCTGCTTTGCTGCAGATCGGATGACCATGAAGAGGCGTCAGTCCTTCCTCTTCTCCACGCAGGCTTCAACAGGGTATGTACAAGATATCCAGCATCTCTCTCAGTTGCAGGCACCTTAACCCCTAACTCTCCCATAACAGGGAAGCAAAGCTGCCACGGAGAACTGTTAAGGAAATTAAGCCCCAGGACTGTTGGGGAAAGGAAGAAACTGTGTTCTCATGGGAAAGTAACGAGCAGCTGCCAGTCGAGCTCTTTGCGTTTTTGCTCTCTGGGTTATTTCCATATATCTTAGCAATAGATATACAATGACATAAAAACACATCTTATTATATCAGACTAAAATTCTGTCATCCTAAAGTAATAAAGTAATCTTATTTAAATCAGTACAGTCAATTCGATTTAATGTGTGTGTGATCATACATAGATACATCCACCAAATTGGCACCCAAGATTCTGTTCATCAGGGCTGGCCAGAGCTTCTACCCTAGGGACAGGCCCATGATGACTGTAGCATCCTGTAAACTCCCGGTTGAAACCATTAACATCAGCAAAGAAAAATTCTTTGAGTGACAAACTACACAAATAACACTGAGATTCCACTTGAAGATTAAGAATTACTCCAAGGAAACTCACTAACAAACTAAATAACCAAGCTCACCCAGCATCTCAGGGTAGAAATTAGATTGGAGGCAAAGCTGTGTGCCTGCAAATGGAAAGGAACTGATAGAATGGACTTAAAAGAGAAGAAAGAGAAGAAAGGGAGGAGGAAAAAGATTATCAAAACATGAATGTTTAAAAGAACTATATTCCCTAATATTAAAAAGAAAACAAGTCCTTATAGAGAAATTGTGGAAGACCTTACTTCATATTTTAATTTTTTTAAATAACAAATATATATATTACTCCTATGTAAAAAGTAAAAGGTTTCCCTTAGGAGAATAATAGGATAGAGGACCATGGTTTACTTATACAGCTTTTGCTGATAATCTAAACGCAAGTAATCCTATAGCATCCTGTGACCTCCTGGCTTAAACTATAAACATCATGAATAACACTGATATTCAACTTGAAGATTAAGATTGGTTACTCCAAAGAGACTTACCAAAAAAACTAAGTAACTAGGCATACCCAGTGTCTCAAGATCTCTTGGTAAGAGTAATCTGAATCCCGGCCGGGCACGGTGGCTCACGCCTGTAATCCCAGCACTTTGGGAGGCCAAGGCAGGCAGATCACCTGAGGTTGGGAGTTCGAGACCAGCCTGACCAACGTGGAGAAACCCTGCCCCTACTAAAAATACAAAATTAGCTGGGCGTGGTGGCACATGCCTATAATCCCAGCTACTCAGGAGGCTGAGGCAGGAAAATAGCTTGAACCCAGGAGGTGGAGGTTGCGGTGAGCCAAGATTGCAACATTGCACTCCAGCCTGGACAAGAAGAGTAAAACTCCGTCTCAAAAAAAAAAAAAAAAAGAGTAATCTGAATCCCAAGTAGGTGGAGTGATGTATTTCTTAAAAAATAGGGTACTGCGTGTGCCTTGTGAATTATGAAAATCCTCTGTGTGCTTTAAGTAATGGTACTTTGCTACTCCTGGCTTAAAAATATATATATATATTCCTGTTAGTTGTAGACCACAGAGAAGCAAAAACTACCTTTGTGATGCAGTTGTTTTGTGCTTTGGTATGCTTCAGTGTGGAAGAAAGTGCTATAGAGAAGATTCAAGGTAGTCTAGTGGCTCACGATGCGTGATAGAAATGAATGTTTCCAGCTAGCAATATTTTTCACGCTCCTAACACTTTTTTCTTGTCTGTTATCTCTTCTCACAAAGGTTGGCATTTGGTTCTGAAAGCTATTCTTAGGTGCTATATCTTAATGAGAATGCATGAGACAATGCTTCTGAGTTTTTGGAATGAAGAGTTGCAAAAGAAAAATCAGCAAAGAAGCCATGTGGTTGAGACAGATTTTCTTTACTCACTCATTTTCTAAGAAATAGCTCTAAAATTATTCACAGGCTTCATAGAACTTCTGTGTAATATTGACCCCCCGACTCTACCCCATTCCAATGTCATCCTTTTCAAGTTTGAGTTGGGACCTCATGGAGTGTGAGGACATAGATTTTCCTCATTACCTAGGAGATGATTGGAGAATGGCAATGACACACTGTGGGTTTTATCGATCAGGACCCATGTACGTGCTGTTGAGTGTCCTTTTGGAATTCTACCTTTAGTTCAGTGATCCAACCTCAAACTGGTCTAGAATTGCTGCCATCTGAAGCGATAGCATCTTGTCTGGAAGGCTGAGATTGCACATCTGCTCACAGTTAGGAGAAACAACTGGAACTCTTTGGGTGCAAATGCTATTGAGAAAATTTAACCAAAGTTCCATTGTTTCCTTCTTACACATTTTACAACCTGTCCATGGGGCTCTGGAAGGCTTCATTTGCCACTATCCAGACATGTTACTGTGTTTTGCAGTCAGCCTCAGTGAATAAAGCTTTGGGGGAGGGGCATGAACAGCGGTAGCTGTCAGGGACCACCTGGTGTTCTTCAGTGCTGGCCCTGATAGAGGCCATTTGCCCATTAGGTCAGGGTGCCCCCAGTAGCTTGGGCTCATTCCAGGAGAAGCACGCTGCACCTACAACAGCTCTCCTGGCATTACTGTGGCACACCATCAGCTGAGACTGATCTTCATGTGGTGGTTCTCCTTTTTTGGGCAAAATCCTGTCTTTCACAACTCTCTTCCCAAGCACCTTTTCAAATATGCCAGTTATCTTTGCCTTCCATGAAGTTGTTTCCCATCTCTGAGCTGGTTTGATTGTATTAGATTATCTGCTGAAACTCACCCCTGTGTTGCTAGCTAATTGGCTGGTGCTTCAGTCTGTGGTCCCTGAGTGGGGATCTAGGAACAAATTGTGCCATCACATATCCCACAACAACTCCCCTTGAAGGCTCTGGAGCTATGTGTAAGCAGCCGACTATATAGATGCTAATTCCATGCTGAGCCTTTTAGAAACCAGCATCTTAGCAAAGGACAGTTGCAACTGTTTTTATATCAACTTTATGTGCCTCTTTTTCTATTTGCAAAAATATTTGTTCAATTTAACAAGTGTTTATGGAGTTCTGCCTCTGTGCAATGTGCTAGGCATGCCGGGGGCACAACTGTAGGACACAGTTCTCTGTGGAGAGGCCTTTTGTGGAGTAGGAAGTGGGGAGCTACGATTTATTGTCAGGCCCAGTTCCCAGTGATTTACTTAATCCTCCTCTACATATGAGGGATTTGATATTTTCTCCATTTTTGCAGAGGAGGAAACAGGCTCAAAACAACTAAACTTGCCAGAGCTCACACTCATGACAAAGTCCAGAAGCAAATACATGTTGTTTAACTCCAAACTCTATATTGGGTTCACTAAAGTTAGATTTCCCAAGCTAGTGTTCCACAGAACACCACTGTACCAAAAGCTATTAATACATGGTCCATGAAAAAAGCCTTCTATGATCAAATAAGTTTGGGGAATCAGTGAAAACTCAGTTTCCCCCTCCTCTCACACCTGAGAATCCACAGAGCACTTTTGCAACATTGCATATTAGCATTTTAAATACTCTGAGAAGTCCCATAGTAAAGAAACCTGCTAACTTTGTTTATCCCAACATTTTCTTTCCATTTTTTGCAAAAACTAATCCATGTTTGTTATAGAAAATACAGATAAGCTAAAAATTAAAATTATTTATGCCACCAGCCTTTCAGATTTATTTGTAGGCAGAAATAGAAATGACTGTGTATTATTTACAAAACAGTGTCGTGATATACATACATATCTTTCTATGTTATTCCAGCATTTTCAAAACATATTTTATCATGGTTTTTTCATGTTTTTACAAAACATGAGCTAACAACTCCCTGAGTTCTGTTATAGGCTGATATATAGCTTTTATCCATCTAAAAGCTCAAATGGAATCTAACCATGTTTAACTTTGCTCTGTAAATCAAACAGAAAGTATTTCCCTTATGTGTATGTTTATGGCTTCCTCTCCTTCCTTAGCTCTTCCCAGCTTCCACGTAAGAATTGTGGAGGACCAGAGGCCCAGGGAAAGCCAGGGAGAAGCCAACCACTCCAGATATGTGGAGCCAACCACTCCAGTGTATATGTGGGGTGTGTGTGTGTGTGTGTGTGTGTGTGTGTGTGAGAGAGAGAGGAAGGAGTGAGGAGAGGGATTGATTTTTTTCTCTGGCCAACTTGGGTGAAGGAAATCTAAGAAATACATCTTTCAGCAGGGCCTAGTATTCTCCTCCTCCACTTATATAGCTACCGGAGAAGCAAAAGTATGTGACTAGTAGTTTGGAATACTTTGGAATTCTGCTTATCTTTCTACTTAATAGTTTGCCAGCCATATGCTTAGAAAGGTTTGCATGATATGTTTTTTTAATCAATTAAAATGCATAACATTTCCCCTTTCCTAAGTAGAATTGTCCTTAAATCTCTTCCCTTACTATTTTTTACTTGCTTTTTTTTCTGATTTCATTATTTCTCATTAAGTATTGATGTGATCATGTCAGAGAAGTGCTCAATTTCCTATATACCCTACACTGAATCACATAGCATATATAAGAAATGTAAACCAAATTACTTTGGGATTAAGTGAAAAAGGGCCTACTCCTCTTTAAACGCGGGACTTGAGCAGCTCATGCCTAGCATAAATAGGTGCTTCGTAGTTCTTTGATGAATGACAATGTGTGCTGCATTTTCTTCTATGTTATTATTTGCTTATCTATCTGTTCATTCATTCACTAAGTTTATTTATAAATACATGAAAGCCTTTTTTTTCAATTGAGATGAAACTAAAATTAGCCATTTTAAAGTGAACAATTCAGTGACACTTAGCACATACACAGTGTTGTACAGCCACCACCTCTCTCTAGTTAGAGTGAGAACCTGTTGCAAAACAAACAAGCAAAAAGCCATTTTCATCATTCCCAAATGTGTTCCCATTAAGCGGTCACTCCTAGTCCTCCTCCCCACAGCCCTGACAACCACCAGTCTGCATTCTGGCTCAATCAATTGACCTATTCTAGATATTTCATATACATGGAATCATACAATATGTGAATTTTTCTGTCTGGATTCTTTCACTTAATACATTTTTCGGGTTCATACATGTTGTAGCATGTATCAGTATTTTATTCCCATTTTATGGTCAAGTAATAATCCATTGTATGTATACACCACAATTTGTTTATCTGTTCAAATGTTGGACATTTGGGCTGTTTCTGCCTTTTGGCTATGGTGAATGATGCTGCTATGAACACACATGTATGAGTATTTATTTGAGTACTTGTTTTCAGTTCTTTTGAGTATATACCTAGGAGTGGAATTGCTGGATCATATGAGAATTCTGTGTTTAACTTTTCCCCTGCATTAGGCACTCAGAAAATTAGGAAGGAAGTAAAGAGTAGGCTCTCCCTTCCAAAGAGATCATTGATAATGTGGTGCACACTGAACATGCTGAGTGTTGGGTTTTAGATGATTTTATTAGTGCAATATGAAGCAAAGTGTTTCAGTCATTTACATGGCTGGGCAGGCATTCCGTGCTCTAGAGCATTCATAATGTAGTTTATTCTACCTTTGTTATGCAGGAAGTGAAGTGTACAGTATTACTTGCTCTGTTGTTTCTCATACATTTAAACAAGCACTTTGAACACCTTGACAGCTGTTTCATCTCATCTTACCTACTAATTGTCTTATATAACGGAGTTACCTGGGGATAGGAACAACTGTTAAGTTTCTCTATTTGACTCTCTAAGAAGTAATTATATATGTCTTATGTATTGTCTTTGCTTTCTTTTCAGAGATTTATGGAGAATAGCAGCATAATTGCTTGCTATAATGAACTGATTCAAATAGAACATGGGGAAGTTCGCTCCCAGTTCAAATTACGGTATGTAGCAAAATGATACAGTAACATGAGGTTAACAATTCTTTAGAAAATCTTATCTGTCAACAGGCTGATGTTCAGGGGTTCATAGCTGAATCCCAGGGATTTTGAAGCTTTTAAACAGGCAATGAATGGCAGCTGGCCAACAGCAGTATCTAAGCCAGAAGGCCCATTATATAAAGAAATAAATTGGAAGCATTTCTTCTTTTGACAGTATTTTCCACTATTTACAGAATTTTAAAATTGTAACCTGGGAAAATGCTTAATTTTTGCACAATTAGATCGAGATTAGGAATAGCCTTGAGAATTATTTTCTACTTCCTACTTTCAATATTTATACATTTTTACTTGGATTGTTACGCATAGGGGCAAACTAATGGCGATATTTATCATGCTAACCATAAAAATGGCTAAGTAACCACAATAGCAATTTTATTAAGTCTGTTTGTGGCCTCAATATGCATGAAGTAGCTTTAAGAAACCAGTTTTAAGTCTCTTTACAAGCATATAGTGTTTTAAGAGCAGGCTTGTCATTGGTGCTCAATTCCAGGGATGGGATTCTCTGCGTGTCTGGCTGCTGGCCAGAATGCTGGGCTGGGGGATGTTCTGCTCCTGGGCCCTCTTAGGAATATCAGGGTCCTAGCTCCTGCCTGGTTTTGCTCAGGCTCCACTCTGGCAGGCTTTTTGGACCCTGATGTTTTCCTCTCTTCTCAGCCAGAGAGCAGGGAAAGGAGGAGGCTCTTCTCCACCCGTGGGCCACTGCGGGGCCCAGTCCCCAGGAGCTTCAGGCTGTGTGATGCCAGAAAATTCTGTAGCATGGCCTCTCTCTCTGGCTGACTGAGAAGTCATGCATAGTTTGAGGCTCAACACAAAATAAGTAGGAGAGCATCCTATTATAGTAATTATATGCCTTATCTTGATTACTTATTGTCATTCAAAGACGACAAAATCCTTTTCAAACTTAATTATCCTCCGTCCCAGGGAGGCAAAATGAATCGACATAAACCCAGAGAAGCAGGTTCCCCTGGGGTGCACCCTGGTCAGGGAAGTCACTTTTTGGTGGGTAGAGTGATCTAAGAAATAAAGTGTGGGGATAAACAGTCACTTTCTTAGGTAGAAAAGTATTAAAAAAAGAATCTCAAACCAGTGGGAAATCAGATATTTTGGGACTTCAGGTATTTTTAACAGCCCTTGGTAAGAAATATTGCCAAAGACTTTTTGAGCGTATAAGTAAGCTAGATCCTGTGGTTTCTTTTTATGTGTATGTCAGCTTCAGAGAACTTCACAGAATTTTTCTAGAAACCCATGTTGCCTGTACTTCTGTAATTTATGCCTTTTAATAATGTAGATTAATTGTTATTATTCCTGGGGGTCTCTACTGTTTTTAATTGAAGGTTAAAAGACTTAGTACTTTTATTTTAGATGTTTACACAATAAATAGAATTAGAAAGAGGGGGATTTTACTGTGGTTTAATTCTTCAACTGTGTATTACCCACCATAAAAAATGAACGGCGCAACACCTCATTGCATTGACAGGCAATTCCATTATTTGATTTTAAATAAGTGCTTCTGGTTTTTTAGGCAACATTACATGTGATGGCATATGTTAGGTGCCAGGAGATGCCCTAATACAGATTCTGCAGTGCACATGGGGCACTGGGGGGCTGTCCCAGGAATGTTAGGGGCACCTTGTCCATGATGAGCAGGGCAAAAGCAGGCCTGGAAATTTGAAATAAATATCCCCAGCCAACACAATAGCATAAAGAAAAGCCTTCAGGTTATTGTACTGCTGAAATCTGTTTAGAGCCAGGGCACCAAAGACTTTTTAAGGTCTTATCAGATTCAGAACTTTGCAAGTTTCTAAGTACATTATGTAAGTACTATACTTCTGACCCCTCACTTACTAGAACTGGTTGGGGGCATTGGACCCGTTGTTGAGGTCATAATGAAAAGGCTCAAGTTCTTACTACAAATCAGTGTCAAATTGGATAATGGACTTGACCCACGAAGGTAGTGGCCCCAGGAAAGAAGGTTTGCCTGGCACAGAGATTATCTTGCCTTCTGCACAAGTTTCAGCTGTTGCTTTTTGGTGGGTTCTGCCTCAACCTTATTCAAGTTATCGCCCTTTTGGGTGTGTGTGTGAACATGTGCATGATTTTATGTGCATATTCCCAGGTATTCTGTATCTAGGCCCAGCAGATAGGGGCAGTGACTCATGCCACGGCCTCTCCCCAGCTCCTTAGGGCACTCAGGGACATCTAGCACATATACCTGCACCCCAAGGCAGGCAAGCAACTCTATCATTTGTTGCAGACTGGGAAAATGAGGCTCTTTATTATACAATGCTAGAATAATTATAGTCTAATTATATAATACTTTCCCCTACAATTCCGCCCCCAGCTGCAGCTAAATATGTATCATTACTGTCATTCTGCAAGGACAGTCTGTACTGCAGGATGATGGTGAATGTTAAAGGTAGACACCTCTGCCTAGGTCCCATGTCAGGTGACCATATTTACTTAACCGAGAAACAAAAAGGATCACCTGATGTGATCAAACAGAAGATGTAGTCTAATTTTAAGATTCTATTATATAAAATAACTTAAAGATATAAGAACTAAATCACATATCTGTATGCCTTTGATGAATTACTCTGTTGAATAGAAGAATTTATGAAATGGAGAGCGTCTAGGATAATCTAGATTAAATGATGACTATTTATCTCTTCTGATGTTCTTACACCTCTTTATCATGAAAAGATCTATTTTATCTAAAATAAAGATAATTATTTAGCTACTTAGCAGGAGTTTGGGCTGATCGATATATACTAATGCAGTACCAGCTATTGTTTGATTCATTAGTCAGTCTAGAAGTTACATCCAAGTCATTATGTTTATTTCACTCCAAATCTTAAGACAGTAGCAATCCTCAATTTTAGAAAGAATCAAAATTTTTGGTGGGCAAAACTCTGTATTCTGTGGAACACCACATCTCTCAGTATTAACAGACATTTGTAGAGCACTTTATTCTCATATGGGCTCTGCGTGATAGCCATTGTGTTTCAGGGGTGGAAACTGAGCTGTGAAGGCTTAAAATAACCAGTCCCTATTGCTTTATTGCCCAGTAATGAGTGCCAACAAGTAACAAGGTCACGATCCTCTCACCTCTTCCACTCCCTGCTCCCAACTCATCCCAGACTCCTGCTGGTATGTGGACTTGTGTTCAGAATCTTTTCCCTACAAGCCACCGCCTTGCCCAGTCCTACCCTTGTTCCAGGCAGCCTCACAGTGTGTGTGTGTGTGTGTGTGTGTGTGTGTGTGTGTGTGTGTTGTTTTAGTGGAGTCTAGATAGAGCACTTTTGGAAGGGACACAGGAGATAATGTAACCCAACACCCTGGCCATGATTGACAGAGGAAAACACTGAGAACCATCACAGCTACTCAGCATGTTGGTGGCAGTGGTGGAGTAGAATCCAGGCATCCTGCTTTTTCAGTCTGGTGCACTTTCCACTCAGCATAGCACTATATTATTTATAGACTTTATACCTGGACCCCTGTAATATTTACCTTTTCTCTCTGGACCTTCGAGGGCTCTTAAGAAGGTGCAGGGAAAGTGGTGATATTACCTATACTTCATGGGTTCCCACAACTAGGTTACTTTTCCCTTGTGTTTCTTTTTTCTAGTTTTCCAACTTTTTAACCTGAAGAATAAAACATAAAGATACCTGAGACAAAAGAGTTATATGGTTCCCAAGAACAGATATTAATAAAGCTAAGGTTCTTCTGCCAGAAGAGTATGAATAATTAATACAAGCAATTAAGTTCTAAAACTCTAGAAACATGACTCAAGTTGATTATCTCATTTTGCTGCAGGTTTATTTAAATAGAACCATCAACCAAAGAGGTTGAGAGCCTGAATAAACGTTGTGGTCTGGTAGTGTTTGTTGTGGGGGGCAGGGGTGGGAAATAGTGTGTTCTTTCTACCAATATCCTTTCATTTCAACTGTTGATAAGCATTTACTTTGTCTTATGGGGCTTTATACTTATTGAAAATTTCATGCTTTGTGGATAATCATAAAATGAATGTTTAATAAATTTTGGAGATTGGATCTAAGATCATGTATAAAGGCAACCTCTTGAATTGATGAAAATGATAATAGTCTGAAGTACCTGTTTATATACTTAGTTGAAACCTGTTTACATAGTTAGAGAAAATACTTAGGCAAGAGAGGAATTTGTCATTTGATAAAATGTGTTAATTAAAGCTTAATTATCCAGCTCTCAAAATTAACAAATTAGTCCACATAGAGTGTGTTTCTCCAAGAGTGACTTCTGAAAGACAGCTGCTGCCCAGGAAATCCTTCCCTACAGTGCTTCGTCCAGTTTTGGACCAGGTGCCTGGAAAACACTGTTGATAAGACTAGCTCTTGCTGTCTCTTATGAGGCAGTGCAGTGACAAATTTGGTAGCAGTTTTAAAGCCCCCTTTTATTCTTGTTTCTTATTTTAAATTGTGTTTACAAGTGGTGGTACTAAGACAGTATACAGTTCAAATTAGGTAGACTGGAGCAATTTAAATAAGAAAATATACTACTGCGCCTGTAAGCCATTTCAGTTGAGTTAGGTTAATATTCTCCTCTGCTCTTCTAACCCGTATCATGATTACTTGTTACACTTACCTTCTCACACTGATATCTTCATTTCTGCAACTATAGGAATGGCGTCTTGCAGTTGGCTAAAATATTGCACTCCGCACGCATACCTCACTATTATTGAATACAGTTCTTGGTTTGACATTTCAGGTATACTTATGAGAAAAGATAGGTTACGATTCATTTTTTTCACCAAAGCCTTTTGAAAGCCTTAGAGAACAAAGAAGTATTACTCTGTGATCTTAAACATAACAACAGGTATCTACATGTGTTGTATTCTCATATTGTCCCAAGCACTTCGAGAAATGCCTCACATAAACTATCTGTTTTGATCTTTACAAAAACCTGTGAAATACGTATTATTATCCTCATTTTATGGATGAGGAAACTGAGGGCCATTGAAGACAAAAAGTTGCCTCAGGTCGCATAACTGGAAAAATACAGAGCCAGATTTCACCCAGTTCTTTCTGCCTTCTTCCCTCTAAACGGATCAAAATAGGAAGACAAAGTTAGAATGCCTTTATGAGTGGAAAAAAATAACATTTTTCAGAGTTTTTTTTTTTAAAGAAAAAACATCAATCCAGTAAATCAACAGTTTTTTTTTATTTTGTAATGTGTAAGAAAGCTTTTTATTGGGATTCTTTAAACAGTCAGTATAAATAACAGAGCTCTAGCTACATGCTTGCTGTGTTGGACAGTAAATAGCTTACTGTATTTGGAGTTGCTCTAGATTAGGAAATTAGTTAAAACTATGATAAACAAAATGAGAGTTTGATTCCAAATATTCCAGAAATATAGGGAAGGTCACCAAGAAAAGTCCCCACTGGAGAGCTGCAGAGGTGCAATGAACCAGCAAGGGGAGTTCTGCTGGGTTTGCCTTTCACCATGCCAGGGGGAATGGTTGGAAGCCGAGTAACATCACAACAGCAAAAAAGGAGAAAAAATGTTTTTGTGTCTGTTGCAAAAGGCCAGAATACCTCACATCCAATTTGGGCCCAGTTAAGTTCTCTAATTGTTGGAGACTTAACTTCTCCATGACCACAACTGTGAATGAAACAGAAGAACGTCATTGCCTCGTGTTAGTGTTGAAGTTTCATTCAGCACACACATAGTCCATTCCATGATCCACGAAGATTTCACTGAATTACAATTCTTTTTGTATCATACACACAGATATATATGCTATTGTTTATGCATTTAGTTTGAAAGATTAGTTTTTTTCCCTCAAAGCATATTATTAACCCTCTTAGTCTGTTAGGATTGCAATAATGAAATACAGTCATGCATCATTTAATGATGGGGATATGTTCTGAGAAATGTGTCGTTGGATGATTTTGTCATTGTGCAAACATCATAGAGTGTACTTACACAAGCCTACGTGGTATAGCTTACTACACACTTAGGCTACGTGGTACAGCCTGTTGCTCCTAGGCTACAAACCTGTAGAGCATGTTACTGTACTGAATACTGTAAATACTTTTAACACAATGGCATTTGTGAATTTAAACATAGAAAGGCACAGTAAAAATGCAGTATAAAAAGAGTTAAAATGGTGCACTTGTATAAGGCACTTAGCATGAATGGAGCTTGCAGGACTGGGAGTTGCTCTGGGTGAGCTGGTGAGTGAATGGAGAGGGAACATGAAGGCCCAGGGCATTATGTGTATAGGACTATAGACTTTATCAGCTTTGTACTCTTAGGCTACACAAAATTCATTAAAACATTTTCCTTTCTTCAATAGTAAATTAGCCTTAGCTTACTGCTACTTTTTAACTTTATAAACCTTTATATTTTTAAACTTTTTCACTTTCTTAATAACATTTAGCTTAAAACACAAACACATTTCACAGCTGTACAAAAAAAATGTTTCTTTATAACATTATTCTGTTAGCTTTTTTCTATTTTTAAATCTTTTTTTTTTTTTTTTTTTACTTTTTCAACTTTTTTGTTAAAAACTAAGACAAACTTTGGCTGGTGCCTACACAGAGTCAGGATCATCAATATCACTGACTTCCCCCTCCACATCTTGTCCCACTGGAAGGTCCTCAGGGGCAATAACACACATGGAGCTGTCACCTTCTATGATAACAATGCCTTCTTCTGGGATACCTCCTGAAGGACCTGCCTGAGGCTGCTTTACAGTTAACTTTTCTTAGTAGTAGAAGGAATATTTTATCTAAAACAATGATAAATAGTATAGCAAATACATAAACCAGTATCCTAGTTATATCTTATCAAATGTTATATACTGTACATCATTACTGTATTGCTACACATTTATACAGCTGATAGTTTAGTGGGCTTGTTTACACCAACATCATCACGGACACGTGAGGGTGTTATGTCTGCTACGACACCACTAGGCAATAGGAATTAGGTTATAATCTCGCAGGACCACCATTGTATATTGAGTCCATTGTTGAAATATCGTTATGAGTTGCATTACTGTATCTTAAATTGAGTAATTTATAAGCAACAGAAATGTATTGCTGACAGTTCTGGAGGCTGAGAAGTCCAAGATCAAGGTGCCAGCAGGTTCTGTGTCTGGTGAGGGCCTGTTCCTCATAGATGGCACCCTCTCTATGTCCTCACATGGCAGAAAGTGCAAGGGAGCTCACTGGAGCCTCTTTAATAAAGGCATTAATCCCATTCATGAGGATGAAGCCCCACTGACTTAGCCACTTCCCAAAGGCCCTGCCTCTTCATACTATCACATTGGATGTTAGATTCCAACATATGAACTGTTGGGAGACATCAGCATTCAGACCATGGCAATAACAAAAAGTACGTAGATTTGATGAACCTGGTATCTGTTTACTTTGTTAAATTAACAGATGAAATGTGAATGGTTTTCATAGAAGAACTAACTTCAATCTTTTATAACTTTCAGGGCCTGTAATTCAGTGTTTACAGCATTAGATCACTGTCATGAAGCCATAGAAATAACAAGCGATGACCACGTGATTCAGGTATGGAAAGAAACCACCTCTATCATTAACATTCAAAATGAACCTTTCAGGTTTAAGCCACACTTTTTATCAAGTACTTTCCCATCATCCTCATGTATCAGCACATTTTCTTAGGAGAAATAAATATCAAGCTGTGCAAAGAATACTGATAGACTTAAGAATTAGATATTCAATAAAGAACAAAAAATTATTACTTCAGATCAGAACCTGCAATTTCTTTGACAGAAATGGGGTTTAAAAAAATTTTATTTTTTTGAGACAGATTGTCACTCTGTCGCCCAGGCTGTAGTACAGAGGTAATCTTGGCTCAGTATAATTTCTGCCTCTCAGGTTCAAGTGATTCTTGTGCCTCTAAGTAGCGAGGATTACAGGCATGTGCCACCACACTCAGCTAATTTTTATATTTTTAGTAGAGATTGGGTTTTACCATGTTGGCCAGGCTGGTCTCAAACTCCTGACCTCAAGTGATCCACCTGCCTTGGCCTCCCAAAGTGCTGGGATTACAGGTATGAGTCACTGCACCCAGCTAGAACCGGGGTAAATTCTTTTGACCATCTGTGAAGACACTATTGACATAGAAGTAAGTCAGAATGGTACAGCAAATGCTTATAAATGTCTAGGGAACAGAGTATTTTCAAAGACATTCATTTGTTTACCTGCAGTGGGTATCCTAATTACAAAGCATTCTTACATGAATGTCATCCTCCTAAGGAAATGTGTGTAGCAGAGAAACCTTTCAAGAAATGAGGTGTTCTTATTATAATTGTTGGAAAGTAAGACATCTGTATTTGTAAAATACCCTGAAATATAGACTTTCCACGAATTGGTGCTTGCCTGCCTGCTGTTGGTTTGCAGAGTGGCATGGAGTGTGAGGAGCACTTATCAGTAGGGCACCAAAGACAGTGGGCAACACACAGCGAAGCCCACAGCAGAAGCCTCACATTTGTCTGCCCTGAAATCTCCCAGTGCACACATACACACCTTGTTCTCATACCAGACCAATGACATCAATAGCCCACCCTGCCTAGGCCCTGTCATCAGCACTTTCATTAGGTTGTCTCATTTCTATTCAATAAGGGTAGGCAAGAGACATCATTGCCCTATAGTGCAGATGAGGAAACTGAGTCCCAACAAGGCCAAGGAACTTATCCAAGGAAAGCCTTAGTAATAAGTATCAGAACTAAAATATGTAGTCATGTCTCCAAAGCCTTCCTACCTGGTTTCCTGTTTAGCTGTATTGTTAGAATATGTTTTATGGCTGCCCCGTGAAATGTATCTGAAGGCTTCCTCATGATGCTGGCTCTTAGTGGCCCACCTGCCCACAGGTCTGCCTCTTGGACCTCAGAGAGAGCCAGACGTGTTTCTGTTACAGACCAAGCACAAAAATCCCACATCTCCCCCACTTATACCCCGACTTGGACAATCGATTCTATTCATGAAGCACATTTGCTTTGCACCTCCCTGTTTTGCAGTGTGCAGCTGGATTTGATTTCAGAAATGAGGAGAAGGGGCTCCCTGCCCACTAGCCGCCCCTCCACCTGTAATCTAACAAACAACTTCTAGAATAGGGAACAGAGTCTTTCATTCTCCAGTTATCAATTGGTGGTTAGAAAACCTGTATCCTTGGGAGAGGTAATATTGTGATGGTGTCACATTATGATATTAATCATCTCCCAGCCTTTGCGATGAACAGGAAGAAGCAGGAGCATGAGGCCAGTATAACAGATGCCTGTAAAGGAGAGGTGGAAGGAGAGTCACTGCCTTTAAAGGGAAACTTGGATTCTGAAAGAAGACCTTACAGCTTTTTTCTCAGGGAACCTTTTCATCCTCCTTTAGAAAAATGTATCAGCAATCTGTAGTATGGAACTTAAAACAAGAGGAAGGAGGAAGGAGCTGAATAGAGGATGTTATATGTATGGTGAAATTACCTATGTGCTATAAATTTTGAGGATGTCATCATTGGATGGGATAGTTAATATATGTTCTTACTTGATATCAGCATCCTTTTCAGGGCACTCCAATCAAATAGTTAGATGCCTTTTTGAATACAAATCTTCAGAGGTCAAGTAGCAGCACTTAAAATTTAGAAGCAATATCTACCTATCTGTGTCTGTCTATCCATCTGTTATCTATCCACCCATCCATTCCTCCCTCCTTTCCTTCCTGTCTTCCTCCATGCCCCCATCTATCTAAACTCTATATGTATTTGCTTTAAAACACTTAATTGTTACTTGCCATATACTAGGCTCAGTTCTAAGCATTTCACACATACTCATTTATTTCTTAAAGCAATCCTGTGAGTCAGGTATCACTATTGTACTCATTTTGCAGATGAGGAAACTGAGGACCAGGGAAGTTAAGTAATTTGTCCATGGTTCTGTAGCTGGTAATTGGCAGAGCCAGGATTTGAACTTGGGTGCCTTGGCTCCAGAATCCATATCTGGGAGTACCTGCTGCATTCTGAGGTTTCAGGAACCCTGGTGTGAAAGAAGGGCCATGACTTCTACCCAAATTTACAACTTAATAGGGAAGGCAGAATGAACACACATGAAAAGGTATGAGAATATGGCTAACAAATAAAGAAAATAATATATTCTCTAATATTTTCTATTCATTCCTCAAATAGTTAATAAACAGTCCTGAGTATCCAAAGATCAATTCAAAATAGCCTTTGCCCTTGAGGAGTTGAATGTCCACTGGGAGAGACAGAGATAAACAAAAATTTAAATTCGGTGTAATAAGTCACTGAAAGTCTGCACAGGCATCAGTGGCAGCTCTTGGGAGTGGACTAGGTAGGGGAATCAGGGAAGGCTTCCTGGAAGAGAAGAGGGATAAATTGGAGTTGGAGAGGGAAAGAGACAGGGAAGGGTATTATAAGCAGAGAGAGCACGTGGGGAAAGGCCCGGAGATGAGAGAGACATGCAGACAGCTCAGCAGCCTGCAGAGGTGGCCCCGGGAGGTATGAGGCTGGCTTTGTGAGCAGGGGCTACGCTGTAAGTGATGCCCTTCCCTGCCTAGGGAGGGCCCTGAGTACTACATGTCAGTAATGGGGCCAGGAGGGGGTCTGGAGATCCATGAAGACAATATCAGGCCTCCTTCTCTTCAGTCACCCACCAAAGGCCTGATGACCAGAGCATCTTCCAAACCCCTTCAACTCTCAGGGTTGATCGTGTTAATAGAAGCTGTGTCTCCCAAGGAACAGCTCCCCAAGTGTCCCTGTGCCACCCTGTTCATGACTGCTGCCATCACAGTTGAGGGCAAGAGTGATTACAGTTGGTTCGAACATCTCCGAAGCAGCAGATGGATGCAATTTAAGCCCAAAGAAATTCATGACCCAGATGCAGTCTGTTTACATTTTCCCGACATTCTTCACCGCTTGTCTCTCTCCACTCAGCCCCCATCTGTGATCTTTGAAAAGAAATCAGAGGGTGGGACAGGACCTGGGAGTCATCTAGGGTCATGGCTCTAAATTCCAGGACCCCAGGCAGAATTTTGAAAAGAAACCTCTGAGTCTGCTGGCCCCAGAATCTGCCGAGGGGAGCTTCACACCTGCCTGAGCCCAGCACTGAAAGGGCTGCCTCCTGCCCCAGCCATTTAACTGAATTTATTGTTCTGATTCTACTGGTAGTGTCCCCAAACTGTAGCAAACATTGATCAATAGATAGTGGCAATTGGAAAGGAGACATGAGAAATCCAGTTGTGGAGATGTGCATAATACAAGCCGCCACTGTTGAATGGAGTTCTTATTTGTTCGTTTGTTTGTTTATAAGAGACAGGGTCTTGCTGTGTTGCCTGGGCTGGAGTGCAACGGTGCAATCATAGCTCACTGCAGCCTGAAACTCCCAGGCTCCAGTGATCCTTCTGCCTCAGCCTCCTGAATAGCAGGGACTACAGGTGTGTGCCACAACAACTGGCTAATTTTTTTATTTTTGTGGAGGTGGAGTCTAGCTGTGTTTTCCAGGCTGGTCTTGAACTCTTGGGCCCAACTGATCCTCCTGCCTCAGCTTCCCAAAGGGCTGGAATTGAATTACAGGCATGAGCCACTGTGCCCAGCCTGAAACTTTCTTTTTTTAACTACAAACATATGGACCCAGTCCTAATTTATTTTTATTTCTTTTTTTGTCTGAGTTTTTCCTTATTCATGGGGCGGTAGATGGTGAATGAGTTCCCCAAGAGGCTGGTACTGCTAGATGAGGGCTTCCTGTGTTTTTCCTGCTGAAGTTTCTTCTGATATCCTACAGGGGATCAGGATGGCAGTTGAATGAATAAATTGCTGCCAGGAAGGAGGGAACTCCTCCAGGAAGGGTTTGGGGATGGAAAGGGGCAGCAGGACCTGGCCAGCTAACTGCATTAGAGAATGTTTGCCCTGGGAACTTCTTGCTTGATATTCCTCTGGGTCCCAACAAGTCTTCCTACGGGGC
This sequence comes from Homo sapiens, assembly GCF_000001405.40. NCBI lineage: Eukaryota > Metazoa > Chordata > Mammalia > Primates > Hominidae > Homo > Homo sapiens. The sequence continues at coordinate 77,349,353 of NC_000005.10, forward strand.
ACACAGACATTTCATGAATTCTGTCTTGTGTCCCCGCACTGATCTGTACCAACCTCCCATTAACAGTATGTCAACCCAGCCTTCGAAAGGATGATGGGCTACCACAAAGGTGAGCTCCTGGGAAAAGAACTCGCTGATCTGCCCAAAAGCGATAAGAACCGGGCAGACCTTCTCGACACCATCAATACATGCATCAAGAAGGGAAAGGTGGGTTACACCAGCAAAACCAATCCACGAACCCTCTCCCCAATGCACTTTTTTTTCTGAGTTTTAGAATTTCATCCTTAAGATTAGCTTTTTTAATAATGTCATAATTAAGTGAAAGATCTATTATGTTTGCAAAATGAGTTCGTTTTTAAGTTAACTTTGGAACTCAAGTGAATCTGGTGCTTATCATTATGGTACAGAATCTGGTGATTTTGTGTGAAAACATTTCATCCTGTGCATGAATATGTCCCATCTGCCATTGCTGGAATATCGTGGGTATCTCTGAGCAGAGTTCCACCCAGAGAGCTGTTGTGTTTTTTCAGTTTATCCAGTGTTTGGGAGACTAGACATATTTAATACCAGTATTTATAGGTAGGCCAGGTTTTTTTCCCAGTTTTCCTTTTCTGTTCTCTGATCGCTGTTCAACATACATTTGTAGCTTCCTCCTCCCAGCTGCACCTGTTCCTCCAGTGGCTTCCCCTTCATCTGGGTAGATGAAGGTAATGATGGAAGTCCGAGAGGAATTTTCCCTGAAGCCCTCTCCTCCTGTAGAGCACTGCCTCTCATCGCTGGAACTGCCTGTGCATTTTCTGTTAAGCATTCAGAATGCTTCTTCACATACAATTTCTTTCATCTTCCTTTCTGTGATGTGAAGTAGTTAAATAAGCCCTGTATCCATTTAATAGAGGGAACATTTTAGAGGGATAAGATAAATTTGGATTATAGATGATGATCAAAATGTTTTTTTAATTGAGGCAATGAGACCAAAAAGGAAACAAGACATTGTTAACTATTCCAAAGATTGTTGCCAAAAGAATATAGCCACACATACCAAGGTGCATACCAATTAGCCACCTTATGTGATAGAGGGGACAAGAAATGGCTGCAGGGAATCGGAATCTCAGTTTCTGATTAGCCAAACCTCCCATGTTCAGAGAACAGGAACCAATACTCTCCCCTTGGCCTCTTTCACGGAAGCTAAGAGGAGCCAGAGTAACCCCCGAGAAGCCTTGGCTGGGGGGCCCGTAGGATGTTAGGAAGATGATGGGCTTCAGCGAGTGTTAAGTAGACATGAATTTATACGCAGATTTTCTGCATCCTCATGTGGGCAAGTTACCTAGACTCTCTGAGCCTCAGTTTACCCACCTGTAAATTTAGTATGATAATGCCAAGTTCACAGATTGCTGTGAAGATTTTGAGAGAGACCTCCAAAGAATCCCTTGACCTGGTGCCACAGCAGCCATAGGGCTGAGAGCAGAATTCCACCCACAGGTCAAGTGTCCTGGAAGCTGGGACAGACAACCTGGTGGTGGATATGTGGATCTGTGGTCTTGTTTTCACACATGTGGCCACATCAGCATTGCACTGGGTACAACAATACAGCAGGCATTGGGAAATGTAACGAGAGCATGTGGGAATGTTCCTTCTCAGCCTTCTGAGACCCTCTGCAGGAGCAGCTGTCATCCTTGACTGAAGGATTTTAAGAGCTCTCTTTGTCCATGTAGGAGTGGCAGGGGGTTTACTATGCCAGACGGAAATCCGGGGACAGCATCCAACAGCACGTGAAGATCACCCCAGTGATTGGCCAAGGAGGGTGAGAGCAAACTGTTCAACTCTTTTAGCTGAAGATAAAGACTCAAGGCCCTCATGGGCATTGGGCTTGAAATGCCAGTATGAGCCTTACATCCACAAATGCAGTAGGGTTGTGCTGAATGTAGTATAGATCGAGGGTGCTTCCACTCAGCCGGCAGCAACCCCCAAACATGGTTTTCCATGTCTTTTATGAAGCATCACCCCAACCTCCCACCTCCACCTGATCACCTATGCCTTCTGTCATTCCCAGTGTGCTCTAAAGGGGCTTGATTTCTGGGCTTCCCTTTCCCCATAACAACAATGATCTCCTGCTGGTGCTCTCTGGCCTCTGCACTCAGTGCATAGGGAGCCAACCTTTTCTCCTGCTTGAGGCCCTCGCTCCATGCTGGTTCCTCCAGGCCGGTTCTGGACTTGTTCCTTGGAGGCCCACTGTTTATGGAGAGAAAGGTGTGTCTGACCAGGAGCTGAGGGCATCTCAATCCACTGAATCTCAGATTACCAGAGAAGCTTCTCTCTTTTGTGGAGAGATAAGAAAAATATGCAATTCCTCTTCCTTCCTCCAGTTAAATTTTGTGAGATTTACAAAGCCAAACAGGACCCCCTAACCATACATCATGGTGAGCCGTGGGGAGCCAGCCTGAAGGTCAACACCAGGTTCATAGCTTGGGTGTATAAGGAACACAACGTTGTGTGACATGTCAGAAAAAGATGAGGCCACAGTCATCCTGCCAGGAACTGGAACAGGAGCCCCACCTGTGACTCTTAGGACTACCTGAGTTCCTTGCAAATTGTTGTATGAATAGAAAACGAGATGTTTCATAAAATCAGCCAGGTATTTGTAATAGCTTGTTTCCCCTCCAATTTTGGTTAGTTTCAAAATTGCTCTCCCATCAATTCAGGCTACGTCCCGTCAATACCACCTGGTATTTCATGCCATTTTGTAATTTGAAGCTCCCTTTTTGCTTCACTCTGGATGATGGGGGCACTGACAGGCCCCTGACCGAGGTTGTGAGCTGGAGAGAGGCTGCCCCTCGGCCCTCCTCCTGAGCAGCCTGGCCTCAGCGTGGCCATTCTCACCCACAGGCAGTGCTGAGAACTGTGGGGTGGAGATGATGCCCGTGACTGTCACATTGTTTTTATCCTCATCCTTATACCATCTCCTCAGAAAATCAAAGCTAAGAATCCCTTTCTGTGTGTGTGACCAGAATCATTAGGCAACCAAAGCAGAGGAGACATGCTATTGCCTGGTAATTTCCAACAGAATACACTTTTCTGGTCTCTCTGATTTTACAGATAAGAAAAAGAAGTTCTTTTGTCCAGACACAATTTCCAGTGTTATTTTCCCTGTAATTGTAGGCAGTGAGCTATCAGAGGCAATTCTTATTAAAAGTAGGGAAATTTTACCTCTTCCTAGTTGGGTGAAGTTTATTACAGAGTAACCAGTATTTTATATCCTCTTTTCAGAGGCCTACAGAGAAAAGTGAACCAGGTAAAGAGAGAGAGAGAGTGGGATACCCCACGGGCTTCTGGGGGCAAAAAACCTAATGTAACTCTCTGGATTTCATGGTTTTACTCTCAGTAAAATATTGACTGTGAGCTGATTTTTGCATGGGGCTGAGGCACCTGTCATCTTTTGCCCGGTTTTCCTTGTGACAGTGATAAAGAGTGAGGCTGCCCACTGAGTTTCAGGACCCAGTCCATGACGTTGAAATGAGAGGATTTTTATCTGCCTGAGAAGTGCCATTATTATGACAATTATAGTGTGAAAGAATATGGGATATTTAATATAAAAACAGCAGCCATGAAATGTGGTCATTGTCCAAATGAATCTTTTGTAGCTATGCAATTATTAGTATCAGCAGAATTAAAACTAATTTATTTGTAGCAGCATTTTATCCTATCAACTGAAGATATCTAGGAACCAAACTTTAGGAGTCAGTTACAAAATAACATACCCATTAGGGAAGTGTTTCTGAGCCCTCTAGGATGTATAAAGGAGGCCCAGTTTCCAAAGGCATGTGTGGGCTCTGTGTGAAAACTGTGTTTTCTGTAGATTGAGTCTTGCTTGAATTTTAAAACTGCCCTAGGACGAACCCTGGAGTTTAGCTTTAAGAAGTCTGTTGACATTTTTATTTGCTGATTTGTTGAATCATCTCATATCTGACTCACTAATAACTGATTATTTGTTATTAGGAAAATTAGGCATTTTGTCTCGCTCAAGAAACTGTGTTGTACCACTGACAATAATAAGCAGGTATGGTATTAGCTCACTTCGTTTGCTCTGTCTGTTTGGCCATGCGTCACCTCTGTTCTCTGCTTATCTCACCACTGTTCTCTGCTTGTCTTTCTCCATGTCTAATTGTAGCTGCCAATTAAGCAGATTTATGGGAAAATTTGGTTCCTCTGACAAATCTTTTTATTTCCCAGCAAACCTATATCACTTTATTTGTAGTGCACATCGGTTATGATTTAGCTTGTGGCTGAGGAACTCTCTAGACTAATATATGAAGGCATAAAATTTTTCCTCCAAATAAAAAATGTTCTATTTTTATCTTAATTTCTTAATCAGTTGGAAAGTATATATCCATTTGAGCATTGCACCCCTACAAATTCATATCAAAAACAAGAATCATTCCAAATTAGTACTGCAATTTTTTCTTACCCTTACATCATACAGAAGAATACATCTGGATGTTATCATCTGCAGTAACAGAATTTTAAGAAGCCACTTTATTTAAGAACTTTTTAAGGTAATTTTGTAATGGAGGGCAACATTGGTGTAGGTATTTTTTCTATTTGATTAGTACTTTTACTACTGGATTATGTGTATTTTCACTTCATGCATTGTAATTTGTAGATTAACAATTATACAACAAACATAATTATCAGTGATCTATTTTTGAAAACTTACAACATGTGGTCTTTGATTTTTATGAGGATTTTAAAGAGGGACAGTATCTCTAAAGGATTTCAAGGGCTTCTGTGGCATAATCCATTTTAGTAGAGGATGGCAGAGATGTGTGAAGTGCTGGATGAGAAGGTGAAGCCCAGCCAGGCCTGGAGATCAACTGGAACCAGCAGGACGTGAGTAGACAGTGGGGTGAGCCCAGTGAGCCCGTGAGGGTCTTCAGTCGGTTGTCTCAGGATATCAAAGGGGTCCACGTCCATGTGCTCCTTTATAAGATATAGTTGGAGATAAAGTCCTTCCTCCAGCACTGAGAATCTCATCTGAAATCAGGATGTTTTCACATAATACCATGAAGTCATGCAAGAGGCAAGTCCTTGGAGACCTCTGGTAAAGGAAAGAATGGCCTTTCATAGGGAAAAAAAAGGGTTCCAACAGACATTTTGCTACATACCAGGAGAAAGAATGAGTTCTTCATAAGAGCTGACGCAGGCAGAAAGAGAGGGACAGGACACCTGGTGTCTCTTTCGAGACAAACTTCTGAACACAAGCAGTGCAGACCAACATTTCTTGGCTGTGGATCCACAGTAGAGGACACAGGTCCACTGGGGTTCATTCATTCTCATGCCAGAAATTGACCAAGCACAGTTCATGTCCAGTTCATGCCTTTCCCCCACCAACTCAGCCTTGCTCCTCTTCCTTACCTTCTTTCTCACTTAATGACAGGGACCCCTACTCTCCCTGTCACCAGTCTCCCTGCAACTCCATGTGCCCAAGTCCTACCAGTCCTTCATGACCCAGTGCAAGAAACATTAAGTATCACCTTCTTTCTGAAGGCCCCTGAGGTACCCTCTTTGCTTTGTATCACCCACCAACCACCGCCATCATCTTCACAGCTATTTGCGTGCTAAACTGCCCTCTCCCCTCTAGCAGGGCCACTGGTCTGTGCTGTCCTTGTGTGCCCACACTGCCTGGCATGTAGTAGGCCCTCAAGCTGGTGGCTAGCGTTAATGAAACTGAATGTCTCAGTCCTGGCCTCCTGCCAGCTGTAAAGCCCTCCTGCCTCACAGGGAGAGCAGGCAAGCCCTTAGCACAGGACTTTAGGATACAGGGGTGGGGGGCCACCTGCTTTTTTTCTGAGGCTCTAAGTAGAAACGCCTTTACTACCATGAATTAGCTGCTGCTCCTAGAAAAGAGGAAATGCAGAGCTCGGATACCCTGAGCCATTGACGTCACCTAATGGTACTGCACAGGCCTGGAGAGACATTTAGATTTTCTAATAACAAAGCATTTTTATACCTCTGGCTAACTACAGTGTTTTTCCTCTTCATCGAAGGAGGCTGCAGCGAATGGCAATGGGATCTGTGCTGGGGAGGGCACCTGTCTGCAGGCGGTTCCGGTGGTGTGGTTTTCTGGGGTTTAGCCCTGATGTCAAAATCGGCCCATGGGTTTGCATTTTAACAAGGTGTGACGTGGTAAGCCAGGCTGCTCTCTCCTGGTAAGGCTTGCCGTCAGCAAAGATCCCTTTTCCTGTATGAGCCCTGTAGCTTTTTGCCAAGAGGCTGGAAATGCTCAGTGAGGTTTGTCTGTTGTCTTCCTCTCCTCTGCACACACACTTTCTCCCCAAATATGTGTTAAACACCTGTTCTGTGCTGGCACCAGGGACACAATGCATCTGCCCCCAATGTCAGGGAGGCCACAGACAGGTAAACAGAATAAATAGAATGCAGCACAGAGGAAATGTGAATCAAGCACTGGAGGAGCTCAAAACCCAGGACCTAAGGAGGCTGTCTGGGATTTTTAGCTATTGTGTAAAATAGGGGCCAAGAAACTAGAGCCTGCAGGCCAAATATGGCCTGTTCTGTAAATAAAGTTTTATTGGAACACAGCCACACTCTCTAGTGTGTTGCACCTCTGGCTGCTTTCATACTGTGGTGGCAGAGCTGAGGCCATGTGGCCTGCAGAGCTTAAATATTTACCCTCTGGTCCTGCACAGAAAAAGGTTGCTGACTTCATTTCTTGAAGATAATTTTCTTTCTTGGATGTTCCATTTTCTTAGGCCAGCAACAGTCTGCCCTGACCTCCCAGAAGTACCCCTTCTCCCCTTCATACACTTCTTTGGGCACCTTTTGCCTTCGTGCTAGCCTCTGCGTCCTGTCTCAAAGCCTATCTCAGCCCCTGCATACTGGTGCGGACACGAGAACCTAGGTCCCCTGAGGCTTTTTCCTTTTCACAAGGACAAAATCCAAATGCAAATTCATGGCTCAGACTTCAGAATTTCAAGGATCTGCAACCATGGTCCAAGAGTCATATTGCATAGGGAAAAAAGGAGGCAGTTAGGGCCCTGACATTATATCTGCTCTTGTGTCTTGTTTTGTTTTGTTTTGTTTGAGACAGAGTCTCACTCTGTTGCCCAGGCTGGAATGCAGTGGCACGATCTCAGCTCACTGCAACCTCCGCCTCCTGGGTTCAAGTGATTCTCCTGCCTCAGCCTCCCAAGTAACTGGGATTATAGGTTTGCGCCACAGTGCCTGGCTAATTTTTGTATTTTTTGTGGAGATAGGGTTTCACCATGTTGGCCAGGCTGGTCTTGAACTCCTGACCTCAGGTGATCCACCTGCCTCAGCCTCCCGAAGTGCTGGGATTACAGGTGTGAGCCAACACACCCAGCCATCAGCTCTTATTCTTGTTACATTTTTAATGTGGCTACTAGAAGTTTTAAATTACACATGTGGTTTGCATGTGTGGCTCACACAATATTTTTATTGGACAGACCTGGTCTGGACTTTCCCTACCCTGCCAAATCCTATCACAGATTCACCTCACTTGCCCTTTTGCAGGTGACGGGATGCTAATGAGCTACAGACTTCCTCTCGTTTCTAGCAATGAGTCAGCTCCAGACTCACTGAGCCTCCAGGAAAAGATACTGTAACCAGTTTCCCAGGCCCCTAGGAGGCTTTTACCCTCACTAGAGGACATTCTGATGGGTGCTTAAGCAAACCTATAGAGAATGTCTTTGCGGGGAGATGCAGGGCCCCTTTCAATCATTCTCAAACTGCTGCAGAAAGTTAGGTCTCACTTTCTAGAGCTTGGTGGACAGTGGGGAGTACCATGTCCTACTGAGTGTACTCAGGCAAGGGGACACCACAGCCCTCAGAAAACTAAGCAGAAGTGGGATGCATGGGAGCCAGTGAGGGCCAGTGGACAGTTAGGCACAGTCATCATCCCTGCTTGTCTGGGCAGCAAAGTGGGGATGGCTTATTCTCAAAGAGACCACACATGCTTAGAAACCCTTTAGCCATGGGTTGAGATGGGTTTCCCAACCATGGGTTAAAGGAGATGGTCAGCCTCCCCTAATTAAAATGACCTCCTGCCCTTTTGTGGGAACAGAGCAAAGCTACCAGTTGACAGCTAGTAAGATTTTTTTTCCTGGCACAGCCTGGCTTCACCAGCATGTCACAGAGGAGACTGCCCCACAGTTCTCACCAGGATCTAGGAGCTTCTCTCCAAACCCAGCAGGTCCTGGATCATGGGCCTTGTCTGAGATGTGTGCGGTCTGAGTGTGACCAACAGGCTGCTCCACCAAGCACCGTTGGTCGATTTCTTTTTTGCCTCGTAGGACTGTGCTCACAGCCCCCTGAACCCACAAGGACCCAAGGACTCAAGGACTCTGTAGTTGCTTGTGCCCAGTACTACAGGAAAGAGGCAGGCTGACGCCATCTTTCTTTTCTTCCTCCCTCTTTTGCCTTCTCTCTTTTATCCACACTCTACCTTCAGTCACCTTCTGTAGGCCTCCAGACAGTCCACAGATTTTCCCATCCAGTCCTTACACCTTCATGGACCATCCTCTCAATGGGTTTCTGCTGCCTGCAACCCTTGGTGGCCCATTCTGGTTCCCACCGCCAGGCCAGCCTTCTCTTGGGTGTGTCCTTGGCCTTCACTGCCCCCATGCCTTTACTCTCCCCACATTTGCCCATTTCTGTTTCTCTCATCCCTTACCTTTCTAGGGGTGGTGTGGCCGATGGGCCTTCTCATGATTTGGGGCCTTCTCCTCCAGCTTCTGGCAAACCATGATCCTTAGCACTAACAGAGTCTAATATCTCATGGCATTCTCAGCAGAACTGAGAGAAGAGGGTGGTGGGGGTTCTGTTCATTGCTAAGTAGTGATAAAAACAAAATTTCAATTTGTCCTAAATTCCCAGTACTTGGCTCTTTTACATGCTTTTAAATAGTGTGGACCTTTTGTTGCTTCCCTGTCCTTTAGGACTCAACTCAGCTTCTCTTCCCCCCAGGAAATCTTCCAAACCTTCCAGCCCATGTCTCTACCCTGCAAAGAGGGAGCAGGGACACTTTTTGTCTGCACCACCCATTGGATCATTAATCTTATGCTGCTTTGGGTGAGTTCTCGCCTTAGGGCGGGGACTGTGGGTTATGCCTCTTCGTACTTCCTCCTATGTATGCCCCATAGACATCAGGAAATTATTTTGAAAACTAGTTTTTACTCCTTAACACAATAACCTTTGGATGGCATAGGAAATTAAAGATGCAACTTCTGTCTTATCCCGAATTCTTATTCCATGTAGAGTTGATCTATATGTAGCCAATATATGTCTCACATGGTGTTACAAAGAATAGTTTCTGTACTCTTCCAAGGCACACATCCAAGTGTGACTTCTTTTTTTAAAAATTGGAGAAAAAGGCTACTGCAACTGAAAACATGACTGCAGTTATCTCTAAAAGCAGCTAGTCACAGAAATGTATTTTATGTAATTGGAATATTACTATGATACAGACTTTGTACACGTGCACCTTATTTGTGTGCCCCAAAATATTTATTGACATATTTGGTAAAGCCACAAGGTAAACAAAATTATCCAAATTTTTCCATTTAGCTTTAGTACGTATTTACAAGAATCTATTTAAAGAAAGGCCTCTGATATTGCGAAACCACATTTTTTTTTCCTGAGAAACCACGTTTGGAACAGCCAACCCCCGAGCAGACATGAATGGAATACCTGCTACACATCAGGGACTGTGGGAGGCTCTGAGGGCACAAGATAAGCAGGGGCTTGCAGCCGGGAGGAGGGGACAGGGGTGGGGGTACTGAGAATCCAGGGGTAGGATTCTGTGTTTGAGAAGTCTTGACTTAGAGGAGGGAGAGACAACTTCACGCTTGGTGGTGATGGTGGCTGCTGGAGGTGATCATGCCAGGCTCTGTGAAGTTCCAGAGCATCTGAAGCTGAGAGGGGGCTCTCTTGGCTTGCGAGGGAAAGGGTAAACCGATAACATTCTGGGCATGTGCACCTACCCTGAGCATGATGTGAGAGGAGGCTGCCTAGTTTCAGGTAGACACAGGTGCCCTTTGCCCTGGCAGAGAAGCTTACCCTCATGGCCCGCAGGACAGCAGGCTGGGGGGTGTCTGCCCTGCACGGATGGGGTTTTTTGACCCGTCTGTTCTCTCATTCTATCCTTTCTGCTACATCGAGGATGTTTATAAGGCAATGGATGTTTGTTTATAAGGTATCCCTATGGTGGGGATAAGTGGGAGGTGGAGAATGGGAAAATCAGAGGGAAAGAAGCTATAGGTCTGAGCTGGAAATAAAGTGTCTCCTTGTGTGAGACCAGTAATGCCTGCTCACCAGTAATAACCAGCTTCAGCAGGGACCCCCACCACCCCACCTCACCCTTAGCTGAGCCTCAGTCCTGGAGGCCTAAACATAGAGAAAAAATAATTTGACTTAAGAAAAGTAAGATAGACTGCCGGGCGCAGTGGTTCACGCCTATAATCCCAGCACTTAGGGAGGCCAAGGCAGGCAGATCACGAGGTCAGGAGTTTGAGACCAGCCTGACCAACATGGTGAAACCCCGTCTCTACGAAAAATACAAAAATTAGCCAGGCGTGGTGCACCTGTAATCCCAGCTACTTGGGAGGCTGAGGCAGGAGAATTGCTTAAATCCAGGAGGTGGAGGTTGTAGCAAGCCAAGATCATGCCGCTGCACTCCAGCCTGGGTGACACAGCGAGACTTCATCGCAAAAAAAAAAAAAAGAAAGAAAAGTAAGATAGGTTTGGTAATGGATAATGAACAGACATAGCTGAGCTATTTCTTAAAAATTAATGTTATCTATTCATCTCTAATGCATTGAAGACCACTAGGATTTAAAGAGGAGTATTATGTTGGCGTTTGGGAGGAGGGTTTTTTCCCGATAAGTTTAAAATTCCAAAGGTTGCACTTCTACATGACTTGTGTCATTCAGACTATTACAAGATTCTGCTCACTCCGGAGGCTTGTACTAATTAAGCCCAAGAGACTTACAGTACCTTAGGCCTGACTTCTGTTAAAGTTTTACTTAATATACCAATTTTTAGGCCACTTATGGGTGTTAGCACTCTATGGAAAATTTTCTTTTTCCAAAGCAACAGTTGGTGGCTGACTTTTCAGAAGGAATTATTCACCTCACATGAAGGAATCAGTTTCTGGCATTTTGCTCAACCTAAATCATCCATTCAGTGAGCATGCATGCCTGCTGGCACTTGGCCCAGTGGAAGATACAGGATGGATGAGACTGAAGTCACTCCTTGCATCTGCTCTTGCTAGAATAGAATCCCTGGCTTGGCTAATGAGACCCCCATTTACCCAGTCACCCCCATCCTAACCTGGGAACCACCTTTAGCATCCTTGCTTTCCTGAGCCCCCTGCATCCTAGAAGCCACTTAGTTCCAAAGGTGATGTCTTTGAAACAACTCTTGACTCCATGCCCACTTCCCAACCCACCACCACTTCCTTTAAGCCATTATGACCTCTCATCCTACAGAGCCTCATGACCACTCCCTCTGCCTCCTTGTAATGTGTGCTGGAGCCAGTTCATACTGACTTGTGAGAACTGATTGTTTAATTTTCTGGTATTTTGTGATTTAGTGTTAAACCAGCCATTATTAAAAATTAAATTATATAAGCATGCATTTAAGCAAATTTTATTTGTAAGAAGTAATAAGTACTTACATTCCATCCCTTCCCAAGCACATAACTATATTTTACTATCATGTGTGCTCTTGACATTTGTACGTCTGTTTTATCTGTATTATGGAAATGCCAGATAAAGCTGTGCCCTGCACACATCTTCCCAACTCCACATTCAGTGACATCATTCTGGCAGCTTTAAACAGCCATGAAGGGAGTATTTTTAGATCAAGAAAATTGGCAAACTCTACAAATCAGGACCTTTTTTTAATTGATTTTTCTAGACTTAAAAAAATGATGAAGAAAATGTTAATAATACAAGATAAACTTAAATGTGTATCATGTCTATAGTAGTTTCATTGTGAATAACCCAAAAATATCAAGAATGATTCCCCCAGTATTTACAAACTATTATTTGATTCAACAAAGAAGTTCCTCACATCACTGACAAATGAGTGAAATTTCTATGTACACCTTTGTTATTTGTCTTTCATCTTACTTTTTTTTTTTTTTTTGACATGGAGTCTCGCTCTATTGCCCAGGCTAGAGTGCAGTGGCGCGATCTCGGCTCACTGCAAGCTCCGCCTCCCAGGTTCACGCCATTCTCCCGCCTCAGCCTCCCAAGTAGCTGGGACTACAGGCGCCCGCTACCTCACCCAGCTAATTTTTTGTATTTTTAGTAGAGATAGGGTTTCACTATGTTGGCCAGGATGGTCTCGATCTCCTGACCTTGTGATCCACCCGCCTCGGCCTCCTAAAGTGCTGGGATTACAGGCTTGAGCCACTGTGCCTGGCCCTCATCTTACTTTTTGATGTAAGTGAAAATATCAACTAACATTTATGCCAAGACTCCACTCATTCATTAACTGTAACCATAAATTGGCTGCTGATACAAGAGGTCAAAAAAACCAGCAAAAGCATTTTGTGGGAATCCATTGGCTATATAGACTCTACAACCAAGAGTGCCTTATATTTGAATATTGTTTTGAAATTGTGTGTTATACATTCTTTGTATTAGGGATTGGGAAATTTATTTCTTAAAGGGCCAGATAGTAAACATTAGGCCTTATGGTCTCTGTCAAACTGCTTAACTCAACTCTGCCATTGTAATGGGAAAGCAGCAATAGATGATATATAAATGATGGGCAAGGCTATGTTCTAATGAAATTGTATTTACAGAAACAGGTGGCCAGTACATACTGACTTGCGAAAACTGATTGTTTGATTTTCTGGAATTTTGTGATTCAGTTGTTAAACCAGCCATTATTAAAAATTAAATTACATAAACATGCAATTAAACAAATGCTATGTTTAAGAAATAATAAGAACAGCCCATCCCTTCCCAAGCACATTACTATAGTTCACTATCGTGTTAGTAATGTCAAGAGCATACATGATGGTAAGCTATAGTAATGTGCTATGTGGCCATATGCTAAATTATGGCCTGGACCGTAATTTCCTGACCTCCGCTTTATATCAGTAAAATGTATAATAAACTTATGTTCGGCTATCTTTGCTTTTTCAGCAAGCTGGTGGTTAAACTCTTAGCAGCATACTGTTGACTACTATCCTATCTGGTCCCCAGTCCTCATTGTGAAGGGCTCAGTGGTGGTTCCTCATCACTGACTAAACCATCATCAGGCATCTTTGAGGAGCACGCTCCTGACTTCCTGCCCCGCTTTCCCTGCCACCTTCCCAAGTCACACTAGGCTGTTTGTAGTTCTCTGGACATGCCAGGCTTGGCCATGCCTCTGTGTGTCACTCCCTCTGTCTAGCATGCTCTTCCTTCCTCCTGTCCTCCTGGAAAAATCTTGGTCCCCTGAGCCAGGTCAGGAGCCCCCTCTGTGACTGCCCCCGGCCACCTCTCTCCTCCTCCCCGCTGTGGAGTGGATTTGGCACTGACCACACTATCACTGCTCAGCCTGACCAGACCCTCCAGGGCAGCATCATGTCTTGGTCGCTGTGTCCCCATCTCCCACTGATGCTGCTGAATGCACTTAGTAAAGATTTGATCAGTGGAGCTCATGGAAGAGCCTATGTTTTAGTAATCCAAGTAAGATGTCTTTCGTGTTGACACTTTGTATCTGTTACTCTCCAAGTGCATTTCATACATTAACTCCTGCAATCCTTACCACAACTCCAGGAGGGAGATACTAGGCTCCCCTTTCTACAGATGAGGAAACTGAGGCTTGAAGTGGTCAAGAAGCCTGTCCAGGCTTCACATGGGATGCGTGTGGCAGAACCAGGATTCTAACCCTAAAGTAGTTAGCAATATGGAAATAAAGGAAGCACAAGTGTATCTTCGGAGAATTCATAAGAGAAAGGTTTCCCTTGCTTGGGAAGTGAGGGGATGACTTCATAGAGGAGGTGTTGACTGACGTGGGTTTGAGCAGTGGATAGAATATGTCATTGTAGGCCTGGTGCGGTGGCTTATGTCTGTAATCCCAGCACTTTGGGAGGCCGAGGTGGGCGGATCACGAGGTCAGGAGTTCGAGACCAGTCTGGCCAACATGGTGAAAACCCATCTCTACTAAAAATACAAAAAGTAGCTGGGCATGGTGGCGGGTGCCTGTAATCCCAGCTTCTCAGAAGGCTGAGGCAGGAGACTCACTTGAATCCAGGAGGCGGAGGTTGCCGTGAGCCGAGATCCCACCATTACACTCCAGCCTGGGTGACAGAGCAAGACTCCATCGCAGAAAAAAAAAAAAAAAAGAATATGTCATTGTAGGGAGAGATCCTCTGCAAAAGTGAAAAGGCAACGAAAGGCAGGAGAGGAGATAATCAAGCATGGCTGGTCCCCTCAATGTGTAGAGTAGGGGAGCTTGAGCTGAGGGTACAGTTGGTGCCCAGATGCTCAGCTGCCCACCTGGCTTGGCCTGGCTTCCTCCACAGTCCATACCCTACCTCCAGGTGCTTCAGGGTCCACAGCCACCCCAGTGGGTGTTTGGGCTGAAGTAGATCATGTCATGTGGATGGGCCTGTTTACGTGATGTGCCATGGAAGGGAGTGGCAGGTGGGCAGCTTGGAGTGAAAAGCTAAGAGAGTGAGGTAGCTAACTGCATCTGTACGGAGAATCCTGGGTCTCTTTTATGGAAAACTGGAGGCCCAGACCTGCGTAGCTCCTTGAAGGCCATGAGAGCACCTCGTCCAGGAGTGGGCAAGGTTGGGCATGCAGTAATGTAAATGGAGTAGTAAATGTCAGCTCTGACTGCAGCATTTCAGTTCAGCTTTCTACCACACTTTGGAGGTATGCAGCCAACTGCACCTAAAACCCAGCCATTGTACCACCTGCTTCTTTGTCTATAGGACCCTTTATTTCTAACATGGTCAAAGCAGTGTTCATCACATAAGATTAGACTCAAGCGTCTGGATCTTCGCTTCTGTGGTGCCTCATTTAAATAATTTCTAAGAACAAAATTCCAAGAGGTATGGTTTCCTCTAGTGCCATTGCTTGAAAAAGAAGTGAGGAGGAGGAAGAATTTGAAGTGTTCTTCCTTCCGCTTCTCACCCTGGTTTGCTGAAGGCTAGGTTTCCTGGGTGAGATTTCAGAGCCCAGCTCCAGGAAACTGAAGAAAGTATGCATTTACTCATCCTGACCAGCTGCACCTAAACCCAGAATCACCATGTAAGGAGTGGCTTCAACTTTTCCTCATTATTTGTTAGTCAAACAAGATGGCTGCAGGATGGGAGGCTGAACAGCTGCAACGTATGTACTCGAGGGTCTGGGGAGGAAGAAAAGGGCCAGGTCTCAGTGGGTGCCATTAGTTCTGCAAGTGCCTTTTGAGCACTTTCATAGCAAACACAACCCTGAACTATGGCACGATGAAGAGAAAGCACGGGGGAGCCTGCTCTCAAGCTGCTTTGGGTCTAGTAGAGGTTTGTGAGAAGGTTTCAGATCACTGGAACTGTTGAAAAGAGTTTAAGTCTATTCGCAGAGCTTTGGCCCACAAGTTACAAAGGAAACAAAAGGCAGATTCATAAGAAGCCAGTTGTAATCCATAGGGAACACTGGACCTGTCTGATGGCGGAAATCCCTACAGGAGGAACGTTCACATCTACCCACTGGTGCTAGGGAACAGCAGCTCCTTCAGCACCTGTGTTCGATGAGGAGGAGTGTGGAAGGGCTAACATAGTGGCTCCCAACCTTGGCTGCACATTGGAATCACCTGGAGAATTATCAAAGAAAACAACAACAACAAAAACAGAGGCTCTGATAGATTGGGTCTGGGGTGCAGTCTGGGCATGAGGATTTCTGAGAGCGCCCCAGGGGATTCTGATGTACTGCTGAGGGTGAGAACCACCAAATTTCTGAGTGAATTAGATCTGGCGCGATCATGTTATATTAGGCTAGGGAGCTTTCCTGCTGGATGTCTTGGAGGGGGACAAGACTGATTTGACCAAAAACTCCTGTTAGGGCAGGCTGATAGAAGGATGGCCTTTGTATAATTCTCACAAGGAAGACCAGGCCACTGTGGAACTGCCAGGGGTAGGGACCATGCCTTCATCGTCATCATCTTATATCTGTCTCCTAGGTCCTGGCACACAGAAAATATCTATTGAATAAATACTTGCATCCAGGCAGAGAGAAGCCATGGTGTTTGGGTAGCAGCAGTGGTTTCTGAGAGACAGGGGCCTGTGTGTGCCCTTCCTCAGGCTTTGTCAGGGCCAGGGAGCTTGGAGCATAGCTTGGGCTTCCAGAGCAGCCAGTGGCCCAAGAGAAGTCTGACCTGGGCAAAGCTGCTCTCCTCTCTGGACTCAGAGAGCACTGTGATGATGTGGCTCTGCCTGTCTTGTCAGCCATGTTTCCAGCACTTAGCATGAAGCCTGGTGCACAGGAGGTGCTTCCGTAGGGGTAGATGATGTGCTGGGCAGTCAGCCCTCTTCCTGGAACTGGCTTCAGGCACCGAAGCTCCTCTATCTGCAGGGCCTGACCTGAAGGCACTTTACTTCCTGATTACAGTGAGATTTGGGGACAAATACAACAAAAATTCATTCCACAGTCTACACCCCAAGCCCCATTATCTGATTCAGCTGACAGGTTTTTGGGTTTTTTTGTTTTTTGTTTTTGTTTTTTTCATGTCTCTTGCACATTAATGTTTTATGGTTTGAGATTTGATAGGGGAAGTAATAGTGTGAGTGGGATTTATACAGTTTCCTGCTTTAATTGAAATTAGAAAAATTCACCCAACATCCTTTAGGCTATGAGAACTTTGGTTTTTTTTAAAAAAAATCTTCAATAGATCATCGTCCCTGCGACGCTGCACCACCAAAACTCCAAGTCTTGTTTCTCTGCCTGTCACTACTGGGCTCTCAGGAGATGCAGCAAACGGCTGCCCCCTTTAGCCACAGAAGCACAGTGTTCTGGGTAAGCAGTTGAGGGGTAAGATCCAAAGCATGTGCCAGTGTATCACCATGGGGTGAGAGTCCAGAGACAGCGGTTGTTGAGTAGGCCCTGGGGTCGGTCAGCTGTGCCAAGTGGTCCAGGCTCAGGCAGGGGCAGCTTTTTGCATTAGAGGGCAGATCACCACTGCTCCACTGCTGTCAGGGGCTCTTCCTCTGTGCCTAAGAACCTTGGCGCCTATGCTTGGGGAACTCACTGCTGTGGAAATACAGCCTCGTGGGTGTGTGGGGGTCTGCCTGGCCTGCAGCAGCTCCATGAGGCCAGAGCGGGGCCTATGTATGTTCTTTCATCTTCTGATGAATGTTGTCCCTCAGAGGGAATTGTCTGAACAGTGGCCCCAGAGACATGTTCTATATTAGGAATTTAAAGTGACATTAAAAACTGCAACATCTTTAAAACATCCAACCAAAGGTTCTAGGGGCTTCGGGGCTCTAGGCCTTGCTCCTGGATGGCAGCCCCCCGGTGGCCATCAAGGGCGCTTTGGTCCAGATGTCCCCTGGGGCATCTGTGCAGAGAATGTGCAAGGTCAGGCCCAAGTAGGCCCTCCAGAGGCAGAAGCTGATGATGACCAAGGGGGTCCAGGCCCCTTGGGGCCTCTCAACTCATTAGCTTCTATGGGGCCAACAGGGTAAAACTGTTGGGAAAATGGACCTTTCAAAAATTCTTTTTAGACAATGTGGACTGTTATTTGTAAACTTAGAAAGAGGAGGGTATGCTAAAACATTGTTTTCTCAAAACACACACACACACACACACACACACACACACACAAATGTCTTCACATAAAAAGGAAAGGGAAGAGAAACTTCCTCACTGTCTTCAGAATTCAGTTACTCCTTCACAGCTGCTGAAGGTGAGCAGCGTTGTGATGAATTCCTGGGGTACACTCTGGTTCCTCTTGATTCAGTGGTGGAGAGTGTAGAAGCAGATGCTGCAGCCAGTGAGTGTCGTCCCTTGTGGAGTGGCCAGTGCAGAAGTTATCCCTTCCCCTTGTGTTTGAACTAATCTGGGGCTGAAAGCATACTTTCCAGCTAGTCTTCCTGGTGATGACCTTGACCTTTGATCTGGAAATACCAACTGGAAGCCTGGGGAGTTCCTTCTCTTTTTCTCTCTTTTTTTTTTTTTTTTTTTTTGACAGAGTCTCGCTCTGTCACCAGGCTGGAGTGCAGGGGCGCAATCTCGACTCACTGCAACCTCCGACTCCCGGGTTCAAGCGATTCTCCTGCCTCAGCCTCCCAAGTAGCTGGGACTACAGGCACGCACCACCATGCCCTGCTAATTTTTGTATTTTTAGTAGAGATGAGGTTTCACCATGTTGGCCAGGATGGTCTCAATCTCCTGACCTCATGATCTGCCTGCCTTGGCCTCCCAAAGTGCTGAGATTACAGGCGTGAGCCACCACGCCTAGCTGGGAAGTTCTACCGTTTTCTAAGGCTTCCAGCAACACTGAGTCACAGACCTGGGTGAGTCATCTGCACTTGCAGCGTTCTTCACAAAAGCCCCCAACTTGTTCTCAGTGCTGAACTGGCTCCCCTGGCCATCTCTCTGGCATGTGATTGTCAGGGCCAATGAGGCTGGCATGGCCTTTGTGACTAATATGTCCCCATGTGAGAATAAGAGATAAGTTGGAAAACATTTGATTCCCTGGAGAAGTCTTAACCCTTGGCCTCCCATTTTCAGTAGCAGCATTTAGAGAAGAAAGTGTAATTTTGTGTTTGGTCTTTCAAATCCATCTCTCTTATTCCTTTGGAAGCATCTTCACTTTCTCCAGAATCACTGTATTAAAGCCATTCCTCCTCTCCCAATCCATCCTGCACCCCCTTCCAGATTCATCTCCCCAAGATAACACTTGACTCTTTTATTTCTGTCTTAAAAACTTACACTGACTCCCTGTTGTGTATAAGGTCTGTCTTGCTGACTTAAAGTCCCAGCCCTTGATCCTTTACCCTTCCCGTGACTCCTGTGGAGCCTGCACTGTAGAAGGCTCAGCTTCTTACACCCTGTTACTCCTGGCTCCTGATCCCCAGGTATACTGCATATTCAAAGGGCAATCTAGAAGTCTGGTCCCTCTCATGGAATGTTCCCTTCACGATAGCTTACTGTCCTTTCGGAGCCCTGCTGCACTTGCTGGCTGCGTCACACAGCCCAGCACTCAGCCAAGTTTTGTCTCACTACACAGGTCATCCCAGGCAGCATTCAGTATCTTCTCCATCTTGACCTCTTCTTTCCCCAAGGGCCTTACACGGTGCTAGGTAGGTGACTAATACATTCAGACTAAATTAGATTACCTGAAATTATTCATAATTAGGTTACCAGCATCATGTCTTATAAATCAATCACTAGAAAGGCACTTACTTGATGAGCTACACAGAAGGAATAAGACAGCCCCTGTTCTATTCTACTCTTATTAAGTCAAGTGGACAATACTCAGATATATGGAAACAGAAAGAAAAGCAAAGAGGTGTGGTTAGACCCCATCTTAAAGACAAAAGAAAAAGAAGAGGCTGGGCGCAGTGGCTCACGCCTGTAATCCCAGCACTTTGGGAGGCTGAAGCAGGTGGATCACCTGAGGTTAGGAGTTCAAGACCAGCCTGGCCAACATGGTGAAACCCTGTCTCTACTAAAAATACAAAAATTAGCTGGGCGTGGTGGTGCAGGCCTGTAATCCAAGCTATTCCAGAGACTGAGGCAGGAGAATAGCTTGAACCTGGGAGACGGAGGTTGCAGTGAGCCGAGATCATGCCACTGCACTCCAGCCTATGCGACAGAGCGAGTCCACTGTCTCAAAAAAAAAAAAAAAAAAAAAAGAAGAGATAGACATAAGAGATGTTTTGATCAAAACATTAACCAGAATGTTTTTGAAGTGAGGTATTGAAGGGTGAGATGGAAAGAAGAATAAAGAATGGCCCCACCTGAGTAGCAGGGCATTGACTGTTCCATGAATTCCAAGGTGGAAGGAGTATCACAGAGCCCTGAGCGAAGGTTTCTGCTGGACAAGAGAAGCAGGGAGGATGAGGGTGTGCTGGACCGAGGTGACATAAGAGCCAACGTCTGGCTAGATATGCAGAGAGAGGAATCCAAGGAGATCCGAAATGGCATGCTGTATCTGAAAATAATGAAGTGTAATACAATAATATTTTATTGAGTGTTTGTTTTGGGACAGGCCCTAGACTGTCTTAAAGGCATCGTCTCAATTAATCATCTTATCAAGCCCATAAGATAGTATTATCCTTATTCAGCAGATGAAGAAACTGATACTCAGAGAGCAGTTACACAGCTAGAAAATGTGCAAGCTTGGCATCATACCTCGAGACCACTACACAGCCCTTCCCTGTGGTGCCTTTGAACAAATGTTTTCACTGGCACAGGCCACTCACAACATGAAGTACACTCAGCCACTTTTTGTAAGTCATGGGGGAAGCAAACATTGTGAAAAAGACACCCAGAGCTCACCCTCAGTTCACATTCCAGCCAATTTTTTCTCAAGCATTTTATTGTGAAAATTGTCAGGCATACAGCAAAGTTGAAAGAATTTTACAGTAAACACCTGAATAACCACCACCTAGATTCTACCGTTAACATTTTACTATATTTGCATTATCACATCTCTTTAAATATACATCCCTCTGTACATCCTTAATCCATCTTGTTTTTTTAAAATAAATTTCATCTATTAGTACTTTTCCTCCTAAAGCCTTTAGCGTGCATATCATTAGCAACAGTTCTATATCTGCTTACATTTTATGTAAAATTAACATACAAAGAAATGCACAAATGGTAAGTGTACCTTTGTGTGACCTTTGACAAATGTATACACCTTTGTAACCTAAACCCTAAGAAGACGTAGAACATCACTGCCACTCCAGAGAAGGTCCTTCTTCCTCTTCCCAATTAATGTCTGTCCCCCAGTCCTCAGAAGAAACCATTGAGCTGATTTTATCCACCATAGATTAGTTTTGCCTGTTCTAGAATTTCATCTAAATGGAGTCACAGTATTTACTCATTCGTGGAAGGCTTCTTTCAGTCAATATAATGTTTTTGAGATGTATTTATGGTTTTGAGTATATGATTTGGTTGCTTTTTACTGCTGAGCACTGTTCTATTGCATGGATATACCACAGTTTGTTTATCCATTCTCCCATTGATGGGCACCTAGATTGGTGCCAGTCTTGAGCTATTATGAATAAAGCTGCTGTGAATATTCTTATACAAGTCTCTTTGTGAATATATATTTTTATTTCTCTTGGGAAAATACCTAGGAGTAGATTTGCTAAGTCATGGATTAAATGTGTGTTTACTTTTGTAAGAAACTGCCAGTTCTCCCAAAGTAGTTTTTAGCATTTGACATCGCCAAGAACAATGTATGAGGGATTCAGTTGCTGCACATCCTTGCCAACAGTTGGTTTGCCAGTCTTTACAATTGTAGCCATTTTATTAGGTGTGCAGGTCTTAATTTGCACTTCTCTGATGACTAATAATGTTGAACAATTTTTCGTGTGCTATTGGTCTTTTTTAAATGTCATCTTTTGTAAAGTGTCTACTCAAATCCTTTGCTATTTTAATTGGGTTGTTTTATTATTGAGTTGTATTAGTTCTGCATATATCCTGATGAATACATCAGTCTATTACTAGGTGTATGTTTTGCTCATATGTACTTTCACTCTGTGAGTTTCCTATTCATTTAACAGTATATTTTAAGAAGTTTTTAGTTTGATAGTTTAATTTGTTAATATTTTATGTTCGTTGTTTTCTGTGACCTACCTAAGAAAACTTTACCTACCCTCAAGTCAGGAAGATATTTTGTATTTTCCTTTAAAAACTTAGTGGTTTTACATTTAGGACTATCATCCATCTAGAGTTAGTTTTTGTGTATGGTGTCAGATGGGATCAAGCTTAATATTTTTCCATTTGGATATCTATTATTCAAGCACCATTTGTTGAAAAGACTTTCTTTTCTTCATTGGATTGTTTTGACATCTTTGTCAAAAGTCAAATGAGTATGTAATATTGATCTGTTTCTGGACTCTGTTCTTTGCATTGATCTATTGGTCAATCTACATATTGCATGCTTTCTTAATTACTTTATAGTAAGTCTCAAAGTCAGGTAATGTAAGTTCTTCAACTTAACATTGCATGATTTGGTATTCTATGTCCTTTCAATTTCTATATAAATTTTAGAATTAGCTTGATAATGTTTCCCCCAAAAGCCTGCTGAGTTTATTTTTAGGATTACATTGATGCTGTAGATCAATTGGAGAGAATTGATATTTGATGATATTGATTCTTCCAGTCCATGATATGGGGTAGTTTTATGTTTGTTTGGATCTTCTTTAATGTCTCTCAGCAATGTTAAGTAGTTTTCAGTATAGAAGTCTTGCATATCTTTGTTAAATTTATTTCAAAGTACTTTATGTTTGCTGATGTTGTGACAAATGGAATTGATTTCTAAGTTCATTTTCTAAATGTTTGCTGCCAGTACATAAACATACAATTGATTTTTTGCCGGGTGCAGTGGCTCACGCCTGTAATCCCAACACTTTGGGAGGCCGAGGTTGGCATATCACTTCAGGCCAGGAGTTTGAGACCAGCCTAGCAACATGGCAAAACCCCGTCTCTACTAAAAATACAAAAATTAGCCAGGTATGATGGTGCACACCTGTAAATCCAGCTACTCAGGAGGCTGAGGCACAAGAATTGCTTGAACCCAGGAGGCAGAGGTTACAGTGAGCTGAGATTGTGCCACTGCACTCCAGCCTGGGTGATAGAGTGAGATTCTGTCTCAAAACAACAACAACAACAACAACAACAACAAATTGATTTTTAAAATTAGCTTTCTACTTGTGAACTTGCTTGATGGATTTGTTAGTTTCAGCAGCTGCTTTATAGATTGCTTAGGATGTTATACACAAAAAGTCATGTCTTTCACATCTATTTAGGATGGAATCTTGGTCTGTAGTTATCTGTTTTTTGGATAATGTCTTCATCAGGGTTTGTATATTAGGATTGTGCTGGCCTATTAAATGATCTTGAAAATATTCCCTCCTTCTCTATTTTCCGAACAAGTTTATATAAGACAGGTGTTATCACTTCCTTAAATGTATGATAGAATTCACCTGTGAAGGTATCGTGGCCTGGAATTTTTTATGCGGAAAGATTTTTCATAAGAAGATCTTTTTTCCCCTAAATATAGGAAAGTTCAGTCTTTTCTGTTTTTATGTCCATACAGGTGAGTTGTAGTTTTCAGAGAATTTGTCCATTTCATTTAGGCTATCAAATTTTTTGGCAAAAGTGGATCATAATATCCTCTCATCATCCTTTTAATGTCTGTAGACTTTGTAGTGTAAGGCCAGGTGTCGTGGCTCACGCCTGTAATCCCAGCTCTTTGGGAGGCCGAGGTTAGGAGTTTGAGACTCAGCCTGACCAACATGGTGAAACACCGTCTCTGCTAAAAATACAAAAATTAGCTGGGTGTAGCGGCGTGCCGCTATAATCCCAGCTACTCAAGAGGCTGAGGCAGGAGAATCACTTTAACCTGGGAGGAAGAGGTTGCAGTGAGCTGAGATTGCACCATTGCACTCCAGCCTGGGCGACAGAGTGAGACTTCATCTCAAAAAAAAAAAAAAGAATTTGTAGTGTAACCTCTCTTTCATTTCTTTATTTGTGTTTGTGTCCTCTCTCTTTTTTATTGTTCTGTCTAGGTGAGATTTATCAACTTGGTTGATCTTTTTGGAGAACCAACTTGTAGGCTTTATTACTTTTCTCTATTGTTAATCTGTTTTCTATTTTGTTGCTTTCTGTTCTTATCCTTATTATTTCCTGCATCTCTTTTACTCAGCTTGGTTTAGTTTGCTCCTTTTTTCTAGCTTCTTAGGTAGAACCTCAGGTCATTATTATTATTTTCTGACAATTTCATTGAGGAATAACTGACATACATTAAACTGCACGTATTTAAAGCATACAGTTTGATGAGCTTTGTTGTATGTACACACCCATGAAGCCATCACCACAATCAAGATAATGAACATATCTATCAACATATCCCCAAGAGTTTCCTTGGGTCCCTTTGTATTCTTTCCCTCCTGACCCTCCTTGCCCTCCTTTATTTCCAAGCAATCACTGATTACTATAGAATAATTTCCATTTTCTCGGGTTTTATGTAAATAAAATTAGAGAGTGTATACTCCTTTTTGTGACATCTTTCACTAAGCATACTAATTCTGAGATTCACCCATGCTGTTGCATTTATCAGTTTATTTTCTTATTGTAATAGCTTTATTGAAATATAATTTACGTACCATACAATGTATCCATTTAAAGTGTACCATTCAATGGATTTTAGTGGTTCATTTCCTTTTATTGGTCAATATTATTCTAGTGCATTAGCTATCCTTTTTATCATTATAAAATGTTCTTCTTTATAGCTGGTGATACTATTTTTTCGTTTTTTTGAGACGGAGTTTTGCTCTTGTTGCGCAGGCTGGAGTGCAATGGTGCCATCTCAGCTCACTGCAACCTCTGCCTCCCAGGTTCAAGCGATTCTCCTGCCTCAGCCTCCCGAGTAGCTGGGATTTACAGGCATGCGCCACCATGCCCAGCTAATTTTGTGTTTTTAGTAGAGACTGGGTTTCTCCATGTTGGTCAGTCTGGTCTCGAACTCCCGACCTCAGGTGATCCACCTGCCTCAGCTTCCAAAGTGCTGGGATTACAGGTGTGACTCACTGCACTTGGCTGATACTCTCTATCTTGTAATGTATTTGATTTGATAGTAATATAGCCATTCCAGCCTTCTTATGCTTGTTTGCATGATGTATCTTTTCCCATCCACTTACTTTCAATCTGTGTCTATTGAAGGTATATTTTTTATGGAGAGTGTATAATTGGCTTTTCATTTTTTAATCAATTCATATCTGCCTCTTATTTGGAATGTTTAGTCCACTAACAGCTAATGTAATTATTGATATGGTTGGATTCAGGTCTACCATTTTAACATCTGTTTTTTTTGTTTTATTTTTATTTTCTTTTATATAGGTATTTTAGATTATTTGAACGATTTTTAAAAGCCATTTTATTTATCCATTGGTTTTTTAGTTAAATCTCTTGGCATTTTTAAGTGGTTGTCCTGGGGATTACTATATACATCTTTAACTACACAGTCTACTTAGCCTAATATGGTACCAATTCATGTGAAACATAGGAACTTTTGAAACTGGAAGTCCATTTACCACCTTCCCTTTTATCCTTTATGTTGCAGTTCTCATACGTTATAAATCCCATAATACGGTTACTGTTTTTGCCTTAAATGCATGTGTTTTAAAGAAATTAAGAGAAAATTTAATCTACTATGTACCCAAGTATTTGCCATTGAATCTTGAGCACTGAAGATCGGTGAGAAGGCAGCATACACGCTTGTTCTGTCCTTCACTCTGTCTCTGGCTAATCCTGTGCCTTTGGGCAAATCCCCTAAGGACTTGGCCTCAGCTGTCTCCCTCTGTAGCAGGTCAGTAGGTGTCTTTGCCTACAGACTACAGACAGAACCAGATACACACACACACACACACACCCAACTCTAGGTTCTCTAATTCTTGAGAAATTGCATTGTTAATGTGGATTTTAGACACTGAAACAGTTCCCAGAGGATACAGCTGTTTTTCCCAGGAAACTTTTACAATAGCTGCCATATACGTGATGGTGTAGTCACTGTGCCATTGCCCCTGATGTGGACACTAACGAAGCTCTCAGCTGTGTTTCTAGGACTTCTACTGGCAGTTTTTGTGCGTCCTGCCCATCCTTCTCTTCTGAGATAGACCTCACCTGCAGCATCAAAAGGAGTAGTTTTATCTCTTGAGGGAGCTCCAGGGCCCAAGACTGTGGGAACCACTGCTGCTTGGAGGCACAAGATGAATCGCCCCAGGCAGGGAGGGTCAGGTTAGACAGCTGGGCCAGTCTAAACTGTTACCTGGACAGAACCAAAACTTTGGCAAAAAGTATTTAAATTCCTGCTTTCAGACATGAATTTCAGCTATGTTTTGCTGGCACATTTTCAGCATAATAGTACCAGAATCTGCCAAATTGAAAAGCTAGGAGAGAGGACATCAAACTTCTCTTTGTTTAAAGTGAGAATAGGTCCCATGGCTGCATTTGCTGCCACCTGTGCCCATCTCCCCTCCATCAGCCAGGCCACCCCAGAAAGTTAAATCCCTCCTTAATGTCCTCCTGCAGCTAGCCTGCTATCACAAAATGCCACTCACAGTCCATTCCTAACGGACTCAGGAAAAGTTCCAGTGGTAGTCTAGTAAGTGGCGCTCAGCGTGGGCTTGGGTGGCATTTTTATCGTGTCTGGAAGGAAAAAACTGCTCATGTCACATGAGATACATATACTTTAAAAAAATTATAAATGCTGCTTAATTCATCCATTTTGTTGCCCCTTTTTAGGGTACAGGAGTGTTAATACTCACTTTGTGCCTTGATTTCTTTTTTTTTTTTTTTTTTTTGAGGCGGAGTTTTGCCCTTGTTGCCCAGGCTGGAGTGCAGTGGTGCAGTCTCGGCTCACCGCAACCTCCGCCTCCCAGGTTCAAGCGATTCTCCTGCCTCCACCTCCTGCGTAGCTGGGATTACAGGCATGTGCCACCACGCCTGGCTAATTTTGTATTTTTAGTAGAGATGGGATTTCTCCATGTGCCTTCATTTCTAGTGGAGCATTCCCAGGCCAAATTAGGTGAAGGGTCTCATTTCCTAGGATTTCTTCACAGGTGGCATCCGTCCTCAGATGGGCTACCTAGGACTAGGGATGGCTGCAGGTTTCAAGGAGCGAGTAGCTTGAATGTGTGATTCAAGGTTATTTAGTATCAAATTTGAGAATGCCCCAAACTTACCTTTTAACTGCTCGACCGCATGGCACCACCTTTTGGGAAATACTGTCTTTGGGCACTTCTGAACTAGTTCGCTGAGAGCCAGAGCTTTATCTCTTGTTCTCAGTCACATCCCAGTGCCTAGAAAATTGCCTAGCACATAGTATATGCTCAACAAACACCTGCTGAATGAATAATTTCATTGTGACAGCACTGTGTTTGTCCCTTATTAGACAGTAAATCCTATGAATGCAGGGACTGGGACCTAACCACCTTTGCCTCACAGGCCCAATAAATATTTCTTGAGTTGAATTAGAAGTTGAGGTTCTAATTAGAGATGCCCTTTTTTCTCCTGGGGGTAATTGTTTACAAAATGTAAACAAAGTTCTAATGAACAGCATTTTCAGAACCTTAGGACACACAGTGATAAAACTGTTTTACATTCCTCTCGTTATTACTAATTTTTCCCTGTGCTGTCCCCTCGCCTCTGCACTAGCTCTCAAGGGACCTGATTTACTAAGCTCTGGGCCTGAGGATCAATTCTATCTTATGCTAATCAAGTGCAAATGAAGGCCTGGTGTCATTAAGTAGTTTAATGACTCTCTGTTGAGTGCTAGTGTAACAGGGGTGGGGAAATGTTGGATCTCTCTCATTCTCTTATTCTCTGGACCATAATCTAGGAGGCATGTGGGTTTACACAGAAAAGTGCCATCCGTCACTGACAATTCTTTAAGAACAAGAAACTTTAAACAAAATGAAATTTCTGTCCCTGTTTATATGTAAGTGTCTGTCACTGAGCAGCAAGGGGACACGGGCTGGAGGACTGACAGCATAAAAGTGAGGAGACAAGTGTGCTGCTTGTGTTAGCCGCTCAGCAGAGCACCCCACATATGCTCAACATTGAGCTTCAGAGGAAAGGAAACTAAAATCAATCCTGAAAGAGCAAGCAATATAAATGTCATTGAATCCAGATTCTCAACAAACAGAATACACCTATGAAAGAGAAGGCAAAGAGAACCAGCATGATCTGGGCCCCATTAGGCTAGGCTCGTGCTTCTCAAAGGATGGCACCGGACCTGCAGCTTCAGCCTCACCTGGGAGCTTGTTAAACATGCAGATTCGTAGTCTCCCACCCAAACCTGCTGAAACAAGTGATGGGTGCAGAACCCAGCAATGTGGCTTAACAAGCCTTCCAGGTGATTCTGATATAAAGACCGGCTTAAAAGCCACGGGCTAATATTGTCTCATTTGATCCTCTTAGATCCTAAAAAGTAGATGTGATGCTTAGTTTTAGGTGTCAACTTGACTAGCTTAAAAAAGATACCCAGAAAAAGGGTCTATGCATCAGATCCTTTAAAACAGTAAAACCTTGTTTATGGGAAGGTGTTTCCCAAAGAGACTGGCATTTGAATCAGTGGACTGAATTTGAATCAGAGGACAGGAAGATCTGCACTCACCAATGTGGGCAGGCACCAGCCAATAAGCCAAGGGCTTGGATAGAATAAAAAGGCAGTGGAAGTGCAAATTTGCCCTTGCTTCTTAAGCTGGGACGTTCATCATCTCCTTCCCCTGACATCGGTGCTCCCGGCTCTCAGGCTTTCAGACTTCGGGACTTATGCTACTGCCTTCCCTGGTTCTCAGACTTGCAGACATCGTATCATGGGACTCCTCAGCCACCATAATCATGTGAGCCAATTTATATAATAAACTCAGCTCGCTTGCTCGCTCTCTCCCTCTCTCTCTACACACACACACACACACACACACACACACACACACACACCCCCTGTTGGTTCTTTGTCTAGAGAATGCTAATATAGCAGGTGTTGGTCGCCATTTACCAATGACGAAACTGAGACTTAGTAAAGCTCTGTAAGTTCCCCAGGTTTATACAACTAGAAATGTAGGTACTGGCCGGGCACGGCGGCTCATGCCTGTAATCCCAGTACTTTGGGAGGCTGAGGCGGGTGGATCATGAGCTCAAGAGATCGAGACCATCCTGGCCAACATGGTGAAACCCTGTCTCTACTAAAAATACAAAAATCAGCTGGGTGTGGTGCTACACACCTGTAGTCCCAGCTACTCGGGAGGCTGAGGCAGGAGAATCGCTTGAACCCAGGAGGCAGAGGTTGCAGTGAACTGAGATCGCGCCACCGCACTCCAGCCTGGCGACAGAGCAAGACTCCATCTAAAAAAAAAAAAAAAAAAAAAAAAAAAAGGGCATGTACCAAAGATCTTTTCTCAAAACCTATGGTCTTTTCACTTTATTGGTGTTTCTCAAACTGTAGTGTGTAATTGAATCACCTGGAGATTAAATGGCAAAATGTAGATTCCAATTCAGTAGTCAGAGAGCTTGCGAGTCAGTAGTTCTAACAAGCTTCAGGTGTTGCCAATGCCGCCGGTACACTGAGCACACCTTAAATACAAAGGCTTAATGTGTTAATGGGGTGGGCCCCAGAACTAAAGTCTCAGCCTCACCTGAGAACTCTTAGATCCAAATGCTTGGCCCCACCCAGACCTACTGAGTCAGCAACTCTGGGGATGGGGCCTATCAGTTGGTTTTAACAAGCCCTTCAGGTGATTTTGATTCATGCATAAGTTTGAAAACTACAAATATATCATCTTTCCATACTAGAAAACTCAGTATTGGCCAAGTTATGAAGTGTGGTGGTTCTTACATTGTAGATATTTGAAAGACATTAGAGAGAAACTAGACAAGAGAAAAAAGATAAAACATTTAAGCCTGAATAGTAGCTTGCATTAAGTGTTTTTCTGTGAGATAAGGACACATAAATGATTATCACTGGGCTAAACAATGACAGTACTTCTCTGTAAAGGCTCTTGCAAATATGTGTAGAATGTAGAGCCAGTGGGCACAAGTACTGGGAGCTAAGAGAAGTTATGACCAAGGGACAGTATAATATCTGAAGATGTAGACCTGGCATTGCACAGGAAAATGATGCTTAAAATTTTTCAAAGAAAATATATCTAACAGCAGAAGAAGATAAATCTCTGCTTGTCTGGCATGCAGAAAATGATCTGGGGGAAAAAAACAGCTTGGGATTTTTCTTTTTAATCTTGTGTAATCCTAGAAATTCATATGCAGTTTCATCTATATCAAACCAATGCATGTTGCTTTGATATAAATAACATTTTAAATTACCATTAAGATAAAAGGGGAGAGATGCTGTTGCACTTAGTCTGTTAGACTCATAAAATGTACTGAAGTGGTATGATACCAAGTATCAGAATCAGCACCCATGTATATTTCTTTTCTGTCTTGGTGCTACAGCATTTGGAGAACTTGGAATACATGAAAACAAATGGCAACAGCTTGTGGGTGGCTTTGAGAGCTATGTAAAGGCAGTCACTGAGGACAGGGGCCCAGAGTGTTGCAAGAGGTGTTTTGTTCCGGTGTTTAGGAGCTGCTTGGGTGCGGATTTTGAGAAGTGAATCTTCAAGTGGTTTTTGAAAATAGAAAAGATCTTTGATCTATGCATCAGATCCTTTTAATTTCAAGAAAATACTCATCAAAGTTTTTTGAGTAAAGATGATCAAAGACGTTCTGTACTATACCACTCACACTGTCATTTCATTACATGTAAATGAAGGGAGGGTCTCAAATGACTCAGTTCCTGCGATCACATCTCTTTATCCAGCATTCAGACTCCAATTCATCAAAGCAGTCTTGTCACAAACATGAAAGCATTCAGTTCTGTCGTGAAGTTGCAGATCAAGAATGTTCAGTCTTAAAAGTGCTTAATAAGTCAACGTTTAAAGCTACAGTGATTATTTAAGTGAATAGTACTTTTGTTCATCTTAACCAGGTTTTTTACCCCTTTCCATAACATTCAGGGGAATGGAGGATGAGACAAAAACAAAACAATATAATTCTGAGTTTGAAAAAGTGGATCAAAAATTTCTTCCATCAAAACCTGCATTCTTCTATATAAAATCAAGAAACATTTAAAAATCACTTCCTGTTTCATTGCAAATGTGTGTAAGAATATGAACAATCTTTTTGTTTTTAAAATAACATCTACCATTTGTACCATTCCATTGAATACAACAAGAAAAGTAACAGACTCTGTCAGAAGCTCAAGGAACCAAGTTAGGGACAAAGGTGCATTTAGATATTTGGCCTCCATTTCTCACCTTCACAACAACTCTTTGCCTGTCAGATTTGGCACTATCTGAGCCCATGGATGTATTTTAAATGGACATTTCTCTCAGCATTTTACCGTGAAACACTGTAAATTAGTATTTTTAGAGACATAACTATTAAGTAAAATATATAATGGCCAAATTATTAATAACAGTGTTTTCACCAGAGCTATGAGGCAAACAGCCTGGTCAATCTCAATCTCTTATGGATTCATTTTATATTAGCTTTTATACGCCAGGTACTGTGTTAGCACTGGGTATACAAAGGTAATCAAGTGAGACATAACCCCTGCCTACACAGAACTTATAGATAGACATTATTCAAATAAGTACTGATTTATGAACTGTTATAAATACAATAAGGGGAAAGTCCATTGATAGCATGTAACAGAAGGGCTTGACCTTATAAGGGAGTAGGATGGGCAGGAAATATCCGGGAAGGGTTCCCTTGGAAATCGTGTTTGAGCTAAGATCTGGAAGACAAATAGGCAGAGGAAAGACTGTGGACTGGGAAGCTTCCCAAGCAGTGGAGCTGCAAGTACAAAGACTCGGAGGTGGGAAAGGGCATGGGAGAACAAGAGGGATGGAAAGGAAGCCAGGATGGCCTGCAAGCTGAGAGCTCAGGGCAGAGTGGTGGGGATCAGAGGTGCACCTGGAGAGCTGGCAGGGACCAGGCCATGCAGCAGAGCCTCATAGCCAGCTCGCTGCCTGGAATTGACCCTAAGACCAACGGGATGTGGGAGTTTTAAACAGGAGAATGACAGGATTAAATACATAGTTTGCAAGCTTACACTGGCTGATGAGAATAGACTGGGTTGGGCAGGTATTGCCAAGCTCAGATGAAAGCTGATGGTACCTGCGTTCTGGTAGTAGAGAGACGCAAGTGACTTTACAGGATTGGATGATGGACTGGCTCTGGGGAGGAGAGAGAAGGAAGCAGCAAGGATGACCCCTGGCTTGCATACTGATATATCTGGTGATTTAATTGTGAGTTCTGATGCCTTTGACTTTCAGTAATGACTCAGACATTTCTACCAAATGCTGTCTACCTTCCCACGGTGATTCTGAAATGGGTGTTGAAGGAGGCATCCAGTATTTATTTCCTTACTTGTTTGTTATTGTACTGATCCTGGCCTTGACTCATTTTAGTTGCTAAAAAGTCTCATGATTTTTTATTTTTTGTTTTTGTTTTTTTTTAAATAAAAGGTTGACATGAACACATCATACTAAGAGGGATGTTTTCATATTGTTTTTAGGGTTTTCTCCTACAAGAGATAGGTTTATGTCGCAAATGAATTTAAATTCTATAATTTAAGGTCATGGGAGAACTTGGGAGCAGGGGAAGGAGGCTAGTTCATAAAATCTATCCATCATAAATTATATAAATTTAATAAAAATCAATGTTTTAAATAGTTACCTAAGTAGGTCTTACACTTGGTAGATTGACAGCTGTTATACACAATTCCCTAGTTATGGTTTGAAGCAGTGTATTATCTTATGCCCAGGCTCATAGTAGGGTGTCCCAGGGACTGTGACATGACATTAACCTCACTCCTCTGTTTCAGGCTGTTCTGATTTCGTCTTGTTTATTTTCATAGGTTTTGAAACTACAGTTCAGACTTCCAATTTTCAGCCATCAATCCGTATACTCAGTTGAACATACAATTTTCCCAATACTTTATTATGAAAATCTTTAACCATATAGAGTTAGAAGGACTGTAAGTGAATACACATGTACTCAGTACCTACATTCTGTAATTAGCATGTTGCTTGATCATATAACCATCTGTGTCTCCCTGTAGACATCCAGCAGCCCATCTAATTTCTGACAGATTTCCAACTATCAAAAAAAAAAGTTGCATATATCAGTATGTTTCACCCCTTGTAACTTCAGCATGCACATTATTAACTAGAGTTTAACATTTGTTTTCATCTATTCTAAGGTAGAAGTTACATACAGCAAAATACGTACATCTTAGGCATAGCCTTCCGTGAGGTTTTTAACTTTTTTTTAATTATACTTCAAGTTCTGGGGTACATGTGCAGAATGTGCAGATTTGTTACATAAGTATACATGTGCCATGGTGGTTTCCTGCACCCATCAACCCTTCACATTAGGTATTTCTCCTAATGCTGTCCCTCCCCTAACCCCCACCCCACCCTCCGACAGGCCCCAGTGTGTGATGTGTGATGTTCCCCTCACTGTGTCCATGTGTTCTCATTGTTCAACTCCCACTTATGAGTGAGAACATGTGGTGTTTGGTTGTCTGTTCTTGTGTTAGTTTGCCAATAATGATGGTTTCCAGCTTCATGTTCCTGCAGAGGACATGAACTCATCCTTTTTTTATGGCTGCATAGTATTCCATGGTTCACATGTGTGCCACATTTTCTTTATCCAGTCTATCAGTGATGGGCATTTGGGTTGGTTCCAAGTCTTTGCTATTGTGAACAGTGCCACAATAAACATACGTATGCATGTGTCTTTATAGCAGCATGATTTATAATCCTTTGGGTATATACCCAGTAATGGGATGGCTGGGTCAAATGATATTTCTGGTTCTAGATCCTTGAGGAATCGCCACACTGTCTTCCACAATGGTTGAACTAGTTTACAGTCCCACCAACAGTGTAAAAGTGTTCCTATTTCTCCACATCCTCTCCAGCATCTGTTGTTTCCTGACTTTTTGATGATGGCCACTCTAACTGGCATGAGATGATATCTCATTGTGGTTTTTATTTGCATTTCTCTAATGACCAGTGATGATGAGCTTTCTTTCATATGTTTGTTGGCTGCATAAATGTCTTCTTTTGAGAAGTGTCTGTTCATATCCTTCGCCCACTTGTTGATGGGGTTGTTTGTTTTTTTCTTGTAAATTTGTTTAAGTTTTGTAGATTCTGGATATTAGCCCTTTGTCAGATGGATAGATTACAAAAATTTTCTCCCATTCTGTAGGTTGCCTGTTCACTCTGATGGTTTCTTTTGCTGTGCAGAAGCTCTTTAATTAGATCCCATTTGTCACTTTTGGCTTTTGTTGCCATTGTTTTTGACTAAATGGCTTCACTTTCGACTAGTCTGACTTCATGATTAAAACATACCAAGTGTTTTAGTCATGAAGTCTTTGCCCATGCCTATGTCATGAATGGTATTGCCTAGGTTTTCTTCCAGGGTTTTTATGCTTCTAGGTCTTACATTTAAGTCTTTAATCCATCTTGAGTTAATTTTTGTATAAAGTGTAAGGAAGGGGTCCAGTTTCAGTTTTCTGCATATGGCTAGCCAGTTTTCCCGACCTCATTTATTAAATAGGAAATCTTCTCCCCATTGCTTGTTTTTGTCAGGTTTGTCAAAGATCAGATGGTTGTAGATATGTAGTGTTATTTATGAGGCTTCTGTTCTGTTCCATTGGTCTATATATCTGTTTTGGTACCAGTATCATGCTGTTTTGGTTACTGTAGCCTTGTAGTATAGTTTGAAGTCAGGTAGCATGATGCCTCCAGCTTTGTTATTTTTGTTTAGGATTGTCTTGGCTATGCGGGCTCTTTTTTGGTTCCATTTGAAATTTAAAGTAGTGTTTTTTCCAATTCTATGAAGAAAGTCAATGGTAGCTTGATGGGAATAGCATTGAATCTCTAAATTACTATGGGCAGTATGGCCATTTTTCATGATATTGATTCTTCCTATCCATGAGTATGGAATGTTTTTCCATTTGTTTGTGTCCTCTCTTATTTCCTTGAGCAGTGGTTTGTAGCTCTCCTTGAAAAGGTCCTTCACATCCCTTGTAAGTTGTATTTCTAGGTATTTTATTCTCTTTGTAGCAATCGTGAATGGGAGTTCACTCATGATTTGGCTCTTTCTGTTATTGGTGTATAGGAATGCTTGTGATTTTTGCACATTGATTTTGTATCCTGAGACTTTGCTGAGGTTGCTTATCAGCTTAAGGAGATTTGGGGCTGAGACGATGGGTTTTCTAAATATACAATCATGTCATCTGCAGAGAAAATTTGACTTCCTCTTTTCCTATTTGAATACCTTTATTTCTTTCTCTTGCCTGATTGCCCTTGCCAGAACTTCCAATACCATGTTGAATAGGCGTGGTGAGAGAGGGCATCCTTGTCTTGTGCTGGTTTTCAAAGGGAATGCTTTCAGTTTTTGCCCATTCAGTATGATATTGGCTGTGGGTTTGTCATAAATAGCTGTTACTATTTTGAGATACGTTCAATCAATACCTAGTTTATTGAGAGTTTTTAGTGTGAAGGCCTGTTGAATTTTGTTGAAGGCCTTTTCTGCATCTATTGAGGTAATCATGTGGTTTTTGTCATTGTTTCTGTTTATGTGATGGGTCACAGTTATTAATTTGCGTATGTCTAACCAGCCATGCATCCCAGGGATGAAGCCAACCTGATCGTGGTGGATAAGCTTTATGATGTGCTGCTGGATTTGGCTTGCCAGTATTTTATTGAGGATTTTCGCATCGCTGTTCATCAGGGATATTGGCCTGAAATTTTCTTTTTTTGTTGAGTCTCTACCAGGTTTTGGTATTGGGATGATGCTGGCCTCATAAAATGAGTTAGGGAGGAGTCCCTCTTTTTGTATTGTTTGGAATAGTTTTAGAATGAATGGTACCAGCTCCTCTTTGTACCTTTGGTAGAATTTGACTGTGAATCCTTCTGATCCTGGACTTCTTTTGGTTGGTAGGCTAGTAATTACTGCCTCAATTTCAGGACTTGTTATTGGTCTATTCAGGGATTCAACTTCTTCCTGGTTTAGACTTGGGAGGGTGTATGTGTCCAGGAATTTATCTGTTTCTTCTAGATTTTCTGGTTTATTTGCGTAGAGGTATTTATAATATTCTCTGATGGTAGTTTGTATTTCTGTGGGATCCATGGTGATACCCCTTTATGATTTTTTATTGCATCTATTTGATTCTTCTCTCTTTTCTTCTTTATTAGTCTGGCTAGTGGTCTATTTTGATCTTTTCAAAAATCCAGCTCCTGGATTCATTGATTTTTTTTTTTTCTTTTTAAGGGTTTTTCGTGTTTCTATCTTCTTCAATTCTGCTCTGATCTTAGTTATTCCTTGTCTTCTGCTAGCTTTTGAATTTGTTTGCTCTTCTCTAGTTCTTTTAATTGTGATGTTAGGGTGTCTATTTTAGATCTTTCCTACTTTCTCTTGTGGGCATTTAGTGGTATAAATTTCCCTCAAACACTGCTTTAAATGTGTCCCAGAGATTCTGGTACATTGTGTCTTTGTTCTCATTGGTTTAAAAGAACATCTTTACTTCTGCCTTCATTTCATTATTTACCCAGTAGTCATTCAGGAGCAGGTTGTTCAGTTTTCATGTAGTTGTGCGGTTTTGAGTGAGTGAGGTTTTTTTTTTTTTTTTTTTTGAGATGGAATCTTGCACTGTCGCAGTGCAATGGCACGATCTCAGCTCACTGCAACCTCCGCCTCTCAGGTTCAAGTGATTCTCCTGCCTCAGCCTCCTGAGGAGCTGGGATTACAGGTGTGCATCACCATGCCTGGTCAATTTTTGTATTTTTAGTAGAGACGGGGTTTCACTATGTTGGCCAGGCTTGTCTCAAACTCCTGACCTTGTTATCCACCTGCCTTGGCATCCCAAAGGGCTGGGATTACAGGCATGAGCCACCAAGCCTGGCCTTGAGTGAGTTTCTTAATCCTGAGTTCTAATTTCATTGCACTGTGGTCTGAGAGACTGTTTGTTTTGATTTCCATTCTTTTGCATTTGCTGAGGAATGTTTTACTTCCAATTATGTGGTCAATTTTGGAATAAGTGTGATGTGGTGCTGAGAGGAATGTATATTCTGTTGATTTGGGGTGGAGAGTTCTGTAGATGTCTATTAGGTTCACTTGGTCCAGAGCTGAGTTCAAGTCCTGCATATCCTTGTTAATTTTCTGTCTTGTTGATCTGTGTAATATTGACAGTGGGGCGTTAAAGTCTCCCACTATTATTGTGTGGGAGTCTAAGTCTCTTTGTAGGTCTCTAAGAACTTGCTTTATGAATCTGGGTGCTCTGTTGTTGGGTGTATATATAATTAGGATAGTTAGCTCTTCCTGTTGCATTGATCCCTTTACCATTATGTAATGGCCTTCTTTTTCTCTTTTGATCTTTGTTGGTTTAAAGTCTGTTTTATCAGAGACTAGGATTGCAACCCCTGGTTTTTTTGCTTTCCATTTGCTTGGTAAATATTTCTCTATCCCTTTATTTTGAGCCTATGTGTGTCTTTGCACATGAGATGAGTCTCCTGAATACAGTATACTGATGGGTCTTGACTCTTCATCCAATTTGCCAGTCTGTGTCTTTTAATTGGGGCATTTGGCCCATTTACATTTAAAAAAGGTTAATATTGTTATGTGTGAATTTGATCCTGTCATTATGATGCTAGCTGGTTATTTTGCCTGTTAGTTGATGTAGTTTCTTTTTTTTTTTTTTTTTTTTTTTTTTTTTGAGACGGAGTCTCGCTCTGTCGCCCAGGCCGGACTGCGGACTGCAGTGGCGCAATCTCGGCTCACTGCAAGCTCCGCTTCCCGGGTTCACGCCATTCTCCTGCCTCAGCCTCCCGAGTAGCTGGGACTACAGGCGCCCGCCACCGCGCCCGGCTAATTTTTTGTATTTTTAGTAGAGACGGGGTTTCACCTTGTTAGCCAGGATGGTCTCGATCTCCTGACCTCATGATCCACCCGCCTCGGCCGATGTAGTTTCTTTATAGTGTCGATGGTCTTTACAATTTGGTATGTTTTTGCAGTGGCTGGTACTGGTTTTTCCTTTCCATGTTTAGTGCTTCTTTCAGGAGCTCTTGTAAGGCAGGCCTGGTGTTGAGAAAATCTCTCGGTATTTGCTTGTCTGTAAAGGATTTTATTTCTCCTTCACTTATGAAGCTTAGTTTGGCTGGACATGAAATTCTGGGTTGAAAATTCTTTTCTTTAAGAATGTTGAATATTGGTCCCCACTCTCTTCTAGCTTATAGGGTTTCTGCAGAGATATCTGCCGTTACTCTAATGGGCTTCCCTTTGTGGGTAACCCGACCTTTCTCACTGGCTGCCCTTAACATTTTTTCCTTCATTTCAACCTTGGTGAATTCACCAATTACATGTCTTGGGGTGTCTTGGGGTTGCTCTTCTCGAGGAGTATCTTTGTGGTGTTCTCTGTAATTCCTGAATTTGAATGTTGGCCTGTCTTGCTAGGTTGGGGAAGTTCTCCTGGATAATATCCTGAAGAGTGTTTTCCAACTTGGTTCCATTCTCCCCATCACTTTCAGGTACACCAGTCAAATGTAGGTTTGGTCTTTTCACATAGTCCCATATTTCTTGGAGGCCTTGTTCATTCCTTTTCATTCTTTTTTCTCTAATCTTGTCTTCTAGCTTTATTTCTTTAGTTGATCTTCAATCTCTGATATCCTTTTTTCTGCTTGATCAATTCGGCTATTGATACTTGTGTATGCTTCATGAAGTTCTCGTGCTGTGTTTTTCAGCTACATCAGGTCATTTATGTTCTTCTCTAAACTGGTTATTCTAGATAGCAATTCATCTAACCTTTTTTCAAGGTTCTTAGTTTCCTTGCATTGGGTTAGAACATGCTCCTTTAGCTCGGAGGAGTTTGTTATTACCCACCTTCGGAAGCCTACTTCTGTCAATTCGTCAAACTCATTCTCTGTCCAGTTTTGTTCCCTTGCTGGCAAGGAGTTGTGATCCTTTGGAGGAGAAGAGGTGTTCTGGTTTTTGGAATTTTCAGCCTTTTTGCGCTGGTGTCTCCCCATCTTCATGTATTTATCTACCTTTGGTCTTTCATGTTGGTGACCTTCAGATGGAGTCTCTGAGTAGACGTCCTTTTTGTTGATGTTGATGCTATTCCTGTCTGTTAGTTTTCCTTCTAACAGGCCCCTCTGCTACAGGTCTCCTGGAGTTTGCTGGAGATCCACTCCCGACACTGTTTGCCTGGGTATCACCAGTGGAGGCTGCAGAACAGCAAAGATTGCTCCCTGATCCTTCCTCTGGAAGCTTCAGCCCAAAGGGGCACCAGCCAGATGCCAGCCAGAGCTCTCCTGTATGAGGTGTCTGTCGGCCCCTACTGGGAGGTGTCTCCCAGTCAGGATACATGGGGGTCAGGGACACACTTGAGGAGGCAGTCTGACCTTAGCAGAGCTTGCACGCTGTGCTGGGAGATCCGCTGCTCTCCTCAGAGCTGTCAGGCCGGGATGTTTAAGTCTGCTGAAGCTGTGCCCACAGCTGCCCCTTCCCCAACATGCTCTGTCCCAGGGAGATGGGGGTTTTATCTATAAGTCCCTGACTGGGAATGCTGCCTTTTTTTCAGAGATGGCCTGCCCAGAGAGGAGGAATCTAGAGAGGCAGTCTGGCCACAGCGGCCTTACTGAGCTGCGGTGGGCTCCACCCAGTTCGAACTTCCTGGTGGCTTTGTTTACACTATGAGGGTAAAACCACCTACTCAAGTTTCAGCAATGGCAGATACCCCTCCCCACGCCAAGCTCAAGCATCCCAAGTTGACCTTAGACTACTGTGCCGGCAGCGAGAATTTCAGGCCAGTGGATCTGAGCTTTCTGGGCTCTGTGGAGGTGGGACCCGCTGAGCCAGACCACTTGGCTCCCTGGCTTCAGTCTCCTTTCCAGGAGAGTGAGTGGTTCTTTCACTGGTGTTCCAGGCAGCACTAGGGTATGAAAAAAAAATCCTGCATCTAGCTTGGTGTCTGTCCAAACGGCCGCCCAGTTTTGTGCTTGAAACCCAGGGTCCTGGTGGCATAGGCACCAGAGGGAATCCCCTGGTCTGCGGATTGCAAAGACTGTGGGAAGAGTGCTGTATCTGGGCCGGAATGTACCATTCCTCAGGGCACAGTCCCTCATGGCTTCCCTTGGATAGGGGAGGGAATTCTCCGACCACTTGTGTTTCCCAGGTGAGGCAATGCCCCACCCTGCTTTGGCTCACCCTCCGTGGGCTGCACCCACTGCCCAACCAGTCCCAATGAGATGAACCCCGGGTACCTCAGTTGGAAATACAGAATTCACCTGCCTTCTGCGGCGATCTCTCTGGAAGCTGCAGACGGGAGCTGTTCCTATTTGGCCCTCTTGTCTGCAATCCCTTCCTTGAGTTTTGACAAAGCATATAATACTGGAACCTTATCCCCATCACGATATTAAACCTTGCCGTCCCAAAAGTCCCTTCATGCCCCTTCACAGTCTATCTCTGTCCACCCATCCTGCTCGCCCCCAGAGGTGACCACTTTTCTGAATTACTTAACCATAGATTAGAGTTTGAGTGTATACTGTCACGGTTGGCTTCTCTCACTCATAATGTTTTTGAGGTTCATCTTCACTGTATCATTTTTTTTCCTTTTTATTACTGAATATTCCTTTGCATCAGTCTATCGCAGTGTGGAGAATCTACTTCTGCTGATGGACTCCAGGGCTGTTTCCAGCTTTTGGCTGCTTTGAACATTCTTGGACAAGTTTTCTTGTGAATATATGCTTCTGTTTGCCTTGAGTAAACACTTAGGAGTGGGACTGTTGGGCTGCGTAGTAGGTGGATGGCTAATTTTAAAAGAAACTGGCAGGCCTTTTTTCCAAAGTGGTTGTACAATTTTATACTCCCTCCAACTATGTATGAGAGTTCCAGTTGTTCCATAGCCTTGACAAAACTTCTTTTTAATTTTAGACATTCTGGTGGGTGTGTAGATAAATAGGATTTTTAAATGATTAAGAGACAAATGACCCTGAAATCATGCACACATACACACAAATACCTAACTCAGAATTAATAGTGCTTTTTAGAACCAAGCAAAATCAGATGTTTGTAAACAAAGCATTTAGCACAAGGACAGCAAAATTTGTGGCAACTTATAATATTTTGAAGTAATTAAGGGTTTGAAATTATTTTTCTCCCTGAAACAAGCTGTAAGCCTCCAAGGACTTGCTGAGGAATCCCAGCTTCGAGCTCTGGCAAAGAGCTTCACAGGCCAAGGAGAGCAGTATTCACATTGCACAAACTAAGCACTAAAGCCTTCGGTTTCCCCAGTAACACACAAAATCAAACTTCCCAGTCACTGCTGCAAATGAGAATATTCTACATTTTATGCTTTTACAAGAGGAGAAACACACCACACTACAGAGAGACTGACTGGCATGGGGCATTGATGCCATTGAATCCCCGTCCCTTTGCTTTGAGTTAGTTTGCACATGACAAAACCTTTTGATAAGAGATACTCACACGTCCCCCCAAATTTCAAGGAAAACTGTGTTTCAGAGAGATGTCCCGCACTAATGCAGGGGGTGTTTCCTTGACCCCAGTTTAACAAGCCCGGTCCTGGCACATCCCTTCTGGGGCTTCACTGTAAACAGCAGCTTGACAGAGCAAATGGTTTTAGAGCCAAAGGGACACATTTGAAATTGGCTCTGCATACTACCTGTGTGGCTTGGGCAAGTTTCTTAACCTCTTAAACCTCAGCTTCCTTGCCTGTTCCAAGCAATGAGGATACCTCCCCTTGTGCAAGAGTGCCATCATGATTAGACTGCAGATGTCATGCTGCCAGCATGTGGGAATACACGTAAGAGATGGCTGTGGAGCAAAGTTCATCCCCTTGGCTGCCTACCGGAGAGAATGCCAAACCACAGACCCACTCATTCTGTATCTATTCTCCCAATGAGCTCAACTAAGTATTAAGGAAATAATTTTAGAATAATTTCTACTGAAATGACTGGTAAGTGTAGGGTCCACAAGAAAATTCTGATTCTAGGAGAATTTTCATCCAAGTGAATCATTAGTTGTACAGTGGGGTATCTGGAAGAGGTACGTGGATAATCAGAGTCAGCTTCAGTGAAAACCCAGCACCGCTGGGGTGTGACAGGGGAAGGTCTGCTGGCACTGCTCTCGGCACAGAGCATCATTAAGTCGGTCCCACAATAGGGTTCCTGACGGCAGATGCTGCTGCAGCCAGGAAGAGTCTCTGCTTGTAGAGCAAGGAGTTATCTCCATGCTGGGTTGCTAGCCATAGGCATGCAGAGAGCCCAGCAAAGGCAGGTGAGCCAGTCTGGGGGTGTGTTCAGCTCAAAATGCCAAATTATACTTGAAGAAGAATGGCCCAGAGCCACCTCAGCAGATGGAATTGGTACCTGTCATCCCTGCTTCTCCCTGTACCTAGTGGCTGGCATACATTTCCATCCCCAAAGCAGGATGTGCATGTGCACCTGCTGGCCTTGGGCTTTATCTGGCTCCACTCTAGACAGAACACAAAACCCATGTTGACATCGCAGGAGCTCCACGAGCCAATCGGCTGGCCCGAGGGGCAGAGGATACGCAAGAAAGGCTTTTTGTTGTGTTTTGTTTGTTTTTTGTTTTGTTTTTAAATAACATAGGGAGCCATGGGACACAGCTTCTAAAGGAGAGAGGCGTTTTGATTCAGAAAGAAAAGCTAAGCACTTAAAAATCACTTGTTTTTGTGTTAAAGCTATTTGAAAGAACAATTTGCAAGGCAAAAGTTTTATTCATTTGGTATCATATAAAAAATTCACACTATATCAGTAAGTAGCTGTATAGCAAATGGTCTTTATCCCTGAAGAAAACATGAAACATGGGAAATAAAAATGTCCCATAATTATGGGATAAATGAGTCACAGCCCTTAGTCACATTTTGACAAGGATATCACACAGGTTGGTCATGTAATTGTTTCCATAATTATGTGGAATGGACTGAGCAGAAGAGTTGGTAGAAAATCCTATTTTCACGCTTCAGTTTTATGTGATGATTTTTCAGTGGTTCAGTCAAGCTGAAACCTTTTACCTGTATCTGTCATACAGGGTGTTCTGCAGCGGACAGGCCTATGCAGACCTACCCCCCAAAGTCTGAGGAAGCTGAGAGGCCAAAGAAAGAGACTGACAACTCTAGTTGTCAGAAAGGAACATTAATAAGAACTTAAGAACAGAAGCCCTGTCTGTGTCTCTGGCAGCAGTGAGACAAGATGGTAGATCTGTGCACCATTACCCCCAGACCCAGGGCTTATATACCATACAGAAAGGGTGATTCAGAGGGATGTGTAGGACAACTGAAGTATGATAACATCAAGGTTGTTTGACCTAATGGCAGTATTTACAGTAGGTATGTGCTTTTACCCAAGGAACAATAGATAATTTGGGAATCTTTGAGGCCTTCTCAGAACTGAGGTTATTCAGAAGACAGCATGGCAGATTAGCATCCAAGATGGAGTTGCTTTGGCCTCCACACTCCAGCCTCCCAAAACCAGCTCTTAAAATCTCATGCACTCTTCCTCTTCTATGATGGTCTCTTAGCCTGTAGGGAGGGTGGCTATAGCTTTAGTAGCAGTACATTGGCAATGGAAAACAGCTCAGGCCCAGTGGGATTCCAAATGAGGGAGGTTCACAGGCTGTTGGAATCATCTCTAGTCTTAGGAATACCATGACTTCAGTTTTCTCAGAAGAAGTAAGACAATGAGAGATACTTAACATTAATAATTTGAATAGTAGAAATATAATGACACTTGAAAGAGAATTCGTATGCCAGAACAACAACAACAAAAAAAGCCTATTAGCCAACTAGAAGAACATTAAAACTTGGTTCTTCTTTAGAGACTTGTAGCCAGGAAGTAATTCAGGTTTAGCCCAAATTGTAGGCAAATAATAAAAACTCAAGAACAGTATTTCAGGTCCAGTTACAGTGGCTCACGCCTGTAATCCCAGCACTTTGGGAGGCTGAAGAGGGCAGATTGCTTCAGCTCAGGAGTTGGAGACTAGCTTGGCCAACATGGGAAAACCCTGTCTCTACTAAAAATACAAAAATTAGCTGGGTGTGGTGGCACATGCCTGTAATCCCAGCTACTCGGGTGGCTGAGGCCTGAGAATAGTTTGGACCCGGGAGGCAGAAGTTGCAGTGAGCCAAGTTTGCACCCACTGCTCTCCAGCCTGGACGACAGAGTGAGACTGTCTCCAAAAAAAAAAAAAGAAAGAAAGAAAAAGAAAAAGAGTGGTTAGGACTAGAATCTAAGTTTTTCTCTCTCCAGTTTCCCCATTTCTACCAAGGATAAATTATAGTACCTTGCTATTTCAGGAATAATGAAAAATAAAAAATAAAAAAATTACAGGACCAATTTATTTGCTTTAGTTGCAAAATAAATTTTAGTCTCACTATACTTGGCCTAATTATTTGCTTAAAGTGTAGCAAGAATAGTTATTAGTCATATAGGCT
This sequence comes from Homo sapiens, assembly GCF_000001405.40. NCBI lineage: Eukaryota > Metazoa > Chordata > Mammalia > Primates > Hominidae > Homo > Homo sapiens. Next base: position 77,393,651 of record NC_000005.10, read on the forward strand.
TCTTTTCAATTGGCTTTGCTGGAACTTTATAAGGAATTTTGGATTTGACATTTTAAAAGCCTTGAGACTAAGGATTCCCCATTAGACTATGCTTGTAATACCTATACATAGGTACTATACCTGTAGAAATTCCTCTCTTCTTTAGTTCCCAAAATATCTTGGTTCCTGGGCCTGTCAGAAAGTGATATTCTTTACTTACCAGAGGCCGGGAACCTTGTAAGGAACCATTTAGACAACGTACCAAGTTAGTCTTTCCAAAGGACTTTTTATCGGCTCTATAAAGTCAATGTCAATTCCTCAAAGCAGTCTGGTTATATCTGAAAATACATGATTCTAGTCAAAGCCTTGGTGAAATAACCAGTGTTTCCAATTGTGTCCTGTTACAAAACAAAACAGATTCTTACTGAATTTATGCAAACAACTACATTGCCATAAAGTAAGAATACTCATGAAAAGTTTCCAAATTCTGGAGAACTCAGGTAGAGGGAAGAAGTAAATTTTGCTCACAAAAGTATCCTTTACAATCAGAGTAGCAGTCTTCCAAACAGGATGTTGCCCGTTCATCATGGAACGGCCATCCACAAACCAAGCAGCTCTTAGTCAGGTGAGGGAGCTGTTTGTCAGGCACTGTAGAATCCAGCAGCTCCTCACACAGTTTCAGAGTCAGTCCTAGGGAAAAAAGAGGCTCTCTGCTCATGAGTATCTCCTCCTCGCACTCTTCAGGTAGCAAGATCCTATATAAACCATTTCCATTTTATCATGGGACTCTTTTTGGGCACTGTGATCCCCATCAGAGTGTTTCTCTGACATTACCCCCATATGCCCTAGTAAATGATTCACTAAGGGCTGTCAAGTGAAGAATTTATCCCTACAAGCACTCTGGCATGCTACATTCTGTGGGCTCAGGCAGTCTTATTCCCATTTAGCATATCCAATTAATATTGCTCAAAGGGCAGATTTGCATGCCTTCTCTTCTGTAGTACTAGGTAGGAAAAATGTTTCAGCAGTCAGATATAATATCCATTTTCATAAAACATTTAAGGAAAAGAGATATAACTATTTCACATAAAGACTATTTAAACATTTCAACTTTCATAATTCCATCAGCCCTTACATTTTTATGTTCTGCTTCCAGGAACTTCTCTTTTGCACCCCTAGACCATTTTACCCTCTTGTCAAAAAGGCTTTGGCTTTGCAGCAGGGGATTGAGCCAAGGGACCTGGGCACTTTGGTCAATGTGTCTTGATTAATTACCTCAACATTGCCCCAGGCAATTGTTGATCACCTTTCTCATTTTAATCTTTACCTTTTGATTTTTCAAAAAAATATTTTCCAATCTAGGGTAAATACAGAAAACTGGTTTGGGTTCCTGTAATGTTGGGGGAAAAGCAGGGGCTCACCATGGTCCATCCAGCTTTTGGTAGTGTTGTATTAAGAACTTTGTTTGAACCCTATCAATTTCCAATTCATTCAATTTCTTTTTTGAGACAGAGTCTCACTCTGTCACCCAGGCTGGAGTGCAGTGGCGCGATCTCGGCACACTGCAAGCTCCGCCTCCCGGGTTCACGCCATTCTCCTGCCTCAGCCTCCCAAGTAGCTGGGACTACAGGCACCCGCCACCACACCCGGCTACTTTTTGTATTTTTAGTAGAGAGGGGGTTTCACTGTGTTAGCCAGGATGGTCTCAATCTCCTGACCTCATGATCCGCCCGCCTCAGCCTCCCAAAGTGCTGGGATTATAGGCGTGAGCCACCGCGCCCGACCTTCAGTTTCTTAATAACCAAGATTTCCACCCTGCTGGGACAAATTCCATGACTCTCCCTTTCTGTTTTTCTTAGTTTCAACCCTTTCAATTTTTAAAAATTTACCTTTTAAAATAACTTTTAAAATTTTCACCTCGCTAGGATAAGTCCTTTGACTCTCCGTTTTGCCATTCCCTATGCTCTTGTTAATTAGCCTAATGTTTTTATTAGCATCTGTAAGACCCATGAGGGGAAGTTGAGACAGCAAATTTGAGGCTTCCTGAACTTTTAATTTTTCATCAGTAACGAAGTGCCCACGCAAAAGTCCCTCCTACCCCACCCCCACCCCCTCACCAGACACACACATGCTTAACCACAGCATTTACCATGACCTGGGTAATAGGCATATTGATGGGGTGGCTATCCCTGTCATAAAGCCAGTTCCACATGGCTTATAGACAAAGCATATCAGCTGCTTCATCTGGGGTGCTCCACGTAGCATTGGGGCCGACCCCATTCTCAGGGTAAACAGATCTGACAGAGGCTTTTATCCAGTCCACCAGGCTGGCTGTTCCCTCAGGAATAACCTCCCATGTGTCTGGATCACATATAGCCATCTGTGATTGTTCAGTAGTGAGCTGGGGATCGTGCATCAACCCAAACATGTTTTACCACTCTGCAGCATTTAAAACCAAAGACACTGCTCCAAATTAGCTACTTTCACAATTCAACAACAGGTTTTATCCAGGGAGCTGATGATGCCTATCTACAAAAGGGAACAATTCCTTCACACAGTACCCTCTGGTTTCAGCAGTTACTTGGGTTTTGCCCTTCCCCCACATTGACTACCTTCTTGGCAACCACAGGTCTCAGAGGTACTTTCTGTTGCCCTGTCATTATTTTCCCCTTTGTAGATAGCTTTGAGGCTAATGATCTGAGCTCAGACAGACCCACATTTGAGCTTGGTGCAGCCTCAAGGCCCAATCTGGCACTCTTATTTTAGCTTTTATAGAAAATAACCAAGGTACTGAATATTTCACTTTTCCTTATTGGTTTGCATTTACTTATGTATCCAGTGAACAACTCCTTAGGAGTTGGATTTTTCTCTAAATTCCACTGGTAACTCTTACCTTTTAGTAACTGAGCACAGCACAGCTACAGCTCCATACCATAGGTGACCACGTGGCCGCCCAGGAATCAATCAAAAGTTCCTCATTCTCTATCCTTTTATCCTTTCCCTTTCTATCCATCTAGTTTTATCTGTATCATTTTTCATTCATTTTAAAACAACCTTTAAATAGCCTCTAAACTATGTGGTTACTCTTCCTTTAGGCAAAAACCTCATCTTCATGTTTTTAATAAACTTCTTTATCAAAACACATCTTTCTTTCTTCACTTTCATGTAGAATTGTTTCTCTTATATTTAGTAGTTTTAATTACATATATTAACTACTACTTTAACTCGTAGTAACCCTAATTTCCATGGAAAAACCTAGGATTACTTAATTTAACATAACAGATTTTAAGATTTCAAATTACTGAAAAGAACTTTGAAACTAGTTTTATTTGAAAGATTACTAAAGTTAGGTGAACTAAAAGGCATTTGAGTTGGTTTCTATATTTCCGATAAGAAATTTTTTTTTTTTTTTTTTTTTTTTGAGGCAGAGTGTCACTGTGTTACCCAGGCTGGAGTACAGTGGCATGATCTCGGCTCACTGTAACCTCTGCCTCCTGGGTTCAAGCAGTTCTGTCTCAGCCTCCCGAGTAGCGGGGACTACAGGTGCACACCACCCTGCCTGGCTAATTTTTGTATTTTTGGTAGAGACAGGGTTTCACCATATTTGTTAGGCTGGTCTCGAACTCCTGACCTCAGGTGATTCACCTGACTTGGCCTCCCAAAGTGCTGGGATTACAGGAGTGAGCCACTGTGCCCAGCCAGAACTTACTTTTTCTTTAAGCCAAATTAGAGCTCTGTCATATATTTTGGTAATGATGTATCACATATATAACATACTAAATATATATAGACATACACACAAACAGAAGCAGCTCTTATAGACTTATAAGATTCTTCATTTGCCAGTTCTCAAATAGCTTCTCTCCCACCTTTACACAACCCACCCAAAGACATGACTCAGATGAAACAAGGTGGAGAAGATCTACATCTCTAAGGCACAGAACTTAGACCTAAACAGCATTATCTGGAAACAAGATTGCCAGGAAAAATGTCTTCTCTTCAACTTAGCTTGTTTCTTACATTACTGGCTTCAAGGTGTCAGTATATTCTTATATTACTGGCTTTAAGGAACAGGGCCAAGAAAGCATGGAAGTTTTAGGGCCTAAACCACACAATTCTTATCCAAACATGCCAAGAAATGAGTAGCCCTTATAGTAGTAACCACTTGCTTTAACAACTGCTGTCGGCCACCTCTAACAATATAGCTGTTGCCCGTGACTGCTAGCCATTAGGTACAAGGTCAGCAACTCTCACAGTAAAAAGTAATCTCTGTACCCCACCCCCCGCCTCCCCACACACTAACCAGAGATGAGATAACACAATACAAAAGAGTGCAGTTTTAGACCTGAGTAGAATCTGTCTGCTTACTACCCTTGGGTTTCATGAGGAAAAAGAGATTCTTCCCTAAAAGAGGAGTCTTTGATGCCGTCTGTTTTCCCCAAGGGATCCCAGGCTGTTGGAAATTCCTTTTTTTAGATCCCTCGTGTGGCAAGAAGTAGTAGGAACAGACAGAAGTAAATGGAGAAACAGAATTTGGTCAGAAGTTTTACAGAGAGTGCAGAGGCCTTAATACATATGTAAACATATACAGCCCAAATTTCAGTTTTAACTAAGTTTACTTTTGACTGTAGGGCCCTTAAAAAAAAAAAACCTTTTTCCTAATTGTAATTCCTAATCAAGCTGTTTTACTTTTTTTTTTTTTTTTTTTTTGAAATGGAGTCTCACTCTGTTGCCCAGGCTGGAGTGCAGTGGCACAATCTCTGCTCACTGCAACCTCTGCCTCCTGGATTCAAGCAATTCTCCTGCCTCAGCCTCCTGAGTAAGCTGGGACTACAGGCGCCCGCCACCCCACCCAGCTAATATTATATTTTTAGTAGAGAGGGGGTTTCACCATGTTGGCTAGGCTGGTCTTGAACTCCTGACCTGAAGTGATCACCCGCTTTGGCCTCCCAAAGTGCTGGGATTACAGGAGTGAGCCACGGCGCCCGACCGGCTGTTTTACTTTTGTGTCTGCTGCTGGCTGGCTCCCGCTAAGACACAGTCATCTTACCGCACTGGCTGCCTGCTGCCCTTCCGGGCCACAGTGTGATGGTTGGCACTCAGTTCACCGTCACTCTAAACCCGCTGGCATTTGGGGTCATCCCCACACTCACGGGGTGGTCCACAATCATCTGAAGTGTGAGCCACACCATTCCACATAGAAGTGGCTGCCCACCACAAGATTTCCTCCATTTTTTGGTCTCTCAGCTCCTGGCCTGGCTTACCACACGTCAGAGTGGGCAGGCCTGTGCACACCTACCCCAAAGTCCGAGGAAGCTGAGAGGCCAAAGAAAGAGGCTGATGAATCCCGTTCCTCGGAATGAAACATCTAATAGGAACTTATGAACAGAAGCCACGTCTGTGCCTTGGATGGTGGCAAGACAAGATAACGGATCCCTGTTCCATTACCCACAGACCCAGCACTTACATACCAGAGGAAAGGAATGTGTAGGACACTTGCAGAGAAAGGCAAGAATGCTATGTGAATCTGCCTAAGGGCAGGATTTATGGTCAAGGTTGTTTTGATGTAAGGGCAGGATTTACGGTAAGTACATGCTCTTCTTACACAAGGAACAGTAGATAAAATAGTAATATTGGAGGCCATCCCGGAACTGGGGTTAATCAGAAGTCAACATGGTGGATTAGCATCCAACATGGAGTTGCTTTGGCCTCCGCAGACAGGGTTTCTGGCTATTACAGTTGATGTTGCTAAGCCATATTAATCTGCCTCTGCAGATGTCCTACACACTCATCTGTCTTATTTTTCAAGTTAACCTACCCCATTCATTGAGTGGCTACAAAGATTTAATGGTCTGAGCACTTGAAAGTAGGTTGATTTAGCAGTGAAGCCGCATGATTATAAGTTTAATAGAACTAAATGTGCCCCACTAACAGTGTTGGGGTCAGTTATAAAACAAGAAATGCAGGATCCCAAAGAAAGCACACTTATTATTTCTAGTGCTAATGACTTCCTTTTGTCATTTGACAGACATTTATTGAGCATTAGCACAAAACCATTAACAACAAAAAAAATTGATAATGAGAAAGAATAGGTGGAAAACTGCATCTAAAGTTCAGATCTCATCGTGAGAAAACATTTTATAAATTGTCTATAATTGAGCATTTGAAGAGCTTTGTAGGAAATGTTTTTAACTCCTAGGCTTAAATTCAGATTATTCTGTAGCACAGAAAAATTTTATAACGTATCTGAAACAAACAGGTTATATGTTAGCCTTATAAATAACTTAAATTTAGTTATATCTTTTATCTTTCTGCATTTCTGTAGGCTGTCAAAATGAGACAGTAGCTGACTGGAGAAGTAGATGTCCTGTCTAGAGAGTATGTGCCTTGGGTACCTTCCTGCTCTCAGGCTCAGCCATTCTATAAGTGTCTGAAAGTAACAGAGCCTTTGGATTAGTACCACTTGGTGTATGTCTTTCATCTGTTCATATTATATGTGCAGCTTCTTGCTTTCTTCAAGTCTTCAGAGCTTTTTAACTAAATTGTTTGATGAGAAATATAGCAAATGGCATATTTAAAATCTTTCTCTTGTTTTATCAAACTTTTGAACGACTTTAGATTCACAAGATTCATCGTGATTCAGGAGACAATTCTCAGACAGGTGAGAATACTTCAATTGAACTCTAACATACTTAGGAGGCAGCTGTGGGTTCAAATGTATACATTTCTCTGAAGAAGTCTAAGTTGACATCTACTACCCCAGAATGTGGAGTGCTAAAATCCACGTGCTCATATCACAAGGTTGGCAAGCCAGAAGAAAAGCAGAAATCCCTTAAAATGTCCTTGAATCTTCCTTTATGGCAACCTTATCATACTGAACGCCCTCCCCATCTTGTTTTTCTTTTCTTGGCTAGATACCATGTAGGACAGATAAACCCAAGAGAGTGGGCCGAAAGTCTAGGGGAGACACTGGTTGAATATGACACAGGTGACAATATGGTAGTTGCTCAACCGTGTCCAGTCTCCCTTTTCTTTGCACTAATTGGTGACTGTACAGTTGGAAAATGTGGCTAGGTCCTGGCCTGGGAGGCAGAAGCACCAAGTTCCTATTTCAGTTTCCTACTCGCTCATTTCATATGTTGGGCAAGACTCTGCTTGGTTCTTGGCTTCCTCCATAAAAAGAGGAGCTGGACCTGATGACTTCTACAAGTGGAAAGGTCTGGAATTCTCTGACCATTAGAGGGAAAAAAAATCAGTCTGCTACCAAGAAGTTAAGATTTTTGTGCCTGCAAGAATTGCAACATTCTTTGCCCTGTTGGTGGCTTTCCCAGCCACTAATGCATGATGTCAGACCCTAGGCTAAGTGTTTAGTCTCTCTTCTTGGTGAGGTGGATCATATCTAGCATACTTAGAAAGATGTCATTTGCTCTTTCTAAGCTTCAAATTTTTTCATTTGTAAAATGAATTAACAAAAGCCCATCTCATTGTTAATGAGGATTAAAGAAGGAAATGTATAATGCTTAGCAGTAACTGGCATTTAACTTGTACCTTCCTTCCCCCTTTCTGAAAACTTTCTAGACATGAACAGGCTGGGATAACATAATGACACTTCACACACAGGTGCATTTTCTCTCTCTCCCTCACTCACACACATACATTTTAGTTAATTTCTTGTAACACCTGAGCAGGGGTATTATTTTAACTAACTTGGGAGCTTCTGGGTGCCACAAATTGTTCCAAGCATTTTTGTGTCCTTTGCAGTGCCCAGCATTGCCTTGTACATAATAGACACTTTGCAAATACTCAGCAAATATTGGTAAATTGAAACCATTCCATCTTGGAAGTACAGTTTCCACCATTTATTCTCTTTTTGATCTTGGGCTACCTACAAAATCTCTCCATGCTTAAATTTCTTATCAGTAAAATGGGGATAGCCCTATGTAGTTTTGAGAATTGTTGTAATGATTGAATGAGACAATTATTTAAAGTACATAGCACAATGCCTGTCACAAAGTAGGCACTCAGTAAGTGGAGCTATTTTTTTTTTTCAATTGGTGGCACATATTCCTTTTTGCCACAGAGTACAGCTGTTTAAATGTCCTTTATCCTTTCTCTGGCTTAAGTTTCTAATTCATGTAAACATCTGTTGAAAGAATGACAATGAATTCTTTAATTATGTGGCCTTACTTTAGCCTTTATTGAAGAATAATTTCTCTAAACTTTTAATCACTTCTATTGCTATAGATTCTCTTAATTTTAACTGAGATAAAATGAGGAAGAATAAACATCATCCATCTTTGAATAATTTCTAATGAACGACTTAGAATTCAACCAGCTAGCCTGGGCCACAGCCTTGAAGCTAACCTCTCTTTTAGTTTTGTTTAGAAACTACATTTTGAGGAATTCTTGGTTCTTGAATCTTGAATTTAATCTTAAATTTTTAAGTTAGATTTAACTTATTACTTGGTACACAAATAAATGCTAGGACTGTATATGATTATGAGGTCCCTGAATAGGCTAAACCAAGTGTCTCACAAGTGAGCAGTATTAGTTTCGTTTCTCAGGGATTCAGAAATGCCATGATCCCAACAATATCACTTAAAGTACTATTATTTATAGATAATTGTAAAAATATATATATATAGAAACTTATATGCAAGGATAGGTAAACTACTAAGGTAGAATTTGGAAGATAAAAATTAGGAAAAGAGATAGTATAATAAATATTTTAAGTTAGATTATTTAAGATAAGGTGCTATAGCTATGGTGTTCAGATTAACTTTATAATAGTTCCGCTTTCACTTCATGTTGTATAAAAATAATTCAGTTTTAATTTTTGATTTAATAATTTTTTTAGTTGAATCAGGTTTTTAGGACACTAAAGTAAATGGTTAAGAAGGTGGTCTAGAAAAGTGTCTAAGACATTATAAAGTGAAAACAGTAAGTAGTAGAACAATGTAACATGATCACATGTGTCTAAAGACATATATGCAAATGAACGGATGTAATTAATAGCCCCCATATACTACATGCTCACTATGTGGCAGACACTGTTCTAAATGCTATGCATATATTAACTCACTTATTTCTCAAAACAGCCTATAAATGAGATGCTATCATTACCCCCACTTCATAGACAAGGATAATGAGACCCAGAGAAGTTAAGTAACATTTCCAAGATTACACAGCTGCTGAGTGGCACAGTAGAAATTTGAATCTTGACGATTTGGCTCTGGACCTGGTTTCCTTAACTACTAGGCTTCTTGCACCTGCTGTCACTAGGCAATTCTTAAAGAAGTGTTATTGCATCTTTTTTTTATTCTTGGAATATGATCACTTATTGGCATCTGAGAAGCGCATTCTTCCTGCTGAAATTTGCATGTCTGCCTCCTCTCTTAGCCTAGTGAGGAGTAATCTGTGTTATGGTTAAATTTCTCTACTCGCTTATGAGTTACTCTCACAGAAGCAAATGCGCTGAAAATGTGTGTTTCTGAAGCCAACACTGCTGCCTTGTCATTTTTTATATCTCGGCGCTCACTGGTGGCATATGCTTTTTGTTAGTTTTTACATTAACATGACCGTGCGTTTTCAGTGTTAAATTCAAGTCTGCAAAGATTTAGGCCAAAATTCTTTAAATGTTTGCCTGCCCCCACCACCCTGGAAAATAGGGACAAGGGTGAAGGTTTAGTTATTGAAATGTTGGGGGAATCTAAAACTGTTTTCTTCCTTTCCTGTGATCAGCAGTATGCATCATTTGATGAAATCCATCCTTAAAGAGAATCTAGAAGCCCATCTAGAGGTCTGACTTTTCAGAGGTGCCAAAATTCGTCTGAATTAATCTCGTAATTTAAATCTCTATAAGTTTCATTAGTATTATATTTCCTCAAATATCCCCATTTAAAAGCCTTCCCTATCCAGTTGAATATATTGTCTTTCAAGTAAAGATTTAAAGTACTATTATTTATAGATAATTTTAAAAATATATATTGAAACTTTTATGCATGATAGGAAAATTACTAAGGAAGATAAAAATTAGGAAAAGAGATAGTATAATAAATATTTTAAGCTAGATTATTTAAGATAAGGTGCTATAGCTATGGTGTTCAGATTAACTTTATAATAGTTCCACCTTTACTAGTTCAATAGTTCCCCCGAGAATGTCCCTCAAGTTTTAATGTTTATTTTCTTAAATTCTTTTTTTTTTTGGAGACAGAGTTTCACTCTTTTTGCCCAGGCTGGAGTGCAATGGCACAATCTCAGCTCACTGCAACCTCTGCCTCCCAGGTTCAAGCGATCCTCCTGCCTCAGCCTCCCAAGTAGCTGGAATTACAGGCATGCACCACCATGCCTGGCTAATTTTTTGTTGGTTTTTTTGAGACAGTCTCGCTCTGTCACCCAGGCTGGAGTGCAGTGGCACGATCTTGGCTCATTGCATGCAACCTCTGCGTGCTGGGTTCAAGCGAGTCTCCTGCCTCAGCCTCCTGGGTAGCTGGGATTACAGGCATGCTCAACCATGCCCGGCTAATTTTTGTATTTTTAGTAGAGATGGGGTTTCACCATGTTGGTCAGGGTGGTCTCGAACTCCTGACTTCGTGATCTGCCCGTCTCAGCCTCCCAAAGTGCTGGACTTATAGGCATGAGCCACTGTGCCCAGCCTAATTTTATGTATTTTTTTAGTAGAGACAGGGTTTCTCCATGTTGGTCAGGCTGGTCTCGAAACCTGACCTCAGGTGATCCACCCGCCTGCCTCAGCCTCCCAAAGTGCTGGGATTACAGGTGTGAGGCCCTGCGCCCGGCCTAATGTTTATTTTCAAAATTACATTCATGTAACTAAATAACCCTTGATACTAAGCTATATTACTATGATATAACATGGCATTATCTTAAAAAACCATCATTTAACTAATATGACTATAATTTTTGTCTTTCATGATTTGAAAAGAAAGTGGTTGACTGTTTCTTAAAATTATTTTATAGTGCTTAAAAAGTAACCTTGTTTTCTTTAGAGAATAAAGAAAAAACATGTTTGAATCTCTTCTGTGAATACACGGAAAACTAATCACCTTCCCTTTCTAATCTGAAATCCTTAGAGCCTCATTCATTCAGATATAAGAACAGGAGGAAAGAGTCCATTGACGTGAAATCGATATCATCTCGAGGCAGTGATGGTAAGATGTTTTTCAGATTCCTCTGACCTTTTTAAAATGTAGAAAATGATGGAAGAATATGTTAAAAAATTCATCAGCGTATAAACTCCAAAGAGTAAGAGTTCAACAACACCGACTTATTTTTCAATAAGCTCAAAGGTTTTAGGGGTTTTAATTATTTTAATTATTTTTAAAAATCTTATGCTGTAGTCTTTGTCGTCTCTTTGGAGGGACTCCATGCTTGTTCCTTGATGGCTTGAAGCATGTTGAGCCATAACCACCCAAGCAACTCAGAGTTTTAGTAGCTGAACAAGGTCACTCTTGGGTGCTAGAGGCAGAGAGGCAGCCAGTCCTGGCTTCCCAACTCCCAACACAAACCTAGTTTTCAGTGTACCAGCTATATGCACTCACTTCTTAATAAAATGTCACAGAGAAATCGTGAGGCAGAATTTAGCAAAATGTTTCTGCCCTGCAAGGCAGGATTTAGCAAAACATTTTTTGAGTTCCATCAGCCAGGCCTAAGTAAACAACTGGATTTGCAGGGAGATGGAAAAGTCAAAGACGATTCTGACATTTCATTCCTCGGTGTCTGGGAAATTTTAAGTCATATATACAGAAATGGAAACGTCTCCAGGTTTTGCTAGGTTGGGGGTTAAGGAGAAGATGATGAATCTTATTTTAATGGAGATGGCTAGGAAGCTAACCTGCAACCCTGGTACTCGGGGCTATAGATGTGGAGTTGGCAGTCCTAGTGGTGACAGGTGAAGCCAGGAGCAGAAGAACATCTCTAAGGGGTGTGTGATGTGCATGTAGTGAAAGGACAGAGGGTCCAAGCCTGAGCCTGAAGGCATAGTCTCAGCCAGGGGGTGGGCAGTGGAAATAGGGCCAGTAAAGAGGACAGAAGAGCTGGGGGTGACCATGAGAGTGCAGTGTCACATGAACCAAGAACAAGAGGGGATTGAGAAAGGCGGTGGCCAGCAGTGTTAGATGCTGTGGATATCAGAACTCGAGAGCGGACAACAGACTAGTAGATTTCACTCGCTCATTTGATTTTTATTTGGCAAATGGGAGGACACGTTCTGGGGTGTGAGGAGGGGATGGTTAGTGCCTGTGATAGAAAAGAGAGATGAGGCTGGTAACTTAAGAGAGTCAACAGAAAGGACAAGGGAGGGACTTTCCAGTCCTTCTGTACACAGTAGGAAGACTGAGTATGAAAGTGGCTGACATAGGCCAGGTGCGATGGCTCATGCCTGTGATCCCAGCAGTTTGGGAGGCTGAGGCAGGCGGATCACCTGAGGTCAGGAGTTCGAGGCCAGCCTGATCAACATGGTGAAACCCCCTCTCTACTAAAAATACAAAATTAGCTGGGTGTGATGACGCATGCCTTAATCCCAGCTACTCAGGAGGCTGAGGCATGGGATTCGCTTGAACCCAGGAGGCGGAGGTTGTGGTGAGCTAGATCGTGCCTCCAGCCTGGGCAACAAGAGCGAAACTCCATCTCAAAATAAAAATAAAAATAAAAAAAATTTAAAAAGTGGCTGACATAGCAAGAACCAAAGATGCTAGAGACAAGATGATAATTCACAGGGCATGTGAGGGACAGTAACCAATAATATAAAGAGAATATGAATCGAGAGATTTTTGAGATGGATTGAGCGGATAGATAGAATATTTTAGTCTGAGAGGATAAGGGATGAGGGAATTTGAACTGGATTCACTGTTTTTGGAGCAGAACTTGAAGGGGACTGTCTTCTTTCCAGTACGGGCACAGTGGAGGCTGAAGAGCATGCAGGTCTGCAATGGCTGCTGCACTAGCAGCGGGGGGACCCCAGAGGTGGCTGAGCAGGAGGCAGGCTCTGATGTGGGGTGGGTTCAGTGATCCCATCCATGAAATGGGACTCCCCCTCCTGCCTGCCTCAGAGGGGGTGGTAGGAAGATCTGATGAGAACAGTGCTTTTCAAGTCAAGCTTCTACCCTTGGCATCTTAAACCAAGTATAAACATTAACTATGTAGAAAAATAAAAGATTTTTTAAAAAATGAAAGCTTCTGTAGATTTGAACTAGAACTTCCATGGGTTTCTGGGAGTTAAGAGCCTAAAGGCATGGGCAGGCGGAGTGACTGGCCCTAATTCAGACTGAGAATGGGCTCAATCCTCCGCCCTGACCCTAACCATGAACTGCCTCCCCTCTCAAGCTGGCTGCACAGTCATCTGGTTACACGGCCAGCAGCTTAGGACTGAAAGTCATGGAACTGCAAAAGTTGGGTTTGGGTGACTTGGGGGAAAGTGAGCCGTGTGGGGGTCATTAAGCTGTTGGAATGAGGCCTTTTTGGACCTCATCAACCTTCTCTGAAATTCCCCTTGTGGACTTGGGGCTCAGCAAGCCCTCCTGCCTCCAAAGTTCCAGGCCAGATCGCCTTTCCAGACTCAGGCAAGTAGCAGTTGGGCTACCAGCCTTGGCAGAAGAGATGGGTGAATTCATGGCTTTTTAGGTGGGAGGGTGGCCCTGTGAGAAGCGGGCCCTGGTCCATGAAGGGACTCCTTTGCTGCACTTAGCCACACTGAGCCACCGGAACTGGACACAGCTTTCTTGCCTTCTCTCCAGCACCAAGCCTGCAGAATCGTCGCTATCCGTCCATGGCGAGGATCCACTCCATGACCATCGAGGCTCCCATCACAAAGGTGAGTGGCGGCTGCTGCCTGCACTCTGCAGTCAGGGGCCCTCACACAGGGCCGTGCTCTGAAAATACATCACACTGACATCATGGAGCTCAGTCTAGTGGAAGAAGCAAATAACAGGCAAATAAACACATAGCAAATAAACACCTCATCCTAAGTCACAATCAGGGCAGTGAAGGAAAACAAGCGGGTTCTGTGAGAGAAAATTAGAGTAGGGCCCTTAAGTAGGTTGGAAGAGAGGGTGGTCAGGGAAACTCTCAGTCATGTTTGAAGCAAGTCTTGAAGCATAAGATGTTACTCAGGAGAAGAAGGAAGAGAAGACTCCGGGTAGCAGGAACAGCCAGGGAAAAAGCATTGCAATGGGCGAAGAGGGACTGGAACATTTAAGGAGCTGAAAGAAAGTCGGAGTGGCCGGAGCTTGGTAAGCAGGTGAGAGAGGAGGAGGATGTAGGTTGTACAGGGCTCAGCTCATTCTGGACAGCAGGGACATAGTTAGGAGTTTGTATCTTAGTTTATGTGCACTGGAAACCACTGAAGAGTTTCAGGTGTGGGGTGGGTGATGTGACCAGATATGTTTGTTGAAAAGAACACCCAGCTTCTGTGCAGAGAATCGATTGGAGGTGGCAAGAGAACAGGTCAGTTAGGGGGCTATTCTAGAAGTAGCTGAGCTAGAATTATAGCTGTGGAGGTGGAGAGAAATGAATAGATCAAGAAATATTTTGAGGCAGACCAATAGGACTTGGTGATGAATTATATTGCCAGGGTAGGGAGAGGAATGAGGAAAAGTATTATGTCAGGCATGGCCCTCCCAGGTTTTTGGTGTGAGCATGAAGTGCTTTCTTGATAGAAAATGACATGAGATAGAAGTGCTTTCTTTTGCAGTGTAGAAACCACAGAAGGTGAACAGCTTTTGTCTTTGATTTTTTTGTTGTGTGTGTTTATGTGATTTCTATGGAGAGAGGGGAACAAGACTGCAGTTTAGTGTTAGACCTGTGAGATATTCCAGTAGGTATGTCAGGTAGGGAATTGAATGTACAAGCCTGGAGGTCAAAGGAAGTTGAGGGCTGGGAGGTATATCGAAAGTCCCTAGCTATAGGTGTCCAAAGTCGTGGAGACAAAATATCATTTCTGGAAGCGAGAGAGTGAGAGAGGGGCCCAGAACAGATCTCTGAGCAACTCCAATCTGTAGAGGAGGGCCAGGGGAGGTGAATCTGCAAGGGAGCCTGAGGAAGCCTACTCACTGAGACAGGAGAACATTCACCAGGAGCCCGCAGGGAGAAAAGCATGCTTCAGGAAGAAGGGCGGTGCCGTGAAAGCACTGGTCATTTTGAATAAGAGATGGTTACCCACTGATTTCTTTTGGATTCTGGGCATATATATGACTTTTGGGAAGTAGAACCCTATTATCCTCAGATGTATTCTTTCTTCACTCCGTTAGGTTATAAATATAATCAATGCAGCCCAAGAAAACAGCCCAGTCACAGTAGCGGAAGCCTTGGACAGAGTTCTAGAGATTTTACGGACCACAGAACTGTACTCCCCTCAGCTGGGTACCAAAGATGAAGATCCCCACACCAGTGATCTTGTTGGAGGCCTGATGACTGTGAGTGATGAGGCAAAACCTGAAAAGCAAGAGAGGTATCCGGGGCCTCTAGAGTGCAGCTGATGTGGAAACTGTTACCTGTGGTTGCAGAAGTACCTGTTATATAGACTAACGTTAGCATAACCAGAAGCAACTGCGTCAGAATTTATGTATAACATGTGCAGTGGTATTTGAGTGACTCTTGCATTTGTCTTTCCATGAGGCTGGCCTACCATAGCCATGGGGACAGTGTTTCAGAATTCCTATGACTGCAGGGAGTCATTGGGCAACTGATGGAGGGCTCAATGTGCAAGATGGGGCTTTGCAGGCTCTTGATTATTCCTGCTTTCCCTTGATCTGGTATAGTATTGGATTTCATTTCCATGGACCTCAGATTCCTCATGTAATGAAAGGGTTTATTGTTAGACTATAGCATTTAATCTTAACTATAGAATCCTTTATTTAAAGTTTGTATAGAAGTTCCATTTATAAGGTAAAAGCAGACTGGGGCTGTTCTGGCTCAGGGAGGGGAAGGGGAGAAGGAACCTCTCACTGCCACATTCCAAAAAGAACCATTTACACCACCAAGAGTAGCTGGTTTCTAGGGACTCAACCTATTCTGGTGTTTTGCTGTGATCTATTTGGCTTTCATAATTATCTATCAGCAAGTAAAGAAAAGGAAAAAAATTCAAATTGTTTATTTGAGTTCCCCATCAGAGTCTGAAGCTGGAATTCTTTAGAAAAAAAGTCCAGAAGTCATGTATGAGTTTGACTTTGAAGGTTTCTGTCCAGCCCTGCAGCCAAATGCTGAATGTTGACTGCCTTTCCCCTCCATTCTCCACCTGGAACTTGAGGGCCTTCTTGTTTCTTTCTTGCCCCTGGGCTGGCCTGTTAACTCCATCTAATGCAGTGCAGACCTCAGCTTCTAGGCAGCACTGCCAAGGGCTCTGCAAGAAGGTGGCCACCGCAGAGCTGCAGTGGGAGGGGTCTGGTTCTGGGAGCAAGCCATGTTCCCTCCCTCCCCTGCTGCTGATGCAGGACAGGCAAGTCCCCAAACTGGGGCTCAGCCCGGGAGGGTTCTTGGCCTCGCCCAGGAAATAATTCAAGGGCAAGCTGGTGGTGTTAAACAGCAACTTCTATTGAAGCAGCAGTTGTACTGCAGTGGCAGAGGGACTGCTGCTTGCAGAGCGGGGCTACCCCATGGGCAGTGTGCCCCTGGTAGCAGCTCAGAGGCAGCACTGCACTCATCTTTATACCTACTTTTCATTACATGCAAATGAAGGGGCAGTTTTTGCAGATATTTCTAGAATGAGGGTGGTAACTTCTGGGTTGTTACCATGGAAAGGGTGGAAAGGTCTGGATGTTGTCATGGCAACGGTAAACTGCCGTGGCATGCTGGTGGGCATAGCTTATGGGGAGGTGCTTCTGCCCTGTTCTACCTAGTCCTCAATTTGGCCCCATGTCCGAGTCCCTTCTCCTACCTCACTGCCATACCATCGTGGGTTTCCTCTCCAGAGAATGCTGTGAGGAACCAGTGAGTGATTCCACCTCAATTTTATGTGGTTTTGGGGAAGCGGAGCGAGAGAAGAGCAAGTAAAACCAAGAATCTCTTGCCATACACACGTTACAGGCAGGACAATTGTGGCTGTTGTTACTTCTGTATTTACTCAGTTTTTAAAATTAAGCTCTTGGCCTAAAGATCCAACATGTAACTTCAGGGGAGTCCTTCATTAATTAATACTACTTTAAACCTTAGCACACATCGTCTGGGAATGACAAATAAGCATTTCTTTTTTTTTAAATTTAATTTTATTATTATTATACTTTAAGTTTTAGGGTACATGTGCACAACGTGCAGGTTTGTTACATATGTATACATGTGCCATGTTGGTGTGCATTTCTAAATGACTTTTAAGCAAAGATCTAGATGATTGAGGTACTCAGAGATCAAAGGTGGAGGGAAGGAAACTGAGATTCAGGAACACTTGGGGACTAGTTCAAGAGCCAGGATATGGCCAAGCATTGGAATTTCGTCCACTCTCTTAACGCTGCATCTCCAAGGACCTCAAGCCCAGAAACTCTTCTTTAAAAGGCAAGCAGCAATGCTCATGTTTCAAAACATAAAATACAGTTGGGGAAAAATTAGTTGGGATATTAGTCAAAAAATAGCTCAATCTTTTTAAAACTTTATATTAGAAGGTAATCCCCTAAATATGGCTGATGGCTTCAACTCTTCAAAATGTAAGTCAAAAACACAATTAACACAGTCCCTCTGAGGGTGAGGGGGATCCCGTCAAGATCTGAAGCAAGGTCACTCCTGTGATTTCACCTGTGTAGCTTGAAAATGCCAGGAGAGGAAGATGGCCTCAGAACAGAGCCAACCCACAGCTCACTGTGAGTCCTGACACAGTCACATCCACTCTATCCCAGTTCTCCACGTTCTGGGGCTAATAGTTACAGAAGGGAGAGTATCATCTGTCTTATAACTGTTGTGATTTAATTTTGAGCTTTGCTTCAACTTAGACTTCCAGATTGGTTGGGTTATTCAGGATTCAAATCTCTTTCACTAATAATAAAAAAAAAAAGAGAATGATAATAGATATAAAGCATGCTTCTAACAGGCTCTTCCTTTATTCCAGGACGGCTTGAGAAGACTGTCAGGAAACGAGTATGTGTTTACTAAGAGTAAGTTTTCATCTATTTACTTGTTAGTGTAACCTGTCTCCAGCCTGTGCTGTCCCCGCTGTTGCGATTATTGTTCTGGGAGGTGTTACTTCCAGCTAGTCCCATTTGAGTTTAAGCATCAATATGGTCTACATTTAAAACTAGTCTCCTAATTAAAATTACTTCTCTGAGCACAGTTAGAGTAAGAATTGCAAATCTCTATACATTTAAACAGAGTTAAAGTGAATTATTTTTCTATTTGAGGGTCTTGAAGTTCAATAACAGAAAAATCAGGTACAAGACTTTTTTTCTAGTAGTAACTATGAAGATGATGACAGACACCCGGGCACTCAAGATTCCACAATTAACCAGCCTCCCCCATCCCATCTGTTTGCTCAGATGTGCACCAGAGTCACAGTCACCTTGCAATGCCAATAACCATCAATGATGTTCCCCCTTGTATCTCTCAATTACTTGATAATGAGGAGAGTTGGGACTTCAACATCTTTGAATTGGAAGCCATTACGCATAAAAGGTATGTGACTTCTCTGGCTGAAGGCAGAGCAGGATTGATGGCCATGCTCAAACTCTCACATTTGGAAACTTTGAGGGAGACATGTTTTTGCTGTGAGAGACCTCACGGGTTCTGGCTCTCATGCCATGTTAGAGTAGTGTTGAATGAGCAGAGAGACTATGGCCCCTGAGTGAGATCCTTTGTGGAGAGTATTAGTAAGATGTGGGATCTGCCTGGGTATCCACAGCTCCCTCCTTTGTGCTAGTGAGCCAAGAGTTCTAAGAATCCTCAAACTTGTCGAAGCTCTACCCTACAGAATGGAATTGAGAGCACTATAGATTTTTTTTTTTTTTCTGATCCATCCTGTAGGCAGAGGAAAGATTAGATAACTGAAAGGTCTTTTTCTATACTAGGAGAAGGCTGTTTCTTCCCAGAGGTGTTGGTCTGTTGGATATGAAAGATTCTCACCTGTAACGTAAATAAGTAACAGGACTCTAAATGATAGGACTTTGGGACCATCCAAGCTGTTTTTTTTTGTCCTTAGGCTTAGTCACTTCCTTAGGGAACATAAATAAAGTGCAAGGTTAATGTGGAAGTGGGGATGGAGAGGGACTGCCAGGCTCATTTCTAGGTTGTCAGAGCCACTGAGGGGCCTATGATTTAGAGTTCATCTAGAAATAATTTGGATGTACTACCATGAAGCATCTAGTTCCAAAGAGGTGACTGGTGAGAAGGAGAGATCCTACCTCCTAATTTTTAGAGGAGATGCTTTTAAACCCCTGTGTGTGTGAAGCTATCATCAGAAGAAAAATGCTTCCATGCCCCACTATCATCAAAGAAAACAGTTTCTGGGCCAGTGAATACAATGAGCCAGGGTGGGTTTTCCTATTTTTCAGGCCATTGGTTTATCTGGGCTTAAAGGTCTTCTCTCGGTTTGGAGTATGTGAATTTTTAAACTGTTCTGAAACCACTCTTCGGGCCTGGTTCCAAGTGATCGAAGCCAACTACCACTCTTCCAATGCCTACCACAACTCCACCCATGCTGCCGACGTCCTGCACGCCACCGCTTTCTTTCTTGGAAAGGAAAGAGTAAAGGTAGGATTTTGATATCATGACCTAGTTACCTGCCTGGATTGGAGATCCAAGAACTTAATCTTAGTAAATACATTAGGCAAACAGCTATTTTGCAACCAAGTTGACAGCTTTTTTAAAAAAAAATTTTGTTACCAAATTGACTAGTCACTTTGGTGTTGTAAAGACATGGACCTTTCTGCCAGCCCTCCCCTCCTCCAAATACTTAAAATAATTATATCACCATAGAGACTCCTTTATATGCATGGCAGATCATGAACCCATTTTCCAAATGTTAGCTAGGAGCTGTGTTACGGGGTTGCAGGACAGAACTTAATTATTACAGCAAATGGTTACTAGATCTATAGGTTAAATTTTAGTATCAGGATTTGGCCATTGGTAGATTACAGTCCAGATATTAATAATAGCCATTCCGCATTCTACACTGTTTTACATATATTTATGTTTGTGTTTTGTGTAGGTATGAACGTGCCTATCTTTATATTAATGACTTTTGCATAATTCTGAAAGAGTTCCATATCCCTTAGTCTTACAGTTCAATACTGTCATGTACCACTGCTGATTTGTAGGGCAGCCCTAGGAACCCCTTGCCCTTTACATAAGGGCAGCCCTATTTAAAGCTGGCAAGAGATCCCCATCTCTCCTCCTCCCCAGCTACCATCACTTGCACACCAAAGCTTATACATTCTTTTGCTACAACTAGAACTAAAACTTAAATTTTAAATACCCCTGGGAGAAGTGCCATATGGGGATTGAAATTCACATCTATCTGTAAATGCCTGACATTAGATCATTTTCTTAGAACCAGGTATTGAGGGATTAAGGTCCTAGGTACTTAAGAGCTATAGTGAGACAGGTAGAAGCAGAAATGGCAGGAAAACAGTAAGGGGGTATGTGGGTAAGGTTTTCTTCTCAGTTTTGCCAACAGCATCCTGATATTTATTCACTTTCATCAGCAAGGAAACAATGTGGCCCAAGAATGATGCTTTTGAATAATTTTGTCTTCTACTTTTAGAAAACTAATAGTGATATCAACCTATGTTTCTATAACACCTTTCTTTGAGGAGCAAAAACACCCTGGATTCCTACTACAGGTTCATGCTCCTCTTTTTTAAAATTTTTTTATTTTTTTGAGATGGAGTCTTGCACTGTTGCCCAGGCTGGAGTGCAGTGGCACGATCTCAGCTCACTGCAAACTCCACCTCCCAGGTTCCAACAGTTCTCCTGCCTCAGCCTCCTGAGTAGCTGGGACTACAGGCGTAGGCCACCATGCCCAGCCGATTTTTTTTTTTTTTTTGTATTTTTAGTAGAGACAGGGTTTCACCATGTTGGCCAGGATGGTCTCAATCTCCTGACCTCGTGATCCACCCGCCTCAACCTCCCAAAGTGCTGAGATTACAGGTGTGAGCCACTGCGCCCGGCCTATGCTCCTTTCTTTTATACCACATGATGTTTCACAGCTGAAGCCACATGCTACCAGTTGAGAACAGCACCCAATTCATTAATGCCAAGACCAAGGTGATCAATAGCCTCTGCAGTCTTGAGTTAGAGGTGAACCTCACTCAAGCGGAACCACTCTAGGAAAACATTGATTAAATTTTTGATAAATTAGGGAATGCTTAGTAACTTGATCATATCTTACTATCCTCCTCCAAAATATATTTCTTTAAATTGTGAGTTCTGCTAGTGTATTTGGAGTCTGATTAGATTTCTCAAATGACAGCAATAGAAACAAGTTTAAGATTGGACAGAATATGTTTACAATTCAAAAAACATTTTCTCATGCTGGCAGCCCCTGCCAGAGAACCAGAAAACTTAGAGCTGCGAGGAAGCTTGGAGAACTGAGCTGGAAGGGGTTTCTGGGCTCAGAGGTTTGGTTACCTGCCTGTGATCACTGGTGGGTCCATCATGAGGTGCTTCCAGAAAGATTTACTCCTGAGGCCTCTTCTACCAGATCTGCTGGCACTGACAAAGAGGGTCAGGAAGTATTTTCTTACTTCTCTTGTGTCATCTGTCACCCCTAATTTCTTTGTGATAAGCTAAAATTTTTTTTTTTTTTTTTTTTTTTTGAGATGAAGTCTCACTCTGTCACCCAGGTTGGAGTGCAATGGCATGATCTTGGCTCACTGCAACCTCTGCCTCCCAGGTTCAAGCGATTCTCCTGCCTCAGCCTCCCGAGTAGCTGGGATTGCAGGCACATGCCACCAAGCCCAGGCTAATTTTTGTATGTTTAGTAGAGATGGGGTTTCACCATGTTGGTCAGGCTCATCTCGAACTCCTGACCTCAGATAATCCACCCACCTCGACCTCCCAAACTGCTGGGATTACAGGTGTGAGCCACTGCTTCCAGCCAGGCTAAAATTCTTAATGTCACTATGACAAAGCATGCCCAACCCAGCTGTAGAGCTAGCATGCCCAGAGCTAACAGCCCCTTCAGTTGGTGACAGACCCCATCCTCTCCCCATGTTACCCAATTCCAGGGAACTAGTGCAAGTGGAGAAGCCAGGATAACAAGCATTCCTTTATTAGTATCTGAGCATACATGAATATTTATCCTGAATAAGAAACTATTTGAAAGACAGATCTAGAATGAAACCCTTTCCTCAGTGTGATCCAGATCTACTCCTACTGGTTAAAGAGGGAAAAAACTATGCAGAGGTAACTGCACCTCCACGGGACTGGAATTTCGCCAGTTGCGGGTTTGGTGGGGTTTTCTTCCATGGACATTTCCTCCTCGACGTAGGGCCTTGCTACTCTCCTCTGCTAGTGAGCTAGCCTGTCTTCCTTCCCTACCTCCCAGCCATTTCTGGTCTGACAAGGCCTTGTTGGTGCCCACCTAAACTGCAGGACCCATTATTGGTATCTTTGTAAGTCACTGAGGGCATGGTTTAAATCAGTGTTAGCTGGAAGGAAAGGCATGTTTCATCTAGTGCTATTTATGTTTTCTACCCCAGTTACTTGAATCTATTTCATTGAAGAATTAAAAAATAAACAGGCCTGAGACTCCAAGCAGGATTGAACATACCACAGTGGCACTAGCTGGAGGCCCAGAGTTTGGGCCCCGTGGGTTCTCACTGCTCAGGTACAGTCAGTGAAGGTGGAGCCCAGGTTGGGGCTGTCCTGGGTCCTGAGCTTGGAGATCGCTGAACGTGCCTGCAGGTGACCGTGGCCTCTCCTGACCAGCAGTGAAATGGGCCAAATGATGCTTGCTTGCCCTGGGCACTGCAGAATCAATCTCTGAGAACAGCTGAGAAGAGTAACTTCTGCTGTCCCTATTCAGGAAGCCTAGTTGTGTTGATTGGGGTCACCCCAGGGTTGCTCACCAGCTCCATGGGGTCAGCGTTGGGAATGGAAATGACTCCCTTCTGGTGGAGACAGAGCTTTCAGGGAAGCCTGCTAAACCAGCACAAGCAAGTGCAGCCCCTTGGCCATCAGGGTGCCGTTGCAGGACAGGGCTGAGCTACAGGTTCACCTTCCTCACCTGAGTAGCAGCTCTTCCTCCTGCAGGCCTAGGAGAGCAAATTCTGGGAATACCAAAAATGATGACCTCCCCACCCCCAACATCTTGGGGACCACTTTCCCTCTCACTATCCCTTCAGCCACAGTGATGTCGCTTACGTTTCCTGAACAGACCTTTTTTGTTTGACTTCAGGAACGTCATGCAGGCTGTTCTTTCTGCCTGGAATTGCCCTCTTGCTGCTTGTTGCCTGGACAATTCCTGCTTCTCCTTCAGGCTCAGCAGAAAAATCACTTCCTTGGAAGTGACCACCCTCGAAATCCATGTTATCCGATATGGTAGCCATCAGCCTCGCATGGCTACTAAATAAAATTTAAAATGCAGTTCGTCAGTTGCACTGGCTACCTTTCAAGTGTCCAGTAGCTGCATGCAACTAGGAGTTACTTTATCAGATAGCACAAATAGAACGCATTCCTGTCATGGCAAAAAATACATTGGACAGTGCTGCCCTAAACTAGACCAGGTCCCATGGTTATACTCCCAAAGCATCTGTACTTTCCTTCTTAGCACGTCTCACAGCAAGTTACTTCCGTTTGTGTTTTTAAATGTATTTGTCTCTCTCCCTCTACATTACAAACTCCATTGTGCAGACTGTGCCAGTGTAAATCATCATGGCAGCTCTGGCACTATGCAGTGATAATTGGTACCTGGTAGGCACTCAATAAATAATAAATTCCTAGCACAACATCTCTTATATAACAGTAGCCCATCTGATAACTCCTAAAGCTGCAGGCTCAGAAAACACTTGTATCCCCGGATGCTCTGGTTTGTTTCTTTAATTACATAATGAGAGCTTTCGAATTAGGGTTTCCCTTTTTGCCTTTGCTGCCTGCTAGCCCAGAGCTGAATTTTGTTCTTATTTGCAAGAACCCCTTTAGCCTTAATTTTCCTGGCAAAGTTATTCTTTCCCTTGGTCTTCTTTTACTGCTTGGTCCTCTTTTACCTGGTACTCTTTTACTCTTCTACAGCTCTAGTCATTTCACCATTGTATGAATAGTTTTGTTGTATCTGAGCCATTTGCTACCAGCACACTCAAAATCTTTTCAGAGCTAGGCAAATTGGTAATAGTTGTGATCACAGGCCACTTTCTGCTGTGGCAGAAATACCATACAGTGGGCAATTCAAAAGGCTTGTTTGGCCTCTTCCTGCAGCTGATGGCCCCTGGAGAATGAATTAAGCGTCTGCTGTAACTGTGGCTCAGGTTGCCCTCCAGATAACAGACAGCACAGTAAAGCGATGCTGCATGTCCGAGGCCGCCTCTCCACATCTAGGTCAGAAGGCTCAGCTGGCTAAAAACGTTCTGAAAATCTCAAATCCCCTGACCCGACCCTCCGCACAGACAAGGATGGATGTGGGTCTCCAAGATCCAGTGGGTAATGCTCAACCTTGCCTCCCCATATCCCAGGGAAGCCTCGATCAGTTGGATGAGGTGGCAGCCCTCATTGCTGCCACAGTCCATGACGTGGATCACCCGGGAAGGACCAACTCTTTCCTCTGCAATGCAGGCAGTGAGCTTGCTGTGCTCTACAATGACACTGCTGTTCTGGAGAGTCACCACACCGCCCTGGCCTTCCAGCTCACGGTCAAGGACACCAAATGCAACATTTTCAAGAATATTGACAGGTTTGTTGTGCTGGGGCTCCTGTGCTCAAGTTTGTGAAGTTTAAGTGGTTTTCCCAAATACTTAGCTTCCTCTTAGGGGAAAGGGAAAATATTAGCTGTCCCACTGTACCAGATGATAAAATAACCTTGCCCTTAACTTAATTTGACTTTTCAGACTGCCTTTATGTTTTGAAATCTCATTTGGTCTTCAGTGAGTTCATAAAAATGTTTTATACACTGCAGAACACTACATAAATATTGATTGTACTATTACTAAGTACACCAGATATTTTTACCCTCCTACGAGGACATCCTGTCTTTTGTGTAACTCGAGGAAAATGTATCCACCCCCATTTTTCCCTAGCTCAATTTCCGGCCGCTTAAAATACTCCCTCATGAGTAGGTCCCACAGAGCGGGAGCACGAAGGGTGGGGCAGGTTACCCCAGCCCCGCATTCTCTGATGAGAGTGGGTTAGATGTGAGCAGGTCCTCTTGCCTCCCAGCACCTTGCAGTCAGGCTTGTGGGTATTTCCCACACAGCACCAGCCAGGCTGGTGCACAGATGCCTGGGAAGGGGGCAGTGTACAGAGAACATGGAGCTCACTCGGGCCTCAGGAATGCTGGTCTATGTGAACCTATTGGTTTGGTCTCCAGAAAACTGGGAAAACATGGAGATGAGTTATTCCAGCTTTGGCTTCAGCTTCATCAGTATCGAGGATGGGTTTTTAAACTTTTGCAGAAAAAATTCTTTCCAGTAGCCAATTTTATTCAAGAGCCATTCTGGCTCTTGAAGTTAGAAAACGACGACAGAATTGGATGGTTAATTTGGGGCAGGGTTGTTGCTTCATTCATTACAATTTCTATCTGCTGCAGTCTAGAGAATTACTTATTAACAGGAAAGTCTTCCAATGCCATCATTGAAAGAGGCTGTGGCCATCCTGTGCAATGGGAATCCCTGTGTTTGCACAGAGTGCAGTGGGCCAGCTTATGTGGCTGCCGTGCCAGCCTGCCATTTCCTGCCACCTTACTGTTTTGATGTTCTCAAGGGAAGGGAGAGGGGAATCACCTTGTCAGATAAACGTCCACCATGTGACAGGTACCTTCTCTCTTTTTTAAAATACTCATAAATCACATAAGGGTCAGCTATCACTGGGGAAAATGGAATAGCATCTGCAAGTCTTGCTTACTGGGAGGACGAGCTCTTCTTGTGATCTGCACACATTTCTTAACTCTGTGCCCCAGCTTCCTCCTAGGTTGTGAGGAGTGTAGTGAAATGGTGGCAGAATAGTTATAATTTGAGACACGCTGTGAACAAGCCCCTTTGTCTTGTGGTTATTTTAGGAACCATTATCGAACGCTGCGCCAGGCTATTATTGACATGGTTTTGGCAACAGAGATGACAAAACACTTTGAACATGTGAATAAGTTTGTGAACAGCATCAACAAGCCAATGGCAGCTGAGGTGAGTACTGCTTTCCATGCCATAAGGCACATCCAAGTACATTTCCATAAGAGCCTGCTCTGGCCCTGAAGCATTTTCTCTCCCACTCAAATGTAAGGTGGTTATTTACTTGGAGTTGATAAAGGGCTGAAAGGACTGGCCACTTGTTTTCCTTGGGGATGAAAATAAACTGTGTCCACAGCAACTCTGAGCTCCTTGAAAGAAAGGCCCTGAGAAAAAGCCAGTACTGACCAGAAAAGCTTGGCCCAAAGAATATGGAAGGAGACGCAGACGAACAGAGACTGGCATAAATGGTGGTATTTTAGAGAATCCAAAGCCTTTACTTCTCTGTTCACTGAGCTCTTGGAAAACCTCAAAGTTGGAAGGTGTTTTAAAAAACAAAGAATGTTCCTGATTCACATTAAAAGCATACCAGTACCTGAAGACTATCATAAAACTGGGAGTGACTGGAAAGCAGAAGCATTTATTGTGTTTTCCTTTTTTAAAACCTACTCATGTACCTTGGACCTGCCTTAAGGTCCTTACCAATTTGGCTTTTAGGAACATGAAACAGAAGGTTCACACCTAATAAGATCCACTGTTCTCTGAAGCCATGAAGCTGTTCATAACCCCATAAAGGTAGAAAAGCTTTCCGCTCATTCCTGTTGAGCGGCAGAGGTTGGCAAACTGGATGGATGTGAATGATCATCATGAGTAACTTGCTCAGTAAGGAGATGAACTGTGTAGGACCCATCCCATGACCAGTCTGGATGGAGTGACAGTGTCTACCTCACCTATTTAAGCTCCTTCCCCCAGGGATTCCACAGCACAACACCAGAGCCCTCTCCTTCCACAGAAGACTTACAGGAGCAAGGATCTGGGGATTTAGAGAAGGAAAAGTATAGAGATTCATAGAACTAGGAAGGTCATCCACTCATGTAAGCCCCCACCTCTGCACTGCAACTTACTATTAACTGCAGTATTTATAGTAAACAGTATTACTTTGATAAGTAATCAAAAACCTCCAGAACATATTCTGCCCATTGATAGTCTAATAAATAGGTCCAGTCTTAAACCCCCCAAATGTCATGCAGCCTTTTGGCTTGGCAGAGCTCTGGAGACCTAATTGTTTTTACACAATCAATTTGATGGTGTCTTTAAAAGTGGAGAATAACAATCTTTCAGGTTCTATGTAAATGGCCTGTGATGTGTGTACCAACTCGTGTCCTGGCCACATGGCTCAGGACACTGACATCACCACTAGGTGTGGACCAGTCTTTCTAAACATGGCTGAACACACCTGCTCCTGACTACTTCCTACTCCAAGGACCCCACGCCTACCTGGCTCACTTACCAGCCAGTCAGAAGAACAGCCAAGAAAACATGAGTGGACACATGCCTTAGGAGAACCAAAGTGCGAGAGAGTTGGGTGAGTTGGGGGTGGGACAGGTCATAGGAGGGAGGGAGATGGTAGGCATAAGTAGTAGAAATCAAGAAATAATTGAAGGGTTACATGTATGTGCCACTGCCCTACCTGAAATGCATTAAAGTAGCTAAAAGCTCTGCTTTTACACATTTTTTTAAAAAAACTGGGAGAAATTTCCTCTAAGATTACATATCAAATTGCTCAAAATAAAAACAAAACTGCTGTAGCAGTTACCTCTAGGGAAGAAAATGGATGTGAGGGGTAGACAGGTGGTGACAGGGACTTTCAACTTTCAAACTCTGTGTGTGTGTGTATTGCTGAGTGTCTTTTAAGACTGTATCAGTATATTCTTTTTTTAAAGAATGTGTCAGTATATTATATATGGAATTTAAAAAAGGAAAAGCTGCCTTCGCCGAGTCCCAGTCCTACCTGTGTGCTCGGTGATCACCATCGAATGCCTGGCGAATTAACCCTTGTGGGCTTCACCGTCATCTTGAACCAAGCCTGATCTGACCATCTGTTTTCCAGATTGAAGGCAGCGACTGTGAATGCAACCCTGCTGGGAAGAACTTCCCTGAAAACCAAATCCTGATCAAACGCATGATGATTAAGTGTGCTGACGTGGCCAACCCATGCCGCCCCTTGGACCTGTGCATTGAATGGGCTGGGAGGATCTCTGAGGAGTATTTTGCACAGGTGCGCCATCTTTCCAGGGAAGCTCCACTTCCCCTCTGGGAATGGGAACTAGGTCATGGAACTCCTGGGGGATTCTCCAGCTGAGTAACTTTTTACCAATTAGTTAACCACTCCTCCCTGGAAGAAAGCAGCTTACCCCCACCTGGGGTAGGCTTCTGGTTCCTTCAGGAGCTGACTGATGGGGCTGATCACTAACCAGAGTCTCTTGAGAAGGGGGATAAACTGAGCCTTTGGAAGTAACTTTTCATCTTCAGTTTGCTGGATCCAGAACTTGCACAAAAACCGAGAAATCTTCCATTCATTCACTAGGTTATTCCTGGGTGTCTACATGGCGCGTTATGGGAACACAGGCATTAGTGAAGACATCGCGGCCACGGGGAGTTCCAGTCCAATAGGGGAGAGATGTAGATAGGTCCACATGTTAGTAAAAAATGAAGTGTATCTCAAGGAAGTTTATGTTAAGTGCTACAGACGTTCAGAGAGACTTTTTTCTAGATAAAAGGGGGGCTACAGAAATGGAATAGGAAAAGACTTTCTGGAAGAACAAAGCATTCTGAGCAAAATTAACAAAGGGAGGGGAAATAGAATTTTTATAAAAAGGGAAGAGCAATATGTAGTTCACTTTAATTGTAGCAGTGTAGAGAGTTAAAGGAGAGAAATCTAGAAAGCAGTAGACTGTAAATGGACATGTGAAAACAGCCCTACTTCCAGAGAAGAGACTCTAAGCACTGATGGGTGTGTGGGTGACAAACAAGCAGCCACAAGTAGTGAATTTTGTGGGGTCTGCATGGCTGAAATGTACTGTGGAGGCAGGATAAATAAGGGCAGGATAAAGAATAGATGATGCCTAGGAAGACTGGGAAGGGGAGTGACCAGCAGAGGAGCCCAGTATGTTTAAGATTTGGGGGTACATGTGCAGGTTTGTTAAAAGGGTATATTGCTGATGCTGAGGTTTGAGCTTCTAATGATCCATGGCTCAAGTAGTAAACATAGTACCCAATAAGTAGTTTTTCAACCCTTGCCCCCTTCCCTCCTTTTGAAGTCTCCAGTGTCTACTGTTCCAGTTTCTGCCACTGTGTGTACCCAATGTTTAGCTACCACTTCTAAGAAAGAACATGTAGTATCTGGTTTTGTTTCTATTATTACTTCACTTTAGGATAATGGCCTCCAGCTCTAGCCATGTTGCTGCAAATGACATGATTTCATTCTTTTTTATGGCTGCATAGTATTCCATGGTGTATATGCACCACATTTTCTTCATCCAGTCCACCAATGATGGGCACCTGGGTTGATTCCATGTCTTTGCTACCATGAATTGTGCTGTCATAAACATGCAAGTACAGGTGTCTCTTCAGTAGAATGATTTATTTTCCTTTGGGTATATACCCAGTAATGGGACGGCTGGGTTGAATAGCAATTTCTATTTTTAGTTCTTTGAGAAATCTCCGAACTGCTTTCCACAGGGGCTAGCTGATCTAATTTATTTCTCACCAACAGTGTATAAGCATTCTTTTCTCCACAACCTTGCCAACATCTGTTATTTTCTGACTTTTTAATAGCCATTCTGACTAGTTTGAGATGGTATCTCATTGTGGTTTTGATTTGCATGTCTGATTAGTGATGCTGGACTTTTGTTTTGTTTAGTTTTTTTTTTTTTTTTTTTTTTTTTTTGAGACAGTCTTGCTCTGTTGCCCAGGCTGGAGTGCAGTGGCATGACCTCAGCTCACTGCAACCCTCACCTCCCAGGCTTGAGCAATTCTGCCTCAGCCTCCCAAGTAGCTGGGACTACAGGTGCACACTGCCATGCCCGGCTAATTTTTTGTATTTTAGTAGAGATGGGGTTTCCCTGTGTTGCCCAGGCTGGTCTCGAATTCCTGAGCTCAGGCAATCCGCCTGCCTTGGCCTCCCAAAGTGCTAGGATTACAGGCGTGAGCCACCGCACCCAGCCTGGACATTTTTTTTTTTATGTTTATTGGCTGCTTGTGTGTCGTCTTTTGAGAAGTGTCTGTTCATGAAATCCAGTAAGTAGACTGCAGCTTTCTGGGAAGAGAGCCTCTGAATTGAAGAAAAGTAGGACAGGTAGTTCTGAGCTTTCCAGAGAGAAGAACAGGAAGGGAGTGAGGATCAAATGACTCCTTGAACACCAGTGGATATTTTAAGGCTGCTTGATCGACTGACCTGAAATGAGCAAGCCAAGCCAAAAGCTGCTCATCAATGGGCTTCCCCGGACCCACAGAGAGAGGACCTGACGTACTACTCCTAGTTGTTCTCAGTGTGAATGGAGGATGAGAAAAATGTGCTTTTAAGTTTTTTGATAAAAGCTTCCTATTTAGGTGTCCTTTTCCCAAAAAGCAATGTACTAATGTTCATAAGCCAGGGTGACCTAAAAATGAAAGTTACAAATGAAGCCTTTGAGCTGGCCTTCTGGCTTAATACACCACCAGGAAATGCGGATCCTAATACTCAGCTCAATGAATGATGATGGCCTTAGTTTAATGTGCAGAATACTCAGATTTCCACACACCTCAAAAGCTGCAAGGCTAATACCCAAGTTTGAACAATCATAGTTTGACAGTCATTCTTTCCAGTGAAAATAATGGTCCATGGATAAAAACAGCTGGTTCAGCTCAATTCAAGTGCATAAGTGCTTTCCACAAGACAACCAGCAGATTTTGGTATGCAGTTCAAGTGTACGTGTACTCCCATTTCATCACATTCATCATCCAGAATATTACAGAGACATGTACTTCGAAGGTCAAGATTTAATACAATTAATAACTCTTACTGCTTCAAAGAGGTAATTCTCAAGTGAAACTGGTTCTGTTTTTTTGTTTTTTGTTTTTTGTTTTTAATGTGAGACAAGATCTCACTCTGTAACCCAAACTGGAGTGCAGTGGCAGTCCTGGCTCAATGCAGACTCAAAACTCCAGGCCCCAAGCGAACCTCCTGCCTTGACCTCCCATATCACTGGGATTACAGGCATGAGCCATTGGGCTTGGCCTGAAACTTTTTTTAAGTGCAAACATGTGGCAGCAAATAATATAATGACTATGGCTATTAATACAGTTTGGTGCTAGTTCATTGAGTCATGCTAAGGTGTTAGCAGTTTTACCCACTATTGCTTCTTCTCAGTGTAAATGTCAGTAGTTTTGGTATGAGAATTTGTGTTTGTATGACATTGAACAGAGCTTTGACTTTGCAATGATAAAAGCAGATCCCAGAAAAGGGGCTAAGTACCCTGAGATCAATGTGTCAGGAGATGCTATGGTATCACATAGAAAGAGGCTTGGGGCCAGGCACAGTGGCTCGTGCCTATAATCCCAGCACTTTGGGAGGCCAAGGGAGGCAGATCATCTGAGGTCAGGAGTTCAAGACTGGCTTGGCCAATATGGTGAAACCCCTTCTCTACTAAAAATTAGCTGGACGTGGTGACAGGTGCCTGTATTCCCAGCTACTCAGGAGGCTGAGGCAGAAGAATTGCTTGAACCTGGGAGGCGGAGGTTGCAGTGAACCGAGACTGCACCACTGTACTACAGCTTGGGCAACAGAGTGAGACACTGTCTCAAAAACAAAAAAAGAGGCTTGAGAGTGGGAAGGTCTGAGTGTAGTCAGTGTAGCTCAGCTGACTTACGTAAGTCTGAGGACCTTGCTGAGCCTATTTCTTCATTGAGAAAACTGGATAATGACCCATTTTCACAGGGTTGTTCTGAGAAACAGGATATTACTGTGAAAGTGTCTCGCATGTCCTCCAGCCCTATGTGGTGGTTTTTTCTTACAGACTGATGAAGAGAAGAGACAGGGACTACCTGTGGTGATGCCAGTGTTTGACCGGAATACCTGTAGCATCCCCAAGTCTCAGATCTCTTTCATTGACTACTTCATAACAGACATGTTTGATGCTTGGGATGGTAAGACAGTTACTGTTTTGTCACCCAAAGAAAATTGTTATACTTTACGAATATTATCTTTAGTGACACAGGGTGAGCCTAAAGGTAAACAAAATATATTTTTAAAAATGTGGCTGTCAGCTTTTTGTGGCCAAGTGGGGTGGGGTGCATTCTTTGCATCCCCAGCAGCTGGCACAGAAGCTTGTGTGCAGAAGACTTGATGGATTTTTGATAGCTGGATAAACGAGTCTCTGCCTCTTCAAAGGACACGCTGCCAAAGCTTACTGCAGTGTTTTTCTGTCGTTGGAGGAAAACTCTAGAAAGAATGCAAAATGTATTTAGTTTACTCTGAATCACAGGTTCTTCTGATAATGTCACTGATAAGCAGCTTTTCAAAAAGGACCTGTTTGCATTTCAGAAACTAGTGTTTAATGACTTGTCCTCATGCTTCGCCCAGGGTGTGCCTCCTCTAATTCTGATCCCAAACTTGTCCCAGACACCCCCAGGCTTATAAATGCTCCTGGGGTCTAAGTTCACCGGTTTCTTTTGATTCTTTTCTGTCTTTGCAGCCTTTGCACATCTGCCAGCCCTGATGCAACATTTGGCTGACAACTACAAACACTGGAAGACACTAGATGACCTAAAGTGCAAAAGTTTGAGGCTTCCATCTGACAGCTAAAGCCAAGCCACAGAGGGGGCCTCTTGACCGACAAAGGACACTGTGAATCACAGTAGCGTAAACGAGAGGCCTTCCTTTCTAATGACAATGACAGGTATTGGTGAAGGAGCTAATGTTTAATATTTGACCTTGAATCATTCAAGTCCCCAAATTTCATTCTTAGAAAGTTATGTTCCATGAAGAAAAATATATGTTCTTTTGAATACTTAATGACAGAACAAATACTTGGCAAACTCCTTTGCTCTGCTGTCATCCTGTGTACCCTTGTCAATCCATGGAGCTGGTTCACTGTAACTAGCAGGCCACAGGAAGCAAAGCCTTGGTGCCTGTGAGCTCATCTCCCAGGATGGTGACTAAGTAGCTTAGCTAGTGATCAGCTCATCCTTTACCATAAAAGTCATCATTGCTGTTTAGCTTGACTGTTTTCCTCAAGAACATCGATCTGAAGGATTCATAAGGAGCTTATCTGAACAGATTTATCTAAGAAAAAAAAAAAACGACATAAAATAAGTGAAACAACTAGGACCAAATTACAGATAAACTAGTTAGCTTCACAGCCTCTATGGCTACATGGTTCTTCTGGCCGATGGTATGACACCTAAGTTAGAACACAGCCTTGGCTGGTGGGTGCCCTCTCTAGACTGGTATCAGCAGCCTGTGTAACCCCTTTCCTGTAAAAGGGGTTCATCTTAACAAAGTCATCCATGATGAGGGAAAAAGTGGCATTTCATTTTTGGGGAATCCATGAGCTTCCTTTATTTCTGGCTCACAGAGGCAGCCACGAGGCACTACACCAAGTATTATATAAAAGCCATTAAATTTGAATGCCCTTGGACAAGCTTTTCTTAAAAAAAAAAAAAAAAAGTTTATATACATGTTTAAAATTTTTATTAAAATCCAAATTTTCTGGGTGTAAGCCCATGCAGTATGTTGTGCCATGCACCATCTATACGTAATATTTTGGGAGGGGATAGGGGAAGTTTCAAGGTTCAGATATTTTTAACCAGTCTATATTTGAAATCATGCCATTAGCTTTAACAATGTTAAAATTGTGTGGTGTAAATATATCAGAAAATAGGCATATGGGGAGGCAGTAAATACTATTTTAAGCTATTAATTGTATGCTAAAAGCTTCTAAAGCACAAGTGCATATTTTTATACTGCTCTTTTCACAACTCCCTGTGATCTACATAAAGTCAGACTCGAGATTTTCCTTTCTCTTTTACCAGCTGATCCTTCCTATGTATTATAAATATTAGACTCCGTAAACAAACTTCATTTTTCTTTCTCTGTACTTCATGCTGCATTTTTAAAAGGTATAAACAAACAGAGACTGAATTAATTGAATCAGTAATTACTTTTTTCCAATACAAATTGGAATGCAGAATACTTGGAACTTGTACATGGGGAAAAAATGACTTATCACTACATAATGTGCCAATGTTTTTTTCTATGTTTTGTACCAAAAATGGAAAAATATGACAATTCCATGCAAAGAAATGTATCTAAATTATTTTTGTTAGATGATAAGAGAACTTGCTTGGTCAGGACAGCAGCCAGCTTTGTATTGTAATGCTATATTATGTAAATGTGATGAAAATGTTTTTGTGAAGTACTTGTAACTAAATTCCTACAGCCATTTTTCACTCCCAACAGCTGTTTTTATTTTACCTCTTTGGCCTAAAGTTTTCATAATTTCAAATTTGGGGTTTAGTGTCCTTTATTTCATGAGTCACACACTTTGTTTTCAGAGCACATTAAAATCAGGATGCCAGAATCCCATATTAAGGACCTAGCTAACTTGCCTAGGCTTCAGAAGCTTGCTTGAGGCAAGGACAATCTTTTTCTGATCATCTCACTTTCAGTTCTATTTGGTAAGTAACATTTATCAGGTGTCAGACATCTTCTATATGAAATATTTACAGCTTACTCAGTTTTATGTCAAATTTCTTGTTAACTTCAAACTTTTTATTAGTAATGTGCAAATGTTTAAAAATGCTTTAAGACAGCTAGGTACTAAAGCGTCAACAATTTCTGCTCTTTACCAGTGTAATCTACGGTATAATCTTCTGGCCTGCGAACTAGTCTATTCTTCCACATAGTCAACTTGTTAGAAATACAGGCTTTCAGATGATATGTGTATCAGATAGTTTATATTATATAAACTATTATAACTGCCTCTTACACAGAGTTGTTTACTTAAATGTCATGTGCTGAGGAGGGCCGTATTAGGAAAATGCAACACTCTCTAATAATTTCCGTGACTAGTAAGAGAAGGAAGCCAGTTATAAAACACTGCTGGACCAGAATGACCCTATAATTTCCTAAGATCATTCTTTATTTCTAATTTAAGATTTTTAAATTTACTTGCCCTCCATGTCAGGACTGGTTAGCATTCTGGGCAAAAAAAAAACAAGCCTGTCAGTTCACTCAGAACCTACTCAGCTTTAGAGAGAGAAACAGAAGGGATGATCTTGTGCCCTTGCGCTATGTGAATATAGCCAGAGACTGAGGTAATAAATATATTTTAAAATAAAAATGACAAGGGATTTGTACACTGTAACACTATGTAGTGTTACTTCTGCTGTTGCAAGTATCTTAACTGTTGAAAGCTAAACTCAGGAAATGGAGAAAATGTACATAATATACATTGACCCATTATTTTATTCTAAATTGAAAGTCCAACTTTTAGCAGCAGTCTACCTGCAACTACTGAACACCATCAGGTTTGAGTCCCTACCAGAATCTCCCATCATACTGTTATCCCCCATCTCTGTGACCTTAGGGCATGCATGAAAACAAAAGCAATCTAGTCCCTAGGGTTGGAGACTGCCCTCTAGACAGTTTTTCATGGCAGAAAATTAGAATACAAGTATACCTCATTTTATTGCATTCTGCTTCATTGTGCTTCAAAGATACTGCCTTTTCTACAAATTGAGGGCTTGTGGCCACCCTGCATAGAGCAAGTCTATCGGGGCATTTTCCCAGCATGGGCTCACTTTGTGTAAGTGTCACATTTTGGTAACTCTTAGAGTATTTCAAATGTTTTTATTCTTGTATCTGTCATGGTGGTCTGTGATCAGTGATCTTTGTTACTACTGTAATTGTTTTAGGGTACTGCAAACCATGCCCGTATAAGACAGTGAACTTAATTGATAAATCTTGTGTATATTCTAACTGTTCCACCAACTAGCGGTTTCCAGTCTCTCCCTCTTCTTAGACCTCCCTATTCCCTGAGACACAACAATATCGAAATTAAGCCAATTAATAACCTACAGTAGCCTGTAAATGTGCAAGTAAAAGAGTCACATGTCTCTCACTTTAAATCAAAAGCTACAGATAATAAAGCTTAGTGAAGAAGGCATGTTGAAAGCCCAGGCAGGTGAAAGCCATGCCTCTTACACCAGTTAGCCAAGTTATGCAAAGGAAGAGTTCTTGAAAGTGTTAACTCCAGTGAACATGCAAACAAGAAAGTGAAACAGCCTTACTGCTGAGATGGAGAAAGTCTGAGTGGTCTATATAGATTAAACAAGCCACAACATTCCCTTAAGCCAAAGCCTAATTAATTCTTCAATTCTTTCTTCGAAGACTGAGAGGTGAGGATGCTACAGAAGAAAAGCTGGAAGCAAGCAGAGGTTGGTTCATGAAACTATCCCCATTAACGTCAGAGTGCAAGGGACAACAACAGCAGGAAGTTGTCCAGATGATCTAGCTAAGATCACTGAAGGCGACTACACTAAACAACTGAGTTTGTGAAGATGAAATGGTCTTCTATTAGAAGAGATGTCATCTAGGACTTCATAGCTGGGGAGAAGAAGTTCAATGCCAGCGAGTGTAGTTGGTGCCTTTAAGTTGAAGTCAGAGTTTATTTACCAGTCCAAAAATCTTAAGGCCCTTAAGAATTATGTTAAATCTACTCTGCCTATGCTCTAGAAGTGGAATAACAAAGCCTAGATGACAGCATATCTGTTTATAGCATGGTTTATTGAATATTTAAGCCTATGGTTGAGACCTGCTCAAATTTCTTTCCAAATATTACTGCCCATTACAATGTTACCTGGTCACCTAAGAGTTCTGATGGAGATGTACAAGGAGGTTCATGTTGTCTTCGTGCCAGCTACCACAACATCTATGCTGCAGTCCATGGGTCAAGGAGTCACTTTGACTTTTAAGTCTTATTTATTTAAGAAATACATTTAATAAGGCTGTAGCTGCCCTAACTAGTGATTCCTCTGAAGAGTCTGGGCAAAGTCAATTGAAAACCTTCTGGGAAGCATTTAGCATTCTAGATGCCACTAAGAACATTCTGATTCATGGGAGGCGGTCAAAATTCCAGCATTAAAAGGAGTCTGGAAGAAGTGGAGCCTGAAGATGTGAATGAATTGCTGTAATCTCATGATCAAACTTTAATAGATGAGAAGTTGCTTAAGAATGTGTATAGAAAGTGGTTTCTGGAGACAGTCATTTCCACAGTGAAGATGCTGTAAACATAGTTGAAATGACAACAAAGGATTTAGAATATTCTATAAACTTAGTTCATAAAGGAGCATCAGGATTTGAGATGACAGACTCTAAATTTTGAAAGAAGTTCTACTGTGGGTAAAATGCTATTAAATAGTATTACATGTTACAGAGATCTCATTTGTGAAAGGAAGTCAATTGATTTGGAAAACTTCATCGCTATCTTATTTTAAGGAACTGCCACAGCCACCCCAACCTTCAGTAACCACCTTAGTCAACAGCCAGCAGTATCAAGACCCTCCACCAGCAAAAAGATTATGACTCGCTGAAGGCTCAGATGATTGTTAGCATTTTTTAGCAATAAAGTATTCTTAAGGTATGTACATTTTTTAGAAATTTAAGACTGTAGTATAAACACAAGTTTTATAGGCACTGGGAAACCAAAAACTAGATGTGACTCACTCTATTTGCAATAGTTGCTTTTTTGATGTGGTCTGAAACCTAACCTGTAGTATCTCTGAGGTACGCCTGTATAATGACCAGAAGGAATTTGCTGTGGTACTTACGGTACCATTTGCTTCCAAAATTCATGTGATTTCTACCACTCCATTTGAATAGATTACTATCACAAAATACTAGCCTAGAACAGGCTAGGAAGTAAAACAGTTAAGTCTATGGCTCCCTTGTGTCATACAACTTCAGAAAACAACTTTACAAATGTATGGGCCAATGCAGAATTTCTAAAGGAAAAAGCACGTGAATAATGGGAGAAAGTCTTCTGTAATTGAGGTAGCTTAAGTTTTAATATTTCTCCATAGAACTTTTCATGACTCAATGTTGTTTGGATTTAAAGTAGTCATATAAGCCTTTTCTCATTCAGTCTTCAGTTCCTGTTTTTAGAGCTGCTTGGTGATACTGGGCACTACAGATTTAATTGCAAGGCCTTACTGCACTGGGCCTCAGTTTCCTCATTTGTAACATTATGCCACTGGTCTACTCAGATGACCTTAACTCTTCCAGTCTTTGTAGGTAGTTGTGGAAGCAACTGTCAAAGCTAAAACTAGTAAAAGAACTTATGGAGATTCCCTTTAGGGTATATTTGTAGTATATTTGTATAATGAACAAATAAATCTGTAGGTTTTCTGTAAGAAGGGTCAGTCTGCTAACATCTGTCACGTTGCCCTTTCTTCATCAGTAGTTTAAGAATTTCAATCTTTAATGTGTAGACTACTTTCTAATATTTTCATTTTTTAGCACCAAAAGGAGAAAACATATTGTTACAAGGCTGGTTATAGTGTCTCAATGGACACTGCAAAGAACTACATAAAAGAAGTCTGTCTCAAGCAGTTCGTATTTGAGTCAGTGGTCAGATGGGGCAGTTGCGCTCAGCTGCAGTCCCTGACTCCGGAAACACTGTGCCTCTCAAATGATCTAGAGCTCATCCTTGGCGTACATGAGGGGCAGTTGTTGTTCTAGTACCCATTTAGCCCATGGCTCTTCAAGCCAATTCACACTGGGAAAAACACACCCTCACAAGATGCCTATCCATTTGAGTTCATACAGGTTTTAGTAGCTAGAACTAAAAAACATTTTTAAAATTATCTAAACAAATTGGTACCAAAGAAAACTTGCCATACTTAAACAGTATATATGTTCCCTTTTTTGGCTGAGAGATTCAAGTTTGTGCTATATAGAACACTAACAGTTACTAAAGACTAGGAAAATTTGCAGGAGAAAGGCTATTTTTAAACTTCACAATAATTCTAAAGGAAGCCAAATAATAAAACTTCTAATAAATGCCATAACTTAACTATTACCTCTATTTGTACCTTTCACAAGGATCTAGGTTCAAAATAAGCTCAAAACACAGCACTCACCACTTCAACAGCAGCTCAAAGTCAAATGGAAAAACTTGTGGTATATTCTTTGGAGGATATAC
Source organism: Homo sapiens (assembly GCF_000001405.40). Lineage (NCBI taxonomy): Eukaryota > Metazoa > Chordata > Mammalia > Primates > Hominidae > Homo > Homo sapiens. The sequence goes on from NC_000005.10 coordinate 77,432,955, forward strand.
TAGGACCTGAGAAGCAACATGTTCCTGGTTGGTAGGTCCACAAAAAATTTAAACATGTAGAATTTTATGGACTGACAAAAAAAATTACCAATTTAAGTGATCAATATATTAATGGTTTTCAGAGTAGTACCCGATATTTGATGTTCAAGGTTCATGCATGTGTATTTTTAATTCCTTAAACTAGACAGCAAGGTATAAGTCACCATTCTCCTCTAATTTTTGAAATAATCTTAAACTGCGCAATCCAGATTCTCGCTCTCCATTTTTCCACAAAATAATGAGATGATCAGCGGAGCACGTCACTAGTCCATGATCTTCAAAGTATAGAAACATCTGTAAAGAAAATTAAAACTGATTATAGGGACCCCGAAAAGCAGAGAAGTGTCTAATACCACATTAACACATGTGCGTGTGAGATATGTGCCTTAAAGACTCCTTTGGATCTGGGTGTAGAACTTCATTTCATTTTTCAGTATTGGTAAGTCACATACAAATAATATCTAATATTTTAATCAGAATTTTGTTAATATTGTTCAACTACAGAATAGCTATTTTTGTAAAGTACATGAATTCTCATAGTTCTTCCAGATTTTTTCATCATCTGATTTTTCAAGTATTGGTTTTACTTAACCATTACTTATACTGTATAATGGCTATGGAAAAAATGTCTGAATTCTAAATTTCCCAAGATAAACACTGGCTTCAGCTCTCTATAAAAGTAGATATACTCAATCCATAGGTGTTAAGTGTCAGCACTACGTTTATGGTCCCTACCCTCAAGAAGATTCTGAAAAGCAAATCATAATTGAAACAATAAAGGTACCAATGAGAGATTATGTAATCAGGTACTAAATAATGCAGTATAGACTATGACATGTCACAGAAATTCAGAAAAAGCTTCAAAGGGAGAAAATGCCCCAAGTAAGGGGAAGGGGCTTGCCCAGTGAAGGAATAGGCTGGAAGCTAAGAATAGGAAAACAGAGTGTTGACAAAAGGCAGCATGAATACTATGGGGTGAAGAGTTGTATCAGAAAAGTGAATCAATGAAAAGGATGAGGTCCTCGAAGGAAAGGGTGAAATAAAAGAGAAACAGGGCCGGGCGTGGTGGCTCACACCTGTAATCTCAGCACTTCGGGAGGCTGAGGTGGGTGGACTGCCTGAGGTCAGGAGTTTAAGGCCAGCCTGGCCAAACATGGTGAAACCCTGTCTATACTAAAAATTAGCTGGGTATCTGTAATCCCAGCTACTCGGGAGGCCGAGGAAAGAGAATCGCTTGAACCCAGGAGGTAGAGGTTGCAGTGAGTGGAGATTGCGCCATTGTACTCCAACCTGGGCAACAAGAGCAAAACTCCCTCTCGGGAAAAAAAACAAGAGTTTTCTCTGAAATGACATATACATTTCTGAAGACCACAGGATAAGACTCAGCTGAGGATGCAGGAGTGAAGGGAGGAAACATGGGAGCAGAATTCCTTCGGAAACTGGAAAACACAAAATTCAGTACACAGGTAGAGGGGTTGCGCCAGTAGAGCAAGGATGAAAATAGAAATGAGGACCAGCCTGGCCAACATGGTGACACCCCATCTCTACTAAAAGTACAAAAATTAGCTGGGCGTGGTGGCGGGCACCTGTAATCCCAGCTACTTGGGAGACTGAGGCAGGAGAATTGCTTAAACCTGGGAGGCGGAGAGTACAGTGACCCAAGACTGCACTCCAGCCTGGGCAACAGAGTGAGATGCTGTCTCAAAGAAAAAAAAAGAAATGAGGAAATTCAGGTGACACTGCAAAGATAGCCTAGATTTTATCAACGAAGCTGGAGATGCTTTTTAAAAGTGTTCAGGTCTCAACACTTTCACTCAGGAAAATTCCTAAGAAGCTGACACTGTTTTATAGAATGAGAAATGTGCCACATTCAAACACATTTTGAATGTCTTTTACATGGGGTTTTCCCTACCATCTAAAAACCTTTTTAATGAGTTCCTACTATTTAAAAAATAAAGTCCAAACTCCTCAGCCTTACATTCAAGGACATCCATAATCTGACCCCAAACCACGTTCCCAGGCTTTATCCCCTACTAGTGTCTGTTCACAGGAACCCAGCGCTCCGGCCTAGCCAAGGTGCTCCTTGCCACCACGTAAATGCTATCTTTGCCCTTCTGCCTACCACAGTCCATGCTCACCTCCCAACCATAAACACAAAGTTAAAAACTGAGCTACTTGTTAGAGGAAAGCAAAGATAACTATGACACTGTACCCCAACATCAAGGAGCTTATGATGACAAGGCTATATACTCATCCTACTAAACTTCAAGGTTCAGCTCAAGTGTCAAGTCCTATATCCTCTAACCATTTACAAGATTCAGCAAGAAATGTTTCTTCTGAGTCACTGCTGCTTACTTGGGTCCATCAAATGCAGCCTAGGGTAACAGCCTATTAGGTCTATACCCCTTCTCTCCACTCAAGGGTAAGATCCATGAGGGCAAGGACTGTTTTCATCTCTCTCTGTAAACTCCAGCAGCCAGTGTTTAGCACAGTGCCTGAAATACAGGAAATGCTCACTAACAAGGATGCTGCCGCTGCTCCTCCTAAGCATGAATGCCCTTTCAAATGAAAAGAAATTTTTTGTTCTTTGGCTATGAAACAGGGAAGAACAATTTAAGAAATTCCTTAGGGCCCTGATTACACTGTTATTAGTTCTCACAGCTAATCTGTTACCTCAACTGATCTTATTCCTTCACTACAGGCAATGATGCCTGCAGCAAATATTAATGTATCTGGATTTCTACATGTTAAAAGCTTACGCATTTCATAATTTTCAACTAAAACTTTCATATTTGCACAATGAAAATCAAGGCATAGGTTTCATTAAAGCTAACAAACTATTATCCTTCAAAGGCAGGAGAAACAGGACTCTGTTCATGAATTTGATAAAGGCCCCTGGAATTCGATTCTGTTAAGGCTTTAACTGTATACACATATAACCACAACCCTTCATGCATCCTCTGTTTACTGTTGTCATATAGTCAACATTATTCACACTGCCCTTACTGTCAGCTATCTCCAGCTCCTAAATAATGGTGATTAAGACCATTCTTAAAAGCAATGCATTCCTTGTTTCCTCAAATCATATATCCGGAAAGGGAGACCCTAACTGCACATACTATAGCCTATCCCATTCCATGTTCAGATCTGACAAACACCTACAGATATAAGAAAAAGTATATGCCTTTATGAGATCAACTGAAAGAAAAGAGCAATGAAATGCAAAAGCAGGAGTTGCTTGGACATTCTGTGGCTAAACAGCAATACCTCCACAGATGATGAGTGTCCAATCAAATCTCCAATAAGCTCCAGTGAACATGAAGTAGCATTTTCTTGCTGCTTTTTAACAGGTTGGCTGGCTTGTTTGCTGACTCTTCCAAATCCCCACATGTTAAAAAAACCTAGAAAAAGAATCATTTCCAAAATTACTGTGCTCTGTACTTACAATAACATGAGATCAGAAAAACAAAATTTAAATGTGAAGAGGTTCCAGACTTATTTTAGTCAAGGGCTAAGTGGACAGTACCTGAGCACCGTGCTAGGGTTTTGTGAATATGTTATTTCATCTTTCTTAGCTAACCAGGTCTGTTCTTCATCTCTTTTTATTGCCCCTAGTCACCCACTGGTGCAGGTATATTAACAAAAAGACACTTGGAATAAAACAGGACAGAAACAAAGCTTGAATGGCAGTGTCTAACTGTCAAGGGAAAAAAGGGCAAAACTCAGATCAACAAACAAGGCATAGGGGAAAAGCTGTATATGTATGTGCAAAAGCAACACCCCAGGACTTCAGGAAGTCAAAAGGACCAGAAACAACTAGGTACCAGCATCTGATTTCTTGTGCAAAGGTTGGTAACTAATTTATTCAACCCTTCAGAGTTTTGTTTTTCAAACTAAACACCTGGAAGTCAAGAGCTCATAAAATTATGATATAAGCACACAAGGAAAAGTATGTTTTCCCATAAATTAAGTTCAACATCAAGGGTAAAGAACACTTTGGTTTGACATCTGACGGTACAAATTTTGTGTATCAGTCAGAATTATAGACAATATAAATGAATACTTCATTAGGCCATTTGGTCATTCAGATTACCAGAAAGTAAGTTTTCCCTCAAAACAAGAAAATCTCTATCTTACTTGAAATGAAGTGGCAGTTCTACATTAGGGCAGTATTAAGCTGTAAATCCTAGATCTCAATTACCATATGCTTTCTATAAACATCTGATGCCTATTTGGAGCATTTCTATATTATTTTAGTGGTTTCACATAATTGTCCTTCTCCTGCCTTTCACGTGAGAAAAAAGGAGAGAAAAAGACTACCTTTTTGAGAGAAGACACACACCTGTTGGTACAGGCTCAGCTGCAAGCTGCTGTTTTTCTCTTAACTCCCAAATGCGTACACTGCCATCTTCTGAGCATGAGATTAACTGCCTGTCAGAACAGAAAATCAGTAATACAAAAAGAGCGCACCACTGAGGGCCAATGCTAAATTTGCAGTGAAAGAAATCAGTGGAGCCCTCAACTGCTTTTATTCAGCTCTTAGCAGGAACTGACAAAAATCACAATTTAGCATGACGTTACAACGCAAACTAAAAGCACCCTTTAGGAAAGCCACATGTTACTCGTTACATTAGCTCAAATGCTATAAATTGATTCTCTCCATTTAAAAAAATGCCCTTGGGAAAACAGTGTGAATTATACTTCACAATGTCCTAAGCAGCCCCCTTCCCTCCTCTTGCTACCTCTCTTCTCTGGGTGCTTCACTATAAAAATATCCTGCATAGAAAATAATGATAGTCCCTGTCCATATGTTCGTCCCTAGAAGCTCAGCAGCAAATCTACCCTGACAGGAAACCACTCACTTAGTAGCCTCACACAACAAGGAGACCAGCAACCATTTGATTCTGGCCATAAACAAAAAGAAGGTAGGTTTATGAGAAATATAAAAATTGGTACAATGTAAGTGGCCCCAAAGTCGTTTATGTTGTTAAATACCAAATTTTAAATCATCTCTTCTTAACAATGAAATTCAATGTAATTCATTTGCACCTTGCTTCTTGTAAATTCTGTAATATACTGCCACATACCCTTCTGTTAGAGACAGCCCTCAGGCATTCTCCATTTCCAAAAGAACACAGCAGGTCAAGCCATGAAGCCAGGTAACTTGGCCACTTGAGAAATTACACTGGTAGCCCTGGGAACTGTGACTTGCTTTCATCTATTGCAGAACAGATGGGAACTTGTACCTGTTTGGAAGTCTGGCAACGTGCAGGACATTGGAGTCATGTGCAGTTTTCTGGCAGGCAATCACACGCTTCATTTGAAGGCTATACACGTATAAACCCCTTCCAACTGCAGCAAATACATTCTAGGGGAAGAAGTTCAGAAATGGGCATAAAACTAGCACTCACCCTTCCTAGTGTAATGGATTTCCAGCCCTCATGTGACATCAGAAAGCCACCATTACCTTTCCCATTCCTAGCCTTTAGCCCAAATTACAGTACTAATCTCTGAAACCCCAAAATGTCAAAGCACTAAAGAAAGCTCTGAGCATTTAGAAGGTAGGACACAACCACTAATGCAGAGAAAGGTAGGTCTGCATAGTATATCCCTTAGCGCCACTTCTTCCTCACTGAAATATATCTAGAGAAAAGCTATAGCTAGCAGCCTGGCCCTGCAGTGGAAGCTGTTGAGGGATAACCTGAGTTTTCATTTAAATAACACTATATCCTTGGGAAAATTACCTAGCTTCTTCTGCCTGAAAAATGCAAGCAAAATTACTTGCATTCCACATCTTAAGCAATCAGGAGACCTACAAGTGATACAAAAAAGCACGGCTACAGTGGCATTATCATCATGCAATCCTCTGAAGGTTTCAAAAAACATTTTTCCAAATGTACTATTAGAAATAAATACCTTTTTACTAAAACAACTTTAATCTTTTGAAAGCATTTTCACTAATACTTATCTCACTTCAGCCTCACAACATCGTGTTAAGAAAGGCAAGCATCATTGCCATTTTCCAGATAAGGAATTTAAAATTAAAGAGATTAAAGTCACACAAGAAATGAAACATGGAGTCAATATTAGAATCAAGGTCATGTTACTCCAGTCCCTTGCTCATTCCTCACGTGACTCACATGCAGTAGTAGCCTTTGAAATTTTTGCAAGCACCTGTCCTAGAATCATCCATTCTTACTCAATAGATATCCCCATGAGGCAGACCTTTCAAATATCCCTACATATTGCCTTCTTGTTTTCACCAGAGATTCTGGGCTCTCCAACCTTTCTCACACAGCCTCCAAGACTACAAACTCAACTCAGACCTATAGTAACTGAACCAAAGCATGCCCCCAAGGCTTGCTGGAATCTTAAATCTTGAATGATCCCCTTGACTCTCAGGATTAGTACTCTGCAATCAGCAATGCAGCCGAGGCCCAATGCCAGGGCATTAATGAACACTGCTAGCCAATGTACTAAAATGGAAAGCCCTGTGGATTGTATTCAATGCCAAAATCCCCCGAAACTCATTCTATAGACCAGGAAATCTGGGCACAGTTTAAGTAATTTATCCAAGGTCAGGAAGAAAATTATAAACACAACTAGAGAATTCATGAGCTTTGGAGGCAGCATTTACTCAATGGGGATGCTATCCCCGCTATCAATAACTAACGGTCCCTTATAGAAGGAAAGAACTCACAACAAAAGAAGAAAAATTAGGGAAAACTATACAATGCTTTATCAAGCATATATAGTAGAAAATAAACATCAATTAAAAAATTTAAGATTAAAATACAAAACTTTTAAATATTAATTTTCACAAAAGTGAGAAAAAACATGTAACATTTAAAATAGATAATTTGTAGGGCTACAACTCTTAGTGATCTAGTCTCTATCTTTTCTGAAACCATACTGTCTTTATCATGTATATTTAACTTTTTTCAAAATAAAGTTGGGATACAAAGAAACAATCTTTGAATATATTAGTGTTTCTAAGTCCTGTTCCTATCCTAATCTTTTGTTTTGTTTTTAAAGAGTGGTACAAAGAAAAATGGATCATATTCTCCCCCCACTACATAACACTACTACTGAAATTTTTAATAAAAATAACGTGCATGCCGTTAGAAAAATTAAACAGTATAGAAAGTCACAAAATAGAGAAAAGCCTCCCCAACTCCTTCTCCTCGAAGGGTACAATTCATAAACATTTCTTGTGATTACATTTAGAAAAGTTAATTGCCCTTTAAAAACATTTTCTGAGCCCCTGATGCTAAGAGATTTGTTTTTTCAGATCAGAGATAAGATTCAGTAGTCCATTGGTACTAATCTCTCACAGCAAAACAGATCTAAAGTGCTTCAAGAGCATCACTCCCAAGTCCTATAAGATGGAATCCAACAATTCTCACTCAATTTATCTTGCCCCAAGATGCCAGCAGACTGAGAAACACTCCTAAAATTTTTAATTTTCTTTGCCTCACTAGGAAATGTGTCAGATCTTCAAAAGAACTCTTTTTCACAGTGTTTCTTAAAACAATTTTAAGCATTAACCTCAAATCCAATGGGATTATTTAATCCAACCCAAAATTTCAATAATTTTTAAATCTGTGGCCATTTAATCATTTCCTTGCCTCGAGATTAGAAGCAAAGATTAAAATGCTTAACACAAATCATCCAATTTTAGAAAAAGACCATTTTAAAGCACAACCTGAAACCATGAATGATACCTTTTTTATGTCCAACATGGGATTAAATTTTTAAAATCAGAAATTGGGTTATATATGTCAAAGGCAAGTTTATAGATAGTGTATACATTTTTTACCTCTTCATCACATGTGAAATGATGAATAGAAATGTCATTTGATTTTTGACAGAGTTTTATTTCTTGTTGGGTGTCCAGTTGTGGAGATGGGTCCCAGAAGTTGCGTTCATAGGCCTGCATGGTCCAGTCCAGGGCATCCCAGATGATCAGCTCTCCGACGTGGGAGCCGGTGACAAAACTCAAATCTAGGCAAAGTTCACATATGCCTCATTATCGATCATTTTATCTATGTAAAGATATAACTGAATGGAATGTCTAGTAGTAATGCCGTATAAAACCACAGTAATTAGAACAGTGAGGTACCTAGGCAAGCCAACAGAAAGATTAATGTAACAGAATAAGAAGGCCAGAAATAGACTCAAATTATCTTAGTAATTTAGTATGTAATAATGATTGCATTTCATTTCAGTAAAGAAATACCTCATGCTGGAATATCTGGTTACATTTAAGGGGAATAAAAGTAAAAGAACCTTATCTTGTACCATACACCAAAATAAGTTTCAAATAGATTAAAACATGAAAGTTAGTTAAAGGATGGAAGAAGATAAAGGTGAATACTTTTAGGAATGTGGAGTGGTAAAGGGCTCTAACGGAAGCAGAGTGGGGTGCCAGGGGAAGAGATCCTAGTAAGTAGCTGCTTGGCAAAACAAAAACAAGGACCGGGCGAGGTAATCCCAGCACTTTGGGAAGCCGAGGCAGGTGGATCACCTGAGGTCAGGAGTTCGAGACCAGCCTGACCAATATGGTGAAACCCCATCTCTACTAAAAATACAAAAATTAGCCGGGCATGGTGGTGTGCACCTTAGTCCCAGCTACTTGGGAGGTTGAGACAGGAGAACTGCTTGAACCTGGGACGCAGAGGTCGCAGTGAGCTGAGATCGCGCCACTGCACTCCAGCCTGGGCAATAGAGCGAGACTCAGTCTAAAACACACACACACACACACAAATACACTGAAATGACAAAAAGCTGGGAAAAATTTGCAACTTGGATGACAAAACAGGTTTATTATACTTGATACATAAGGAGTTCTTGGAAATTATTAAGAACAAGATAAATACAGCAGAAAAAAAAATGGGAAAAGGACCTGAAAAGGCAAAACAAATACAAATGGTCAGTAAACGTGAAAAGATGTTCAACTCCTTTAATAATCAAAGAAATCTAAAAACAAGGAGATACCATTTATTGACTTGTGAATCAGGAAATATAAAACAGGAAAATACCCAACACAGTACTGGCAAAAGCATAAGAAATCAGCACATTCCTGTATTGCCTAATGCCCTACTATACATTAGTATTTTTTTCAAAGATTAATTTGCTAATATGTATCAAAACCTTGAAAAATGTAAATCTCGATCCAACAATTCCACTTCTAGGAATTTATCCTGAAGGAAATACATAAATGTACAAGGTTGTTACATACATATATGTACAAATACACAATCTTAAAAATCTGAAGATAACTACACATCGAATTGAGAATTGAATAAGACATCAACAAAATGAAATAGTAATGCTGTTATTAAAAATTAAGTTATAAAAGTATGCTTAACAATATAAACTTAGATATGGAAATATATTTATGACATATTGTTACAAAACAGTAAACCATATTAATACACATGTACACACATACATAGGCCCAGAAAATCACCTAGAAAGATGTGGACTGGTGTTTAATACTGGATAGTGGAAAGATTTTAATATTAACTTTTATATTTTTAATGTTTTTCACTATTTTCATATTTTTCTACTATGACTATGTATAACTTTTACAAGTTTTTAAAACCTTTAAAAAAAGCCGGGTGCGGTGGCTCACACCTGTAATCCCAGCACTTTGGGAGGCCGAGGCAGGTGGATCACGAGGTCTGGAGATCGAGACCATCCTGGCTAAAACGGTGAAACCCTGTCTCCACTAAAAATACAAAAAATTAGGTGGGCGTGGTGGTGGGCGCCTGTAGTCCCAGCTACTCGGGAGGCTGAGGCAGGAGAATGACGTGAACCCGGGAGGCGGAGCTTGCAGTAAGCCGAGATCGCGCCACTGCCCTCCAGCCTGGGCGACAGAGCGAGACTCTGTCTCCCCAAAAAAAAAAAAAAAAAAAGGATTTTTTTCCATTTTACATATTATTTATTTTACACACTATATATTTAATAGAAAATGTACAACTGCTAGTCTTATTTCAAATAAATGTAATTTATTTAAATTATTACATATTTAGGGTAAGACAGAAGACTATAATGCACTTAGTCTAGAAACCCAAGTTCTGATTTTGGCTCTGCCTGTTGCTAGACAGGTGGTCTTTAGGAAGTAGTTTAACCTTTATCTTGGATTCTTCATGCATTAAATGAGTGACTAAAAATCAAATTGAATAATAAACGTGTAGCCATTTTAAAAAGACATCAAATATTATCTTTGCGCCCCTGGTAGTATTTTGAGCCCCTGGTATTATTCCACATTAATCGTATTAAAACATCCTGTTACTTGTTAATTTAGGAATATACAGATGAGTAATTATGATTTAATTATTTCATTTATCAAATAAACCAGCACGACAGAAATCTCTAATGACCACATGAACAATCTCTTAAGAGATACAGAATTACCAGCAATCCTACATGTAAATATTATTTGTCTTGACTCCAAGGCCATAATAGGTAGATTATTAATATCTAATTTCTATAGTTTATTAACAGACTCTATAGAACTTGCTCTGTGGAGAAATCACTTCTCATCTGTGGAGCAAAACGGGCTTCTAGTTTTAGTAGTGGGAAAGTTAAGGCAGTACTCATCTTCCCAGGACCTTCTTTCCCACACCTTTCCCTCCTTTTTCCTATTTCATTCAAACTACAAAAGAACCAGAGAAGCTAAGGAGTGAAGATTCCCCTTGACTCTCACTCTGCATCTGTAGTCACAACACAGAATTAACCTACTGAGACCATGCAGCTGCTTGCTCTGACTTAATCCTCCAAGTGTCTGTGATACCTCCATGCAGTAGAAACAAAATATTAATGACCAGTTGGAATTTTCCCTAAAAATAAAATACGGCATTCAGCTCAATCAGCACTTTTTTTTTTTTTTTTTTTTTTTTGAAATGAAGTCTCACTCTGTCACCCAGGCTGGAGTACAGTAACACAATCTTGGCTCCCTGTAACCTCCACCTCCCAAGTTCAAGCAATTCCTGTCTCAGCCTCCTGTGTAGCTGGGACTACAGGCATGTGACACCACACCTGGCTAATTTTTGTATTTTTAGTAGTGACGGGTTTCGCCATGTTGGCCAGGCTGGTCTCAAACTCCTGACCTCAGGTGATCCACCCACCTCAAGCTCCCAAAGTGCTGGGATTACAGGCGTGAGTCACTGCACCTGGCCAATCAGCACATATTTTTAAGCAGTTTACACATGGCAAACTAATTCCCAAACAGGTCATTCAAAATGTTTCATGACAAACAACCTCAATTATATATTATTAGTGGATGGATTTTCATCCTGTGTCAAAAGCCACTTAGTATGAAAATCTCACCTGGTATCTGTCTATCCATCCCTCACAAGTACTAGTACTTCATGATTACCAAAAGATGCTGGCAACATAATACAAGAAAAGGAATAAAATAAAGGAGCACCCAGAGCCTTCTGCCTGGAGAGATTATCAGTTATTTTTTGTCTGTCTTAGAAAACCTTCTGCCTGGGCATTCCAATCTTTTTAGCAAATCTGGTATTCATTATCCACACTTGTTGGTATTCTCTCATACAATTCTAAGGTTGCCCTGGGGCCACCCCTCTGAAAACAGATTTGCCCTGTGATGTACAATCCCAAGCAACTGGCCATATCTTTCATTGGTAATGGGTGAGGAGAAAGGAGCAGAGCTCCTGCAAGTGAAGCAGGGAACTGTACAACATAAACATTTCAGGATCACTGACATCCACATCATGGCTAACGTGCCTATGTACTGCAAGATGAGACTGTCAGCAGATCATTTTCAAATTTTAACAGACTACTTGGTCATGTTTGATTCCTAAATACGCCTTTGGCTTATTTATTATCTGTAGTATAATTTTATAGTCATAGAGTTTATAAAGTAAAAAGTACTAATCCAAAAGCTAGAAGAAGACAAGAAATAACTAAGATCAGAGAAGAATTGAAGGAGACAGAGACAAGAAAAACTCTCCAAAAAAATCAATGAATCCAGAAGCTGGTTTTTTGAAAAAATTAAAATAGACCACTAGCTAGACTTATAAAGACGAAAAGAGAGAAGAATCAAATAGACACAATAAAAGATGATAAAGGGGACAGCACCACTGATCCCACAGAAATACAAACTACCATCAGATAATACTATAAACACCTCTACACAAACTAGAAAATCTAGAAGAAATGAATAAATTCCTGGACACATACACCCTCCCAAGACTAAACCAGTAAGAAGTCGAATCCCTGAATAGACCAATAACAAGTTCTGAAATTGAGGCAGTAATTAATAGCCTACCAACCAAAAAAAGCCCAGGACCAGATGGATTCACAGCTGAATTCTACCAGAGGTACAAAGAGGAGCTGGTACCATTCCTTGTGAAACTATTCCGAACAACTGAAAGAGGGACTTCCTAATTCATTTTATGAAGCCAGCATCATCCTGACACCAAAACCAGGAAGAGACACAACAAAAAAAAGAAAACTTCAGGCCAATATCCCTTATGAACATCGATGCGAAAATCCTCAATAAAATACTGGCAAACCAAATCCAGCAGCACATCAAAAAGCTTATCCACCATGATCAAGTGGGCTTCATCCCTGGGATGCAAGGCTGATTCAACATATGCAAATCAATAAACGTAATCCATCACACAAACAGAACCAATGACAAAAACCACATGATTATCTTAATAGATGCAGAAAAGGCCTTCGATAAAATTTAACATCCTTTCATATTAAAAATTCTCAATAAACTAGGTATTGATAGAACATATCTCAAAATAATAAGAGCTATTTATAAGAAACCCACAGCCAATATCATATGAATGGGCAAAAGCTGGAAGCATTCCCTTTGAAACCTGGTACAGAACAAGGATGCCCTCTCTCACCACTCCTATTCAACATAGTGTTGGAAGTTCTGTCCAGGGCAATCAGGAAAGAGAAAGAAATAAAGGGTATTCAAATAGGAAGAGAGGAAGTCAAATTGTCTCTGTTTGCAGATGACATGATTGTATATTTAGAAAACCCCATCATCTCAGCCCAAAAAACTCCTTAAACTGATAAGCAACTTCAATAAAGTCTCAGGATACAAAGTCAATGTACAAAAATCACAAGAATTCCTTTACACCAACAATAGACAAGCAGAGAGCAAAATCATGAATGAACTCCCATTCACAATCGCTACAAAGAGAATAAAGTACCTAGGAATACAGCTAACAAGGGATGTGAAGGACCTCTTCAAAGAGAACTACAAACCACTGCTCAAGGAAATGGGAGGACACATATAAATGGAAAAACATTTCATCCTCATAGATAGGAAGAATCAATATCATGAAAATGGCCATATTGCCTAAAGTAATTTACAGATTCAATGCTATTCCCATCAAACTACTATTGACATCCTTCAAAGAATTAGAAAAAAAACTATTTTAAATTTCATATAGAATCAAAGAAGACCCCGTATAGCCAAGACAATCCTAAGCAAAAAGAACAAAGCTGGAGACATCACATTACCTGACTGCAAACTATATTACAAGGCTACAGTAACCAAAACAACATGGAATTGGTACCAAAACAGACATATAGACCAATGGAGCAGAATAGACACCTCAGAAATAACACCACACATCTACAGCCATCTGATCTTCAACAAACCTGACAAAAACAAGCAATGGGGAAAGGATCTCCTATTCAGTAAATGGTGCTAAGAAAACTGGCTAGCCATATGCAGAAAACAGACACTGGACCCCTTCCTTACACCTTATACAAAAATTAACTCAAGATGAATTAAAGACTTAATAAGACCTAAAACCATAAAAACCCTAGAAGAAAACCTAGGCAATACCATTCAGAACACAGGCATGGGCAAAGACTTCATGACAAAGATGCCAAAAGCAACTGCAACAAAAGCCAAAGCTGACAAATGGGAACTAATGAAACTAAAGAGCTTCTGCACAGCAAAAGAAACTACCATCAGAGTGAAAAGGCAACCTACAAAATGGGAGAAAATTTTTGCAATCTACCCATCTGACAAAGGTCGGTCTAATATCCAGAATTTACAAGGAACTTAAATTTACAAGAAAAAAACAACCCCATCAAAAAGTGGGCAAAATATGAACAGGCACTTCTCAAGACATTTATGTGGCCAAAAAACATATGAAAAAAAGCTCAACATCACTGATCATTAGAGAAATGCAAATCAGAATCACAATGAGATACCATCTCACACCAGTCAGAATGGCAATTATTAAAAAGTCAGGAAACCATAGATGCTGACAAGGCTGTGGAGAATGGGAAGAACATTTTTACACTGTTGGTGGGAGTGTAAATTAGTTCAACCATTGTGGAAGACAGTATGGCGATTCCTCAAGGATCTAGAACCAGAAATACCATTTGACCCAGCAATCCCATTACTTTGGGAATACACCCAAAGGATATCAATCATTCTACTACAAAGACACATGCACATGTATGTTTACTACATCACTATTTACAAGAACAAAGATATGGAACCAATCCAAATGCCCATCAACGATAGATTGGATAAAGAAAATGTGGCACATATACACCATGGAATACTATGCAGCCATAAAAAGGAATGAGATCATGTCCTTTGCAGGGACATAGTCATGAAGCTGGAAGCCATCATTCTCAGCAAACTAACACAGGAACAGAAAATCAAATGCCGCATATTCTCACTCTAACTGGAAACTGAACAATGAGAACATATGGACACAGAGAGGGGAACAACACACACCAGCACCTGTTGTGGGGAAGGGGAGGAAACTGAGAGGACAGGTTGATAGGTGCAGCAAACCATCATGGCACACGTATACCTATGTAACAAACCTGCACATTCTGCACATGTATCCCATTTTTTTAGAAGAAATTTTTTAAAAAGATAGTAAAAAACAGTAAAAAGTGCATGAGGCTTTCTGTAACTTTCATAAACAACTTTTTTCTTTAGTTTTCCCTTTTTTCCCCTTACGAATTTGGCAAATGAATACTCGAAGAAAGCTTTCAGAAACTGCTGTAAGTTCCTCTGCATATCACATGGTAAAAGACATGCCATGAAGTTCAGGCTATCTTGTATCATCCTATCATCTTCATTTAAGTAACCATGCTGGCTCAGTGGTGCCAGTGCTTCACTGCTAAAACAAAATAACTAAGCATGACCGGTGTAATGGGCCGAATACTGCTGGGCTTTTCTCAGCAGCCCTGGGAACTTGAGACTTAAGACTCAGTGTCACCAATGAGGCTTCAGAGGGCTTCCCAAATAAGAACTTGCCTTCTGTGCTGTCTCCATCCATGGCTAGAGAAAAAGAGCCCCCAGAGAAAATTAAAGGGACACCAGCAACCATTGTTATTTCTATCAACACAGACAATCTAGTCCTTAGAAAGACCTGCAGCTGAGTTTTACAATAAGATGGCTATTTGGGAGGAAGATTTTGGAGCTGGGAGGGACACTCTTACTGGTGTATCTGAACATGTGACTGAATGGACACAAATGGAGACTAGACTTGGTACTCTCTGTGTCCCTCGCTCCCCTTTGTCTCACATTCACGCAAAATACTGCTTAAAAACAAAGCCGGCCGGGCTTGGTGGCTCATGCCTGTAATCTCAGCACTGTGGGAGGCTGAGGCAGGTGGATCATGAGGTCAGGAGTTCGAGACCAGCCTGGCCAATATGGAGAAACCCCGTCTCTACTAAAAATACAAAAATTAGCTGGGCATGGTGATATGCGCCTGTAGTTCCAGCTATTTGGGAGGCTGAGGCAGAAGAATCGCTTGAACCCGGGGGGCAGAGGTTGCAGTGAGTCGAGACCATGCCACTGAACTCCAGCCTGGGCAACACAGGGAGACTCCATCTCAAAACAAACAAACAAACAAACAAACACAAACAAAAAAAACAAAGCCAAGCCAGGCCTCAGGGAGATATGTTGCTGGGGTGCTGTCTAGCCCTCCCACTACATCATACTCCCAAGCAGCCTTACAGGATCGTCCTGCAGGCTCCACCAGACTATCAAACTGAAGCCACCAAAAGCCCTCTCATGTGACTTCATACACAGATCACCCAGCACAGTTCTGATGATATAAGCTGTCACTTATCTGCAAGTGAACTGAATGTCAAGATCAGTGGTTTGTGATCTTGCCATCTGATGTCAGATTTAGCTCACAGGAGATACTCATTAAAATCATTTAGGAAGCCAAATAGGATGTACAGCAGGTCAAAACCCCCACCACGAGGAAGGAAGGGAAGACATGACCCATTTTCTGCAGACTTTTACTTTAGTTTGGTATTATTCTTTGAGAGTCTTCAACCAGGATTACAACTGGCTTGAATCCTGCTCATTCTAGTGTAAGTGTGTAACTTGCTATGTGATATTGTATGGTGTGGACAGCAAGACAAAAGGGCATATTTCCAATCTCTCTACAAAAGAGGAACTAGCCAGAAACAGCTGCCAAAAATGCTGAAACAGCCTGTGACAGTCATCCCACAGCTACCAAGCAGTGCCTGAGATCATTATGTTCTCCTCTATTTTCTCTGCCTTACACTATTTTCCTTGTCCCTAAATCTTAGACCTAGCAATCTAGGAAACTTGCTCAGCTCCACCGGCTAAAACTTCAGAGTAAAAGAGAATGACAATCCCATTATTTTAGTGACTTATTCTAGAATCCCAGAACTAAGCAAGGCTCGTGTTCAGAGCAGGTTGTGTTAACAAGCACAAAACTGTACATAATAAATGTACACAATGAGCTTACCATTGACATTAATCAATGAGAGAATATTATCCTGGTGATCAAGGAGGCGCTTAACTTCAAGAATATCCCATTCTAGTGATCCTTCTGTGGGTGCTACCAACCTGAAAATTACTAAATGAAAAAGACAGAT
This sequence comes from Homo sapiens, assembly GCF_000001405.40. Lineage (NCBI taxonomy): Eukaryota > Metazoa > Chordata > Mammalia > Primates > Hominidae > Homo > Homo sapiens. The sequence goes on from NC_000005.10 coordinate 77,449,890, forward strand.
AAAATTTTATTACAATGCTCTAAGAGGATAAAATACTACTCCTGCTCTAAAAACAAGCATTTCATTAAGTGAAAAATACCTACCATACTGAAAAACCCATCTCCAAAAAAAAGCCTTATTCATACTACTTTAAACTATTTCTTTCAAATGCTTGAGATGTTTGAGATGATCTACTAAAACCCATACTGAATGTGTCCTGAAGAACTCTCTTCCTTTACTGACTTTTCCAAACAGTGAAGCTCCCATTCTCTCTAGGGTTTCAACGGATGTCTTGTTATCTCAACTCACTCCCTCCCTAATCAGTGACTAGCCCACATCCCTCAATCACCTCCAACATCAGCTTTCTCTACTCATGTCTCTTACTCATGTAAGCATTGCGACAGAATAAGCTGCAAATCCAAGTTTAACTTCAACTCAGTGAAGACATAAGCAACTTCTTTTTTAAAAAGCTTCTGATTCCTAGGCATATACCATTAAATTATAAATTCTCTGAGTATGTCTTATAATGTTTATATATCATACAGTTCTTCTGACTATAGTAATGTTCAATGTGTTGCTTTACTCATTATCTGACTTTAACAAATACAGTTTTATTTAAACTAGTATAAATCCTAACTTTAATCAATACAGAAAACCCATAATAAAATCCACAGACGTGATTCTATCATCATTTACTAAACATTTATGTTCCAGGAACTCTACGTACCAAATGTGAATAAGGCCCAGTCACAAATGCTCAGTCTAGAGTGGGAGAGAGACTTGTTTATAAACAGGCTTACCGTCAATGTACTGAGTGTTTTAAAAATACACCACTGGACCAGGTGCTGTGGATGCTCAAAGATTAGCATCACTAACATCTGAGAAGTGACAAGTCTCTGAGATCATGTCCTTTTCAAATTACGAAAGTATCTTTTCTTTCTCACATTTCTCTCTAGAAGATAGGTCATGCCATGCTTCTTTCTGTGTCTCTGACAATATTTTACCAAACTACAAATCTCTATCCAGGTTATTTAATCCTGACAGCTACTCATATTCAAACTGTGGTTGTCAAAAGAAGGTTTTTCAGTCAATAGAAAAGAGAACTCTTTCTGATACACATTGAACTTATGGGAAATTCTACTTTAGTTGGAATATTATGAAGTGATCTTGAGACTGGAATTTTGGAATAACAAGCAATAAACTGTTTAACCAAGCTAACATACTGATTAAAACACTGATAAGAAAAAGAAACCTGGCCTAACATCCTGAAAATGTCTTAGTCTCTGTATCACTTCAACAATCCCAAGAAGCCAAGAGTGGGGCACACGCAATGTCCCTTAAATAAAAAATTACTTTAGTCCTTCCAGCATGTGTATACAATTCTCGTTCAAAATACACAAAAAGAAAAAAATTCATACTCACTCAGTTCTTTGCCAACTGCTGCCACAACACAGTTCTTAGGTATTTCAACCAAAGCACTAATACCTCCAAAAACATATAAAACAAAGTTCAAATTATTTTTCTCACAGATTATATCAAAAACAAAAACATTCTCAGTTTTATGTCAGTCGTTTTCCATAAAGAAGATAAAGCACACAGAACTAGCTCCACACACACTTCCTTGCTTGCTTACTAATGGAAAATGATTGTTAAATGTAGGTTTCTGAGACTTTTGGAAGACATTATTGATTTATTAAGAGCAGAATATGGGGTTGGGTTTTTTTGTACTTTTTTTTACTATTGTGATAAAGTGGTAGATTCAGCAATTCACACTTATTTACCAGGGATCCCTTAAGATAATCACCATCACCCATTTACAAGATGGCTAGCTCAAAAGTGATGTAAAATTGGGGTTTTCCTTCATGTAAACTTTAGAAGCCTGAGCAGGCTCCCTGGCATTGAATGAACTAGCCAACAGTCAGCAGCTAAGAAAGCAGCCTTCAAATAGCATGTTTGTGATCCACTAATACATGTAAAATTTTTCTTCTATTAATGAAAGAATCAGATTCAACATTCTAACACACTTCACTTATTTAAGTAAAGAGGTTAATGATTTTAGCGTAACTATAACTTCTACAAGGCATGTTACAATTTTGCTTCTGTCAGTATGAATAAAAGAGTTGATAAATTAGAACCACCACGTGTTGGCAAAAAAAAAAACCTGTTTAATTTTTCCATTATGATATATATGTAATTTATAATATATATGCAAGTGTAGAAAACGGTCTAGTCATTTGCTTATCCTTCCCATCCATCAAAGGACTGACTGTTGTGATTTGGATAGTATTTCTGGCCAAGATTTTTCTCCACATAGGCATATTTTAACAGTAGGTTTTGTATTTTCCCATGTACAAGAAGGAGGAAATGGTGCTGCAAGGAAGGCAAAGGAATGGTACAGAGAAGGCAGAGGACATGGGAGAACAGCAGGGTGGATAGCAAGAGAAGAATTCTAAATGCAGAAAACAGCTTGTTTAAAAATCTTTCACTAAATTATATGTGAAAATACTAGAAGCCCAACAATCCAGATGTAGCAACCTAATACTCAGAATCACAAAACATATTACTGGAAAGGACACGGATGCCCTGTGTTTTAGTCCAGGGCTCCTTCCATTGTATCACATTGACTAAGATTGTCTTTGCTTATTTCCAAACACAGAATAACTGCTTGTAAAAGCTCCACCAGTCCATAAATCAAGCAGGGCTTATGAAAGGACATCATGACATAAGGATCTAATAACACTATTAACAATCTGGCCTCCAGTAATTTGGAAAACCCAAATGATGAACAGCTCACCAATAGTAACCCATGGCCTTCTCAAGGCTTTCCCATAGATACCCTCAAAGCCTTCTGTTAACTCTTGAGACACTGATAAATGGCAGTATTGTAATGATTTAATATATAGTACTTAAACATAACTTGCAAAACAAAGGGAGACTGCAATAAGAGGTGGCTATTTCCAGGAACACACAGAAGATTCTTTTCAGCCCCAATTTCAACATTTTACAATATAACTTTACCAAAATAAAATTCATGAAAACCACAGGCTAGTGAAAGAGAGAGAAAAATGAACATAAAGACACATAATTCATGATAATAGTAAACAGGGAAATATATTCTAGATTTGAGCAAGACTATTAGTAATCAAATGTTGAACTGAGTGGTTAAATTGTAAACCCTAGCAATGTATGGATTTAGTTTTCCTAAGTCATTATGTTTCTGATACTTTAAAATATCTACGTGGAGCTAAGCTAGCTCCTATTAGTAACTAAATTCAATTCACAGGGCTCCTGCTACCACTGAAATATCAACAACATGCACAACAATGTTCCTTCTAGGATACCCAGGCTCATTTGATTATTTTTAGAAATAACAATAGTTAGTGTGACTTCAAGGTTGTTATTAAAATCTACTCATTTAAATATTTTACTCTAAAAATAGATTTTATTTTTTAAGATCCTTGGTATCAAAAAGTCAAAACTGATTTGATTATTTTTTTTCTGTTGAAACCAAAATCGTATGTACACAGAATTGTGAGAAAATGAAACTTTATCAGTAAGCTTGCACATGTATGATCTTTTTGGTAAGGACAATTGTAAAAAGAGGTCATCCTTAGGCATTTATTCAAAGTTAATGACCCCACAAATGCTACTGTAAAGTCGTAAGGGTCTGCTTCTAGGTATCAGCGTGCTCACCAAACACAGTTCAGGAAAACAGCCCAAGAGCATTGGAAAAGGTTGTTCCTGAGTGGAGTCTTCTCCTCCTGATTCAGGATAAAAATATATTTTACACAACCCCGATCTGAATTGAATATGGCTACCTGTTATCTTCAGAACTGAAAAAGAAAAATCCCCTATATTGACCTTTCTACTTATGGAAAGTCTCTCTGAAGATCTGCTGTGTCTTCTAGTCTGTCAATCATAGTTCAAAATTACCTTGATGTTTTTTACCTGTATCAGAAAGGTGGCTAGTCTTACACAGGAGATCTAATTTTCGGTTCCACACACACAGGTCATTCCCACCAGAAAGCCAAACATCTAGTCTCTGAAGAACAGTTAAACACTGCAAAATTTATTTGAAATGTATATCAGGTTAGAAACTTAAGCAGTCATTGTTCAGTGGTTTAAAAATATATCCACAAGTTCTTTAACCCCTTCCTTCACTAGGTGGAGCTTATTTCTCCTTAGTAGATCATGTGGGCACTACTAAGTGACTAGCTTCTACCAAACAGATTCTGGCAAGAGGAATGGTGTGTGACTTACAAGACTAAGTCATAAAAGATACTGTGGCCTCCTCCTTGTTCTCTCTTGGATCACGTGCTCTAAGGTGAAGACACTAAAGCAGTCACATGGAGAAAGGTCCATGTAGCAAAGAGCTGAGGCTTCTGGGCAACAAACAGCACTAACTTGCCAAGCACGTAGGTGAGCCTCCTGGGAGGCAGCTCCTCCACCGCAGTCAGGCCTTCAGATAGCAGGAGCCTCAGGAGAGGCCCTGAGCCAGAACCACCCAGATAAGATGCTCTCTAGTCCTAATCACAAACACTGTGAGATGACAAATGTTTATTGTTTTAAGCCACTAAGTTTTGAGGTAATTTGTTACTCAGTAATAAATTACTAATACACAATTGCTTAAACCCCTTTTTAAATCAAATTGAAACTATGACCTTAGTTTCTCTGTATCTTTAGAATAAATAATGCCCAAGTCTTCTCAATTCTATACATTTGGTAGTCAGGAAAGTGAGTGTTTCAAGTACCATATAAGCCCTTTACCTTTAATAGTACTCTCCTCGCCCACTGACTCTGAGTCAGACAAGGGCAAGAGCGAGAGAGAAGAACAGAAAATAAAAGGCAGAGGTTCTGGTAATCTTGCCTAGGCTGCTTTTAAAACTGTTGGATTAAAAAGAGTTGAAAATAACCAATGCAGTTTATATTTCTAGTGGTCCTACCCTGTCTAATCTCTGAATTTTTAATGCCAGTGTTTCATTTCTTTTTATTGCCAAATAGTATTCCACTGTGTGGATATACATTGTGTTTATTCATCAGCTGATGGACATATAGATTGTTTCCATTTTTGACTATTATTAATAATGTTGCTATGAACAATCATGTACACATTTTTATATGAACTTACATTTTCATATCTCTTGGGGATATACCAAGGAGTAAGACTGCTGGGTCAAATGATAATTCTGTTTAAACTGTTTTCCAAGGTGGCTGTATTGTATCATTCTAGATCCCACCAGCAATGTATGAAGGTTACAATTGCTCCACATTCTTACCAACACTTGTCTTTTAGATATTAGCCACTCTAGTATGTAGGAAATAGTATTTCACTGTGGTTTTGACTTGCATTTCTCTAATGACTAATGATGTTGAACCTCTTTTTCATGTGCTTATTTGCTATTTGTTTATCTTCTTTGGAGAAATTTCTTTCTTTCAAATCTTGTCTATTTTTAATTGGAGTATTTGCTTTTTTATTGAATTCTTCATATATTGTAGACACAAGTCCCTTATCAGATATACAATTTGAAAATATTTTCTCCAATTCTGTATGTTGTCTTTTCACTTTGAAGCACAAAAACTTTTCATTCTGATGAGGTCCAATTTATCTTTTTTTGTTGTTTGTTGATATGCTTTTGATATCATATTTAAGACACCTAGCCCAAGGTCACAGAGATGTACGCCTATATTTCTTCCAAGATTTTTGTAGTTTCAGCTCTTACATTTGGGTCTTTGACCCATTTTGAGTTAACTTTTGGATATGATATGTGGTAGGGATAAAATTTCATTATTTTGTATGTGGATGTCCAATTGACACAGCATCATTTTTTGAAGAGACTATTCTTTCTCCCATTAAAGGTTCTTGGCGCTCTTGTCAAAAAATCAGTTGGCTATGTGAGACTTTACTTCTGGGCCTTTAATTCGGTTCCATTGATCTGCATGTCTGTCATTATGCCAATATCACACTGTCTTGACTACTGTAGCTTCATATTAAGTTTTGAAATTGGGAAGTGTGTCTTGGAACTTTGTTTTTCCATTTTAAGATTGTTTCGGCTATTCTGGGTCCCTTGCACTCCCATATGAATTTTAGGATCAGCTTGTAAATTTCTCAAAAAAAAAACAACAAAAAAACAAGCCAGCTACAATTTTGATAAAGATTGGGTTCAATCTGTAGATCAATGTGGGTAGTGGTGGAATCATAACAATAGTAAATCTGATCCATGCACTCAGGATGTCTTTCCATTTATATAGATCTTTAATATCTTTCAACAATGTTTTGTAGTTTTTGGTATATAAGTCTCATACTACTTCAAATTTCTTTTAATAGTGATGGGGTATTGCTATGTTGGCCAGGTTAGTCGTGAACTCCTGACCTCAAGCAATCCTCCCACCTTGGCCTCCCAAAGTGCTAGGATTATAGGCATAAGCCACCCCGCCCAGACTAAATCTATTTCTGAGTATTTTATTCTTTTGGATGCAACTGTAAATGGAATTGTTTCTTAATTTTTGGAATGTTCATTGCTAGTGAATAGAAATACAATTGATTTCTGTGTGTTGATATTATATCCTGAAACCTTGCTAAATCCATTTACTAGCCTCAATAGTTTGGTTGTGGACTTAGGATTTTCTATATACACAAGATCATGTTATTTGGGAATAGAGACAGTTTTATGTCTTCCTTTCCAATATGGATGTCATTTATCTTTTTTATTGTCCAACTGCCCTGGCTAGAACCTCCAGTACAATGTTAAACAGATGTGCTGACAGCAGACATCCTTATCTTGTGCCTGATCTTTGGGGGAAATTATTTGTCTTTCACCATTTTTAAAAATTTTTATTTTATTATTTTTTTTGAGACAGGGTCTTGCTCTATCGCCCAGGCTAGAGTGCAGTGGCACAATTACAACTCACTGCAGCCTCGAACTCCTGGACTCAAGTGATCCTTCCACCTCAGCCTCCCAAATAACTGGGATTACAGACATGTGCCACCAGACCTGGCTAATTCTTCTTTCTTTTTTTTTGTAGAGAAGTTTCACCATGTTGCTCAGGCTGGTCTTGAACTCCTGAGCTCAAGCAATCCACCCACCTTGGTCTCCCAAAGCGCTGGGATTGCAGGCATGAACTACCACACCCAGCCTAGCCTTTCACCATTAATACGAAATTAGCCTTGAGATTTTCACAGAAGCCCTTTATTAGGTTGAGGAAATTCTCATCTATTCCTAGTTTGTTGAGTATTTTTATCATGAAAGGGTGTTGGAGTTTGTCAAATGCCTTCTCTGTTTCTGTTGAGATGATCCTGTGGTTTTTGTCCTTTATTCTTACTATGGTGTATTTCACTGATGAATTTTCAGATGTTAAACTAAGCTTATTCCAGGGATAAATCTCACTTAGTCATGGTGTATAATTCTTTTTAGATGTTGCTGAATTTGGTTTGATAATATTTTGTTGAGGATAATATATGTTTTTGTTACTTAACATTTTACCACTAGCATTTTCCTCTTTTAATATTCTTCTGAAATATAAATTTTAGTATATATATCTACCATAATGTATTTTCTTATAAGACATTTAGGGCACTTCCAATCATCCATTTATAAAAATGTATTTGTAGTACACATTTCTGTTCATAAATTTCTGCCCTATTTTCTGATCATTTCCTTTAAAGAGTTTTCTAGAATGATCACTGGATTAATGCATATAATAATTTATTTAGATTCATTCATAATGCCAAACTACCTTCCGGGAAGATCATATCAATTTATAGTCTCAATATGCAATAAAATGCCAATTTCACTATCTCCTTGCTAACATCAACCCTTATAAAAAATTTTGTTAGTTCAAAAAATAAATGATAGTATTTCTCATATTAGGGATATAAATTTCTTGGATAAACTATCTATTCAAGAACAACTGAACCACTGAACTAAATGAGTGCAATGCTATTTTTTAACAATTTTTATGTGAAACAGGATCACAGCAGGAGAAAACAGACACAAATATCTAGCTGATTCACATTACAGTAAAACCCCTTTTAAAACTACTTTCACTATATTGGAATAAGATACTTTTTTAGTGACCAGTTCCTATAACCAGTTCATAACACAGTTTACCAAAAGGAATTTCCCCCAAATACATTAAATTTTTTTCTCTTTGTTCCTTCAAGCCACATATTTTCATTGGAAACTTAACGACCTTAGTTTTTCAGGTAGCAAGAATATTTTTAAAGGAATGTAAAAGGCACATCATTTCAGGTCACATAAAGTATAGAGATTTTAATCAAATCAATACTTTTTAATGCCTTCTTAAAAAATCCACTGTTAAGTTAGATAGAAGTATATATAGTACATGGCACTTTCTTCCCCTGAAACTTGACTAAGTTGATATTTTGAACAGCACAGTGCCATGAGATGGCTACCAGAGATTCTGCCTTTTTGGGAAAAGATCAACTATTCTACCTATTGGCACACAGCAATTCTTTTTACATTAAGAAAAAAAAGAAAAGAGCTCCAATATGGAGATCAGTTATCCTTAAAGTAAATGAGGGAACATCTACTGCTACTACTATCTTTTCCAAAACTTGCTTACATTACTAAAAAACAGTGGCACTTTCTCTGAACACTTAATTTCTGTAGGAATCACAAGCAACCAAGTCTTATCTATGTTTGTTTCTCTAAAACGTAGCAGAGCTTCTGTCATATCATTAGCCCCAATTAATAATTGTTTGTAAAAGGAATAAACCTAACAGTAACAGCAAATTAGCCAGGTAAGATTTTTAGTTTTGAAACTAAGTAACTGACATGTCTTGCCTTTGTGACCTTAGAGAAGGCAAAGGTCATGGGACAAATAGCTCTATATTTTAAATTCAAAGTATAAAGAAAACAGACCAGCTACTATTATGGTCATTCTACAAGTAATATCTCTTCCTGGAACTACCTACAAAAAACATACCAGGTACTACCTTTTTTCCTTATCTTGCTATTGGGATTATCCCTTGCTCTAATTTCAAATTGAAACATTCTAACACTTAATACATGTGCTCTCAAAAATCTGATCTTACACGAAGCAAATGACTACAAGTGTGTGGAAAGAAATAATTCATAAGACCCACAAAAGTAATTTCGTCTAACTCTTTAAACCATGTCTTCTGAGACAAAAATAGATTGTCATAAAAACTCATATTTACTTAAGATTTTACCTTTACAGTAGACTGGAAGCATGATATTCTCTGAACTTGTCTGGTAGTATCACCATCCCACACCTAAATTTATGTTAAGAAATAATTTCTAAACAGAATTTTAAAATCTTAATTATAACTTTTCTAATTAACAATTAAGCCACAAATGTTAAGCAGTTAGAAAATCTTTAAATCAAACATAAAATATTTAGTGTTTATACCACCACAAAAATGAATTCATATAGTGAGTCATCAACTTAGCAAAGCAGGCTTATAATCTAAAATAAGTTTGAGGTAAATTTTACTATCAAATTATTTGAAAATGCCAACATAATGAATGGTCTGAAGTACTGAATCTTTACAAGCACTAAATATTCCAACTGTTTAAAGTTTATTCTCCAGAATAGCCCACCATAATCTAATAAGCATAAAGTACTTATACCAAAAACTATCATGTCCATTAATATTTACTGAAAGCTCCCTATAATATGGATAGCATGATTTACTACTGTTATCTTGATTCGAGAAGACACTAACAGTGTATTACTATTACCTGTATGTGCATTTAATATAATCAGAGGGCCTCTCATAAAACATCCAAGTTCAGTTTGACTTAAGCACAGTGATTTTCAAACTTTTACACCATTTCCTATAGTAAGAAATACATTTTACACCATGTCTGAAAACACATTTACATACATGTATGTACTACGTATACAAATGTATATGCATGTATTAAAAATTGAAACTAATTTCACAAACTAGTTAACCTTATCATGGCCAATGCCTTTTGTTATATTTTTATTATACAGATGTGCCTTGACTTAAAGTAGTTATGTCCCACAATAAACCCATTCTAAGTGGAAAATATCCTAAGTCAAAATGCATTTAACACATCTATCAAACATCATAGCTTAGCCTGGCCTAACTTATATGTGCTCAGAACACTTACATAAGCCTATAGTTGGGCAAAAAAAAAAGTCATCTGGCAACACAGTACACTGTAGAGTAAGGCTGTTTACCCTTGTGATCTTATAGCTGACTAGGAAGGAGCTGCAGCTCCAGGCTGCTGCTGCCCAGCACTGGGAAAGACTATCATCCCATGCATCACTAGTGTGAGAAAATATCAGACTTCAAAATTCAAAGTACAGTTTCTACTTAATGCACCTCCCTTTCACACCATCATAAAGTTGAAAAACTGTAAGTCAAACCACCCTAGGTTGGGGACCATCTATATTCTATGTCATGCTTTAGATGGAGCTAGATTATCATGAGAATTACATTTTATGTATATAACACACTAAAACTGCTAGCATACAAAAAATGCTCCCAGTAATTAGGAAATGTTTTCTGGCCTTATATTTACCAGAATTCTAGTAGTATCTCACAGCCTTTTCACTTATTTCACTATTCACAAGCAGAACATTTAATATTCAGTAACCTGAGCTCCTAAGGCTATCGCTTTAAAAAATTATCTACCTTCAGTATTTAATTAAGGAAGTTAGTTTTTACAGGTTGGGTATCCCTTATCCAAAATGCTTAAGACCAGAAGTGTTTCTGATTTTTTTTGGATTTTGGAATATGTGCATATACCTAATGAGCTATCTTGGGGACTGAACCCAAGTCTAAACACAAAATTCATTTATTTTTCATATACACCTTATACATATAGCCTGAAGGTAGTTTTATACAATATTTTTGGTAATTTTGTGCGTTAAACAAAATTTTGACTGCAACCTGTCACATGATGTCAGGTATAAGATTTTCCACTTGTGGCATCACGTCAGTGCTTAAAAGGTCTTGGATTTTGGAGCATTTCAGATTTTGGATTTTCAGATTAGGGATGCTCAACCTGTAGTAAAAACCCAAGCAGAGTAAATTTAGAATTCATTTGGGTAAGAGAGACTGCCAAATAAGCGGCCTAGAATTTTTTTCTAACAACAAAAATCACTCAGCAAAGGAAATGAGTCCATACTATCATTTACAGGTAAAATTCATAGTGACACTGTACCAGCTACTAACTTCTGTATGTAATTTTAATCACTGCCTCAAAATATTGCTATAGTGTCTTAGGAGTGGTCTAATAGAGTATTTTAAATTCTATTTTTGCAAAGATTACACTGATACTGAAAAAGAGAGCTTTATCCCATATTTGCCTCTACAGAGTAGTAATAAAGCAACTCTGACCTAACCATCTGAGAGAATTTTATGCCCTTGTTTACATTGTATCATAATCACACACAAACATACATATATGTGTGTATGTATATATGTATGTATGTATAGAGAGTTTATCCCCATTTAAACCTTTTCTTGACATTTTTTCAGCTATGAACAATCTGTCTAGAAAGCACTTCAGTTGATGAACTCATTTAAAGCATGTTCAAGTCTGTATCTTGGTTCTGTAAGAGCCTAAGAAACACCTATACTTTTGGGCTTACTCCAAAACTTCACCAATGCTTGAAAGTGTTTACACAGAACTTTCAGATAAGCATATACTTTTAAAAATTAATATGACCGGAAACAGTGGCTCATGCCAGTAATCCCAGCACTTTGGGATGCCAAGGCGGGCAGATCACGAAGTCAGGAGTTCGAGGCCAGCCTGGCCAATATGGTGAAACCCCGTCTCTACTAAAAATACAAAAAAATTAGCCGGACGTGGTGGCAGGCGCCTGTAGTCCCAGCTACTTGGGTGGCTGAGGCAGAAGAATCACTTGAACCTGGGAGGTGGAGGCTGCAGTGAGCCGAGATTGTGCTACTGCACTCCAGCTTGGGCAACAGTGAGATTCTGTCTAAAAAAAAAAAAAAATTAATCTGACAACCTCTTTTAAAAAAATAAAAGTAATGAAAGACAACAGTTATCCATAGCACTTGACTCTGGACTTCACCAAGCCAATTCCTCATACAGATATTAAAGGGCTGAGTTTGTTTACAGAAAACATTTTATGAAGTGCAGTGGTTCGGGGCTCTGACTCTGCAGTCAGACTTGCCAGTTCTGCCCTACACTGGCTGTGTGCCTTGGGAAAGTTACTTAGCCTCTGTGTGACTCTATTTTTTTCATCTGTAAATAAGAATAATTAAAAATAAGGCCGGGCGCAGTGGCTCATGCCTATAATCCCAGCATTGTGGGAGGCCAGGGTGGGTGGATCACCTAAGGTCAGGAGTTCGAGACCAGCCTGACCAACAGAGTGAAACCCCATCTCTACTAAAAATACAAAATTAGCTGGGCGTGGTGGCACAGGCCTGTAATCCCAGCTACTCGGGAGTCTGAAGCAGGAGAATCGCTTGAACCCAGGAGGCAGAGGTTGCAGTGAGTAAAGATCACGCCATTGCACTCCAGCCTGGGCAATAAGAGTGAAACTCCGTCTCAAAAAAAAAAAAAAAAAAGAATTAAAAATACCTATGTCAAAGGGCTAATTTTAAAGATTAAATGAGTTAATATATGTAAAACAATTAGAACAATGCCTGTTACACATAAGCACTTTACTACTGCTATCCCATCTTAACTTTTTACCTAAAAGTATGGGTAAAGAAAAAGTAATTTTACTTTTATAAAATTGTTTTTAATTATTAAATATTACACACTGAACAAACAGTAATTCACTTTTCTATCAGACTCAGATGCTCCAAAGATTTTTATGGGTTGGGACCATTTGGTTTCTTCTGCTGTATAGTGGGGAAAAAAAATGTAAATTATTCTCCAGTCCAACTCATCGTTGTTTCCCTAAATTGAAAAGCAAACTGAGATAGTAAAATAAATTATTTTTAAGTCCACATTTTCCCATTTCATCAATTTTATACAACCTGATAGAGTAACTCTGGAAAGAACAGCAATAGTCACGGAGTTTCCATCAATAACAAGCCTTAACCTCCTATTTCCAGTCTAATACTTTTCAGATACCTAATAAATGGTATCTTATAAGTAACAGAACAAAAATCATTTTTGCTATAACAAGAATATACAGACAAGACCCTATCAGCTAAAGACTAATAGTGTATGTAGTGGCTCCTTAGGCCACTACAGCTTGTTCATTTCTTCCAGATTAAAGGATACAATAACTGTTCTATCAGCAGAGGCTGTCAAGATGAGTTGATTTTTCTCTTCACAAGATTCCAAGGAAGGAAATGTAATAATAGCTGTTATCTTTTGAGTGTGTCCATTCAGTTCTAAAAGTTTTTCCCCTGTCTGAAATACCAATAAAAATGTTAATAGGCTTAGCTTTCACAATTTAGATAATCATAAATGACTACATTAAGTACAACTACCATATAGAAGATACATATACATTCCATTTAAAATTACTTATTCAGAATTTAACTTAAGCAATCACACAGAATCTAAACAAGCACTGAAAGTACAGCCATAACTATAGTTTTATTTTCTAAAACAAAATGCTAATTTTTAGTATATTTTTATAGAAAATTTTGAGTATTTTTTTCTATAAATTTAAAAATATAATTGTGTAAATTAAGCATAAAAACATCAGTAACTTAGTTTGCAGGAAAAAAATATGGAGTCCTCATTGTCCAAGTATTTGTTATTTAAGTCTCCACAGTTATAAGGTCATAGAAGAAAATAAAAGTCACCATAACAACTGTATATGTACCTACACACAAATAAGTATATATATCCACTCATTTATTAACCACTTAGAAAGTCAGTCTCCACTCCATCGTTATTTAACACCAACATCTATTCCTACCCATCCAGTGTCTTCATCCATCAGTCTCTGACTAATTTACCAAGTAGTAAACATGCAAAAATACAATGTAAATGGCAAATCTTTCCAAGATTGCAGGACTTCGTGAATGTGGTGAAAATAATGTTAAAGAACTGATTTTATCACAGGCAAAGCCATTGAAAAATAAAGATCTGACACAGTCAGACTAGATAACAATCCAAAATTAAGGTGAGAGGAAGATACTTCAAAAAAGAATAATTTGAGTAACAAATGATCAGGAAGGGAGGCTCTGAAGAAACTGGTGAAGCCTTAAGTATTTATTTAAAAAAAAAAGGCTTTTGTAATATTAAGTCAAACATGAGAAAAATGTTACATTATGCTATTACGCAATGTTGAAAGAAAACTTGTGTGTCTCACAAAAATCAACACAATTCATTTATTCATTTTGGAAGTCAGGGCATAGCTAGTGATAACCTAAATTTTGTTAAATAAGATTAAAATTTTGTATTTTTTGAATTTTCATACTTTGGCATTTGTTTCTTAGGAAAAAACTTTTTTTTTTTTTTTTTTTTTTTGAGACAGTCTTGCTGTGTCACCCAGGCTGGAGTGCAGTGGCATGTTCTCGGCTCACTGCAACCTCAGTCTCCCGAGTAACTGGGATTACAGGCATGTGCCACTATGCCCAGCTGATTTCTAGTATTTTTAGTAGAGACGGGGTCTTGCTATGTTGGCCAAGCTGTTCTCAAACTCCTGGCCCCAAGTTATCCGTTCGCCTTGGCCTCCCAAAGTCCTGGGATTACAGGCACGAGCCACCACACCCAGCTGGAAAAAAAATCTCAATTTAAAAAAACTTTCCCTCTTCATTATGAAATACTGGTCCCCACTGTATATGGATTTATCCTAATTAGCTCTTTTCAAATATTAATGTGTCAATTAACAGTGATATGTAAATGTATCCCCAGATAGTATTTATATGAATACATACTCAACTACATCATCATATCTTTATCACACAATCCACACATAATCAATACACACCTGGGCATTCCACACAACTACAATTCCATCATCACCAGCAGATGCAAATCTGGTTAGGGAGAAAGGGTCAAGAAAAAAAAATCACTGGTGACATTTAATTACTAAGATTAAGAACTATCAAACCTTATTAGTGGTATTTTGACTAATATTAACGAAGATCAAGTTATTTCAGCTAATTTAAAAAATATTTATGAAACACATTCCAGCTTCTGTACCAGGTATGGAAGATCAAAAGATAAATAAGACATTTATAAGTTTACAAAGAATAAACTGCTAGAAATGTAAAAATAATCTTTAAAGTCCTTCTTTGCTTTAAAATTCTATGATTTTAAGAAATCCCTGACTTAAGTGAAATGAAACCAAGCTGACAAGTGCCTTCAGTGACAGGAAGTGATATTCTAGGAAGTGATTACGATGTTAAATAAATTCATTACTTCTATTATTCTCTCTGTAAATAATTATTATTTAAAGTCAAGATCTCTCTTTTGCTCAGCTCAACTCCTTAGTCTTTCCACATAAATGCTTTGTTCTTGGTTTGGAAGATTTGAGGATTTTTTAGGGTTTTTTTGTTGCTTTTTAGTGAAGATGCTTGAAATGCACAGGTAAAGCTTGTCTTATGGCATGAAAAATGAGCTGTGATAGTCTGCTATAGCTTCTCTCTCCTTTTTATATCCCATTCACCATATCACAGGGACAATCACCAAATTCTGTAGAGTAGAAGATATTCTGAACATAAACACTATCAAAAGGAATAACCTGTCATACAGGATTATTCATCACCATATTATACTAAAATTCACCATCTTATTATACTAACGCAACAAAGTAGTATAAATAATCACATCATAAGCATGTCAAATAATTTACTGTTAATGTCATCCACAAGTTTGTAAATAATTTTTAATGACTCAGAATCAATTTAAAGTTGTCCCCATAATATTGCTTTCACTCAAATTCAGGCTTTTTTTTTTTTTCAGTATGAGAGAAAGAAGTGGTGTTAAAGAGAGCCAGCTATGAATGACATATAACTGGCCCCTTATAATTAACAGATGCTATGTGAGCATCTGTTCTAATGGATTTTTTACCCCTTTATGAGATAACAAAATCCCACTATTTCAGTCATGAAATACTTTCCTTAACACTCCAAACTGAGTTTCATGTTCAAATTTCTTATCTTCAGTTTCAAAGTTCAGTGCCTTCACTGGCTCAGACAATTCCAATACTCAGTTCTTATTTCAAAATCCTTTGAGTACATCTACTACTGGTAGAACCAAGATTATTCAGGAGACATGAAATTGATCAAATACAGTCTGACAGTCTTTTAATAATTTTTAAATACAGAACTACCTATCTTTTTAACAGAATGGACCTGTTAAATTTAGGTAACTAGCTAAAAATCACAAAGAGTTATTTTTAAATCCATGCCTATCATTTATTCTTATTTTAAAATGTAACATATAAAAGATCCGGAGATTAAAAAGAAAATGATCATTTTTAAAATAAAAATAGATTTCCTATGCTTAATTATCTACATTTTCTCAATCAGATTAGTAAATAGTACCTTGAATATCAAAAATAGTTGCTGGAAATAAATCTTTAGCAGCTTATGTTTCTGGGCCTATTGATTTCTTTTTATTTGTATAGTGATGGTGGGGAGGGCAGGACTCAAGGTCTTAAGTGTTCTTTGGTATAAAACATCAATTTCTATTGATTCTTTAAACTTAAAATTGCATTTAGAAGACAGCAAGTTTAAAATACATACTTTTTTTCTAACCCTAATTTTTAACTTCTTATGATTGTTTTATCATGTTTGACTTTCATGAGTTCACAATGAGAGATGACTGAGAACAGCTGAGAGTTTAGAAATGGGATATAGAGCATTTAACCTCAAACTTTAATTCAATCAGTAGGGAACAAAAGTTAAATCTAAATAAGGCTCAATAGTAATGCATGAAATCACAGTCAATTTTTTATTGCTGCAAGGTCAATTACCTGGTTGGTAGATTATTCAGGCCTTCTATTCTTATATATATTCTATTGCTACCATTTTTTTTTTTTTTTTGCCATTTCAGTATTTATTACTACCTCCCCTAAAGAGGAAACATTAAGCTTTAAAATACAAACCAGTATAACTTTGACACATATTAGTACCTGTCATAAAAAAACTAATAAAGGGTTGAGATATCATTCACAAATTACAATTACCCATCCTATTATGATGGATAACAAAAAACTAGCTATACTTTATCAGTTTATCTTAAACTAAATCCTAGTCAGTCAAGCATACACTTCAACCATCTCCAAATCAGAAATGGAAATACAACCCAAGAATTCCTAATTGTAAGGTATAGTGTAACTGCTGAAAAGAAGTAATGAACTATAAAATAAAAAAAGGATTAAAATGTCAATAAAGTTTAAGCTATTCTATCCAATGGAAGAATAGTAATATTGCCAGATAACATTTTACATACTAATTTTTAAAAACATTCTAAAGTAACAGAAAGCAAAAACTTAAGCCTAAAGATAAGATTTTGAGAGAAATGTTTCTTTACCGATTAGCAAAAAATGTATTCAGTGTGATTCCGTGCTAGGAGTTAGGGAAATGTGAAGACACCTTACATGTGGTTCTTGCTTTGAGATCTTAAAACTTTATGATTGTTTAGAAATGTACCGTATTTCATCAAATCTAAGACATCAATTGTAAGACACTCTTATTTTATTTACCATTAAGGAAAACATACTGCCAATTACAATTGAAACACACAATTATATGATGTGTCCAAATTTTAGAGATGTCAAAATAGAAAAAAATATGCTTCTTAGAATCATGAACTCTAAGAATTACCATATTTATTGATCTTTATCTTTATAACATGGCACTTGCCAGTCTAATGAATCTCTGATTATCTCTGGCAGGTTTTAAGTGCTAAAGAAATGCTTGTTGAATGAATAAGTGAATGCATAAGCAAACATTTAAGTGTTCAAGGGCTCTGTGAAATAGATTGATTAATGATGGCAATGTAACCCCATATTTTCCTTTTATCATAATTAATGTAAATATACTACCACAAAAAATAGAAACTTAAAAATTTAAAACCCAGAATCCCTACCACACAAAAATAAATTTCTATATTTTTTCATATTCCTGTCCAATTCTTATCCATATACTTCAGGTTTTTTCTTTAACTTAAAACCAAGTCCAAGATCACACCACTCTCCAGCCTGGACAACAGAGCAAGACTCCATCTCAAAAAAAACACAAAAAACAAAAAAAACCCAAGTTGTTAAAAATACTCCTTGAGACTACACAATTAAATGACTAAGCAAAACTTACATTCATGAAAAACAAGTTCAACAAGGTGAAACATGGTTTAACAAAGACCTATGGCAGACCTCCTAGAATGTTTCATCCTCTCATCCCCTAATTATGAGAACTAAATTTATTATGATAGTCCATAAGTCACTCGGTAATTCAATACTTACTAAGCACTAACTATATAGATGCTTAAACCTAAGAATAAAGATCAAGAGATTGTTCTTGCCATTCAAGAACTCACAGTCCAACATTACCATGTGATGCTATAGGGTCTAGATCATGAGTCCTTAGAGAATTCTCACTTACAACCATCTTAATGTATAAAAATAATTCCCTCTAAACATCTTCTCTTTGAACATCTCTGAGAAAGTATTCTCTCGTTCCTTCCAACAGTGGGCTGAAAACTACAGCAAAGCTTAATAAAGATTTGTAAAAAATAAATTGTTTTCACAATAATTCTTATGTCCAATAGCTAAATGCTCATTTAATAGTTCTTACTCATGTGAAGGCCTTTCAACTAAGTGAAGGTCCCAAAAATTCAAATGTTACCTTAAAGGACATAAAAAGTATAGTCCATAAACCTGAACCATAAATCTTCCTGTATTCAATGTCTACATAAGGCACTGAAAAAATAAAAATCTTAATACGACATTATTATGGCAGTACAGGCACCCCAGTGGTTAACTTTCCACCTAACCTGCAAGTACTTTCTAATGCATGATAAAACTAAAATACTATACAGTTTCCATGATCATCTCATCATTTTTTTTGTACAGTAAGACGCAGGATCTAAATAAGGTCTATATAGCACAACTGCTTGATATATCTCTAAAGTCTCTTTTTTCTATGGTTTTGTTCTCCATCTTTTTCTTCCTTGCAATCTTTTTGTTGAAAAAAGTTGTCTCTCTTCAACCCAAATGTCTATCAATGATAGACTGGATTAAGAAAATGTGGCACATATACACCATGGAATACTATGCAGCCATAAAAAGGGATGAGTTCACGTCCTTTGTAGGGACATGGATGAAACTGGAAACCATCATTCTCAGCAAACTATCGCCAAGGACAAAAAACCAAACACCACATGTTCTCACTCATAGGTGGGAACTGAAGAATGAGAACACTTGGACACAGGAAGGGGAACATCACACACCAGGGCCTGTCGTGGGGTGGGGGTAGGGGGGAGGGATAGCATTAGGAGACATACCTAATGTAAATGATGAGTTAATCGGTGCAGCACACCAACACGGCACATGTATACATATGTAACAAACCTGCATGTTGTGCACATGTACCCTAGTTGTCTCTCCTGTATAATTCTCACAGCCCAGATTTTGCTGACTACTTTCCTCTGTTGTCATCTAACATGCACCTCTGTATTCTGTATTTTTAGAAAACTGATCCTTAAATCTACAGACTTAATCCAATTCAAATCTGACTCTTTGGTAAGACCATTTCATAAGCAGTTTGTATACTCCATTAGGAAACAAATTTCTGGCAGTCATTTTTGCGTGTGTGTGATGTTAACACCCATCAATAATCACTGCCTGAAGTCATTATTACATTTACAATAAAATAACATTGAAAAAATGCTAAGGGTATCAGTGATGGAAGATCAAATGAATGAAATGAAGTGAGAAGAGAAATTTAGAGAAAAAAAGGATAAAAAGAAACAAAGCCTCCAAGAAATATGGGACTATGTGAAAAGACCAAATCTACGTCTGATTGGTGTAACTGAAAGTGACAGGGAGAATGGAACCAAGTTGGAAAACACTCTGCAGGATATTATACAGGAGAACTTCTCCAATCTAGCAAGGCAGGCCAACATTCAGATTCAGGAAATACAGAGAACGCCACAAAGATACTCCTCGAGAAGAGCAACTCCAAGACACATAATTGTCAGATTCACCAAAGTTGAAATGAAGGAAAAAATGTTAAGGGCAGCCAGAGAGAAAGGTCGGGTTACCCACGAAGGGAAGCCCATCAGACTAACAGCAGATCTCTTGGCAGAAACTCTACAAGCCAGAAGATAATGGGGGCCAATATTCAACATTCTTAAAGAAAAGAATTTTCAACCCAGAATTTCATATCCAGCCAAACTAAGCTTCATAAGTGAAGGAGAAATAAAATACTTTACAGACAAGCAAATGCTGAGAGATTTTGTCACCACCAGGCCTGTCTTAAAAGAGCTCCTGAAGGAAGCACTAAACATGGAAAGGAACAACCGATACCAGCCACTGCAAAAACATGCCAAATTGTAAAGACCATCGAGGCTAGGAAGAAACTGCATCAACTAACAAGCAAAATAACCAGCTAACATCATAATGACAGGATCAAATTCACACATAACAATATTAACCTTAAATGTAAATGGGCTAAATGCTCCAATTAAAAGACACAGACTGGCAAATTGGATAAAGAGTCAAGACCCATCAGTGTGCTGTATTCAGGAAACCCATCTCATGCACGGAGACACACATAGGCTCAAAATAAAGGGATAGAGGAAGATCTACCAAGCAAATGGAAAACAAAAAAAGGCAGGGGTTGCAATCCTACTCTCTGATAAAACAGACTTTAAACCAACAAAGATCAAAAGAGACAAAGAAGGCCATTACATCATGGTAAAGGGATCAATTCACAAGAAGAGCTAACTATCCTAAATATATATGCACCCAATACAGGAGCACCCAGATGAATAAAGCAAGTCCTTAGAGACCTAGAAAGAGACTTAGACTCCCACACAATAATAATGGGAGACTTTAACACCCTACTGTCAACATTAGACAGATCAACAAGACAAAGTTAACAAGGATATCCAGGAATTGAACTTAGCTCTGCACCAAGCAGACCTAATAGACATCTACAGAACTCTCCACCCCAAATCAACAGAATATACATTCTTCTCAGCATCACACCACACTTATTTCAATATTGACCACATAGTTGGAAGTAAAGCACTCCTCAGCAAATGTAAAAGAACAGAAATTATAACAAAATGTCTCTCAGACCACAGTGCAATCAAACTAGAACTCAGGATTAAGAAACTCACTCAAAACCGTTCAACTACATGGAAACTGAACAACCTGCTCCTGAATGACTACTGGGTACATAACAAAGTGAAGGCAGAAATAAAGATGTTCTTTGAAACCAACAAGAACAAAGACACAACATACCAGAATCTCTAGGACACATTCAAAGCAGTGTGTAGAGGGAAATTTATAGCACTAAATGCCCACAAGAGAAAGCAGGAAAGATCTAAAATTGACACCCTAACATCACAATTAAAAGAACTAGAAAAGCAAGAGCAAACACATTCGAAAGCCAGCAGAAGGCAAGAAATAACTAAGATCAGAGCAGAACTGAAGGAAATAGAGACACAAAAAACCCTTCAAAAAATTAATGAATCCCGGAACCGGTTTTTTGAAAAGATCAACAAAATTGATAGAACGCTAGTAAGACTAATAAAGAAGAAAAGAGAGAAGAATCAAATAGACGCAATAAAAAATGATAAAGGGGATATCACCACCAATCCCACAGAAATACAAACTACCATCAGAGAATACTAAAAACACCTCTATGCAAATAAACTAGAAAATCTAGAAGAAATGGATAAGTTCCTTGACACATACACCCTCCCAAGACTAAACCAGGAAGAAGCTGAATCTCTGAATAGACCAATAACAGGATCTGAAATTGACGCAATAATTAATAGCTTACCAACCAAAAAAAAATCCAGGACCAGATGGATTCACAGCCGAATTCTACCAGAGGTACAAGGAGAAGCTGGTACCATTCCTTCTGAAACTACTCCAATCAACAGAAAAAGAGGGAATCCTCCTTAACTCATGAGGCCAGCATCATCCTGATACCAAAGCCGGGCAGAGACATAACCAAAAAAGAGAATTTTAGACCAATAACCCTGATGAACATTGATGCAGAAATCCTCAGTAAAATACTGGCAAACCGAATCCAGCAGCACATCAAAAAGCTTATCCACCATGATCAAGTGGGCTTCATCACTGGGATGCAAGGCTGGTTCAATATACGCAAATCAATAAACATAATTCAGCATATAAACAGAACCAAAGACAAAAACCATATGATTATCTCAACAGATGCAGAAAAGGCCTTTGACAAAATTCAACAACTCTTCATGCTAAAAACTCTCAATAAATTAGGTATGGATGGGACATATCTCAAACTAATAAGAGCTATCTGTGACAAACCCACAGCCAATATCATACTGAATGGGCAAAAACTGGAAGCATTCCCTTTGAAAACTGGCACAAGACAGGGATGCCCTCTCTCACCACTCCTATTCAACATAGTGTTGGAAGTTCTGGCCAGGGCAATTAGGCAGGGGAAGGAAATAAAGGGTATTCAATTAGGAAAAGAGGAAGTCAAATTGTCCCTGTTTGCAGATGACATGATTGTATATCTAGAAAACCCCATTGTCTCAGCCCAAAACCTCCTTAAGCTGATAGGCAACTTCAGCAAAGTCTCAGGATACAAAATCAATGTGCAAAAATCACAAGCATTCTTTTACACCAATAACAGACAGAGAGCCAAATCATGAGTGAACTCCCATTCACAATTGCTTCAAAGAGAATAAAATACCTAGGAATCCAACTTACAAGGGATGGGAAGGACCTCTTCAAGGAGAACTACAAACCACTGCTCAATGAAATAAAAGAGGATACAAACAAATGGAAGAACATTCCATGCTCATGGGTAGGAAGAATCAATATCGTGAAAATGGCCATACTGCCCAAGGTAATTTATAGATTCAATGCCATCCCCATCAAGCTACCAATGACTTTCTTCACAGAATTGGAAAAAACTACTTTCACGTTCATATGGAACCAAAAAACAGCCCGCATTGCCAAGTCAGTCCTAAGCCAAAAGAACCAAGCTGGAGGTATCAGGCTACCTGACTTCAAATTATACTACAAGGCTACAGTAACCAAAACAGCATGATACTGGTACCAAAACAGCATGATACTGGTACCAAAAACAGAGATATAGACCAATGGAATAGAACAGAGCCCTCAGAAATAACGCCGCATATCTACAACCATCTGATCTTTGACAAACCTGACAAAAACAAGAAATGGGGAAAGGATTCCCTATTTAATAAATGGTGCTGGGAAAACTGGCTAGTCATATGCAGAAAGCTGAAACTGGATCCCTTCCTTACACCTTCTACAAAAATTAATTCAAGATGGGTTAAACACTTAAATGTTAGACCTAAAACCATAAAAACCCTAGAAGAAAACCTAGGCAATACCATTCAGGACATAGGCATGAGCAAGGACTTCATGTCTAAAACACCAAAAGCAATGGCTACAAAAGCCAAAATTGACAAATGGGATCTAATTAAACTAAAGAGCTTCTGCAAAGCAAAAGAAACTACCATCAGAGTGAACAGGCAACCTACAGAATGGGAGAAAATTTTTGTAATCTACTCATCTGACAAAGGGCTAATATCCAGAATCTACAATGAACACCAACAAATTTACAAGAAAAAAATAAACAACCCTATCAACAAGTGGGTAAAGGATATGAACAGACACTTCTCAAAAGAAGATATTTATGCAGCCAAAAGACACATGAGAAAATGCGCATCATCACTGGCCATCAGAGAAATGCAAATCAAAACCACAATGATATACCATCTCACACCAGTTAGAATGGCGATCATTAAAAAGTCAGGAAACAACAGATGCTGGAGAGGATGTGGAGAAACAGGAACACTTTTACACTGTTGGTGGGACTTCAACCATTGTGGAAGTCAGTGTGGCGATTCCTCAGGGATCTAGAACTAGAAATACCATTTGACCCAGCAATCCCATTACTGGGTATATACCCAAAGGATTATAAATCATGCTGCTATAAAGACACATGCACACGTGTGTTTATTGCGGCACTGTTCACAATAGCAAAGACTTGGAACCAACCCAAATGTCCAACAATGATAGACTGGATTAAGAAAATGTGGCACATATACACCATGGAATACTATGCAGCCATAAAACATGATGAGTTCATGTCCTTTGTAGGGACATGGATGAAGCTGGAAACCATCATTCTCAGCAAACTATGGCAAGGACAAAAAACCAAACACCGCATGTTCTCACTCATAGGTGGGAACTGAACAATGAGAACACATGGACCCAGGAAGGAGAACATCACACACCAGGGCCTGTTGTGGGGTGGGGGGAGTGGGGAGGGATAGCATTTGGAGATATAACTAATGTTAAAATGATGAGTTACTGGGTGCAGCACACCAACATGGCACATGTACACATATGTAACTAACCTGCACATTGTGCACATGTACCCTAAAACTTAAAGTATAACAACAAAAAAAATCACAATTTTCATTTAAAGTATATGTTTGTATGCTAGAACTACTTGAAGAAAATTAGAGAAGCATCCAGATAGGGACTTGTAAAGGAGTTGAAGGAAACGTCAAAGCATTTTCAGGAGCCATAGATGCTGACGCAACCAATTCCTTAATTAGATCTACTTCAACAATTTCTTTTCCTTAAAAAAGAATGTATTATATTAACATGACTCTAACATCTAAAAGTCTAAGGTCCTTTTTTAGCTCACAAACAAAGATTGCATAGTTCCCATGGTTATTTGCAAAGGTAAAACATTTGGTAAGTTCTTCCCTTCCCAAATCACAGATAGAAAGCTAAACTACACATCAAGATTACAGTAGGAGGAGGAGCCAAGATGGCCCAATAGGAACAGCTCCGGTCTACAGCTCCCAGCGTGAGCGACGCAGAAGACGGGTGATTTCTGCATTTCCATCTGAGGTACCGGGTTCGTCTCACTAGGGAGTGCCAGACAGTGGGCGCAGGTCAGTGGGTGCGTGCACCGTGCGCGAGCCGAAGCAGGGCGACGCATTGCCTCACTCGGGAAGCTCAAGGGGTCAGGGAGTTCCCTTTCCTAGTCAAAGAAAGGGGTGACAGACGGCACCTGGAAAATCGGGTCACTCCCACCCTAATACTGCGCTTTTCCGACGGGCTTAAAAAACGGCGCACCAGGAGATTATATCCTGCACCTCACTTGGAGGGTCCTACGCCCACAGAGTCTCGCTAATTGCTAGCACAGCAGTCTGAGATCAAACTGCAAGGCAGCAGCCAGGCTGGGGGAGGGGCGCCCGCCATTGCCCAGACTTGCTTAGGTAAACACAGCAGCCAGAAAGCTCCAACTGGGTGGAGCCCACCACAGCTCAAGGAGGCCTGCCTGCCTGCCTCTGTAGGCTCCACCTCTGGGGGCAGGGCACAGACAAACAAAAAGACAGCAGTAACCTCTGCAGACTTAAATGTCCCTGTCTGATAGCTTTGAAGAGAGCAGTGGTTCTCCCAGCACGCAGCTGGAGATCTGACAACGGGCAGACTGCCTCCTCAAGTGGGTCCCTGACCCCTGACCCCCGAGCAGCCTAACTGGGAGGCACCCCCCAGAAGGGAGAGACTGACACCTCACACGGCCGGGTACTCCAACAGACCTGCAGCTGAGGGTCCTGTCTGTTAGAAGGAAAACTAACAAACACAAAGGACATCCACACCAAAAACCCATCTGTACATCACCATCATCAAAGACCAAAACTAGACAAAACCACAAAGATGGGGAAAAAACAGAGCAGAAAAACTGGAAACTCTAAAAAGCAGAGCGCCTCTCCTCCTCCAAAGGAACGCAGTTCCTCACCAGCAACGGAACAAAGCTGGATGGAGAATGACTTTGACAAGCTGAGAGAAGAAGGCTTCAGACGATGAAATTACTATGAGCTACGGGAGGACATTCAAACCAAAGGCAAAGAAGTTGAAAACTTTGAAAAAAAATTTAGAAGAATGTATAACTAGAATAACCAATACAGAGAAGTGCTTAAAGGAGCTGATGGAGCTGAAAACCAAGGCTCCAGAACTACATGAAGAATGCAGAAGCCTCAGAAGCCGATGCGATCAACTGGAAGAAAGGGTATCAGCGATGGAAGATGAAATGAATGAAATGAAGCGAGAAGGGAAGTTTAGAGAAAAAAAGAATAAAAAGAAATGACCAAAGCCTCCAAGAAATATGGGACTATGTGAA
This sequence comes from Homo sapiens, assembly GCF_000001405.40. Lineage (NCBI taxonomy): Eukaryota > Metazoa > Chordata > Mammalia > Primates > Hominidae > Homo > Homo sapiens. The sequence continues at coordinate 77,476,177 of NC_000005.10, forward strand.
AAGACCAAATCTACGTCTGACTGGTGTAACTGAAAGTGACAGGAAGAATGGAACCAAACTGGAAAACACTCTGCAGGATATTATACAGGAGAACTTCCCCAATCTAGCAAGGCAGGCCAACATTCAGATTCAGGAAATACAGAGAACGCCACAAAGATACTCCTCGAGAAGAGCAACTCCAAGACACATAATTGTCAGATTCACCAAAGTTGAAATGAAGGAAAAAATGTTAAGGGCAGCCAGAGAGAAAGGTCGGGTTACCCTCAAAGGGAAGCCCATCAGACTCACAGCGGATCTCCTGGCAGAAACTCTACAAGCCAGAAGACAGTGGGGGCCAATATTCAACATTCTTAAAGAAAAGAATTTTCAACCCAGAATTTCATATCCAGCCAAACTAAGCTTCATAAGTGAAGGAGAAATAAAATACTTTACAGACAAGCAAATGCTGAGAGATTCTGTCACCACCAGGCCTGCTCTAAAAGAGCTCCTGAAGGAAGTGCTAAACATGGAAAGGAACAACCAGTACCAGCTGCTGCAAAATCATGCCAAAATGTAAAGACCATCGAGACTAGGAAGAAACTGCATCAACTAACAAGCAAAATAACCAGCTAACATCATAATGACAGGATCAAATTCACACATAACAATATTAACTTTAAATGTAAATGGACTAAATGCTCCAATTAAAAGACACAGACTGGCAAATTGGATAAAGAGTCAAGACCCATCAGTGTGCTGTATTCAGGAAATCCATCTCACGTGCAGAGACACACATAGGCTCAAAATAAAAAGATGGAGGAAGATCTACCAAGCAAATGGAAAACAAAAAAAGGCAGGGGTTGCAATCCTACTCTCTGATAAAACAGACTTTAAACCAACAAAGATCAAAAGAGATAAAGAAGGCCATTACATCATGGTAAAGGGATCAATTCAACAAGAAGAGCTAACTATCCTAAATATATATGCACCCAATACAGGAGCACCCAGATGAATAAAGCAAGTCCTGAGTGACCTACAAAGAGACTTAGACTCCCACACAATAATAATGGGAGACTTTAACACCCCACTGTCAACATTAGACAGATCAACGAGACAGAAAGCCAACAAGGATACCCAGGAATTGAAATCAGCTCTGCACCAAGCAGACCTAATAGACATCTACAGAACTCTCCACCCCAAATCAACAGAATATACATTGTTTTCAGCACCACACCACACCTATTCCAAAATTGACCACATAGTTGGAAGTAAAGCTCTCCTCAGGAAATGTAGAAGAATAGAAATTATAACAAACTATCTCTCAGACCACAGTGCAATCAAACTAGAACTCAGGATTAAGAATCCCACTCAAAACCGCTCAACTACATGGAAACTGAACAACCTGCTCCTGAATGACTACTGGGTACATAACGAAATGAAGGCAGAAATAAAGATGTTCTTTGAAACCAACGAGAACAAAGACACAACATATCAGAATCTCTGGGACACATTCAAAGCAGTGTGTAGAGGGAAATTTATAGCACTAAATGCCCACAAGAGAAAGCAGGAAAGATCCAAAATTGACACCCTAACATCACAATTAAAAGAACTAGAAAAGCAAGAGCAAACACATTCAAAAGCTAGCAGAAGGCAAGAAATAACTAAAATCAGAGCAGAACTGAAGGACATAGAGACACAAAAAACCCTTCAAAAAATTAATGAATCCAGGAGCTGGTTTTTTGAAAGGATCAACAAAATTGATAGACTGCTAGCAAGACTAATAAAGAAAAAAAGAGAGAAGAATCAAATAGATGCAATAAAAAATGATAAAGGGGATATCACCACTGATCCCACAGAAATACAAACTACCATCAGAGAATATTACAGACACCTCTACGCAAATAAACTAGAAAATCTAGAAGAAATGGATAAATTCCTCGACACATACACCCTCCCAAGACTAAACCAGGAAGAAGTTCAATCTCTGAATAGACCAATAACAGGATCTGAAATTGTGGCAATAATCAATAGTTTACCAACCAAAAAGAGTCCAGGACCAGATGGATTCACAGCCGAATTCTACCAGTGGTACAAGGAGGAACTGGTACAATTCCTTCTGAAACTATTCCAATCAATAGTAAAAGAGGGAATCCTCCCTAACTCATTTTATGAGGCCAGCATCATCCTGATACCAAAGCCGGGCAGAGACATAACCGAAAAAGAGAATTTTAGACCAATATCCTTGATGAACACTGATGCAAAAATCCTCAATAAAATAATGGCAAACCGAATCCAGCAGCACATCAAAAAGCTTATCCACCATGATCAAGTGGGCTTCATCACTGGGATGCAAGGCTGGTTCAATATACGCAAATCAATAAATGTAATCCATCATATAAACAGAACCAAAGACAAAAACCACATGATTATCTCAACAGATGCAGAAAAGGCCTTTGACAAAATTCAACAACACTTCATGCTAAAAATTCTCAATAAATTAGGTATGGATGGGACGTATTTCAAAATAATAAGAGCTATCTATGACAAACCCACAGCCAATATCATACTGAATGGGCAAAAACTGGAAGCATTCCCTTTGAAAACTGGCACAAGACAGGGATGCCCTCTCTCACCACTCCTATTCAACATAGTGTTGGAAGTTCTGGCCAGGGCAATTAGGCAGGAGAAGGAAATAAAGGGTATTCAATTAGGAAAAGAGGAAGTCAAACTGTCCCTGTTTGTAGATGACATGATTGTATATCTAGAAAACCCCACTGTCTCAGCCCAAAATCTCCTTAAGCTGATAAGCAACTTCAGCAAAGTCTCAGGATACAAAATCAATGTGCAAAAATCACAAGCATTCTTATACACCAACAACAAACAGAGAGCCAAATCATGAGTGAACTCCCATTCACAATTGCTTCAAAGAGAATAAAATACCTAGGAATCCAACTTACAAGGGATGGGAAGGACCTCTTCAAGGAGAACTACAAACCACTGCTCAATGAAATAAAAGAGGATACAAACAAATGGAAGAACATTCCATGCTCATGGGTAGGAAGAATCAGTACCGTGAAAATGGCCATACTGCCCAAGGTAATTTATAGATTCAGTGCCATCCCCATCAAGCTACCAATGACTTTCTTCACAGAATTGGAAAAAACTACTTTAAAGTTCATATGGAACCAAAAAAGAGCCCGCATCACCAAGTCAATCCTAAGCCAAAAGAGCAAAGCTGGAGGCATCACACTACCTGACTTCAAACTATACTACAAGGCTACAGTAACCAAAACAGCATGGTACTGGTACCAAAACAGAGATATAGATCAATGGAAAAGAACAGAGCCCTCAGAAATAACGCCGCATATCTACAACTATCTGATCTTTGACAAACCTGACAAAAACAAGAAATGGGGAAACGATTCCCTATTTAATAAATGGTGCTGGGAAAACTGGCTAGCCATATGGAGAAAGCTGAAACTGGATCCCTTCCTTACACCTTATACAAAAATCAATTCAAGATGGATTAAAGACATAAACGTTAGACCTAAAACCATAAAAACCCTAGAAGAAAACCTAACCATTACCATTCAGGACATAGGCATGGGCAAGGACTTCATGTCTAAAACACCAAAAGCAATGGCTACAAAAGCCAAAATTGACAAATGGGATCTAATTAAACTAAAGAGCTTCTGCACAGCAAAAGAAACTACCATCAGAGTGAACAGGCAACCTACAAAATGGGAGAAAATTTTCGCAACCTACTCATCTGACAAAGGGCTAATATCCAGAATCTACAATGAACTCCAACAAATTTACAAGAAAAAAACAAACAACCACATCAAAAAGTGGGCGAAGGACATGAACAGACACTTCTCAAAAGAAGACATTTATGCAGCCAAAAAACACATGAAAAAATGCTCACCATCACTGGCCATCAGAGAAATGCAAATCAAAACCACAATGAGATATCATCTCACACCAGTTAGAATGGCGATCATTAAAAAGTCAGGAAACAACAGGTGCTGGAGAGGCTGTGGGGAAATAGAAACACTTTTACACTCTTGGTGGGACTGTAAACTAGTTCAACCATTGTGGAAGTCAGTGTGGCGATTCCTCAGGGATCTAGAACTAGAAATACCATTTGACCCAGCCATCCCATTACTGGGTATATACCCAAAGGACTATAAATCATGCTGCTATAAAGACACATGCATACGTATGTTTATTGCGGCACTATTCACAATAGCAAGGACTTGGAACCAACCCAAATGTCCAACAATGATAGACTGGATTAAGAAAATGTGGCACATATACACCATGGAATACTATGCAGCCATAAAAAATGATGAGTTCATGTCCTTTGTAGGGACATGGATGAAATTGGAAAACATCATGCTCAGTAAACTATTGCAAGAACAAAAAACCAAACACCACATATTCTCACTCATAGGTGGGAACTGAACAATGAGAACACATGGACACAGGAAGGGGAACATCACACTCTGGGGACTGTTGTAGGGTGCGGGGAGGGGGGAGGGATAGCACTGGGAGATATACCTAATGCTAGATGACGAGTTAGTGGGTGCAGCGCACCAGCATGGCACATGTATACATATGTAACTAACCTGCACATTGTGCACATGTACCCTAAAACTTAAAGTATAATTAAAAAAAAAAAAAAAGATTACAGTATTAGAATACCAAAAAAATCTGTGTGACTTCTATTAGGTGAACCTCCATTCCCCTGCACTCAAGTTTCCATGGAGGACTCCCACTACTAGAGAAACATTCTTGGTCTCTCTCTGCCCCACTTGCTTGAGACAATGAATTAGGCATGCTCAGTTCAGACCCTTGTGGGTTTTCTGGGTTGTTTTTTTTTTTGAGACAAAGTCTCGCCCTGTTGCCCAGGCTGGAGTGCAATGGCGTGATCTCAGCTCACTGCAACTTCTGCCTCTCAGGTTCTAACGATTCTCCTGCCTCAGCTGGGATTACAGGCACCCACGACCACGCATGGCTGATTTTTGTATGTTTAGTAGAGATGGAGTTTCACCATGTTGGGCAGGCTGGTCTCAAACTCCTTACCTTGTGATCCACCCGCCTTGGCCTCCCAAAGTTCTGGGATTACAGGCATGAGCCATCATACCCGGCCCCTTGTGGGTTTTCTGAAGATTCATCTGTTCACAGAGAGGGAACATACTGGTCTGCTCTTATTTTTGAGGTAAGCCTGTATCTGAATGGGAGGCTGGCAACTCTTCAGTTGCCCCAGGGATTCATTGAAATAGTCTACTTGACTCAGGGTGAAGTGTTAAGGAAATCCACTGTGGGTACATATTAAAGCCACATCCTGGCTGGGTTTGGTAGCTCACACCTGTAATCCCAGCACTTTGGGAGGCCGAGGCAGGCGGAACACGAGATCAGGAGTTCGAGACCAGCCTGGCCAATATGGTGAAACCCTGTCTCTATTAAAAATACAAAAATTAGCTCGGTGTGGTGGCACATGCCTGTAGTCCCAGCTACTCGGGAGGCTGAGGCAGAAGAATCGCTTGAACCTGGGAAGCGGTGGTTGGAGTGAACCAAGGTCACACCACTGCACTCCAGCCTGGGCGACAGAGCGAGACTCCGTCTCAAAAAAAAAAAAAAAAAAAAAAAAGAGCCATATCTGGTAATCCAGTTTTGTATCGGTTATTACTTTATGAAGCTGATATGTTCATGTTCATCTGTATGATTCCTACAACTATTCTCAATAAATTCTGTTCTCAAAGAGAAACAAGGGTGGTTCTCCACTGAACACTCAGAACACTAGCAATATCTAAGAAAACATTTTATTTCACAGAGGCATAAATACCTTTTAAATTGGCATTTTTATTTCCTCTATTTCAAATACAGATAGTTAACTTTTCATTACGGAGAATTTAAATATATACAAAAGTGGAGAGAAGGGCATTATAATAAAAAGCCACATGTACTCATTGCCTGTCTCTAGTAATTATCAATTTATGGCCACTAGTGTCTTATCTGCACCCAGTCCAACCCCTCTGTAAATTATTTTGAAGCAAATCCTAGTCACTGTATTTCATTTTGTCAGTATTTCAGAATGCATCTCTAAGGACTCTTTTACATCACACCTAAGTTAACATTTACTTCCTTAATGTCATCAAATACCCAGTCAATGATCAAATTTAGCTGATCGTAATTTTTTAAACAGTTAGAAGGATCCAAATAAGGCTTCTATAGTACACTTGGTTGATTTATCTCTAATATCTCTTTTATTCTAATGATTTTTTTCTCCATCTGTTTTTCCTTGCAATTTATTTGTTGAAAAAAAAATTCACCTGTCTTGTCGAGTTCTCACAGTCTGGGTTTTTTTTCCTGTGCTGTTATCCAACATGCACCTCTGTCCTCTGTATTTTTTGTTAATTGATAGTTAAATCTAGAGACTAAATAAGATCCATATCTGACTTTTTGGTAAGACCACCCCAAAGGCAGATTGTATACTCCATCCGGAAATATAATTTCTGGCTATCTTGTGTGTGTATGTGTATATGTTATGATTTAGGCCATCTAAATTCATTATTTCATTTGAAGGGGTTCAGAGCACATAACCCCAAACTATGCCACTCTGACATAATGATTATTTTCAGCTTAAGGCAACTGAGAAAATGCAGGCACAGAATGAGCTCTGTCCTCCCCACATCTACCTGAAAAAAAAAAAAAAAAAGCACACATCACCCTTGGGAAAGTGCCCCCGGAACCTCCACCCCCACTCCCATACCAGGAGGGGGATAACAACCTTTATCACAGATGAGATGGCACCAAGAGTTTACACAAACCAACCTCACTAATGAGCCCTTCTCTACCAGCAGTTTCCATCATATATTTGCCTTCTCACAATTTGCCACCCCAAGAAACTCAAAGTCCATTTCCTTTGTCTTGTCACTCAACAAATTTCTTGTTCTGCTAAGATGCTATATAAGCTGAAGTTTTATTTTTCTTTTTTGAGACAGGGTCTTACTCAGTCATCCAGGCTACAGTCAGTGGCCCCGATCACAGCTCACTGCAGCCTCAACCTCCTGAGCTAAGGTGATCCTCCCACCTCAGCCTCCCAAGTAGCTTGGACCACAGGTGTGCACCACCACACCCAGCTAATTTTTGTATTTTTTAATAGAGACATGGTTTTGCCATGTTGCCCACGCTAGCCTCAAACTCCTGAGCTCAAGGAATCCTCCCATCTCAGCCTCCCAAAGTGTTAGGATTACAGGGCTGAGTCACCGTGCCCAGCCTAAGCCCAAGTTTTAACCACCCCTACGAGTTACCTGAATACTCGTGTGTGTGTGTGTGTGTGTGTGTGTGTGTGTGTGTGTGTGTGTATGCAACGTATGCATTGATATACTTCTTTTTCGCTCATTAACCTGTCTTTTGTATGTCTAAGTTGTAGAGCCCTGATCAATGAATCTAAGATAGGTAGAAGAAAAGTGTTTTCCTCCTCTACACATTAGAGGTTGCAAAATTACAATATTCTAATTCTATCATTCTTCCTAGCTTGAATTCTTCAGAGAAATTTCTTCTCGTCAATTATTACTGATCCCAAGACACAGTTTATATAAGAAAGGCAGTATAGATTTTGACTCTGCCCTTTTATTTACCGATTTTCAACAGAATGAGTTAGTTCCCCAGCATTCTCCAAAGGTGAGTTCTCTTTTTTAAGTATCATTATGAACACATGGATTTAAACATATGTGATATGTTGCAATTCATTGCAGTTACTTCCTGTATCTATGCTCAAGTTGCCAGATGGATTTTTAAAGCTACATTTGAAAGATGTTCAAGAAAATAATTTTCAAATGCCTAGAGTAAGGGTATTTTGTAGTTGAGAGAGACTGATTTTATCTAGAAATTAGAGTTTTACTGCTAAGATGACAAATTTGAAACTGAAATACTGTTAGACACTTGCTGTCCTTATCCTAAAATTTGATTCTATGCTAATGCATGAAGCAGCAATTACCGTTTCACTCACTCCTGTCATCCTCCCAAACCCTGCAACATCTTATCCAACTAAACAAAACTCAGCTACAGCTCCAAAACACAAGCTGAAAGGACAAAATTATTAGAAATAAGGAGAAAAGCAGCAAGGGTGGCACACGCATCTGTGTGATGACACTGCCGAAATTCCCCGCTTGATTCAGGGCACGATGCAAAACAACAGAAATTCAATCAACACATTCACCACACATGGTGGATTAGGGGCCTTTAGAAATAGAAAAGCTATTTGGTTAACAGATTTTAGTAAAATTTACTATAATAAAGTTGTCTAAAGTCAACGTCACACTGGATATAAGTGCTTTAAAAAAATGCCAGATATGGAGTCTGTTATTAATATTGTAGCTGCTGGAATTTGTGATAAAAAGGATTCTGGTTATACCCTTTTTTCCAGGCATAAGTACGTTAATAGCTCTAAAAATATTAACTTTTTCAAGCCATCAAATAACTATTAACCAATGGCATACTTACAGTTTCTTAAAAAGCTGCCCAAAGACATAGCCAATGAGTATGTTCATGCAAGTTAAAAATAAAATAGACCAACTTACAACTATGGAAGTGTGGCAGACGCCAATACCTGCCTTCCAGACCCCCTTTCAAGACAGGACTCACTGCCCAGCTGTGAGGAATATAGTTATCTGACTGCCTCCAGCTGTTGACTTCAGGATCCATTTCTGCCTTCAAGCCAAAGTTATACTAGCTCAATCGGCTCCTAGTCACTGGGATTTAAGCAAGATAGTAGAAGCCAGGTGCATGTTCTTCATGAAGGACCCTCAGCAAATAACTAAGCAAGGCAATAGTACAAAGCCCTAGTTATTTACATCCAGTAGAGAACTCTTAAAAAGCAGCCTTTCCTCCAGCGGTCCCCATTGGGCTGGCAGAAACTTTGTCACATCTGCATCAGAGTCTGAGACAGCTCCCCTTATCCAATTCTGCTTCCTCCCTTCTCCTTTCATTGGCTTTCTCTCTTATAAACCTATTGCATGCTTAGTGTCTCCATTTTAGTGTCTCCTTCCCAGGGAACCCAGGTACTAGAAGGATCTATACTGACTATCTGTTTCCCAGGGAACCCAGATCCTAGGATCTAAACTATACTGATTTCTGTTCTCTGAAGGTTAGTGTATAAGAAAGAATATGTTTAGCTTGAGAATATTTCCTTTAAAATGAGCATATTGTTCATTTTTAGTGGATTATCAAGCTATACTGAGTTTATTTACTTTCTTGTGAATGTACAGCTTCACCAACCATCCTAGAGGCACATTTTGTTCTCCAATCTGGCACTTCATCATGGGTCATCTGATTCCTTTCCAGTCATGATCACCATCCTACATAACCTTGTCTGTTTCCTGAAGGAGCAAGGAATGGTCAAATGAGCAACGGAGAAAACTCTTCTTAAAATGTGTTATGAACTCAGTTTAGTTTAATGTGTCAAACGCTAGAGTATTACATGAAATTTTAGCACAGCCCATTTTTTGGAAGACTTTTGCTGAGGCTTAACCTTCTTTAGTGATCTCTCATCAATACGACCCTCACTTCATGTTCAAAAAATACTAAAGAAGAAAAGAAAAGGCAGCTGTCTGTTAGGTTATACAGGATTTATTGGGTATCTTCAAAAACCAATCCGAGAAAATTTTCCACTCACTGATTTTAGCTGAGCCACTGAGAAAACAAGAAAATCCTTCTGCAAAATTTTCAATAAGATGATATTATCTAAAGACTTGAAGCGTGAAACCTGGATTATAACAGCTGACCAAAAAAAACCCAGAGTGTAATGTCTTCAAAAACTAAGAAACAAAAAAAGGATAATGATATAAAATTTTAAAACTGGAAAGGTATTTCTCTAATTTGACAATGCATAATGTACATATGCAATGGTAAAGATAATTCTAAACTATTAAGAGTAAAAACATTCGGTTAATTCTGTTCATAATGTTTATACTTTGTAGATTTTCCTGTGTCCTTCTTACGAAGATGACTCTTTCGGTTTTTCTTTTTTAGTACACTACAGAATTAAATTTTTAAAAACAACATACAGACTGAAAGTTCTACAGGTCAGCAAATGACCGAAAAACTTCATAGTTGATTATATGTAAATTTGATGACTTTTCAAAGAATTAAATGTGAATCATGAAGTCATATCATCACTGTATTACAAAAGCCAAAAAGCAGGCTTCTTCATCTATCTTAGACTCACTGTGGTAGATCACAAACTGGCCACAAATTATTCCCCCTCCCAATATTGCCACCACCATTAGCAATAGGACTTAGTTACTTCTACCATGAGAGGTCAAGTTTATTTACCCACTCACTGAATTTGTGCCAGCTCCTAACTTGCTTTGGCTGACGAAACAGCAGCAAACACGAGGCAAGCTGAGACTTGAAAAGTGTCTTACTTTGGGGCTTGCCCTTCTGCTGCTATTAGAACTCCATGATCATTATGTGAACAAGCACCTGAAAAACCACATGGAGGGAGACCACAGTCATTTCAGCTGAGACCTTCAGCTGAAATGAACCAGCCAGCCCCCGCCAATCTACCAGCTGACAGAGGCATAAGTGAATCTAGCCAAGATCAGTTGCTCCTGGTGCAAAGACAGACTCACCCAGCTGAGCCTAGCCCGAATTGCCATCCTGCAGAATAATGAGCTAAATAGATGGGGTTGTGTTAAGCCACTAAGTTTGGTGTGACAGCTGACAGAGCATATAGGTAACTAACATACCCACATATGGCTTTTTACTCTTTACAGAATATTTACTCTATCATTAAACAACTAAAGTATATGTGAGCACCACTGTGGGGAAAATTAAACCAAATATATGTCAGCATTTGTACACTAACCATTATTCTATAGGCTGGCCTCTTCTACAGAGTCCTCTTCTAACTATGGGATAGGAATAGCCAAGAGGATATTTCACAGAGGAAAGACAGCAATGAACATGATCTCTTAACAATTTATACAAATATTTAAAGTCCACAACCTGATCACATACTGTGTATTTATTATTTAACTTTCCTGGACAAAATAACTTTAGGATTCCTTAACACCCAAGTATTAGTGATTATAAGAAATTATCAGATTTTCTTTAATCTAGCAACTTACTAGGGTAAAATATAGCGCAAGAAAACTTTAGCTGTCCAAAATCTTACCTTTCCAGAAATAATTAGTTCCCCACAAAAATGACCACTTTAATAAATGGAGTGTCTCTCAGGACATAGCAACAAGTAACATTGCCAAAAAAAAGGCTGCAGATGATTGTTTAACATGCCATGATTTGGTTGACTTGCATCACAACAGGAAAACAGTGATGACAGGCCAGTAATATATATGAGACAAATCTTTTCAAGCAAAAGTTAAGAAGCATGGTACTGTTTAATAACTTTGCTGGACTTTGTCTCTGGTTCCTAGAAGGGAGTCTCTAAATCCTTGGAATTTTCCAAGTGGTAAGAATGTCTTCATTATTCATGGTGGGTCCCTTGGACCACACCTAAGTTTATACTAAAGGAACAACTCACAGTGGGCCCTGAGATAACATCAGGAAAGGGGCTGGCCAAGGTGGAAAAATGAACCACATGATTTAAAGGTTTGGGCTTTCTGCTACCAGTCACGGTGGGGAGGGTGGGGACTGAAGATTGAGTTCAATTATGTGACCAATGATTCAAACAATCATGCCTACTAATGAAAGCTCTGGACACCCAAAGCTCAAGTGTGCTCATTCATTGGTGATACACACTGATGTTCCAAGAGGGCGAGGAGTCTTGAGACATGGAAGCTTTGCATGTGGGACCCCCTAGGCCTTGCCCTATATACATCCTCTCATTTGGCCGGTCCTAATTTGTATCTTTTATAATAAAACTGTAATCCTGTGTATAGTGCTTTCCTCAGTTCTGTGAGTCCTTCTAGTGAATTATCAGACCTGAGGGAACAGCAGGAACTTGTAGCCAGCAGCTGGAAATGCAAGTGGCCTACAAACCCATACATGGCTTGCAGCTAGTGTCTCCAGTGAGGGGTGCTGTATAGACTATGCCCTTCATCTGTGGAATCTGACCTAAGTCCAGGTAATGTCAGAACTGCACTGCACATGGTAAAGCAACTAAATATCAGTAACATTTAAAGAGCAGAGAGAAGGCTGAGCACGGTGGCTGATGCCTGTAATCCCAACACTTTGGGAGGCCAAGGTGGGAAGACAGCTTGAGCCCAGGAGTTGCCCACCAGCCTGGGCAACATAGTGAGACCCTGTCTCTATTTTAAAAATTAAATTAAATTAAAAAAAAAAAAGCAGAGAAAAGACAAGGTTAATAGACAGCAGAAGTGGTGGTCAGAGTTAGGAATAATTACAGTAACACTCATCCATGGAGTGAAAAAAAACAGCAAAGGCAAAAGACAAAATTAGAGATGAAAGTGGAAAAACTAGTAGAGACAACAGAAATGAGGTTGGGGGATTAGGACGGCATTCAATGTGGATGCTTAGTAGTCTGGAGAGTCATTCATTCACTCAGCCACCATCTATGAATTATCTGCTACATGTAAGGCACTGTACTAGGTACTAAGAAAACATGGTGAATAAGAAAAACATAGCCTCATTCTCATGAAGCTTACATTTTAGAGAGGACGAAAATATTGAATTACACCACTAATTATGTAATTATTATGGTGAAACATGCTATAAAAGATATACAGTTGAATATGGGCTTAATATACATATATACATATCAGTAATAGTCTACAGTCCTAAAGCCTATACACCTTCACCTCTATTTGCAAATATATTAAACATAATTATTATACATGTTAGCAAGGAAGTACAGAATAATGTACATTTTCAAGTGGTTTCATCAATAACAAAAACTTTGGATTAAACTTACCTTCCACTAAAAATAAAACATTCCTGGTAGGTACCTGATACTTAAACACTTAGCATATTTGTTTCTCAAATACAAGTTCTCCTTAATATACTGTTATAACTCCTACCCAAATTTTAAAGTCATACACTTCTTTTAAACTATTAAGAATATTTCTGAGAATGCAAACAAACAAACATAACCCTCAAATCACCAGACACGACACCCTGACTTTGGGCAAAAAAGACTCTAGATACATATTTCATCGAGATGCAGAGGCCAATTTCAATTTCTACTAAATGTTACTAATGATCACAGTTTTTAAATTTTTAGAAAAGATGTATTAATTTTAAAGGTGTTTAACATAAAATTCCCTAAAACCTCTTCCCAAACAATAGTCAATTAGACCACTATAGCTTCTTACCTGTAGTCATCTAACTGTACCAGAAATCGTACAATATCATGATGAGCCTTCAGTACTAGCAGTTCAGTGTAGGGATTCTGGGTTTGTTCTTCACCTATTGTCTGTAAAGGAGATTTCTTGTATTGAAAAAAAAAAAAAAGCAAAAAACAAAAGACAAAAAAAGAGATAAAATGATTTGTAAGACCATATTGGAATATAACTCCATGGTATACATCTGAGAACACAAGATTTTAAAAGCCTTAAGGTATCATGTTCTACTACTAAATATTATTTCTTCTTTTATCAACTAAATAACTGCCAGTTCCACATAAAACACTTCTCCTACCACAAATTCGAATCATGAATTTTAGTATTTTCAAATCACAATAAATTTACAAAAAGGGTGAATTTTATTTTATGTAAATTGTATCCTATTAAACCTCACTTTAAAAAAAGTAATGGGCCAATCCAACTCAACATTTTAGAATGCATGTTTCTCAGTTAAAATGTGGCAGAAACAAAACTGCAAATCAAAGACATAAAATAGTGAAACAGTGCCTCATCCATTACAAGCACTCAATACATGCTTGCTAAATGAATAAATGAAGGCATGAAATCAACTCTGGATTTCTCAAACTTGATGCTGACATTTTGGGCTAGAGAATTTTTTTTTTTCGCACCACACGCCCAACTAATTTTTGTATTTTTAGTAGAGACAGGTTTTCACCACGTTGGCGAGACTGGTCTTGAATTCCTGACCTCAAGTGATTCGCCCGCCTCGGCCTCCCAAAGTGCTGGGATTACAGGAGTAAGCCACCGCGCCCAGCCCAGATAATTCTTTGTTGTTGAGAACTGTCCTGTGCATTACAGGACATTGAGCAGCATCCCTGGTCTATACACATTAGATGCCAATAGAACTGCCCCTCTGCAAGGCATGACAATCAAAAATGTCTCCAGACATTGCCAAATGTCTCCTGCGGGGCAAAAATCACCCCAGTTGAGAACCACTGCTTAAACGAGAAGCCTGGATACAAAGTTATTGCATAAATTAGGGACAATCATAGGTTCCGATAATGTACAAATTCACAGCAGTTATACAACTCAATTAGATTTATATGAAGAAATATATAAATTTAAAACATGCATAAATGTTTTCCAAAAAAAAAACCACCACCACAAAGCATTGATTTTGTATTTATTCTGTCTTCCTTCTAGAAGAGATTGTGGTGAGAAATTTGAAAACTATATAAACTGCTTCTCCTCCAATGAAAACTTGCCAGGAATGGGAGACCTGGTTAAGCAAATAACATGATTAACCAAAGAACCAGGTTAAAACAGAATTATCCAAAATGTCGTATATACCATATATGGCTATTCAATAATCCACAATCTCAAGGATTTAGGATTAATCTGAAATAAGAAATTTTTAAAAACAGACAATACCGTCAACTGCAAAGACATGCGGAAGTTAAAATTGAGAAGACTGCCTACTCTCAACAATCCAATTTCTTACTTTTAACAATCTAAACAAATACTTCTTATGAGAAATAAAATGCAATTCACAAATTCTGTTCTTGTCAGGCCTCTGAGCCCAAGCTAAGCCATCGCATCCCCGGTGACTTGCACATATACGCCCAGATGGCCTGAAATAACTGAAGAATCACAAAAGAAGTGAAAATGCCCTGCCCCGCCTTAACTGATGACATTCCACCACAAAAGTGAAAATGGCCGGTCCTCGCCTTAAGTGATGACATTACCTTGTAAAAGTCCTTTTCCTGGCTCATCCTGGCTCAAAAAGCTCCCCTGAGCACCTTGCCCCACTCCTGCCCGCCAGAGAACAACTCCCCTTTGACTGTAATTTTCCTTTACCTACCCAAATCCTATAAAACGGCCCCACCCCTATCTCCCTTCGCTGACTCTCTTTTCGGACTCAGCCCGCCTGCACCCAGGTGATTAAAAGCTTTTATTGCTCACACAAAGCCTGTTTGGTGGTCTCTTCACACGGACGCGCATGAAAGTTCTTGTGTGGCATACGAAATAAATTTGGGACCTCAAAATTTCCAAGACTGCAAAAATTATTTTATTCACATTTCAAATGTAAATTTCATTACACACGGTCTATTCAATTATTCGGGCCCATGAAGAAAGTGTGACTATGAAACCAAAAACAGCAGTTAATTAGAAAATCATGTTCTTGACCTTGAAGCAGATTACTTTTTAAAAATAATTATATCCTTTTTCGGTTGTTGGATAAGTAAATTAATTTTATATTCCCTGACCAAGTATCAGTAGACGCCAGGAAGAGACACCAATTCAAATAAACCAAAAGTGGAAAGCTGCGGTCACAACTCGTTCGTTTCTAGCTAAATCGTATACTTTTTAAGTGGAAATGAAGATAGTTTCGGTAGCCAGAAGCCCTAAGTTGTCACAGGTCCCAATAGGACTGCTGACCAGCTGAGCGTCCCTGAGCCAGGATCTCACGATTCAGCTAGCCGTGGGACGGGGCCGGGGGTCTGCAGCTCCAGGGTGCGCCTGGGGTCCCGCCGGGTCTGAGGAGCTCCGGCTCCCGCGCCCTCCGCCCCCACCGTCGTGAGAACAGCGCGTGGCACGAGCTCAGCAGCCAGCCCCGCCTCCGCCCGGGTCCCCGCGGTCGGAACCCAGGAAGGCCGAACCGGAACGAAGCCGCCCCTCCAGCAAGCTCGACGGACGCAGAGCAGACCCACCCGGGGTTTACCTCGGCCAGTCCCTGCGGTTCTCGGCCTCCCCCGATCAGCCATCGCAACATCCGGGCAGCGGCGGCGTCTTGCCCGGTCCAGCCCCAGTCAGCCCAAACTCCGCCCCAGGCTCGGCCTCCTCCTTCCTCCCCGGCTGCAGCGCAACTGAGACGCTAATACTTCCCGCCCCAGATCAGCCCACGGGCCGAAGGAATGCAGACCACAGTTGAGGGAGAATTTTTGTCCCCAAAGCGCTCCCGTACCCAGCCACGGAGGCTTAGTTTGGGCAGTCGCTTGGGGTGCGGCGGCCGACGGCGGGGGCGGCTGCGGCGATTGCGGGGCGCGCGCTGCTCCGAGTGAGCACGCGCGGGAGCGCCGCCGGGTAGCGCACGGAGCTTAGGTAGCTCGAGCGGCCCCTGGTGGACGCGCGCGGAGCAGCAACCCGACCCCGGCGAGCAAGCGCGCACGAAGAATAATGCCCCTCCCTGTGACATGGCTTTAGT
The DNA here is from genome assembly GCF_000001405.40 of Homo sapiens. Classification (NCBI taxonomy): domain Eukaryota; kingdom Metazoa; phylum Chordata; class Mammalia; order Primates; family Hominidae; genus Homo; species Homo sapiens. The sequence continues at coordinate 77,492,653 of NC_000005.10, forward strand.
ATCCTCCACTTCCTAGGGTACCAGGAAATCTCCCCTGCTTTCCCAAGAGCTTGCTGAAGAAGGTGTACCGCAGTAGACTTCTGCATCCAGACAAATCCAGTGGCTCATGTGTACAGCCGAATAAATCCGGCCAACATTTACTGTGTGCTATAGTACAGCTACTGTGCTAAGGCTTTACATAAATCCTCATGGTAAACCTATATCCTCTATTTTACACATCAAGAAACTAAAGCTCTGAATGATTAGGTAATTTGTCTAAAGATAACAGCTAGGAAGTGGCTACATTGGTAGTGTTCTTGACCGTATGCTATATTAACATAGAATCTCCCTAAAGAATAGAAGGCAGTTCATATACCTTTTTTTGACTACTACATTTTCTTAGGTAGTCAAAGGGCTGTGGTTATCTATGCTGACTGCATATCAGAATTACCTGGGTAGCTTTTGAAAATGTAGATTCCTGGCTTCCACCTCAGACTCATTAAAATAATCTTTGTGGTTGGGACGTAGGAATCGGGGTTTTGGGAAGGCTCCTCAGGTGATTCTGATGAGTAGCAAGGTCTGAAAATCACTGGTCTAGGAACTACTTATACATATCATGTTTGCAAAAGTATAAATATATATATTTGCATATGTATTAGGTTCAAATAATCCTCCTAGCAGTAAATTGTTGTAGGGAATCTACAAATGTCCCAACTAATGCATTAATTCAGCAAACATGTATTGGACACAGATGCACTAGAGAAGCAGAAAGGAATCACATAAAATGCTGCTCTGGAGGGACAAGGCATAATGTCCCAGTCACCAATAAGAGAGAGCCATACATCCCACTTTAAGCTAAGTTGGTTGTGAGCAGCTACACAAACTTACAGTCCCTCTGGAACTCGGATCTCCTATAATTCATCTTTGTATTCCTTTTGAGTGCACTCGGCAAGAACACACTCCCAAGGATCAGGAGCATGTTGCCTTCTGTGTGCTAGCCCCAAATTGCAGTCTGCATACAGTTGAAGACAGACCAAAACAGAGACTATCCCCTGGGAAAGAGGGACTTATCTTTAAGTAAAACAAAACTCAGAGACATCAGGAGTTCAGTTCTGGAAGGAATATCTTCACGTGAGACAATGTGGTTGCCCAAATAGCCTACATTTTATTCTTCTGATTATCCACATTCTTTAGGGTTTGCCCCATGCTCTTTAGGGTTTGCCCAATGCCACATTACTCTGATGTAAGGGACATTCTGCTGATGCTTTAAAGCACTGGTCCAGGGTTGAACACTTCCTCCCTTGGTTCCTCTTAGGACAGCTAAGAAAGAATTTTTTACAAGATTAGTATATTATTGGGCACACAATGTATAAAGATGTAATTTGTGGCATCAATAGAAAGGGTGGGGGTGGAGCAATATAGGAGCAGAGTCTTTGTATGCTATTGAAGTTACGTTGGTATAAATTAAAATGAGATTGTTATAACGTTAGGATGTTAAATGTAATTCTCATGGTAAACACAAAAATACCTGTAAAATATACATAAATGGAAATGATCAGGGAATCAAAACATTTACTACAAAAAATAAGCTAAATACAAAAGATGGCAGTAATAGAGAAAATGAGGTACAAAAAAACTATAAGGCATATAGAAAACAAATAGAAAAATAGAAATTCCTCTTTATCAGTAATTACTTTAAATATAAATAGATTAAACTGTCCAAAGAAAAGGCAGATTGACAAAAAAAAACCAAACTCTAGAATCCAACTATATGCTGTCTATGAAAGACTGACTTTAGATCAAAGACACAAATAGATCAAAAGGGAAAGAATAGAAAAAGATATTCCATGCAAATAGTAACCAAAAGAGAACTGGAGTGGCTGTACTAACAGCTGACAAAATAGACTTTAAATCAAAAAAGTTTTCAAAGACAGAAACATTATGTTATATATTAATAAAATAGTCAATATAGCAAGAAGATAAAACAATTACAAATATTTACACACCTAATAATAGACCCTCAAAATTTATGAAGCAAAACTTAACAGAATTGAAGAAAGATATAGTTCTACAACAATGGTAGCAGACTTCATCTGTCCACTTTCAATAATAGATAGAACAACCAGACAAGGTAAAGAAATAGAGGACATAAACAACACAATAAACTAATTACATCTAACATATAAAGAACACACTACCCAACAACATCAGCATAAACATTCATCTCAAGCACATGTAAGACATTCTCTTAGATAGACCATATGTTAGGCCACAAAATAAGTCTCAATCAATTTTAAAAGATAGATATCACACAAAGTATCTTCTCTGACCACAACAGGAATCAGTGACAGAAGTAAAACTGGAAAATTCACAAATGTGTTGAAATTAAGCAAAACACTCAAACAACCAATGAGTCACAAGAAAAAGCAGCACAAAAGAAATTATAAAATACCTAGAGACAAAAACACAACACGACAAAACTTACGGGATGCGGTAAAAGCAGTACTTAAAGGGAAATTTATAGGTATAAATGTCTACATTAAAAAAGAAGATCTAAAATCAATAACCTGACTTTATACCATAGGAACTTGAAGTAGAAGAGCAAATGAAACCCAAAACTAGTAGGAGGAAGGAAATAATAAGAATTAGAGCAGAGATAAACAAAATAGAGAATAGAAAAAATAGAGCAAATCAATGAAACCAAAAGTTGGTCTTTTGCAAAGATGAAAAAAATTTAAAAACCTTTAGCTGGACTGACAAAGAAAAAAAGAGAAAATGCAAATAACTAAAATTGAAAATGAAAGTGGAGACATTACTACTGACTTTGCAGAGAGAAAAGGGACTATGCGACCACTATGAACAATCGAACACAAATTAGATAACCTAAAAGATATGAATAAATTCCTTGAAATACACAAATTATTTAAATTGACTCAGAAAGAAATGGAAAATATTAACAGACCTATAGCAAGTAAAGAGATTGAAACAGTATTCAAAAACCTCCCAAAAAAGTGAAGTCCTGGACCAGATGGCTTTACTGATGAATCTACCAAACATTTAAAGAAGAATTAACACAAATCTTTCTCAAATTCTTCCAAAAAGTGAAGAGGAGGAAACACTTTTTAACTCCTTATACAAGGCCAGCATTACCCTGATACCAAAACCAGAAAAAAAATCACAAAAAGAGAAAATTATAGGCCAATATCCCTTATGACTACAGATGAAAAAAATCTTTGACATAATATTATCACATTAAATCCAACAGCATATTAACAAGTATTATTTACTATGACCAAGTAAGATTTATTCCGGGAATGGAAGAGTGGTTCAGTATAAGAAAATCAACCAATGTAATACATCACATTAATAAAACAAAGGAAGATAACCACAAGATAATCTCAACTGATGCAGAAAGGCATTTTACAAAATCCAACACCCTTTTATCACAAAACTCTCAGAAAACCAGAAATAGAGGGGAAATTCCTCAATAGGATAAAAAGTAATTATGAAAAACCCATGGTTAACATCACATTCGATGGTGAAAGACTGAAAGCTTCTCCCCTAAGATGAGAAACAAAAGAAAGATGTCCTCTTTGACCACTGCTCTTCAACACTGTATTGGAAGTTCTTGCCAGAGCTAGTAGACAAAAAGAAGTAAAAAGCATCCAAATTGGAAAGGAAGAGGTAAAGCTCTCTCTATTTGCAGATGATATGACCCTATATATAGAAAATCCTGAAGAATCCACAAAAAAGGTATAGAGCTAATAAATAAATTCAGCTAAGTTGCAGGGTACTAGATTAATACAAAAAAAATTAGTGTTGTTCCTACTTGCCAGCAATGAACAATCCAAAAAGAAAACTAATAAAGCAATTCCATTTACAATAGCATCTAAAATAATTAAATACATAGGAATAAATCTAACCCTGGAGGTGAAAGACTTCTATACTGAAAACAACAAAACATTGCTGAAAGAAATTAAAGAGTACCTAAATAAATAAAAAGACGTCCAAGCTCTTGGATAGAAAGACAACATTGTTAAGATATAAATACTTCCCAAAGCAATCTCCAGATTCAATGCAATCTCTATCAAAATTTCAATAATCTTGTTCCTAAAAATGGAAAAATAATCCTCAAATTTATATGGAATTGCAAGGGGTCCCAAATAGCCAAAATAATCTTGAAAAAGAAAATAAGGTTGGAGGACTCACACTTCCCAACTGTGGAACTTACCACGAAGTTAAAGTAATAGTACTGGCACAAGGACAGACATGTAGACCAATGGAATAGAACAGAGAGCCTAGAGATAAACTCTTACATATATGGTCAATTTTTTTGACAAGTGTACTAAGACCATCCAATGGGGAAAGGACAGTCTTTTCAACAATTGGTACTAGGAAAACTGGATCTCTACACATAAAAGAATGAACTTGGATCCTTATCTTATACCATACACAAATGTTAACTTAAAATAGTCAAATACCTAAACTTAAAAGCTAAGTTGTAAAACTCTTAGAAGAAAAAAAATTGGAGGAGAAAATATTCATCACATTAAATTTGGCAAAATTTAGTGGCGGTGACACCAAATGCACAGGCAACAAAAGAAAAAATAAACCAATTTGACTTCATCAAAATTAAGAACTTTCATGCGTCAAAGGATACTACCAAGAAAATGAAAACCTACAGAATGGAAGAAAATATTTGCAAATCATACATCTGATAAGGAAGTGATACCTGTAATATATAAACATCTCCTACAACTCAACAACAACAACAACATAAAACAACCCTATTAAAACTGGGCAAAGGACTTGAGTAGACATTTCTCCAAGGAAGGTATATGAATGGTCATTAAGCACCTGAAAAGAAGCTCAACATAATTAGTCATTAGAAAAATGCAAATCAAAACCACAATGGCATGCCATTTCACACATACTAGGATGCCTATAATTTTTTTAAGCTGGAAAATAAATGTTGATAGGGATATGGAGAAATTGGAGTCCTTGTGCATCGTTAATAGAAATGTAAAATGGAGCAGCCACTGTGAAAAATCGTTTAGCAACCCTCGAAAGTTAAACATACAACTACCATATGACCCAGCAAGTCCACCTCTAGGCATATATCTACAGGAAATGAAAGCAAGGACTCAACAGATATTTGGGCCAATGTTGACATCAGCACTATTCACAATAGCCAAAAGCCGGAGACATCCCAAGTGTCCATCCACAGATGAATGGATAAATAAAATGTGATGTATGCATATAATGAAATATTATTTAGTCATAAAGGAATTAATTTTTAAATATATTCTACAACATAGATGGGCCTTGAAAACATATGTTAAGTGAAATAAACCAAACACAGTAGAATAAATATTGTATGATTCCACTATTATGAAATACTTAGAATAGGTAAATTCATAGAGACAGAAAATAGAACAGAGGTTACCAGGGATGGGAGAGGGGGAAATAGGGAGTTATTATTGAATGAGTACAGAGTTTATGTTGAGACCAATGAAAAACATTTGTATATAGTGGTGATGATTATACAATATTGTGAATGTACTTAATGTCACTGAATTGTACAATTACAAATGGTTAAAATGACAAATATGTTAGTATATTTTACCACAATAAAAGAGATAAATAGATCAATGGGACAGAATAGAGTACCAAAATAAAGCCACATATATATGGATAACTGATTTTTTTACAGAAGTGTAAAGGCAGTCAGTGTAGAAAAGACTATTGAAAAAGTCTTTTTGTTAATTGTGCTAGACAATTTGACATCCATATCCAAATAAATGTACTTCAATTTATATCTCATTCCATAAGCAAAATACAGGATTAATCATAGGCATAAATGTAAAACCTAAATCTATAAAACTTCTAAAATAAAACATGGAGAGGCCAGTCATGGTGTCTCAAGCCTATAATCCCAGCGCTTTGGGAGGCTGAGGTAGGAGGATTGCTTGAGCCCAGGAGTTCAAGACCAGATTGGGCAACATAGCGAGACCTCATATCTATAAAAAGTTTTAAAATTAACCGAGCATGGTGGCAGGTGCCTGTGGTTCCAGTAACTCAGGAGGCTGAGGCAAGAGGATCACTTAAGCTCAGGAGCTAGAGGCTGCAGGAAGCTATGTTCATGCCACTGTACTTCAGCCTGGGTGACAGAGTAAGACCCCATCAAAAAAAAAAAAAGAAAAAAGAAAAAGAAAAAAAGAAAAAACCATTGTGACTTTTTAAAGATTTTATCTCAAAAGTACAATCCATAAAAGAAAAAATTGATAAATTGTACTACATCAAAATTAACACTTCTGTTCTTTAAAAGACACTGTTAAGAGAATAAAAAATAAGCAATAGACTAGGGAAAATATTTGCAAATTAGGTAGGTGAAAAAGGACTTCTCTCCAGAATATATAAAGAACCCTGAAAACTTAATAAAAGTCCAGTTCTGAGTGAGATAGGATAAATACACGTCACTCTTTCTCTCCAATTGAACACAACTATAAACCTTGAACAAAATAGATGACGTAACTCTTTAAGGACTCTGAAAAAGGAGGAATGGGGAAGAATACCAGAATTCAAATTACCAGCAAGTCAGCATTTCTTTTTTCTTCAGCAGCTTCCCCAGCCTGAATCCAATGCAACCTCAAATCTGGAAAGGAGCACTGTGGTGCAGAAAGAGAAAGGTGTACCTTCTAGTTGTGGCTGAAACTGCAGGAAGAGGAACTCCCAAAGCTTAGAGAGAATGCAGGAATCCTCTGGGTCTTTTCCTCTCCTTTTTGTCCATTCTCTTATGCCTCAGACTCCAAAATATCCCACAGTAATGGTGGCAGCTGTTACAGTGGCTACCAACAGGAGACTGCAGGAGCCAAAACTCTAAGGGAAGGGAGACTTCCTCTCCATTCGGTAGAGCTCATGCTGCAAAAGAGTGCATCCAAACCCAGACCTGTTTTTTCCCATCTTTCTACCCTTCCACTAACTGGCACCAGAGGTGGAGCAATTACGAAAGGGGGTGGTTTCCAAAAAGGGAAACCCCAAGGAAACAGAAAGTACCAGAGAGATAGTGGAAATAGAAGAGTTCAGGAAAGCAACCCCAATTACTTTTATATGAACATGTAGGCACACCTTCCTTATCTTCATATGCAAGGCTCTTAATCTAATTAGTGTAAACTGAGTTAATAGAATTCTGCCTGGGCCCGAGACTAATTACTAGATGGGACAAATACAGATAACACTGTAAAGGCATTAAAACTGAACAAACATTAGAGCCACAGCTCACAGAAGGTGAGTTACAACTTGTGCCTAACCTAGTCAGGTTAATTGCTTGTTAAAAAAAAATACCAACAGTCTCCACAGGACTTAAAACCAAGTTTCATAGTGTCATATTCCAAAGGTCTAGGAGTATAAGCCCAAATTACTTGGCATATGGAGAAACACAAAAGTCTTAGCTCACATGGAAAAATATAATCAACGGTTGCCAATGACAAAACTACAGATGTTGGAATTACCTGACGAAGACTTTAAAACATATTATAAAAATGCTGGCATGGCAATTATAAACACTCTTGAAACAAACATTAAAACACAATGTATCAGCAAAGAAATAGAACATATAAAATAGAAAGAACCAAATGAAAAATTTTACATTTAACATACAATAACCAAAATTTAAAACTCAGTGGATGAACTAATAGCAGAATGGAGAGGACAGAGGCAAGAGTCAGTGAACTTAAATGGAGAAAATCAATAAAACCAAAAGCTGGTGTTTAAAAAGATCAGTGAAATTAATAAGCCACTAGCAAGACTGACAAAGAAAAAAAATAAAAGATAAAAATTAGCAGTATAAGGAATGAAAGCAGGGATATTACTGTAGGCCCCACAGACATTAAAGGGATAATAAGAGAGTATTATAAATAACCCTACACACAAAAATTTAACAACTGATGAAATGGAGTGATTTCTCAAATATCACAAATTACCAAAATCTGTTCAAGCTCAAATAGGTAACCTAAGTAGTCCCATAACCATTTACAAAATTGAATTCATAGTTTAAAATGTTCTTAAAAAGAAATCTTAGGGTTCAGATACCAAATCATAATGAAAATCCCAGAGGATTTCCTGTAGATAGACAAGCTGCTTCTAATAGGTATAAAGAAGGGCAGACGAACTAGAATGTGCTGTGAGACATTACATTAAAAACCAAAAAAGATACTAAAAACTTTAAAATTTGAATCTTGTAGTCCCTGCTCTCAAGAAACATATTTCAGGAGGTTCCAAGATGGACAAATAGGAGCAGTTCCGGTCTGCAGCTCCCAGCGTGATTGACACAGAAGATGGGTGATTTCTGCATTTCCAAATGAGGTACCTGGTTCATCTCATTGGGACTGCTTGGACAGTGGGCACAACCCATGTAGGGCAAGCCTAAGCAGGGCGAGGCGTTGCCTCACCCAGGAAGTGCAAGGGGTTGCAGGATTTCTGTTTCCTAGCCAAGGGAAGCCGTGACAGACTGTACCTGGAAAAACAGGACACTTCTGCCCAAATACTGCGCTTTTCCCAAGGTCTTAGCCACTGGCAGACCAGGAGATTCTCTCCCATTTCTGGCTCAGCGGGCCCCACACCCACAGGGCCTTGCTCACTGCTAGTGTAGCTGTCTGAGATTGAACTGCAAGGCGGCAGCCTGGCTTGGAGAGGAGCATCCACCATTGCTGAGGCTTGAGTAGGTAAACAAAGCAGCCGGGAAGCTCGAACTGGGCAGAGCCCGCCGCAGCTCAGCAAGGCCTACTGCCTCTATAGACTCCACCTCTGCGGGCAGGGCATAGCTGAACAAAAGTCAGCAGACAACTTCTGCAGACTTAAATGTCCCTGTCTGACAGCTCTGAAGAGAGCAGTGGTTCTCCCAGCACAGCGTTTGAGCTCTGAGAACAGACAGACTGTCTCCTCAAGTGGGTCCCTGACCCCTATGTAGCCTAACTGGGAGACACCTCCCAGTAGGGGCTGACAGACACCTCATATAGGTGGATGCCCCTCTGGGACAAAGCTTCCAGAGGAAGGATCAGGCAGCAATATTTGCTGTTCTGCAGCCTCTGCTTGTGATACCAAGGCAAACAGGGTCTGGAGTGGACCTCCAGCAAACTCCAACAGACCTGCAGCTGAGGGTCCTGACTGTTAGAATGAAAGCTAACAAACAGAAAGGAATAGCATCAACATCAAAAAGGACATCTACACCCCATTGGTAGGTCACCAACATCAAAGAGCAAAGGTAGATTAAAACCACAAAGATGGAGAGAAATCAGAGCAGAAAAACTGAAAATTCTAAACACCAGAGTACCTCTTCTCCATCACAGCTCCTCGCCACCAATCAAACAAAGCTGCATGGAGAATGACTTTGATGAGTTGACAGAAATAGGCTTCAGAAAGTTGGTAATAACAAACTCCTCTGAGCTAAAGGAGCATGTTCAAACCCACCACAAGGAAGCTAAAAACCTTGAAGAAAGGTTAGATGAATGGCTAACTAGAATAAACAGTATAGAGAAGATCTTAAATGACCTGATGGAGCTGAAAACCATAGCATGAAAACTTCGTGACACATACACAAGCTTCAATAGCCAATTCAATCAAATGGAAGAAAGGGTATTAGTGATTGAAGATCAAATTAATGAAATAAAGTGAGAAGAAAAGGTTAGAGAAAAAAAAGTAAAAAGAAATGACCAAAGCCTCCGAGAAATATGGGACTATGTGAAAAGACCAAATCTACGTTTGATAGGTGTACCTGAAAGTGATCGGGAGAATGCAACCAAGTTGGAAAACACTCTTCAGGATATTATCCAGGAGAACATCCCCAACCTAGCAAGGCAGGCTAACATTCAAATTCAGAAAAATAGATAACACCACAAAGATACTCCTCAAGAAGAGCAACCCCAAGACACATAATTATCAGATTCACCAAGGTTGAAATGAATGAAAAAATGTTAAGGGCAGCCAGAGAGAAAGGTCCAGTTACCCACAAAGGGAAGCCCATCAGACTGACAGCGGATCACTCGGGAGAAACCCTATAAGCCAGAAGAGAGCGGGGGCTGATATTCAACATTCTTAAAATAATTTTCAACCCAGAATTTCATACCCAGCCAAACTAAGCTTCATAAGTGAAGGAGAAATAAAATCCCTTACAGACAGGCAAATGCTGAGAGATTTTGTCACCACCAGGCCTGCCTTACAAGAGCTCCTGAAGGAAGCACTAAACATGGAAATAAACAACCAGTACCAGCCAGCGCAAAAACATGCCAAATTGTAAAGACCATCAATGCTATGAAGAAACTGCATCAATTAACGGGAAAAATAACCAGCTAACATCATAATGATGGATCATATTCACACATAACAATATTAACCTTAAATGTAAACAGGCCAAATGCCCAAATTAAAAAACACAGACCGGCAAATTGGATAGAGTCAAGACCCATCAGTGTGCTATATTCAGGAGACCTATCTCACCTGCAGAGACACACATAGGCTCAAAATAAAGGGATGGAGGAAGATCTACCAAGCAAATGGAAAGCAAAAAAAAAAAAAAAAAAAAGCAGGAGTTGCCATCCTAGTCTCTGATAAAACAGACTTTAAACCAACAAAGATCAAGAGAGACAAGGAAGGCCATTACATAATGGTAAAGGGATCAATTCAACAAGAAGAGCTAACTATCCTAAATATATATGCACCCAATACAGGAGGACCCAGATTCATAAAGCAAGTCCTGAGTGACCTACAAAGAGACTTAGACTCCCACACAATAATAATGGGAGATTTTAATACCCCACTGTCAATATTAGACAGATCAACAAGACAGAAGGTTAACAAGGATATCCAGGACTTGAACTCAGCTCTGCACCAAGCAGACCTAATAGACATCTACAGACCTCTTCACCCAAAATTAACAGAATGTACATTCTTCTCAGCACCACATCACACTTATTCTAAAATTGACCACATAATTGGAAGTAAAGCACTCCTCAGCAAATATAAGAGAACAGAAATCTCAAAAAACTGTCTCTCAGACCACAGTGCAATCAAATTAGAACTCAGGATTAAGAAACTCACTCAAAACCACTCAACTACATGGAAACTGAACAACCTGGTCCTGAATGACTACTGGGGAAATAATGACATGAAGGCAGAAATAAAGATTTTCTTTGAAACCAATGAGAACAAAGACACAACATACCGGACTCTCTGGGACACACTTAAAGCAGTGTGTAGAGGGAAATTTATAGCACTAAATGCCCACAAGGGAAAGCAGGAAAGATCTAAAATAGACACCCTACCGTCACAATTAAAAGAACTAGAGAAGCAAGAACAAACACATTCAAAAACTAGCAGAAGAGAAGAAATGACTAAGATCAGAGCAGAACTGAAGGAGATAGAGACACGAAAAACCCTTCAAAAAATCAGTGAATCCAGGAGCTGGCTTTTTGAAAAGATCAACAAAATTGATAGACTGCTAGCAAGACTAATAAAGAAAAAAAAAAGAGAAGAATCAAATAGATGCAATAAAAAATGATAAAGGGGATATCACCACTGATCCCACAGAAATACAAACTACCATCAGAGAATACTATACCTCTATGCAAATAAACTAGAAAATCTAGAAGAAATGGATAAATTCCTTGACACATACACCCTCCCAAGACTAAACCAGGAAGAAGTTGAATTTCTGAATAGAACAATAACAGGCTCTGAAATTGACGCAATAATTAATAGCCTACCAACCAAAAAAAGTCCAGGACCAGATGGATTCACAGCTGAATTCTACCAGAGGTACAAAGAAGAGCTGGTACCATTCCTTCTGAAACTATTCCAATCAATAGAAAAAGAGGGAATCCTCCCTAACTCATTTTAGGAGGCCAGCATCATCCTGATACCAAAGCCTGGCAGAGACACAACAAAAAAAGAGAATTTTAGACCAATATCCCTGACGAACATCGATGCAAAAATCCTCAATAAAATACTGGCAAACCGAATCCAGCAGCACATCAAAAAGCTTATCCACCACAATCAAGTCAGCTTCATCCCTGGGATGCAAGGCTGGTTCAATATACGCAAATCAATAAACGTAATCCATCACATAAACAGAACCAACAACAAAAACCACATGATTATCTCAATAGATGCAGTAAAGGCCTTCGACAAAATTCAACAGCCCTTCACGCTAAAAACTCTCAATAAACTAGGTATCGATGGAACGTATCTCAAAATAATAAGAGATATTTATGACAAATCCACAGCCAATATCATACTGAATGGGCAAAAACTGGAAGCATTCCCTTTGAAAACCAGCACAAGACAAGGATGTTCTCTCTCACCACTCCTATTCAACATAGTGTTGGAAGTTCTGGCCAGGGCAATCAGGCAAGAGAAAGAAATAAAGGGTATTCAATTAGGAAAAGAGGAAGTCAAATTGTCCCTGTTTGCAGATGACATGATTGTATATTTAGAAAACCCCATCGTCTCCACCCAAAATCTCCTTAAGCTGATAAGCAACTTCAGCAAAGTGTCTCAGGATAAAAAATCAATGTGCAAAGATCACAAGCATTCCTATACACCAATAACAGACAAACAGAGAGCCAAATCATGAGTGAACGCCCATTTACAATTGCTACAAAGAGAGTAAAATACATAGGAATCCAACTTACAAGGGATGTGAAGGACCTCTTCAAGGAGAACTACAAAGCACTGCTCAATGAAATAAAAGAGGATACAAACAAATGGAAGAACATTCCATGCTCATGGGTAGGAAGAATCAATATCGTGAAAATGGCCATACTGCCCGAGGTAATTTATAGATTCAGTGCCATCCCCATCAAGCTACTGATGACTTTCTTCACAGAATTGGAAAAAACTAAAGTTAAAAAAGTAAAGTTCATATGGAACCAAAAAAGAGCCCACATTGCCAAGACAATCCTAAGCAAAAAGAACAAAGCTGGAGGCATCATGCTACCTGACTTCAAACTATGCTACAAGGCTACAGTAACCAAAACAGCATAGTACTGGTACCAAAACAGATATATAGACCAATGGAACAGAACAGAGACCTCAGAAATAACACCACACATCTACAACCATCTGATCTTTGACAAATCTGACAAAAACAAGAAACGGGGAAAGGATTCCCTATTTAATAAACGGTGCTGGGAAAACTGGCTAGCCATATGTAGAAAGCTGAAACTGGATCTCTTCCTTACACCTTATACAAAAATTAATTCAAGATGGATTAAAGACTTATATGTTAGACCTAAAACCAAAAACACCCTAGAAGAAAACCTAGGCAATACCATTCAGGACATAGGCATGGGCAAGGACTTCATGTCTAAAACACCAAAAGCAATGGCAAGAAAAGCCAAAATAGACAAATGAGATCTAATTAAACTAAAGAGCTTCTGCACGGCAAAAGAAACTACCATCAGAGTGAACAGGCAACCTACAGAATGCGAGAAAATTTTTGCAATCTATCCATCTGACAAAGGGCTAATATCCAGAATCTACAAAGAATGCAAACAAATTTACAAGAAAAAAACAAACAACCTCATCAAAAAGTGGGCAAAGGATATGAACAGACACTTCTCAAAAGAAGACATTTATGCAGCCAAAAGACACATGAAAAAATGCTCATCATCACTGGTCATCAGAGAAATTCAAATCAAAACCACAATGAGATACCATCTCATGCCATTAGAATGGTGGTCATTAAAAAGTCAGGAAACAACAAATGCTGGAGAGGATGTGGAGAAATAGGAATGATTTTACACTGTTGGTGGGAGTGTAAATTAGTTCAACCATTGTGGAAGACAGTGTGGCGATTCCTCAAGGATCTAGAACTAGAAACACCATTTGACCCAGCAATCCCATTACTGGGTATATACCCAAAGGGTTATAAATCATGCTGCTATAAAGACACATGCACACATATGTTTATTGCAGTACTATTCACAATAGCAAAGACTTGGAACCAACCCAAATGTCCATCAATGATAGACAGGATTAAGCAAATGTGGCACATATACACCATGGAATACCATGCAGCCATAAAAAAGGATGAGATTATGTCCTTTGCAGGGACATGGACGAAGCTGGAAACTGTCATTCTCAGCAAACTATCACTAAGACAGAAAACCAAACACCATATGTTCTCAGTCATTGGTGGGAACTGAACAATGAGAACACTTGGACACAGGATGGGGAACATCACACACTGGGGCCTGTAGGGGGTGGGGAGCTGGGGGAGGGATAGCATTAGGAGAAATACCTAATGTGAATGATGAGTTGTTGGGTGCAGCAAACCAACATGGCACATGTATACCTGTGTATCAAACCTGCACGTTGTGCACATGTACCCTAGAACTTAAAGTATAATTTTAAAAAAAGAAACATATTTTAGACTTTAGGATAACATTGAGTAAATTCTTGCATTTTAAGAAGAACAACTGAAGGGAGCACATGTAAATTAGTAATGAGTAAACTGAAGGAGTAAATTCTAAGGAGATCTAGCTTAAAAATAATCATCAGAGTTCTGGAGATTGGTTGCATGAGAACGTAGGCATATTTAAAGTAACTGACCTGTACACTTAAAAATTGAAAAGATGTTAAATTTTATGTAGTATATATTTTACCAAAATTAAAAATAAAACATAAATACACTGCTCCACCCATTTCCAGCACCAATAGTGCTTCTAGAGGCAACCACTTTCAAGGCTGTAGATGCTTCTTTGTAATTTGCCTTTATTTTTCTGACAATATGCAATACTGCTATATCTTATACTTGTTGTCTCGTGTCATCATTTTGCAATCTTTGATTTCTTATGTTAGATGAGCACTAGCACTAAAGCCTTCCCCACCAAGCCTTCACATGAAACTTTCCTCACCTCATCGCCTACCTATATTGCCAATGTTCCTTTTCATTATACTCTCGATATAAGTATAACAGATTTTTTTGTCAGTCAATATTCAGTGTTTGCAGTGTTACGGCTGTAATATTAGGTGGAAAATGTTATTCACTATTGAGTCAAATATAGTGATGGAATTCCATTTCTTCTTCATGATGTGACTAGGTATGGATCTCTTTGTTTATTCTACTTAGAGTTTATTATGTATCTTTATTGCATAATTTTTTAATGAAATTTAGGAAGTTTCAGCCATTATTTCTTCAAATATTTTTCCTGCTCCTTCCTCTCTTCTCCATTTGGAACTCCTACTGCATGTATGCTGGTGTGCTTAATGGTGTCTCACATTTCTCTGAGGTTCTGTCCGGTTTTCTTCATTCTTCTTTCTCTTTGCTCGTTGGCTTGCATAACCTCTATCAATCTGTTCTCAAGTATACTGATTCTTTCAGCCAGTTCAAATCTACTGAGCCTCTCCAGTAAATTTTTTATTTTGGTTATTTCACTTTTTGACTTCAAATTTCCATTAGTTCTTTTACAAAAATTTCTTTTATTTTTATTTATTTATTTTTTCTTTTGGAGACAGGGTGTTACTCTCTAACCCAGACTGGAGTGTGTAGTAATGCAGTCACAGCTCACTGCAGCCTCGACCACCCAGGCTCAGGTGATTCTCCACCTCAGCCTCCCAGGTAGCTGAGACTACAGGCACACAGCACCAAGCCCAGCTAATTTTTTGTAGCGACAGGGTTTCTCCATTGTTGCCCAGACTGATCTTGAACTCCTGGGCTCAAGTGATTGACCTGCCTGGTTCTCCCAAAGTGCTAGGATGGCAGGCATGAGCCACCACACCTGGCCCTTTTATAAAAACGTCTGTGTTTTTGTTGGTATTCTTTATTTGATTAGACATTGTCATCATAACATCTTTTACTTCTGTACACATGGTTTTAGTTCTTTGAACATATTTATAATGGCTGTTTTGAATTTTTCATCTATTAAATCCAAGATCTGGACCCTCTCACTGGCAGTTCTGTTGGCTGCTTTTTCTTCTTGTGTATGGGTCACACCTTCCTGTTTCATTGCTTGTGTCACAATTATTTGTTGCTATTGAAAGCTGAACATTTTTGGTAATATATTGTTTGACACTAGATACTTATTTCCTCCCTTCTCTGGAGCTTGTTTTTGTTGTTGTTTGCTTGTGTACTTAGTAGCTTTGCTAAACTATTTTAGTGGTCTGTTTCTCTCCCCCCACAGCGTGAAGCTTCTGTACTCATCACAGTGTGCATCCTTAGGCATGGGACAGTCACCCTGGAATGACTGATCTTAGCAGGGCTCTCTTCGTTTATCTGATTTCACTTTAAAACCTTCTGCCCCTTTTTTTGGTCTCCATTAATTGCTGGCTGATTGTTTTTGACAATGTCCTGTGGTATAAATGGTTCTATGGTCTGATCCAATTAAATTCAGGCAGGGATAGTTTTTGAGGCTAGTGTTTGAGGTTTGTTCTGTTCTCAGGAGAACTCTTCTTAACTGTCCCTCTCTCTGGGTGAACTAGCTGGCCTATGATTTAGCTTATTGTTCTCAATATAATCTTTCAATCAACCAGACCAATAATAGAAAATATTAGTTTAATTTTATTGCTGGAGACCTCCCTCATCAAGACTTCTGACTTGCTGCTTCTATCTGAACTGGTTTTTTTCTAGGTCTGATACACAGCTGTCACCCTGGGGTTTCCTTTGCCATCTTCCTGAGAATTCCCTGGAATTCCCCTTTGAATTCCCTGAAATGAAGGGGTCCCAGCAATTACATTCCTAGGTATATAATCAAGAGAAACAAAAACATATATTTACACAGAAACTTGTACATGTATGTTTATAGCAGCACTATTCATCATACTCAAAAGGGGAAAGAACTCAAATTGATAAGCAAAATGTTGTATAACCATACAGTAGAATATTATGCCATAAAAAGGAATACAGTACTGACACAGGCTGCGACATTGATGATCATTGAAAACATTAGCGAAGTGAAAGAAGGCAGTCACAAAGACCACATGCTATGATTTCATTCATATGAAAGTCCAGAATAGGGAATCTATAGAGACAGAGAGTGGATTAGTGGTTGCTTACGGGTGGGGAAAATGGTAACAGGGCAATGGTAGCAAAAGATATAAGGTTTCTTCTTGAGGTGACGAAAACCTAAAATTGACTATGGTAATAGCTTCACATATCTGTAAATAGGTTAAAAACCATTAAATTGTATACTTTAAATGGGTAGATTATATGATATGTGATTTATATCTCAACAATGCTGATTTTAAAATTCAGGCCATTGAGATATTTATTGGCAACCTGAAGTTGTCATTGAATCTTGCAACTCTAGCAGTATATGAGAGTAACTCTTTAATAGAACCTCTTAAGAAACTTCCCCTCACATCCATTGGCCAGGTTTGGATCCCCTCCCCCTTTCCTAAACCAATCACTAGTATGGAACTGAGATCACCAGGTGTATTAGTCCATTTCCACACTGCTGATAAAGACATACCCAAGACTGGGCAATTTACAAAAGAAAGAGGTTTATTGGACTTACTGTTCCACATGGCTGGGGAGGCCTCCCAATCATGGTGGAAGGCAAGGAGCAGCAAGTAACATCTTACATGGATGGCAGCAGGCAAAGAGAGAGCTTGTGCAGAGAAACTCCCGTTTTTAAAACCATCAGATCTCGTGAGACCCATTCACTCTCACAAGAACAGCATGGGAAAGACCTGCCCCCATGACTCAGTCATCTCCCACCAGGTCCCTCCCACAACACATGGGAATTATGGGAGCTACAAGATGAGATTTGGGTGGGGACACAGAGCCAAACCATATCACCAGGATTACATTAGATTAATCATGACTTAACCAATTAGGAAATGAGTGCATTCATAAATAAAATTATGGTTCTGCCCAACAAGAATGAAGGGAGGATTGGCTATTGGGTGGGTCAGCAATAGTGTCTGCTACACACTTGCTTAGTGTTTTCAGGTTTCCATGCCTTTCTACTATCTTAATTTTCCTCACAACCACCCTATGAAGTTAGCAGGAGAAATAGCTACATTTTTGAGATGATGAAACTGAATCTCAAAAATGTAAATTATCTTAGCCATGGTTATACTGCCTGTTGAGTAATGGAGCCAGGACTTGAATCTAGGTTTTTCTGACTCCAAATTCAATTTTTTTTTTTTTTTTTTTTTTTGAGATGGAGTCTCACTCCATCTCCCAGGCTGGAGTGCAGTGGCGTGATCTCGGCTCACTGCAACCTCTGCCTCCCAGGTTCAAGCGATTCTCCTGCTTCAGCCTCCCAAGTAGCTGGGATTACAGGCACATACCACCACACTCAGCTATTTTTTATTAGTAGAGACAGTTTCACCATGTTGGTCAGGCTGGTCTCAAACTCAGGTGATCCACCTGCCTTGGCCTCCCAAAGTGCTGGGGTTACAGGTGTGAGCCACCACACCCAGCCCAAATTTAATTTTTAAAATTAGAATTTTTTAAAAAACTATGTCCCTATAAATATAATTTCTATTAACAAAGTGTTACTTATCATAATTTTTAGAACTCCACATTGAAAGATCCTCCAGATAACAATTCTTATTTAAAGCTTTCTCTTACTTTCCCCTCTAACAAATACAACCAGTTCATTCTCTCCAGTTGACGTCTTTTCAATACAGGCCACTACACCAATAGATTATCCTGTGCTCTTATTCAAAGAATTGTTCTGCTAAGGATTGTGCATTCCTACTAATGAGTTTGTTGTAGATTTTGTGGAATTAAGGAGAATGCAGTAGAATTTTAAATTATCTGTCTTTATCTCTAATGGCTTTTCATTCATAATTATAGTTTTGTAATGAGTGCATTTGTGATGACAGAAATCCACCATAACATATTCCATTGTCTGAATTAGCTTCAGACCCTTATTTAATGACTTATTAATCAACCACAGTCAGCCAACACTGTATCACATTAGATCTGTGAACAACACAGGCAAAGAATTTTTCTTTTCTCTCTATGTAACCCGTGGAGCAATGTTTAACAATAGGAATCTGTTCAAACATCCATCCACAGTTCCATTACATCTGCAGTTCTATTAGTAAAGGTCAGCCTAGGTTAGTTCACTGTCAGCAGCCAGAAAGGTGCAAGAATAGATGAGCTTAATTGCTGTATCTTTACTATCACTATGACTATTTAGAATGCAGGTAAGTAAGGCGTCCAAGATACTAAATCTCCATTTAGGTTACCAAGAAGCATTAGTTAAGTTTCGATTCTTACCGAGAGCCAACCTAATTATTACTACTACGGATGAGCACATCTAAGACACTTCCTAAATCAGTAATCAGTAATATGTATTATAATTACTTTACCACCTATTCCACTTCTACCATTCTTAGGATTTAGGCAGTTAATCAACGAATATAATATCCCATTGGGAATTCGTAGCCAGTATCTACAGATACAGAACAACAATATTATGTCTTTATCTAGACAAAGTATGAAAATGCTAAAATAAATGTATAATTTTATTAGCTTACTTGTGTATGGAGAGCAAGGATTCTCAACCTTGCTGCACAGTGGAATCACCTGGAGAACATTACAAAATATTCATGCCTGGGTTCCACCCAGAAGCTAATATAATTGGCATAGGGAGCAGCCTGGACACAAATTTTTAAGTTTCCCAGATGATTGTAATGTGCCCCACAAAGTTAAGAAAAGCCATGGTCTGTAATTACATGGGGTGAGTGAGAGAGAGAGAGAGAGAGAGTGAGTGTGTGTGTGTGTGTGTGTGTGTGTGTGTGTGTGTGTGTGTGTGTATGATGGGGGCAGTCAGGAAGAGAGGGTGAGAAATTAAAAGTCTTTGGACATAAAATTCGTCAGGCGGGGCCGAGTAAGGTAGCTCATGCCTGTAATCCCGGCACTTTGGGAGGCCGAGGCAGGCGGATCATGAGGTCAAGAGATCGAGACCATCCTGGCCAATGTGGTGAAACCCTGCCTCTACTAAAAATACAAAAATTAGCCAGGGGTGGTGGCGTGCACCTGTAGTCCCAGCTACTCAGGAGGCTGAGGAGAATCGCTTGAACCCAGGAGGCGGAGGTTGCAGTGAGCTGAGATCACGCCACTGCACTCTAGCCTGGCGAGAGAGCGAAGACTCCATCTCAAAAAAAAAAAAAAAAAAAAATTGGTCAGGCGGGACCTCAACTTTCCTGGTAGGAAAATGATGTTTAAAATTCTGAACACTGAAATCAAATTAATATATAAATGCATTATTTTATTTGGTACTCACATATTTTATTCTTCTTACAAGTTAAACCCTGTTTCAAGTGCTAAGGATTCAAAGATGCCTTTTCTCTTAGGAAGTCTTAATTAGCAATGGAAATTTCCTGATTAAGACGGAATGAAAAGGCTTATCGTTTTCCCCACCTGGCTGAAATCTGGAACCTTAATTTAAATTATTATGATTTTATTCCACAGACGCTAAAATAAACTTAAGTAATTGACATATTTTGAACATATATGGTTTTGTTTCACCTTCATATTCTTGGGATAAACTATATGGCACATGCACTTTTTAATTCTTGTACTTCTGTACATAGTTTCTTGTGTTAACTTCTGTTTAATGAAATTTTGTAAAGATTCCTGAGCCTAACTAATAGATTTTAGAGTCTTATTACTGCTTGGCACTCTGTAGGTCTGTGCACCTGCCAATGAAACTTGAATTCTTCAGTGGCATGGCCTTTCTTATTGTTGCTAGTGGTCAGCATTCACTAGATAACTAAATTAGCTCTTAAACTGAAAAAGAAAATCTATAATGTGTCTTCTTTCTAGAGTAGAAAATAACAGCAGAAGAATTCACAATAGTCTAGATACATTGCCATAGCCACAGATCCTGCCTTTTTTTCCAATTAGCAAAGGGTTTCTCTGGGAACTAAATTACTATTCCTCATTCATCCATCTGCTTCCTTCCTCCTTGCATTCAGGGAAAGTATAAAAGTTACTTTGTACACAATACTAGACATGACAAGAAGTTGCCAAGATTTTCTAAACCAGCCCTTTAAAAGGGCTAGTATACCTTTTTTCCTTCATAAAAATTTAAACATGTTTTAACCGAACAATTTCCAAAAACAGTTAATCATTTCCACATAGTATTTGCCAGCTTTTAAGCCTGCTTTTTAAATGTTCATGAGCCCAACTTATTTTTCTAGCTCCTTTGACTACAGAAGACCCTCTGAATGGTAAAAAGAAAAAGAAAACAAAACTTTTCTGCTCCGTTTTTCAACTTGGAGTAGACAAATTCTAATACCCTATGCACATGTCCACAGAGGGCTTTTCTTAGGCAATGACTGCATAATCAAACATATATTTTTCTTCTTTTGTTTTACAAAAAAAACTTTAATTTTTTTCTTCTTTGTACTCTAAGAGTCAAAACTTCCCTACATGTGTTATGCTGATTGTTTTGTTACTCAAACAGAAAAAAACAGCATTTCTTTAAAATGTTTTTCATACAAGTAATTATAGTACATTATACAGAATTAGGGAAATATATGGGGGGGAATCACCTAAAATTTTACCACCTTTTAAATCATTCTTAGCATTTTGATGTATTCCTACCAGTCTTTTTTTTTCTGTACACCTACATCCGCACATAATCATACTGCAGATTCATTTTTGTGCTACGTGTTTTCCAGTTACAATAGCCTAGACATTTTCCATGTTAATGTACAGCGTTCATATCTATTTTTCTCATTAACTTCTTTCCATTCTTTAAGTCTTAGTGCAAAGGTCACACCTTTAATTAGCAATGCCTGTCTTAACATTTCAAACTAGGTCTGGTTCCCTTGTTATTTGCTTTTACAGAATCATATTCCTTTCCTATACAGCAATAACCAGAAGTGTAATGATTTCATCATCTGTCTTCCCCATAAGGTGTAAGCTCTATGAGAACCAAGACCATGTCTACCTACTTTTGCCTATCATTATGTAACCTGAACAAACCCTGGAACATAGTAGACACTCACATTTGACAAATAGAGTAATGGTCAGTTAATGATAGCGACACATTCTGAGAAATGTGTTGTCAGGTGATTTTGTCATTGTGCCATTGTAGAGGGTACTTACACAACCTAGATGGTATAGTCTACTACACACCTAGGCTATATGGTCTAGCCCATTGCTCCTAGTCTACCAATCCAGATAGCATGTTACTCTACTGACTACTGTAGGCAATTGTAACACAATGGTAAGTATTTGTGTATCTAAACATAGAAAAGGTACAGTAAAGATACAGTATGAAAGATTTTTAAAAGGGTCTACTTGTATAGAGCACTTACCATGAATGTAGCCTGAAGGACTAGAAGTTGCTCTGGGTGAGTCAGTGAGTGAGAGGTGAGTGAATGTGAAGGCCTGGGACATTACTGTCCACTCCAGTAAACTTTATAAACATTGTATACTTAGGTTACACTAAATTTATTTTAAAATTTTTTCTTTCTTCAATCATAAATTAACCTTAGCTTATTATAATTCTTTTACCTTATCAACTTTTTAATTTTAAAAAATTTTTTGACTTTTAATAACACATCTTAAAACATATGTTTTACAACTGTACAAAAATGTTTTCTTTATATACTTATTCTATGAGCCTTTTTCTATTTTTAGAGTTTTCTATTTTTATTGTTTTACTTTTTAAATGTTTTTGTTAAAAACTAAGACATGAACATACACACTAGCTTAGGCCTACACAGGGTCAGGATCATCAATATCACTATCTTCCACTTCCATATCTTGTCCCATCAGGAGGTCTTCAGGGGCAATAACACATATGAAACTGTCATCTATTATGACAACAATGCCTTTCCCTGGAAAATCTCCTGAAGGATCAGCCTGAGGCTGTTTTACAGTTAACATTTTTTTTATAAGTAGAAGGAATACACTCTAAAATAACAATAAAAAGAGTATAGTAAATGCATAAAGCAGTAACATCATTATTCTTATCAAGTATTATATAGGGTACATATTATATATGCTCTACTTTTATATGACTGCTTTGTTTACACCAGCATCCCCACAAACACATGAGTCATGCATTGCACTTTGACATCACTAGGCAATAGGAATTTTCATCTCCACTGTAATCTTATGGAACCATGATCATATATGCAGTCTGTCATTGACCAAAAAAAATCATTAGGCAGTATAGGATTATATTTATTGAGATGCCATTGTATGCCAACACATAAATTTTTTGAATGAGTAAATAAATAACCCTCATTTTCAATGGCCATTTGATAATCTATTCAATATATGTGATTATACTTTACTTAGCCAGTCCCCATATTGGACGTTTAGATTGTTTCCAATTTGTCAACATTATAATGCCTCAATGAGTATCTTTGTGCATGTAACATTTTAGTATTCCCAATTTATTTTACAACTGTTTACCAGAAACAGAATTTCTGGATCAAAAGGCAAATATCTTATTATGGCTCTTGGTACGTAGTTCCAAATTGCTCTTCAAGTTATGTTGTGACAAGCAGTGAAATGGTAGGCCAGTTTCCTTTCTCTATCTGTTTTGGGTATTTAAAAACGTTCTTGTTAAGTTACTAGTAGGCAAAGAATAATTTATTGTTTTAATTTGCATTTTTAGTTATAGGCTGGATATTTTTCTTATGTTTATTATTTGCATTTCTATAAACTGTGTATAACAGTACCCTTTCTAATACTGTCATGATGCTTCTAAGCTGAGAGGATGGACAAAATGAATGTGGTAAATAACGCATGAATATATTATATAAAAATTAATTTTAAAACATATACTTTTTCCGTAACTAATCAATAAATGAATCTGCATTTCCCATAGCAATTATATCCGTTGAGAATAGATTTAGCTGCAAGTTGTAGAAAATCCAAAATAAGAGTGCCATAATAGAAGTTGGTTTCTCCCTTCTAGGGAGATAGTTCCGAGGTAAATAGTCCAGGGCTGTTTTAGCACCCCATGGTGCAAGGGACTTTGGTTTTTCCATGTAGCTTTACTCTGTGTGGCCTCTGTATTATGACCCAAGACAATAGCACCTATGTTCAAACAGCAGAATTGATGAAGGGATGAAAAGAAGAGGCAAATTGTGTGTGCCACTTGTCTCTTAAGAATGTTTTCCAGCTGGGTGCAGTGGCTCACGCCTGTAATCCTAGCACTTTGGGAGGCCGAGGCGGGTGGATCACGAGGTCAGGAGATTGAGACCATCCTGATTAACAGGGCGAAACCCTGTCTCTACTAAAAATACACAAATTAGCCGGGTGTGGTAGCACGCACCTATAGTCCCAGCTACGCGGGAGGCTGAGGCAGGAGAATCGCTCGAACTTGGGATTGGAGGTTGCAGTGAGCCGAGATTGCGCCACTTCACTCCAGCCTGGGTGACAGAGCGAGACTCCATCTCCAAAAAAAAAAAAAGGAAAAAGAAAAAGAAAAAATAAAATAAAAGAATGTTTTCCAGAAGTTGCCACAGGATATTTCTATTTACAACCCATTGGCCAGAACTTAGTTATATGGACACAGACAGCTGCAAGGCAAACTAGGGAAGGTAACCTCTATTCTGAGCAGTGAAATGCTCAGATAAAAATTTTATTGGTAACAATAAAGATGGATCTAGGGGAACTGCTACTAGTTTCTGCCATAGTAATGTAATACAGTTCAAATAACCTACAGATATAATTTATAGATCTTCATCTTTAAACATCACAAATCTCATCAACTTCTAACCAGAGCTTACAGCAGATGCTATAGTGACTAGCTGATGGAAAAACAAAAACAAAAACAAAAACAAAAAAAACAGATCAGACTCACTTGCAAACTTCTTATTCTTGTTTAAATGCCCCTGCTGCAGCTAGACCATGCTTAGTTCTCTGAACATGTGCATATGAACCAAATCCTTCATCTCACAGATCTAGTCACTGTCTATTTCAACTTTTTTTCCTTTTCCTTTATGATATATCTTTTCTGTTGGGACAACTAGAAAATTCTAACATATTGACATTTATTCATATTTATTGAACATATATATATATATATATATATATATACCAGGCTAACAGGTAATTAGCGGAAAGAGAAAAAGGATGTGAATAAATTCACAAATACAATAATGAGCTTTTAATTAAACATGATACTGCTTATAGCAACAGAAATTTGAAAAACACCCAAATAAGAAAGATACAGTTAAAGCATAAGATAGCCAAAACGGTAAAAATAATAATAAGAAGAAACGAACATTTTGTTATAAAACAAAAATACTGTAGATAAAGACATTAGCAGCTCTTATATATTTTCATCTCATGTGTATTGTGTATACCATCATTTGACAACACAGAGGGCCTTTCTTTTTTCTTAACAATATTCAGCAAACATTAGGCATTCAGTAAAGACTACCAAATTATGAATGCAAATGAGCTCCCTCAAAAAAAAGTGTTGCATTGTAACCACTTCTCATATGCTACCTCCCTGAGGTGGCTCGGCTGGTGTGACTAACTCTTCTATGAGTTTTTAAGATTAACAAAAAAAGAGAGAATATTTTCACTGCCATAGATACGTATCAGTATATGGGATTTTTTTTGTTGTTGTTTAAGCTTGTTCTTTTTTGGTTTGACCCTGTAACCCTATTGCATCTCATAATGTAATATAAAATTGTAGACATCTTATGGTGTACCTATGCTGTCTCCTAAAAGAAAGAATGTTGGTTGGTTACAGGAAAGAAATATCTTGATAATGTAGACTGTAGAAAATAGGATAATATTTTGAACCATTATTCCTTCTTTGTAATCACTATAAAAATCAGTGAAAAGGGAAAAATAAATGGTAATTATTATTCTGCAGGGCAAATGGAGTTAACTGGAATTTATCCTATAGGATTATCAGTTTTAGTGAACTGTGATGTCCTTAAAAGCCCCCAGGTGGCATTATAGCCTTGTTTTCCCTAAGTCATTTGTTTTCATATAGCACAGATCAGAATCCACTTTAACAAGAAATTCCGCTTACTCCAATGATAAATGTGAATATGAAAAATACTATTTTCTTAATTTGTTTATTTATTCATTTTGAGTAAGTTCTCTTCTGGAATAGCTACGAACTTAAAATATGTTTGGATTAAAATAAGATAAACCACTTTCCAAATTAAATAGTTTATAAACCAAACTTTCCCAAAAGAAGTTTCAAGGATACTACTTTCAGAATCCAATAATATATGTCTAAATAAATATATATGAGCAGTACAAATTTAATTCCAAATGAATAATCTCAGTGAGAAGTAGTTTATTTGCAATTGTTACTAATTTTCTTTGCGACCTCCAATAAATTGTTAATTTTCTAAGACTCAGTTTCTCTAACGTTCAAAGCAAGAACACTACATTTATTAAACTGAAAAACACTTTCAAGGTCTTTAGCTAAGTGCTAGGAATAGGTAAGAAAAAAGAACTTTTCAGCTAATATCAAATAATATAATTTGTGTATTCAATAAATATAATTTCAGGTACTTGACCAGTATAATTCAATAATGAATTACTGTAATGAATACAAAAAGGAAAATAATTATTTATTAGGGTATTCTGCCTGGTTATTTATATTCAGTAAAATAAACTTGTTTAAATTACTCTCCTATATCCTTGCATACATAATGAGTTTTAATACTTAAACCTCCTATAAATTATTTTCAAAGTATGTAAGACCAAACTTATCAAACTATACTTGAGCAGTAGACACCATAATCAATTATACTGTATGACTTTCTAAGGACGTTATTTTTGTATTCACTGTATTTACTAAATAATCAACATGGTAATTAAATTGTAAGTTCAGGTTGTAATTTATCTCCAAGTATTTAGTCTTTATTTTTTTCAAATTTAATCTACCCACTGCTCTAGCAAATTATCTTTAACAAAATATACTAAGAGTTCAAACAAAATTATATTTATTGTGAAGTAATTATTTAATATTAGACCTGAAAATAGTTTCTTGTGAAACTTGTACCAGGTTTTAAACTTTTTATTCTAAAAAAAACCACCTTGGTTTGCATTTAAGTTGAATAATTAAAAATATTTTTTAAAAATCATGTATTTTTCATCTTTATTAAAATTAGTTTAAGTGTTTATGTTAAATGTGAAGTCCATTTTAAAATTATTTCAATTCTAGGCATGTACTTAAATTTTTTCATGAATTTTTCCTTATAACTTTCATATAAACACACACAGGAAGGCTACTAGATTCAAAGCTCCAGAAGGTTAATTAATCTAAGCCCTTGGATTGCTCATTGAAAATATTTTTTTAAATTATTCTTAATAAAATATATTATTTCAATGTATTTTCCCAGTATGTTAAAATTTTGTATTTTTTGTAAGTAAAAGAAAAACACCTAAAAAATGTTTTTAGGCCTCTAAGTTACTCTCCTCATATTATTTGCAGAGGGCACACAGCCTAACTGGGAAAAATTGCACAATTAGAGACCTAACATTCAGATGAGAATGCCACGATGATCATGTATCTTGCCCTTTTGGTGTAAGATCACTCTCTGACAGAGTTCCAGGCCCATTTAGAATGGATTGATTAAATAAAATTAATTTGCTAAATTAGAAACTACAGCTGTAACTTGAAAAAGGGTCTACGCTAATAAACGTGCATTGACAGTATTTTTGTAATCTCTTTAGAACCATTATTCTAAAGTCCAAATGATTCTATGCTATGATTGATAATTACTTGTATCTAAAGATCTTTAAGATCTTTTCCAGCATTAACCCATTAATTTTCACACTTTCTCTGTGAGGCAGTAGGATGTAAGTACGGTTAGTTTGATTTTCCACATGAGGAAACCAAATCATCAAGAAATGAACTTGCTAGAAGTCACACAAGCAACACCAACAAATGAAACAGAGCTCAAAGACCTGACACCGCATTGAACAAGGAGGTGCCTTATACACTGGTATATGCAGAATGACCATCTCTATCACCAAATTTACTAGCTTTATCCTCGTAAAATTGAGCCTTGCTTGACATTCTCCCTGCAAACTCCTCCTCAGCTGCTCATCCACCCTGAAAATGAACTTCCTTTCAGATCTGAACCCCATAAAGCTGAAGGTCACTTTGCCCTGTTCCCAATTATTACAGAGTACATTATAGCTGTTAAAGAGTTACTTGTAGGTAAGTAGGTTCAGATTATGCTTGTGCAGATTATGCTAGGTATTATTTAACCTATCAAGACCTAGAAATAGACTTTATTTTATACAGGGCCGAAAACTAGGTTTGATAATGAATGGAATTTGGAGTCTGACAAATTTGCTCTTCAGCCGTCATAAGTATCTGAAAACATTCCTCCAGGACATCTTACTGGCAGCAACTCATTACTACCACCTGAGTTTCTCATCCTCGGCCCCTGACCTTCGGGAAGCCTATATGCCAGGAGACTGGCAACCCAAATAAGTCTCGCCCAAATAAGTTGGTATTGCCCCAGGTACCCTTGTCTCCTAAGGTTCCTTTTAAGCCAGCAGTCCCCAACCTTTTTGGCACCAGGGATTGGTTTCATGGAAGACAATTTTTCCATGCTGGGGGTGGGTGGGGGATGATTTGGGGATAAAACTGTTCCACCTCAGATCATCAGGCACTAGTTAGATTCTCATAAGGAGCATGCAACCTATATACCTCGCATGCGCAGTTCACAATAGGGTTTGAGCTCCTGTGAGAATCTAATGCCGAGGCTGATCTGACAGGAGGCGGAGCTCAGGCAGTAATGCCGGCTCCCATGCCACTCACCTCCTGCTGTGCAGCCCGGTTCCTAACAGCAGGGTACCGGTACCGGTCTGTGGCCTTGGGGTTGGAGACTCCTACTTAAAGGTAAGAAAATACTTTGTTTCCCTAGATGATTATGGTGAAAATTGCCTATCTGCCCAATGAAAATATTATACCAAAACTCAAACATTAATTCCAAGTGATTAATTTTTGAGGTCCACAATCCCTTATCCATAATTCCAAAAATTCAAAAGGCTCTCAAAATGGACATCTTTCTATAAAGTACTTGGTGGCAAAGCCTCACCTGACCTGACCACATTTTATGGCGAAACCTAACCTAAACTGACTAGAGGCTTTTTACAGTCTTGACTGATCACATTCCATGAGAATAATCACACATTTTACTGCAGAAATATTAATTTATGTGATTATGTCTGCCATGCTGCCCCCAGAAGGGTATATTACCTTATTAATAGCATATGTACACCACTATCTTTATAAACTCGAAAAAATTCTGAGTTCTGGAATGTATCTGGTACCAAGGATTTCTGTTAAGATGCTGTGAGTCTTTTAAGCCGTAGGTCTTTAGTCTTCAGGCTCTAAGACTTCAGCTTGAATCCTGGTTGCACCTACTAGCTTAGTAATGGGATGAATCACATGGTTCCTCATAAGTCTGAAACAATTGCAGGAGTTTTTCCTAGAAGAATCAATGGAACTTCATGACCAATAGGTGACTAAAACATCAGAGGTGAAGTTAGGAAGGGACACTGACTTTGATATGCTTTCAAGTTCACACCTGTTTGTATTTAAGGGAACCTGTGAGGACGCCGTCCAGGCAGATGTACAGATAGGCTGTGGCTCTATGTGGTCCAGAAGTAAGAGCTATGGAGTTGAGGAAAACAAGACTGAAAATGGAAACTTTGAGACAGCAGCGATTTCTGCAGAAAAAGCCTTGAGGAAGATAGCCCCAAAGAATGCCAGGGAAGAAGGAATCTTTAAAAGAAACGGAAAGAGGCCGGGCGTGGTGGCTTATACCTGTAATCCCAGTACTTTGGGAGGCCAAGGCAGGCGGATCACAAGGTCAGGAGATTGAGACCATCCTGGCCAACACGATGAAATCTCATCTGTACTAAAAATACAAAAATTAGCCAGTCGTGGTGGCGCTCACCTGTAGTCCCATCTACTCAGGAGGCTAAGGTGGGAGAATCTCTTGAACCCGGGAGGCAGAGGTTGCAGTGAGCCAAGATTGCACCACTGCACTCTAGCCTGGCAACAGAGCGAGACTCTGTCTCAAAAAAAAGGAAAGAAAGAAATGGAAACAACCATCCAAGAAATAGTAAGAAGGCCAAGAAGTACACCATCATAAAAGCCAAGATAAGTCACGAGTTCTCCAAAGGGGGCAACTATAAAAATTAAATGCTAGAAAAAAAGAGTAGGGAGTATGAGGTGTTTGAGCAAGGACCAAATGTTTTGACCAGAAAGGAGCCACTGAAGATTTTGAAAGTGTAGTTTCAGTAAAAACAACACGGGATTAAAGAAAGGATGTGTAATGTGTGGTGAGAAAATGAAGGTAACAGGTGCAGAGCATTCCTTTGAAAAGGAATACAAGCAACTGTAAAAGTCACCAAAGAAAAGGAAAATTTGAAAAGTAAATAATGGAAAACACCACATGGATTTCAAAAGTTGGCCAGACGCTGTGGCTCACACCTGTAATCCCAACACTTTGGGAGGCTGAGGCAGGTGGATCACCTGAGGTCAGGAGTTTGAGACCAACCTGGCCAACATAGTGAAACCCCATCTCTACTAAAAATACAAAAATTAGCTTGGCGTGATGGTGCACGCCTGTAATCCCAGCTGCTTGGGAGGCTGAGGCAGGAGAATTGCTTGAACCCGGGAGGCGGAGATTGCAGTGAGCCGAGATTGTGCCACTGCACTCCAGCCAGAGCCAGACTCCATCAAAAAAAAAAAAAGATATATTTTCTACCTTTTAGAATAATATAACTTTTCACTCCTTAATAATTTTTATATTTACCAAGTGCTTGGTAAATTCTACTTTACAACTTTTCTGAGGGGAAATAATTATTTCTATTTTACAAACAAAGGAGTAAAGGGAGAGAGTTTACGTGCTTTGCTTGTTACTGTTATTCCTACTTTCAAGGCCTTTACTGATTACCTACTATATTCAGTAAAGTATACTAGTGCCACACCTATAGTGCCTCACACTGATCAGTGCTTAATTTTTTTTTTTCAAGTAAGCTGAGTTAGAAATATATTTGGGTTTAGTAAGTGTCACTTCAGGCAACACAGATACCTGGAATACCAGGCTCTTTTTTAGTTTAACAATCTTGCCAACGATGAGAAATGGATTTGAATACACCCATAACCATGCCGAAAAGAAAAAGTGACTATAAAGAATAAATATCAAATTGAGAGTTCAATAAGACAATTTTGAACTTTGAATATTGACTGCATTGACTGAAGTAAATGCCCACTCACTTGAAAGCTAAGAAAATGAGAAAGAAAAAAGCCAGACTTGAATGAACTAAGAGGATTTGAATTATCTGATCCTTTTATTAAAGAGAAAGGGAGCATCTAGTTACCTAGGGAATTGACAAATGTTTCAAATTATCTTCCCTTTAATAAGAAAACAATCTTATATACGCTGACTATGATTTTTCTAAACGTGTTTTCTAATACTTTTTATAAATTATATTTCAGTCTAAAACAACAGTGTTCATGTGTTCACAACAGGGACAAAACAATCAAGTTAGTCCTAAAGAAAATATGACAGATTTTCCCCCAGAGCTTTACTGAGGTGTAGTTAACAAATAAAAATATGACAGTTTAAAAATAGAATCGGTAACTTGCTTTCTTTTATTATTACATTGGGAATTTTATATGTCTTAGGTCAGCACAACTTGGGCATTTTCTACCAAAGTACTATGGAAATAATAAATCAGGCCAAGTGCGGTGGCACACACCTGTAATCCCAGCACTTTGGGAGGCTGAGGCAGCAGGATAGCTTGAGGCCAGGAGTTCAAGACCAGCCTGTGCAACATAGTGAGACCCTATCTTGGCAGAAAAAACAAACAAACATTAGCTGAGAGTGGTGGTGTGTGCCTGTAGTCTTAGCTACTTGGGAGGCTGAAATGGGAGAATCGCTTGAGCCCAAGAATTTGAGGCTGCAGTGAGCTATAACTGGGCTACTGCACTTCAGCCTGGGTGACAGAGCCAGATCCTGTCTCCAAATAAATAGATAAGACACAATTTTTTTTTTGTCTTCCTCAAGGCTTTTTCTGTGAAGCTGTCTCAAAGGTTCCATTTTCAGTCTAGTTTTCCTCAACTCCATAGCTCTTACTTCTGCTCCCCGCAGAACCACAGCCTATCTGTATATCTGCCTGGTTGGCATCCTCACAGGTTATCTCAAATACAAATACCTAAATAAATCACTGACCTAGGAGTTGAGGTGGAGAGGACAGTCTTAGCCTAGAAGATTCTCAGAAATCTCAAGGTCTAGCTTAGGCTTTTGTGTTCATTGAACATTTTACTCCAAAATATATCTGAATTTGTTTTAATATAAAATAATGCTTCGTTTGCCAATTACATTACATTTCCCTAAATATTTGCAGAAAATCAGTCCTCTGGAGGATGCACCACAATTCACCTATGGCTTCCCCAGCCTCCTGCACCCTCAGCCCTAGTTTTAAAACTACAGCTAAATGAATTTTGATGATGAGGGGAGGACATAACTTAATGCTTTCTGATCAAATGAATCCTGCTGAAGATTATTGAAGAGGGTAGAATAAGACAACAGAGAAAGTGAGTGGGTGTGCAATAAGAATGTACCCCATTGAAGAGCCAAAGCTTCCTAAACTTCATAGTAAAAATGAATTCATATTCTTTTCATTATATTCCATGAAATTAAATTAAATGTCACAAATTATTTTAGTTTATTTTAATTCATTCATCCATTCATTCACTCAGCAATTAATATTTTGTATGCCCCTTCACATGCCAGACTGTGTCCTAGGTACTTAAGGATACAAAAATGAAATAGAAGTTCCTACCTTGAAGCACTCACAGTCTGTGTGAAGGTACATGCAGTGAGACAGAATAGGAGCTGCAAACATAACTGTACATAGTGGGCACAGAGAGACCAACTCTTTCTAGGGATGCTGGCAGAAAACAGGAACCACAAAAAAAATGTAAATAGTGGCTGAGCTGGGTTATTAAATTGGGGTTTAGGGAAGATCTAGACTTTTGATCCCTCAGCCCTCTTCCTTCACCTTGCAGGGATTCCTTAAGACCACTAAAATTTGGAGGGGTGCAATCTGAAACCTAGTGTCTTGTATATGTTCCCAATTCCAAGAAACAAAAGATTCCAAGGGCAGTACATTCAGACCTATAGGTAATAAGACCTAGAAAAAGACTTTTGAGCTCATTTAGGACAATGCCCCATCTTAGAAACAAAAAAATAGCCCAAGGCCCGGAGAGGTGTAAAGATAGTGCCAAAGGAGTGGAGCTCATTAGTGGCAGCTTGAAGCCTGTAACCAAGCTTGTGCCCATTCCACTGCAACACACGCCAGCACCACCCTTAGCATTCTGTGCTTCATTTTCTAGCCTTTAGTCAGTTGAAAAATATACATAAAATTTTATCCATCATGAAAATATTTAAATGTGTTAACATTAAGAATATATAGTGCTTTTCTAACAATATTTTATTCCTTACAAAAAATTATTATAAATTTTAACTATACACTAAAATAGAGGAAATAGTATAAGACATTCTCATACTACCTATTGATTAAATTCAATAGCTTTTAACATTTTGGCACACTTGTTTTATCCCTCTTTTTGTTCTTTCTTTTTCTTTGTTACTGCAAATATTTTAAGGCAAATTTCTGACATTATGTCTACGTCATTTCAACCTTAAATACTTCTGTGTGTTCTCTAAAAAATAAGGACTTTTTTTTTTTACTACAATGTGGTCACAGCTACAAAATTAACAATGATCCCTTAATATCATCTAATAACCAATGTTCAAGTTTCCTTATTTGTCTCAAAAATATCTTTTTACATTTATTTTAGTCATTTTAAATATGTATTTCTATTTTACTGCAAAGTAGTATTCTATATTTGGATTCAGCAATCCAATTTTTCTTGCTTTTTATAAACTTCTATTCTGAACTGGTACCTTAGTTACAAGGGCCTTACATATAAGTCATTAAATTCAGGCACACCTACCTAATCCTGACCCCAGCCATAATATATTTTTAACACTTCAATGATTACTACAGATATCCTTCCTGCTTTTTCACCCCAATACACACAAGCTATGACTCCCTCATTACTTTCTCCAGTCTATTAAAATTACATAAAATTCCATTAAAAAGGCCTTTTTATATCACAGATAAAATCACACTTGCTATATATACAGTGATTGTGATTCATACAGCTGTAATTATAATTCAATAAATCTAGATATTTTCTTGCTCCATCAATGCTAACGTGATGATTGGGTTTGGCTGTACTCAAAATTTGATATGGCTCCTTTCTTAGCCAGTGCTTCCAATAGCTATCCCATATGGAATCTAGTTTATTTGAATTTCAGCTTGAAACCACATCTACTGTCTCTTTCCACATCTATGGAATCTTTTTAAACAAAAATGCAAATTTTCTCTATACTTATGACATACCTAGAAAATTTGAGCCCATAGTAAATATCTCAGAAAGGCCATCCCATTAGCCTAAGTTTAGTAAAAGCCAAATTCCAAGACCTCCTAGCAAAGCAGAAATACCAGTAATTGCGATAAATAAATATTAGTGGACTCAATACTCTAGTGAAAACATAGACTGTCAGGCCAGATTTTTAAAAAAAATCTAATTCTGTATTGTTCAAAAAAGATACACATTAAGAAGGATTTTACAGTATTAAAAGTGAAAGGAAAGAAAAACATACACCATGCAAACATCTACAAAGAGGAAGCTGATATATCTGTAGTAATATCAAGCAGTCATATTTAAGGCAAAAAAGCAATATTAGAGACAGAAAGGAATACTTCATAATAATAAAGAACCCAATTCATACAAAAGATATAATAATGATAAATTTGTAGGCACTTAATAATGTGAACTCAAATATATAAAGCAAATGTTACAGGACTAGAGGTAGAAACAGAGAAACCTACAATCATGAATAGAAGCTGATAGAATACACAGACTATACAATTTAAACAGAAGAAGAAGAAACTTGACCTGATTGATATAAATGGAATATTGTGCCCCAAAACTAAAATGCATATTGAGTTTGTTAAAAATTTCATTTTCAAAAATTGAGCATGTGTTGCAAAGCAAGTCTCCACGAATTTCAAAGAACTGATATGAGACAGAGTATGTTCTCTGACTACAATGTATCTAGGCTAAATGTCAATATTTTTTAAAACTTTAATATTTCCATCTATGTGGAAAATAAGAAATCTACCTCTAAATGATATAACAGCCAAAGAAAAAGTCATGGAAAATATTTTGAACTGAAAATTCAAAATATCAAAACTTGTAAGGCGTAGTTTAAAGGAATACTTTAGGAGAAATGTACACCATTAAATGCACACTAGAAAAGAAGTAAAACTAAAAATTAATGAGGTAAGTATTAGTCACAAGAAGTTAGGAAAAGCACAGCAAATTAAAGTCAAAATAGGAAGAAAATAATAAAGATTATATCGAAATTAGTAAAACATTAAAAAATCTTACAACAGAGGTTCAATAAAGCAAAATTAGGTAAATTGAAAACACTATTAAAGTTGATAATTGTATGGTAAGAATGACCAAGGCAGGAAGAGAGAGAAGGCAGAGATTTACAACACATATATAGAAAAGAATAAATTACTACATATACCAACTATTAAAACAATATTAAGAGGTGGCTACTAACAACTTTATGACAATAAATTAAAATTTTAGATAAAACAAACTTCTTAGAAAATACAATTTACCAAAATGACACAAGAAGTAGAAAATCTAAACAGCTCATTAACTATTAAAAGAACATTAAATCCACCAAGGAAGCTTCAGGCCAGGTGGCTTCCCAGGCTAATTCCACCAAACAGTCAAGGAAGAAATAATGTCAATCTTACATAACACTTCCAGAAAATAGGAAAATGAAGACTATCATTCAACTTCTTCTGTGAGCCTAAAATAAGCTTAATAGCAAAGCCTGACAAGAACATTTTGAAAAAGAAAAATTACTAGCCAACCTCATTCATGTACATAATTTAGAAATGCCAAACATAAAATATTAGCAAGTAAAATTCAACAACACATGGAAAGAATAACATAATATGAGCAAGGCATGTTTACTACAGAAATGCAAGGCTGTACTAACACACTAAAACCAATCCATAAAATTCAGAGCATTAACACAATAAAAGAGAAAAATCATATTATCATTTTGATAGAGAAAAATTACCTGACAAAATTCGATATCTCATCATTATTTTTTTAAAAAAGAACTTTCAGCAAACTACAATTAGAAGTGAACTTGCTTAATCTGATAAAGATTATTTATTTAAAAACCTATAGCATTATACTTAATGAAATATTGATAGCTTTCCCTCAAAATGTAGAATGAGATAAGAATGCCCACTGTCATTTCTTCTATCAACTTTGTACTGAACTTTGTACTGTACCAGTACAATAAGGCAAGAAAAAAATTAAAATGTATAAGAATTGGAAAGAAAGAGATAAAACTGTCATATTCATAGCTGACATGTATAATGGCATACATATAAAATACAAAATAATCTACAGAAAAAATATTAGATATCAAAAGCAATTTTAGTAAAGTTGCTGACTACAAAGTCAATAAACAAAATCAATTTATTTCTATATACCAACAACAAATAAACAAATAGACACTTTAAGATGCCATTTATAAAGAACATCAAAAAAAGCAAACAAGAATAAATCTAAAAACTTGTAAACCTCTACACAGAGAAACGCTAAACTATTACTGATAAAAAAAACTTTAAAGGTTTAAATAAATGGAGAGATACACCACGTTCATGGATTCAGAGGCTCAAAATTATAAAGATGTCAATTCTCCCCCAAACTGATACAGAGAAACAATAAAACCACAATCAAAACCCCAAATTTTCTTAAAACTTTACGAGTTGATTATAATATTTTAATGAAAATGCAAAGTGCCAAGATTAGCCAAGACAATCTTGGAAAAGAACAACAAAGTGAGAAGACTTGCTTTATCATATATCAAAATTTATTATAAACCTACAGAATTAAGTCAATGTGGTATTGGTATGAAGACAGACCAACAGATCAATGAGAGAAAATGGAGAGTTAAGAAGCAAATCCAGGCATAAATGAATACATGGTTTATGAAAAATAGCAGCTCATAGAATGGTGGGGAAATAGTGATCTTTAAAAGATAAATGGTTCTGGAAAAATTGTATATTCATATGGAAAAAATAAATTTTTGCTGCTTCTTTATACGATGTACCAAAATTAGTTTCAAGTGATTTGTAGACCTAAGCACAAAAAACAAAACAAATAAATATTTTAGTTGGCAGCATGGGATAATATTAGTTTGGAA
Organism: Homo sapiens; assembly: GCF_000001405.40. NCBI lineage: Eukaryota > Metazoa > Chordata > Mammalia > Primates > Hominidae > Homo > Homo sapiens. The sequence goes on from NC_000005.10 coordinate 77,529,952, forward strand.
AACACTAACCATAGAAATGACTGATACATCTTACATATGTGTCATAAAGGCTTCTCTCAAGATACAGAAAGGAATAAAGCAATAAGAAAAAGCCAGTCACATACAAAATGAGAGAGAAAGAAAGATGCTCAACATCATTAGTCATCAATGCAAAATTAAAACCACGATAAGAGACCATGACATGTCCACCAGAATGGCGAATATTAAAAAGACCACCAACCTCAAATATTGGCAAGAATGTAGAGCAAACAAAACTCTCATTCATTTTTGCTAGGAAAATGGTACCCCTATCCTATTACCCAACAATTCTACTACTAAGTGTTTACCCAGGAGAAATGAAAACATATATCCAGAAAAAGACTTGGACAAGAATGTTGATTGCATCTTTATTAATAAGAGCCCTGGACTGGAAATAACCCAGGTGTCCAACAATAGAAGAATAGACAAACATCTTTATAAAATGAATTACCACTTATCACTAAGAAAAATCAAACTACTGATATAATCAACAGTATGGATGAACTAAAAAAATTATACTGGGTGAAATAAGCCTTACACAAAAAAGAATATACTGAACAAGTCTATTTATATGAAGTTCTAGAATAGGCAAAACTAATCTATAGTGGAAAAAAACTTCCTCTACTCTTGGGAGTTTGGGAAAATTCATGGAGGAATATCCTTGCATAGTGATAATGTTTTATCTTGATATAGGTTTGGGATATATGGTCATATGTAGCTGTCAAAACCTAGAAAATGAACAATTAAGATTTATGCATTTCATTATATGTAAAATTTACATTAAAAAATTAACTGTAAACAAATATTGAATTCTATTTAATGATATGTATGCTGAAAAATTTAGAAGAAAGTGATTGAAGAACTCTGTTTTGAAATGTATCAAAAAGGTAAGATGGATTGATGAATGGGTAGAAATATAATAAAACAAGCACAGTTAAATGTTAATGGTACAAGAACTGGTGCTGAGACAACTGGATACTCACATGCAAAAAAAATGAACTTGCACCCTTACCTCGCTTGTTATACAAAAATTAACTCAAAATGTATCAATCACCTAAATATAAGAACTAAAACTATAAAACTCTTAGGAAAAAACAGGGGTAAATCTTCATGACCTCAGATTTAGCAATGGATTTCTAGATATAAAACCAAAAGTACAAATAACAGCAACACAAATAGGTAAATTGGGCTTCATCAAAATTTAAAACTTTTGTGCATCAAAAGGCATTAAAAAGAAAGTAAAAAGACAACATACAGAATGGGAAATAACATTTACAAATTGTATATCTGAAAAGGGTCTCACATCCAGAATATAGAAAGAGCTCTTACAACTCAACAACAAAATGACAAACAACCCAATTTAAAAATGGGCAAAGGACTTGAATAAACGTTTTTCCAAGGAAAATATATAAATGGCCAACAAGCACATGAAAAGATGCTCAACATCATTAGTGAAACACAAATCAAAACCACAATAAGATATCACTTTGCGCCCACTAAGATGGCTATAACCAAGAAAGACAGACAATAACAAGTGTTGGTGAGGATGTGAAGAAATAGGAACCCTTGTACATTGGTAGTGGGAATGTTCAGCTGCTGTGGAAAACAGTTGGTGGTTCCTTAGAAAGTTAAACATAGAATTACCATATGCCCCCACAATTCATTTGTACTCAAAAAAAGTAAAAACAGGTACTCATACGAATATTTGTACATAGCAGCATTATTCAAAATAGCCTAAATGTGGTCTATACATGGTCATAGCAGCATTATTCACAATAGCTCAAATGTATTGTTCAGTCATAAAAAGGAATTAAATACTGATACATGCAACAAGGTGGATGAATCTTGAAAACATTATGCTAAGTAAAAGAAGCCAGACACAAAAGGTCGCATATTATATGACTCCATTCATATAAAATATCCAAAAGAGGTTAATCCATAAAAACAGAAAGGAGATCAGTAGTTGCCAGGGACTAGGGGGAGGGAAGAATGGGATTAACTGCATAATAGTTATAGAGTTTTATTTTGAGATGATGAAAACATTTTAGAACTAGATAGAGATAGTGGTTGTACAATATTGTGAATGACTACTTGTGAATGTCACTTTATTGTTCACTTTAAAATGATTACTTTTACATTATGTAAATTTCAACTCAATTTTAAAAATTTAAAAATGGAACAAGGGAGAGGATTTAGAAGGTTCTAAATGCTAAAAGAAGTTAATGATAGAATTCAGGTAGTGCGTATACAGGTGTTCACTGAAATCTTTCAATTTTGCTGTATGTTTGAAATTTTTTATGATGAAAGTTCAGGGGGAAAAATGGACAATAACAAGTATAGTGCAACTTAAAATAGCAGGAACTCTCAAATGCTGCTAGTGGAGATGGAAATTAATACAACCACTTTGGAAACCTGTTAGTCATTATTCACTGAAGTTGAATATCTTGATATTTTACAATCCAGCAATCCTTCTTGTAGGTATATATCCAACATAAACGAGTGTACATGAGCACCAAGAGTCTTGTAAAAGAATGTCCATAACAACTCTACTTATAATATCTAAAAACTTTTGGAAACTCAAATGTTTATCAACAGTAGAATGGATAAGTAAACAGTAGGGTAGTTTATAATCACACAGTGGAACCTTATATAACAGCCAAAAATGAACTCACTACAGCAGTACACAACATGGTTGAATCTCCTAAACATAATAGCAAATGAAAGAAGAAAGACTCAAAAGAACATATATGTAACTCAAAAACAGGCAAAACTAAATTATACAGTAAATATTTTAAAAATTATACAGTAAATATGAATTATTGGGTGGTAAAGGTAAAAAGAAAAGCAAGGAAATGATTACCATAAAAATCAGGATAGTGGTTACACTTGGGAGAAAGGAGGGGATTATGATTGGGAAACGGGCCTTTCATGTGGGGGATGCTAGCAATGTTCTATTTCTTTACTGGGATGCCTAAATTTTTGCTTTTTAATAATTAGGCTGTATGTTTATGTTATGTACTTCCTTGCATGTATTTTGTATTTCACAATTTTTAAAAGTAAAAAATATCTTGCATACACATGGACAAGCATATCAGGAAATGGGATCCCTCATACATTGCTGGTGGGAATATAAACCAGCAAGCTCTCTCGGGAGAAGGAAGTATTTCCCATGAAATTCAGTAGGCATTCTGCCTACCACCTGGCGGCCCCACTTCTAAATATCTACCCCAGAGAAATTCCTCACAGATCTCTGCATAGGCTGTTCTTTGCAACATTTGTTTATTTATTTACTTTTGGTAGTGTGTAGTTGGAGGCAACCTCCGTGTTTCTTAGAAAAGGAACTAATAAGTAAAATCTGATACATACATATTAAGGAAAGATAGGTAGTCAGAAGCAATGAACTCTAAAAAAAATAGAGTAACATGGATTGGTTTTTTAATAGTGTTGAGTGGGAAAAAGTAATACAATTATATCTATGCCCTTTATGTAATGTAAAACACATATACAAAGATACGTTTTTCAGACACATACTTATCCAAGTACAGGCAATGTATATATACCTACATCTATACCTATCCCAAATACTTTAGAGTAGGGGATGGCTATGGGAGGTAGGAAAGTGGAAACAAGGCTCAGGATGGAGGGACTGAAGGGATAGGAGCCTGAAATGGATGATGATGGTTGTGTGCTGTGAACAGAATTATATAATTAATTCAATTCTCCACTCCTAAGGTTCAAAGGAGAAACAAAAGAGTAAAATAATATACTAATATTGTTATTGTTGCTAATCTACAGCACTCTCAGATCAGTGTAGGGGCCCCTTCATATCCTTAAACCTTATCAGATTTATTTTTCCGGGCTCCCTTTGCAGGGGCTACTTCTTTATGTGATGCCTGTGCTTTTCCACATATTAAAGAGCTGGTCTCCCCAGCACTGCATCTTCCTTTGCAAATCCTACAGAATTATTTTGTGGAGTTGTTACAGTACACCAACCAAATAAGCTTCTACAAATATCATCTATGTGTGTGGTTTTGAAAGGCATACTACTGTTACAGCTATTATATGAATATTAACCTATAAAATACAATGTAATATTTCTAGTAAAAATGTTCACCGCTGCAGCTGAATCTAAAGATTCTACCCCAAGAATACAAGTTTAAATAGACACTTAAAAAAGTATTATTTACTTTAAAAATGAATGTAGCATTCTTTGCTTATTAAAAAATAATCCCATAAACTACTAGAATATTCTTTATGGATCAGAATCTTTAAATTTACATAGGTCCTATGTAAAAATTATATTCAAACCATAAAATTTCAGATAATATTCTAGAACAAATTTGCAACTACACCACTATATGTGGGGGGCGGCGGGGAAAGACCTTATATGGACAAAAAAATGAGAAGCAAGGGTAACTAAGCAGAGACAATGAAAAACAGTTTTGAATAAAGCATCTACAAAATTTCAATTTTTTTTTCTTTTTGAGACAGAGTCTCACTGTCACCCAGGCTGGAGTGCAGTGGTGTGATCTCGGCTCACTGCAACCTCCAACTCCCGGATTCAAGTGATTCTCCTGCTTCAGCCTCCCAAGTAGCTGGGATTACAGGCATGCACCACCACGCCTGGCTAATTTTTGTATTTTTAGTGGAGACAGGCTTTCACTATGTTGCCCAGGCTGGTCTCAAACCCCTGAGCTCAAATTATCCTCCCACCTTGGCCTCCCAAAGTGCTGTGATTACAGGTGTGAGCCACACTGACCTGGCCTCAAAACTTCAATTTAACCAAACACTTATTGAGCATTTAATGTGAGAAAGGCATAGTCTGGGAGCTGAGGATACCAACATGAAGTAGGTCCTGCTCTCAGAGATCAAAGTCTAAAAACAATAAATGATGTGTAGTGGTTTTAGTGTCTTTATTCCCCAGACAAAGGGATGTTTTGACTGTGTTTATAAAATGTGTACAAATTAAGACTCAACAGTTTAAAGATTATATTTTATATTTGTGAACCCAATAGTTATGTTTAAACATTTTGTGGCACATTAACTGTTCTGGGTAAATACCAAAGACGTTCATGGATCCAGTCATTTTTGAGTTTTTTCTTTTTTTAAGAGTCATGGTTAATTTTAGCTGGACAGTCTGAATCAGGTCATTTCTATCTTGCTGAGTTCCTCTTACAGTCTCAGCTGGACCCAGCATCCTTCATTTCCTATCCTAAATTGCCCCCCTTATGTTCTATGCTTGCTGTGGAGAAGAACTGTAGCTCTTAATTGTCTGTGGCCAGATCCTCCCACTCCATCTTCCCCTTCTGCACAGAACACTCCATGTCACTCTGGGGAGAAACATGCTATATTTATGCAAAGGGTGGCCGTATGGATGTTTCTCATAAACACCGAGGTTTAGAATGTCAAAAGTCATGTCAGACCTTAAGGTAACAACAAAACTTTCTTGGAAATCTATTCCATGATGTTCACTTTGATGTCAGTTACAACTGTGTTGTGCATACGTATATCTCGGTATAGTCACAGCAAAGAAGCAGGGATGACTAGCACACAGGGCTAATACTAATGACTTTATTTTCTACCACATCCTACCAATTAAGTAGTTCTCATAGTGGTTACCTGAATCACAAAAATTCTAGGGTCTTCAACTCCATAATGACAGACAGGAAAGGGAACAGTTGGCCTAGCTTCAGCCATTTATCCTGGACTCACAAAAACCATCTTTTTTCATTTGTCTAGTCTTTCCCAGTCACCAGTATTAATAAACAGCTGCCAGATGACAAGACGAAATTGCCTCTGCCCATGGATTAGAGTATTATGTTATAAGCTCAACAGCAGAAGTTTAAATTATGAAAGTGAGAACAAATGAAGCCTACTTGCTAAGATTTGCCTACCTAGCTGGTGTAAGACAATCTTAGCTCTACTGAGAAATTTACAGTGCATATTGTTTTTCTTTCATCTGCCCTTATAAGAATGGATAGTTCTGCAGTCAAAATTTTTGCCCAAGGATTTTACTGTCACAATGAACTTTGGTCATCAAAGTCTGAGCCAAAGAAAATTGAAGGTGATTGGTCTAATCAGTTTCCCATTCCTTGGGAATGCCACTAAAGAATGCTACCCTGTTTTCTTGGCTCAATGCAAATAGCCTCATTTATTATGTGTACATCCAAGTTTATGCTCGTCTGAGGAGAATTATATTCAGAATTTAGATTCCAAAAAGCAAGCCCCCTGCAAGTCTCCTGATGATTAATTAGTCATTTAATTTCAATGTTTACTGAGATCCTACTGTGTGGAGTACTGTGCTAGGTGCCGGGGACCTATATCCCTGTAATATAAATATCCTCCTTGATCTCAAGGAGCTTAGAGTGCAATAAAAGAGATAAAAACTACCTATAAATGAAACAAGGACTCTCAGAGATTCATAAGCAAAGTGTTAAAAAAAAAGTAATGAAAATTATCTGGGGAGAGCAGAGAAGACTCCAGTGAAGATACAGAAGTTAAACTAGAAATAAAAATTCTGAAGTCAAAGACGAGGAAAAAAAGACATCACCAACAAAGTCAAAGGGGCTTAAGAGTTAAGTACAGTCATGCACCATATTAACAACATTTCAGTCAATGACAAACCACATATATGATGTTGATCCTGTAAGATTATAATACCATATTTTTACCGTACCTTTTCTATGTTTAGGTCCACAAATACTTACTATTGGGTTACAATTCCCTATATTATTCAGAAGAGTCACTTGCTGTACAGGTGTGTAGCCTAGGAGCAATAGGCTGTACCGTGTAGCCTACATGTATAGCAGGCTAAACCATCGAGGTTTATGCAAGTACTCTCTATGATGTTCGCACCATGATGAAACCACCAATGCACTTCTCAGAACATACTCCTGTCATTAAGTGATGGATGACTATAGTTCAGAATTGTATTTTAAAAGAGAAAAGGCACTGGATGTTGAGTTCCAAGACAGGTTTTAATTCCTGCCTCATCTTTTATTCTCTATGGAAACCTGACTGGTAAGAAAAATGGGAATAGGTTTGCTTACATGCAGAGGTGCTATTCAAAAATTTGATATGTGGTATTATGGTATAAGCACTGACCAATCAAAACAAATATTGGCTATAATAATCAGTACAGACATTTTGGTGCATTCCAAGGGAATACTTACCGACCTTGCCTACATCTTTTTCCCTCCTATCTTTCTGCTTTAGAATTTAGGTTCCATGAGAGCAACCACTGTTAACCATTGCGTTCGGAAAATGTGACTGGGATTTATTTTCATTAGGTATGGTAAGACACATAGGCCCAGAAATGGCTGATATGAAGGAACAAGTTTTTACTCACCAGTCCCTGGAAATAGGAGGGACATGCCCATGCAGATCCACATGGGGAATCCGACCATGTTTGGTCAGGAGGCCGAAGAGGAAGAGAAGAAAACATGGCCCAGAGCCTTTATTGGGGTTTTCACAAGAAGGAGTGGGTGCAGCAGGGTAGGTATAATGAGCAAGCTAATGATTAGACAGTTTGAATAATTTTGACGGACTCTGGGCTGTTGGAGTGCTTCCTAGTTGTTCAGTACCTGGCCCTGGGGTCATTTAGGGCAGAAGAAATATTGGCTTGTTGTGTGAGAGTTTGATAAAGGAGATGTTTCGGGGAGTGGGCTCTGGATTGGTTGGTTTGTATGTTAAAGATATGCTCACAGTGGAGTCATTTGATCTCTCTAGGAATTAGCTAGCCCTGGGAGGGTCGGTCTCTCCAGCAGCAAGGCCTCAGCAAGAGCATCAAGAATATAGAAAATAAGAAAATATAATTAATACACACTGCTTCCAGCATGCCTGGTAAGTGTAAGTGCTCAACAAGTAGGTATTATATAGATGAATAAGTAAATGAGAGATTATTTAAATGTGACTGGAGTATAGAATAGACGAAAATATATATGGGACTAGGACTAAAAATGTATGGGTATTTTGGGGGTTTTATATAAACATATGGGGTACAAGTGCAGTTTTTTACCTGCATAGATTGTGTAGATGTCAAGTCAGGGCTTTTAGGGTATCCACCACCCAAATAATATACATTGTACCCTTTAAATAATTTCTCATCATTCACCCCCTCCCACTCCTTCATCCTACTGAATCTCTCCACTCTCTATTTCCATGATTCCACTCTCTATGTCCATCTATACATATTATTTAGCTCCCACTTATGAGTGAGAACATGCAATATTAATCTTTTGTGTCTGACCTGTTTCATTTAAGATAATGACCTCCAATTCTACCCATGTCGCTGCAAAAGACATGATTTCTTTTCTTTTCTAAATAACTTCCACTTCCACTTTTATTTTAGATTCAGGAAGTACATGTGCAGGTTTGTTACATGGGTAGTGTGACACTGAGGTTTGGGGTACAAATGATCCTGTCACTCAGGTAGTGAGCATAATACTAAATGGGTAGCATTTCATTTCACCCCTTGCCTCTCTTCTTCCCTCCCCACTATAGTATTCCCCAGTGTCTATTGTTCCCATCTTTATGTCCAGGTGTATCCAATGCTTGGCTCCTACTTATAAGTGAGAACATGTGGTATTTGGTTTTCTGTTCCTGCATTAATTCGCTTAGGATGATGGCCACCAGCTACATCCATGTTGCTGCAAAGGACATGATTTTGTTCTTTTTTGTGACTGCATAAGATTCCAAAAAGACAGGATTTCATTCTTTAAAAATGTACATTGAAGTCAGATGGGAAGGCTTGCATTCCATGCTAAGAAGCTGGTCTTGTAACAAATTTTAAAGTAGTTCTGAATATCCACTATGTGCCCGTAATGAAATCAGGATAATTATATTGGCCACTCAAGTAATGACTGGTAAACTAGAGAGGTTTTTGTTTACTTTTTCTCAGAAGTCTTTTTCTATATTATTTCACACCATCTGTCTCAGTGAGTTTGGGCTACTATAACAAATACCATAGATTAGGTGGCTTTAACAACAAGCATTTATTTCTCACAAATCTGCAGGCTGAGAAGTCTAAGATTAAGGTACCAGCCTGGTAGGGGCTCTCTTCCTGGTTTGCAGGTGGCCATCTTGCTGTATCTTCATGGGAGGAGAGAGAGAGAGATCATCTTTCTGGTATCTCTTTTTATAAAGGCATTCATCTCATCATGAGGGGCTCCACCCTCATGACCTCATTACCTCCCAAAGACCCCACCTCCAAATGCTATCACACTGGGGATAAGGGTTTCAGCATCAGAATTTTGGGTAGATATAAGCATTGAATTCATTGCACCATCTGCAGACAAAAGTGGAAATTAGCCTTCTATAAATATCAATTCATATTCTTTGTGCTCTGGAATGTCTTCCCTAATCAAGTTAATCTGCCTTTTTTATATTCTGTTTTGGATCATGCTTCTTAGACTTTAATGTGCGTAAGAGTCACCTGGCAGATCTTGTTAAAATGTATATTGTGATTCAGTAGGTCTGGGGTGGAGTGGGGCTGATTCTGCCTTTCTAATGAGCTCTCTGGTGATTCCAGTCCTGCTGGTCTAGGGGGTGTACTTTGAATAGTAAGGTTTCAGAGGGTGAACACTTTTTTATTAAAAAGGCAATACAGTACACAAAACTGGTTAAGAGCAAGTCTGGGTTTGAACCCTGACTGCTGCATGTGGCTGAGGACAAGTTACTTAATCTCTCTAAGCCTCTGTTTCCTGTAAAATGAGGATAACAAATAGTACCAACTTCAAATGGTTGCTTTAAAAGGCTTAGCACAGTGTTTTATACTAACAGCTAAAAGAAAACACCACAATAGTGACAAGAATGGCAAGAATAGTAACCATGGTAATATTTAGGATAGAAGGATAATCACATAAACTTGGATTATATCCAATGAATATTCCTGACAGCTCAGTGGTCAGGATTCTAAGATGGTACCTAACCACCCTCCCAACAAATTTATGGCAGTCTGATTAAGATTTTTTCCTCCCAGTGATGGAAACAAGAGTAGGTTCTGTATAGCTGGGCCTTTACATACAGAACAGGCTCACAAAATAAAATACAAAGTAAAACATAAGCAATCTTTAAGAATATTACCTAGCTTTCCTCAACCCAGTGAAGGAGAAAAAGGGAAGATAACCAGCTAAGAGGGAAATGAAGGGTTATGGCATCTCATCACTCCTGATAGAATTCCCAGTACACTGTAAAGCGAGAGGGTGTCAAATGTTACTCTAGCAGCTGGCAGGACCCCGTGGGATGAGTCTTGCTTTGATAATTCTGCAAACATATCACAGCATATGCAATAGCAGCAGAAGCATGAACCCCAACTGGTCTTGTCTCAAGCTGCCTTGGGGATATATGGTCACAGAAATATCAGTTTAAGAATTCTAAACTCTTGAAACTTCTCAAGACTGGCTAGACATTTATAAGCTATGCTACCCAGGCCCAAGTAACGTAATGATCCTTTTAAAACATACTGCTAAGAGCTAATGACATTCTTACATTTCAAACATAGTTTTGTGTCCATTCAAATTGCTGGGAGGATCACATGATTCTCAGGCAACATGGTGAAACTCCGTCTCTATAAAAAATAACAAAAATTAGTCAGGTGTGGTGGCACATGCCTTTAGTCCCAGGCTCGTAGGGAGGATGAGGTGGGAGGATCACCTGAGCCCAGGTAGGTTGAGGCTGCTTTGGGCCATGATCACGCCACTGCACTCCAGCCTGGGTGACAGAGCAAGACCCTGTCAAAGAAAAGAAAAGAATGTAGGGAGGGAGGGAGGGAGGGAGGGAGGAAGGAAGGAAGGAAAGAAGGAAGGAAGGAAAGAAAAGTCAAACTGCTGTATTCCAACAAAATTGTATAAAACCTGTTTCACATTTATGGTATACAGGCTTCAACTAATGAAGGTGATATTTTGATGACTAAAAGGAGAATGTCTTGTTTCAAATTGGCAGAGGAAATGGGAGCCAAAGCCCTGGAAAAAGAAATTTTTCTAAAACCCCTACCAGTACAAAATCTGAGGCTACTGCTATACCAAGGAGAAAATCAATATAATTCAGTAGGGGGAAAAGAAATTGAGAAAGTTTACTACCAACCAATTCTCATTAAAGAAAATTCTGTGTATGCACTTCAGGCAGAAGGAAAGTAATCTCAGGTGGAAAGTCTGACATGCAAAGAAAATTGTAGATATGTCATCAGAGTGAACAGACAACTTATAAAATGGGAGAAAATTTTTGCAATCTATCCATCTGACAAAGGTCTAATATGCAGAGTCTACAAGGAACTTAAACAAATTTACAAGAAAAAAGCAAACAACCCCAATATAAAGTGAGCAAAGGACATGAACAGACACTTCTCAAAAGAAGACATACATTCAGTCAACAAACATGAAAAAAAGCTCAATATCACTGATCATTAGAGAAATGCAAATCAAAACCATAATGAGATACCATCTCATGTCAGTCATAATGGCTATTATTAAAAAGTCAGAAAACAACAGATGCTGCCAAGGAGATGGAGTAAAAGGAATTCTTTTTTTTTTTTTTTTTTTTTTTGAGATGGAGTCTTGCTCTGTTGCCCAGGCTAGAGTGCAGTGGCGCGATCTTGGCTCACTGCAACCTCTGCCTCCCAGGTTCAAGTGATTCTCCTGCCTCAGCCTCCTGTGTAGCTGGAATTATAGGCATCCACCACCACGCCAGGCTAATTTTTGTATTTTTAGTAGAGACAAGGTTTTGCCATGTTGGCCAGGCTGATCTCGAACTCCTGACCTCAGGTGATCCCCCTGCCTTGGCCTCCCAAAGTGTTGGGATTAGAAGCATGAGCAACCACACCTGGCAGAAAAAGGAACACTTTTACACTGTTGGTGGAAGTATATATTAGTTCAACCATTGTGGAAGACAGTATGGCAATTCCTCAAAGACCTAGAGGCAGAAATACCATTCAACTCAGCAATCCCACTATTGGATATATACCCAATGGAATATAAATTATTCTATTATAAAGATACATGGACACGTATGTTCATTGCAGCACTATTCACAATAGCAAAGACATGGAATCAGCCTAAATCCCCATCAATGATAGGCTGGATAAAGAAAATGTGGTATATATACATCATGGAATACTATGCAGCCATAAAAAGGAACAAAATCATGTCCTTGAAAGGGATATGGATGGAGCTGGAAGCCATTATCCTCAGCAAACTAACACAGGAACAGAAAACTAAATACTACATGTTCTCACTTGTAAGTGGGTGCTGAATGACGAGAAAACATGGACACATGGGGGAGAAGAACAACACGCACGGGGGCCTACTGGAGGGTAAAGGGTGGGAGGAGGGAGAGCATCAGGAAAAATAGCTAATGGGTGCTGGGCTTAATACGTAGGTGATGGGATGATCTGTACAGCAAACCACCATGGCACATGTTTACCTGTGTAACAAACATGAACATCCTGCATGTGTATCCCTGAACTTAAAATAAAAGTTGGAAATTAAAAAAGGGATAAAAAATGCTGTAAAAAGAGAAAAATGTAGATATGTGATAGACTGAAAACAAAACACTGATTCTTATAAAATAAAAATGAAAAGGTTTTGTGGAGCTAAACAAAAATGATAAAGTTCTATTACATAACAATAACATAATAACATATAAGACAGAGCATGTAAGCCAGGAGTGGTATGATTAGAATTAAAATGTTCTAAGATTCAACATAGTACTGGAAGTCCTAGCCAGAGCAATCAGACAAGAGAAATAAATAAAAGACATCTAAATAGAAAAAAGAAGTCATTGGCAGATAGGAGGCAGGACTAGATTTCAGCTCCAACTCGGATGGACAGAGCAGCATGTGAAGCTCACATTGTGAATTTTTGCTCCAGAATGACTGCAGGAATGAATCAGGAAACCTGAGAGGACCGGCAGACCCCCTGATGGAAGTGGATTGCTTTTGCAGGACTCAGGAGACACCCCAAATACTGTGCTGGTATCCATGGCTGAGAGACCCACAGACAGTTCACATCACAGTACTCTGTGCAGATAACCCCCACTACCAGCCCAGAGCCTGGTAGACTTGCTGGATGGCTAGATCCAGAAGAGAGATAACAATCACTACATCTCGGCTCTCAAGAAGCCACATCCTTAGGAAAAAGGGGAGAGTACTACATCAAGGGAACACCCTGTGGGACAAAAGAATCTGAATAACAGCCTTCAGCCCTAGACCTTCCCTCTGACAGAGCCTACCCAAATGAGAAGGAACTAGAAAACCAACTCTGGTAATATGACAAAACAAGGTTCTTTAACACCTCCAAAAAATCACACTAGCTCACCAGCAATGGACCCAAACTAAGAAGAAATCCCTGATTTACCTGAAAAAGAATTCAGGAGGTTAGTTACTAAGCTAATCAGGGAGGCACCAGAGAAAGGCAAAGCCCAATGTAAGGAAATCCAAAAAACGATGCAAGTGAAGGGAGAAATATTCAAGGAAATAGATAGCATAAATAAAAAAACAATCAAAACTTCAGGAAACAATGGACACACTTATAGAAATGCAAAATGCTCTGGAAAATCTCAGCAATAGAACTGAACAAGTGAAAGAAGGAAATTCAGAGCTCAAAGACAAGGTCTTTGAATTAACCCAATCCAAGAAAGACAAAGAAAAATGAATAAGAAAATATGAACAAAGCCTCCAAGAAGTCTGGGATTATGATAAACGACCAAAGCAAAGAATTATCGGTGTTCCTGAGGAAGAAGAGAATTCTAAAAGTTTGGAAAACATAATTGGGAGAGTAATTGAGGAAAACTTTCCTTGCCTTGCTAGATACCTAGACATCCAAATACAAGAAGTACAAAGAACACCTGGGAAATTCATCACAAAAAGATCATCGCCTAGCCACATTGTCATCAGATTATCTAAAGTTAAGATGAAGAAAAAAATCTTAAGAGCTGTGAGACAAAAGCACCAGGTAACCCATAAAGAAAAACCTATCAGATTAACAGCAGATTTCTCAGCAGAAACCCTGAAAGCTAGAAGGGCCTAGGGCCCTATCTTCAGCCTCCTCAAACAAAACAACAGCCAAGAATTTTGTACCCGGTGAAATTAAGCTTCATAAGTGAAGAAAAGGTACAGTCTTTCTCAAACAAATGCTGAAAGAATTTGCCACTACCAGGCCACCACTACAAGAACTGCTAAAAGGAGCTCTAAATCTTGAAACAAATCCTGGAAACACATCAAAACAGAACTTCTTTAAAGCATAAATCTCATAGGACCTATAAAACAAAAACACAATTTAAAAAACAAAAACAAAAAAACAAAAAATCAAGGTATACAGGCAACGAATAGCACAATGAATGGAATGGTACCTCACATCTCAATACTAACATTGAATGTAAATGGCCTAAACGCTCCACTTAAAAGATACAGAATCGTGAAATGGATAAGAAGTCACCAACCATCTGCTGGCTTCAAGAGACTCACCTAATACATAAGGACTCACACAAACTTAAGGTAAAGGGGTATAAAAAGACATTTCAAGCAAAGGGACAATGAAAGCAAGTAGGAGTAGCTGTTCTTATATCAGACACAACAAACTTTAAAGCAATAGCAGTTAAAAAAGACAAAGAGAGACATTATATAATAATAAAAGGCCTTGTCCAAGAGGAAAATATCACAATCCTAAATATATATGAACCTAACACTGGAGCTGCCAAATGAATAAAATAATTACTAATAGACCTAAGAAATGAGATAGACAGCAACACAATAATAGTGGGAGACTTCAGTACTCCACTGACAGCCCTAGACAGGTCATCAAGAGAGAAAGTCTACAAAGAAACAATGGATTTAAACTATACCTTGGAACAAATTGACTTAATAGATATATACAGAACATTCCATCCAACAACCGCAGAATATACATTCTATTCAATAGCGCATGGAACTTTCTCCAGGATACACCATATGATAGGCCACAAAATGAGCCTCAATAGATTTAAGAAAATCGAAATTGTAACAAGCACTCTCTCAGACCACAGTGGAATAAAACTGGAAATCAACTCCAAAAAGTACCTTCAAAACCATGCAAATACATGGAAATTAAATAACCTGCTCCTGAATGATCATTGGGTGAAAAATGAAATCAAAATGGAAATTAAAATGTTCTTCAGACTGAACAATAGTGACACAACCTATCAAAACCTCTGGGACACAGCAAAGGCAGTGCTAAGAGGAAAGTTCCTAGCCCTAAATGCCTACATCAAAAAGTCTGAAAGAGCACAAACAATCTAAGGTCGCACCTCAAGGAACTAGAGAAACAAGAAAAAACCAAACCCAAACCCAGCAAAAGAAAGGAAATAACCAAGATCAAAGCAGAACTAAATGAAATCGAAAAAAACAAACAAAAATACAAAAGACAAGTCAGCTTCTTCAAGAAAACACCGAGTGACGATGATGCCAGTGCAGCACGGGGACAGGTCGGGCCGGAGGCCCCAAGGGCCCTGGGATGGGGAACCACAGTGGCTTCCGGGGAGGCTTCGGCAGTGGCATCCAGGGCCAGGGTCGCAGCCACGGAGCTTGCGGAGGCAAGTTGAGGACAAGGAGTTGGATGCCCATCACCAAGCTGGGCCGTCTGGTCAAGGACATGAAGATGAAATCCCTGGAGATCTATCTCTTCTCCCTGCCCATCAAGGAGTCTGAGATCATTGACTTTTTCCTGGGGGCCTCTCTCAAGGATGAGGTTTTAAAGGTTACGCCAGTGCAGAAGCAGACCCACGCTGGCCAGTGCACCAGGTTCAAGGCGTTTGTTGCCTTGACTACATTGGGGACTACAATGGCCACGTCGGTCTGGGTGTTAAGTGCTCCAAGGAGGTGGCCACTGCCATCCGTGGGGCCATGATCCTGGCCAAGCAGTCCATTGTCCCTGTGCTACTGGGGGACAGAGGCTACTGGGGGAACAAGATTGGAAAGCCCCATGCCATCCCTTGCAAGGTGACAGGCCGCTGTGGCTCCGTGCTGGTGACCTCATCCCTGTGCCCAGGAGCACTGGCATCATCTCGGCCCCTGTGCCCAAGAAGCTGCTGATGATGGCTGGTATTGATGACTGCTACACCTCAGCCAGGGGCTGCACTGCCACCCTGGGCAACTTCGGCAAGGCCACCTTTGATGCCATCTCAGACCTACAGCTACTTGACCTCCGACCTCTGGAAGGAGACTGTATTCACCAAGTCTCCCTATAAGTAATTCACTGACCACCTCGTCAAGACCCACTCTAGAGTCTCCGTGCAAAGGACCCAGGCTCCAGCTGTGGCTACAACATAGAGTTTTTATACAAGAAAAATAAAGTGAATGAAGCTTGAAAAAAAAAAGATAAATCAAACAAAAAGCTGGTTCTTTGAAATGATAAATAAAATCGATGGACCATTAGCAAGATTAACCAAGAAAAGAAGAGCAAAAATCCAAATAAGCTCAGTAAGAAATGAAATGGGAGATATTACAACTGACACCACAGAAATACAAAAGATGACTCAAGGCTGCTATGAACACCTTTACACACATAAACTAGAAAACCTAGAAGAGATGGATAAATTGTTGGAAAGATACAACCCTCTTAGCTTAATTTAAATCAGGAAGAATTAGATACCCTGAACAGACCAATAACAAGCAGTGAGATTGAAATGGTAATTTAAAAATTACCAACAAAGAAGTCCAGGACCAGACGGATTCACAGCAGAATTCTACCAGAGGTTCAAAGAAGAATTGGTACCAATCCTATTGACACTATTCCACAAGATAGAGAAAGAGGGACCCCTCCCTAAATCATTCCATGAAGCCAGTATCACCCTAATACCAAAACCAGGAAAGGACATAACCAAAAGTGAAAACTACAGACCAATAGCCCTGATGCACATGATGCTAAAATCCTTAACAAAATACTAGCTAACCGAATCCAACAAAATATCAAAAAGATAATCCACCATGATCAAATGGGTTTCATACCAATGATGCAGGGATGGTTTAACATACACAAGTCAATATATGTGATACATCACATAAACAGAATTAAAAACAAAAATCACATGATCATCTCAATAGATGCAGAAAAAGTATTCAACAAAATCAGCATCCCTTTATGATTAAAACTCTCAGCAAAATCAGCATACAAGGATCATACCTCAATATAATAAAAGTCATCTATGACAAACCGGCAGCCAAAATAATACTGAATGGGGAAAAGTTGAAAGCATTCCCTCTGAGAACTGGAACAAGACAGGGATGCCCACTCTCACTACTCTTCTTCATCATAGTACTGGAAGTCCTAGGTAGAGCAATCAGACAAGAGAAAAAATAAAGGGCATCCAAATCAGTAAAGAGGAAGTCAAGCTATCACTGTTTGCTGATGATATGACCATTTATCTAGAAAACCCTAAAGACTCCTCCAGAAAGCTCCTAGAACTGATAAAAGAATTCAGCAAAGTTTCTGGATACAAATTACTGTACACAAATCAGTAGCTCTTCTATACACCAACGGTGACCAAGCTGAGAATCAAATCAGGAACTCAACCCCTTTTACAGTAGCTACAAAAAAAAAAAACAAACAAAAAATAAACTTAGGAATATACCTAATCACGGAGGTGAAAGATCTCTACAAGGAAAATTACAAAACACTGCTGAAAGAAAACATAGATGCCACAAACAAATGGAAACACAGTCCATGCTCATGGATGTGTAGAATCAATATTGTGAAAATGACCACACTGCCAAAAGCAATCTACAAATTCAGTGCAATTCCCATCAAAATACCACTATTATTCCTCACAGAATTAGAAAAAATAATTCTAAAATTCATATGGAACCAAAAGAGAGGCCTCATGGCCAAAGCAAGGCTAAGCAAAAAGAACAAATCTGGAGACATCACATTACCTGATTTCAAACTATACTATAAGGCCATAGTCACCAAAACAGCATGGTACTGGTATAAAAATAGGCATATAGACCAACGGAACAGAATAGAGAACCCAGAAATAAACCCAAATACTTACAGCCAACTGATCTTCAACAAAGCAAACAAAAACATAAAGTGGGGAAAGGACACCCTTTTCAACAAATGATGCTGGGATAATTGGCAAGCCACACATAGGAAAATGAAACTGGATCCTCATATCTCACCTTATACAAAAATAACTCAAGATGGATTAAGTACTTAAATCTAAGACCTGAAACTATAAAAATTCTAGAAGATAACATTGGAAAAACTCTTCTAGACATTGGCTTAGCCAAGGATTTCATGACCAAGAACCCAAAAGCAAATGCAATAAAAACAAAGATAAATAGCTGGGACTTAATTAAACTAAATAGCTTTTGCACAGCAAAAGGAACAGTCAGCAGAGTAAACAGACAACCCACAGAGTGGGAAGAAATCTTCACAATCTATACATCTGACAAAGGACTAATATCCAGAATCTACAATGAATTCAACAAATCAATAAGAAAAAAACAATCTCATCAAAAAGTGAGCTAAGGACATGAATAGACAATTCTCAAAAGAAGATATACAAATGGCCAACAAACATGTGAAAAAATGCTTGACATCACTAATGATCAGGGAAATGCAAATCAAAACCACAATGTGATACCATCTTACTTCTGCTAGAATGGCCATAATCAAAGAATCAAAAAATAGTAGATGTTGGCATGGATGCTGTGAACAGGGAACATTTCTATGCTGCTGGTGGGAATGTAAACTAGTACAACCACTATAGAAAACAGTGTGGAGATTCCTTAAAGAACTAAAAGTAGAACTACCATTTGATCCAGCAATCCCACTGCTGGGTATCTATCTAGAGGAAAAGAAGTCATTATATGGAAAAGATACTTGCACATGCATGTCTATAGCAGCACAACTCACAATTGCAAAATCATGGAACCAACCCAAATGCCCATCAGTCAATGAGTGGATAAAAAAAACTGTGGTATATGTATATATACGATGGAATACTACTCAGCCATAAAAAGGAATGAATTAATGGCATTTGCAGTGTTCTGGATGAGATTGGAGACTATTATTCTAAGTGAAGTAACTCAGGAATGGAAAACCAAACATCGTATGTTCTCGCTTATAGTGGGAGCTAAGCTATGAGGATGCAAAGGAATAAGAATGACACAATGGACTTTGGGGACTCAGGGGGAAAGGGGGAAAGGGGGTGAAGGATAAAAGACTACAAATAGGGTGCAGTGTATACTGCCTGGGTGATGGGTGCACCAAAATCTCACAAATCACCACTAAAGAGCTTACTCATGTAACAAATATTACCTGTTCCCCAATAACCTATGGAAATTTAAAACAAAAGAAAAATAATGAGTCAAATTATCTTTCTTCACTGATGATATGATTATATACCTAGAAAACCCTAAAGACTCTATCAAAAGGCTCCTAAAACTGATAAATGACCTCCGGGAAAGTTTCAGGACACAAAATCAATGTACACAAATCAGTAACATTTCTATACAACAATAGCATTCAAGCTGAGAGCCAAATCAAGAACATAATCTCATTTTACAATAGCCGCTCCAAAAAAAACACCCCCAAAAAAACAAACCTAGGTACACATCTAGTTAAGGAGGTGAAAGATCTCTATGAGGAGAACTACAAAATGCTGCTGAAAGAAATCATAGACAACACGAACAAATGAAAAAACATTCTATGCTCATGGATTGGAAGAATCAATATTATTAAAATGGACATAGCCCAAAGCAATCTATAAATTCAACACTATTCCTATCAAGCTACCAATGTCATTTTTCACAGAATTAGAAAAAACTTCTGAAATTAAATATCCATAGCAATCCTAAGCAAAAAGAGTGAAGCAGGAGGCATCACATTACCCAACTTCAAATTATTCTATAAGGCTACAGTAACCAAAACAGCATGGTACTAGTACAAAAACAGACACATAGACCAATGAAACAGAATAGAAAACCCAGAAATAAAGCTGCACACCTGCAACCATCTGATATTCAAAAAAGTTGACAAAAATAAACAATGGATAAAGGACTGTATTCAGCAAATGGTGCTGAGATAGCTGGCTAGCCATAACCAGAAGAAAAAAAAAGGACCTCGACATTTCACCATATATAAAAATTAACTCAAGGTGGATTAAAGATTGAAATCTAAGACCTCAAACTATAAGAATCCTCAAAGAAAACCCAGGAAATACCATTCTGGACATTGGCCTTGGGAAAGAATTTGTGACTAAATTCTCAAAAGTAATTGCAGCATAAACAAAAATTGACAAGTGTGATCTCATTAAACTAAATAGTTTCGGCACAGCAAAAAAAATGATCAACAGATTTAATAGACAACTTACAAAATGGGAGAAAATATTTGCAAACTATTCATCCAACAAAGGTCTAATATCCAGAATCCATAAGTAACTTCAACAATTCAACCAGCAAAAAACCAAACATTCCCTTTAAAAGATAGGCAAAAGACATGAACAGACACTTCCCAAAAGAAGACAAAAAAGTGGCCAACAAACATAATGGGAAAATGCTCAACAGAGAAATGCAAATCAAATCCATGATGAGATACCATCTGACACTAGTCAAAATGGCTATTGTTAAAAAGCCAAAAATAACAGATGCTGGCAAGCCTGTGGAGAAAAGAGAATGCTTATACACTGTTGGTGGGAATGTACGAATTAGTTTAATCACTGTGGAATGCAGTTTGGAGATTTCACATAAAACTGAAAACAGAACTGCCATTTGACCCAGAAATCCCATTACTGAATTATAACCAAAGACAAATAAATCATTCTACCAAAAAGACACATGTACTCATATGTTCATCACAGCACTACTCATAATAGCAAAGACATGGAGTCAATCTAGATGCCCATCAATGTTGGCCTGCATAAAGAAAATATAGTACATGTATACCATGGAATACTATGCAGCCATATAAAGGAATAAAGTCATGTCCTTACCTAAGCAAATTAATGCAGGAACAGAAAACCAAATACCACAGGTTCTCACTTATAAGTGGGAGCTAAGCATTGGGTAAACATGACATAAAAACGGGAACAATAGACACTGGGGCCTCCTAGAGGAAGGAGAGAGAGAGGGGAGTAAGGGCTGAAAAGTACTAGGCTATTGAGTACTAGGCTCACTACCTGGGTGACAGGATCATTTGTACCCGAAACCTCAGCATCATGCTATGTACTCACGTAACAATCCTGCACAGTACCCTGTGAATTGAAAATAAAATCTGAAATTATAAAATAAAATTTCAGAAAGAAAGAATAAAATAAAATAAAATGTCCTAAGGATTTTGTATGTTTAAGAAGGGGGCAAAAATATTAATTCATGTTAGATTTTGATAAATGATATTCAAAAGCTAATTTTAGAATGACTAACAAAGTAAAAATAATATAGCATAAAATTTCCTTACTAGCTGGGTGTGGTGGCTCATGCCTGTAATCCCAGCACTTTGGGAGGCTGAGGCAGGAAGATCACCTGAGGTCAGGAGTTTGAGGCCAGCCCGGCCAACATAGCGAAACCCTGTCGCTACTAAAAACACAAGAATTAGCCTGGTGTGGTGGTGCTCACCTGTAATCCCAGCTACTTGGGAGGCTGAGGAATGAGAATTGCTTGAACCCAGGAGGTAGAGGCTGAAGTGAGCTGAGATTGCACCACTGCACTCCAGCCTGGGTGACAGAGTGAGACTCTGACTCAAAAAATAAAAAAATAAAGCCTGGGCGAGGTGGCTGTTGACTGTAGTACCAGCACTTTGGGAGGCCGAGGTGGGTGGATCACCTGAGGTCAGGAGTTTGAGACCAGCCTGGCCAACATGGTGAAACCCCTTCTCTACTAAAAATACAAAAACTAACTGGGTGTGGTGGCACGAGCCTGTAATCCCAGCTACTTGGGAGGCTAGAGGCATGAGAATCGCTTGAACTAGGGAGGCGGAGGTTGCAGCGAGCCGAGATCGTGCCACTGCACTCCAGCCTGGGCAACAGAGCAAGACTCTGTCTCAAAAAATAAAATAAAATAAAATAAAATAAAATAAAATAAAATAAAATAAAATAAAATAAAATAAAATAAAATAAAATAAAATAAAATCTCCTAACTAGTAGGGGAAAAATTGAATGAGAAAAAAAATGCAATTGATGCAGGGGAGGACAAGAAAGACCATAGAAAAGGTAGGGCAAATACAAACCACTAAATAAAATTGTCAAAATAAATCTAAATATATTAGTAATTTAAATAAATATAAAGACACATAAAAATCAATTATAGTAACAGTGAACATGCGGAAGCTGACATTAAAAACACAGGGCAATTTACAATAACTCCAAGGAAAATGAAATACTTATGCATTTACTTAACATGTGCAAGATCTATATGCTACAAATTACAAAATGCTGATTTTGTGAAAGTCAAAGAAGACTTAAATAAATGAAGAGATATATCATGTTTATGAACTGGAAGACTCAGTTTAGTAATGCTGTCAATTCTCCCCAAATTGGTCTATAGTTTAGTGTAACTCCTATCAAAATCCCAGCAATATTTTTTTCATAGACCGAGGCAAGCTTATGCTAAAATATATATGAAAAGGCACAGGCCCTGAATAGCTAGAGCAATCTTGATAGAGAAGAAAGACAAAGAAATGGGAGAAACTACTCTACCCATATTAAGCCTGGCTATATAATTACTGTAATCAAGAGAGTGTGGTGTGGGCAGAGGGGTAGACACATGAATCAACGGAGCAGCACAGGATACCCAGAAATAGATTCACACAGTCTGCCACACTGACTTGACAAAGGTGCAAAACCAATTTAAAGGAGGAGGAATAACCTTTTCAACAAATGATGCTGGAACAATTGCATATCCATATGGGGAAAAAAACCCTAGATCTAAATTTCATGCTTTATATAAAAAATGAGCTTAAATTGGATCACAGGCTTAAATGTAAAACAAACCTATAAGACTTTCAGCAAAACACATGGAAGAAAGTTGTCAGGATCTGGCGCTAAGCCAGTAGTTGCCAGACTTGACACCAACTGCATGATCCATAAAAAGAAAAACTGATGAATTGGACCTCCCTGAAATTAGAAATGTTTGTTCTGTGAAAGCCATATAAAGAGGATGAAAAGGAAAACTACACACTCAGGAGAAAATATTTGCAAGTCATATGCCTTAGTCCTTTTTTGCTGCTATAACAAAATACCTCAAACTGGGTAATTTATAAAGAACAGACATTTATTTTTCACAGCTCTGGAGGATGGGAAGTCCAAGATTTAATCACCAGCATTTGGTATCTGGTGAGGCCCCCATCTCCACTTTCAACCAAGATGGAGCCCTGTTGCTGCATCCTCTTGAGGGGACAAATGCTGTGTTCTCAAATAGCTGAAGGGATGTAAAGGGCAAAAAGGGCCTAAGCTAGTTCCCTCCAGCTAGGCACCAATTCATTCATGAGAGCAGAATCCCCCTGATTTAATCACTTCCCCAAAAGACCCCACCTCTCAATACCATCATAATGGGGATTAAGTTTCAACACATGAATTTTGGAGGGAATGCCATCTTTCAAATCATAGCACCAAATATCTAGCAAAGAACTTACACATTTTAAATTCTAGAATATGTAAAGAACTCTCAAAACTCAACATTAAAAAAATCTATTAAATGAACAAAAGACATAAACAGACATTTACCAAAGATGATAAAAATAAGCACATGAAAAGATATTCAATATCATAAGCTGTTAGGAAACTTTAAATTAAAACTACAATGAGATACCACTACACACATATCAACATGACTAAGATTTTAAAAAATAACACCACCAAATGCTGGCAAGGATGCAGAGAAACTGGTTCACTCATACATTACTGGTGGGAATGTAAAATGGTAAGCCACTCTGGAAAAGAGTTTAACAGTTGTTTAAAATGTTAAACTTGCAACTACCATACAACCCAATAATTGCACTTCTGGACATTTATGCCAGAGGAATGAAAGTTATTTTAACATAAAAACCCAAATAATTAATGGTTATAGCAGCTTTATTTGTTATTGCTAAAAACTGGAAGTCAACAGATGGTTAAAGAAATTGTGGTATATGCACAACATGGAATTCTACTAAGCAATAAAAATAAATAGTCGGTTGATACATATGACTTGGATGTCTCTAGGGAATTCTGCTGAGTACAATGATATAGTGTTTTATAATCCCCAAAAGTTACACACTACATTATTCCATGCATATAAAATTTGGGGAGTGCCAAATTTTAGAAATGGAGGATCGATTAGTGGTTGCCAGATGGTAGAGATTGGTGAGGGGAGGTAGGGAAGTAGTTGTTCTGGTCTGAATGTTTCTGTCCCCCTGAAATTCTTACGTTAAAATCTAATCACCAGTGAGATGGTATTAGAAAGTGGGACCTTTGGGAGGTGATTAGGTCATAATGGTAGAGCCCTCGTGAATAGGATTAGTGCTCTTGTAGAAGAGATCCCAGAGAGCTAGCTCACCCTTCCCACCATGTGAGGACACAACTACAAAGTACCTTTCTAGGAGACAGGCCCTCTCCAGAAACTGAATCTGCTGATGTATTGATCTCGGACTTCCCAGCCTCCAGAACTATCAGAAATAAATTTGTTATTATTATATAATATAAATTTTTTATAATTTATAATATATAGTATAATTTATAACTTATTTAGTATAATTTCTGTTGTTTATGAGTTTATAGTATTTTGTTATAGCAACACAAATGGACTAAGACAGTGGTGTAGTTATAAAGAGCAACAGGAAGGATCCTTGTTGTGCTGGAACTGTTTAGTATCTTGAACAGTGGTAGTGGATACAAGAATCTACATAGCTGATAAAAGTGCCTAGAGGCCGGGTGGGGTGGCTCATGCCTGCAATCCCAGCACTTTGGGAGGCTGAGGTGGGTGGATCACTTGAGCCCAGGAATTCGAGACCAACCTACAAAATATACAAAAATTAACTGGGCACAGTGGCATACACCTGTAGCCCCAGCTACTCAAGAAGCTGAGGTGGGAGGATTCATTGATCCCAGAAGGTGGAGGCTGTACCTGATTGTACCACTGCATTCCAGCTTGGGTGAGACAACAAGACCCTGTTTCAAAAAAAAAAAAAAATACAAGTATATAGAACTTAACACACACACTCGTACAATTCAAATTGGAAAAATCTAAATAAAATCAGTGAATTGTATTAATTTTCTGGTTGTAATACTATGCTATTATTTTCAAAAATGTTACCGTTGGAGGAAACTGGGCAAAGTGTACAAAGGATCTTTCTGCGTTGTATCTTAAACTGCATATTACTCTACAATTATCTTTTATTTAATTCATTTATTTATTAAGACAGGGTATCACTTTGTCACACAGGCTGAAGGGCAGTGGCATGATCACGGCTCACTGCAGCCTCAACTTCCTTGGCTCAAGTGAGCCTCCCACCTCAGTCTCCCAAGAAGCTGGGACTACAGGTGCACACCACCACACCCAGCTAATTGTTTTGGTTTTTAGCAGAGGCAAGGTCTCGCTATGTTGTCCAGGCTGGTCCTGAACTCCTGAGCTCAAGAGATCCTCCTGCCTCAGCCTCCCAAAGTGCTGGGATTACAGGTGTGAGCCACCCCGCCTAGCCTGTAATTATCTTTAAAAAAGACATTAATTACAACAGCATCCGAAAATATAAAGTGCCTAGAAATGAATCTAACAAACAATGGGTAAGATCCTTATGAAGAAATTATAAAATTTTATTGAAAGAGATAAAAAGACTAAATAAATGAAGTATAAATCTTATCCTCATGGATTGGAAGACAAATTCATAAAGATGTAAAGATTCAATACTATTTCAATCAAAATCCTAACAAGGTTTCTTTGTGGAAACTAACAAGCTGATTCTAAAATTCATATGGAAAGAAAAGAGCCAAGAATTAAACACTACTGAAGAAGAAAAACAGAAGGAAGAGACTTGCCTTACCAGATATCAGGTGTTTTATAAAGCTGGAGCAATTAACACAGTGGCATTTGCACAGAAATAGCAAAAATAACCAACAGTTGAAAACAGAGAACCCAGAACCCAGAAACAGGTTTGATTTTTGACAAAGGTGGTGGGGAAAAGATGGACTTTTTTTTTTTTTTTTTTTTTTTTTTTGAGATGGAGTCTCTCTCTGTTGCCAGGCTGAAGTGCAGTGGTGCGATCTCGGCCCGCTGCAACCTCCGACTCCCGGGTTCAAGCAATTCTCCTGCCTCAGCCTGCCGAAATAGCTGGGATTATAGGCCCATGCCACCACGCCCAGCTAATTTTTGTATTTTTAGTAGACATGGGGTTTCACCATGTTGGCTAGGCTGGTCTAGAACTCCTGACCTCAAGTAATCCACCCACCTTGGCCTCCCAAAGCGCTGGGATTACAGGCGTGAGCCGTTGCACCCGACTGACTGACTGTTTGTTTGTTTTGAGGTGGAGTCTCGCTCTACTGCGCAGGCCAGAGTGCAGTGGCATGATGTCGGCTCATTGCAACCTCTGCCTCCTGGGTTCAAGCAATTCTCCTACGTGTAGCCCCCAAGTAGCTGGGATTACAGGCACGCGCCACCACACCCAGCTAATTTCTGTATTGTTTGTGGAGTTTTAAATTTAATATCACTAAGACAGCTGGTTATTCATGTGGGGAAAAAAGTGAAATTGGGTCTTATTTTTGTGGTTGCCCCATGAAAGGTGAGCTCAATGCCCCCATCCAAAACTGGTTCAGATATCAAGATTGTTGATACCACATTTACAACAAGAAGGTATTTTAAAAGTTTATTACACACAATGAGGCTTTCTGGTCAGAACAGGACAGGCATCCAAGCCAGTTCTAAATGGCTTGAGGGAGGGAGAGAAAAGGGTCTTTGATTTTTAATGTGGTCAGTGATAGGGCCAGTATGAGGGATGATTTGAACTTCTCCTTGGCACCAAGGGAGGGGGCACCTGGGGTTTCTAATCAGCTTTGCCAGATGCTGGGCAAGAGGGAAAGGGGGAGGGGTGGAGCCTGAAAGCTGTTGGTAGTCAAACATCAAAAATGGAATTAGATTATTTATTACAGATCCCTTTTACACACATAAACAAAAAATTCCTTGTGGATTAGGAGTTATATTAAAAGCAAAAGTATGAAACTTTTAAAAGACAAAATTGAAGAATATCTTTATGATCTCAAGGTAGTGAAAGATTTACTAGACATAGCACAGAAAGTACTAACCATAAAGAAAAAGTGATAAATTTAACTCTAGTATATTAAAGTTAAAAACTTCTGTTTAAAAGCAAAACAAAACAAAAAACCATTAAGAGAATAAATAAGTAAACCACACTCTGGGAGAAGTGATTTGTTACACCCTAAAAATGAGCCCCCAAAATTGTACCCAGAATATACAAAGACCTACTATAAGTCACCAGAGAAACACACACAATCCAATAGAGAATGGACAGAAGACTTGAGCAAGCATTTCACAAAGAGGTGGCAGAAGTAACCAAAAGTATAAAAAGATAAAAGATGCTCACAGTAAGATGACATTTCACATCTGTAAAGCTTGCAAAAATTAAAAATTCTGACAATATTAAATGTTAGCGTGAGCCACTAGAACACTTGTACACTTCTCATGGCAGTAGGAATCAGTATAGTCGCTTTGAAAAAGCAGTCTGGCATTAATTGCTTAGTGGATTTGAAGGCATGCAATTCCACTCCTAGGCACGTACCTACAGAAACTCTTGCACATATACACCAAAATACATGTGTAGTAATACTCAGAGTATAGTGACACTATTCATAATAGAGAACAATGAAAACAGCCCAAATGTTTACCAACAGTAGAATGAATAAACTGTGGCATATTCATACAATGGACTATTAGGTGAGAGTTAAAAGTAATGACTTATAGTAGAAGCAATGAAGTTACAAAAGAATGTATACGGTATGATTATCTTTATATAAAGGCCAAAAACATGCAAAATTAAACAACATATTGTTTAGAAGAAAAAATGTGGCAATGCAGTGAGTAAGAACAAGCAAATAAAAACCCCACGTCAGTGTAATGATTACCTTTAAGTAGGGAGGGAAGAAATGAACACATAGGGAACTTCAAATGTTCTTTTTAAAAAAAAAAAAAAAAAAAAAACAAAACAGGAGTAGGTATGTAGGTAATCGTTAAAATGCGATTCTTCAAATGTTAATATATTTTAAATTAATATTTAACTTTAAAAAACAATTTGTATAAAGAAAAATCATTGCTCTTGAATTCTCTTTCTGTTTAGGAAAGGAAAATTTACCATTGTGACATTTTTAGTGTCTTATGAGCTTTTCCTTGTGCATGAGTAAAAATCTAAGAAAAATAGAAAAGGAAATTGAAAAAGAATATTCTTACATATGTGCCAGGCAACAGCAGACAGCCCACCTTTCCCAGGGAGTCTGGCTACACAAAGGCCTATGGAGGCAGAGCAGATTGCCGCATTCACCAAAAGAGCCTCGCTGACCTGCACCGAATTCCCCAGAGGACTGGGCCCTACTTATTTTTACATCATTAGCCCTCTTGGGGCAGGCTGAGGTCATTTCCAATTTGAAAACGACCTTGGATCACAAGCTGAAGTTTTCCATTTGTTTACGCTATTAAACATCCTGAGATATGATTAATAAGTCTTCTGCATAGAGAAATAAGTTTATTTCTAACAAACATGGTCCTTGACATGTTTCTACTATTTATGTTATTGCAGTGAGTTCATTCCACAAACTAATTTTCCAGCACTTTCTAATCTTAGCATTGTTTGGCAGTCTCTTAAACTCAGCAATAAGTTGTCTGATAAACCAATATGCAAGACATGAATTGTTTAGAAAATTATGAATATGTGATTACTTTCATCCTTTCAAAATAATAAAGTCATTGAAAAAATATTTTTTTTCTGTATTTTCCAAATTATCTATTACACTAAGGGAAAAAAACCTTAATTTTTAAAGCTTAACAAGAAATTGTGGGCTAAGATTCCTTAGGGAATCAAATATACATTTCACTTCTTGTAAAAGGGTCTATGAAAGCTGTTATTACTCTTTTAGGAGAGCTCAAGAATAAATAACAGACACATGTATTGAGTTGCTCTGTGTGTATTAAAGACAGTGGTACGCTGGTAAATAGTTAACAACCAGCTATATAGAGAGGGAAATAGCCTTGACTTGATTTGTAGCATTTGCCAATTTCTGTCATGTAAACACTCCCACTGTGGCCAATTTCAAGCTACCAATTTGATATCACTAAATGTCGAGTTGGGGAGAAATGTACCACACAGATACAAAAGATAGATGTAAATAATCTTAAGAGTATAGATGTTAAAATGCAGCACCATAATTAGAAAGTGATGTTTTTGAGCAGTTATTACATTAATATAAATTTTAAATTACAAGTTTATATAATTTGATTGTTAATAATTACTGTGTTTAACAACAGGCTGGCAAAATTCTTGAAGCTGCTTTAGCAAGGCACTAATTAGACCGTACTGGTGGTAATGTACTACCCAATCCAGTACAACAATTAGTAGATGACAGAATTCAATATATGGACATGATTTTTATATAATGTTGTTATATAAATATAATGTTGATGTATACATAACATATCTATAATTTGTTATATGTCAGCATTATATATAATATATATTTTCATTATATCTAATGTTATATATAAAACTTTATATATAATGTTATGTGTGTGTGTGTGTATTCCTACATACTCATGACCTTTATATAGGAAAGAGTCCTGAAATCCTCCTTTAAGGTAATTGCTTGGTAAACTGTATACACAATTCAATCACAGCCATGCTACTGAATTGTTTTGCAGATAACAGACCTAATTTTCAGAATTACCTCTTGGTCCAGCCAGATCAGAGAGAACAAAGCAACACATAATTTCTGGATTCCTAACAAAGTCATCTAGCAGGCCTAAAAGAACTCCAGTATCATTCCCAATCTATCTAGTCAGTGTGTGAGACACAAGGTAGGAAAGGAAAAAGGGGGAAAAGGGAGACTCCCAAAGGATCCCTTCCACAATTAATTATGCAAATCACAAGTAAATTAGACACTAAAATTTTAAGATTGATTGAAAGGCTTGCTCAAATTGCTTTAACTGTGATTCATAAACCAATCACACAAATTCATCTGTTAGGTTGTATAAAAAAATTAGAAAGATGTAGAATGGAATAAGATTACCTTAATTTAAATGTAAAAGACATGGTTGCTGAAGTATGAGTCTCTTATACCATAAGCACTAGCCCATCAGATGTTAACAAAATCTGATATGCAACAGTTTTACATATCCCCTTGTGGGAGAAAGATCAACTTGTGATCTGCTTTATAAATCAGCTACAGTGTTAGAGTTAGGCTACTGTAGCTAAATGGCTTTTAGATATGCTTCCTGTTTTAAGCTACCATATTTACAAATGAAAGCTTTTTCAAACCATGGCTTTTAATATAATTTGCATATTTAGTAATACATTGATTAAAATTAAACACGGATTATTGCAATTTATTTCAGAAACAGATGGGATGCATTAAATGAAAAGCCAGAGTTTTTAAATAGAACAGACTCGCTGGCTGACTACTGATGAATGATGAATATAAAAACTTTGTAAATTGGCAAAAAGAAAAAAAAAGTCCTTTGCGCCGATTTCTTTTCAAGGTTTTCCTGACTAGTGATTCCAGGAAATTAGTAATCAAGTTAATTTAAAATGAATAATTTATATCAAAGGTATGCATCAGCTTAATGAAAGCAGATTTCTCAGAATTAAAAATGCTTCCACAAACTTTGAATCTTCCTTGTCTACAGGGTATGTGTTCTCAGGTTTTCCTAATTATGGATTTGATAGGGTTCACCAGCAGATGGCATTCTTCCATTACATACATTCCTGCTGGATTGCTTTGCATTTACAGTTTCATGAAACTTCTTCACCAGCTAGTGTAAATTAACCATGAATTCACTCAACGGTAGAGATAGCTGGGTTGAAGCATTTGTTTCTGAAATGGCATATTCTTAAAATAGTCTTGGTTGCCCCAAACCTGATTAGATGTTGACAAGTATTTCATTTTTACATTGTTCTCTGTATCCATTGTTTTGTTGAATATCATTCACAAAAGCTAATTTTAGTAGGAATAATGTATAAGTGAATATTAGCCTCTTGTCAGTTATTTCATCAAAAGTAGATCTAAGCTTTTGCCTCATCCCCTCCTCCCATATCAGTGTGATATAATTCAATCAGATGACATTACTATGCTAGTTCAATTATGAAAATAATTTTTGCATATAAGTTTTTCATTTTGTGAAGCACAGGAATTTTCCAAGTTAATTTAGCAAAATCCAGTTTACTTTGCTTGGCTATCCAACACTTCTTATTAACCTAGATAATTAATTCTCAGAATCTCACAAAATTCATGAAGTAGAGAGTTCATTATTTAGTTTTGATACTTTTTTTTCCTTGCTTTTTTTAAGTGGGAAGTAAAAAGGGAATTGCATCTACAACATTTAAATAATGTTTCTATTATTAGAAATCTTCATTGGACAATACAGAAATCTTATTAATATATAGGCTCAAATTCAGCAACTTCAACTTGAATGGGATTGCTGAAAGTGAACTTGAAATAAAGTCAGACTAAGACCAAATATTTCCTATTTAATATAGATGCTAATTATAAATTCTCAGAATAAGCTAAACTGGGCAGTTTACAACACAAATTGTTCACTTCATAGTGAATCAATGACATACTTTTCAAAGCAAGAAATCAAATGAAAACTATTTTTATATAATGTTTCTGATGATTTTATATCTTAAAAACACATGTGTTTTCTTTTGAAACAAAAAAAGATTCTTTCATCAAAATCCTGATTGCAGTAACAATATGCTATAGAGGTTTTATTTTGTTATATTTTGTTTATAAATGTAAAATATTTCCAAAAATTACCTCCAGCTTTTTCAAAGTTTGATTAAATACTCAAAAGTACTTAAAAGGTCAGTTCCCAGTTTCACTGCTATGGATTACTCTAACATGAAATGTTTGTCACCTATTGTAAGTTGTGAAAATCCCCCTGTATCCAATGTGTTTTGTTTGGATTGAGATGGCATGCAGTTGATGGCTGTGACCTTCATGGTGGCTTAGATCCCTGGCTGGCACTGATTTTTGATTTAGTGCCGATCTGCTGCGCTTGTCACAGGCTGCAAGGTGCTTTCCATGCACTAATGGAACAGCTCAAGGGCAGAGGGGCCCTGTAAATGTCTATCTCTCACCAACCACGGGCTAAATAGAGAGGTGAGTTTTCTACATGTGAATGACAGACTCTGAGATTACTTGTAGAAGGTAATACAAAGTTTTAAAACCTGCACAGACTTGGCGAAAATAAGAAGCATTTGCAAAGTGCCAACTCTAAGGTTATTCTGCCTGCTAATGAATATGTATCTGCACTGTTAAAATGGAATATTTAACACAAATACCGATAATATATCTTCATTTGGTGGCAGGGAACTAACAATCAGTTGATGTGTCCTTTGTTTCAACTGTAGTTGTTAATAAATTCTGTTATTTAATGATGTCTTCAACAGAAAATTGCATATGTCCAAACTTTTTCCTTCTAACACAAAATGACATGATAATTGTTCTAGAAAGAGAGGAATTTAGAGACAAAATATAACATCTTGGCCTATGCATCATATTGGCTAGGCATCTTGACTACTAAAGGGTATTCCATACATGCAGCAAAACAAAAACAAATACAGGTAAATTTTGCCTTTTAAAATCACTTGGGCCTTGGTGAGAGTAATTCATACCAAGAGGCTAGTAAACATATTATTAGTGCGTCTGTAAAGTGACCAAATCCTATTTATCCTTTAAGACTCAGCTCAAATGCTGTCCCCTCCAGATGCAATTCCTGATTCTCCCAAGAAGTAAGATCTTCCGTGAAATTCTACAATATTTGATTTGTGCATTCCTTAGTTATTGCTGTTTATCTTGTATGAGGGACACATTTTATCTCATTTCCTGCAATAGACTGTAAATTCCTTAAGAGCAAGTACCGCATCTATTTTATCTTTACAAACATCTCCTTCCCTAGCGCTCAATACATGTTTGTTGAATGAATGAATGATAAATGCATATCTACAACATGGTAGCAGTCTCCAGGTTGATGAAATTTTAAAGTTATGAGTATTTGTGGTGATATTATCATTAACATTAATATCTGGCTGACTTCCTGAATCTCCACTTCAATCACCACATACAGGTTACGATGGTCCCTCTCACATTCAGAAGTCTCACTTTATATATAATTTCTGATTTCTCTCTGAATCTGCCTCCCACCAGCAAGACCACATGCTATACCAAATTCTCATCTAAGACCCCTCTACAGCCAACCCCACCAAAACAGCACTCCCCTACACATAATACTCAGATCTCTCAATATAGAACAACCTTAGTGTGCCTCATCTAACCACAGTGTAAGTCACAGGATATAAACTTCATCCATGTCTTGAAGTATTTGAAGTCATTCCATGGGAAGTTGCCTTCTCAGTAAAAGGTACATGCAGCTTGCTTTTATGGCCCTTTGATTCATACATTAATTCACCAACTCATTACTGAGTGCTTACTATGTACCAGGCACTAGAAGGTAATTACGATACAGTGCTGTGTACTCTCACGAGGAACCGGGCAGTGTGCCAGGACATACTGCAGACACTGGAGAAACATGGTACTTCTTGGATGGGGAATTTCAATGATTTAAAACATTATTTTTATATTAAAATAAAGTAAGAAATAGAATGCAAAATTTTCATGAATTTTTAAAATATAGAATTCAAAAAATTCCTACTTTCAGTAGACTGCTTTTGATCCCCCTGAGTGTGAATGCATTCTCTTCTGCCATTCTAGGTAGGTCAGTTGAAAAATGTTGATAAGTTGTCTGAAAGAACACATGCTTTGGAATAAGTCTTGATTAGAATCTCAATTATTCCTCTTCCTCATTATATATCTTTGGGTGAGTTATTTAATCACTATGAGTGTGAATGTTCTCATCTATAAAATATGCATAATACCTACCTTTTCAGGCAATTGTAAAGATTAAATAAATACATGTAAAGTATAAAGACAGCACCAAACATAGTAGGTGGTTCTGTAGGAACTTCATCCATCCCCTAAAAGAGACCTACCAGATCCTTATGTTGTTATTTCACATCTCTGCCATTTCAACTCCTTGCACCGGAACCACTGAATAACTGATAGAAAGGTTAACTGTCAAATTGCATTCTTGGCCAGACACAGCGGCTCATTCCTGTAATCTCAACACTTTGAGTGGTGGAGGCAAGAGAATTGCTTGAGGCCAGGAGTTTGAGACCAGCCTAGGCAACATATTAAGACTCTGTCTATATAAAAAACTAAACGAATTGCATTTTTTCACAATAAATTCATATTTTACATGTGGAACATCCCATTAAGACTTCATGGACAGCGTTCAGATGATCAACATAGTTTTGTCACAACTTGTAAAACTTTCAAAAGCCTCTAGTTCAATCATCTCACGTTCTAAATGACCTAACTTCTTTGTCTCCTTTCCTGGCTGAAATCCTTTTACTGCGCAATGGTAGATAGGTATAATATGAGGTTCTATTCTTAACACTCATCTTTTATCTCTCTGTACATATTCCCCTTGGTAAGCATAGCCACTCTAATGGCTTCAACCACCAACTCTATCCCAGTGACCCTAAAATCCTTATCTCCAGTCCTGACCTTTGCTTTGTGCTGCAGTCTTCAGCTTCCACCCACCTGCAGAATATGCACTGTTAAGTGAACTACCATATACTCAAACTCAACAGTCCCATAATGTATTTCAAACTATCTTTTCTTCTATCAAAGTAGAAACTTAGAAGGAATTTTTGAGTATTTTCCCCTTTTAAATCCCCTATAGTCAATTTATCACCAATTTCTTTTCTCTCTTTAATGTGTCATTCAAATTTAAATAGTCCTTTCTACTCCCATTGCCATGATTGTACTACAGGGCCTCATGACCTCAAGCCTGGAATGAGGCAGTGGGCTCCCAGCTCAGTACTTCTCATATCCTAGATGCAGAGCACAATAACCTGAGGGAATTTTGCAAAACCACAGATTCTCAGGCTGCCCCAGGCTTACTGAATCAGAAGACTTGGGGGATAAAGCTCTCCAGTTGATTCTCACACACAACTAGACTTGGAACCATGATTTCAATTGATTTCATGTCTACAGTCTTTCCACTTTCAACACATACAGTGCATTTAAATACCAATTTTATCATGGTGCATTTCTAATGGTGTCCTACTGCCAGGCACGTTAAGCTGAATGCCCTTTGCCAATTCCTAAAAGTCTCCATAACCTAGCCCCACCTTACTTTTTCAGATCTAATTTTTAGTCTGACAAGGACAGTCTTCTAATCTTATTCTCGTGTCAATTCCTCCATTCATTTTCCCTGAGCTGGGAGCCCCCTGAATCATTCCAACTTGAGGTCATGAGGCCCTGGACTGCAATCATGGCAATGAGAGTAGAAAGGACTATTTAGATTTGAATGACATATTAAAGAGAAAGAAATTGGTGATAGATTGACTATAAGGGATTTAAAAGGGAAAAGACTCAAAGATTCCTTCCCCATCTACCCACCAATATAAACCTCCTCCTTCCTTCAAAGATGAGCCCCATCTGACCTTCTTACCTAGTGTCCTCTAGCCATACTCTTCCCTCTACATTTTTTCCTTCTCTGCCTCCTATTGTGATTTAAGTCAGTACCATGCTGTTTTATACTTCTCCTACTACATTTTTATAAATCTTCTCTCCATAGACAGAGTGTAAATGTCATGAAAAGAAGAACCAAAAATTTGTTTTCATGTTTCTCCTGATAACATCTGAAGGTGTATTGTAGGTATTCAACACATTATTGTAATTAATTAAAACCCATTGACTTCTTACTGCATAGCAGATATATATATTGACTCATTTAATTCTCATAACAACCCTATGAGGATTTTAAAATAAAACTCCTTGTTTAGACAAGGAAATAAACATAGAGAGGTGAAATAATTTACCTCTCTATGGTCAAGACTGCTCTGGTTTGAATTTCAGTTCTTCCTCTTGTGAGCTTAATACCATTCATAAGAGGAAGCATTGAAATTCAAACCTGGGCAGTCTTTCCAAAGCTTATTGTCTTAGCTAACACACCATGGAATCATAGAACATGAGCAGCAGAAAGGGCTTATGAGGCCATCTAACTCATCTGCCTAGAACTAAGCTATTTTACTATTTACTAATCTTTATGTGTTTGTTTAGTTAAAGGCAACTGTTCTCTACTCACTGTCCTGTATGTCGTTTAGGTCTCCCTGGGTCTCTATTTATATTGATACTACATAACCTTTTAGATAACTCTTAATTTATGCATATTTGTTGCAGCGATGAGTACCTAAACCATTCTAGGACAAAAAAAGATGCAAATAAAAATTCCCCCTTACCCAAACTGTCCATTCTGAAGGCTATTAAAGCAAGCCAAGACACATATTTCATTAGAGAGTTTCCTTTTCAATATTTCTGGGCCTTTGCTGCCATTTTTTAAAGAAAGGGATTTATTTATTCAGTGAGTTTGAGGGTGTGGTGCATACATATGCACGCTTGTGTGGTGGGGGGCAGAGGGATTAAAAGAATATGCTTTTGAAAGTAGAGTGGACATCAAAATTTGTTTATGTCAGGATAATAAGTGACTTGTTTTTTATGTTGCCCACTTCTTCGGACACACAGACCTGCTATGCCTCAGGGTGCGTGAATTGACTGCAATCAAAGTCTGTGCACATGTCTGGGCCTGGGGGTCTGGTTTTCCTAACAGTCAGCATGATCTGAGGGGCACCAGAAGTCACTAGAGTTAAATGGCACTCCATGTGATGGAATGAGACACTTCTATCAGTTCATGTTAATGGGAAAAAATATGTTCCAACATTCATAGGAGAGCCAATATGGTAGTACATGAACCAACTTTCTTGTCTTGAACTACACACTGAAAATTTGAGCCCTATTAAAATGCTAAAAACAAATGAGGTAGAGCGACAGAGTCCATTGCTCTATTTACACTGATATCGGCTTCCACATACTTATTAGAGGTTCTACTAGAACAGGTAATAAGTAGCTCTAGATTTTTCATGCTTTGCAGTTTTGGAATAGCATGAATAATTGAAATCCACAGATAATACAAAAATTTAATTTTAGTCAAGGTATTAAGCCATCTCTTCCTCAATGGAGCTTTTATTATATTAGCTAACAAACAGAATAAGTGACTGGCTTGCATTTCAGCATTTAGTTTTTTCTATACATCTCCTAGCATTCTTGGGTAGGTGTCATTAAGCCACCAGAGAAAAAGATTTGCACTCTTGGCTTGTTCACTGTGATCAACTACTGCCTGTACATTTGCAAGAAGGCTGGCTGATGCTGAGGTTGAAAAAAGAGCACCACTTCCATCCTCACAGAGTTACTTGACCCATGTACATACCAACATTACAGGGTTAGTGCAAACCCCTCATTCTCAAGCAGTAGTACAAACACTGCATCAACAGAACTATTTTTAATTAGTAATAAATGTTATCTCTACAAACTAAGTACTGAAGTAAACACAATACAATTACCCTAAACCAAATAGTAAAAAAAAAAAAAAAAAAAAATTAAAACATGGAACCAATGCTATTCTGAATCACCTAAGAAACCTGTTTAAAATGAACATTCCCCAAATCTTTCTCTAGAGAGTCTGACTTAATAGGTTTGGGTCCAAGTATATGCATTTTAATAAGTAGCCCTTCTTCTTCCTTTATTCATCCTCCTACTCCTCCCGTCTCATCCCGACCCCAGCCTCATCCCACCATAGTGATTCAAGTATGAAGGGTCCATGGACCACATGTTGAAAATCAGTGCCTAGGGAATGAAAAAAAAAAAGAGTTGGATATCCCTGCCATTGGTTTCATAGCAAGAGATCTTTTTTTTTCTTGTTCCACAACCCCCAGCTGAGTTGAGTCTATATCAGCTATACTGACTTAGAGACCATGTTAAAGATCCAATACACACTTCCTCTAAAGCAAGAACTGATGAAAGTGTTTGCTTCCAGGGTATATAGAGCTTTAAGATGTAGCCTTGAGGGCTGTTTAAGGGCAGTATCAGGCTTATGGATAATGAAATGTACAAGATAGTGATACTGTCCAGCCAGAATACTATTCTGCCATGCTCTGATCCAGGCAGAGCAAACAGCTGCTGAGGCCAAACCACGACAAGGGCTATTTTTGCCTGTGACATTGGAGAATTTATTCAAGAACAGTTCCCCTTTGTGCCAGGATTTTCACTGTGCGGCTGTAAAGGTTGCTAAGTCCTTGGATCATCTGTTGTTTAAACTTTCTCAAATGTCCAAAATAACCCATTCTTCCTGAGATTATGAACCTGTATGAGAGCTCTGCTAGCTGGGAATGAAATTGCTTGTCCCTATTTCTTCTGCTCTATATACTTTGAAGAGCAGTCACTTTGCAGTAACTGTAAGTTATCTAAATAGCAACTCCTCGCACAGGTAATATGATTTGGGGGAGAAAATAATTTCCCCTAAAGGCCACATAGTTCACAAGGGTCTTTGTGATGACTAAACAATATAGTGCCCATGAAAGCATTCTGCACACTCTAAGATGCCATGGAAACACAAGAATTATTAACTAGTATGTGGTAGATAGGAGTCAAATGATAAATATCCAACCAGGAAGGTTACTGTAACACAGGAGTGAATCAACAGACTATCCTCTCCCAGAAAAGCTCTTTGTGTGTCTGGCTTCCCACACCTAATCTGGAAGTACAAACAGTCTGTGCTACGTGTGCCGGATTTCTGTGGACTGAGGCAGAAAAACCCTAAGCAAGAAGAGAAAATTGTTTTGTATTCATTTCAGCAACAAGAGACTGCAGTGTCACAGAGTGGTCCCAGTGCAGGGACATCTCATCAGACGTCACCCCATCGCTGTGCCCTGCCTTTCTCTGGTTCTTTCCCACTGTTCAAGCACTTTGACACTTTGTGGATTATGCTTTCAGGTTCTTTCATCAATTTAACATTAAAAGTCCTGTGAAATATTAATGAAATAATGTTTTTAAAAAAGAAAAATGTTCCTACAATACTGCAACATTTTAATGCCTCATTAAAATCATTAGCAATGCTAATACTAAGGAACTTACTTCATCTTTCAAGGAGCCAAAAAATAAATCATAATAAAATGTTTGTTAATGTTACATCTGGAGAAATAAATTATACAATGCCTTTCTATATGGGCTTTACATAGTTTAAAGATGACACACTAAGGTCATATTATTAAGTACATGCAACTAATTTTTTCCTATGGAAACTCATATTGTACTTTTTATAATATTCATTAAATGCTGTGAGTATTGTTTGTATTTTTCATTTATGAGAAAAATATACCGTATGCCTATCAACCACCCAGAGCTCTCATGGAACTCAGGTTGCAAACAATGACATGCTTCACTGACCTGGATGACTTACAAAAGCCATTTATATTCAGTACTCTTATTTATGCTATCTTTAAAAATGAGTAAGAGACATATATTAATAGCAAGAAACCAGTAGAATGATTGCATCACTACCCATCTCCAGACTTATTGCAACACTTCATTTTCCATCAGTTCAACTGACATGGGAATGTAAATGTCGTATATAATAGTCATATAAAATTTTACTACAGAAGTTACTAAGGCAAGTGTGACAGTTTTCTTCTCTTTGTTGACCAACTTTCCATTGGAAAACAAAGGGGTTTAATGCATGGCAAAGTTGTAGCTAGTTTGTTATCAAAGGAAACCTCTCACCATTGACTGGGGTGAATGGCACAGCATGTTCTTCTTAAATACATCTACATCTCCTGTGGCTATTGCACAGTACAGTATAAGCTCAGCATACAAGCACATCCAGCAGATCCTGGGAACTTCTTTTCTCTCTGAGAATAAACTGGTATTTAGTCATGTACGTCAAGACAATTATTTTTTAGAAACAAATAAAACAAAAACTCTAATCCTATAACTGTCCCAATACCTTCCTAGATAAAAATAAGTATCAGGAACCCAGCCAAATCCAGTCTCTCCAACACAGCTATTTGATATTTTATTCTATTGAAAACTAATTGTTGCTAACAGTGTGACTTTCACCTGAGCCTGATTTCCCTCAGGTTCTCCATCATAGGCTATACTATTGAATTTTTCTTTAGGGGTGACTATTAACCATAGTTTAATATTCTCATTAAAATATATCATACAATGCCTATTTATTATTTACTATTAAAAATTATCATTATCATCTAATAATTATATGACTAAAACATGATTCAATGGGAAGAATTGCAGGAGTTAGGAACAGTTGCTTACAAATGAAACTAGGGTACATTATTTGGAAAATGCAATACTTATCCAGAAGGGAAGTGGAGAAGATTATGCTTTACTATATATATTAGGTCATCTAGTATGTCCTACATCACAGATGTTGCTAATTTTTACATTAATATTCTAAGATATAGTGTTGAAAGTTTATATTTGCATAGCTAAGCCATTTTTAAAAAAATGTAATCCTAAATTCTTAAAATCCAAGGATTTAAAGGTGCAAGTTCCAAATCAGAGAACTTAGTGTGGCACTTTCCATTCAAATTATCATTAGGTTTAGATAGACAGTTAGTTAAAGGCTTTTAAATCATATATTTCAAACATAGGCAAGCTCTAAAAATGACAAAATCATTTGTTAAAAACTTCAGTTACATCTTCCTTAGTCATCCATCTCTTCAGAGAGCAAATTAATTGTTCCAATCTAGTAAGCAATGAAAGAAATCATCGACAAAGGGTGAAATATGAACATAAATGGTAAGTTTTGAATTTACCCTATTTATCTTGAATGTAAGATCTCTTGACCCACTAAAACTCAGTTCACAGTGTTTTATGAAAAATAATGGCTGAAATTGAATGTCTTAATTTACATTTAATGCAATTAAGAATGGTTTAAATTATGACTGATGAACAGCACACACAGATGTCAGTCAGTTTCATCAGAATAAATTGAAGTCAGTGTCAATGAATGCTCCACTGATAAATCCCACTTTACATAAAATTAATAAAAATAAGGAAATATAATCCTTAACTAATTGCAAAATGGTCCGGAATTCCCCTAAATTTTGGGGGGAAAATTTATGTAGCTGAGAAAACTACAGTATTGTTTGGAAAATATTGGGTCATTTTTAATACATAATACCCAAATATTCCATCAGCAAGCAGCCCTAAAGAGGTATAGAACACAAACTTCTACACTGAGTTATGCAAATATTCATGGCGGGAGGGAAAAAAATCCACCAGGAAAAAGAACAGGAGGAACATAGGAGGAGGATGCAATTAAAAATGAAGATGAGGAAGAGAAAGAGGGGAAGACACTGGAATAACCTTTCTGAAACAAAAGCACTGGGCAGTACTTTTTTCAGGTTGCTGCACTCCCAAGTTTCCTCAGCTAGCCTCAAGCATAACACTGCATTCACATCTTGCTTCATAAAACTGCTCCAAGTTTTTGCTGGAAATGATGCCCTCCTTCAGTGTTTTAATGCCAAACTAGGAAGACTTTGGTCTTGACTGCTGGCTGGATTCTTAGCTCACAGAGAGCACTCTCTTCCTCCATGGTAGATTCTGAAGCTTTGTGGATTGGAGCAGATGTTGCTGCTTTTGAAGTTAATAGAAACTTTATGGACCATTTTTCACTCTCTCGTCCAGGAGCAAGTGTCAACCGTAGTTTTATTCAAAACCTGAATTCTTGGCTCAGGCACTAATTGCTGTTAATGTGTTTAAATCCCAATTCTCAGGGAAAGGGGGAAAGTGTTTTTCCAATGGAAGAAATTGGGTTAATATTTGCATTCTTAGTGCCTGGATAAGCAAGAAAAATGCTAGGCTTCTGAGCCACACAATTCTGCAAGCAACCACGGAAGGCCTAAAAACCACGTTTCTCTAGGCTTAGTGGGTTAGTGTGTTCAGGATGAAACCAATCTTGAAAAACCAAAGAATATGAAAGGGAGTTAGGAAGATAGGCTAAAAAAAAGGGAGAAGAAGGTTCACTTTATAAAAGCTATCTTAGTAACGACCACTATTCCTATTGCTGCTTGTACAGCACTTTGGAACTAACAATGCACATCCATTGTATGATACACTACTTTTTCATGTCATTCTACCCACTTCGCAAAAGAGAAAAGTACTCAGAAATTAAGAGACACAGCAGGAAGTGGCAATGCTGAAACTTGAATCAAGGTCTTTTGGCTCCAAATCTTGTGTTCAAATTACATGTATCTGTTCTAGCTATGTGAATTAACAGCAATTTTAAAAGCTCTCAAGAGTATTCAGTAATTGTTGCTGCTTTACAAGAGCTATAATTCTAAAAAATGTTACTTCAAGGGCCTTTTATTTTGTTTCACGTTGTGGACTTTAAACCCAATTTGGAACTCCTACTATCTAATAAATAGTGTTGAGTCATTATAGACATTTCCCAATGACAATTTTTTACCTAACAATTTCCTGACATTTTTTCAAGAATAAATGAAGCCAAGATCAATCTTAAGGACAGTGGATGAATAGCCAGTCATCCAATGTACTGAAAAGTTTGCTTATCAAGACCACCTTCCCCACTATAGTGAAATTTTACCATTTCCAAAACAATGATTTGTCTCAAAGTGGTCAATTTCATTAAACAATCCTTCAAGCTAGTTGTTTGGCATTTATTTCTCAAAATACCTGTTATGGATTGAGTTTTTCAGGAACCCAAAGTATTTTATTTCATTTTGTATCTTTCATTAGATCAGTCTATCTTTCATTAGATCAAACCCAACGGTGATGTATAAAACAGGGTCTCTGCAATATGCACAACGGAGTGAGCAGTTTCTATGTATTTCCTATGCTTTCTCTTCCCTTCTTCAAATCTCCCTCTCCTAGCATACCAATCAAAGTAAAAGAGCATGTACTCATTCACTCACAATTGTACATGATGCCACAGAGCCACAATTCAGACATGTCACTACCCTCAAAGAACTTACAAGGTTCCTTCCTCTCCAGGACAGATCTGTTTTCACTACTTTTGCCCAGCTACCTGCAAGGCTTAGGGGATCCAGAAACTAATGGTATATTAAGAGACAAAACTAGGCACAAGTCAAGTACTAGGCCTGACCTAATTTACTACCAGATTCTCTCTCTCTCTCTCTCTCTTTATTTTTTTTTTAATTTTACTTTAAGTTCTGGGATACATGTGCTGAATGTGCAGGTTTGTTACATAGGTATACATGTGCCGTGGTGGTTTGCCACACCTATCAGATTCTCTTAATATAATTAGTTTCTGAAAACATTACCAGAACATTTATAGACTCCACTCATACCGGAATTAGAGGTTTTTCAACTTTATTCTCCAAATATGCAGAAGAGACCACAGAAGAATGAAATATGAAGCTTATCCCAAATTGCAAACTCTGCTAGATCTTCCCCTACTAACTCTTCATGGTACCTCCTTTTTCTTTCCATAGGCTGAAGAACTGTTCTGCTTGCAGCCACGGAATTTCCAACTATAGCCACTAAAGTATGCACAGCATCAGCTTCAAAGCTCAGAAGTGCCCCCCAGATTTATAGAAAGGGGGAGAGATGAGGAGGGGGAAGGAGATTAAAAGAGACTAACTTCAGAAATTTCCGACAGAACTAGATGTGGTCTAGACAGCATCAAACACACTACTCCACCCCTTTCCAATACCTCTGCCTCAACAGCTCTGTAAGCAGTATTTGAGTAAGTTCATGAGAGACACTATAACCTCTGTTAATTGACCTGATTTTCATATCCACCATCACAGGCAACTTTTCTAGAAGAGAGAACCCTGGTCTCATTATTGCTTGCTTCCTCCCCACTTTTCCCCATCTGCCCCAGGTAAGAGACTTTTTACAACAAGTTCCCTTTCAATTAAAATTCCTGGCTGGGTGCAATGATTCACGCCTGTAATCCCAGCACTTTGGGAGGCAGAGGCAGGCGAATCACCTGAGGCCAGGAGTTCCAGACCAGCCTAGTCAACATGGTAAAACCCTGTCTCTACTAAAAATACAAAAATTAGCCAGGTATGGTGGCACGTTCCTGTAATCCCAGCTACTCAGGAGGCTGAGGGAGGAGAATTGCTTGAACCCGGGAGGCGAAGGGTGCAGTGAGCCGAGATCGCACCACTGCACTCCAGCCTGGGCAACAGAGCGAGACTCCATCTCAAAATAAATAAATAATAAATAAATAAATAAATAAAATTCCTATATGGGCAGTGATTGTATTTAGCAAACTGGTTTCTGATCTCACCTCTTATTCCACACCAAGCTCCTGGAGACATATCAGGTGTGCAGCCAGCAGTCAAGAGGGAGGAGGTCAGACATTATAAGTGTTCTGTGTGAGTGACGTATAAGCCAATAAACACTATGTAGGTTTTTTATGTATATTTTTTTCATTTGACTTCAAAG
The DNA here is from genome assembly GCF_000001405.40 of Homo sapiens. Lineage (NCBI taxonomy): Eukaryota > Metazoa > Chordata > Mammalia > Primates > Hominidae > Homo > Homo sapiens. The sequence goes on from NC_000005.10 coordinate 77,574,541, forward strand.
GATCATTACTCAATGTTATTTCTCATATTGAAGACTCTAAGGCTAATGCTTTGACTTGATTTTAAAGACTGAATTTTTTCTGCTGGTATAAATAGTATGGACACAGTAAAAGTACTTGAGAGAGCCTAATGAACCATTTCTTACACCCCATTACCTTTAGTCTGATATGACTGAGAGTGCAGGCACTAATTATCCTCTCTTTCACAGACAGCGACATAGATCTACAGTAGGTCTTAAAACACAATTTCCCATACAACCCAACATTTCCATGCATAATACATTCCTGTATTTTTCTCCTTGTCGTAGTTGAAACAAGAAAGTCCAGGTTCTTGTCTTCCTACAACTTTGTCTAAACATAAAGGACATAGAGTTAACAATACATCTTAATCTCCAGAGACCAAACATAAAATTATGCACAACTAGAAATGAGGCGTTAAAAACAAATTACAAAAATCACATTTCATAAAAGCCTCTATCCATGGGAGAACAACCTAAAATGCATTCAGAAAATTTAAAAAAAAACAAACATATCTTATTTCCTACTGAGATATAGGAATGATTTTGTCACACTGAAACTTATTTATAATGTATTAGAAATATACTGCAGTATAGTGTCTAGTGTAATGAACATGCTTTCTTCCATCATTATACCACTCTAACTTGTGAAAGAAATATCTTTGTAGTTTCTGAAAGAAAAAGAGGAAAAGAATAAGCTACGACACTAATACCAGAGTTGATATAGTGAGAAATAGGAAAGAACTTTGCAATGAGATAATTTAGAGGCCTATACAGTATATTTGAATGTAGATGGTTAAGATAATATGGACATTTATGAAGGAGATATGCAAGGGCACAGCAAGCCATGTGCTTTCAGTATTTAAGCATCCTCCTACATGACATGTTGAATACTTCTGGTAAGGATTTTAGTGGTGAGAGGGAAGTCCTTTATCATATAGCAGAAACTGAAAAGAAATCAAAGTGTAAGGGAACACACCTTAGGGCAGACATCCCAGTTGAAATAATGCTATAGCACACCAAATAAGTTGCAGGTGTGCTCAGGTGTGCCCAAGCTATTGAAGTCCTTAGGATACTCAGAGAGGAGTCCGTGATACTAATTGTGCAACCTGTTCACCCCCAGCATACAGGAAAAATGCTATCCTTTTTTTTCTGTGTGTCATGATGTAGAAAAACACTGGGAAGTATTACAAGAGAAACTTCTCTGTTCATACAGTAACTTGATGAAGACTGAGACTTTCCTCATGGAATTTGTATATGGAGAAATGGAAAAAGCAAGATTTATTTTCTGCACTATCATATATTCCTATAGTTGAACAAAAAGAGCCTAAAAAATGCACCGAGTCTACAAAATCCTTGATCCCAAGAACCATAAAGTGACAAAGCTAATGTCTGTGGTTCTGAGTACTCCGCTGACAGGCAGTCAGTCGGTCATACAAGAATAAAGTGAACCTTCTGGATGGAGTCTTTCTGACACCACAGACAGAGATTTAATAGTTCTCTCCTGGATAACCTCTTATCATGTTGTAATACTTCATAGCATGTCTTACACAGTGAATAACTGTTTGCGATATGACAAAACGCACCCTTACTCTCTTTCCCTCTTAGAAGAACCCCTCGATCTATGTTCAGCCCCATTCCCTCCTGTCTCCCAAAAATCATTGTCTCTTTTGCCTGTTTTTCTGCTTCTCCTTCTGGTCCTTTCCCTTACATATTAACATGCACAATTCTCCCACACCTTCACTACCCCCCTCAACCTGACACCCCTTCTAACTATTGTCTTATCTCTGCTTCCTTTCACATTAAGTTCCTCAAAATATGGCTCTACAGACACTCTCCACTTCCTAATGTCCCACTGACTTCTTGACCTTCTGCAGTCTGATTTCTAGCCCCTAACACTGACCAGGGCAACACCATTTATGCCAAATATTCCTTGACCTGATATAAGCCACTCTCTCTTTAAACTCAGGTCTCTTACTCATTTATTCTGTTCTCTGTTCCCCACTTCTTGAATCTCTTTCTCACACCACCATGATCTCTGGCTACCTCATCTCAGGTCTCTTTATGGCCTCCTTTTTCTCTTTAAGAATTAGCATTAGCTAGGTTTCTGTTCTTGGTCCTTTTTTTTCCTCACATTTCACACTCTTTCTGGGCAGTTCCACTTGGATACTTCACAGGTAGCACAACTAAACATGGCAAATCTGCACCAACTATCTCTCCTCAAATGCTACTCCCTGCTCGCTCCTATCATCCTGATTTTTGGTTAATAACGTCACTCTCAGACCAATTACCTAAGCCAGAAATTTGAGAGTCATATTAAAGTTATTTTTAAGATTAATTTTTGTGGTTAGAAGCAACAACAAATGAACTCCACATAGCATAATAATAATTTTTAAGTAGGTGGGTATTGAAAGGATACTGGCATATTTCACAAAATCAAAGGAAGAGTTGACATTGGAAGTGAAGGAAACAGGACATCACTGGGGACTTCACAAGAAGACCACGATTTTTCTCCTCAGCCTAGCCACAAACATAACTCTCAGTCTCTGCCTTCTGTGTTCTAAATTTCTTTCATATTCTCAGGGAAAAAAATTGTGTTGGGCAAGCTTGGGTCATATGTCACTTTTAGGTCAATCAGCTAAGTTCTAAAAACTGGAAGAATAAATTCACAATCCATATACCAACAAGGAATTTGTACCACAATGTAAAAAAGATTTCCTACAAAACAATATCCCCACCCCACTCCCCTGCCCCCTTCCCCCCACCAAAAAAAAAGAAAAGAAAAATGGGCAAAGGAAATAAAGATAATTTTCAAAATAGGAAACAAGTATCATCAATAAAATATGAGAAATTGCTCAATCTCGGTAGTAATCAAGAGATGCAAATTAATAAAACAAAGAGAATCATTTCACACTAATCAGAATTGCAAAATATTATTAGTTCCGATAACACAAACTATTGCTGAGGATGGAGGGAATAGAAATTCATCTAAATACTTCAAAGATTATTTTGGCAATATTAAATAAAAGTGGCCATAATGTTATACAACTGAGAAATTTTACTGCTAGATGTTTACCCTAGAGAAACTTTACACATGTGCACTAGGAAACATATACAAGAATATATATTGCAGCACTGTTCCTAGTGAAAGAATAAGAAAGCTGGGAGAAGCTCACCTGTGATCAGAACAAATATCAAACACTGACCTCAGAAACTACAGGTGCTCCTCAACTTATTATGGAGTTATGTCCCAATAAACCCATTGTAAGTTGAAACTATCATAAGTCAAAAGTGCATTTAATATACCTAACATCATAGCTTAGCCTAGCCTAACTTAAAAATGCTCACTCAGAACACTTACCTTAGCCTATAGCTAGGCAAAATCATTTAACACGAAGCCTATTTTATAATAAAGTGTTGACTATCTCATGTAATTTATTGAGCACTGTCCCGAAAATGAAAAACAGAATGGCTCACTGCCACTACCCAGCATTGCAAGAGTATCATATTGCAAATCGCTAACCCGAAAAAAGATCAAAATTCAAAATGCAAAGTACAGTTTCTACTAAATGCATATTACTTTTGCACTATTGTAATGTCAAAAAAATCATAAGTCGAACCATCACAATTTGGATATATTTGCAGAGCAATACGTACCCCCAGGGATTTGGAGAAAACAATAGAGACATTAGCCATAATGTCATAGAGTTTAACAGGCTTAACACTGTAGGGAGCTAGGTGGTAGAGGGTAGGATTCACTAAAATATACCAGTGAGTCAGAAAACCAGCAAACAAACAAACAACAGCAAGACCTGGGGGAGGGCAGTTTAGTATCCATAGTACTACATATGTTATTTAAAATGTCCATTTTCCAAGTAAAAAATGCAAGTCATACAAAGAAACAGGAAAATATGGCCCATACATCTGATAGCAAGCAACAGAAACTGCTAGTGAGAGCAACCAGATGGTGGATTTAATGGAAAAGACTTCAAAGTAGCCATTATACACATGTTAACAGGACTAAAGGAAAGCATAATTAAAGAAGTAAAGGGCCAGGCATGGTGGCTCACGCCTGTAATCCCAGTACTTTGGGAGGCCAGGAGTTCAAGACAAGCCTGGCCAACATGGCAAAACCCTGTCTCTACTAAAAATACAAAAATTAGCCCGGCCTGGTGGTGGGAGCCTGTAATCCCAGCTACTCAGGAGGCTGAGGCAGGAGAATCACTTGAACCCAGGAGGCAGAGGTTGCAGTAAGCCAAGATCGCACCACTGCACTCTAGTCTGAGTGACAAGAGCAAAACTCCATCTCAAAAAAAAAAAAAAAAAAAAAGAAGTAAAGAAAGGTATGATCATAGTGTCTCCTCAAATAGATAATATCAATAAAGAGATAGAAACTATAAAAAAGAGTCAAACAAAAATTCTGAAATTAAAAAGTATAATAAAAGAAAATTTTAAAATTCACTACAGAGGTTCCATAATAGATTTGAACTGGCAGACAAAAAAACAGTGAACTTGAAGGTAAATCAACTGAGATTATGTAAGCCAAAGAAAGATAGAAAAAGGAATGAAGAAAAATGAGCAGAGCCTCAGAGAAATGTGGGGCTTGACTAAGCTTGCCCAACATGTGTAATGGGAGTAGCAGAAGTAGAGAAGAAAGACAAAGGAAAAGAAAAAATATTAGAAGAAGCAATGGCTGAAGCCTTCTCAAATTTATTGAAAAACATTAACCTACATACCCAAGAAGTACAATGATTCCAAGTAGGATAAATTCAAAGAGATCTGTAAATAGACACATCACACTAAAAATGCCAAAATCAAAGACCAGGAGAAAACTTTGAAAGTAGAAAAAGAAAAATGACTCATCATTTACAAGTGATTAACAGCAAACTACACAACAAAACTCAATAAGATTAACAGCAAACTATGAAACAAAAGCAACGGAGACCATAAGATAGTAGAACAACATGTTCAAAGTGCTAAAAAAAACCACCCTGTCAAACAAGAATCCTATATACAGCAAAAGCTATCTTTCAAAAAAGAAGTTATAATAATGACTTTTCCAGAAAACAGAAACTGAGAAAATTTGTTACTAGCAGATCTTCCATACAAGAAATACTAAAGTTCTACATGCTGAAAGCAAGTGATCCCAGATGGTAATTCAAACACATGCACTCACACACGTTGTAAAGTTAATTATGTAATCAGAAAAGAAGTATAACTGCATATTTTCCCCTTTCTTATCTTCACTGATTTAAAAATTAATTGTATAAAATAAGATGTATGTAATGTGTTGTTGGGCCTATAACATATGGAAATATAATATATGTGTAATATATTTGCCAATGGCAGCAAAAAAAATGTGAGTAGAAGTTAGGCTATATTGGGCTAAGGAAATGACCACAAATTGATGATTGTAACAATGTATTATTAGGTTTGTGACATCAGTAGCTATAATATGTAGAACAATAATGCTACAAAAATAGAAGAAAAGGAATAGAGCTATATAAGAGTAACATTGATAGATAGATAGATTAGATAGATAGACATTATTGAAATTAAACGAGTATAAATCTGAAGTTTATTCTGATAAGTAAATGTGTATATGGTGTATTAGTTTGTTCTCACACTGCTGATAAAGACATACCCGAGACTGGGTAATTTATAAGGAAAAGAGGTTTAATTGACTCACAGTTCAGTATGGCTGGAGAGGCCTCAGAAAATTTACAATCATGGCAGAAGGCATCTCTTCACAGGATGGCAGGAGAAAGAATGAGTGCTGAGAGAAAGGGAAAGCCCCTTATAAAACCATCAGATTTCATACGAACTCACTCACTATCTCAAGAACAGCATGGGAGAAACTGCCCCCATGATTCAATTATCTCCACCTGGTCCTGCCCTTGACACGTAGGCATTATTACAATTCAAGGTGAGATTTGGGTGGGGACACAGAGCCAAACCAAATCATATGGTAAATCCAAGAGCAACCTCAAAAAATTACAAGAAAATATAGTGAAAAAATCATGAAAGAAATGAAAATACTGCCTTAGAAAAATACGCTTAATGCAAAAGAAAGCAGTACAAAAGAAATGGAAAAAAAATATATAAAAAATAAAAAGTAGGCTGGGCACGGTGGTTCATGCGTGTAATCACAGCACTTTGGGAGGCCAAGGTGGGCAGATCACGAGGTCAGGAGATCAAGACCATCCTGGCTAACATCGTGAAACCTCATCTCTACTAAAAATACAAAAAAATTAGCCAGGCGTGGTGGTGGGCACCTGTATTCCCAGCTACTTGGGAGGCTGAGGCAGGAGAATGGCCTGAACTTGGGAGGCGAAGCTTGCAGTGAGCCGAGATTGCACTACTGCACTCCAGCCTGGGTGACAGAGCAAGACTCCGTCTCAAAAATAAATAAATAAATAATAAAATAAAATAAAAATAAAAAGTAAAATGGCAGATGAAAACTCAACTATAGCAGTAATAATATTAAACATAAATGGATTAAACAATCCAATCAAAAGGATTGTCAGACTGGATAAAAAATATGATCTACAGGAGACACACTTTAGATTCAAATATAGAAATAGATTGAAAGTAAAAAGGTAAAAATTATGTATTATGCAAACAGCAATCACTTAAAAACTGAATAACAGATACTACTAATAACAGACAAAAGAGACCTTAAAACAAAAAATATTATCAGAAATAATGAGGGACATTTTATAATGATAAAAGGTCAATCTACCATGAAGATATAATTATAGGCATATATGCTTCTGAAATGGAGCACCAAGGTGCATAAAGCAAAAACTGACAGAAATGAAGGGAGAAACAGATAATTCAACAATTATAACTGGAGGTTTCAATATCCCACTTTTAATAATGGATAGAACAACTAGACAGAAAATCAACAAGAAGACAGAAGACTTGAGAAACTCTATAAACCAACTACACATAACAGACTTCTAGAGAACACTTCACCCAACAATAACAGTATACATTCTTCTCAAGTGGATGTGGAGGATTCTTCAGTAGACCATATGTTAGGCCACAAAATGAATCTCAGTAAATTTAAAAAGATAGAAATAATACAGTGTATGTTCTCCAACCACAATGGGTTGAAATTAGAAATCAATAGTGGGAAAAAATGGGAAAACTCACAAATACATGGAAATAAAACATACTCCTAAATAACCCAAGACTTAAAGAAGAAATCAAAAAGGAAATCATGAAATACTTTCAGATGAATGAAAAGAAAGACTTCATACCAAAATTTATGGGATGCAGCTAAAGCAGTGCTTAGAAGGAAATACATAGCTGCAAAAGCCCACATTAAAGAAGAAAGGTCTCAAATCAATAACCTAACCTAACACCTTAGGATACTGGAAAAAGAAAAGCAAACTAAGCCTGAAGCAAAAGAAGAAAATAAGTAATAAAATTAGAGGAAAGATAAATGAAACAATTTTTTTAATTAGAGAAAAAATCAATGAAATCAAAAGCCAGTTATTTGATAAGATCAACAAAATTGACAAACCTTTAGCTAGATTAATGGAGAGTGAAGGGAGGACTCAACTTACTAGAATCAGACATGAAAGAGGGAACATTATTACCAAACTTACAGAAGTAAAAAGAATTATCAAAGAATATTATGAACAATTATATGCCAATAGATTACATAACTTAGATGAAATGGACAAAATTCCTAAAAGACACAAATTACCAACTCTGGCTCAGCAAGAAAGTAGACAATATGCATAGATATATAACAAGTTAACAAGTGCAGAGTACGCATGCGCCAACTTCCTCTTTTTCCGGCTGGAACCATGGAGGGTGTAGAAGAGAAGAAGAAGGAGGTTCCTGCTGTGCCAGAAACCCTTAAGAAAAAGCGAAGGAATTTCGTAGAGCTGAAGATCAAGCGCCTGAGAAAGAAGTTTGCCCAAAAGATGCTTCGAAAGGCAAGGAGGAAGCTTATCTATGAAAAAGCAAAGCACTATCACAAGGAATATAGGCAAATGTACAGAACTGAAATTCGAGTGGCGAGGATGGCAAGAAAAGCTGGCAACTTCTATGTACCTGCAGAACCCAAATTGGCGTTTGTCATCAGAATCAGAGGTATCAGTGCTGTGAGCCCAAAGGTCCGAAAGGTGTTGCAGCTTCTTCGCCTTCGTCAAATCTTCAATGGAACCTTTGTGAAGCTCAACAAGGCTTCGATTAACATGCTGAGGATTGTAGAGCCATATATAGCATGGGGGTACCCCAATCTGAAGTCAGTAAATGAACTAATCTACAAGCGTGGTTATGGCAAAATCAATAAGAAGCGAATTGCTTTGACAGATAACGCTTTGATTGCTCGATCTCTTGGTAAATACGGCATTATCTGCATGGAGGATTTGATTCATGAGATCTATACTGTTGGAAAACGCTTCAAAGAGGCAAATAACTTCCTGTGGCCCTTCAAATTGTCTTCTCCACGAGGTGGAATGAAGAAAAAGACCACCCATTTTGTAGAAGGTAGAGATGCTGGCAACAGGGAGGACCAGATCAACAGGCTTACTAGAAGAATGAACTAAGGTGTCTACCATGATTATTTTTCTAAGCTGGTTGGTTAATAAACAGTACCTGCTCTCAAATTGAAATAAAAAAAAAAAGTGCAGAGGTTGAATTAGTAATTAAAAAAGCTACCCACAGGCCAGGCGCCGTCCCTGTTATCTCAACATTTTAGGAGGGCAAGGTGGGTGGAAAACTTGAGCTCAGGAGTTCAAGACCAGCCTGAGCAACATGGTGAAACTCCATCTCTAAAAAAAAAAAAAAATTAGCCAGGTACAGTGGCCCATGTCTGTAGTCTCAGCTACTCAGGAGGCTGATGTGAGGATCACTTGAGCCAGGGAGGCAGAGGTTGCAGTGAGTTGAGATCGTACCACCACACTCCAGCCTGGGTGACAGAGAGAAACCCTATCTCAGAAAAAAGAAAAAAAAAAGCTACCCACGTATACGTTTCATGTCTGTATCAAAATATTATATAGGTACCCCATAAATATATACTCCTATTATATATCCATAATAATTAAAAATTTTAAAAAACTACCAACAGTGAAACTCCCAGGCCCAGTTGACCTCACCACTGAATTTCATCAACCATTAAAGAAGGAATCCCAATTCCAAAAAATAGCAAATGGGGGACCACTTCCTCTCTCCCAACTCATTTTATGAGGCAAGTATTACTCTGATACCAAAACCAGACAAAGACATCACAGGAAATGAAAATTACAGGCCAATATCTTTATAAATATGGATGCAAAAATTCTCAACAAAATATTACCAAACCAAATCCAGCAACATTTACAATGACCAAGTGAGATTAATCCCAAAAATGCAAGGTTGACTTGACTTCCCAAAATCAATTAATGTAATACATCATATCATTAGAATAAAAAACTACATAATCATCTCAATAGATGCAGAATAATCATTTGACAAAATCCAACACCCTTTTATGATAAAGACACTCAACAGACTAGGAATAGAGAAGAATTTCCTCAACTTATTAAAAGACATCTGTGAAAAAACATAGCCAACATCAACCTCACTGGTGAAAGACTGGATGTTTTGTTCCTAAGATCAGGAACAAAATGAAGAGATCCACTCTGACCATTTCTATTCAACATTGTACTGGAGGTTACAGGCAGGGCAATTAAGGAAGAAAAAGAAATAAAAGACATATAGACTAGAAAGGAAAAAGTAAAATTATCTTTATTAGCAGATGATATAACCTTGTATGTAGGAAATCCTAAGGGATACACTAAAAAACTATTAAAACTCGTAAATGAGTTGAGCAAGGTTGCAATAAACCAAAATCAGTTGTATTTTTATACCCTTGCAAAGAAATATTCAAAATGAAGTTAAGAAAGCAATTTAATTTATAATAGCATCTTAAAGAATAAAGCACTAAATTTAAGAAGTAAATAATTTTAAGAAGACAAATAAATTTAAGAAGACAAAGACTTGAAACTGAAAAATACAAATACAGCCAACTGATCTTCAACAAAACAAACAAAAACATAAAGTGGGGAAAGGACACCCTTTCCAACAAATGGTGCTGGGATAATTAGCAAGCCAAATACTTACAGACAACTGATCTTCAAAAAAGCAAACAAAACCATAAAATGGGGCAAAAGACATCCTACTCAGCAAAGGTGCTGGGATAATTGGCAAGCCACATGTAGGAGAATGAAACTGGATCCTCATCTCTCACCTTATACAAAAATCAACCCAAGATGGATCAAGGACTTAAACTTAAGACCTGAAACTATAAAAATTCTAGATGATAACATTGGAAAAACCCTTCTAGACACTGGCTTAGGCAAGGATTTCATGACCAAGAGCTCAAAAGCAAATGCAATAAAAACAAAGATAAATAGCTGGGACCTAATTAAACTAAAGAGCTTTTGCACAGCAAAAGGAGCAGTCAGCAGAGTAAACAGACAACTCACACAGTGGGAGAAAATCTTCACAATCTATACATCTGACAAAGGACTAATATCCAGAATCTACAACAAACTTAAACAAATCAGTAAGAAAAAAAAAAAGAACCCATCAAAAAGTGGGCTAAGGACCTGAATACACAATTCTCAAAAGAAGATATACAAATGGCCAAGAAACATATTAAAAAATGCTTGACATCACTAATGATTAGAGAAATGCAAATCAAAACTACAATGCGATATCACCTCACTCCTGCAAGAATGGCCATAATCAAAAAATCAAAAAACAGTGTATGTTGGCATGAATGTGGTGAACAGGGAACACTTCTACACTGCTGGTGGGAATGTAAACTAGTACAGCTGCTATGGAAAACAGTGTGGAGATTTCTTAAACAACTAAAAGTAGAACTACCATTTGATGCAGCAATCCCACTACTGGATATCTACCCAGAGGAAAAGAAGCCATTATTCTAAGACGATACTTGCACATTAATGTTTATAGCAGCACAATTCACAATCGCAAAATCGTGGAACCAACCCAAATGCCCATCAATCAATGAATGGATAAAGAAACTGTGGTATACATATACAATGGAATACCACGCAGCCATAAAAAGGAATGAATTAACAGCATTCACAGTGACCTGGATGAGATTGGAGACTATTATTCTAAGTGAAGTAACTCAGGAGTGGAAAATCAAACATCATATGTTCCCACTGATATGTAGGAGCTAAGCTATGAGAATGCAAAGGCATAAGAATGATACCATGGACTTTGGGGACTTGGGGGGAAGAAAGGGAGGAGGGCGAGGGATAAAATACTACAAATAAGGTTCAGTGTATACTGCTTGGGTGATGAGTGCACCAAAATCTCACAAATCACCACTAAAGAACTTATATAACCAAATACCACCTGTACCCCAATAACTTATGGAAAAAATACATATAGTTTACTCTTCTTAATTTAAAATATATTGAACTTTGAACAATTCAAGTAAAATAACTCTATCTAAAACTTCATAAGCCATGCAAGTATATACTGCATTTTAAACATTTTTAGAACTTTTTTAACCATGGCAGTTTAGTTAAACAAATAATAAATAACTTTTCATTTGCAAAAAAAAGTTATTAAAATTGATTGTGGTGATGGTTGGATATCTGTGAATATACTAAAAACAAATTTTATACTTTATATGGGTAAATTGTATAGTCTGTTAATTACATCTCAATAAAACCCTTTTATATTTTGTATTTATTTATTTATTTATGTATTTATTTATTTATTTATTTTGAAACAGTGTCTTACTCTGTCACCCAGGCTGGAGTGCAGTAGTGCAATCACAGCTCACTGTAGCCTCTACCTTCTGGATTCAGTTGATCCTCCCACTTGAGCCTCTCCAGTAATTGAAACTACAGGTGTGTGCCATCAGGCCCAGCTAAGTTTTGTATTATTTGTACGGAAAGGGTTTCACCATGTTGCCAGGCTGGTCTTGAATTCCTAGACCCAAGCAATCTGCCTACCTTGGCCTCTCAAAGTGCTGGGATTTACAGGCATGAGCTACCACACCTGGCCTCAAAATAGCTATTTTTTTAAATGTTGAGAAAAATGAGCAAGTTGCAAAATAGTTTATATGATATTTTGAAACATGCATGAAATCAAATTTTTTTTTTTTTACTATTATCTAAACTTTTTTTTTTTTTTTTGAGACAGAGTCTCCCTCTGTTACCAGGCTGGAGAGCAGTGGTAGGATCTTGGCTCACTGCAACCTCCGCCTCCCGGGTTCAAGCGATTCTCCTGCCTCAGCCTCCCGAGTAGCTGGGACTACAGGCACGTGCCAGTACGCCTGGCTAATTTTTTGTATTTTTAATAGAGATGGGGTTTCACCATCTTAGCCAGGATGGTCTCGATCTCCTGACCTTGTGATCCGCCTGCCTTGGCCTCCCAAAGTGCTGGGATTACAGGCGTGAGCCACCATGCCCGGCCCCCTGAATTTTTTATAAGGTTAACCTACTCATGAAACCACCACCCAGATCAAGATATTGAACATTTCTAGTACCCCCAAAGCTTCTCTCTTGCCCCTTCTCAGTGATTGCTCCCCCAAACGTAACCCTATTCTAAATTTTGTTACCTTAGATTACTTATGCCTGCTCCTGAAGTTTATATAAATGATACAACCTGTATTTTTTTGTGTTATAGTTTCTTCTGTAAGATGGACATTTGATTTATGCTCCAGTTTTTGGCTACTACAAATAATACTTCCCTAAACCAGTCCAGTGCATGTATTTTTGGTGCATATGTATAAACACACATTTCTGCTGGACATATATCTAGGAGTCAAATTGCTGGGTCTTAAGATACGCACACATTCAGCTTTAGTAAACACTTCCAGATAATTTTCAGAAGTTTTGTACGAACATATACTCTCACCAGCAGTACGACAGTTCCCATCTCCACTTACTCATCAACACTTGATATGGTCTATTTTGTTTCATTTTATAATTTTAGCAATTCTTGTGTATATGAAGTGTTATCTTTTGTTTTAATGTGCCTTTCCCTGGTAAGTAATGATGTTGAGCACTGTTATGGACTGAATTGTGTCCTCTCAAAATTCATTTGTTGAAGCACTAATCCCCAGTACCTCAGAATGTGATTGTATTTGGAGACAGGGCCTTTGAAGAAGCAATTAAATTAAAATGAGGATGTTAAGGTGTATCCTAATATATTAATATGACTGGTGTCCTTATAAAATGACATTAGGACACATGGAGATTAGGACACAAGGAGATTAGGACACATGGAGAAACCAGAGGCATGTGTGCACAGAAGGATGATCATATGAAGAAGCAGCTAGAGCGCCATCTCCAAGTCAAGGAGAAAGGCTTCAGAGGAAACCAGTTCTACCAATAGGATCTTGAACTTTTGGCCTCTAGAACTGTAAGAACATAAATTTTTATTGTTTAAGGCACCCATTATGTGGTACTTGATGACAGAAGCCCTAATGAACTAATATAGTCACCTTATCATATGCTTATTGGCCATTTTAAAATCCTTTTCTATAAACACCTGTTCAAACAATCCATTTAAAACTAGATTATTTGCCTTTTCCTTATTGATGGTTAGTAGTTGCTTACATATTGGGGATATGAATTCTTTGTCATATATATGCATTATACAAATCTTCCACTCAGTGATTTGCCTTTTTACTCTTTTAATGGTGTCTTTTAATTAACAGATATTCTTGGTTTCCATGAAGTCCAATATCTCATTCTTCTCTTTTATAGTTAGTACTTTGAATTCTGTTTAGAAAAATCTTTGCCAAAAAAAATGCTGATAAGGACATTCTCCTGTGTGATTTTTTACAAAATGTATTGCTTCACTTTCCACATTTAGATCTGAAGTCCATATAGAAGTGATTTTTTGTGTGTAACATAAGATAAAGATAAAGATTCCTTTTTTACTTCAATTTGGATATTTCCTTTTTTGGAAAAAAAATGACCCTTTCCCTTGCACTTCCAAGGCAACTTTGAATTTAATCAATTATCAATCTATTTCTGTGTTTTCTACTTCATCTCACTGACCTATATGGTCAATTCTCATTATTTGCAATAGTTAATAATAAAGTTTCTGCAAACACTGGATTAGCAAATACCAAATGATTGCTCCTATGCGAAATAAAAGATTAGGTTCCTGAAAGCCTCCAGTCACAATATTTGTGTCAACTGATCAATACATAACCTTGTTTTATGTGTGTTTTTGTTTTAAAAAAAATCTTTAATATTATTGTTGATTCGTTAACAATAAGCTCATCGCTAACAGCACTGTATGCCTAAAAGAAGCTTATATGACAGATATTATTTTCTCAGTAGAGCACATCACTGCCTTCTTGCACTTAGGAACACCAGCAAGCACTTCAGCACTACTCTTTGTGGCCATTTAAATAGCAAAATCATCAACAAGAAGCACAAAAATGTGAAAAATGTGGCACTTGATCACAAAAAGGACATTATTTAGATATAAGAGAAACTGACACCTTATTCAACCTCAGCTGGTAATATGCATGTTAGGCAATTCAAATTTTTCAATGCTATACAAATGTCCTCTAATGACTGTGAAGCAGCAAATATTGATTTGGGGGTTACAAATAAATTTTAGCAGGTATGTGAATTTGCAAATCTAAATCCATGAATAATGAGAATGAATTGTATATCTATATCATGCCCGTCTTATTCTACCATATTTACTATGGTTTTTTAACTTAATATCCAGTAGTATATAAATCCTTTAACTTTGTTCTTTTTCAAAACTGTCAGAGTTATTCATTTTAGAATCAGCTTATCAAGTTTTAAGAAAGCTTCCAGGGGTTTGAGATTGCATTACATTAAAAAACAAAAAGAAAAAACCGGCTTGGATTCTGATTGGGATTGCAATGGATCTAGAGATCAGTTTGGAGGAAACTATGTTGTCTTCCAAATCTACATATGGTATGTCTTCCCATTTATTTATGTCTTTCTCTCAGAAATATTTTGGAGTTTTCTCTGTAGATATCTCTTACATCATTTCTTAGGATATATTCCTAAGTGTTTTCCATGGTATTGCAAAAATTATCATTTTAAAATTCTTCACTACATATAAACATGATTGATTTTTGTATTTTGATCTTGCCAAATTCATTTACTAATTTTAACATTGTATCTGTACTTCTAAAATTTTATACATACATAATCATGTCATTCATGAACAATGACATTTTTATTTATTCCTTTCCAATCCTTATAATATTTATTTTTCTTGCCATATAGCACTAGCTAAGACTTCAGTACAATTCTGAATAGAAATGGTGAGAGCTGGCACCCTTTTTTCCCTATATCAGGAAGGAAAACTTTCAATAATTCAATATTATGTTTGATGTTTACATAATATTTTTGTAGATATTCTATATGAGTTTTGGGTTATAGCCTTTTATTCCTAGTTTTCTAAGAGCTTTCATAAAAATGTGTTGATTTTCTATCAATGCTTTTTTTCTTTGTTTATTGAGATAACCATATGGAGGAGGTTTTTTGTCTTTTATTCTATGAATTTTATTAATGTGAATTTTATTGACTTGTTAAATGTTAAACTAATCTTGCATTCCTGGAATAAACCCAACTTGATTGTGGTATATTATCAGTTTTATAGATAGCTGGATTAGATTTGCTAATATTTTAATTCTGGATTTTTACAACTATGTGTATCTGTTTTGATTGCCTTACCAATGTCTGCAGTGGATTAGCAGGCATCTCCTTTCACGATAGGTTCACATGACTGAGCATATAACACCCAACAGGATGTAGAGGAAACACATCGGAGTTATTAAGACATACAACGCCCAGAAGGAGGGATACAGCTTGCCCCAAGGGACCACACAGATGGCACATGGGGTGAGAGAAACAGGACAAAACAAAGCAGCCTTACAAGCCTCGAAGGATAGGGCTTCCCACAGATACCTTTAATTGGGTACTTTGAGTAAAAGGTAGTGGGAAACTAGGTCAGAGCTGACAAAGAGGAAGATGCAGAGGGGAACTGAGAGTGAGCTCTGTTAGATAAAATAGCTGGCAGCAAAGGAGTCTTGCTCAGGACAGCAAGGGGAAGAGCAGCTAGCAGGACTAGTGGCCTGTGTGATAAGGGAGGAGTCCTCCCTTGGAACAGGTCTATATTTCTCCCTTTCCCCTTGACAGATGTCGTGGCAACAACTTATGCTAAGTAAAATATTTTCTCACTACAGTATTAATGAGAGAGATTGGCTTGTATTTTTCCTTTCTTGTATTGTCTTTGTCAGGTTTTGTTAGAAAGGTTATGCTGGTCTCATAGAATGAGTTGGAAAGTGCTCCCTCTTTTTTTGTTTTCTGGAAAAGTTTATGTAAGACTTGGATTACCTAATGTTTGGAAATATTACTTTCAATATTAATGGAAATAAATGTTTGGAAGAATTCACCAGAGAAGTCATCTGAAACTTTATTTTTCTTTCTGAGTGGTTCTTCTAATTAGACTCAATTTCTTTAATAGAAAATAAAATTGAATTTTTTATTCCTCCCTGATTCCATTTTCTTAAGTTTTTTCAAGCAATTTTCACTTTTGTTGAAATTTTCAAATGTTTAGGTATACATTTGTATTTAAGGTATAAATATATATAACATCCTCCTTATTGCCTTTTCAATAATTAGGATCTATAGCAATGTCTCATTTTGTTACTGATATTGGTCATTTGTGCCTTCTCTGCTTTTTTTCCTCATCAGTATTAGCAGGAGTTAATCAAACTTATTAGCCTTTTCAAAGAACAACTTTTGGCTGTATTTATTTTCTCTATTGTACCTATGTTTTCTGTTCTCTTGCTTTCTGTTCTTATTTTTATTATTTCTCTTCTTCCATTTCAGGTTTAATTCACAGATCCTTTACTAATTTCATGAGATAGATACTTAATTTGATGGTAGCCAGCCTTTCTTTTTTCCAATATATGTGTTTAGAGCTGTAAGCATCCCATTAAGCCTGGCTTTCGCTGTATCTTGTAAGTTTTAGTCTGCTGTATTTTTATTATTGCATAGCTCAATGTTTTCTAATTTCCAATTTGATTTCTTCTTTTACCCTTAAGTTATACAGAAAATGTTATCCAATTTCCAAATGTTTGGGGGTTTACTCGTTTTTCTGTTATTGAATTCTACTTTAATTCTGCAACGGTCAGAAAACACTTTGTAAGATTTCAGTCATTTGATATTTGCTGAAACTTGCTTTATGTTCCACCATATGATCAATTTTAGTAAATGTTCCATATGCACTTAAAAGAATGTACATTCTAGGTTGTTAAATACTGATTGTAATTATATCAATTGAATTAAAATTGTTCAAATCTTTTATATTTCTACTTATTTTCCCTGCCTCCTCTATTGGTGACTGTGAAGTATACTAATCTACAATTATGATTATGAAATTATCTATTTATATTTTTATATGTTTTATTTGATATGTATTGAGGCCATGTTATTAAGAATATGCAAATTTAGAACTATGTGGGATTGGCCTTTCATTATGAAATGAACTTCTTTGTCTTAGTAAAGTCTACTTTATCTGGTATTACTGTCACCAGGTTTCTTGTGTATTACATTTACTTGAAATATCTTTCCTTATCCTTTTATTTTCAGTCTTTCATGTCCCTGTACTTAAGGTATGGCACTATAAGCAGCATATAGTTAGATTTTTTTAAATTGAGTCTGATAGTTTATCTTTCAATTATTTATTCAACTTACATTTAGTGTAACTATGATAATATCTGGGTCTAAATCTCCCATATTAATTTATATTTCCTACTTGTGTTATTTGTTCTTTGTTCCTTATTTTTCTTTCTTGCCTTGTTTTAGATAGTCAAGAATTTATTATTATTCAAATTTCTCTGTCTGTGGACTTATTATTTGTGTCGGCAGATCTCCAGACCACCCTCAGGTTTGATGATTCCTTAGAAGAACTCAGAACTTGGAAAAGCTGTTATACTCACCATTACAGTTTATGACTGCAAAAGTATACAAATTAAAATCAGCAAAAGAAAAGGGCAACAGAGGTGTCCAAGAGAAACCAGGATCAATCTTTCAGTTTGGAAAAGAGGAAACCAGGATTCCTCTTTCAGTGTAGTTGGAATAACACCACTTAATTCTCCCAGCAATGATGTTTTCAATGCATGCAAAGTACTGCTAACATGAGAAAAAACAGAGAAGCTCACCTGAGCCTTGTTGTCCAGTGTTTTTATTGGAGAGTCAGTCACATAGGTATGGAGAACCCTTGTGATTGACCTTAGCTAATCAGTTTCCAGTCCCTCCACCTCAGAGGTCAAACTAATGTGGTATGGCCAGGGCCACAGGTGAACAAAAACAGGTGTTCACCATAAATCACATTGCTAGCAATAAACTAACTGTCATGACCCACATTCCCAGGTAAGGGACCTAAAGGAATTGAAAGAACAAATCACATGAATATCAGAAAGAAGAGAGTCCCAGGCAGAGGAAACACCAGGAGCAAAAGCCCTGAGGTGGGGACATGCTCAGAGAGTTGAAAAACAGCCAGGAGAACAGTGGGTAGAGTGCAGTGAGGCAGAGAGTATTAGAAATAAGGTTCCAGAGGTAGGCAGGTGCCAGATTACACAATACAAAGTAATGACTTTGTATTTTACTCTAAGGATGATCAGAGCCTTTGGAGAGTTTTCAGCAGAGGAATGTTGTATCTGAATTGCCATGAGTGACAGAGGCAGAGACAGAGAGAGAGAGAGGGAAAGAGAGTGAGATTTATTTGGTTACAGAAATTATAGACTATAAGCAGCAAGAGTGGAAAAGAGGAAACCAAGTAATAAACTATGGCAGCATTACAAAAGACAGATGATGGTAGCTTTGATTGTGTCCAGCAACAGGAGAATGATTAAATGAATTACAGTAAATCCATATAATGGAATATGATACAGTCATTATAAATAATATAAAATAATACATAAGAACACAAGAAAATGTTTATAATATAGTAAATGTAAACAAAGCAGTTATAAAAATAAACTATTATCTGAGTCACAAAGTTCATTCATCCATGTATAATATGGTGCTAGTTTATAAAAATATTATAGGCATAGAATATTAAAGCTGGAAGAGACTTAGAATGCACCTAACCCACCAGGAACAGAAGGATTACGTGACTTAAGTGATGGAGCAAGGCCTAGAATACAGATCTGATTTTCAGTCTAATGCTCATTCTATTTCACCCATGGTCTCTCTTTTATGTTAGATTTCATAAGTGCTTATACTCCTGCTAATTGGCATTCAAACAGACAATTAGAGCTAACAGAAAGTCTATTTTATTCATAAGTTATATTAAATCTTCTTAAATCTAGATTTTTAAAATTAATCTATAGTAGACTGAAGCCCTGTCCAAATAAGAAAGGGGGCAGGACTACCTCAAAATAAGAGATAGATACGTAGATAGATAGATGATAGATACATAGATAGATATAATTTTCAGGAGTCTTCACATAAATCAAGTCATTGAAAATAAATGATGAGTTCATGTCCTTTGTAGGGACATGGATGAAGCTGGAAACCATCATTCTCAGCAAACTATCGCAAGGACAAAAAACCAAACACCGCATGTTCTCACTCACAGGTGGGAATTGAACAATGAGAACACTTGGACACAGGAAGGGGAACATCACACACCGGGGCCTGTTGTGGGGTGGGGGGAGGGGGGAGGGATAGCATTAGGAGATATACCTAATGTAAATGACGAGTTAATGGGTGCAGCACACCAACATAGCACATGTATACATATGTAACAAACCTGCACATTGTGCACATGTACCCTAGAACTTAGAGTATAATAAAAAATGTATATATAAAAAATAAAAAAGAAATAAAAAAAGAAAATAAATAATTAAATACATCTTGGCATACATTATAAAAATGTCTGTGATCCATGATTTTTAAAATTTCTAACAATGGTATACAGAATTTATCAAGGAAATAACATGCTTGGGCAGCAAAATACTGTTTCTATGACACCAGTAACCATTTCTTCTTTGAATCTGCAGGTTTCCCTGGCTATGATTTTAGATCAACAGGCTAGAAGTCTACTTCTAGAAACCAAACAGCCCAACCTTCTCCTTTCTATGGTAACGTAACAGAGCCCTTCACTGTCTGAGCTACAGGGGAAAAAAAGCTGTTTTTAATTAACCATTAATTATTTGAATGCAGCCTGCATTATGCGGAAAAATGTGTTACTTTCATCTTAATTTAAAAGACAACATCTGAGGTTCCAACTGACAAGAAGATACACTTTATAAATGCATTTATATCACTATTCTCCTTCAGAGCATTAGAAAATAGATTCATGGGCTTGGATAAAGAAGACGTCTGTGGTTCTGCAGGGTCTGAAATAGTAAGAAAGGTGAAAGATGAGGAAACGAGGGTTTATCCCCAAAGCTTTTTACAGAGGAGAGAAAACATTTTTTAATTTGAGAGCCTTCTGATTACTGTAAGTAGCTATCTGAATATTGAAAAGTAAAATTCAGATGAGATCTTACTGACTGCTAACAAAATCGATTTGAAATTTAAGGTCTTCTTCGTGCTTCATTTGCTATAAAGTCTTTAAAGGTATTTGAATCTGTGTACTAAATTAGATCAAACAGAAAATAGAAAAGATTTGTCACAGGTATAGAGTGCGTGACCAATAAGATCAAGTTCAACTATAAGAATGTTTATGAATATGGGGGAGAGTTGCCTCAATATTTTTATAATTTTATGTACGTTATTTTTCACGTCTTAAAGCTGCCCAAGTATAGAAAAATGCAGGACTCCAGTAACAGTTACCAGCATGATTTGCTTTTATTACCCTTCTGTTCAAGACCCTTGTTTCCCCTTGTAGCATGTCAAATTGCCCCCAAAACCACATTATACAGCAGAGAAATGTTGTTCACACTTCACTGGCTATTGATTTACTTTGTTTATTGGCACAAAATCAGCTTGAGATAAACATTTTGTCCCGCATTTCCACTATTGTAAGTGGTTATACTTCATTGCAAGATAGGTAAGCCCAAATGTGCAGGGTCACAATTCGACATGGCTTTCTAATCAATGTGTGCAAAATTATCTAATGAATAATGGGTTGCACATTTCCACAAACAAATTAACCAGGGTGAGACTGAAACTAATGATTATATTTATCTAATGTAATTTCACATCTGTTACTAGTGGTAGTAATTTTTTTTTCTCTTTCATCCGTGGCGTCCTCAAAATTACAACTTAGCTTTTCAGATACAGTTATGGAACATCAGTTTAACTAGAAAATAGACAATTTTGTGGAATGTTTATTTTTTTCTTTAAATGCCAGTGGTCCTGAGCAATATGATGCTATTTTATGAAATTTGGGAATCCAGACGTTTCTTAACTATTACCTCTGTTGTTTTCTAAGTACTGGCTGTGGGCTTAATGCCATAACCTATTGGTCAAATTCCATCATTCAGTCTCATAAAAAACAAAATGACTCCATTTTACCACTGTAAGACCATCCTTAATTTTGCCTGTCTTTACAATAATATAACATTTAATCCTGATCTAAAATGTAGAAGGTTTTTTGAGACAGAGTCTCACTCTGTTGCCAAGCTAGAGTGCAGTGGTGTGATCTTGGCTCACTGCAACCTCCGCCTCCCAGGTTCAAGTGACTCTCCTGCCTCAGCCTCCCAAATAGCTGAGACTACAGGTGTGCACCACCACCCCCAGCTAAGTTTTGTGTTTTTAGTGGAGACGGGGTTTCACCATGTTGGCCAGGATGGTCTTGATCTCTTGACCTCGTGATCCCAAAGTGCTGGGATTACAGGCATGAGCCTCCACGCCTGGCTGAATTCTTTTTTAAGTAGAAGCAGTTTCCAACTTGGGGAAAAAAAATTATTACTATTACTTTGAGACTTTTTTTTTTCAGTGCTTCATCAAAAATGTTCTTAAACTTTTTCTAAATTGAAATGGAGTCTTGCTATGCTGCCCAGGCTGGTCTTGAACTCTTGGCTCAAGCTATCCTCCTGTTTCAGCCTCCCAAGTAGCTGGGGTTACAGGTACCACTACACCTGCCTTCTTTTTCTACTGCCAGCAGAAATACAACAACAACTAGCACAGTTTTGTGCCATATGTATTGATTCACTCTAAAACATGAGCAGTTTCATCTACCATTGATTTTGCACCATCACGGCAAATGTCAACACAGTGAAAAAGGTAGATAACATCTTGTCTTATTATGAAAATGGTTTTAGCCAGGCAAAGTGGCTCATGCTTGTAATCCTAGCACTTTGGGAGGGAGGTTAAGGGGGTGGATTGCTTGAGCTCAGGAGTTCGAGACCAGCCTGGGCAACATGGCGAAACCCCATTTCTACAAAAAAAATACAGAAAATTTAGCCAGGCATAGTAGTGCACACCTGTAGTCCCAGCTACTTGGGAGGCTAAAGGCGGAAGGATGGCTTGAGCCTAGGAGGTTGAGGCTGCAGTGAGCCATGATTGTGCCACTGTAATCTAGCCTGGGTGACAGAGTGAGATCCTGTCAAAAAAAAAAGAAGAAAAAGAAAAAAAAGACAAGAAAATGGTTTTAACCTCCTGGATCTCTTGAAAGGGGAGGGGACCCAAAGATGTCTGCAGACCACTCTTTGAGAACCACTGCTCTAATAAGCCTATAATTCTTTGTATAGGGAGGGAAGGTAATGGCTGAGGGGAGAGTGGAGAATAACTCTTTAAAAACAATCCAGAAAATTGAGGAAAAGGTACTTTGAATATTAATGAGTGTTTAATTCATTTAGCTTTCCTTACAGTTTGACTGATTTTAGATAGTTTCTTTATTTAGTTCTCTACCTTGTTTCTGGCCCTGATCTGAGTTTGGCCCTCAGTAAGTAGTTTCATCAGAGTCGTGATTAGGCAAACTGTGGATGAAATTTCACAGTTCTGCCTATAGCAGCAAATACCTATGAGGGCTTGAGCCCCTTCAGTAATCTAAAGTAAGGGGAAATCTCATGATCACCCAATATCATATACCTCTTTACGTATTTTGTCTGTACTAGAATGTACACTCCTTGAAATAGATTTGTTTTGTTCACTGCTTTATCCTCAGTTCCAAGGGTGGTACCTGACTCATATATAGGCACTAAACAAATATCTATTGAATGAATGAATGAATGTACCCCATATGAACCTACACAAAGAATAAGCTTAAAATAATGTAACATTATTTTTCAAACACATCCAGATGAGTGTTTTGAAATAATTTAACTTAGAGAGGTTACAATCATTTTCTAGTGATGCTGCAACTGTCATTCAGAGTGTTTTTTGAACATCAGAGAGGAGGTGATGGGAAATACGCCACATTTGGATTCAGAAAGACTTTAGTTAGAATCCTGGTCCCAGCAATTACCACTGAAATGAAATTGGGCAGTGACTTAACCTCTCAGATAATCTCCTCAATTGTAAAACAGAGAGAGAAGAAACTATCTCATAGAGACATTGTGGGAATAAAATTAAAGGAAACTACATTTGTGATTGTATCTAGCACATTGCCTAGCAAATAGAAAATAACAAGCACAGGTTAAATGCTAGTGTCTAGACAGTTGGTATTGGGCTATCATACTTCTATTCCATCTACCTTTGATAACAATATCAAAAGTTGACCCTCCCCAGTTATCAGTCCATATGCTTTGGATAGAGCTTCAGACCTAGGTTTATTGGCCTGAGCCTAAACAATCAGTGCATCATTTCCCTGGACATACTACTCCCTTGTACAAGATGACCACATATCTCAGTCAGAGCCAATGACAGTCAATGGAATTCTTGTTGGGAATCTGGGGGAAAAGGCTCTCTCTTTTCCACTAGACTTAAACCTGAAAAGATGCAGACAGGAGCTGCTTCAGCCATCCTAGAACCACAGAGAAGACCCTGCCTGAGAACAGAACACAAACAGCACAAGTCAGAGGTGAGAGACAAAGAAGGAAGAACTAGGCTCAGTGAACAACACTTGAGCTCCAATCAAGTAATGCCTGAAGCCAAGCTGGCCTTTGAAGTTATGTGAATCAGTAAGTTTCCTTTTTTTTTTTGTTTTTTTTGTAGCTTAGCTTGAGTTGAGTTGTCTGACATTAACAATAGAAAAGTACAGCCTGATGCAGTATTTTTTGCTTGTTCATAGGCTCAACCTAGATTTGCACAGACAATTATGGTTCAATGTTAACGCTGCTGCTGAGAGCTGAAACATAAAGCCAAAGTCTGTCCTGAAGTATTTTAAATTCCTATGGCCTTAAGGAAGCCACAAGTCAAGGAAGCCAAAGTCAAGGAAGCCATAAGTCAAGATTCTCATAGTATTTGGTTAATATTTAGATCAGGCATTCCTGACAAAAGAAAATACAGTAATTTCAAACTTGAAGTCTTTAGACCTTTAGGGATGTGCAATTACTAATATTAGAAATATTAGGAATAGCTTGAGGCACTTCAAGCTACTACTAATATTTCTAAAAAGTCTAAAACCAGTTGCATATGTTCCTTTAATGAGGTTAACTAAAACATACGTTTTTTTTTTTTCTATTGATAGAATTATGTCTACTCCATGCATTTACAATGGTTATCTCTTGCTAATCGGAAGCTCTTTTTTTTTTTTTTTTTTTTTTTGAGATGGAGTCTCTCTTTCACCCAGGCTGGAATACAGTGGTACTATCTCAGCTCACTGCAACCTCCGCCTCTGGGGATCAAGTGATTCTCCTGCCTCAGCCTCCTGAGTAGTTGGGATTAAAGGCATCTGCCACCAAGCCTGGCTAATTTTGTATTTTTAGTAGAGACGGGGTTTCACCATTTTGGCTAGGCTGGTCTTGAACTCCTGACCTCAGGTGATCTGCCTGCCTCGGCCTCCCAAAGTGCTGGGATTACAGGCATGAGTCACCACACCCTGCCTGGAAGCTCTTAATATCAGATACATAGATAGCTACACAGACAGCTAGCTAGCAAGATATCCTTGACTGATTTTCCAAATGAGATTATTTAGTTAATAAATGCTATATGATAGGTAAAATATTACAATATACAGGGTCCCATGGTGGGAAGAGAGGTGAAGAATAAAAAGGGTCTTTAGCATTTGGTGATGAAAAGAAGAAAATGCTAATGTAAGAGGCTAGCCCTCTTTCTTTACAGCTATTTGTTGGTGGTGGGAGGTGGTGGCATGGAGAACACACAATCCAATAAAGTACACAGTGGTTTTAAAAGCACTATGCTTTAGGGGCAAGATATGTTAAAGCCACAATCTGATTGCATTTTGGGATGATTCTGCTTACTCAACAAATAACTGTCAAGGGCCCACAATGGCACTGGAGAGGAAAGATAACATAGAAAAGAGCAAGACAAGTTCATCGAGAAACTCCAAGTTTTGTGGTTATGGTCACATATTATTCTGTAACATTCTCTTGCGGATCATGGCATTCTCCTTCCTCATGCCTCCAGATACAGCTGAAGTGATGTCTTCTACATGGCCTATTCCTAAAGAAAATTTAAAACCCCTGTGCCAGAATGTACTACTAAACTTTCATAGGTCAAACATGGGTTTGACCATGGATTTATTGAAATTACTGATCTATGTACTCAAGTCTTACCAATATAATCAAATCCCTCTTCAGAATCACACACTAAAAATAATAGCCTTGGTACATTCATACAATGGAATACCACTGAGCAAGAAAAAACCGACACATGCCACAACTAGGATGAATCTTAAAACCTTCATGCTAAGTGAAAGAAGCTAAACTCACAGACCACATATTGAATGATCTCACTTATTTGTTATTCTGGAAAAGACGAAACATTTAGAAACAATAAATAGACCAGGGGTCGAAAGCAGGGAGAAGGGATTGACTACGAAAAGGCATAAGGGGATTTTTGGAGGTGATAAAAATATCCTATATATTGATTGTGGTGGTAGTTACATGGCTATGTACATTTGTCAAAACTCAGAGCTGTATATCTAAAAAAAATTTTACTATGTAAAAATTTCACATAGTTGAGGCCGGGCACAGTGGCTCACGCCTATAATCCCAGCACTTTGGGAGGCAGAGGCGGGTGGATCACGAGGTCAGGAGTTCAAGACCAGCCTGGACAAGATGGTGAAACCCCGTCTCTACTAAAAATATGAAAATTAGCCGGGGGCAGTGGCAGGTGCCTGTAATCCCAACTACTCAGGAGGCTGAGGCAGGAGGATCGCTTGAACTTGGAGGGCAGAGTTTGCAGTGAGCCGAGATAACGCCACTGCACTCCAGCCTGGATGGCAAAGTGAGACAATGTCTCAAAAAAAAAAATTCACATAACTAAAATTATATTATCTAACTCTGTGTGTATGTGTGTGTGTGTGTGTGTGTGTGTGTGTGTGTGTAAGGCCATAAACAGTGTGTATCTAGTCATCATCTAAGTCAGAGTAAGTTCAAGAAGATCATAGTAAGAAAAGGTGTTCAAGAAAAATTCAAACACTAGAGTTCTGGAAGTTCATAAAGATGACTATGGGAAATGTTTCTCTTGAAACCAAAGGAATTATAACTGAAGGCTAAAATTGAAACATGAAACTAATAAAATAATAAACTTTGGGGAATAGTACTATAGGTGAGAATAGTACTATTGCCTAAAATAGTTTTTTAAATCATCAGAAGAAAAATTTTAGAGTAAAAACTTGACCCTTTATTAAATTTTTATTTTGTCGAGATATACCTACCTGAGATGAACCCTGAACTAAAGTGGGCCTGAAAGATAAAAATCATTTTATTTCAGCTACTGGGAATCAGTCCATTGCTTTTCTTCTGACTTTCTAGAGGGATAATAGCATAGTATTTTCTCAAAATCTTCATTAGAAAGAGTTACAAGGATGTCAGTAAAGCAGAGAAACTATAAATAACATTAATTTTAAATGTATTGTTTATAAATGAAGTACTTAGACTGCAAGGAGGTTAGAGAGTGAGAAAACTAGCTTGAAGATGCATTGTAGAAAACCTTCACTACAATTTGACTAAGGGTTTGGCACTTAAGGTGTGGGAGGGAAAGTTTCTGCTGCTTCAATATGAAGCTACTTTTCTAAACGCAGCTACACTCTCATTTCAAGTTCACCACCCAATGGCTCATCTCTCCTTACCTGGTGCCTCCCTCAGAGACACAGAATGGAAATAAAGTGAAACGTAATTCCTCCCCAGTTCCTTTTCCTATTCATAAATGTCAAGGCTGAATCTTTTTAAAAACCTTTTAATTACTTTTTATTGATACATAATATTTGTACATATTTATGTAGCACATGCAATATTTTGTCACATGCATAGAATGTGTAATGATCAAGTCAGGGTATTTGAATCCATTAGCTCAAGTATTTACCATTTCTATGTTCTGGGAACATTTCAAGTCCTCTTTATAGCTATTTTGAAATATACAAAACATTGTTGTTAACTAGAGTCACCCTACTCTGTTATCAAACATTACAACTTATTCTTTCTATCTAACTGTATATTTGTACCCATTAACCAACCTCTCTTCATCCCCACCCTTCCCATCCTCTGGTATCTATCATTCTACTCTTTTTTTTTTTTTAGATGGAGTTTCTCTCTTGTTGCCCAGGCTGGAGTGCAATGGCATGATCTTAGCTCACTGCAACCTCCATCTTATGGGTTTAAGCGATTCTTCTGCCTCAGCCTCCCAAGTAGCTGGGATTACAGGCATGCGCCACCACGCCTGGCTAATTTTTGTATTTTTGGTAGAGACGGGGTTTCTCTATGCTGGTCAGGCTGGTCTCGAACTCCCAACCTCAGGTGATCCACCTGCCTCGGCCTCCCAAAGGGCTCAGATTACAGGCATGAGCCATCGTGCCCAGCCCATTCTACTCTTTATGTCCATGAGATCAGTTTTTTTAGCTCCCACATATGAGTGAGAATGTATGATACTTGTCTTTCAGTACCTGGCTTATTTCACTTAACATCATGACCTCTAGATCCATCCATGTTGCTGCAAATGACATGATTTTTTTTTCTATGATCAAATAGTATTCCATTGTGTACATATAGCACATTTTCTTTGTCTGTTCATCCTTTGATGGACATTTAGGTTGATTCCATATCTTTGCTATTATAAATAGTGCAGCAATAAACATGCAAGCGCAGGTATCCCTTTGATATAGTGATTTCATTTCCTTTGGATAAATGCCCAGTAGTAGAATTTCTGGATTGTATGGTAGTTCTACTTTTAGTTTTTTGTTTGTTTGTTTGAGAAATCTCCACACTGTTTTCCATAGTGGTTGTACTAACTTATATTCCCACCAACCATCTATAAGAGTTCCCTTTTCTTTGCATCCTCACCAGCATCTGTTATTTTTTTGTCTTTTTTTTTTTTTTTTGAGGTGGAGTCTCGCTCTGTGGCCCAGGCTAGAGTGCAGTGGCTCAATCTCGACTCCTGCAAGCTCAGCTCCCTGGGTTCATGCCATTTTCCTGCCTCAGCCTCCCGAGTAGCTGGGACTACAGGCGCCCACCACCATGCCCAGCTAATTTTTGTATTTTTATTAGAGACGGGATTTCACCAAGTTAGCCAGGATGGTCTCGATCTCCTGACCTCGTGATCCCCCTGCCTTGGCCTCCCAAAGTGCTGGGATTACAGGCATGAGCCACTGCGCCCAGCCCTTGTCTTTTTAATAACAGCCATTCTAACTGGGTGAGATGATATCTCATTGTGGTTTTCATTTGCATTTCCCTGATGATTAATGATGTTGAGCATTTTTTCATATACCTGTTGGACATTTGTATGACTTCTTTTGAGAAATGTCTATTCATGTCCTTTGCCCACTTTTCAATGGGGATTATATGGTTTTTGGTTTTTACTATTGAGCTGTTTGAGTTTCTTGTATGTGTTGGACATTAGTTTCCTCTCAGATGCATAGTTTGCAAATATTTTATCCCATCCAACAGGTTGTCTCTTCACTGTTGATTGTTTCTGTTGCTATGCAGAAGCTTTTCATAATAGTTTAATATAGTTCTATTTGTCTATGTTTTAGTTGTCTGTGCTTTTGAAGTCTTAGCTATAAAATCTTTGCCTAGACCAATGTCTTGAGGTGTTTGCTCTATGTTTTCTTCCAGTAGTTTTATAGTTTTAGGCCTTATGTTTAAGTCTTTAATCCATCTTGAGTTGACTTTTGTATATAATAAGAAACAGGAGTCCAGTTTGATTCTTCTGCATGTGGATATCCAGTTTTCTTAGTACCATTTATTGAAGAGGGTGTCCTTTCCCCAGTGCATGTTTCTGGCACCCTTGTCAAAAATTAGTTGGTTATAAATATGTGGATTTATTTCTGGATTCTCTATTCTGTTACATTGGTGTATATGTCTGTTTTTATACCAATACCATGCTGTTCTGATTAATAGAGCTTTGCAATATATTTTTGAGTCAGGTAGTGTGATGGCTCCAGCTTTGTTCTTTTTCCCTCAAGATCGCTTTGGCTATTCAGGCTCTTTTCTGGTTCCATATGAATTTTAGGATTTTTTTTCTATTTCTGTGAAAAATGACATTGCTATTTTGATACGGATTGCATTGAATCTGAAGATTTCTTTAGACAGTATGGTTATTTTAATTATAGTAATTCTTCCAATCCATAACTGTGGGATGTCTTTCCACTTGTTTATATCCTCATCCATTTCTTTCATCAGTGTTTTGTAGTTTTCCCTGTAGAGGTCTTTCACCTCCTTGGTTAAATTTATTCCTGCCTTTGTTTTGTTTTGTTTTTAGCTACTGTAAATGGAATTGCCTTCTTGATTTCTTTCTCAGCTAGTTCTGGTGCTTTACATGCTCAGAGAAACTTCTCTAGTAATAAACTAAGAAATGATCTCTGAAAATATAGTCTTTCAAGGCTCAATCTTTAAAAGTCATCCTCAGTCTTAAGCAAACTGGCATTCTCATAAATTGCTATTAGGGCTTGTTAAGCACTTGTGGAGGACGTTTTGTCCTTAAGTTGTTAAGCCCTTGTGGAGGATGTTTTGACATTATCTATAAAATTAAAAATGGAAAAGTCTTTGATCTAGCAACTCTACTTCTAGAAATTATCCAATGAATATATTCAGGCACATGAAATGATAAATGTTCATTATTCACTACAGCATAATTATAATAGGAAAAGACCAAAACCGACCTAAATGATCACCAATAGGGGACTCAAGTGATTATATTGCATCCATACATGAAATACTACATAACTTTAAAAAAAATGAGAAAGCTCTTTATGTACTGAGGTAGAAATCTCTCCAATGTACACTATATGAAAAAAGTAGTGTACAGAACAGGGAAACAGAATGTTACCATTTGTGCACTAAAAGGGGAAAGAACATATAATCAAATTGGTTCTTAATGCATTTTTTAAAAATCTCTAGGATACACAGGAAACATAACAATGACTACCTGTTAAGAAGGAGAATTTCGGTATGGGGGCAGAGGTGGGAGGAAGGCTTTCTACTATAGACTCTTTTATATTTTAATTGTTAACCATTCTACCCTCTCCAAATTGTTGAGTCAACTTTTACCTCCTAATGAGCTGCCAAAAATGCTACTGATTGAACCAGCCCTAAATAAAATGATGAAGATTGTCCTTGGGATCCTCGTCTGACCTGGACAGTTTTCTGCTTCTGCTGTGTTAGCACACATTCTGTCTGCTCCTTACTGTTGTCTGCCCTAAATTCTCAAAGCCTTCACCACTGACCTTCTCCCTACCACTCCACATGCCCAAGGATTCTCACCATAAATCACTTCTCTGCCAGATTTCCCAAAGCAGGGGTTACATACACTCTTTATTCATTAGTAGTGGGTATTTTGTTGTTGTTTCCCTCTGGGAGTGGTGTGTGGTGGAAGTTGCCCAATATCAAATCCTCTTCCTATTTAGAGGAATCCATTTTGTGTACAGTCTTGTGAGAGGCTTTGCTCTACGGGACCAAAAGGGACAGATCCTTTGTTTCTGTACTCCCTGAAGGGCAGAGCTGCTTAGAACTCTGGAGTTTGGGAGAATGACCCAAAGACAAAGGCTCAGATAGGACTGGTTGATGGAGGAATGCATGAGGATGGCAGTATCCACAGACACAGCAGCTGGCTGGCCAGATTGTTAAGGCTGCCTAGTCTCTAGGGCCCTCGTGGTTCCTGCCCATTTTCTAAGCCTGTTCCTTGGGCCTCCTGTCATTTCTGTGAGTCTCCATTATCTGTCAAATAACCCTTTGTGCTTAAAAAAAATATGATAGGTAAAAAAACTTTGACTGATAGACTTTATACCTATACCTTTATACCTATATCATGGAAGGATATAGGTAAATAAAATACAAATGTGATTACTGTTCTCAAGAAGACTGGCATCTAATTTTGGAAATATAAAGAATGAAAAAAAAGTGTGCATGTATATGTTAAGAAATGGTATGGTCAAAGAACAAAGAAAGAAGTCAATGATTTGGAGCAGTTAGGGAAAGCTAGAAGATGTGGCCCTCCCAAGCAGAATTTGCCTTTTATACCTTCCAAGCAGAATTCATCCCTCTTTACAACTACCCTTTTTTATCTGCTATCAAAATTAGCTGTTTACACACCAATCTTTTGCATAGTCTATGAGTTCCTCGAAGACAGAGATTATACGAGCCTAACTAGTGCCAGAAAACCTCATCCATCCATTCATTTAACGCATGGAGCCAGAAACTGGTCATAAGGTGTCTGATAAGCTGATTGCAAGGTATTGGGATGAGGGTAAGAGGTGAGAAAAGGAGAGGTAGGGTAAGAAAAGAAAAAAGGCTTCCTACAGGGGAGGAAAGAAAGTTGGGAAAATAGAGTGCAGACATTATTTAGTGCATTGAACACCATGCTAAATATCAGGAAAGATGGCCAACTCAAATGGATACAGGAACAAACAGGAAGTGTAAATGACTGGAGTGGCTGAGCTAGATAAATGTAATAGAGGCTGGGTGTGGTGGCTGTAATCCCAGCACTTTGAGAGGCCAAGGAGGGAGGATCACTTGAGGCCAGGAGTTCAAGACCAGCCTGAGCAACACAGTAAGACCCTGTCTCTACAAACAATGAAAAAATTATCCAGGTGTGGTAGCACACACCAGTAGTCCCAGCTACTCAGGAGGCTGAGGAGGGATGATCACTTGAGACCAGGAGTTTGAGGCTGCACCAAGCCATGATTGTGCCACTGCATTCCAGCCTACATGGAAGAGTGAGACCCTGTCACAAAGAAAAGAAAAGAAAAAGAAAAGAAAGTTTAAAAAAAGCAATGGGATATCATGAGGCTTGGGGTGAGGTCATGCCTTGCCCCAAAGCATTCAATGAAAAAGAAAAAAAAAAAAAAAAAGCACTTTGCCAGTAACTCAAGATAAGTTTGCAGGTCACATACTACCAAACTGTGACTTCTGTGGGAAGGCCATGGAGAAGTTTTTGAGTAAGACACAAACAGGATTAGAAGGATAGATTAAGAAGACAAACCAAGCAGTAGTACACATGGAGAGAAAAGCAAAAAGCTCAGGAGGATGAGCAAAAAACAATAAGGCTCTGAATTAGGATAAGAGTAATATTATCAAACTATTATTAGATATTAGATCAAACTATTATTAGATAAAAAGTTCATATGGAACTGAACAATGAAGGTAAGGCTATCAACACTTGAACCCACTGATCAATTGTAGCATCACTAAAATGAGGAAATAGAGGAAGGTGTGATAGATGCTACAAAGAAAACTTCCACAGGACTTAAGTTATTAGATGTGAGACAGAAGAAGAAGGGAGAATAGAAATTAATGACTATTTCCATATTTTAAGCCTGGTAGCTAGATGAACAATGAGGACACTGAAAGATACAGGGAAAGCAAGAGGTAGAACGAGTTTTCAAGAGGGTCACTAGAAGCAGCTGGGTGCAGTGATAAGAACATCAAATTGGATAGGCATTCTGCCAGGTCTACTGCTACTTACCTTGAGTAAACACAACCTCTGGACCCTGTGTCCTCCTCTAGTTTAATCTAGATCCTCTGTATGATTCTTCTAGATATGTCATTCCAAGATAAGTGTGGTTTAAACACATTTAAGGTGTCTCAGGATAATGAAGAGGGGGAAATATTCCCTATGGATTTTTTAAATGATGTAAATTTCTTTAATAATATACACATACATGTGGAAAATATATAAAATAACTTTTAAAGTATATGCTTATCTTTAAGTAGCATATAAGTGGATTTTAAAATACTTTTTGCTGACTTTGTATACATTTTAAGTTTTCAAATAATTGCCTATATTTATATTCTCTAATTCTACTCCTTCCATTCTCATTTAAATGTACTCCAATCAGGCTTTTGCCCACATGAAACTTTATAGAACTACTTTTTTATGTGGTAAAATATGCATAAAATAAAATTTACCACCTTATGTATTTTTAAGCATACAGTTCAATGGCAGCCATCCACAACCTCTTTTCTCTTGCAAAATTGAAACTCACCCATTAAACAATAACTCCCGATTCTCCCCCTACAAACCCTGGCAATCACTATTCTACTTTCTGTCTCTATAAATTTGACTGCTCCAGGTACTTAATGTAAGTGGAATCATACAGTATTTATCCTTTTGAGATGACCTATTTCATACAGCAGAATGTCCTCAAGGTTCATCTATGTTGTAGCATGTGTCAGAATTTCCTTCTTTTTAAGGCCGAATAATATTCCATTGTAAAATGTTGATAGGGAATTGTTACATTGGAGATCAAGCTGTTACCACTTCAACATTAGATCCCTGGAAGTAGGAAAAGCAAACATTACATGCCTCCTGATGTGAATCTATGAAGTATTCATGCCCAAAAACATTGGGCCTAATTCTGATTAAGCCTGTAGAGGCTTCAGTACCTAACAGTTACTATGTCCCATGTAGATATTTAAATTTAAAAAGTAAAATAAAAAAACCAGCTTCTTCATCACAACAGCCACATTTCAAGTACCTAAAAGCCACATGTAGTCATTAGATAGTGCATATACAGAACATTTCCATCACTGCAAAAGTTTTATTGGATGGTGCTCTTCTGTACCTAATTCCATTTAAAAGAAATGTGGAGGTTACAGATTTCGCAAGAAGGCCAAATAGGAACGGCTCTGGTCTACAGCTCCCAGCGTGAGTGACGCAGAAGATGGGTGATTTCTGCATTTCCATCTGAGGTACCGGGTTCATCTCACTAGGGAGTGCCAGACAGTGGGCGCAGGACAGGGGTGCAGTGCACCGTGCGCAAGCCGAAGCAGGGCGAGGCATTGCCTCACTCGGGAAGCACAAGGGGACAGGGAGTTCCCTTTCCTAGTCAAAGAAAGGGGTGACAGACGGCACCTGGAAAATCGGGTCACTCCCACCCGAATACTGCGCTTTTCCGACGGGCTTAAAAAACGGCGCACCGGGAGATTATATCCCGCACCTGGCTCGGAGGGTCCTATGCCCACGGAGTCTCGCTGATTGCTAGCACAGCAGTCTGAGATCAAACTGCAAGGCAGCAGCGAGGCTGGGGGAGGGGCACCCGACATTGCCCAGGCTTGCTTAGGTAAACAAAGCAGCTGGGAAGCTCCAACTGGGTGGAGCCCACCACAGCACAAGGAGGCCTGCCTGCATCTGTAGGCTCCACCTCTGGGGGCAGGGCACAGACAAACAAAAAGACAGCAGTAACCTCTGCAGACTTAAATGTCCCTATCTGACAGCTTTGAAGAGAGCAGTGGTTCTCCCAGCACGCAGCTGGAGATCTGAGAACGGGCAGACTGCCTCCTCAAGTGGGTCCCCGACCCCTGACCCCTGAGCAGCCTAACTGGGAGGCACCCCCCAGTAGGGGCAGACTGACACCTCACACGGCCAGGTACTCCTCTGAGACAAAACTTCCAGAGGAACGACTGGACAGCAGCATTCACAGTTCACGAAAATCCGCTGTTCTGCAGCCACTGCTGCTGATACCCAGGCAAACAGGGTCTGGAGTGGACCTCTAGCAAACTCCAACAGACCTACAGCTGACAGTCCTGTCTGTTAGAAGGAAAACTAACAAACAGAAAGGACATCCACACCAAAAACCCATCTGTACATCACCATCATCAAAGACCAAAAGTAGATAAAACCACAAAGATGGGGAAAAAACAGAGCAGAAAAACTGGAAACTCTAAAAAGCAGAGCGCCTCTCCTCCTCCAAAGGAACACAGTTCCTCACCAGCAACGGAACAAAGCTGGACGGAG